>NC_000003.12:191205574-192455574 GCF_000001405.40 Homo sapiens
CTAAAATTAAGATCATGATTACTGAGAAAATATTCAAATGATTATTTTGTCTTGACAGACTGTTAATTCAAAATGCAGGAGAGTAGTACTCAATTATTTTTAAATTATTAATATTATTTATGTTACTTGCAACATTTCTATCTGATAACCAAGTTAAATATCATACAAGTCTTTCTTTCTCTCAGCTTAAAAGAGAGGATATAACTGCATTCTATGGCATCTGGAACCTCAGTTCTAACAATTTTTGTTTTGAAAGGGTAGGGAAATGAGCATACTGACTTATGCATGATAGGAAAAAAAAGAGAAGTAAGAAAAAAATCCTAAGTAAGGCCTGGCACAGTGGCTCATGCCTGCAATCTCAGCACTTTGGGAGGCTGAGGCGAGTGGATCACCTGAAGTCAGGAGTTCGAGAACAGCCTGGCCAACATGGCGAAACCCTGTCTCTAGTAAAAATACAAAACTTAGCCAGACACGGTGGCAGGGCCTGTAATCCCAGCTACTCAGGAGGCTGAGGCAGGAGAATCTTGCTGGAACCTGGGAAGCGGAGGTTGCAGTGAGCCAAGATCGTGCCACTGCACTCCAGCCTGGGCAACAAGAGCGAAACTCCATCTCAGAAAAAAAAAAAAAAATCCTAAGTAAACATTTTAAAATAAATATATTACCATATGTCATCAATTTTGCCTCACATTTAACATCTCTGAAATTGGAATTAGTCTTACATTTGATAAGCATATCAATTTAATTGGTAGCATTGTTTTTTCTTAACATGTTCTTAAAAATGGAATGTCTTACCATAAATGACATCCCAAAATCAAAGATTTGGAGATTCTTTCTTTTCAGCTAGAAATACCTAATTTTAAAAATACTGAAAGTGAAAGAGGAAAATATTTCTGTCACAGCCTAGATGCAATTTTTTGCATAAACTTTGGCTGATTTGAGGAACTCATCCAGTCAGTTTTCCTAGCTAAATCTGCACTATTCTCATTACCTACATGTTAAGTGTCTGCACTTTTACCAGAAAATAGCCAGCTTCACCAGTGAGCTTTAAAAGCCAGATGCAACATTAGAGGTCAGTTAGACCATCTCCATTTTAGTTGGTCTAGAGAGGAAAGTGTTTGCCCAACATCACATCACTAAATAGCAACAGAGGCAATGAAGAGCCTGAGTCTCACGACTCTTGCATCAGGTCTTTTTTCCATTACAGAGAGCTATGCAGACTTTGTGTTAAGCACTGTCCCTTTTAGGCCTTTTTCTAAGATAAAAAATTATTGTCACTCTGTCATTTATTATTCCTGAGTGTTTATAACTTAATGGAGTGGGTAAAGGGTAACCTGAAGAACGTATTATGTTTTACAGACTTACTTATGAGCCAAGCTGACTCACGACTTGCCTGGAAGAACACCATTATTTCAATGGGAGAAGATTTTAGGCGGTGTTGTCGGCAGGCACGCATGGTCATTTCATGGTGTCAGAACTAAGGCCCCTTTATAAAATATCCTGCTAAATCTCTTAAATGTATGTGCTCTGTCGCGGTGAGAAGAGAAAGTAAAGAAAATGTAGCCGTTGAATTAGTTTGTAAATCCTTTAATTAAGTCCTTTATTTTAAATTTTTGTTCAAAGGAGACTGGAGTCTATTTTGAGTATTGCCAATCAAGGTATTAGGGTAAATAATTAAAAATTCCTAGACAATATCAAGATTTACTCACAAACCTAGTACCTTTGTGAATTTCTAATTGTTGGATCAACTATCCATAAGTCAGATGTTAATCATAAATTTGCAGGTTGAAGAGAAATGTCCTTTACACCTGAGTTGTTTTTTTTTTGTTGTTCAACACCAGACTTCACATGCAGATAGTTTAAAAGTCTTATTGATTAATAGGTGCATGAGATCAGATACTGGCTTACATTGCTTCTCTTTTTCAGCCTAACCATCTCTAACATTTATACATCTCATAGAAGTTTGCTCTTTCTTTTGTAGATAAATGATTTTCAATCTCTTTTTTTCTACCCCAGCCCACATGAGAGACTTTTTTCACAATAAAAATAGCTCATTGCAACACTGATTCCTACTAATAAAAACATCTTTCTTCATCTTAACAGGCTTCTTATTAAACTCTGGTTTAAATATAATTAAGCCAGTTTTTCTTTATTGCTGGAATTTCAGAGCCTTTAATGTGAATTGGAACTCTAACACCTCTTTAAAAATATACAATATATCCCAAACATAAATGACAAAATTTTATACCTCCTGACAAAACTTTATACCTCACTGCGTTATTCCATATACCATCATTCTAGCCAGTTTGAAAGATCCTTTCAGGGTATAGTCAATTCTTACATGTGGAAAGTCCTTAAAATAAAGCATAAGATGTTATACAACATAAGACATTTGTTTATTCAGCAGAATTATTTAAAACGTCAAAACACATAATAGTCCAATTGTCTAAAAAATGAAGGACGTACACAGATAATCTTCTTATAAGGCGGATTCCATGGTCGCTGTTTCTTTTGAAACTCCACACTATCCAGAGAAATATTACTCAAAAATTACTTTTAAATAATGATGTGCTAAAAAAAAATGCAAACACCTTTACTTTGGTGCATTCACGCAATCAATGAACACCCTTTCATTGAACTTTCTGTGATCTAGAGTATACATGGTGCCTAAGAGATTTTAAATCATGGGCTATATTTATCCACTATCAACAAAAATAGGAAAATGGGGCTGAACTTAGACTTTTCCTTTCCTCCCTATAATTTCCTCCATTTCTAATTTTGTAGCAATCAAGTTTCAACTAGTTAATCAAATGTCTTTTGTATGGCAGGTGCCAGGGTGTTTGTTTTCATTAGTGTACCAAATGCCACATTTAGGAACTTGGCCTTTTGGTTAACTGGCTACAAGCATGGCTTTAAACCATTAAATGTGTGTATTTAAACTCAGCATTTATTTTTACATCTCCTTATCCAAATAATCAGGATGTGGTTATCTGTAAGATGATACATCATGATTTTTTCCTATATACACCCAAGCACAAAAATATATACCTCAGACATAATCATCAATATTGTAAACACTCATCATCCTGTACCATTTATAAGATTACAGAGAAGAGGAGAAACCTGGTTAGTGAAATGTACATAAAAATAGTTAAAGGAAATCCACATGGAAAGGCATATAAATTTGGGCAATTTTCACATTTGAAACCTATTTTTATGACAAAAAGCAAGAAAGGAAAACATAAAGAATTGTAGTTTGTCTTTGATTAAATGGGACAACAATTTCTTTTAAAAAGATATATCAGGCCAGACGTGGTGGCTCACGCCTATAATCCCAGCACTTTGGGAGTCTAAGGCAGGTGGATCACCTGAGGTCAGGAGTTCGAGAGCAGCCTGGTCAACATAGAGAAACTCTGTCTCTACCAAAAATACAAAAAATTAGCTGGGTGTGGTGGTGGGCACCTGTAATCCCAGCTACTCAGGAGGCTGAGGCAGGAGAATCGCTTAAACCTGGGAGGCAGAGGTTGCAGTGAGCTGAGATTGCACCACGGCACTCCAGCCTGAGCAACAGAGTGAAACTCCATCACAAAAATAAATAAATAAAAAAGATATATCGGAAATATGAAATCATTTTAAAAATACAGATATGTTCTTAGTACATCCTCCTTTATGTAAAGTCAAAGAGACATCAGCAAAATCAGGAGAAAAAGAATACAATTAAGTGGCTGGCTTCCTAAAGTAATCACTAATACAGGTTTTGGTTGGTATTTTCATCAGATAACTATTGCATTCTTATTGGTTATTTTCCCAGTTTAGAGACATAGTCATGATTTACTGGTTTTGCTTTTATGTTTACAGAAAATCTCAGTTCAAATATCAAGTTAGCGAAAAGAGAACACAGAATTTATTGCTCCCTTCTAGAAAAGAACGGAATATGGAGAAGCTTCTAGTAACTAGCATTATGAGACAAGATTCTGAAATAGATTAATTGGTGTCAAAATGAACAACTATTTTAAACATTGCATGTCAAAATTATATTTGATAAATAAATGTTATAGACAGTGCTAAAATATTGTATCTCCATTTTAAGTCTTAACTGACATAGTTAATACAAATACTATTCTGTTTACATAAAACATTTGTTCACATACCAGCATGTAACATTGATTATTAAAATCTACACTGTTGCATAGTGACAAGTTGTTTTTTGTTGTTGTTTTTTTAGGAATGTGGGCCAAAGTTTTATTTTTTTTCCATTTCTTGCGTTTGAAATACTCTTTGAAGACATCCTAGGCCTAAAATTCTTTGCCACAGAACTTAACTGCTGCACAACTGCAATCAACCACTTGTCAGGGTCTTCCCTCTCTGTCAGTTTTATGGCAGCTACCTGTATTAGTCCATTCTCACACTGCTATAAAGAAATACCTGAGAATGGGTAATTTATAAAGAAAAGAGGTTTAATTGGCTCACAGTTACACAGGCCGTACAGGAAGCACGGCTGGGGAGGCCTCAGGAAACTTACAATTGTGATGGAAAGCAAAGAGGAAGCAGGCACGTCTTCACATGGCCAGAGCAGGAGGAAAAAGAGAGGAGAGGTGCTATACACTTTGAACAATCAGATCTCGCGATAACTCACTCTCAGGAGAGAACAGCACCAAAGGGAAAATCTGCCTCCATTATCCAGTGGTCTCCCTCCAGGCCCCGCCTCCAATACTGGAGGCAACTCACGGCAGTGCGTTAGCAGTGGCACGCACCCGAGCCTCTGCCTCTGTGCAAACACATTGAGGGCAAGGAAAGAGCCACAGTAACAATTTTTCAAGAAAATGTCAAAAAAAATCCTGGGTCACACCAAAACAAATGTAGTTATTAAGGAAATATTTAGTGATGCCTCATATTCTTTCACTTACAGATTATAAATAGTAAATGAGAAGGGGTATGCATGAATCGATTCAATCCTCTCAAAGCTTTTTTGAGATGGGAATTACTTCTCATTTCACAAAAAGTAGAAATGAAGCTTAAGTAGGGTAAAATGATACTTATTCAAGGTTACACTGATACTAAAGCAAAAACATGACTCAAATCCAATCTTACAGATTCCATTCTAGCACCCATTTGCTCTTTACCCCCAGCAGGTTTTCCAAATGACTTTTTTTTAAGAAAATAGAGTTTCTTGAGACTTGTCATTCATAAAGGATGAAGTTGGAAGGCTTTCCCATTGCCATGTACTAAGTGGCAAAGCTTGTGTTCATGCCTACTTTGTTCTAGCTCATACTCCACGATCTTCCCTGAGTAGAGCAATGCCCCATTTTACCTACAGTTTTGTAACTTCCAGTAGTCAAACTAGCAGCAGGTCAGCCTGATGTAGGCCATAGATGAGCTTCAGTTGGCTGGATAGTGGCTTTTTAATCTAAAACGTCAAACACATCTTTGTGCTCACTACCCAGAATTAACATGTGTAAGATTTTTACATATTTGCTTTAAAATACATATAGATTAAAAACTGATTCCCTTATGTTTTTTCTATAAGTTTACTCACTTCTTCATCTCTGCAGAGGTAATCATAATCATGAATCAAGTTCTATTGGTTTATATTTTATATGTATATATTCCAAAATATATGATATTGCTTTGGGCATTTACAATTTCAGTAAATGGTATAATGTCATGTATTGTTCTATACTTTCCGTTTCTCCACAAAACTGTTTTTTTGAAATCCATGCATACAGACAAACATACATTTAAGTTATTTGTTTTAACAGTAAATATGTATTTAAGTCATTTACTTTAAATCAGTAGTCTGAAAAAATCTCAATTAATAAATCTATTTTCTCTTGAATGGGGCACTAGGTTGATTCCAATTTTTGGCTACTATATACCATGAGGCTATGAACTTTCAGATACATGTTGCATATAAACATTGACAGTTTCTCAGTAGTATACACATACCTAGAAGTGAAATAAATGTGTCCTAGGTAAGAGATAAGCATTTTCAACTTTTTTGTAAAGCATCCAATTTTCTCCAAATGATTAGATTCATTTTCAACTCCACCAGAATTTTTTTTCCTAAAACCATTCTAACATTGCAAGGTGGACCAACTTTTTGCCAATCTAATGTGTGTAAAATGGCATTTTACTTCTATTTTTATTTGAATTAAAGAAAGTGTATGTATTGTGGAAGGTTTTGTCCCTTCAGTTCTCCTCTTTTCTATGAAATGTGTGTTCATAACTTTGGCCCATTTTTATTTAATTTGTGTCTATCTTTAAAGTTATATTTAAAGGGTTCATTTACATTTTCCAAATGCTGATCTTTCTTTTATGTATATATTGTACATATCATGTATATATTCAATATATCTTCCATTAAGTAATTTGTCTTTTTTTATTGTATTTAATATGTAATTTTTTAATTTTGATATAAAAACATAGTTTTTTAAAAACAATTTTGAATCTTGCTTATGAAATCCTGACATGACACAAGGACATAAAGAAATTCTCCTAATGGATGGTGGGTGTTTTGAAATTTTGAATTTAAATATTTTTAGACACTACAGTCTCCCTGGTTCACCACAGACCAATCAGGACTTACGCTCTAATGCCTTACCACTGTTACAAATTTCTCCTCAGTTACATATATAATGTTGTAATCTCTAGGTCTGACAGTAAAAAAATAGTTACATTACCTGCATTTCTCATATTGTGGGTCAGTTTGAATTAAATTATTATTATAGCTGTACAACCCTAATCCAGGGTCTCCATGGAAAAGAAACCTTGACAGAATTCGTTCTGGGAGATGGACAGCTTCTATTAAGTATTATTTACGTTTTGTAGAGATGCACTCAAATATACTGAAGCCGAATAATTTGGCTTACCATTTGCCTCTAACAGTCCTTTTAGGAACTTCTGTTTTTTGTCTTTACATTCCAAACGAATCAATGCTAACTATGACATATGTAACCCTTAGATGCTGGACTGGAGATTGGCAAGTGCACATTTCATCCTGGCTGTGACACTGACACTGTGGAGCTCAGGAAAAGTCCTCTCAGTAGATGTAACAACAACAGAGGTAATGGAAACTAGCTTACAGAAATAAATATACATGTTTGACATGCTTTATAAATGACATGTTTGTATATAAAAGAATATATATTAAAATATATTTCATATACGTAAATATAATTTATATATTTATATATCATATCATATATTTTATATAGAATATATATTTTATAAATATAATGTATATATTTATATATTACATATATATTCTTTTGTAAACGTTTCCTTTTCTTTTCTTTCTTTTTTTTTTTTTTTTTTTTTGAGACAGAGTCTCACTCTGTCGCCCAGGCTGGAGTGCAGTGGTGCAATCTCAGCTCACTGCAACTTCCACCTCCCAGGTTCAAGCGATTCTCCTGCCTCAGCCTCCCAAGTAGCTGGGATTATAGGCATGTGCCACCACGCCCAGCTAATTTTTGTATTTTTAGTAGAGACAGGGTTTCACCATATTGGCCAGGCTGGTCTTGAACTCCTGACCTCGAGATCCGCCCGCCTCAACCTTCCAAAGTGCTGGGATTACAGGCGTGAGCCACCACGCCCGGCCTATTTTTTGACTCTTTTGTAAACATTTCATTTCTACTAGAGTAAGAAGGAGGTGCAGCTACCAATAAGAAAATGTACACAAAATAAAATAGAGAAATAACACAAAATCAAGAAAATCGGTAGTTTTTTATTGTCTTCTTTTTATTGCCAACATGCCATTCAAGGTTGTGAACCTGAAATGAAAAGAGCAGTAATCACGATCTTCTCCTCACAGAGGAGTCGGAGCAAGCCAGTTATCTAAACGTGGAAAGAAACTTAAGAACAAAGACTTGAATTCCTTGAACAAAAAAAGCTTTAAGAGAAAATCCATTATTATAGCTATATTTAATTGAATCAGTTATGTCAGAATGAAGGGCTTTTATGTAAAATTTGAAGTTGTTTGCATGCCAAAATTTGAGTAGTTTTGTTCAAACTTTTAATTACAGTACAAATATTTTCTTGGTGCTATGACTAAAGTACAAAGAAAAAGAAATGTGAGGGCATCACAAGGAGAAAAATTAGTTTATTTGATCTTATTAGAAACATGTTCTTTGTGTTTCTTAAATAGCATAAAGTGAGAGTCTGAAAAGCATTATATTAAAGGACAAGTTTTCTAAAAGTTTTTTTTTTTAAGATTAAGGATGTTTCTTAAAAAAACGATTGTGTAGTGTGTGTTAGTTGGAAGAATAAAAGCATATTTTTGGAGGATGCTTGGAAAGATAAAAAATTCTTTACCCTTTGAAGGTTTATCTCCTGTAGGGTTTCTTTCTGGTCATTTGCATCCTTCCCATCTCCAGTTTCTATGTTATCAGGCTTATATAAGGAAGTGACAGAAGCTAAGATCTGAGGAATAGTTTGAAACCATATTGTGGGATTTGTGCTATAAGTAATAAAGAACTGTGAAAGATTTGTAATTTTCTTTTTATATGACAAAAGTGGTATTGGGGATAACTAACTTTATAACAGTATTATGGGTGAAATAGAGAAGAGAGAGATTGGAGGTATCAAAGCAAATTGTAAGGTGATTAAGGGAGTACACTAAGCAGTAAAGAGGACTTCATTTAAAGTCACCACTTGGATGACCAGAGGTCAAGAGTTGGAGAAGAGTCTGGCCAACATGGTGAAACCCTCTCTCTACTAAAAATCCAAAAATTAGCTGGGGGTAGTGGTGGGCGCCTGTAGTCCCTGCTGCTTGGGAGGCTGAGGCAGGAGAATCACTTGAACCTGGGAGGCAGAGGTTGCAGTGAGCCAAGATCGCACCAGCCTGTTAACAGAGTGAGACTCCATCTCAAAAAAAAAAAAAAAAAAAAAAAAAACAGCAACAAAAAACCACCACTGATGGGAATCAAAAATAGCAGCCAGAAGAGAGATTGTCCTGCAAGAACTGACGAGACTTAGGGCACATATGACTGTATAAGGAAACAGGAGGCTCAATAGCTTTCAGTTTGTACACCAGGCTACAAGTATTTTAAAAGAGACTTGCTTGAGTCAATGATTAAAGGGCTTGAAAATGCTACTCTTTTGTTCTACTGGAGAAAATGAAGAGAACAGAAAAATGTATTAGTCCATTTTCATACTGCTATAAAGAACTACTTGGTCAGGTGTGGTGTAATCCCAGCACATTGGGAGGCCAAGGTAGGTGGATCACTTGAGGTCAGGAGTTCAAAACAAACCTGTCCAACATGGTGAAACTCCATCTCTACCAAAAATGCAAAATTAGCTGGGTGTGATGGTGACCACCCATAATCCCAGCTACTCAGGAGGCTGAGGCAGGAGAATCACTTGATCCTGGGAGGCAGAGGTTGCAGTGAGCCGAGATCAAATCACTGGACTCTAGTCTGGGCAACAGAGTGAGACTTTGTCTCAAAACAACACAACAAAAAACTGCCCAAGACTAGGTAATTTATAAAGGAAAGAGATTTAATTGACTTATAGTTCTGCATGGCTGGGGATGCCTCAGGAAACTTACAATCATGGCAGAAGGTGAAGGTGAAGAAAGGCATATTCTTCACAAGGTGGCGGGAAGGAGACTGAATTACCAAACATTTATAAAACCACCAGATCTTGTGAGAACTCACTATCATGAGAACAGCATGGGAGAAATTATCCCCATGATTCAATCACCTCCACCTGGTCTCTCCTTTGACATGTGGGGATTATGGGGATTACAATTCAAGATGAGATTTTTGGTAGGGTCACAGCCAAACCATATCATTTTGCCACTTGCCCCTCCCAAATCTCAGGTCCTCACATTTCAAAACACAATCATGCCTTCCCAACAGTCCTCCAAAGTCTTAACTTATTCCATCATTAACCAAAAAGTCAAGTCCAAAGTTTCATCTGAGACAAGGCAAGTCCCTTCCACCTATGAGCCTGTAAAATCAATAGCAAGTTTGTTACTTCCTAGATTCAATGGGGGTACAGACATTGGGCAAATAAACCCACTCCAAATGGGAGAAATTGCCCAAAACAAAGGGGCCACAGACCCCATGCAAATCAGAAATCCTACAGGGCAGTTATTAAACCTTTGGAGATCATTCCAAAACCATTTCCTTTGACTCCATGTCTCACATCCAGGTCATGCTGATGCAAGAGGTAGGTTCCCATGGTCTTGAGCAGCTCTGCCCCTGAGGCTTTGCAGGGTACAGCCCCACTCTCAGCAGCTTTCATGGGCTGGCATTGAGTGTCTGTGGCTTTTCTAGATGCACAGTGCAAGCTGTCGGTGGAGCTATCCAATTTGGGGCCTGGAGTACTGTGGCCCACTTCTCACAGCTCTACTGGGCAGTACCACAGTGGGGATTCTGTGTCAGGGCTCCGACCCCACATTTCTCTTCTGCACTGTCCTAGCAGAGGTCCTCCATGAGGGCTCCACCCCTTTAGTAAATTTCTGCCTGTACATCCAGGTATTTCCATACATCCTCTGAAATCAAGGCAGAGGTCCCCCAAACTCAATTATTTACTTCAATGTACCAGCAGGCCCCCAAACATGTGTAAACCAGTGTAAACCACCAAGGCTTGGGGCTTAAACCCTCTGAAAGAATGCCCTATCTGTATGTTGGCCCCCTTAGCCACAGATGGGATGCAAGGCACCAAGTCCCAAGACTGCATAAAGCAGCAAGGCCCAGGGCCTGGCCTATTAAACCATTTTTCCCTCCTAGGCCGCTGGGCCTGTGATGGGAGGGGCTGCCATGAAGACATCTGACATGCCATGGAGACATTTTCCCCATTGTCTTAGCAATTAGCATTTGGCTCCTAGTTACTCATGCAAATTTCTGCTGCTGGATTAAATTTCTCCCCAGAAAATGGGTTTTTCATTTCTATTGCATCATCAGGCTGCAAATTTTCCAAACTTTTTGCTCTGCTTCCCTTTTAAACATAACTTCTAATTTCAAGCCATCTCCTTGTGATACATAAAACTGAATGCTTTTAAGAGCACCAGCTCATATTTTGAATGCTTTGCTGCTTAGAAATTTCTTCTGCCAGATACCCTAAACCATCTCTCTCAAGTTCAAAGTTCCACAGATCTCTAGGGCCAGGGCAAAATGCTGCCAGGCTCTTTGATAAAGCATAGCAACAGTCACCTTTGCTCCAGTTCCCAACAATTTCCTCATCTGCATCTGAGATCACCTCAGCCTGGACTTCATTGTCCATAAAACTATCAGCATTTTGGTAAAAAATATTCAACAAGTGTCTAGGAAGTTTCAAACTTTCCCACGTCCTCCTGTCTTCTTCTGAGCCCTCCCAACTGTTCCAACCTCTGCCTATTTCCCATTTCCAAAGTTGCTTCCACATTTTTGGGTATCTTTATAGCAACACCCCACTCTCTTTGGTAACAATTTACTGTATTAGTCCATTTTCATACTGCTATAAAGAACTGCCCAACAGTGTGTTATTTATAAAGGAAAGAGGTTTAATTGACTTACAGTTCTGCATGGCTGGGGAGTCCTCGTTAAACTTACAATCATGGTGGAAGGCAAAGGGGAAGCAAGGCACCTTCTTCACAAGGCAGCAGGAAGAATGAATGCAGGAGGAACTGCCAAACACATGAAACCAGCAGCTCTCATGAGAACTCACTCACTATCCCAAGAACCACAGGAGAGAAACTGCCCCCATAATTCAGTTACCTCCACCTGATCTCTCCTTTGACATTTGGGGAGTATGAGGATTACAATTCAAGATGATATTTTGGATGGGAACACAGCCAAACCATATCAAAAGACAATAGAAGGAATAATCTTAGAAGAAAAACAGAAAGTGAAGAAAACTCAAAACCAAGACCAACAGTCTGGCACATGGAAGAATGACTAAAAGTGGGAAGGGAAGAGATTCCCCAGAGCTAAAAAATTTTTCCCTCATGGGAATATTCTCACGATCTTAGAAAAAAAAGCAGTATTTGTGGGACTACAGAATGACTCAAGATTGTTAATAGGAGCATTTAAGAAATGCTGCCATTGGGCCTCAGAGAGGAAAAGACAGACTTCACAAACTGGACAGCTATACATTTATGATTTGGATGAAGTACAAAGTGGCAATATGTGTAAGAACCAAACAAGAAATTTTACATGGGGCACAAAGTTATTGGGATATCTCAGACACATTGCAGATGCTAGTATTTGTTAATAAATCACAGGGATAGAGATGGTGAGATGCTTAGAAACAGAGACTAAATTTTTATTTTTGTATCCTTCATGTCCAATGCAGAACCTAGCACACACTGGATTAGTAATGGCTTGAGTTAGTAAATGATGAATGAATGGTAAAAAAAAAAATAGAATGAGATTTGGTTGGGAATTCATTTAATAAATATTCATCAGAAATTTGTTGAATACTATGAGCAAAATACGAGATGAAGCATTAAATAAAGTAAATGAAAGACTAATTAGACAAAGTCATTGACTAATAACAAGTACAAATATACAGTAACCAACCTGGCACAAGGCAAAAAATAATAAGTGCAGTGATGAAAGAGGTATATAGATAAAGCACTATGGGAATGATAAGGAAGGATGAAGTTGTTGCTGAAACAGAATCTGAAAAAATGATCCGTAAATATGCTAAATTTTAAAGCATTCCAGGAGTTTTTCTTTTCTTTTCTTGTTTTATTTTTTCCCTTCGTTATACCCCTCTACTATGTGTTTCAGTCCCCAAAGATCTAGCACTCTCTATGGAAAATAACTTCATAAGAAATTCTAAGGCCAGGTGTTGTGGCTCACACCTGCAATCACAGCACTTTGGGAGGCCAAGGTGGGTGGATCACCTGAGGTCAGGAGTTCGAGACCAGCCTGGCCAACATGGTGAAACCCCATCTCTACTAAAAATACAAAAAATTGGCCAGGCATGATGGCAGGCGCCTGTAATCCCAGCTACTTGGGAAGCCGAAGCAGGAGAATTGCTTGAACCTGGGAAGTGGACATTGCAGTGAGCCGAGATCACGCCATTGCACCCCAACCTTGACAACAAGCACAAAACTTTGTCTCAAAAAAATTGTAAGATGTTACATGATGAGTATGTCAGCTAACAGTAGCAAAAGCCAGATGCATATGTACATACTTGGAGTCTCTTTGTCTAAATTAACGGAATCGCCTTTCTCTGCCTTATAGGCCTTTGATTCTGGAGTCATAGATGTGCAGTCAACACCCACAGTCAGGGAAGAGAAATCAGCCACTGACCTGACAGCAAAACTCTTGCTTCTTGATGAATTGGTGTCCCTAGAAAATGATGTGATTGAGACAAAGAAGAAAAGGAGTTTCTCTGGTTTTGGGTCTCCCCTTGACAGACTCTCAGCTGGCTCTGTAGATCACAAAGGTAAACAGAGGTAAGTGAACTCAGAAAAAGAAAGTTTTTATTTTCTAATTATTTCCTTCTGGATTCTAAATCTGAGAGAATTCCACATGAAAAATACAGTGAAAACCTTGTATATATAAACAGATTTGACGGTATGTTAGCTAATCTGTAGGTTTAATAATACAGTTTTCTAAGTAACTGTTTAGGGAGCAAAATGACTGCCGCAGTGTGCCTTAGCATTTTTGTCATGTTTCCTAAGAAAGATTCTGTCTTATGCAGATATAAAGCAGTTATTATAAGACATTACTGCATTTGGGAGGTGGCGCAAAATGTATGCTCAGTGGCATAAATGTTCTGGTGAACTGAGTTTTCCATTTACTAGAGGTAACAGGAATACCCTTTGGTTTTTACCTGTGATGCAAACCGTTCCACATTGTGTGAATGAATCTGAGTGACAAGTTCTCAGAACGTGGAGTCAGAACGCATGTGTTTCTGTCAAATTTCTGTTTCTTCCTATGTGACTTGTAAAGTATCTTATCCTCTCTGATCCTCAGCTTATTTATGCATAAAGTGAGAATAATTACTTGCTTCCATAAAATTCAAATGAGATAATCAAATGTAAGTGCTTCATAGAATGCTAATTACGGATTTAGAGTAGTGAAATATCCCTTTATGTCAGTAATTTAAAGTAATCATTCCAAACTTAGTTCATTTTCTACCCCTTCAATATCTGTTCTTCATACTGTACATTTCATATTAGAAGTGGCACAAAAGACCACACAAGTACCATAGACAGGAATCTGGGAAATTGACCAAGATTCCTTTAGCTCATCCTGAACATTTCTCACTAAATTCTCTAAATACTGTTTGCTTTACATATTAAATATCTCCAGAATATCACTCTTCATTAAGGCTTTTCTAATTCTGGCCTAAATTATTAAATTTTTTTAACATTTATTCTTTCTCCACTCTTTCCTCATCTCTACCTCCACCACCATCATCACCCCTTTATCACCAACGTATCCTGTACTCGGCTAGCAGGCTAATCATCTAAAACAAAAGTCTGTGTGAAATGTTATCCATTGCTTACAGTACAAAAGTCAAACTCCTTTGCAAGAGCTACAGGGAATTTCATAATCTGGAACCTCATTTCTTCTTGTACTCATTTTCACATCCTTTGCCACCATCTTTCTTAATTCTTAGAGACCTGGGACTTTTCATTCTTGTTCCTGGTTCCCTGGTTTTTTATGCTAAATGATTATCAGGATACTTGTCGCAATTTGCTATACCTCTGTTCTGAAAGATTCTCAAAGCTACACTAGAAAATAAAATCATCATTTGAAGACCATACCTTATACTACATGTATGTGAAAAATAATCCTCTCCTATATTTTGAAATTTAGACCCTACTTTAACTAGAGAAATAGAAATTAGTTCCACTATGTTCTGGGTACTATGTTAGGTTCTGGTGAAAAAGAGGAGAAAAATATAGTTTACATACCTCAAAAAAAATCACATACTAATTGATAACATAGTATTATTTATAACAAATTGTAATACAAGAAATGATGAAGAGAAAAGAGAATGCTAGTACACTGTTAGTGGGAATGTAAATTAGTATAACAACTATAGAGAACAGTTTAGAGGTTCCTCAGAAAACTAAAAATTGAGCTACCGTATGTTCCAGCACCACCACTGCTGGGTAAGTATATCAAAAATAAATATATGTTTAAAAACTAATCTAAAAAGAAGAACATCGGCATCCAAAGAATAGTTGAGCTTTTAGAGAAGAAAATATGGTGCCTTCTAATAAATGTTATTTATTTGGCTCCTGGATATTTCAACATGGTCAACTAAATAATCTATAAATCAATATATAAATGCTGTACATAAATATTTATAAATTTATTATAGCATAAATACTATAGTATACTAAATATACACTGCGTAAATACTATATAATTTACATTGAAACTTCACCACATGATATGGTTTGGCTGTGTCCCCATTGAAATCTCATCTTGAATTGTAGTTCCCATCATCTCCATGTATCATAGGAGGGACCCAGGGGAAGGTAATTGATCATGGGTGTGGTTACCCCCGTGCTGAAGTTCCTGTGATAGTCAGTGAGTTCTCACGAGATCTGATGGCTTTATAAGAGGCGTTCTCCCTTTCGCTCTGCTCTTCTCCTTGCTGCCACCATGTGGAGAAGGACATGTTTATTTCCCCTTCTGCCATGATTGTAAGTTTCCTAAGGTCTCCCCAGCCCTGTGGAACTGTGAGTCAATTAAACCGCTTTCCTTTATAAATTTCCCAGTCTCAGGTATGTCCTTCATACCAACATAAGAACAGGTACCACAGAGAGTGGGGTGCTGCTATAAAGACACCTGAAAATGTGGAAGCAACTTTAGAACTGGGTAACAGGCAGAGGTTGGAACAGTTTGGAGGGCTCAGAAGAAGATAGGATAATATGGGAAAGTTTGGAACTTCCTAGAGACTTGTTGAATGATTTTAGCCAAAATGCTGATAGTGATGTGGTCAATGAAGTCCAGGCTGAGGTGGTCTCAGGTGGAGATGAGGAACTTGTTGGGAAATGAATTAAAGGTCACTCTTGCAATGCAAAGAGATTGATAGCATTTTGCCCCTGCCCTAGAGGTCTGAGGAACTTTGAACTTGAGAGAGATGATTTAGGGTATCTAGTGGAAGAAATTTCTAAATGGCAAAGTGTTCAAGAGGAAGCAGGGCATAAAAGTTTGAAAAATTTGCAGCCTGATGATGCAGTAGAAAAGAAAAACCCATTTTCTGGGGAGAAATTTAATCCAGCAGCAGAAATGTACATGAATAACTAGAAGCAAAATGCTAATCACCAAGCCAATGGGGAAAATATCTCCAGGGCATGTCAGAAGTCTTCACAGCAGCCCCTCCCATCACAGAGCCATAGGCCTAGGAGGGATAAATGGTTTCTTGGGCCAGGTCCAGGAACCTGCACTTGGTAACCTGCTTCCCAGCCACTCCAGCCTTGGCTAAAAAGGGCCAAAGTATAACTGGGGCCATGGTTTCAGAGGGTGCAAGCCCCAAGCCTTGGCGGCTTCCACATGCTGTTTTACCTATGGGTGCACAGAAGGCAAGAATTGAGGTTCGCCAACTTCCACCTAGATTTTAGAGGATGTGTGGAAATACTGGATGCCCAGGCAGATGTTTGCTGCAGGGGCAGAGCCCTCATGAAGAACCACTACTAGGGCAGTGCAGAAGGGAAATTTTGGGTTGGAGCTCCCACATAGAGTCCCCACTGCCTAGTAGTGTTGTGAAAAGAGGGCCACCATCCTGCAGACCCCAGAATGGTAGATCTTTTGCTGTGCACCTGGAAAAGCCACAGACATTCAACACCAGCTCGTGAAAGCAGCCAAGAGGGGATGACCTGGATGTGAGACATGAAGTCAAAGGAGATTAATTTGGAGCTTTAAGAATTTACTGCCCCACTGGATTTCAGACTTGCATGGGGCCTGTAGCCCCTTCATTTTGACCAATGTCTCCTATTTGGAACAGGTGTATTTACCCAATGCCTGTCCCCCCACATTGTATCTAGGAAGTAACTAATTTGCTTTTGATTTTCAGGCTCATAGGCAGAAGAGAACTGCCTTGTCTCAAATGAACTTTGGACTTGGACTTTTAGGTTAATGCTGGAATGAGTTAAGATTTTGTGGGACTGCTGGGAAGGGATGATCATGTTTTGAAATGGGAAGATATGAGATTTGGGAGGGGCCAGGGATGGAATTATATGGTTTGTCTGTGTCCCCATCCAAATGTTGTCTTGAATTTTAGTTCCCATGATCCCCTCGTGTTATGGGAAGGACCAGTGGGAGGTAATTGAATCATGGGGGTGGCTACCCCCATGCTGCTGTTCTCATGAGAGTGAGTGAGTTCTCATGAGATCTGATGATTTTATAAAAGGCTTTCCCTCCCTTTTGCTCTGCACTTCTTGCTGCCACCACGTGAAGAAGGATGTGTTTGCTTCTCCTTCTACCATGATTGTAAGTTTCCTGAGGCTTCCCCAGCCCTGTGGGGAATTAAAATTAAATTAATTTAAATTTAAAATTAAATTAAAATTCTTTCCTTTATGAATTACCCAGTCTCAGGTATGTCCTTCATAGCAGTGTGAGAATGGACTAATAAACCATAATAATTTCTTTAGAAAGTACCATAATGAGAAACTACCTAGGTGATATAATCTATCTAGCTAG
Organism: Homo sapiens; assembly: GCF_000001405.40. Taxonomy (NCBI): domain Eukaryota; kingdom Metazoa; phylum Chordata; class Mammalia; order Primates; family Hominidae; genus Homo; species Homo sapiens. The sequence goes on from NC_000003.12 coordinate 191,223,172, forward strand.
CTATCAAATATAGCTCAGCTTGCAAGAAAAAAGGGGAAATTAGCAAGCGTTTAATAGCCATCTGAACAGATTTTCACGTATGAAAGCTACAAATAAGCCATTATAAATATGCAAAAATTTAGGGAATATTCCTTCCATGAGCATATCCTGAGGAAGCTAATACATGAGTTACCTTGGGCAAGCCAAATGGCTGGGGAGATATCACCATTAGAATTAGGTGTGAGCATTAACTTTAAAAGCAAAGTAAAATGATGGTAGCAAGAAAGAGAATGTGTTATAGTACACGGTTTGAAAAAACAGATACAGCACAACCATCAAACTTTCAGGTAAAACGTGATAGTACATAAAATTTGGAATGAGTATTTGATTGCTTCACGGCTATTAACTGAAAATAAAAAATTATTACAACAAATAGATGCTTGGGGACTGAAGAAGAAAGAAAACATTACAAACTGAATTTTATAAATCTTGTACTAAATAACAATAGACAAAAACTGAAAACAGAGAGGTGCAAGATTATTATATAAAAATATTAATACAAAAATAATCATAAGAATAAAAACTAAAATTTCTCTATGAAAAAAAGCACGATAAAATAGAATACAGAGAAATCCTGTATGTAATAAACTCATATGTAAGTTTTAAAATATGATTTAAAAATCTATTATATCAATAAATGTGGATGGCTATAACTTGCCTATTAAAATGCCAGTGTTTTCAGACTTGCTGATAAAGGAAAATAAAATACTTTTCTGTATTTGAGAGATGCAATTAAAAATAACAAGATTTAGGATGGATAATAGTAAAAGAATGAACAAACGATACCAGAAAAAAAAATAACTTAAAAATGAAAAACAGTGCAACATCATTTACCAAAGAGAAACTACAAAGAATGCCAGAAAATAGAAAGAAATGTATTAATAAGGCCGGGCACCATGACTCATGCCTGTAATCCCAGCACTTTGGGATGCTGAGGCGGGCAGATCACCTGAGGTCGGGAGTTGGATGCCAGCCTGACCGACATGGAAAAACCCCGTCTCTACTAAGAATACAAAATTAGCCAACCATGGTGGTGCATGCCTGTAATCCCAGCTACTTGGGAGGCTGAGGCAGGAGAATCACTTGAGAATGGCAGCAGAGGTTGCAGTGAGCCAAGATCTCACCATTGCACTCCAGCCTGGGCAACAAGAGTGAAACTCCATCTCAGAAAAAAAAAAAAAAAAGAAACATATTAATAATAGAAGAGCTTAATTAATTGTTTAAAATCCAAGACCGATTATATATTCAAAATTGATAGAAGATCTACACAACATAACTCATAAAATATACATTATAAATCTGTTTTGAACTTTGGACTACAATAATAGAGAATATAACTTATTTTCCAGTGAATATGGAACATTTATAAAATTTACCATATCTTAGGTGACAAACAAACCTTAGGATATTCCAAAGAACAGATATATTACAAAAACAATCACTAACTGAAATATAGTAAAACTAGAAATTAATAACAAAATCAAAAACAAGAAGACAGTCTTACCTGGAAAATACAAACCATGTCATTTACTATTTGGTTAAAGAAGAATACCAAATTTTATTTTTGCATTTTTATTTTGTATTCTTACACACTTTATTGAAAATAATAATAAAAATACAATATGATGGGCAGAAAAGAAAATATTAGATACAAACTAGCATGATAGTAATAAAAAAATACAAATAATGCAAATATTACAGCAAAAAAATGTAGAAAGAACAGCAAAGTAAACCAACATAAGCAGAAAAAAAGCATAAGGTAAAAATTAACAATGATGAAAGCTGAAATCAGTAAGTTTATAAAGCACAACATAAAATATAATAAATCAATGCAAAGCTGCTTTTATTATATCAACAAAAAGACAAGCCAGGCTTACTTAAGAAAAAAGTAGAAAGTAAATTTACAAAATTAGAAATGACAACATGGAAATAGTCATTACAAAAGAAGAACTTGAAAAATAGGAAACTACTATGCTCAATTCTCTATAAACAAATTCAGTACCTTTAAAAATGAATAAATTGTTAGAAAATACAACTTATAAACATTGGTTCAAATAGATACACTCCAATTACCGTTTCTTTAAAGTTTATTTATTATTAATTTTATTTACCGTTTTTATTTAATTTGCCAACAGAAGTACCAGATTCAGATATTTTCACAGGAGAATTTTACCAAATCTTAAGCTATCAAATAATTTCAATAGTACTTTATCTTTTCAGAGAATATTTTTTTAAAGGAAATTTCCAAATTCCTTTCCTGAAACAAGTGTCATATTGACTCCCAAATCACCAAAAACTACATTTAAACAAGGAAATCATGTTTATTGCAGCACTATACACAATAGTAAAGTCATGGAATCACCTAAGTGTCCAATAATGGTGGACTGGATAAAGAAAATGTGGTATATAGACACAATGGAATACTACACAGCCATAAAAAAGAAGAAAATTATGTTCTTTGCAGCTACATGCATGCAGCTGGAGGCCATTATTCTAACTGAATTAATACAGAAACAGGAAATCAAATACTAGATGTTCTCACTTATAAGTGGAAGCTAAACAGTGGGTACCCATGGGCATAAAGAGGAAAACAATAGACCCTGGAGGCTACAAAAGGTGGAAGGGAAGAGAGAGGAGTTGATAAACTACCTACTGAGTATTATGTTCACTATATAGGTGATGGATTCACTAAAATCTCAAACCCCAGCATCGCCCAATAAACCCATGTAGCAAACCTACACGTACATACCCTGAATCTAAAATAAAATATTTTTTAAAAATACTTTGTAAAAGAATAAAATGTATTTCAAATAAATAAATAAGAAAATTTTAGGAGCTTCAGTAGTGCAATTGGTTAGTGTGCAGTACTTACAAAACAGGAAGCATTAGACTTATCTCATATATGAATATCGAGACAAAAGTCATAGATAAAATGTTAGCAAATAGAATCCAACAACACTTTTAAAAATATAATGCATCTTGACCAAGGGGGGTTTATTCCAGGAAAGTAAATATGATTTAATATTAGTAATTATTTAATGTAATCTTTCATATTAATACAACAATAGATAAAAGTCATATGATTATATCAATAGGTGACAGAAGAGGTATTTGACAAAATCTAATATTTATTAATGTCTAAGAAAGTGCAACAGAATAAGAACTGAGAAACACTTTTTAAACATGATGTACATGTATGTGTGTGTTTGTATTTTAGCCCAAAAGCCAATATCTTATTTAATGGTTCAGGCACATACTGTGTTCTTAAGTCAAAAGACGCAAAAGCACAAACATATCAGCTCCACTTAAGTTAAATTACAAACTTAACACAATTCTAATAAAAAGTGCCATCAGTGTTGATTACAAAGTTCATTTGAAAGAATAAAAGCTGGCATAGCCACAAAAACTCTGCAAAAAAGAGCCCTACCAGATATTTAAAACATTATATAGTCTTTTTTTACAATAGCATTGCCCATAGATAGATCAGAAGAGAAATTCAATAAATAGACTCCATTTCATATGCAACTTTAAAATGTATAAAAAGTAGCATCTCATATTAGTAAGTAAAAGAATATAGTTTGAATAAGTGATGTTGGGATATGAGTAAAAAGATTCAATTAATTCATTCTCAAACTATACATTATGATAAATTCTAAATGCATCAGAGATTTGATTGAAGAAATAGATGACCCCACATAGGTATTAGAAGAAGACATTGTTGGAAGTTCTACATAGAGAAGGAATAGAGAAGCTCTTCTAAATTCAGACGTAAAATTTGAATAGAAAAAATAAGGAAAAAATTAATTACATATTTTAAAGTTATCATGACAAAAGATACCATAAAACAAAGTAAAAACTCAAAGAATAAACTGGAAAAAATGTTTATGACTTATATCAAAGGGTTACTATATTTAATAAAGAACCTTGAAAAATAAAGAAGAAAAAGAACAAACTGTAGAAAAATGGTGTAAAAACAGTAGTCAATTCATGAAAAAAATGCAAATTGCCTTTAGCCATGTGAAAAGATGCATAACATTCTTGTTATAAGAAAAAAGTGCACTATGATTTTACTGATATACAATTCCTCACCTGATAGACTGGTAAAAAATGGATTTTTGAAAAACCAAAATAATTACTGAGGCTATGAGAAAAAGGCATTCCCACGTGGTGCTGATTGGAGTGCAAAATGGAACCCACATGGAGGGGAATATGGCAATATCCAGCATAGTGCATGTGTACTTACTTTTTGGCCCTGCCTTCCTCCTATTTCTAGATATCTCTGCCAAATATATACTAGTAAAAGTGTGTTTAGAAGACGAAAGCACGCATAAGGCTATTCATTTTAGAACCATTTTTATAAACTTTTTATTTAAAAAATAAAATTATAAACAAAATACAGAAAAATTTTGACACCTGTGATAACAAAGAAATGACTCTTAAAGGCAGTTTGTCGTTCTGGGGGAACGACTGTTTTTCTGAGGAGGCTTACTGCATCCTTTAAGTGAAAAGTGGTGTTGACAGACGACCATCTGGGCATTAGGGTTGCTAATTTCGCTTGGATTAGTGATTGTTTTTAGGAATTTTAGTGCACAGACTGAGTCATGAGTGCATACTGATATTCAGGAACATAAATATATGCTAATATGAATTTTTGTGGACATTTTGAAATCATGCCATATCAGGTGTTATAATTTTATTTAACACGTTCAACTTATAACTTTATTTCATTTTTTCCATGCCACGAATCCCCTTTCTTATTTACACCAAGAATGACAGAATCAGATTATCAAATAAATACATATTTGCTTTATTTCACAATGCAAACTCAACTATCTCAGAATAGCAATACCAAGATTATCACTAGCAATACGATTTTTCAAAATGGTTTGTAATTGATGATCTTACTGATGCTCAGATTGTCATACTTTAGCTAATCAGAATGTCCTCAAATTGGCTCTTGAGTTCTTTTGACCTGAAATTAGAAATAATAAGCTTCCTTGCTATCAGGTAGGACAAGATATTCAAGCTCACTTTGCACATTTTCTGCCCCAACTCTGCCTGGGGGAACAAAATCATGAGTTTTATAAAGAAATATTATTGTGCAAAGGAGGAATGTAATATTTAAGGTTCATTTTCAATGGGCATTTGGCATTGACAGAAAAAGTGTTTCTGTGTATACATTCAACATTTTGCAGCATATTTACATTTAAGTTACATTTCCAAATTCTACGCCAAATACAGTCTAACTCACCATCAAAAATCCCTCAGATATTACTAAAATCCTGTTTATTTGGTAGGAGTGCAGTATTATCTTATTAGAAAATAATTTTATGTTCCTGCTAGATCAACTGTATTTTTACTACTTCAACAAAATTTACTGACATTTTCTTCCCAGTAGAATGCATTAAATCTGTTTAAATCTATGACTGAAAAATCTTTAGAAAATACTAGTTATCAGTTCATTGCTTTTGAAAACATATAAATGAAGAGGACATTAAACCTACCTTTCTTATGTGAGCTTCACCACTAACAGTAGAGGAGGTGGAATTTTCTCTTTATAGAATTTTTCCATCTAAAACAATCAAGAAATTGTGGAATTAGTAAACGAGGTAGAAATTTCTCTTTATACAATTATTATGGCTAAAAAATGATAGAATTAGAAAATTTCTATTTTGCAAACCCTAATGAAATGATGGATCTAGACAATTGTCATTAACTGTTGTTAGCATCACAAGAAGAAAACAGCAAGTCATTATATGCCTCCTGGTAATAGAACCCAGCACTACCTGTAAAACAGTATTGCCAAAAACAGTCTTGTCTCTAGATCTACACCTACCAATTTTCAGGAAATGTGAAAGACAGAAATGAGTTCAGAGACACTACAGGGATGCAAATAGCAAAATCCAGACTGTGGGAAACTACAGGACAAATAATCCAGTTTCTTCCATAAATAAATTACAGCGTTTGAAGAGATTAGAAAGGAGATGGAAAGAGAAGGCGATTCTGAAGACTAAAGTAGAGGGATTTATTAACCAGTTAAAATGTTTTATGTGTCCTGATTCAAACAATAATCCTTTTAAAAATTAATACAGGTAAGAGACAATTGTGAATGTGAAGAGTAACTATTTGATGATGTTAAGTAACTATTATTTACTTTAAAATATGAAATGGTACAGACCTTAAAAATGAGAGGGATACCTCAGTTAAATATTTAAACATGATTTTTAAAAAAATAATACAGGAGTGGGAGTGGAACGGATGAAGTAAGGTTTACAATAAATTGATAATTATTGACTTAGAATGATGTGCACATGGGAGTTTGTTATACTATTCTATTTTGTCATATGTCTGAACTATTTTATAATAAATTCCTTAAAAAACTAAGCAATCAGATAAACAGCAGATTAGACCTAGTAAAAGAGTAAATAAATTAATCACATAATAAGGCCAAGAAAATGACTCAATATGTCAAAAACATGCGAAGAATGCAATGAAACAAATTAATGTATAGTTTAATAAGAACTTTATGGGAACAAATAAAAGAGAAATAATTACCATTTAAATAACTTATGGGCCGGGTGCAGTGGTTCACAGTTGTAATCCCAGAACTTCGAGAGGTCAAGGCGGGTGGATCGCTTGAGGTCAGGAGTTCGAGACCAGCCTGCCCAATATGGTGAAACCCCGTCTCTACAAAAAATACAAAAAATTAGCTGGGCATGGTGGCGGGCGCCTGTAATCCCAGCTACTCGGCAGGCTGAGGCACAAGAATCACTTCAGCCCAGGAGGCAGAAGTTGCAGTGAGCCAAGATCGCAGCACTGCACTCCAGCCTGGGCAACAGAGTGAGGACTCAGTCTCAATAAATAAATAAATAAATAAATAAATAAATAAATAACTTAGGATATTTTTTCAATACTTTTCAAGAAATAGTGAAAACATTTTCAAATTCAGTAATTATAACACATTTTGACACACAAAATTAGTGTCCTTTCTGACAGGTTAAGTGGGATTATTCTGCTATGAGAAAATCATGTGGGAGATGGCTTAGGGGCTTAAACATTAAGGGCACATTCTTGGCTGGGCACGGTGGCTCACACCTGTAATCCCAACACTTTGGTAGGCAGAGGCGGGCAGATCACCAGGTCAGGAGATCGAGACCATTCTGGTCAACATGATGCAACCCTGTCTCTACTAAAATACAAAAAATTAGCTGGGCATGGTGGTGGGCGCCTGTAGCCCCAGCTACTCAGGAGGCTGAGGCAGGGAAATCGCTTGAACGTGGGAGGTGGAGGTTGCAGTGAGCTGAGATCGGGCCACTGCACTCCAGTCTGGTGCCAGAGCAAGACTCCGTCTCAAAAAAAAAAAAAAAAAAAAAAAAAGACACATTCTTAAAAGGGCTAAGTAGCATGAGAACTCACTATCAGGTGATAAGAATAAGAAATGGGACAAGAAATGAAATTGGGAAGGAGAGTTGGGGTCACAAAGGAATGTTGCATTCTGCAACCATTCATATTGCTGCCCTCTGGAACGTGCAGTGCAGAACCCATATAACGTTAATCAACATCCCTGGAGCTAGATTGCAAAGGTTTCATCCAATGCTGTATAAAGCAAGAAAAGAATTTAGTAAAATAATTGATGACCCTAGGAAATTAAAAATGAACTATTTCTTTTCCTTTTTTCTCTCCTTTACCTTCACCTCCAACTATTTCGAGAAGTTTGGCAGTGTTAAGGAGCATGAGGCATTTGCACAGAAGCTCATCTACGGGCTTCGGAAGTTGAGAATCCCTCCGAATGCATACTCTTTAGTCTTCTATATTTTTATTTTTTATAGTTGATAATTTATGCATTCAAGTTAAATTCCAAGGACACTTCCTCTGAGATTTTTTGGCAGCATTTTTTTAAATACAGGAATTCCTCTTTTTGTTCTGAAAGCAAATCTGAAACTTGTTTTGTATATTCCAGAAGTAGAAAACAATGAAAGACAAATAATAGTTATTGCATAAAATATTTCTATAGACATTTCTGAGTTTTAGTTAAAAACAATTTCAGACTTATTTTGAGGTGTAATGATACTTCAAACATAATACAGTGTTAAAATTTTCTGTCATCTGTTACCAAGGCTTCAGCGTCATTAAAAAAATCACACATATATATATATATCACATATATATAAACCACAAGACTAAAATGTGACGTATTTAGTAACAAGAATGTATAGCTTGCAATTTTGCAAACTTTTCATAAAAATAAAATTTTATAAAAATTATAATAATTTTGCTTAGGAGAGCTGTACTGAGGGTTATTTACTGCTATTTTTTCAAATTCTATGAGACAAGAATTTTACTGCTTCCTTATGTGTTGTTAGATCTTTCACAAGACCAGGAATTATTTGTTAGTGTTATACGCATGAGTGTGCACAAAAACTTCATGAGTTTCTTATAAATGTCTGCGATTTTCATGTATATGCCCTCATGTTTTTCCCCTTATCAGGCACACATTCTCTATCTTCCCATACTTACTAAGAGAAGGTAATACATCTGAGATCCATTTTCCATACTCTGTGCTTAAAGATCACATACATCACTTAATTCAGGGATTCATAAACTTTGTGTCATATGTCACTATGGCAATTTGGGGAAACCTATGAACCCCTTCTCAGAGTATTGTTTTTAGAGTGATAGAATTTATGAGTTCAAAGGTTAGCCACTGTTTAGAAACAGAATTATCAAAAACAATTTTTTAATTAATTTGCAATAAAACATATACATAAAATATTTTAAATATTATATTTATTAATACCTAAAATAAGATGTAAAGATATGTCTGCAAACAATAGCTGTGGCTGGGTGCGGTGGCTCATGCCTGTAATTCCAGCACTTGGGGAGGCCGAGGCAGGCAGAGCACCTGAGGTTAGGAGTTCGTGACCAGCCTGGCCAACGTGGTGAAATCCCGTCTCTACTGAAAATACAAAAATCAGCCAGGCGTGGTGGCACTCAACTGTAATCCCAGCTACTCGGGAGGCTGAGGCATGAGAATCGCTTGAACACGTGGGAGGCGGAGGTTTCAGTGAGCCAAGATTGTGCCACAGCACTCCAGCCTGGGTGACAGAGGGAGACTCTGTCTAAAAAAAAAAAAAAAAAAAAAAAAAAAAAATTGTTGTAACTAGTGCAGAACATAACCATTTCAAAGCATCTGTGATAATTAAAATGTGCTTTGAAAGTATTTGTGATTTATATGAGTAACAATGTTCAGACACAACTATTACTATTATTTTTTTCTATATTCATAAAGTAAATGCTATATATATATATATAAAATTATGTTTATTTTTATTTTTATTTTTTGAGATGGAGTCTCACTCTGTTGCCTAGGCTGAAGGGCAGTGACTAAATCATTTTTTTTTTTTTTTGAGACGCAGTTTTGCTCTTGTTGCCCAGGCTGGAGTGCAATGGTGAGATCTCGGCTCACTGCTCCCTCCACCTCCCAGTTTCAAGTGATTCTCCTGCCTCAGCCTCCCAAGTAGCTGGGATTATAGGCATGGGATTATAGGTGCCTGCCACCACACCTGGCTAATTTTTGTATTTTTAGTAGGGACTGTGTTTCTCCATGTTGGCCAGCCTGGTCTCGAGCTCCTGGCCTCAAGTGATCTGCCCACCTCTGCCTTTCAGAGTGCTGGGATTACTGGTGTGAGCCACTGCGTTCGGTCATAAATGCTATCTTTCATTTACAGGTTAATGGAACTAAAGATGTAACCCTTTCCCATCTACACGTATAGGCCCCTGAATTATATTGCTCCATAATCCCAGATTTTAAAACTCTGAGTCACCAGGGTACAAAACATATTATTTAATTCTATATTACTATAAAATATCAGAAAAGAAAAAGGAAATTAACTCTACTTTCAAAAAGGTCCACCAGGAGATGGAAACAAAAAAATTCATGAAAGCTAGGGAAAACAAAAATGAAAAGAAACAAATATAAAAAGCTAAACAGGGAAAACCCTATATCAGGTCATATTAACTTGAAATAAAGAACCACCTGTTGTTTCCTATTTTGTATTGCTTAACACATTTTTACCTGAATAGGACACTAGCTTCATTTTCTGATTCATGTGCAAATTACTTCAATTCTCCGGGCAACACTAACTCAACTATACTTTGAAGCCCAAAATATTTTTCTCATTTCCATTCACTTGTTTAAAGTCTGAAGTTACCATTTTATTTCTGTTTTCTTTTTTTCGTTTTTTGAGACAGAGTCTTGCTCTGTCACCCAAGCTGGAGTGCAGTGGCAAAATCTCAGCTCACTGCAACCTCCACATCCCGGGTTCTAGCGATTCTCCTGCCTCAGCCTACCAAGTAGCTGGGACTCCTGATCTCAAGTGATCTGCCTGCCTCAACCTTCCAAAGTGCTAGGATTACAGGCATGAGCTACCACGCCCTGACTTTTTTCTGGAAGAATAGTATCTACTATCTGACTGACTCTTTAACATTAGAAGATATTGACGGCCAGGCACTGTGGCTCATGCCCTTAATCCCAGCACTTTGGGAGGCCGAGGCAGGCAGATCATCTGAGGTTGGGAGTTTGAGACCAGCATGACCAACATGGTGAAACACCATCTCTACTAAAAATACAAAATTTGCTGGGTGTGGCGGCGCATGCCTGTGATCCTAGCTACTTGGGGGCTGAGGCAGGAGAATCACTTGAGCCCAGGAGGCGGAGGTTGCAGTTAGCTGAGATCACACCATTACACTCCAGCATGGGTCACAAGAGCGAAACTCCATCTCAAAAAAAAAAAAATTGATGATTGGCCTAGAATTTTTCTAAATAATGGTTTCTCTCACTCCTTCACACAACACTAAAAATGTCTTGCAAATAATAACAATAATAGTGCTCTATATTTGAATTCAATTACTATTAAATATTTGTACAACTCTTATTGCTTTAATTCTCCCATTTAATATTTTAGGTCAGTAAAGCAAGAAATGCTATTGGGTTAGGGTTCCAACAAGAAATAGGTGTCACCTTTGAAATAGGAAAATTTGAGGAGGGTTTTTTCAAAGGAAGACTATTTACAAAACTCTGGGTACAGGTAGATTATAATGGATGGCACAGCAGCCCACGGTGGCCTGAAAAGACAAGAAAGGAAGAGGTTTCCAAAAGTCAGAGAGTCACAGAGTTTCAGATGCCTTGAGAAAAGTAGTGACTTGGCCGGGTGCAGTGGCTCATGCCTGTAATCTCAGCACTTTGGGAGGCCGAGGCAGGTGGATCGCCTGAGGGTAGGAGTTTGTCACCAGCCTGGCCAGCAAAGCGAAACCCCGTCTCTACTAAAAATATAAAAATTAGCTGGGTGTGGTGGCACGCGCCTGTAATCCCAGCTCCTTGGGAAGCTGAGGCAGGAGAATCGCTTGAACCCGGGAGGCAGAGGTTGCAGTGAGCCAAGATCACGCCATTGCACTCCAGCCTGGGCAACAGAACGGGACACCATCTGAAAAAAAAAAAAAAAAAAGCAAAGCACAAAAAGAAAAGAAAAGTAGTGACTTTTCTTCAGGAGCATACTCCCGGGAAGAGGTCTTGCAAGGAGTGGCCAGGAGAAAATTATCCTGACCTCTCTCCTCCTCTTCCTCTATTCTGTCTTCCCCAAATTATCTATTGCTTGATCCACACCAAAGCCAGAGGGCACAGGAACATTTATATGTTCCAAAAAGATCAGCCTCCTAGGACTGAAAGTAGGGTGAGAAAAGGCAGCATACATCTGAGAGCAGAGGGAAGATAGCCAGCAAAATTATACACATTCTGTAGATTTAGGTCAAGAAACACTTTGCTCCAGAATATTGTTATTATACCACCTAATTGAAAGAGAAAAACTCCATAAGTCATAATCAGAAAAAACAGCTTTTCCTCCCATCCCCATGCATTCCAACCCACTCAGTGGTAGTTGTTGTTCCCTACCCCTTGAGTAAACCCAAAGGCAGGTATTAATGGCTCTACTGGCCACATCAAAATAATAAGAATCCCTATGGTTACTTGTACTAGAAAAATAACCATATAACAGTAATTCAAATAACCATTCTTATATGTGACCCCAAACCATGAATACTAATAAAGCTTCTCTTTTCCCTAGCTTGGACCCCATTCATCCTGGAAGGCTTCAGTGGGAAGGAGCTTGTGGCCAGTTTATATTCACAATCTCCCCTATCACAGTAGGCTGCCTTTTGTCTCCTCCAGAACTGGGGATGGAGATGCATGCAGAGAAGTAAAACAAAGTCTTACTTGACATAATATCATGACCTGTCTTTGTGCCCTCATGGCTTTGGTGAATGCTCAAAGCTGACTCATCTTGGAATGTTTCTGGGGGTCACATAACCCCCAGTGCGAATAGTAACATAGGCGTCCTTACCTCCAATAATACTCCTCTTCTGGCAGATCTGCTATGCCCCTCATCCTCACCCTACTCTCTCATCTTCTGCATTTGACACCACCATCAGCATCCTGATGAGTTTGCTTCCCCCATCAGCCCTGACAGAAAGCCCTTGGGGCAAGGTCCCTTTTATAATTGACCCAGGCTGACTCTCTCCACATGCTCTACATCTGCCCACAGAAAACCCACATCCTTGACTCTCATTACTGAAAGTGAAGCAGTTCTTGGTGCAGTCATCTCTTCAGTCTGGTATCAAGCCAATTCTCACAGCTTCTTGCCCTTTAGATTTCATAGACACTATTTTATTAGGTTCACCATGCTTCAATGGACATATTTTAAACTCGAAGTGTTTTTCTCAAAGCCCTTTCCCCATATGAAGGAGGAAGGAAAATGCCATTGTTTTTCAATAACTTGCTCCCAAGAAATTCTCCCTTCCTGAGCTATTCAATATGAATCCTTTTATTGGATTGAAGTTGGAAAAAACTAAGTTTGTAGCAACCTCCTTTGGAAGTACTACATAAGTCTAGCACCTCACTTTGGAATGCAAAACGAAATACTTCCCACATACTTTCTCTCTTTCTGTCTCTTTTTTACTCAGCCTTTTAAAGCCACAGCCAAAAACTGAGATAGAAAGCATCCCATTTTAATATTCTGGTACATTCTTTTTTAAAAATCTCTATCACACACTAAGAAGGAGGTATTGTTACCAGAAAGGGGTCCCGAACCAGACCCCAAGAGAGGGTTCTTGGATGTCACACAAGAAAGAATTTAAGGCAAGTCCACAGAGTAAAGTGAAAGCAATTTTATTACAGAAATGAAGAAACAAAAAAATGCCTACTCCATAGAGAGTAGGGCCCAAAAGCAAGAGGAGGAATGCGTCCATTTTAGGTATAATGCTTGTTTATATATAAGATAATAACGCAAAAAAAAAAACAATCCTTGGGGAGATGTGCGCTACTACAAGGGCTTGGGACAAAGGATTGTTAATCTTTGTATAACTACTGTCTTCCACAATAATTTATATTATTATCTTTAAAGTGAAACTTACTCTTAAACTAAGAATACTTTTGTTCTTAAGATATCGTGACATCAGGATATTTTCTGGACCTGCTAAGTCCTGGATCTCTTCCATAAACATTATTAACTTGTTTTCTTAACTGTAAACATCCTCTGACTAAAATGCCTGACCTTCTGGGAATGCAGTCCAGCAAGTCTTAGCCTCTTTTTACCCAGCCCCTATTCAAGATGGAGTCACTCTGGTTCAAATGCCTCTGACATTAGGATCCACATTTTATTATGTTTTCGGAGAGATAAAATGATTTCCCTGAGATTATGTTGATATAAATTACATGCCAGATTGTTTAACTCCAAGGCCGTGACTTTCCACTTAATTTCTTTGCAGAAAGTAGCTTTCTACAAAGCTGCTAGAGCAAGCAGGAGGGGAAAAATGGCAGGGAGGGCAGGCAGTGAGGCAGATGCTGACATTCTTGTGAGGCTCTGATTAGCCTAAGTAAATCTAGGTTTTACATGTGAAATGAGGATGTAGAGGCAAAAGTCAATTATGCGTTGCCTCAAGCGACTTTCTACAAAGAAATTAAAGTTCTGTGTGAATAAGATATTTGTCAAAGGCCAGGAACAGTGAGATTCACTTAGAATATATGCATTAAATGAATAGTTTTAGAATTACTGTATCCATGATATATGGATTTCTATCCTAACGGGACTGCAGCTATCTCAATTCTTGCCTCCTTAGAAGAAAGACTTTGACTGAGGGGCATAAAGCAGAAGAAGAAAGCTAGGCAAGTTTTAGAGTGGGGTGGAAGTTTATTAAAAAGCTTTAGAGCAGGAATGAAAAGTGAAGTACACTTGGAAGAAGGCCAAGCAGGCATCTTGGAGGTCAAGTGCCCCATTTGACCTTGGCCTTAGGGTATTATATGCTGGCCTGCTTCCAGCACCTGGCATCCTTCTTTCAGTGGAATGCCCCTAGAAGGTCATGTACCAGTTAAATGCCACCTTTTGACCTCTTAAAGCGCATGCTTGAGCAAACTCACCCAACACCTGAGATCTTATCAGGAAGATGCCAATCACCAGTTTCAGATATTTCTGATCTATAGAGAAACTGCCTTTCCCTGGTGCTGGCTGTGACCAATTATTATTTTAGAGAGGCAGTGTGACAAATGCCTGACCATCACCTATGGTCACCTGACTTTCCTGGTGGGATGTGGGGGCCCTCTTCTGCCCCGTTCCTGTTCATGCCCCAGTACAGCTCTATGCACTGTAACAACAGGTTCAGGCTAAAGTTGAGAATAGCAATGCCAGATTCAATTTGTCAGATATGATTGCCCTTCTTGACAAAAATCCCAAAGATTAAGGTAAAAAGTCTAACATTTTATTTTCTTTCTAATTTGTTGTGAAGAAATGCCACAGAACTGAGCCAATCGCGGCATCTCAAGGTTTATGCTTTTCTTTTTTAGCTCTTATTTGGTCATCTCCAGAGGACATAGTTGAAAATGAGCTCCATTTCAGGTGTGGGAAACACAAAAAAGGGATACAGTGTTAATCAAAATGTGACTGAGGCATTTCTCAATCAACAGAGGTATATTTGGCCAAAGTTGAAGATACTTGCGGGGAAAAAAATCCAAGTCACAGGAGCACCTGTGACCTGTGCTTTTTCCAAAGGGTGTTTTCAAGGGGAAAGAGCATGCAGGAGGGGGAAAAATGCAGAAAGGGCAGGCAGTGAGGCAGATGCTTCCATTCTTGTGAGGCTCTGATTAGCCTCAGTAAATCTACATTTTACATATGACAAGAGGAAGTAGAGGGAAAAGTCAATTATGCATTCTCTCATGCTCAGTAAATCTACAGTTTACATAAGATAAAGTAAACATGTGAAAAGAGGGAGTAGAGGAAACGAGGCTGTGATACAGCGTTGTGGAATTACAGCTATCAGTTTAGAAACAAAAGGAAGGCAGTAGTATTGACTCAGTTCCCGAACTTAACTTTCCCTTTGGGGTAGTGATTTGAGGAGATTCCATGTTCTTTCACAAGAGTGTGCCGCCCTTTTAAATGCTGCCTTCTTACACAGTGGGAAATGCCTTTGAGCATAATGATCTTGGGCCATTGTTGCCAGTGACTGTTCTTTACTGCAGTCCTCTTCTCAGCTCAGCTCAAGACCATAGGATGGGACAGTCCTTTTACCTTTTCTCCCAACCCAATTTATGTATGAAGCTTTAAAACTTTCTCCCAAAAGGGATAATACCTGATTCCATATATAGGCTTTGCAAAGTATATTACAGACCCTAACCCTCAAAAGAACATTCTACAGGATATTTTTGTATGAATACATTTGCTGAACAGAAGTTTTAAAAGTTTCATTCGCTTCTCAAGGTTCATGAGCCAAGTAAATGGAGATCCTCTCTGCCTTATACGATAAACTCTATATTACTGGTGAGGGTGTCCAGGTTCTCGGCGTCTTGAACAAAGAATTAAACAAAACGCACAAACAAAGCAAGGAAAGGATGAAACAAGGAAAGAATGAAGTGACAAATGCAGAAATTTATTGCAAATGAAAGTACACTCCATAGTGTGGGAGCGGGCCTGAGCAAAGGGGCCCAAGGGCCCTGTTATGGAATTTTGAGGGGTTTTAAATACCCTCTAGAGGATTCCATTGGTTACTTGGTGTATGCCCTGTGAAGGGATGAAATAAAGTTACAAAGTCACATACTGGGCATGCGCTATGGAGAGGATATTTTCTGTCATAGCTGAAATGTGAATCTGACTTATGTTCCCTGCCTCTAGACCCTATTTTCCTGCCTCATCTACAGCCATTTTCAAATTAAACATGCCAGTACAGTCACTTAAATCTCATTATGTGATTCCAGTACTCATGGTTTCTTTCTGAATGCCTGTCCATGTGGCTAATTCCTTGAGATAATACATCAGAAGCTGACATTATGCCTAATCAGCACCTTCATCATAAATTGAGCAGAATCTGTTGAAAAGTGAATTATCACTTTTGAGACAGAATCCTAGAAGTCAAAAGTAAACTTTCTGCTAAGTGAATTAGCACTTTCTTTTGTTATTCAAAACTACCCCATTTATTAAGTGGTAACCAATTGTTTCTGTCCTCTATGTGAAGGAACTCCTGTTAGGAAAAAAATTGGCTTTTGCCCAGCCTTTTATTCACTCCTTCCCAGGGAAGGAATGGCCACTTCTCTGATTGGTCAGTTTGGGAGGAGTAGTTGAGCCTGTTCAGGTTATCGGCTTGCTTCCTCTTTTTATTGGAAAACAATGACTAGTTATAAAAGTCTGTCTAATACAGGGAGAAAACAACAGGAAGCCCTGTGAAATTCAGATGTAAAGACACACTTTATGTTCAGCTTGATCAGCAATAAAAATGACATTTTGTTTACTATACATTGATCACTCATATTTTATTTCTCTACTGTTTCTGAATGTAGAATTGAGAAAAAAAGCCATTATGTTTTGGTTCCTTAAAACCATATCACCATTCAGATTTAATGTGCTCCTTCATCCTATCATTCTGGAATTTGAATTTAAATTTTAACATGGTTTTGTACACTTTGATTATTTTCCTTCTCATCCTTCACAGGTTCTTGCCAAGTCCTTCAGCTTGGTCTGTTCTCACATGTCAGTCCTTCCAAGGTTGTATATAGTGATATCTATCCTAATGTAAACATTTTAGTTTTGCATTTTAATTTTAAATTGCAGTAACCAAGATTGCAGGATTCATGGATGATCATTTATTTTTTCTACATGCTCCTTAAGTTTTTCCTAAGTTTTCTAAGTTTTTTCTAGAACCCCCAAATTGGGTGTGGTCTCTTCTCTCACGGAATCTCAGAGCACTGTGAATCTCATGGTATTAGATATCTATTGCTATGCAACAATTACCTAAAATTGACGACAATAAACATTTTTGTTCTCACACACTTTTTGTGCATCGGAAATCCAGGAAAAGCTTGACTCATTTTTTTCCAGCTCAGGGTCTCTCTCAAGGTTACAGTGAAAATGTTGGCCAGGGCTTCAGTTATCTGAAAGTTATACTGAGGCTGGAGTATTCACTTCCAAAATGGCCCACTCACTTGGCTGAAGGCAGGAAGTCTCTGTTCCTCACTGGCTGTTGGCGAGAGGCCTTAGCTCTTTGCCATGTAAACCTCTCTAAAGGGTTGTTAGCATGCACTTAGGAAATGGCAGCCAGCTGCCGCCGGAATAAGTGATCCAACAAAGTGAGGCAGAAGCTGCAATAGCTTTCATTACTTCCAACAGTGTCATTTCCACAATAGTCTATTGATTAGAGAAGTCAGCCCTATTCAATGTGGAAGGAGACTACATAATGGTAGAATTATTGGGTTCCACCTTGGAGCCTGGCTAGTACACTCATGTAAGGTTTATACTATAATAATTAACTTCCCTGTTTTACTAATCTAAATTACTGAACTATTTGAAAGAACATTCTTTTTTAGCTATTTCTGTTTTCTCTCATTTTGGATAGAACTCAAAGTTGGTGGAGCTCTGTGCCTTGACTTTTTTTTTTTTTTTTTTTTTTTTTTTTTGAGACGGAGCCTTGCTCTGTCGCCCAGGCTGGAGTGCAGTGGCGCGATCTCGGCTTACTGCAAGTTCCGCCTCCCGGGTTCACGCCATTCTCCTGGCTCAGCCTACCTACCGAGTAGATGGGAATACAGGCGCTCGCCAGCACGCCCGGCTAATTTTTTTTGTATTTTTAGTAGAGACGGGGTTTCACTATGTTAGCCAGGATGGTCTCGATCTCCTGACCTCGTGATCCACCCGCCTCGGCCTCCCAAAGCGCTGGGATTACAGGCGTGAGCCAACGCGCCTGGCCAGCTCTGTGCCTTTCTTAAAGGAGGACTAGCATTTTAGTGCCCCTTTAAGTTGTAGTAGTGAAATCAGACTATTGATTTTAAGGAACATTTTCCACACTCTGATTCCAAGTTTCTTTTCTTGGAACTCGAAACTATAAACAGGATCATTAAAAGTTATTGTATCCAACAAATGGAAGGAAAAAAAGTTTTAATGACACCCGAAACACCTATTAAGAACAATCAAACAACATCTAGACATGGAAATTTTCAACGAAGTGCTATTCTGTAACATAAGCCTTACAAGTTTTAAAGGCATGGTTATCATACAAAACATGTTCTCAAACTACAATGTGATTAAATAAATAACAGAAGGATAACCAAAAAGAAGGTGCAATTCTCAACTCATTTAATGAGAATAACATTATCTAAACACCAAAACCACATATGGAGAGAACAAGAAAAGAAAATTGTAGGACAGCCTCATTAATGACTACAGATAGAAAATTCCTACCAAAAAAAATAGCAAAACAAATAGCAATGTATTTAAAAAAAAATACCATTATCATGTTGTTTATCACAAAAATACAATATAAGCTTAATTTACTTTGAAAATCAATTAATGGAGTTAACAAATTGAAGATATAAATCACATCATCTCTATAGATTCAGAAAAAGCATTCAATAAAGCTAAACCCCCACCTATGATTGAAATCACTAGTAAATTAATAATAGAAGGAAACTTTTTTTAACCAAGTAAGGGACACCATTAAAAAATGCCTACAACATATATTCTTAAATGATGCCACTTACAACCACAAAAAGGTCTTTTGGAGAACATTTTAACAATTTATTTGAAGACATTAAAAACACTCTAAATAAATGATCTTGGATAGTAAGACTCAATATCATAAAGATTTCAATTCTTCCCTAAATGAATTATACCTGGATTCAATACAATTCTAGTCAAAGCAGCAATAGGATTTCTATAGAACTTGACGAGCTGAATCTAAAATTTCTGAATCATTAGGCATGAATATAGATTTTTTTAAAAAGAAACATGATTTTTTACTCACCCCATAAATACAAATTAAATTTTTTCTTGTTTATTTTGTTTTGTGACGGGGTCTCTTTATATTGCTCAATCTGATCGGAACTCCTGGACTCAAGGGATACTCCCTCCTCAATCTTCCAAGTAGCTGGTCGTACAGATATGAGCCACTGTGCCTTGCAAAAATTAATTTCAACGTATTAAAAACTGAAATGTAAAAGGCAAAACTACAAAAATATTTTATGACATAGGAGAATATCTTCATAATATTAGGGTAGAGGTGATTTATTACATGAGATGCAAAAATATTGATGTTTTAAAACCACATCAAAGATTTTTTAAAAAATCACAATAAAGAAGATGAATCACAGATGGGAGTAGATATTTGAAATTTATAACTCTCAAAGTCTAATATTCAGAGTATTCAAAGCCCTCCTACAGATAAATGTTTAAAAGAAAAAAAAAACATTAGAAAAACAGGCAGCAGATTCAAACAGGCACTTTCAAAAGAAGAAATCCAAGTGGCCAATAAACAAATGAAAAGCTGAGCAACATCATTAGTATTCAGGGAAAGTAAATTAAAACCACAGTGGGATATGATTACCAAAGCATTAGGCTGGCAAAATTAAAAATCCCACAATACAAGGATTAGCATAAATTTGAAATAATAGGAACTATCATACACTGCTCTTGAGTTCGTAAATTTGTACAATAACTTTGGAAAATAATATGACACTATGTAATAAAATTAAGTATAAGCATAGCTGTCAATTATACTACTGGGAATATATTGTAGAGGAATCCTTACTTGAACACCAAAGGCAGGTACAGCTGAACAGTACATAACAACAACAAGTAGAGGAAATACCTCAAATTTCCATCTACAGTAGGATGGATAAACAAATGGTTGTGTATTCACACAATGAAATATTATACAGCAGTAAAATAAAGGAACTACAGCTCCACATGTCATCTTGGAGAAATCTCAAAACACATAATATTTGCTGAAAGAAGTGGAGAAAAATTCATATATAATTTTTGTCCCAGCTTGATGGAGCTATGATTGACAATATAAATTGTATAAATTTAGGGTGTACAGTATGTTCTGATATATGTACACATTGTGAAATGATACCACACTCACATATCTATCACCTGACAGCTACCGTTTTTTGTTTTTTGTTTTGGTGAGAACACTTAAGATCTGCTCTTAGCAAATTTCAAGTATACATTATTATTAACATCATTAATAACACAATAATTAATATTTACATTATTTACATGTTAATATCAACATTATTAACTATAGTCACAATGCTGTACATTGTTCATCGTACTCAATTCCTTTTAAGTACAATTCTGGAACTATCAAGAAAACAACAGATTTTTGAAGAATACATATAGATTCTAAGATTATGAAGGAAATCAAGGGAATTATTAGACCAAAATTTAGTCTATGGATTACTCTGGGACTGAGCCATGAGACAGCTGCAGTTTGGGAGAAGGAATACCAGAATTTCTAAAGTAGTGGTAATGCTCTATTTCTTATGCTGGGGGCTGGGAATAGGGCTGTTCATTTTTACTCTCTTTAAATTGAGCATAGACAAATGTATAGGTTCTGTATGTGTGAAGTGATTCTCAATAAAAAGTTTAAAAACATTTTTCCACCTGCTGTTTTTTGGAATGTAAAATACCTTTAGAAATGGAGTTATCCAAGATTATAAATGTTAAAGAAAATCCTGTTTCACATAGGAAGTTTAGATTTTCGTGTGAAAATTAGTTTCATTTAAAATAAACAATCTAATCATTGTGATTGTATTAAATTGATAAATATTCTATATCCTTAATCTACTTTACTTACAGAATATTTCAGAATGGAAAACGTGGGTTGTTTTAAATGCATATATCATATAAGCCATGTCATACCATTATTTTGTCACAAGAGGGACTAGATAGTCAAAAAGTACAGCTTTCTCTTTTGGTTTCAAGATTATATTCTCTATCTAACATTAATTTTTCATACACTACATTCATGCCAGTAATGTGTTTTAGAATGTAGCACCATTATATATATATTATAAATATAATATAAATATATTTATATTTCATATATAATATATATATTTCATATCAACAAAAATGTTAACTACTAGCTTTCTGTTTCACTTCTGATGGATATAGATTGTATAGAAAGTATTTAACCAGGCTATTATGGTTTCTGATTATGTGCTTTATGAAAATTATTTTTATTTTGTATTAGTACTAAAAATTTTAAAATGAATTGATTTTTATATATATATTTGTTTTATTTATTTTTATTTGATGTCCAGATATCTATAAGCATTTGCAACCAATCCACAATTTGATAAGATGAATCAAAGTAATTATGAATTTGTTGCTAGGGTAAAACCATGAGTTACTATTTTATCCACTTGACCAGTAGTTTTCACTTAAACTCTGCTCTGAGGAACCTATGGTGTTTCTGGAAGGTCTGTCAGGGGCCACTATATATTGTGTAGGAGGGATACTTTTTTACTGGGACAATTCTTTACTTAACTTTTCAGATATTGCTCTCTTTTATAAAGCTTTTATCTATAGAAATAACTACAAATTGAAAACCACTGGACTAGACTGGTAGGAAAAATTAGTATCAGTTGAAATGTATGAAATGTTTTTACATGTGTTACCTGATTACCACTTTTCAATGTAAAATGTGAACCCTGAGAGGTAACCTTTGTCTTATTCACTGTAGTATCCCCAATGCACATAACAACACATAACACATGGTTAAGTCTGTGTAATACATGGTAATGCATGAAACAATCAAATATCACTTAACAAATAAGTTTGTTAAGTGAATAAACAGCTCCAGAAGATAGGCATAGCAATTATTATCTGAATTTTATCAAAAAGGAAAGAGTAGCTTAGAATAAAAGACTTGCAGAGGGTCATACTATCAGTAAGTAAATCAAGTAGAACACAAATCCTCCATCTCCTGGTTTCTAATACATTTTGGATCAAATCTGGGGGAAAGGAGGTGAGGAGAGAATGGGGAAAAAGGAAAGAAAGGAAGTAAAACAGAATTTATTTTGCTTTCCACTATACCGCAGCTGCCTCTTATTTGATTGAGCAGGGAAAGATCAACTGTAGTAAAGCAAAAAAGAAAAACACATTTTCACTTATTTACCTTCATTTTTGAGAAAATAAATTTTGGTAGGAGAGACCAAAGAATGTTCTGTTTTAATCATACGTATCTCGAAAAGAGTAAAAGAGGCCGGGCACAGTGGCTTACACCTGTAATCCCAGGACTTTGGGAGGCCGAGGCGGGTGGATCGCCTGAGGTCAGGAGTTCGAGACCAGCCTGGCCAACATAGTGAAACCCTGTCTCTACTAAACATACAAAAAATTAGCTGGGCGTGGTGGTGGGCGCCTGTAATCCCAGCTACTCCGGAGGCTGAGGCAGGAGAATTGCTTGAACCCGGGAGGCAAAGGTTGCCGTGAACTGAGATTGTGCCATTGCACTCCAGCCTGGGCAATAAGAGCAAAACTCTGTCTCAAAAAAAAAAAAAAAAAAAAAAAAAGAGTAAACGTATTATTTTTTCATGACATCATCTATTTCTAAAGGGAGTTTGGGGAATCAGTGCAGGTATCATGTGACTGCTTTCCCCAGCCGCTATTTCCTTCCCTTTCTTGTGAGTCCTTCAAACATCTGAGAGGGTTGGTTTTTCACTTCCTCTCATTCACGTTGTTGGCAGAACTCAGTTCCTTACAGTGGCAGGACCAAGATCCCCATTTGCTTTCAAGAACTAGTAGGCCGGGTGTGGTGGCTCACGCCAGTAATCCCAGAACTTTGGGAGGCCAAGGTGGGTGGATTGCCTGAGGTCAGGAGTTTGAGACCAGCCTGGCCAACATGATGAAACCCTGTCTCTGCTAAAAATACAAAAATTACCCAGGCATGGTGGCACGCACCTGTAATCCCAGCTACTCAAGAGGCTGAGGCAGGAGAATTGCTTGAGCCCAGGAGGCGAAGGTTGCAGAAGCTGAGATGGTGCCACTGCACTCCAGCCTGGGTGACAGAGCTAGACCCTGTATCAAAAAAAAAAAAAGAAAGAAAGAAAGAAAGAAAAGAAGAAGAGGAAGGGAAAGGTAAAGGGGAAGGGGAAGAGGAAGAAGAGGAAGAGGAGGATGAAAAGGAAGAAGAAGAGGAAGAAGAAGAAGAAGGAGGAGGAAGAGGAGAAGGAGGAGAAGGAGGAGAAGGAGGAGAAGAACTAGAGGCCACAGCATTCCTTGATTCATTATCTAAGCCTTGATTCATGGCTCCATTCAAAGCCAGCCATGGCGGTTAAATCCTTAGATTGCTGTTCTCTGACTCACTCTTAGTCAGTGATTAGCAACTTTTATAGACTGGTGACTAGATTGGCCCAACCAGATAACCCAGGATAATCTTTTCATCTCTAGGTCCTTAACCTTAATCCTGTCTGCAAAATGCATTTGCTATATAAAGTGACATATTTATAATTGCTGGAGATTATGAAGTGGACATCTCTGAGAAGTCATTATTCTGACTACCACGAGGAAAATAACTGCGTAATTAAGAATCTATATATTTACTTTATGTGGACAAAGATAATTTAAAATGTAAAGGAGACAGTTTTTCTTTTCTTTCAATAGTCATTATTTATAATTACACCAAAGACATAGAGCATGACTGATAGGCATGGTTTCTTATGACTCTAAACCATAAAATTTATATTAATTTTACAAATAACATGTTTCCTATTTGGTTATCAAGTTGAAAAATATGTAGTTAATTTTTCATCAAGAAATGTAGAAGTGCAAACAATAGAACACCACTTAAGAGGATATGTTTTTCAGGAATCTGAAGAAGGGAGGCAAGGGTGTAGCTAGAGTAAGGATAAGGATTAAATACTTTTTTCCTAGTTTTTTTCTCACCGAATTGATCAAATTTTTATCTAGGAGAAAAAAAAGATCACACATATAGTCGATACAGATAATAAGAGCCAACCTAGAAAGGAAGATGGACGTAAATCAGCAGAAAAGAAGGTTGAATAAGTTGAAATATGTAATATGGCCCTATTTCTGTAATATTGTTTGAGTATAAACACCGTATCAGGTTCCATGTCTATTTTTATTAGCCTTTTATACAACAGCACCAAGCACAGCATCTGGCACATAGAAGGTATTAAGTAAATATTAGTTGTCCTTAAATACATTATTTTAATTAGAACTTATCAATGTTTATAGATTTTTTCAATGTACAAGGTACAACAATAAAAATCTCTCATATTCTCCATACTTTCCCAGACTTTTTCTTCCCCCTGATCAGAGTCTCGCGTTGTCGCCCAGGTTTGAGGGCAGTGGTGCGATCTCGGCTCACTGCAAACTCAGCCTCCCAGGTTCAAGCGATTCTCATGCCTCAGACTCCCGAGTAGCTGGGATTACAGGAACACGCCACCATGCCCTGCTAATTTTTGTATTTTTAGTAGAGATGGGGTTTCACCATGTTGGCCAGGCTGATCTCAAACTCCAGACCTCAAGTGACCTGCCCACCTCAGCCTCCCAAAGCGCTGGGATTACAGGCATGAGCCACTGCGCCGGGCCTCCGAGACCTTTAATAAGTTATTTACTTCATAGTAATATCAGGAGCACCGATATGACTGTGTAGTCAAGGAAAAAAAATGACATAATTATTTTCCTCTACTATTTACGTTAAATCATCATCAATCTGAGAATAGTCAGTTATAGGTTTTTGAGGGAAAAGGCTATTTATGACTCATTTCTTCCACCCAAAACAGCCACAAAAAGAACCTTTCTACATATCAGGTACACAGTAAATTATAATAGAAAAAACAATTAGATCATAATAAGAAAAGCCTCGAGGGCATTGAGGTTTTCATTCATGTTTAGCGTTTAAATTAGTATAAAGTAATTATTGGTAAATAAGTATAGTTTAATAATATAATACTAGTAATTAGAAAAGAACTAAAGAAGCTATTGAAAATGTTCTGAAGCAAATATTTTCTTGACTGTTTAAACTGCTGAAAATTAAGTTGTCTTGTTAGATACTAAGTCCTACATCACTGAGCTTTTCAAGCAATGAAGTATATCATTATTGGTCAAAAAATTGAAGCAGGCCAGGCATGGTGGCTCATACCTTTAATCCCAGCAGTTCAGGACGCCAAGATGAAGGATCGCTTGTGCTCAGGAGTTTGAAATGAGCCTGGGCAAGATGGCGAGACTCCCATTTCTGCAAAGAATTCAAAAAAATTAATCAGACATGGTGGTACACACTTATAGTCCCAGCTACTTGGGAGGCTGAAGTGGGAAGATCACTTGAGCCCTGGAGGTTGAGGCTGCAGTAAGCCATGATCACACCATCGTACTCCAGCAGAAATCCTTACATTTGGTGGGAGAATAACCTTTTAAGTTTATCTCTCATTGCAAAAGTGTTTGTCTGCTGGCAATGTTCTGTTTCTTGGTCTGGGAATTTATTACACTTAAAATCTGTATATGTCTAATATTTTTATAATATGCCCTCCTTTCTGACCTCTTTTCTGCATGTATATTTTGTCAACAATAAGCCTCACAATTTTATAAGCCAGTTACCTTTTCTGTGAGATAAATCACTGATTTACATAGGCTTCTTAGACTCTCCCTGCTGTCTCTTTCTTCATAAAGATTCACACTTCTCTTAACTCCAAGGCCAGTGAAAGTTATACGATCAAAGCTCTGGATCCTCTCTTGTTAGGATTTTGGCTTGATAGAACTAAGTGATGATAATATTAGCAAATCAAATTGAAAAGTTTCTAAAATGCATCTTATTTTTAAAGGGGTAATTGATAGAAAATATAAGCTGGAAGTTATATTAGACCTTTGGTAGTACTGTGTGGACTTTTTATACTTCATTTTAATAATGAAGATGTTTAATTTATTTCAAACAGTATTTAACAAAGAGAATATAAGCAAATGTCGACCATCACATACAAAGCTTCTCTGGGTGGAGTCTAAGGGAAGACATGAGAGGTATATTTACCTCTACATTCAGTCTTAGCATCATACTCTTTCCTCTCCCACCATCATCCTTCTTTAGATGAGCCATTCTGAAGCAAAGTTTGTGAAAAACTACTTATCCAGTTTAATATTCACAAAATAACAGAAAAATAAAATTTGAAGGGGGACGGGATTTTCTCAAACTAAAGCACTTAGTTGGCAGATTCGTATGCTGATAAGACCTGGCTTTTGGTTTGGTCTATTTGAATTTGAATAAGTTAACTTCTCTAAGCCTCAGTTTCCTCATATGTAAAATGGAGCTAATAATATCTACTCCCACAGATGTTGAAAATATGAGATAGTGTCTGGCACATAGTGAGTACTGGTGAGTGGGAACTATCATGTTTATTCCAACTCCCAAAGAAAGCCCCCAGAGCTACATAAAATAAAGAACAAAAATAATGATCAATAACTTGCCCTTTAGTTTAAAAATGTCCTCCTTGGTTTGTTTCAGGAAAGTAGTAGATCATCCAAAAAGGCGATTTGGTATCCCCATGGATCGGATTGGTAGAAACCGGCTTTCAAATTCCAGAGGCTAATTGATTCCAATTGTGAGTACAATTTGAATAAGTAACAGTATATGCAGGTATTTGATTAATATTTCACAATGGACTAATCAATCCATTCTTGCTTATAAATCCCCCTTTTGATTTCCTAGCTTATCAGTTCACTTTTTCAATCATTTATGTATGCAATGAGTATAGTATATTAATGTTAAATAACTTAAATGATATTTAAAAAGCAAAAGAATGTCCTAGTTCTGCTTCACTCTCCAAAATTAATGATTTAGTTGTTTTCAGACTTCTATGTAATTAACCATTGAATATTAATATGCACACAAGGGTTAAAGTTCTAGTCAATATATTAAATCACCTCCATAAATATATAAAAATCCTTGCGTTATGAAGAAGACACATTCAAGTGATACACATCATTTTGTTGTCAATAAGTACGTTATTAGAATTATGATAATGTGGAGCATAGGGGAGAAAATGCACAGCAGAAAGAGCATTAGCCATGGAATCAAAACACTTTATCCAAATCCTGATTCTTTCATTCATTCATTATCTTGTTTCTGTTAAGATAGTTTATTTTTCTACAGCTTGTACATTTAAATAATAATGTAGTGGTATTCTGAAGATTACATTAGATGTTTGTAGTGGGCCTACAATATATTGGATACACAATACATGCAAGTGATAGTTTACATTACAGTTCTGAAAATTTACTCTGTTCCAGGCCTTATACTTGGCACTTTATGTGCATTGCTTCACTTAATCATTTTATTTCATAAAGCAATACTATCACTATCTCCAATATCTTGAGAATTATTGATGTATAAGGGTTAAAGGTGCCAGCTAAAGAGATCAGGCCTTATGGGTTCAAATCCCAGGTCATCTATCAATATTTGCTAGCTATGGGAACTTATTTAAATTCTCAAACACTCCTTCATTAAATTAGAATAATAATTTCTACCATATAGCATTGTCCTGAGGATTAAATAGATACATATTAAGCACTTATAATAGTACCTG
Organism: Homo sapiens; assembly: GCF_000001405.40. Lineage (NCBI taxonomy): Eukaryota > Metazoa > Chordata > Mammalia > Primates > Hominidae > Homo > Homo sapiens. Next base: position 191,251,118 of record NC_000003.12, read on the forward strand.
AGATGTTAATTTATTAATAAGTATTAGTTAATATTATCATTATACAAATAAATGGAAAGCTTAGAAATATTAACTTACAGTGCCACATAGAGTATAAGTGGTACACATAGAATTAAAATCCAGAAAGGTTACATCCTGAGTGGGTATGTTAAACACAGCATTTAATCATACATATCCTTTAAACACTAAATAAATGTTTTTTGAAGGTGAAATCTTAGCAATATGTTTTCTTCCAATAGGACTTATAGAAGGTGCATGCCCGCTCCCTAACAAATAAGACAAACTGGAACTGCTTTAACAATCTGAGGCTAGAGCAGAGGGAATTTTGCCTTCTGCTTCTCTCGAGATAATCCTTAGACCAATAATTTAGAGGCCCCAAAAGTATCATATTAGCCCTGATCTTGTCTTAATTTAAATCATCCCATTTTTTCCCTCCTCCTCATGCTCTAAAACCACAATAAATAGTCAGTATTTTTTCTCAACTCTCTCGTTCTCAAAATCACTCAGTTAAAATAAATTTCATTATCATGGAGTTGTTTAATGAACCTCTGCAGTTAATGAATGTCTATAGATACAAGAGAACTTACTGAATACTGCCAAGAACACTGCCTTTTAATCAGCATCATCTTCAAAACAGGTTGAACATTATTTCTTCGTATCTAGAGATATACCAAGTATGGTCACTCTTCAAGGTTGTTAAAAATTGCCACATTATATTTGAGTAGAAACTAGCTAATTGCTGTTTAAAAACCAAGTAACTCTTTGAGTCCTCCAGTTTCTTGATGTTCTGAGAACATTATGACAGTGAGATAAAATTAATTAACTTTGATTGGTTTCCACATATACCTTTACCACCCTTGATTATCACCCATTTCAACATTTTTTAGTTCAACCACAACGAGTTATGTTAAACAAATTATACAGAGAACTCATTTTCATATGATTTTTTTTTGGTTTTTTTGAGACGGAGTCTCACTCTTTTATCAGGCTGAAGTGCAGTTGCGTGATCTCGGCTCACTGCAACCTCTGCCTCCCGGGTTCAAGCAATTCTCCTGCCTCAGCCTCCCAAGCATCTGGGACTACAGGCGTGCGCCACCACGCCCAGTTACTTTTTTAAAAATATATTTTTAGTAGATATGGGGTTTCACCATGTTGGCCAGGATGGTCTCGATCTCCTGACCTTGTGATTCTCCTGCCTCGGCCTCCCAAAGTGCTGGGATTACAGGAGTGAGCCACTGGGCTCAGCCTTGAATTTTTATATGAAGACTGAGACCATAGAAATTTCAGCAACTACCAAACTATGAAGACAATTGAATTAATACAATGCTTCCTGAATCACTGTTGGGTGAAATCCAAATTTGTATGTTGTGTCCTTCTCTTAGCAAACTTTGTTAAGCATCTTGATAATCACTGTTCTTATATTAAAATCTCAAGGTGAGAATATCACAAAAGAATCGATTTAGAAAAGAATTTATCATATATTTGCTCTTTCCCGTTCATCAGTCATTGTGGGTTCACCTGTTCGACCGTTTTGTTTCTATTTATTTTCCATCACTGTCACCAAGATTTCTCTCAGACATTTGTTTACTTCCTCATGTGAAGTTTCATGTTATGTAGTTTATGAATAACAAAAGACATGAGATGATAATATATTTCTAATTTCCAATCTAATTTTCAAAGTTACTTTTTATATTTTTATCTACTGTCAACAATATTCCTTTGAATTAAACAGGGGATGTATCATTTAACAGAGAGCAGCTTAAAAGTCATTAAATACTGTTCACACAGTAATACAGCTGAGAGGTTCAAAAACATAAAGTTTCATTTAATCCAACCCCATTTTTTAAAACAATTCAGGAAAATGGAGCTGCAAGAGGAAATTGTCCCAAATTTTATAGACTCTTGGGCAGAGCAAAATCTGGGGTCCGGGTCTTTGGACTTATAGGCCAACATTCTCTTCGTGACCCAAAAGGCCTTCTTGGTGCTAAGTTTTCATTGTTGGATGCTAAATTCATTGGTTATACATTTCTAAGACGAACAGAAATGGTATCTCGCACTTTACAAAAATCTTTGTTTCACTTCTGTGCAGGTTGATGGATTTACTTTTGGAGCAGGTTTATTTGTGGGTTTTCATCTTCCGGGTTTCACTTTAACACTTCCTATTAAAAGTAAAACTGCTATCTAATTATGGAAGTTTTGCTTCATTCGAGGTGAAGTCTGGAACAGCTGCTCTATGATGCCTACTATAGGGGCCAAATGCCCGCTGAGGTTTTGCTAACAGTCACTGACATGAGGCAGATGGATACATACGAGAAAAGTCACACAAATTTATTTAACATTTATACCTGGGAGGCTTAAGGATGAAGACCTCAACTTTCCAGGGGGTATAGATGCTTATATAACATCTTAAGGTTACAGAAAGAATGCAGACTCAGCATGACCACAACCAGGTTTTAATAATAGTTTCAAGACAGGCTATGGGAGAGAGAATGGAAGAGGCTTGGCTAGCAAAGGTGGATTTGTTATGTAGATGAAACCTCATTGGCAGCAGCCCTCAGAGAATTTAGATGGTGAATGTTTATTTTCAGTAGTTTAAAGGTACCAAACTCTCAGCTAATCTTTCCTAGATCTGGACAAGGGAAGGGCTGGTTGCATTAATGCAAATTCTCTACAGATCTACAGATGCAAATTTCCCCCACAGAAGACACATTTTCAGGATCACTTCAGAATATGTTAAAGAAATATATTTTGGAGTAAAATACTTTTTATTTACTTCAATCCCCACTTTGAAACTTAAAAAGCGTTTCACATATTAAAAGCCAAACTAACAGCTTTGGAGAGATTTGGATTAGAGGTTGTTAGATAGAAATAGACAAAAGATGGAAAGACAAATTGGGATAAACAGAAAAAAGTAAATTTAAATATATTATCTCAAGTCTTGTTTAGTCAGTCTCTTAGTCCTGAGAATAGATCAGTTCAGTTAAATAGCTGTGTCCCATTCCAGAAGGTGGCATGGGAGTTGGACTAGGCCTCTATATGTGATGCAGATAAACAGATCTTTAATAAGAAGTATTTCTAAGGAAATAGAAAAAAACAAGGGTTAAACAGAGGTTAAAAACTGTCTAGAGCAGTCTATAGACTAGTTTTTCTAGAGTCTCTGAAGCATCTTCAGAATGCAATGGCAATATGCCAGATTATTCTGAATTGTGTTACAAAATAGGGTTTCAAGTGAACTTTCTGAGAAGTCCGTATCAGCAGGCGTGAAGGTTGTTTACATATAAGTGGCTGTTATTTCTCTCAAAATTTAAATTGTCTAACTTCAGTCTGCCGGGCTTTATGAAAAGCACAGTTTTAATTTCTAGAGATTTCAGGTTAGAAAAAAATGGAAGAAAAAATTAAAAACCTTAGTTTGGAGACTTGTAGCCAAGAAAGAATTCAAGATTCAGTCCAAACTATAGGCAAATAATAAAAACTCAAAAACAATGAATAAGGCTAGAATCTAACAACAGGTGTCTGTATAGTTTTCTTTTGAAAGATAATTTTTCTCTCTCCACTTCCCCATTTCTACCAAAGATAAGTCATAGTCCTTATTTATTTGCAAAATAAGTTTTAGTCATATTATATATTCTACTTGGTCTGATTATTTGCATGAAGTACAGCAAAAATGTGATTGGCCATACAAGGTCTTTTTAAATTGGCTTTACTGAGACTTTCCTTATAAGGAATCTCAGATTAGACTTTCAAAAGCTTCTTGAGGTTAACCAAATCAAAGATTTATTTGTGCTTGTACACACCTGTATGAATTTGGGTGAATTTCTCTCTTCTCAGGGTCCTAAAATAACTTGAGATTCCTGGGCCTGTCAGAAAGTGACATTCTTTAGTTCAGCTGTCCCCAGGCTTTTCGGCGCCGGGGACTGGTTTCCTGGAAGACAATTTTTCCAAGGACCAGGGGGCAGGGGAGGAAATGGTTTTGGGATGAAGCTGTTCCACCTCAGATCATCAAGCATTAGTTAGACTCTCATAAGGAACACACAACCTAGATCCCTTGCATGAACAGTTCACAATAGGATTCGTGCTCTTATGAGAATCTAATGCCACTGTGGATCTGACAGAAGGTGGAGCTCAGGTGGTAATGCTCACTTGCCCACTGCTCACCTCCTGCTGTGTGGCTCAGTTCCTAACAGGCCACAGACATGTGCTGGTCCGCAACCCGGAGGATGGGAATGCTGCTTTACCGCAAGTCAGGAACTTCGTAAAGAAACCACATAGGCAAGGTATCAGGCAAGTCTTTCCAAGAGGCTTTTTATTGGCTCTATAAAGTCAAACTCAATTCCTCAAAGTAGTCTGGACATTTCTAAAAATATACCACTCCACTCAAATCCTTGATGAAATAACCAGTGTCTGCAATTGTGTACTGTTAAAAAACAAAACATATTCTTGCTGAACTTACACAAAACATTATATTCCTAGAAACTAAAAATGCTCACAAATAGTTTCTAAATTCTGAAGAAGGCAGGTAGAAAGAAATATGCTTCAAATTTTGTTCACAAAAGTATGCTTTATCCAATCTGTTGTAAGATATAAATAGCCCTAAAAAAAGTGTTTTAACTCTGAAAAAAAAAACAAAAATAATCAGCAATGTTCAAACAAAAAAAGTCATTAAAATGATTTCGGTTTTCTGTTACTTTTAGCCAATGTAATTAACTCTTCTTCTGCTTGATGTTGCGTTAGCAGTTGCCATGAATGCATCAGCTTTTTAATTAGAGTCCTAAAAATTTTGTGATTTTTACCTAATCAAATTGTATAATCTCCAAAGTTATTAGAAACCTGTACTTAAGAGTACTTACAAAAGTACTTTCCATGAATTTCCAGAAAGAAGCAAACTTTGGATTGTGGCTGATTATAAACCACCTTTTAAGAAGAGTCAGAGTAAAATAATAATTGTCTGTGTATGACAAAAGTCTTAGACTGGCATGGTTAAAGAAAATTGACAAGAAAAATCAGTTATTTCTATAGCATATAACAATTTAACATAATAATTATAATTAAATACTACTGATAACATATGCTAAAACATATCAGAATTTCAGGAACCTCATACAATTTTAGAACACATCTTAATAACACACTTATATAAATATAATGCAAAGTAAAACACATTTCAGACTTGACAATGCTTCCTGTATAATTTGAACATGCCAAATAAGCTGTATATGTTTTTCTTGGACTTCCACGGGCTGTAATATTTAAAAAGGTAGTTGAGGTAAAAAAGACTGAATTTAGCATTTGAATTTTGATTTTGGAAAGTTTATCAAACATCAAAAGTTTAAAATCCTTGATATCACAAAATAAGATCACAGGTCTCTGTAAAATAAGACATTCATTTAGCCAAAATAATAATTCAGAGATTTCAAAAAGCATAGAGAGAAGACTCAGTTTCTTAAACAATCATAAGGTCTAATAAAGACAGCATGAGGCAAACTGAAACTGTCTCTCCCCCTCTCTCCTCCTTTTTTTTTTTTTGCAGCTTAGTCAAACAGCAAATAAAATTTTTTACTACCTCTTATTAATACTATATTAAAAGATTATTCAAAAGAGAAAACCAAATTTTACCTTTGTATTCATGTATTATTAATGCTAAAGCTAATTTTAATAAGTTTATAAACAAATCCATACAATTTCAGTTTTATAACCTCTTACAATTTTTAAAATTTCTTCAATTTAAAACAATCCTTAAAACCTCTAAACTAGACAAAATTACTTTCACTTTAACAAAAACCAAGGTTGGGTGTTGTGGCTCAAGCCTGTAATCCTAGCACTTTTGGAGGCCAAGGCAAGAGGACCACTTTGAGCCCAGAAATTTGAAACGAGCCTTGGCAACAAAGGGGCACCCCATCTGTACAAAAAAGTTTTTTTAAATTAGTCAAGCATTGTGGTGCAAGCCTGTAGTCCCAGCTACTTGGGAGGCTGAGTTGGAAGGATCACTTGATCCTGAGAGGTCAAGGCTGCAACGAGCCATGATCACACCACTGCACTCCAGCCTGGGTGACAGAGCAAAACCCTCTCTCAAAAAAAAAAAAAAAAAAAAAAAAGACCATAGACACACAAATTTACATGCCTTTTTATAATCCTTCTTACCAAAAACATACTCTACTTCCTTACACACTTTGCATATTTTTTCTCTTATATCTAGTAGTTTTGACTACATATAGTTATTATAGTGTTAATAATTAGTAACTTTTATTTTAGTAAAAAATCTAGGAAGTAGGTAATTTTAATTACATATCAGATGCAGAGCCCAGGACAAAAGACAATGCCTGGAGAATCTAATTTCTCACAGCATCTCCCAGCAGGGGAGGCATAACTGGGATAGGAGAGAATCTAATCTCCCAGCAGGGGAGGCATAACTGGGATAGGAAAGATGGACCAGGTGTTATCCCCCACCCTCATCATGGGCATCTGTCTAGACCTCTGAATCGAAAGGCTGTAATCAAGATACACAGACTCGGAAACAAATTAATCAAGTATCAAAAATATCAAGCAACAATTTTTTGGCCATAAACCTGCCTGATCAATAGACTCAGACAAAAATGTCTACATTAAAATTTTGAAGACATTTTAATATTATTTTACCAATAATTTTAAAACTATCTTTATTTCTCAAAGATTGCTAAAATCACATGAACTTGAAAAGCATTTGGTCTTAATTTATGAGTACTCATTTATTTTTAAATTAATGTGGTACCATGTGTAGACAATATTAAACATGTATAGCTATAAATACATATATACATATACATGTATGTATAGAGAGACACAAGGTATAGCATACACATCTGCACATGAAGACTTTATTGTTTTGATTTTAGAATTTTAGCCATAAGACAGGTAAAACTCACTAGTCTAAAAAGACAGATTGAAACTATGCCTTTGTAAATGGAAAAATTTAAGGCTTATCTGGAGTACCCCTTCTGAGTTTCAGAGAAAACAGGTAGCAAATTTATATCTCAAAGCACAGAGAGAATTTGATTTTTCAAGAAGCTTGAGTAGTCAAAGGAAGATTAAAAATGAATGCCAAGATTCCTTAGGAATTAACCGTAAGATTGCATAAGGAGAGCAATCTCATTTAGATAGGTAGCTTTTAATTCAGTCTGTGTTTTTCAAGTGGACCACTGAGGTCAGGACAGAACTCATTAAGGAACAAGGCTAACAAAGTATTTTTAGTTTATAGGGCCTAATAATTTAAATATGAAAAAAGTGGATGCAGTTAAAAGGCAAAGCATTTAGATGTTTAAAAAGCAAGGGTTTCTGAGAGTTGAACAATGAGAACACATGGACACAGGGAGGGGAACATCACATACCAGGGCCTGTCGGGGCGTAGGAGGCAAGGGGAGGGATAGCATTAAGAGAAACACCAAATGCACGCGGGGTTTAAAACCTAGATGACGGGTTGATGGGTGCAGCAAATCACCAGGGCACATGTATAGCTATGTAACAAGCCTGCACGTTCTGCACATGTATTCCAGGACTTAAAGTATAATTAAAAAAAAAAAAAAATCAAGGCTTTCACTGAATCCCAGGTACCCCCAAAAGAGGAAAGCACCATGGAAACCAGGCCACACACTTTGGTCACTTTGCCGCAAATACATTTTTCTGGGTGTTTAAACCGCACCGTTGTTCATCTAATGTGCAAATGAGTAGCCCCCTGTAGTAACAAGCATTTATTGGAAACAACTATAGTTGGCCATGTCTAACACTGTTACTCTTGCCTAGCCATTACATACACTAAGGTCAAGTCTCTCATAATACCAAATAATTTCTGGTCAAAAGCCAAAGTGATCAGGTAACACAATACAAAAGAGAGCAGAGTTTTAGACCTCACAGGAGGTTGCCTACGACGCTTAAAACTGCAAGGAAAGAAGACTCCCAGAAAGGAGTAAGAGTACTCTGAGTTACCTTCTTCTGAGTCCCTTAAGGAGTGTGAGCTGTTAGAAGTCTTTTCTAGACCTTTTCCTGTGGTACCAAAAATGGCAAAGAGGAAGGAGAAGCAGGGAGAAGTGAAAGTAAACGGGAAAACAATCTGTTTTTTTTTTTTGAGACAGACTCTTGCTTTGTCGCCCAGACTGGAATGCAGTAGCACCGTCTCAGCTCACTGCAACCTCCGCCTCCCAGATCCAAGAAATTCTTCTGCCTCAGCCTCCCGAGTAGCCAGGAGCTACGCCCCCTGGCTACTTTTTGTAGCCCCCAGCTAATTTTTGTATTTTTAGTAGAGACAGGGTTTCACCATATTGACCAGGCTGGCCTCGAACTCGTGACATCATGATCCACCCGCCTTGGCCTCCCGAAGTGCTGGGATTACAGGCGTGAGCCACCTTGCCTGGATTTTTTTTTTTAACCAAAATACACTCCCTGGTAAAATTAATAAGCCTTAACCAAGGTTCTGACTTAACCAAGGATGTATGAGGTGTCTCCAAAGAAATAAATGACCACCTCCAAAAAGTCAAAAGTCACACAGATGTCAAACCAACAGGGCCCCCTGACTGGGTATCAAAGCCAGGCGTTGATGCTGAAAGCATGGACTTTTAACTATTAGACCACAAGGCAGGATGGCTTTTATTGTTATTCCCTCAGGCAATCTCTTACAAAGGATTTTAAATGTTTTAGGTCAAATTTTTGCCCTTTAATTTAGTCAAGAGAATTTTGAAAGCTAGCTATGACCCTATTATGTATCCTTCTTTTTTTTTTTTTTTTTTCTTGAGACAGAGTCTCACTCTGTCACCAGGCTGGAGCGCAGTGGTACAATCTCGACTTACTGCAACCTCCACCTCCCCGGTTCAAGTGATTCTCCTGCCTCAGCCTCCGGGGTAGCTGGGACTACAGGCACACACCATGCCCGGCTAACTTTTGTATTTTTAGTAGAGATGGGGTTTCACCATGTAGGCCAGGATGGTCTCGATCTCTTGACCTCATGATCCGCCACCTCACCCTCCCAAAGTGCTGGGATTACAGGGGAGAGCCACAGTGCCCAGCCTGTGTATCCTTTTAATTTAATCTTCGCATCAATTGTTTGGTGTAAGATATCTCTAATTTTTTTTTTTTAATTTAGGAATTTTAGTCTAACTTAAAGGATCCGTCTTCTGGCCACCGACAATTAGGGTTTCCAGTGGTGTACTTATTCCAGTAACAACTCAATCCAAAAGCCTCTTCCTGTAAAGCCAGAATGTAATTTTAGGGCATAGACAAAAACAATGCCAAAGATTCCCCCACCAAAAATCTCACTCCCGGAAACAGGCTAAGAGAGCAAAAGACTCTTGTTGCCACAGATATTAAGGAACCCACAAATTTCTGAGGGGGGTGCCAGTCACAGTTGTGAGGGGGGTGCCAGTAATCTGTGACACCAGGTGTCCCCTCCTGGGATTGGACTTTCCCGGCATTAACCAGGCAACAACGGCTGAGAAAACAAAAGCTCCTTATGGACAGGACTTCTTATGACAAACCCCCGCCCCCGAGCTTGGGAGATTAGTAACAAAAAAAGTCTTGGGTTCCCAGGCATTTTTAGGATGGCCACCTGATGTGATCCAACAACCATGCCCTTCGGGTGATGGAGACCAGGAAAGACTGCTCCCACTTAGTCAGATGTCAAGCTCTCCAGGACATAAAACTGAACAAGAGGGAACTTTATTTGGTATCCCTCTTTATGAACAACACAGAAAGACAGAGACAAAGAAAAAGACTGTTTCTGGGAGGAAAGAGATCAAACAATATGAATATTCATACACAAAGTACCAAAAAGTACACCAGAGATACTATACCCCAAGTTAAGTCACATAAATCTTTGTCTCGCATTAATCAAAATTGTGCAGAGGAAAGAGTGATTTTTACCATTCACCTGATCAGATTACAGAGAGAGAGAGATAGAGGCCAGGAGCTTTTCTGGTAAGAAATTCTTACTCTTTTTGCCAGCAGATTAGGTCTTGGGTTCTCGTAACTGTGACTTCCAGCGGGGTGAAATTTTAATCTCGCTGCTCACTGCACCCAACTGAAGGTGCCAAGGGCTAACTTTAACCTTTGCCCCTCTGAAGGTTTGCCGAAAATCACTGACATGCGGCAGATGTAAGATTAAAAGGAGAAGAGGATACAAATTTATTTAATGTGTATACAGGGGAGCCTTCAGAATGAAGGACCCAATCTACTAATGGTGTTCAAAAAATTGTATATTATCTTGAGGTTACAGAAAGAATGCAGGCTCAGAGCATGGCCAAAAACAGGTTTTAGTGACAAGAGAGGTTATGGGAGAGAGAAAGAGGCTTGGCTAGCAAAGGTAGTCTTGTTATGTAGATAAAACCCAGCAGCCCTCAGAGAGAATAGATGGCAAATGTTTCTTTTCAGACCTCTGAAAGCATTAGACTCTCAGTTAATCTTCCCTAGATCTAGACAAGAGGAGGGCTGGCTGCATGAATGCAAATCCCCCCACAAAAAAACAGCTTTATGGAGCCACTTCAAAATATGTCAAGGAAGTATATTTTGGGTAAAATATTTTGATTTCCATCACTAGTTACCAGACCAAACACTAATTTCTTCCCTGATACGTATTTTTGAAAGGACGATAATTTGCTATTTATGCAATGGCTTTCTGAAATCATTAATATATTGTACCAAAGTTTTGAGTTTTTAGTAGGCTTTAGCTCTAAGCAACTCAAATTCAAAGAAGTATTTTGTCTAAATGTTCCTAGCTTTTCTAGATGAAATTAGCAAGTTCTAGGTCTGTGCCATTGAAATCAGAATGTCAACCTGATAAAATTAGAAATGTGACTATTGGCCGGGTGCGGTGGCTCATGCCTGTAATCCCAGCACTTTGGGAGACCGAGGCGGGTGGATCACCTGAGGTCAGGAGTTTGAGACCCGCCCGGCGAACATGGTGAAACCTCATCTCTACTAAAAATACAAAAATTTAGCCTGGCATGGTAGCATGGGCCTATAATCCCAGCTACTCGGGAGACTGAGACAGGAGAATCGCTTGAACCCGGAAGGCGGAGGCTGCAGTGAGCTGAGGTCGCGCACCATTGCACTCCAGCCTGGGCAAACTCCATCTCAAAAAAGAAAAAAGAAAAGAAACGTGACCATTAATTGTGCTACCACTTGCTGGCACATCCATTGAGACTTTTCTTCCACTAATGTGAGACACATGTTGCTGAATTATACTGAAAATTTTTATTTTAGATTTATATTGACATATATTGACATACCATCATTCAAATAAATTAATATAACTCAAATACAGCAGAAATCTTGTTTAAATGGCAGTATATGGTTGGATTCTTGGTAGAATGTGCAAAATATACAACTTTCAATGTGTTATAATAAACAGAAAGTAGTATTCAGGTTTTCTTTGTCCTTCTTTTGTTTGTCACGGCAGTATCCTTTGAACAAAGATTAAAAACTCAAGCAAAATAGAATATAGTTGGTACTTGAGGAAAGGAGCTGTGAAAAAGACTTTTTATAATTTTTATTAAAACTTGAGCATACGCACCTAGCTTATATGTTTAAAATATTCTTTTTAATGTATTTTGAACTGAAATTGTTATTTTGCATTATTGTCTTCAAAATAAAAAATTGCCATGTAAATAAAGGCTATAATGAAACAGCATGTAATTAAAGACTTAACTCTTCTCAAGTGAAGTTGATGGACTTCCACCTGATCTACAGAGTTCTCATTAGCTTTAACAATCTCAACTTTCGTTTTTGCAGATGCAACTTCCTTGGGTGAAATGTCACAGCAATATGGAAGATGCTTCACTGAAGTTATTCACACTTCTTAATGATTAAACTTTTAAGGAACTGACCTTCTGCAAATCCTTTCCAAAGCTTGAACTTCAGTCCATCACATTACAGCATTGTTACAGCTTCAATTAAATTGTGTAAATCATTTTGATGCACGTACATTTTAAAATTATATATTTTAATTATTCAAGAATGGTTAACTTCCCCTTAAACCTTACTTTTAAAAATAATAATTAAATACACAATACAGTGAAATGCCTTCTGTATGGATTTACCATGCACATGTTTGTAGTCAAAGAATAATAACAAAAGACAGATTTGCTTCTGTAAAATTTAGTTATAATCTGTCCATTATTGGGGAATGAGGAAAGGCAATGCTGTGTATTTTCTGTTGAGTACTTTCACTTCCCTGTATTCCATTTTTCCAAGAGTCTGATCGGTAATAATTATGAAATTAGGCTTCTCTTTTCATATTCAAGTTTCAGTCATGTTCAGAAAAATAAAACACAGCCCCAATGAGCCTATTGACTTAGAATTAAGAAAGTGAAGGACATTACTCATTTGTCAAACTTAGATATCACTTGTCCCCTAAAAACTTTCCATTTTTCTAAATTCTGACAGTTAAGAGCAGTAGTGTCTCATTAGGAGGGGAGTAAGCTCACACAGAGGTAAAAATGAAAGTAGGAGGGAAGTCAAAGAATTACCACCAGAACAGGTTAGGACCAGCTAAGCACACATCATTTTAGCTCAGTACACTTCAGCATAGTACAATGTGATCTTTTTGATATCTTGGATTAATCTAAGAAACTGTTTACTGTGTTTCACATATTGGCTTCTTTGGCTTCAATTGTCTTATTATCCTTAGTAAGCCAATTGAAGAGCATAATGATTTTGAGAATGATTTCTTAAAAATCATTCAGATTATTTTTGAATGACTTATTAAAACATAAGTTTTCGTATTGTAGAAAACTCAGTTCTCAGTAATAACTATGATGTTACTGTAGCTTGGACACATAGGTCCATTGTGCATTGGATATACTTTGAAAACACACAAAAAAAACTTTCTATGGAACAGAGATTCATCATAAGTTACTTAGCAGAAGTTTATAAAGCATCGAAAAACACTTCCTCTGTAAACCCTAAAAATCACTGTCTGATACGTGGGAGGAAAAAAGTTTTGTCCAGTAGAGCAAAGGCTTATTTCAGCATAAAAAGAGAGTGTTGTGAGTTGTGAGAAGGTGTCTTAATTTTAAAGGAAGAGGAGAGAAATGGGCAATTGCTAATCTTAACTAAAAATTAATGGACTTGTATGATCCAAAGAATAAAATAAACTCAAAGAAACATAACAAAAATATATTAGAAAAAGAGTTAAACTAAGAAATTGACCTTTATGAAGGACTAATTTTTCAGTTATCCAATGTGCTTTTTAAAGATAAAGTTTAAAAGAGGCAAAAAGAGGTGAAAGAAATGAACATGTGTACTTAGAATATATATATTGGTTTTGTATGTAACTTCTTAGTTTTTCTGGATATTTTTAAAATTGAAAGTCTTCAAAATTAATTTAGGAAAAATAGTAAATAATTTTTTTTCATTGTAGTAGAGGGCTGTAGCCAAGAGAAGTGAATTTTGGGAAATCTAACCAATTCTTTTTTTCATAAACTTGTGTTAGAAAGCTAGCAATAGCACATAGGGAAGTATCCTGGAGGACTCAGGAGTTGAAAGAATTATTTAAGAAGTTGTGATATCCTTGTCTGCCTTTCCCCAACCTTGTGATGAACTATAGAAATGTTTCCTATTGCTTAGAAGCTCTTTCTTTCCTTGTATGCACATTTGGGTATTTGTAAGCTTCTAATCCAATTGGGTTCTGCTTCATGCTTTGACAAAAGGTATTAAAACCTACTTTAGCCTAAAACTTTCTCATGGTAAATATTGGAAGTTGGATTATGCAAATTGATTTCCTCCATTCTTTATTTTTTAATTCAAAATTAGACTATGACATCCAACTTAATTAAAATAAGAAGTCACAATATAGTGATTTATGCTATAGTTTCATGTGTAATGTATTTTCACCTAATATACACACAATTTCCATGAAGGGAAGAAAATGTTTTCTCCACTTATAACTCTATTTTATTTCATATTTTAATTTTTACCACTACTTCATTCAGAGTAGAAAATAAGTCAGCAATATACTAAATAATGGGGCTATTCTTTTAACATAGCAGTAAATTAAGACAGAATTTTTGTTAAGAATATGACAAGTCATCTCACTTATTTATCCAATGCATTAGGTATTACTAATCCAACTATATTTCAACTTGAAGGGACTTTTTTGTTTTGTTTCAAAATAATGCATTACTTTTTTCTCTTTGCTTCTGTATGAACCTTTATAGAGCAAATGAATATATGTATATGGAGTTCTGGGTTCTAGTGTCAATTACATAATCAAATTTCATAAAAGGATGTTAGTTACTGGCTATGTTGTCCTAAAATTTACACACACTAAAAAATGTCTGTCAAGTTGTACCTTTAACCTGTTCATAGCTTTAGGGAATTAAGTTTCTTAAACCAAATTATGAAAAAATAACTTAATGGAATCTTCTAAAAGGAAAAAGTATAAAAAGCTTTCTGAATGATATTACCCCTTATACCTAAAGGCTCAAGATGCTTGAATATGGTTCAACTTTTCCAAAGTTAATAAACAAGGGATGATGAAAGCAGTTTTAATCTTTATTTATTATAACACATTTGCGTTCATAACTGTTGTAAATACATGAGAACATCTTCGGGCATTACCATGCAACTAATATTTATTTACATACATTTGAGTTATTCCTTAGCATTACAGGCATATTGCTCAACTTGGTCTATTTTATTGTAGGTTTAAATTTGTTTTAATAGTTTACTTGTTTGTTTCATTTCTGTTTTGGGGGTTTGGGGTTTTTTATTTGTTGTTTGTTTGAGACATGGTCTAGCTCCAGGCTGGAGTGCAGTGGTGCAATCACAGCTCACTGAAGCCTTGATCTCCCTGGGTCAAGCAATCCTCCCACCTCAGCCTCCCAGGTAGCTGGGACTGCAGACACATGCTACGACTCCTGACTAATCTTTGTATTTTTTGTAGAAATGGGGTTTCACCATGTTACCCAGGCTGGTCTCAAAACTCCCGGGCTTAAGCCTGATCCCCTCCACCGCCACCTCAGCATTCCAAAGTGGTGGGATTACAGGTGTGAGCCTCTGGGCCTGGCCTTTATTATTTTTTTTTTTTTTAATTTTATTTATGTTTTTGAGAGAGTTTAGCTCTTGTCGCCAGGCTGGAGTGCAATGGCGTGATCTCAGCTCACTGCAACCTCCGCCTCCTAGGTTCAAGTGATTCTCCTGCCTCAACCTCCCGAGTAGCTGGAATTACAGGCATGTGCCACCACACCCAGCTAATTTTGTATTTTTAGCAGAGACAGGGTTTCTCCATGTTGGTCAGGCTGGTCTCGAACTCCTGACCTCAGGTGATCTGCCTCGGCCTCCCAAGGTGTTGGGATTACAGGCATGAGCCACCGTGCCTGGACCCTTAATTTTTTTTAATAGTTTAAGCAATATTATTCATTTTATCTTATAAGACAGCTTTATCTTAAGCACCAACAATTTTATGTAGATTAAACTGTATCTTCTCCTCCCCATATAGTAAAGGGTGGTATGTAGATTGATTTGGTCAGCTATCACAGAGTAAGCTAGCCATTAATATTCTTTCATTGTAAAGTTACTTTGGCAATATATCTGTGCCAGCACAGATTGTAAACAAAATTGAGGTTGAACTTCCAAATTTTAATTGACTAAATAAATTTGTTTAGATGTAAGCAAGGGCAGTTTGATGTATAGATGTGAAACAAAAGCTAATCAAGAGAAAGCCAATGAGTTTTTGGGGTTTTTGTTGTTGTTGTCTTTAACCACACTGTGTCTAAACTCTTACAAGAATGCTGAGGGTCTCAAATAGTTTCTCATGTTGTGGAGGAGGCAGACATGAGAATTAAGAAAACAAAAGGCAAATCATTTTTTTAAGAAAGTTTTCTTAACATTCTATCTTTAAGGCATCTAGTACTTTTTCCCCAGAGTTTAATAAATCTGTTTCTGCTTAGTAATGTATCCATTTGTTGGAGTAGTCTCAATTACCATTGTTCAAATTAATAGAAAAGAGAGGTGGCCAATACAATCATAAAAATGAGAAAGAACAATAATGCATATTTTCCATGTAACTTGAGACAATATAACTTTCCAAGATGCTTTTCAAAATGTTTTAATTAATAGTTCAACAGCATAGTCACAACAGGACAAAACTTTACATAAGCAATGAATTTATGGAAAGCATACAATAGATACAGCATTTTCAACTCTAGCTCTACAAAACCATTTTGATAGTGACATACCTTCAAAAGTGCAACTGATTAGTGATTATTCACAACATAAACCTTAAGCTTATCATAATTGACTTAGTAACAAGAACAAGGTGAAAAAATCATATGCATAATAAATGCCAGTTTCTTTATGATTGAAACAGCTACAATTTTAAATAGCAGAGTATTGCGGGATCTGGCCAGTAGCCCGCAATGCAACGGGGCTCTTTGTTCCCAGGCGGATCAGCAGGTTGAGAAATAACAGACACACACAAGATAGTGAAAGCTGGGTCCAGGGGGGTCACCACCTTCTGGTCCCATGGTGCCAACAATGCACTGGATATACCAGCATTTATTATTAAGTTTAGCAAGGGCAGGGGTAGGTTAATGAGGGATTTAGGGTCATTTGATTATGAGGTGAGATGGTCACATGGGGATGAAGTAATTCTTTAACATAACATTTGTATGTAGAAGTACAGTACATTTGTATGTAGAAGTACAGTATACAGAGATAAGAATTTACAATATACTGTGTGTGTAATTTCTAACAGAGCCTTAAAACAGAAACACAATCTTTCCATAACCTATGATTAGCAAGATATTAATCAGCAGTAACAATTGTAACAAAAGCTGGTTACAAACAATCCATGGAAACAGGACATGAAGCTAGACAACCGCTTAGACCAGAAATTCTCAGAAGGAAATATGCCTTAACCCTAAAGAGGCCTAGAAGAGCCATGGCAAGATGAGGACGTTTACAACCCTATCTTATCCATATGGACAGGCGCCTTCCATGCATCCGTTTATAGGCTCTCCACGAGGGGCGCATTCCATTCCCAGAGCTATGAACATCTGCTTTTCTGGGATAGGAATCTTGGTGATATGAAACCTCCCTGACTGCACGTCCATTCATAGGCTCTCTACAGGGGGAAGCAAGTGCTGTTGGCTCATTCTGGCAGTCCAACCTGGCATTGTCTTTACACAATCCCGCATGCAATTTTGTATTTACAATAATCAGGAGCATTTCATCTTTTATTCCACAGCAATAGTTTCAGGGGGTCTGCCTACAGCAGAGTGAGTAGATACATATATTTTCCTGATATTCTTATCTTTTTTTGCATCCAGAGAAAAAGCTTTAAACACAGTATTTCCAAAAGCAAGCTAAAGAAGAAAACAAAATACATTTTTTATTAGAAGTATATTTGATAAAACTTGCTCTTGAATCAATAGCTTATGTGTGCCTGAATGCGAGAGTTAAGTTTTTAAAAGGGACAGTCAATATTGTAGCTACTAGCCTCATGTGGATCTTTAAGTTAATCACAATTAAATTAAAAATTCAGCATCTCCATCATACTAGTCACATTTCAACTGCTCAATAGCACTTGTAGCCAGTGACTACCACAATGGACAGTACAAACTAGAGAATGTTCCCATCACAGAAAATTCTATTGGACAACACTGTTATAAATTATAATACATATAATACAGTCTAGAGAATTCAATAGACTGCCCTATGAGATTCATCCCTCTATTTTACACTTGAGGTAACTGATATACCAAAAAGAAAGTCACATAAGTAAAAAAGCAGTGCTAATGAGAATCTATCTGTTGAGTGAAGAGGAAGGAAGACAGTTTAAAGGTCACTTTGCAGACCACAAAATGATATTTAAATAACTTCATTTGTCATCACATTTAGTCCTCCCATTCTGATCATAAAATGATTCTTCAGAGAAATCAAACCAAATATATTAGCATTTCAATCTTCAAATATATAAATGAATCATTTTAAATCTTCTGTAGGTTGTTACCAATCACCTGACTTACAGTAGTTGCATCTAGCTAATTATCAGTTTCTCTAATTTCCTTTTATTTAACTAGCTTATAAAACTAAGCCCCTTGGGAGAAGGGCCTTTGATTCATTGTTGATCAGTGGTATTTACAGTGAAAAAGAGTTGAAAAACATATAATCCCTCATTGAAATGAATGATAAATTTCTATGTGCTTGCCCAGGTTTTCCTCCCCAAATACACCGTAGCCCCTGTGCTTATCACCACATATAAACAGAGTTTTATGATATCACTCAGAGCCTATTTTTCATTTCTTCAAGAGCCACAGTTTCCCTTAGAAGCCACATTCAAACCCTGCGAAAGCAGAAGTCTATTTTCAGACATTGAAGTGAGGCGCTTCACCCACTAATCTCACCTTCTTCTTTTTTTTCAGGTTTTTTTTTTTTTTCTTTTTAAAAGATGAGGCTTCTCACTATATTCCCCAGCCTGGACCACAGTGGCTATTCACAGGCATGATCATAGAGTGCTACAGCTTCAAGTGATTCTCTAACCTCAGCCTCCTGAGTAGCTGGGACTACAGGTGCATGCCACCATGCCTGGCCAATCTTCTTTTTATAGTATGCTTTGGAAAGTTATCATCACTGACCTCTCTGTCTTTTCAGATGTCTTTGAATATCTGAGTCTGGCAGAAGAATATAAACTTACACTTAGCCAAGACTTATACCACATGAACAGCTCAATTAAATATACAATGGAATATAGTTTGGAGAATTTTTTGGATGTGGTCAAAGGGAACTGTCATGAGTCATACTGGTGGCAGAGCCAATTCCCCAATGTTTATAGCGTACACCATTCATCATTTACATAAAGTAAAACCCCAACCAGCTTTCTGGTGTCACTTAATGGCTGTCTTGTTAACTCTTGTATTCTCCGTTTTTAGCATGATGCTAGGAGTTGGACAGCTATATTTGTAGCAGATGTCTATCAACAATATATTAAAAGATTAAAGAAAGGTACAATATTTCACAGTAAGCGTAAGTTTTTACTGTCTTAAGCTGGATTTCTGGGTCTATTTCATCCTCATATATTGTTATTCACAGTGGTTAGTCTCTAGTTATGGCAACAGCACTGCACTTCATGTATAACGTGGATTATGTTCAGCTTTGTCACCGAAGCTGGAGTGCAGTGGCACAACCATAGCTCACTGCAACCTCGAACTCCTTGGCTCAAGGGACCCTCCAGTCTCAATCTCATGAGTACTTGGGACTACTAGCATGGGTCACCACACCAGGCTAATTTTTTAAATTTGTTGTAGAGACACAGCCTCCCTATATTGGCCAGGCTGGTCTCAGACGATTGGGCACAAGTGATTCTCCTGCCTTGGCCTCCCAAAGTAGTGGGATTGCAGGTGTGAGCCACTGGTACCTGACCTACAAACATGTTGTAATATCTACTTTCTTAAAAATAAACAAAAAAGGTTTTTTTTTTATGCTTTCAAATCATTCTAGCTGATATACCAATTTTTTTTCTATTCCTTAGCACAAAATTCTTTAAGAGAATTTTCTATTGTCAGTGGTTCCAGTTCTATAGTCATGTTTTCTTTAACAAAAAGTTCACCAAACAATCCTTGGCAAGGCCATTAATGACCTTTCCTCTGCTGAATTCAACTGGAAGTTCTCAGTCCTCATTTTACTGGATCTATCATAGTGAAATCAGCCCCATAGACCCATAGAGAGTTGTTTTTGGATAATCAGAAATTGACCCTTCTGCTGTTAAAGCTTAAAGCTTGTATTTGTTTTAGGTGAGTTTCTTCCTCAGGAAATGACCTTTAGGCCTCCCAAAAAAAACTGTCAAAGGGCCAGTTGTGGTGGCTCATGCCTGTAATCCCAGCACTTTGGGAGGACGAGGCTGGCAGACATGAGGTCAGGAGATCGAGACCATTCTGACCAACATGGTGAAATCCTGTCTCTACTAAAAATACAAAAATTAGCTGAGGGTGGTGGCCACATGCCTGTAGTCCCAGCTACTTGGGTGGCTGAGGCAGAAGAATCGCTTGAACACGGGAGGCAGAGGTTGCAGTGAGCAGAGATCACACCACTGCACTCCAGCCTGGTGACAGAGTGAGACTCTCTCAAAAAAAAAAAAAAAAAAAAAAAAAAGAGGTATCAAAGAACTGAAACTCACCAGATCACCCCATCCAGACAATGAGATATTGGACCACTCATTCATTATGATTGCTTCCTTGCCTTTCTCACACGTAGTTACATTTCTTCCCTGCTATATTAACCCTAGTTTTAGTGAGTTAGAGAGATGGATTTGAGACTGAGCTTCCATCTCCTCAGCTGCAGCACCCAATTAAAGCCTTCTTCCTTGGCAATACTTGTCTCAGTGATCAGCTTTCTGTGCAGTGAGCTGTAGGACCTAGACTGAACCCCTGGTGTTTTGGTAACAATAGCTTTGGATAGACTTAAACTCCTTTTTCCCAGAAACAGTTTTTTTACTTGACTTGTGGGTGTTGCTTTCTTGCCTCCTTCTTTGTACCTACTCCTACTCAGCCTCTTTTGTTGACTCTGCCTCATCTGCTCAGTTTCTTCCCTTGGAATGATCTGAGTCTCAGTTTTTAGGTATCTTTTCCTTATATTTGGAGTCACTCCTTAGATGCTCTCGTCACAATGCCAAACAATATTTATAATGCTGATAACTGCCAAATGTATATCTCTAATCTGGGCTGACTGAAGATATAAGATTCATATTCACTAACTTCAGATTCATACATCTAATCTTCTACTCAATTTACTCCTGGAAGATTTATTAAATATGGCATAACAAACCCAAAATATGTGGTAGGAATACAACTCTTCAGCTATTCCTAAGACTTCTCTGTATTTCCTAGGGATCCCACATCCCCATTAAGTTAAATTGGGATCATGTGCATAGCTCTGGCAGTTAAAAGCATATTTACCTGCTTCATCTCTTTCCTATCCTACTATAGGTACATTGGAGACCACGTGTTCCACATAGTGTATGCATGAAGTGAAGGAAAAATGGTCAACATATGTAAGACCTCATGTAAACTCGGTCAAAATTATAGAAAGTTGCATCACTGAGATTTAAAGGCTATTTTATCAGCTTGCTAAGCATATCCCAATATACAGTTTGATAACGTGAAGTGAGGGTGCTGCTGTAAAACATACCTAAAATCTGACACAGTATCAGCAACTCATTAATGGCAGACAAGGAAACTGATATCATAGGTTTGAAAAATTAAGAGTTATTTTATTAAATGGCAAAATAAGTGCTAAAACTCGCATCTGCAACAGCTTGGGATTCAGATCATGTGCCTAGAGCTCCTAGAAGAAAGGCTGGAAAAGAGTAAATTGGCAAGCAGTATATTTAGTTTGCTGTTGATTGCGATTATCCTTTCCCTGTTCCTTTGCTAATTGTTGGATATGTATGGGGTGAATAATAACTCATCTTTTCAGTTAATAGGTCTGTGAATGAAGAGTAGCTTGGCTGGGCATGGTGGCTCATGCCTGTAATCCCAGCACTTTGGGAGGCAGAAGCGGGTGGATCACCTGAGGTCAGGAGTTCGAGAACAGCCTGGCCAATATGGTGAAACCTGTCTCTACTGAAAATACAAAAAATTAGCTGGGCGTGGTGGTGCGTGCCTGTTATCCTAGCTACTTGGGAGGCTGAGGCAGGAGAATAGCTTGAACCCAAAAGGCGAAGGTTGCAGTGAGCCGAGGTAGCGTGCCATTGCACTCCAGCCTAGGCAACAAGAGCAAAACTCCGTCTAAAAAAAAAAAAAAAAAATGGGCAGGGCACAGTGCCTCATGTCTGTAATCCCAGCACTTTGAGAGCTCAAGGCAGGTGGATCACCTGAGGTCAGGAGTTTGAAACCAGCCTGGCCAACATGATGAAACCCCCATCTCTACTAAAAATACAAAAAAATTAGCTGGGCTTGGTGGCGCCCACCTGTAGTCCCATCTACTCGGGAGGCTGAGGCAGGTGAATAGCTGGAACCTGGGAGGCAGAGGTTGCAGTGAGCCGAGATCGCACCACTGCACTCCAGCCTGGGCTACAGAGCGAGACTCCGTCTCAAAAAAAAGGAGTGGCCACATTATATCTGATGAAGACTAGTAAATATATCCTGGAAAGCCTGTTATTTGTGCTGCATGCAGTCACTAGAAGAGATTTGGGGTTGTCTCTAATGAGAATGAGTTGAGTATAGTCTATGTTTTTAAGAAGAGATAAAGGATAGACTATGATAGAGGCAGTGCTCACCAAGTACTATAGGTACTTCCTTACATTTACCAACCTGCCTTGCCATATGTTGGTGGTAGTCCCAGTGACTAATCCCGGCCAATGGACTTCAGTAGAAATGATGTGTGTCCCTTCCGAACTGAGGCAATTGAAAGCTGGGATGTATCCTTTATCCTCTTCTGTTTTGGCAATGTTGGAGGCAGTTAAGCTGTATCAACGTTCTGGATGATAGGGCTACAGAATAGAGTGGTGCTGTGCTGTGCTGCAAGCATTGGACTCGATTCCCGACTTTATTACACCATGCCTCTGAGATTTAGATTACAACTGTTAACACCTAATAGCCTAAGCTATACTGATTCAGGAAAGGTCCAACAAATCTCTATTTCAACCTTTCTCTTGTACTTTCTTCTCCTCCAGTTATCCTTGGCTCAATAAACAGAAACTGTCCTTTGTTCCTAGTTGCTCAAAACAAAATCCTTGGAGTAATTTTTGACACCTGCCTATTTTTTACACTTCATGTGTAATTCTCCAGCACATTTTGTTGACTTTTATTTGAAATATATCCAGAATCAGACCAGCCTAACCAACATGGTGAAACCCATCTCCACTAAAGATACAAAACTTAGCCGGGAGTGATGGTGCATGCCTGTAATCCCAGCTACTTGGGAGGCTGAGGCAGGAGAATTGCTTGAACCCCAGAGACAGAGGTTGCAGTGAGCCGAGATTGTGCCATTGCACTCCAGCCTGGGCAGTGAAACTCCGTCTCAAAGAAAAAAAAAAAGCCACTAAATTCCCTCCCTCCTACCCTCCACTTCATCTTCTGCCACTTCATCCTTCACCCTTACTGGCTAAGTCACTTAGCAGTTGGGTTATTTTCAGCATTAAATTTAACCCTTCTGAGATGCAGTTTTCTCGTCTATAAAAAAAGTCATATTAATAGCTATTGTATGGGATTCATGTAGAAAATAATTGTAGTAATAATGATCAAAATAATTTTTTAAGTTAAGCTTACATAGTACTTACTACATACTAGGAATTATTTTAAATTAAATTAACTCATGTACTCCTCCCAACAATCCCATGAAGATTATTATCATTATCCGCATTTTTAGGCAAAGAAAATGAGGCAGAGAAAATTAGATAACTCTCCAAGGTTGCGTAGGTAGTCAAAGTTAAAATTTGAACCCAGGCAGTCTAGCTCTAGAGTCTGAATGCTTAATGACTATATTTTGAGACATTAAAATATAAAATGTCTGGTATATGTTTAGGGCTTAACACTGGTTCATCTTCTTCCCTCAATAATATTGTTAAAATATGATTTTACAGAAGTTAAAGACAAATCTGGTATAGGGGACAAGTAAAAATAAATATGACTTAGGAAATCTCTCATCACTACATGAACAAAGAAACAGGAATACATTTTTTTCAAAAATAAAAACAAAGTAAGAAACAATAATTTCCTAGGAAAAATTATCCAAAAGCATAATCCAAAAAAGTAATCTTTCTAAAATTAAATGCTATGAATCGAACCTTGGAACAAGTGTTATAGCAACGAAGTTTCCCCTTATGTCAGAATAGATTCTATGGAATTTTAAATTGACTTAAAATGGATTATTTCTATTTGTGGTCTTTGCTGCTTCAGTGTTTAAGCCAAAATAGCAAGAGTAAGCCAGAGTTTATACAATAAGGACCTATTTTATTTAAACCTGAGAAGTGTGAACTTGCCCCGTTGTAAACACCAGAAAGCTCAAATACATTTATATGGTAACACTTTTATTGGAATATATTTTTTTAATATGAGCCTTTATATTGGTCACCACCATAAGATTAAGAAATGCCAACTGAATCTTCTTCCTCTCAGAAATTACTGCAAAAATAATCTTTTGGAAGTCAATCTTAAAACCTTGAAATGAAAGCTTACCTCGTTTGCTAGGATGAGAAGAGAATAGACCATCTACAGCATAGGACGTCTCAGAATCCTTCTCCTCCACTAGCTGTTCTTTTAGCTTTTCCAGCTGATAAAATTGTAAAATGATAATTAATTGGTCTTCTATAAAACCATGCTGTTGACCGGGCGCGGTGGCTTATGCCTGTAATCCCAGCACTTCGGGAGGCCGAGGCAGGCAGGTCACGAGGTCAGGCGATCAAGACCATCCTGGCTAACACAGTGAAACTCCGCCTCTACTAAAACTACAAAAAATTAGCTGGGCGTGGTAGCAGGCACCTGTAGTCCCAGCTACTCGGGAGGCTAAGGCAGGAGAATGGCGTGAACCCAGGAGGTGGAGACTGCAGTGAGCCGAGATTGCACCACTGTACTTCTGCCAGGGCAACAGAGCAAGACTCCATCTCAAAAAAACAAAAAACAAACAACAAAAAAAAAACCATGCTGCTCTCTGTTGAAGAGGAAAGATAAAAAGAAAGAAAAAAAAAGAGAGAAAATGGATGAAAGAAAGGAAGAGAGAAAAAGGGGGAAATAGAAACAAAGGAAGAAAAAAACAAAAAAGAGAGAAGAAAAACAGGGAGCATGCATTCAGGGGCTGACTAGGAAAGGTACATGACTCAACAAAAGATCAGAAAGAAACAGGTTTTGGGCAAAGGAAGTCACCTCTGGGTGTTAATGGGGAACATGTAAATACAGCCTGTGTACTTGGACTTCATTTTGTGCCACCTATAATGAGCAGGTCTTTTCAAGGAGCTACAAATTATTGTGTCAATACTTGGATTTCCTGAATTTTTTGTCTTTTCTAGCTGGAAGGAAAAAGTATTTTGAGGCCTTAAGGTTTCCATCCAGAATTCAACTTATTTTAATTTTTAATTTTAATAAGGTTACTAATTGCCTTAGGCCCTGAAGAGCTAACTACAAAAGTAGGGTTCAGCCTGGACCACTCTTTATCTCCATGTTGGTGCTACTCAGAAGAGAATGATGAGAATAGTTCTCTCTCCCAAAGGGCCAGTTTGCAGAATAATGGAATTGCACGGAGAAAAGGGTGTTACTAGGGGTCCCCGTCAAGAAGGCAGCACTTTAGGCTCTTCACACCAGCTGCTTCAAGCCAAACAGCTTGACTTTTACATGTTTCATTTGCTGGGAAAACATAACATTTGGGGGAAAAAAGATTCCCACTGTTTAAAAACAATAACATCCATCTATTTACAGCCTCCCATTCTACAGATGAGGAGATTTCAGTCTAGAGAATTTGTTTGCCCCAGGTTTCACAGTTTGGTAATTGCAAAGCTAAAATTAGAATCCAGATTTCTAGACATTATAAAGAATGATCACTTCAGCCATAGTTTTGTTTTGTTTTGTGTTAGTATAACTTGATTTTTCTTTTTCTACAAAACAGCTTCACGCTTTGTTTAGCAGGAATAAAAGTTTTACATTGTAGTATTAATAATTTATTTTAAAAAACATTGTGTCAAGAAGAAATTTCCTTATAATTGTTATTAAAACTGCTCATTTAAGTATTTCACATTCTCACCTGGTTAAGTTCTTCCAGTTTGTTAGGTAAGGCTAGGTCTGCAAGACACATTTGTCACATGAAAAAACGTACATTGCAAGTAATATTTAATTTGCTTCAGTACACACATTTAAGATCTTACGTAGAAAGCATAGGTCTTTTTCATATGATTTGACATCACCCATCCATTCCTAATATAAAACCTCCAGTATATTTCTCAATGCCCATAGTATTGAAATGCAATCAGTTATGTCATCTGAAATATGTAATTTTCAACAATTAGCACAAAGTTTTTCTAACGTAGACCATAGTTCTAGCATGACCTATTATTTAGAAATAAACTATTTTTGCTGGCATGTGGAAATTCTCATAAAACAACATTAAATGGGGTTGTGGGCGGGGGGAAGCAAGCCATGTATTCTATGTATAATTCAATCGAGAAGAAAATTCTCCAAAATACTAAGGCTAACTTGCTCCAGGTTTTAAAATTTGGGTATAAATTTTTTGTTTTTATAAATTTCACTTATTTTTCAATAAGAATATATTACTTTTAGTTTAAAAACCCTGAATTTTAAAAGTATTTATTAAGTTATTCTTTTAACCAGCATTTTGTTCTATGAATACAGACATGTTTAGATTACTTCAGATGTTGTATGGGAGAGTAGCACGGTATCATATTGTCACATTTTCTCTTAAGCTAGACTTGTTAAATTTCTGACAAAATCTCAGTCATTTCTTGGAGGACAATCTCATGGATATTTGTAAGTCAGATTCTCTTGTTCTTCAAATAAAAATAATTTCAATTGGTGTAGCCTAAATTTTTCATTCATCATCTGTACTCCAACTGTTTCCTAAAATTGAAAGAATTTGATTAAAATAATGCTAAATTAACTACAACAAAGCTGCAGTTAATTTGTGAAATTTCTAGAAGAAACCTATAACTATAATACTTTTGAAACATTTAAGAAAATAAAATACTAGTGGTACTAGTGGAGAATTGCATAGATGAGAAGAAAATATGAATAAAGGTAACCTTTTTTTTTAACTATATGTTTACCAATCCCATTAGGACCCTCAAATTGACCAAAATAGGCTATTAATATTTGTTAATAACTCCATGGATTTAACATAAATATAAAACAAAAAAATCACTTAAATCTTTAGTGTAGCATATAAAAGAGTAATTATTTCATTTAATATAAATTAACATTTAGAAAAAGCAAGTCTCAAGACAAAATAAATTGTTATTTTTTAATAAATAGAGCTTGACTTTATGTTTAACTCACCAGTGTTGAAAGGTCTTTGGAAATCAAAATTTTTATTCAGTAGAGCCAGCAATAGTTCCTCACGATTTGTATATTTTTTATCTGGAAATATTTCATTTCCTATAATGATCAAAAACCACCATTTTCAATTTGAGTCACCGAAAATATTTCTAATTAAATTGGTCTTACAGGCTACTATCAATTTGTATATTTGACAACGAAAGAAATGTAGAGAGAGTGTATAGTCTGAAGGGATGGGTAATTTAAGAAATTATTGAATATATATTGAATGAATATGGACAGTCAGACAGACACAGAGAGAGAATATATGCATATACCTGGAGGTTGCACCCTAAAGTTTTACCTGTGATTACTTCTGAGTAGAAGAATTGGAGGTGAATTTTACTTTCTTCTTTTTAATCTGTGTTTCTGGAATTTTCTACTATTTTATTTAAAATAAGTATAAACTAAAAGTAGTTTTCAAAATAAAAATATAGCATTCTATTTTGTGATTTTATCTGATATACACATTTATATACACATTTATATATATAAGCCAGTTTGTGTTCCGGGAATTTCCTTCAAAGCATCCAAGGAAGATTGTGGCAAAGCTAGGATGGTGTCTACCTCTTCCGTATTAACATCTTTTAATCTTTGTCAATTTACCTCACAGCCATTCATTCCTCAGGTCCCTAAATGTCTCAGTACTGTAATTATCTTCATTCTGGAGTAGAAATTGAGACAAGAGACTTCTAGCAAGCTATAAAACATGAAGATTCAAAAAAAATCCATTGACAATTCAATTGAAATAATAATTAGTATATTACCATGAACTTTAGTGAGATGGTCTGAAAAATCAAACCTTTATCACATAATTTCTGTAAGATCATCTTTTCTTCTCCCTGCCTCTTTGTATTAACTGTTAGAGTGTGAGTAAAAGCAATATTAATGAGATTTAAGTTTAGGAGTGAGTACTGTGGTTTCAGCTAGAGAAATGGCTTATAAGTTGACTGGACTATTTCTTAAAATTACCTGTCTTTCCTGTCTCTACAAAATGTCAGTTGATAAATTCAAACACTTAAATGGCTAATTAAAAGAAGAAAATGAATAATTTGGGGCAAGTGACAGGATCACAGTTTTCTACATTAACCAAAGATACCTAATTGTTGCTCAATTCTTCAATTTTCTTTGCTTCATACACATAAAAATTATTGGTAAAATTTTCTTTTGAGTATTTAAAATACCAACAGAATATCAAATTTTGCTCAGCATCAATTATACAAAGACTCTCAGAGATAGTTTAGTTTAAAAGAAAAACATTATTATGAAATAATGTAATTTTTATTTTAATCATTCATTAAAAATGTTAAATTGTAATCTTTAAAATGTTTTCATTGAAAAAAGAAGGGATATTTCAGAGCCAGATAATAATTACTTGTTTCAGAAAGACAACTATGGTAAGAGAAACAGATCCATTACCTTCAATTTAGAAAATGTATATGACTAAGAGTAATGTAACTAGAAGAGTATGGATCTAAAGCTTTTTTCCCCTTAATTCACAATCCATTCCTCTGCATAGTTAAGTGAAACATTTTTCAAAAAACAAAACTGATAGATTTGCCTTTCTTTATTAGTTTTGCTTCCGATAATTATACCTCCATAACTCTTTGTCCTCAGAAATTTCTTATCACTATCTCTTAAGAAAAAAACCTCTTTTATGGGAGTCTCTGAAGAAAAACTTTTCTCAAGGAATTTTAAAAAGTTGATTTCTAAAGTAAGATATTGGCTAAAAAAAAGCAATAGAAAATGAGTCTTTTGTTTCTTGTTTTCATACTTAGTTTTAAAACAGATATAGCTTTAAAAGAAAACACATATATTTTTAATGTTTCTATCTTTGAACAGTTAATATTAATAAAGGAAATATTTGAATATAAAATATCTGAGTGTAGACACACATTTGACACAAAAGATGGCAAAGCTGCTCCAATACGAGAGAGTGTTTTTGCAAATATTACACAGAAAATGTTGATTCATTGCTACTCGAGATACTGAATCTTAAGAAATTTAGTTGTCTCTTTGCTTTCCATCTACATGGGAAGGTTTTTACTGCACAGAGACAAGAAATTTTACCAGAAAGAAATCTGGAAACTCCCAAAACGATTAAATTCACAAAAATAAATTTCCCATAATCTTCTTGGTCATGATACTCTTTCTTCCTCCTTTGTGTTAGGCAGTTTGCCCAATTTCAGGCTCATTCCCTCAGGCACACTTTTATATGGTCCCTACCAGATGTAAGTGGGGAGGATTGTGCCATTTGTCTTGGAGAGTTCTAACACACAGAAAAAAGCTGATAACCCCAACTTTGTAGTCTGTGTCAGCAGATAAATGCTTATTTTAAAATTATATTAGAAGACTAAAAGAAGTCAAATAGTGGATATAAAAAATGTATACATGGAGAAGAACTCCCTCTAATCTTGGACTATTTAGATAGAAAATAACCTTACTAATAATTTAATCTTCCTTATTTACATATAATAAAACTGAGATCAAAGAGGTCTCTGAGAGAAATAGCACCACTGTGCTGTCAGTGATATATGTATATCACTGTGTGGCATTCTGAGGTCAGAGGTGTTATTTAACTGTAATCTAGCAAATGATTTAGAGGCAGATTTTTCTCTGTTTCATATACACATGAAATTAGAAGTTACAATTACCTAATCCTAATTTTGCAAAGTCTTCAGCAAATAATCACATTTTTCCTCCCATATTCACATTACGTTAGAAACATTGGAAATCTCAATATTTCATAGAAAGAGCAACGTAGACCTACCAAATGCAATGATTGTGGCTGACCAAAGATAAAATGTGAGTGTCATGGATAAAATCCAGAATCTTTGATTCCCAGGCTTGTATTTAGGTCTCTGAGACTACTTGTTTTTCAATGGGAAAAATCCTCATAAATAAATAATAAGGGATTATGCAATTTTATTTCCTCTGCCAACAGAACTACTCTACTTTTTATTGATTGAGGTAACAAGGTCTGGTAAAATGGAATTAGAATCAGAAATTGGAAACTTGATCCCTTTTCTCAATCTAATGTCATGTAAACAAAATTTATTACATTCTGTCTTGGTTCCCCTTAAGTAAGCTGAGAGGAAAAGGTTATCTCCCTCTTCCTGACAAGGAAGTCAGAGGAGAGAAACAGCAAGAATTTCAGGCTGGAAAAGGTATTAGAGAACATTACTTTAAGTCACTATTTTGGAAACATAAAGAAATGTATTAAAGTTTCAATGAGGCTAAGTTGTTTGCCTGATAAATCATCACTAAATCTAGCTCTCAGGATTCTCAGTTTAAGAGCTACTTTTTCTATAGAAGCACCACAAATTTTAAATAAAAATTATGTAAATTATAATATTATAAGAGCAGAAACTTATTTTCACTAATTTTATCATGGTGTATATTTTCTAGCTGTCATAGATGGAAATGTGATAAACAATGTGTAATGTAGGTGTTAGCATTGCCCTCCTGAAACTGCTATGATTTCCCCCAATGCTTTACTTTCCTCAAATCTCTGCAAATACAAGTTTCTATCTTGATGTATTTTTCATTGTTGTACTCTATTTTCATAAAGAACTTACTAATAGTCTTGTAAGATGAAAATCTCCTTTTCCTTTCCCCAAGATAGAGTTTTGAAATATGAAGGATGCATTACTATTTATACATTCCCAATCTTTGGTCAGGGACTACAAATGAGAAACAAGTGCCCCAATATTTAAAAAAAAATAAACTATAGTTGAAGTGAATTTAGTGCAATATTGGGTAAAATTAATTTGGGTAAAATTAATCTACTTGAAAAGAACAGCATTGAAGATGACATTTAATTCTGACCAGCAACTACTTAAGGGAGATTTGGCTATTAAATAATATTTATTCCTTAAAACATTATTTCAACAATGGCAGAAAAATCAAATTTGTTCAAATAGAAATAGAAGAATTACTTACCCACCTGTAGGATTTTTAATTGATATGCACGTACCTTGGGTAAGATATGGTCGTCCATGCACAGATTGTAAAAAACTCAACACGGATAACAAAGTTAGGAGTCCAAAGCAAACAGTGCTTGAGAGGATCTTGTTCATGTTAAAAAAAACCTTCTGGACTAGCAAAGAAACAGACTTTCCAGGTCAAGATGGATATTTCTATAGCTTTGGAATTCAGTAGAGCTTAGTTGCAAAAGGCAAGTGTGCCTCAGTTACGAATGATCTAGATGAAGGAAAAAGAAAGAAAGAAAATAAATCTATAAAATGCAATGCAATCAAGTAGTTAACATGATTCACTACTTGGAGAAGTGACAGATTTGTTATGGAGTCAATGGCAGGAAGAACCCAATCAATACATCTCATACCCGCCCACTTCACTAAAAGCAAGCATTCCTATGCATGCCCACACATTCAAATAGATGCACAAGCATGAAGCAACATCTTGAAATAAAAAACTGTTGGATTTTCACAATTTATGGTTTAATTTCCAGATTCCAGGATTAATTAACCTCAAATCTTATTAATACTAAAGCTGAGAGCATAGAGGGCAGGTGAAAATGGGAACAATGTCTTTCATTTGACTACTTTTGAGCTAGGTGGTAGTCTTCCTGATAGTGATGTTATTTGCAACTATCACTTTGTTCTTAACCAACTGAATAAACTAGAGAAAAGCTCAAATTTGAAATGAATCATAATGGGATCACATTACTGTCTCACTATATTAGAAAAGGATGGCTTCATTTTGTTTCAAGCAGCTCTTTTAAAAATTAAGGCTGAATTTAATTAATTCAAAGCTGGCAAATGTCCCATCAGTTACTCTCTTTAATACTTGCTTTAATTGTGCTGGTTTTCTTTTTAAGTCAAAGTCTTTCAGTATATCTCCAATTTCAATTTTATGGCTCCAGTGATGTTATAGTATAATGACCTCCGATCTTGGCATTTACTTGTCCCAAAAGACTTTGGATGTATCCACTCTAAAATTGACTCTGTTCCAGTGCATACACTGCAGCACATGATGGTATTAACTAAGGAGAATGACTAATCTTTTTACTAACCCGTTGCTTTAATAAAGTTCCTGAATAAAATCTAAATTACTTAGTTTGATATTTAGGCTTGTTTTTCCTTTACAGTTTCATTTTTCACTATATATTTTTGTGTACCAGCCACATTAGACTACTAATTCATGAATATATCCTGCACTTTCTGCACTTCAGAGAGTTGCTGACATGGTTGCCTAGAATCCTTTATTCTACAACCTGCCATTTTACCTACTGATTCCTGAAGCTACTGATCAAATGCCACCAGAACTGTTTAGCCTTTTGGATCTTTTTTCTACTTTGAGTCATAACCTTTTTTTTCTCCTTTGGACTGCCACAACATTTTGTTTGTATATCTACTACAGTTCAAAATTCATTTCTTCTTTCATTAGTTATGTATTTGCGAGTCTGCCTCCACTATCAAATTGTAAATACTTTGAGAGCAGTTACAGTCATAGTCATTTCTGTCCCTATGTGCAAGTACCATAGTGGTTTGCGGGAAAAATGAGTGAAAACATGTTTGATGTGTGACTAAATAATAACCAAAATTTCTAGTAATTGAAAGGCAAAAATATAACCCCCTTAAACTTTACATCCAGTTATAAAGCTATATGAGCTGAAAGAATAATTGCAACTCTTTGTGTCTTACTTTCTTAAGAATTCAACCATGAACAATGATGAACCTAGATCCTAAAAGCTTATTCTTCCATAGCATTTCAAAACCTCTGTCATTCAAATATACCTTGATGATATCTGTCCTTATTTATTTAATAAGTTATTTAAATTAGCTTTCTAAGCTCTATTTTTAAAACATTATATCAAGATGGAAAATAGGAAATTAATGTCATGTGATGTAGAGAGAATATATAAATATGATGAAAGATTGTATAATTACAAGTCATATACTTAAAAATGAGATATAAAATAATAAATCTAATCAATAATTCAAAATAAAAACCTGAAAATAGGTTTCCAATGAAATTGGAAATTTAGATATGCACTGTATTAAAGACATATGCAGCTTTTATTGCCTTAATTTTAAAAATTAAGTATAAATAAGATTATTCTATTTTTTAAAAAGTGTTGATGTAAACTGAAAGAGGAACTCCAATTCTCATGGGTAAGAAGTTTTCCTGAAAGTGGCAAAATAATTTAACTGTCTTTTGATAAGGTTGAATACTGATTATTCTTTTCTTTTCTTTTCCTTTTTTTAAGAAGGAGTCTCTCTCTGTCGCCCAGGCTGGAGTACAGTGGCGTAATCATGGTTCACTGCAACCTTCACCTCCCAGGTTCAATCGATTCCCCTGCCTCAGCCTCTTGAGTAGCTGGGATTACAGGCTAGCACCACCATGTCTGGCTAATTTTTGTGTTTTTAGTAGAGACGGGGTTTCACCATGCTGGTCACACGCTGGTCTTGAACTCCTGACCTTATGATCCACTCACCTCAGCCTCCCAAAGAGCTGGTATTACAGGTGTGAGCCACTGCACCTGGCCCCAAAATGAATAATCAGGGCCAGGCACAGTGACTCACGCTTGTAATCCCAACTCTTTGGGAGGCTGAGGTGGGCGGGTCACGAGGCCAGGAGTTCATATTTATAATTTTGTTTCACATCTTTTTTTCCACAAAGTTTTAAGAAATCTGATATAATTTCCAAAATATTTTTCTGCCATATTTTAGGTAATATTGGCAAAGTGATGAAAAATAAGTCCCTAGCTGTCCTTCCAAAATGAAGGAGATGTAAAGACTTTCCCAGACAAGCAAAAGCTGAAGGAATTCATCACCACCACACCAGTCTTACAAGAAATGCTAAAGGGAGCTTTTCGTGCTGAAAGAACTGAGTGCTAATTAGTAACTTGAAAGCATGAATGTATAAAACTCACTGGTAGAAGTAAGTACACAGTCAACTTCAGATGCTCTAATATTGTAATGGTGGTATGTAAGTCACTAATATCTTTAGTACAAAAGTTAAAAGACAACACTGTTAAAAATAGTGCTTTAGATTTATAAGCTACAATAATTTGCTAAGGAATACACAATATAAAATTATGTAAATTGTGACATCAAAAACATAAAATATGAGGAGGTTAAGTAAAAGTGTAGAGTTATTTTACGTGATCAATGTTAAGTTGCTATCAGCTTAGGATAGTATGTTATAATAAGATACTTTATTTTAGCTTCACGGTAAGCACAAAGCAAAAACCTATGGTAGATACCAAAAGACAGGAAAATATGGAATCAAAGCATACCACTAGAGATAAATTTTAATCACAAAGGAAGACAGCAAGAGAAGAAGAAGCAAAGAAAGGATATACAAAACAACCAAAAAACAATTAACAAAATGGCACTAGTAATTTTTTACCTATAATTACCTTGAGTATACATGCATTAAATTCTCCAATCAAAAGACATAGATGAATAAAAACAATACCCAACTATATGCTGTCTACAAGAGACTCATTTCACTTTTAAAAATATACATAAGTTCAAAGTGCGCCCGGCTCGGTGGCTTACGCCTGTAATCTCAGCACTTTGGGAGGCTGAGGTGGGTGGATCACAAGGACAGGAGATCAAGACCATCCTGGCCAACATGGTGAAACCCTGTCTCTACCAAAACACAAAAATTAGCTGGGTGTGGTGGTGTGTGCCTACAGTCCCAGCTACTTGGGAAGCTGAGGCAGGGGAATCAATTGAACCCAGGAGGCGGAGGTTGCAGTGAGCCAAGATCACGCCACTGCACTCCAGCCTGATGACAGAGTGAGACTCCATCTAAAAAAGAAAAAAGAAAAAAGAAAGTGAAACGATGGAAAAAGATATTCCATGCAAATGAATAACAAAATAAATGGGATAGTTAAGCTTATATCAGATAAAATAGACTTCAAGACAAAAACTGTAAAATGAGACAAAGAAGGTCACTATGTAATGATAAAGGGGTCAATTCATCAAAAGGATATAATAATTTTAAATATGTCTGTACCAAATATTAGAGCAGCTAATTATGTAAAGCAAATATTAATAAATCTGAAGAGAGAGATCAGCTATAATACAGTAATAGTAGGTGATTTCAATACCCCATTTTCAACAATGAACAGATTGTACAGACAGAAAATCAATAGGGAAGCATGAGACTTAAAGGAAACTTTAAACCACATGAATCTAACAAACATATATAGGACATTTCATCCAACACCAGAATACACATTCTTCTCAGGTGCATGCCAAATATTCTCCAGGATACGTCATGTATTAGACCACAATTAACAAATTTAAGAAGAATGAAGTCATATCTTATATCTTCTCCAACTGCAATGGTATGACACTAGAAATCAATAATAAGGAATTTCAGAAAATTCACAAATACATGGAAATTAAAAAAATGTTTTCTACACAGCTAATAGACCAAAGTAGAAATTAAAAGGGAAATATAAGAATATCTGGAGACAAATGAAAATGGACACATGATGTACCAAAATGTATGGGATACAGCAAAAGTAGTTAAAAGGGGAAAGTCTGTACCAATAAATGCCTATATTAAAAAAAAAGAAAAGATCCCAAATAAACACCTATTACATCTCAAGAAACTGGGAAAACAAACGTAGACGAAGCCCAAAGTTAGTGAGGGGAAGGAAATAATAAAGATCAGAGCAGAAATAAATGAAATAGAGACTAGAAGAACAATAGAAAAGAGCAAAGTAAATAGGACTTGTTTTTTTGAAAAGATAAGAAAAATCCACAAAACGTTAGCTTGACTAAGATAAAAAGTGAGAAGACAAATAAAATCAGGAAGAATGTAATAGAAAAAAAAAATTGATACCACAGAAATACAATTGATCATGAGACCACTACAAGCAACTGTATGTCAACAAATTGAATAACTTCAAAAAAAATGGATAAATTCCTAAATTCAAACAACCTACCAAGATTGAATCATGAGGAAATAGAAAATCTGCATAGACCAGTAGTGAGTAAAGAGATTGGATTGGTAATAAAAAGTCTCCCATCAAAGAAAAGCCCAGAAAAAATCTGATAGCTTCATTGCTGAATTCAACCAAACATTTAAATAACTAATACAAATCATTGTCACACTCTTCCAAAAAATTTAAGAAGAAATAATACTTCCAAACTTATGAGGCCAGGATTACTCTGATACCAAAGCCAGATAAAGACATTACAAGAACAGAAAGCTACAAGCCAATATCCCTAACAAACATTGACACAAAAATCCTCAGCAAAATACTAACAAACCAAGATCAACAACACGTTAAAATGATCATTCACTATGATCAAGTGTGATTTATCCTAGGGATACAAGGATGTTTTACATACACAAATGAATAAATGTGATCCACCGAATTAATCGAACGAAGAACAAAACTATACAATAATTTCAACAGATGCAGAAAAAACATGATAAAATGTATATGATAAAAACTTTCATGATAAAAACTCTCAACATATTAAGTATGGAATGAATGTACCTCGGCACAATAAAGCCCCTATATGAAAAACCCATAGCTAACATTATATTCAAAGGTAAAAAGTTGAAACCTTTCCTTCTAGGATCAGAAACAAAATAAGTATGCCCACTCTCACCATTACTACGCAACATTGTACTCGAAGTCCTAGCCAAAACAATCAGAAAAAAAGAAAGAAAGAAAAGGTATCCAGAACAATTAGAAAAAAAGAAAGAAAGGAAAGACATCCATATAGGAAAGGAAGAAGTTAAATTGTCCCTGTTGCAGACAGCTTAATCATGTATATAGAAAACCCTAAAGATTCCATCCAGTAATTTAGAAATACTATGTGAGTTCATTAAAGTTGCAGGATACAAAATCTATGTTCAAAAATCACTGGCCTCTGTATATACTGACAATGACCTACCCAAAAATGAAATCAAGAATGTCATTTGCAATGGATATCCCCTCAAAAAATTATTAGGAATACATTTATCAAATAAGGTAAAAGACCTGTATACTGACAACAACAAAACATTGATGAAAGACACAAGCAAATGGAAAGATAGCCTGCTTTCATGAATTAGAATAATTAATATTGTTAAAATGTACATACTACCAAAAGTGATGTATAGCTTCACCGCAATCTCTTTTAAAATTCCAATAACATTTTGTACAGAAATAGAAATAAAAGCAATCCTAAAATTTGTATGGAACTACAGAAGATCCCAAATAGCCAAAGCAATTTTGGGCAGAAAAACGCTGGAGGCATCACATACACTACATTACTACAATATACTACAATACTATCATTATCTAAAGAGCATGCCACTGGCATAACAACAGATAAATAGACAAATGGAATAGTATAGAAATCCCAGAAGTAAATCCCACTGAAGATCAATTGATTTTCAACAAAGATGCCAAGAACATACCACAGGGAAAGGAGAGTCTTTTCAATAAGTGGTGTCAAAAAAACTGAATATTCACATTCAAAAGAATAGAAGTAGACCCTTATTCCACGCTATATGCAAAAATCAACTCAAAGTAGATTAAAGACTTAAGGCCTGATACTGTAAATCTACTGTAAAAAAAAAACTACTTTTTTCTATTTCTGTACAAAATTTTATGGGAATTTTTAAGAGAGATTGCATTGAAGCTGTATATCACTATTTACTACTTTATCCCACACTATATGCAAAAATCAACTCAAAGTAGATTAAAGACTTAAGACTGGACTCTATAAAACTCCTGCAAAAAAACACAGCTGAAAAGCTTCGTGACATTGATTTGAGCAATGATTTTTTGAGATACGATTCCAAAGCACCAGCAACAAAAGCAAAAACAAACGAGATTACATCAAACTAAACAGTTTTTGCACAGAAGTTAGTATCCAAAATATCTAAGAAACTCAAACAAATCAATATCAAGAAAACAGCTCAGCTTTAAAATAAGCAAAAGACCTTATGGAGAGTCCTCAAAAAATTAAAAATAGAACTACCAGATGATCCAGCATTCCCACTACTGTTTATATATCTAAAAGAAATCAGCCAGGCGCAGTGGCTCACGCCTGTAATCCCAGCACTTTGGGAGACCGAGGTGGGTGGATCACGAAGTCAGGAGATCGAGACCATCCTGGCTAACATGGTGAAACCCCATCTCTACTAAAAATATAAAAAATTAGCCAGGCATGGTGGCAGGCGCCTGTAGGCCCAGGTGCTCGGGAGGCTGAGGCAGGAGAATGGCGTAAACCTGGGAGACAGAGCTTGCAGTGAGTGGAGATTGCGCCACTGCACTCCGGCCTGGGCAACAGACCAAGACTCCATCTCAATAAATAAATAAATAAATAAATAAATAAATAAATAAATAAAAAACAAACGAAATTAATATGTTCAGTGCTCTAACATATTCATCACGGCATTATTCCCAATGGCCGTGATATTGAATCAAGCTATGTCTATGATGGGATGAAAACGTAAAGAAAATGTGGTATATATGCACAATTGAAATGTCTTCAGTCATTTAAAAGAAGAAAATCCTCTCATTTGTGATAAAATATATAAGCTTGAAGGATATTATGTTCAATAAAATAAAACAGACACAGAAGGACAAATATTTTTATTTGTCATAATTTCACTTTTATGTG
The DNA here is from genome assembly GCF_000001405.40 of Homo sapiens. Lineage (NCBI taxonomy): Eukaryota > Metazoa > Chordata > Mammalia > Primates > Hominidae > Homo > Homo sapiens. Next base: position 191,289,726 of record NC_000003.12, read on the forward strand.
GAATCTAAGAAAATGTGAACTATTAGAAGCAGAGAGGAAAATGGTAGTTACCAGGAGCTTGGGTTGTGGGGAAGGGAGAATGTGTAAGAGATGTTTAAAAGACACAAAATATCAGTTAGATAGCAGAAGTTAAGTTTCAGAAATCTGTACAGCCTAGTGATATCATTAATAACAATGTATTTTATTGTTGAAAATCACTAAAGAAGTAAATTTTAAGTGTTCTCACCACACAAAAATGTTGTATGTGAAGGAATCATATGCTAATTTCTTCAATTTAGTCATAACATAATGTATACATATTTCAATACATCATGTTGTACACAATAGATGTACAGAATTTTGTCAAATTTTTAATGAATTGATTTTTAAAAAGAGACATAGACAAAGAAGTCCCTGTTTCATGACCATTTCCATCCACTTTGGGGAAAAGTCTGCAAAGATCTTTAATTAAATCTTTTATCTCTCTCTCTCCTTAATAAAATACTAAATTCTTGTCATGAGTGCATAACCAAATCATTCAAATAAAAGCAGATGTTTACTATCGATTGTATTGGATGGATAAATGAAGTTAGAATATTTGTTTGAGGAGTTCTTGTTATACACATTTATAGTATATAGCAATATTATTGTTGCCATTTATTGAGCAATCATCACATGCCAGGCCCTGTACTAAGCACCTCACAAATAGTACCTCATTTAATTTCCATAGCAATCCCTCAACAATTGCACAACTATAATTTTTCATCTTTTACAGTAAAAGAAGACAGTTTTGGAACCAAAAGTGAAACCCAGATCTACCCAACGCAGAGCTACATGCTTAACCCACATGATCTCTTGCCCACATATCACAATTGGGGAAACACAGAGATAGAAAATGATTGCTCCAATAACAGAGACCCCCATTTTAAAGAAAACTTAGAAACATTTGAACTTTGTATTTTCAATAGCAATACTTTAATAACTCAGTCTATGTATCAATTACAGGATATAAATGGCATTTCCATTTTGTCAATGAAGGCTTCGTCAAGTTATAATTTACAGGGAACAGATAGCTTTAAGATTCACTTGCATCTGACTATTTCTCACGATGAGTGACAAGAAAAGCACAGATAAGTGTTTGTATGGTGACTCAAACTGATTTGAATAATTACTTTCAGACTCCAGTAAGCTCTTGGCCTTATTACTTTTTTTGTAGTAAGAAAATTGAACAATTTTATTTTTACTTCTCTCTGACTATTAATTCTTGGTAGAATTCCTTACATGTAGTTAAATGAAAAAAATAGCGGAAGGAAGGAAGCAAAAGTAGAGTTTCTGACATCCTGACAAGACGGTGCTTGGAGTTCTTTTTTTCATTTAAAAGAGTTAACAATGGCCTGAATTTGTTGAAATAAAGTAGAAACATCTGTTCAAATACTTGGCCCTTTTTAAAAATTGAGTATTTTTATTGTTAAGTTGTAAGAGTTCATTGTATTCTGGATTCTAGTTCCTTATCAGATACATAATTTGAAAACATTTTTTCACAATCTGAGGGTAGTTTCACTTTCTTGATCATGTCTTTTGAAGAACAAAGGGTTTTATTTGAAAAAAGTCCAATGTATCTATTTTTTCTTGTGTTTCTTGTTTTTGAGTACTATAAGAAACTATTAGCTACTTGAAAGTCACAAAGATTTATGCCTATATTATTATCTAAGAGTTCTATAGTGAAACTCTAAAATTTAGGTCTTTGAACCACTTTCTTTTTTTTTGAGACAGAGTCTCACTCTGTCACCCAGGCTGGAGTGCAGTGGCGCCATCTCGGCTCACTGCAAGCTCCACCACCTGGGTTCATGCCATTCTCCTGCCTCAGCCTCCTGAGTAGCTGGGACTACAGGCGCCCACCACCACACCTGGCCAATTATTTGTATTTTTAGTGGAGACAAGGTTTCACCACGTTCACCAAGATGGCCTCCATCTCCTGACCTCGTGATCCACCCACCTCAGCCTCTCAAAGTGCTGGGATTACATGCGTGAGCCACCGCGCCCGGCCTGATCTACTTTAAGTAAAGTTTTATATATGGTGTGAGGTTGGGTTTCACCTTTATTTATTTATTTATTTTCGCATGTGGATATCTAGTTGTCTCACCACATTTGTTTAGAAGATAATTCTTTCCCCCATGAATGGTCTTGGTAGCTTGTCATAGATGTATGGTTTTATTTCTGAACTATAAATTTTATTCCATTGACCAATTTGTCCATTCTTATACAAGTAAAATATTGTTTATTAATGTAGCTTTGTAGTAAGCCTTGAAATTGGAAAGTGTGAGACTTCTAATGGTCTATTGTGAAAAGCTGTTTTGATTTCTCTGTATCCCTTGCATTTCCATATACATTGTAGGATCAGCTTGCCAATTTCTGAAAAAAAAAAAAGAGGTTGCAGGAGGGAAGCTAAGATTTTGGTAGAGGTTGCACTAAATTTGTGAATTAATTTGGAGAATTTTTCCATCTTAAAAATGTTATGCCTGGATCTGTGAACACAGAATATCTTTATAATTAATTAGGTCTTTAATTTCTTTCAATGTTGTTTTGTAATTTTCAGTGAACAAGTCTTATGCTTCTTTGGTTCAATTTACTCCTAAATATGTTATATTTTTGATGCTATTTCAAGTGGAATTACTTTCTTAATTTTATTTTTTGCGTTGTTCTTTGCTAGGACATGAAATTGTCCTATAATTGATTTTTGCATATTGATCTTTGTATTGATTGATTTTGTATAATTGATTTTTGCATATTGATCTTATATTTTGCAATCTTGCTGAACCCATTTATTAGCTCTGTTTATTTATTTTTTCATAGATTCCTTAGGATTTTGTACATAGAAGATCATGTCAACAAATAGAGACAGTTTTACTCTTTCCTTTTCAATTTGGGTATCTTTTATTTCTTTTTCCTACCTAATTGTCCTGGTTAGAACCTCCAGTACAATGTTGAATAAAAGTGGTGAAAGTGGACCTCTTTGTCTTTTTCTTGAGCTTAGAGGGTAAAGCTTTCAACTTTTACTGTTAAGGATGATGTTAATTCTGGATTTTTTTGTAGCTGCCCTTTACCAGATTGAGGAAGTTCCCTTCAGTTTCTAGTTTGTTGAGTGTTTTTATTATGAAATGCTATTACATTTTGTCAAATGCCTTTTCCCCTCTATTGAGACGACTATAGAATAAAATTCCCCCAGGAGGCAGAAGGTGCAGTGAGCAGGTATCGCACACTGCGCTCCAGCCTGGGCAACAGAGAAAGACCTCGTCTTAAAAAAAAAAAGAATAAAGTTCTCATCCTTTATTCTGTTAATATGTTGTATAACATTGATTAATTTTTGTTTGTTAAATAAACCTTGTATTCCAGGATAAATCTTATTTGGTGATGTTGTGTGTTACTTTTTATATGTTGCTGGACTGTTTACTAGTATTTTATTAGCAACTTTTGCATCTATATTTATAAGAGATGCTCTGTAGTTTTATTTTATATATGTCATTGTCCAGTTTTGATATCAGGGCAATACTGGCCTTGTAGAATGAATTGAAAATGGTCTCTTCTCTTTTAAGTTTTTGAAGAGTTTGTAAAGGATTAGTGTTAATTCTTCCTTAAACATCTGGTAGAATTCAATAGTGAATTCATCTGTTGTTTTATTGTGGGAAGTTATCTTGAAATACTGATTCAACCTTTTTACTTCTATAGATCAATTCTATTTCTTCTTAATTTGGATTTGCTAATTTTTGTCTTTCTAAGAATTTATCCATTCCATATAGGTTTCTAATTGTTGGCATTCAATTATTCATAATATTCCTTTGTAACTATTTTGTCTCTGTAAAGTTGGCAGTAATATCCCCAAACTTGAAATTTGATTATATTTTTTAAATCTGTAAATATTCTGTCTCATCTTTATTAAGAAGAGCCATGAGATATACAGACATTTCATCCAGAAGGGGCTTTGATCTAGTGGATGAGCATGGCAGCAGGAATTTTCAAACATAAACATGCTATAATGTGGAAGTTTAGTCTATTTTCAAGCAGTATCTTCAATAGTGGTTGAGAACATGAAAGATGCCTAAGTAGAAGTGAGGGCCTGGTGCAGTGGCTCACGCCTGTAATCCCAGCACTTTGAGAAGCCGGGGGTGGGGGAGTCGGGGCGGATCTCCTGAGGTCAGGAGTTCAAGACCAGCCTGACCAACATGGAGAAACCCTGTCTCTACTAAAAATACAAAATTAGCCGGGCGTGGTGACACACGCCTGTAATCCCAGCTACTCGGGTGGCTGAGGCTGGAGAATCGCTTGAACCTGGGAGGGGGAGGTTGCGGTGAGCCAAGATCGCGCCATTGCACTCCAGCCTGGGCAACAGGAATGAAAACCCATCTCAAAAAAACAAAAACAAAAACAAACAAACAAACAAACAAAGTGAGTAGGGGATTTTGGTCCAGCCTGAGGATTTCAAGTCAAGGATTAGACATACCGTTCTACCCTTGTATCACATGATGGAAAATAAAACATTATTTAGAATCATTACCTAAGGGGAAACCACTGAGCAAGGATTCAACTGAAATATAAAGGCCCTGGTAATAGGAAGAGAGCAAAAACTGGATTCAAACTCCAGGGTCTATTAGAAGACGCAAATTTAAATTAGCAGTGCCTTTGTAAGAAAAAAAACTCTCTAAGCCTAAGCATGTTGTAAGCAGCAGGAAACCAGACTCTCAGAATTAAGACCAGAGAAAAAAACTGTCAAGAAAATGATTTGTGACTCCATTTAAAGGGTGGACTCCTTGGCCAACAGGAGCTATGAGCTATGATAAATGTCCATGTTGTCACTTACTTTCTTCAGCTTCCAGGGTGATGGTAGTTCTAGAAAAGGTCCATCCTATCAAGGATCAGGGTCTCTTATATGTATTCTTCCAATCTTCTCAGGAGCTTTTATATTATCAATTCCTTTTATAGCTTGCATCTTTAATCTCTCTCTCTACATAATTTTCCCAAGTATCACTAAAAAAAAAAAAAATCTTGACCAGGCATGGTGGCTCATTTCTGTAATCCTAGCCCTTTGGGAGGCAGAGGCTGGTGGATCACCTAAGGCCAGTAGTTCGAGACCAGCCTGAACAACATGGTAAAATCCCATCTCTACTAAAAATACAAAAACAGTAGCCGGGCATGTTGGCAGGCGCCTGTAGTCCCAGCTACTCAGGAGGCTTAGTTATAAGAATCGCTTGATCCTGGGAGATTGAGCTTCCAGTGAGCTGAGATCGCGCCACTGCACTCCAGCCTGGGTGACAGAGTAAGACTCCGTCTTAAACAACAACAACAACAACAACAAACTTTTTGTCTTCCATCTTAAAACAAAACAAAACACCAAATAAGTTTTATTAGGACACTCATATAATCTTCTACCTACTATGTCTAGTCTTTCCATCCCATTCAGGCCAAACTTCCTAAAATAATTTTCTGCCTCTAATACTTTTCACATGTTTACTCTTCAATCCCTTTGAATCTCACTTTCATCTTTCCCTTCACTGAAATACTAAAATAGCCCTTTCTAAAAATCTTATTGCTGCTAAATCCAATAAGCACTTGTCTGTCCTCATTTTCCTGGGTATCTCTGCAGTGTCTCCATTGCTGACAACGACCTGCTCCTTGGAAAACTCCCTAGTTTTCTTTTTTTCTCCTACTTTCCTGGTTATACTTTTTCGGCTTCTTTTAGCATTTCCTCTTTCTCTGACCTTTAAAAGATGAACTTTCTCAGGGTTTGATTCTAGATTTTCTTTTATTATCATGCTTTGATATATTCCTAGTAGATACATGGGTTTAATTACCTTCTACATGTCAGTGACTCCAAAAGTTATACCTCTCTCCCCACCTCTTTTGTACCACACCTGTGCATCCAAAGACACTTTCCCACCTGGTTTTCTTACAAGGCTTCTCAACCATGTCACAAACTGAACTACTCATCTTTACCCTAATGTATCATTTATTTTTCAGTATTCACTGTCTTAGAAAATGGCATGACCATTTACCCAGTAATTCATTGAAGAAACTCTTTCCTCTCTGTTGCGTCTTCTTTTCCAATCAATCACAAAGTCATCAATTAAGTCTCTTAAATACTTCTCAAACCTTTCACTCCTTCTATCTTACTTGCTCCCTAGATCAAGAAAGCATCATCTTAAACACCTGCACTGCTGAAATACCCTCAATAAGAAGTCTCATGTTCACTGTTTCTCCCCTTCATTCTCCAAAAGCTGTTAATCTTTTGGAAATGTAATTATCAGTCTGTAATACTACCATTTAAAATCCTTCAACTGTTTTCCATTACCCATAGATAAATATTGCGAGTCATAACATGATCTAGAAAATCCTACATTACCCGCCTTCACCCACCTCTCAATCTCATCTGTATCTGTCTTCCCCTTTTCACAATTCAACCACAAATACCCTTCTTTCAGTTCTTCAAAAATGTCAAGCAACTTTCTGCCACAAGGACTTTGCACCTGCAGGGAGGCATACTCCCCTTCCCCAACTTACACACACTCACACACACACATACACACACATACACACATACTCCATTTTAAGCCTCAATTAAAGTTGTGGCTTCTTCAACAAAATCTCCCCTGATTTCTCCAGATTAAGCAGGTCATCCTGTCAGAGCCTTTCACTCCACTGTGTACATTTCCTCAACAGCTCATATCTCAACCGTAAATCAATTACTCTATGTTTTTGTACAGTGTTTCTCTCCATTGCACTACAAGCTTCAATATGCCACTGTGTATATTTACCTTGTTCATGACTGTGAACATACGGTTACTATCTCCAGTAACCACAATTCCTGGCCCATAATTGTTTGCCCAGAAATATCTAATAATTAAACAAATGAATAAAGAAATAGAGTAAGAGAACACTTGTGGTTCTGTTTGTGCTTCCATGTCTCTCCTTATAAAATTATTTCAAACCCCACCTGCTGGAGGGAAGTCTGATTATTTTACACACAAAATAGGTCTTTCTTAAGGAAAGCGGGAGGCTGAGTGTCTCCAAAATTAGGCAGGCCTGGGAATTTCAAATCCAGAATCTCATTGCCTAGAGGAAAAGATAGCAAGAGAAATCCAAGGCTGGCATATTTAGCTGGTTTTCTCCTAAATGGAGGAAATAACTGGCATTGAGCAAGTGAGGTAGAGAGGAATCAAACATGACTGTGGTTATTTGATAGGCAAATTAACTAAAAACAGATGAACACCTCAATGCATTCATAGAACAGGCAATAAACTGTAATGATGCTTATTGCGCTTGGGAAACAATGTCAACATCTGTGAGAAAGAAAAAAAAACCTTTTCTTTAAATGAGAATCTCTTCAAATGAAGAGCCTTCCTATAACTTCTGTGCCTTTTCTCCTTGTGTGTGTCTTTTGGATTTGAACTGTGGATTATCCTAAAAGTTTTGTCCCTGAGGGGTATCTGACTCATAGAGTAATATTAATACTTCTGTCCTTGGCCACTTTCTTAACTTTATTCTTATTAGGAACTAATTTCTTGAGTCTCATCTGCTCTTCTCTCACACTCATTTCAGCTTTTTCTTTTCTTTTACCCTGATAGCTGGTTTAGACCTTTCCTCACTGTTCAGTAGAGAGAGGAGAATGCTTTCAAGAGACCATTTCTTTGTTCACACAATTCCCCTTGTCTAGAAGATCTTTATACTTCATTTAGCCTACCTGGTAAACTCATTATTTTAAAAATGTGAGATCCAAGGTCATATTTTCCAAAAATAATTCCTTGATTCTCTTTTTAGGACAAAATTAATTGCCTCTTCTTTCATATTCTTGTAGCATAATATAATGTGTTATTTTACCTGTTGCAATATATTTGTTAGTAATTAAGTCAAAGTGTAGGTCTCCCTCTAAATTCTGGGTGGCCTGAGGACAAGGATAGTAATGCCTCATTTTTCATTGCACTACACAACTTCTAGCCTGTGGTGTGGATTAAAGGAGAAGACAGATAATAAAATATTCAGCATTACACCTGGCACATAGTGTTAGTTAAAGTGGATAATTATTTTATCATCGATTATCCTAACTGAAATAATCTCTATTTACGAACCAAATTAATTTTTTAAAAACCTTATTTATTGTGATAATGCACTTAAATAAGTATTTACATTGTCATTCAACAGGTTAAGTGTTCTTGGTCACCTGCTTTAGAAAATAAATAACACTTTCTACTTCTGTCATATAACACTGAGAATTCCAAGCGCTGGGCTTCTGTCTCTAACATGTAAGATGTTTAGGCTAATTACATCTGAGATCCTTTCCCTTTGAACACTCTGTGGCAATATTTTGATGAATCCTTTCTTATCATCAACTGTTGCCTAGTTGTAGCATATATATTCATCTTTTTATTTTTTAGGGAAAAAAGGTAAGCCAAGATTCTTATACATTTAACACCCAATGTCGTACCTAGCACAATAATAGACCCACAATAACCTTGTGAAAAATGTATACATTGAATTCCAAAAAAAACAGTCACTGCTTTAACTTGGAGATACAGTTTGGATTTTTGCCCCTGCCCAAATTTTATGTCAAATTGTAATCCCCAATATTGGAAGTGGATTCTGGTGGGAGGTGTTTGGATCATGGGGTAGATTTCCCCCCTGCTGTTCTCATGACAGTGGGTGATTTCTCATGAGATCTGGTTGTTTAAAAGTGTGTGGCACCTCACCATTCTCTCTGTTCCTCCTGCTCTGGCCATGTAAGATGTGCTTGCTTTCCCTTTGCCTTCAGGAATGATTGTGTTTCCTGAGGCCTCCCCAGAGCCATTATGCTTTCTGTAAAGCCTTCAGAACTGTGAGCCAGTTAAACCTCATTTCTTTATAAATTACCCTGTCTCAGATGTTTCTTTATAGCATTGTGAGAATGGACTAATACAGAAAATTGGTACCAAGGAGTGGAGCACTGTTATAAAGATACCTGAAAATGTGGAAGCAGCTTTGGAACTGGGTAACAAGAGGTTGGAAGAGTGTGGAGGGCTCAGAAGAAAATAGGAAGATGAGGGAAAACTTGGCACTTCATAGAGACTTGTTGAATGGTAATAACCAAAATCTTGATAATGATATCGACAGTGAAGTCCAGGATAAAGGGGGTCTCAGATGGAAATGAGGAACTTATTTGGAACTGGAGCAAAGGTCACTTTTGTTATTTGTTAACAAAGAGATTGAATGCATTATGCCCCTGCTCTAGGGATCTGTGGAACTTTGAAATTGATAGTGATGATTTAGGGTGGCAGAAGAGATTTCTAAGCAGTAAAGCATCCAAGATGTAGCCAAGCTGCTTCTAACAACAACATATGCTCCTATGCAGGAGCAAAGAAGTGATCTGAAATTTGAACTTACATTTAAAAGGGAAGCAGAGCATAAAAGTTTGGAAAATTTGCAGCTCAGCCATATAGTAGAAAAGAAAACTCCATTTTCTGGGTAGAATTTTAAGGCAGTTACAGGAATTTGCATAAATAAAAGGTAGGCAAATGCTAATAGCCAAGACAGTAAGAAAAAGGCCTCCAAGGCATTACAGAGACCTTTAGGGGCAGTCCCTCCCATCATATGCCCAGAGGTCTAGGACGGAAGGATGGTTTTGTGGGCCAGGGCAAGGGCCCCAATACCCTTTGCAGCCTCTGGACACTGCTCTTCACAGCTCAGTTGCTTCAGCTCCAGCCACGTCTAAAAGGACCCCAGATACAGCTCAGGCTGCTGCTTCAGGGAGTGCAAGCCATGAGCCTTGGCAGCTTCCATGTGGTGTTAAACCTGTGGGTGCACAGAGTGCAAGAGTTGGGGCTTGAGAGCCTCCACCTAGATTTTAGAGATGTACGGCAAAGCCTGGATGTCCAGGCAAAAGCCTGCTGCAGTAGCTGAGCCCTCATGGAGAACCTCTACTAAAGCAGTGCAGAGGGGAAGTGTGGGGGTGGAACCCCCACACAGAGTCCCCACTGGGGCATTGCCTAATGGAGCTGGGAGAAGAAGGCCACCATCCTCCAAACACCAGAATTGTAGATACACCAACAACTTGTGCCCTGCACCTGGAAGAGCCACAAGAAATCAACACCAGCCCTTGAGAGCAGCCACGGGGGCTGAACCCTGCAAAGTCACAGGGGTGGAGCTGCCCAAGACCTTGGGAACCCACTCCTTGCATCAATGTGCCCTGGATAGGAGACATGGAGTCAAAGGAGATTATTTTGGAGCTCTAAGATTTAATGACTGCCCCATTGGCTTTCAGACTTGCATGGTGCCTGTAGCCCCTTTCTTTTCTTTTTTTAACATTTTTTTTTATATATACACATATATACATTTTTTCTTTGACACGGAGTTTTCGCTCTTTCACCCAGGCTGGAGTGCGGTGGTGCAATCTCGGCACGCTGCAACCACTGCCTCCTGGTTCAAGCGATTCTCCCAGCTCAGCCTCCCGAGTGGCTGGGATTACAGGCGCCCACCACCATGCCTGGCTAATTTTTGTATTTTTAGTAGACATGGGGTTTCACCATGTTGGCCAGGCTGGTCTCAAACTGCTGACCTCATGATCCGCCCACCTCAGCCTCCCAAAGTGCTGGGATTACAGGTGTGAGCCACCGTGCCTGGCCTGTAGCCCCTTTCTTTTGGCCAATTTATCCCTTTTGGAATGGGAGTATTTACCCAATGCCAGTAAATCCATTGTATCTTGGAAATAACTAACTTGTTTTTAGTTTTACAGGCTCATAGGCAGAAGGCACTAGCTTTGTCTCAGATGAGACTTTGGACTAACTTTTGAGTGAATCCTGGAATGAGTTAAGACTTGGGGGACTGCTGAGAAGGGATGGCTGTATTGCAATGTGAGAAGGATGTGAAACGTGGGAGGAGCCAGAGGCAGAATGACATGGTTTGGTTCTGTGCCCTCACCCAAATGTCACATCAAATTGTCATCTCCAGTGTTGAAGGTGGGGCCTGGTGGGAGGTGATTGGATCATGGAGGTAGAATTCCCCCTTTGGGGCTGTTCTCATGACATCTGGTTGTTTAAAAGTGTGTGGCAACTGCCCCCTCTCTCTCTTGCTCTTGCTCTGGCCATGTAAGATGTGCCTGCTTTATGTTTGCCTTCAGGTATAATTGTAAGATTTCTGAGGCCTCCCCAGAAGCTCTATGTTTTCTTTACAATCTGCAAAACCATACAATAAGTAAACCTCTTTTTAAAACAAATTACTCATTCTCAGGTATTTATTTATAGCAGTTTGAGAAAAAACTAATATTCTTGGTATGGTTACTCTTTTTCCTCCATAAATCTATTTTTGTGTGCATTCCATTTTATCACTTTTTCTTCTTTATTTATGAAAGTGACTTACTGCCCTAACCAAAATATGTCACCTTCTTTCCTTGACTAACCCAGCCTGTTCCTCTTTAGGTGGATTTTAGCTGTCTTTCCGGGTGGTGAAACAGATTCAAGAATTTGCATAAGCTTTAGTGAAACTAGAAAAGAAAATTTGTCTCATTCTAGCTGGTGCCCTAAAGATTTGAATGGAAAAAAATACAGTAGTTCAGACATCCCTGGCTTTGCAAAATGCCATTTTGCTCAGTCTTCATTGAGTCACAGTGCCACTACCTTGTCTTCCACAAGTTTCACTGAGTTTCTCACCACAAGAGTGTTGAGAACTGTGAAGATTCTTCAATGTTATCAAAACATTGAGTTATAGATGAAGTTAGATACTGAACAATTGGTATTTGTTTTATTAACTAAATTTTTGGTAATTTTTTTTTTTTTTTTTTTTTGAGATGGAGTCTCGCTCTGTCGCCCAGGCTGGAGTGCAGTGGTGTGATCTCGGCTTGCTGCAAGCTCCGCCGCCTGGGTTCACACCATTCTCCTGCCTCAACCTCCCGAGTAGCTGGGACCACAGGCGCCCGCCACCATGCCCGGCTAATTTTTTTTTGTATTTTTAGTAGAGACGGGGTTTCACCGAGTTAGCCAGGATGGTCTCGATCTCCTGACCTTGTGATCCGCCCGCCTCGGCCTCCCAAAGTGCTGGGATTACAGGCGTGAGCCACCACGCCCGGCCAATTTTTGGTAATATTAATACATCTATGGAAACCCTATTCAAAGAGCAGTGCTCTAGAAAGATGTCATTATCAAAATGAGATTTCTTCCTCTGACAGAATCTGTTAGATGGAGTCAATATTTATGGAGTTTTTATCCTGCTTGTGTCAGAGGCATTTGAAACAGAGTGACATCATCTTGAATAGGGGCTGGGTAAAATTAGGTTGAGGTCTGCTGGGCTGCAATCCCAGGGGGTTAGGCATTCTTAGTCACAGGATGAGATAGAAGGTCAGCACAAGATGCAGGTCATGCAGACACTGACCTGATAAAATAGGATGCAATCGAAAAGCAGGCCAAAACCCACCAAATTCAAGATTGCGCTGAAAGTCACCTCCGGCCATCCTCACTGCCCATTGTAAGCTAATTGTAATGTATTAGCACACTAAAAGACACTCCCGCCAGCATCATGACAGTTTACAAATGCCATGGCAACCTCTGAAAGTTACCCTGTGTAGTCTTAAAGGAGGAGAAACCCTCAGTTCCTCTAATTTCCCACCCCTTTCCAAGGAAACTCATGAAAAATCCACCCCTTGTTTAGCATATGATTAAGAAATAACCATAAACACAGCCAACCAGCAGCCCTCAGGGCTGCTCAGCCTATGGAGTAGCCATACTTGTATTCCTTTATTTTCTTAACAAATTTGCTTTCACTTAATTCTGTTGGCTCACTCTTGAATTCCTTCCTGGGCAAAGCCATGGACCCATGTGGCCTCCCAGGCTGAAACTCAATTCTAGGTTTCAACCTGTGACACCTGTATAATTTATACCTCCTGCCTGTATATGATTGTTTAGCTGAGCTGTTCGTTAAGTCCATTAACTACTATAACAACATAAACTCAGATTTATTGGCACTACTGTTTGCTTTGCTAAGACATGGAGATTGAGAAGAAAGGATTCTCTGGAAGGCAAAGGTTGTAGAAACTGTTGGGACTCAGAAAAATTATGCCCCAGAATATGGCACTTTTGTTACGCTGAGTGCTTTGAACTAAAGGAGAAACAAGGCCTCTCTGACCTTCTCTGTTCCCCTAGTCTCTTGCTCCTCTTTCCCTCCCAAAGCAGGCATGAAGAGGCTCTCTCTAAAGTTCCCTTAACTCACTAAAGAAAGTTCCTGTGAAAGGAATGCAATTGTCATGAGGCCCCTCCTTACAATAATATCATCAAATAGCGAAGATTAACTAACAGGAAAGGAGAAAAAAGATTGACACTACCTATTCTTCTGTGGACTGCTACCTGAGAAACTTCATCTGCACAAAAACAGCATTTGTTCCTCATGTGTTTCTTCCCTTCAGCACCCCATAACCTGTGGCCGCCTGACTCTAGATGTCCCAGTCCCCTATATCTTTTTGTAGCTGAGGATACTGTATAAACTTCAACCACCCAACTCTTCTGGGAGTCTCATACTTTGTAGGACCCACGTGCATATCCACATAATAAACTTGTGGTATCTTTTCTCTTGTTAATATATCTGCTGTCAATTTATTCCAGAGACTCAAATTGTCAAACTTTCAGAGGGTGGAAGGAAAATTCCCCTCACCCCTATAAAACTATCAATTTTATTGTCTTCTGAGGTTCAGCTCCAATCATAGCTTTAGCATGAGATATCTCTAACAGACATCCCACATGTCCTTTGAACACACATTTGCTCTGAAAAGGAAGAATTCAAGATAAAAATTTGGGCAGTAGTGTCTGGAAACACATTTCCTTAAAAAAAAAAAAAAAACTCACTGTTAATTCACAAATGCCTATTTATCTCTAACCATGTGACTATCATGTTACGAGGTTTAAAATCATTCAAGAAGTTGTGTTCCTTATTGAAAAGAGCCTATCACTAGGACTCAGAATGCCTAGATCTAATCTATGATGCACTACTCACAAATATTATGACATTGGATGAGTTCTGATGTTTTTATCTTGTTTCTCTCCCAATGTTTTTCCTTGTATTTCAGATTGACAGTACAATGAACAGTTGTCTGCGGAGTATCACATGTGGTTTTGACCAATGCTCATGCCATTTAAGATTAGAATCTGGCCACGCAGATGTGGTCAGAGAACAGGATGAGGCACACACTTAGTTAGGTCCAGCTTGGTCCCAGACTCTTCAATGGGGAAGGATATATTGCAGAAGAAAGAATTGCCTGGTGGCTTTTTTTTTTTCTTTTCTGAGATGGAGTCTTGCTCTGTTGTGCCAGCTGGAGTGCAGTGGCGCAATCTCGGCTCACTGCAACCTCCGCCTCCTGGGCTCAAGAGATTCTCCTACCATAGCTGGGATTACAGGCATGCGCCACCATACCCGGCTCATTTTTGTACTTTTAGTAGAGACGGGGTTTCACCATGTTGCCCAGGCTGGTCAAGAACTCCTGACCTCAAGTGATCCACCTGCCTCGGCCTCCCAAAGTGTTGGGATTACAGGCGTGAGGCACTGCGCCCTGCCTGGCTGGTGGCTTTTAAAGGAAACCTGAAGCAAACTTCATCTAGTGAAAGATGGGAATTTGAGAAATAAATATGCTGGTTTCCTTGATCTTCACTGGGGCAACTCTGAAATATGTTGCTCACCATCATCCCAGTTCGCTAGAGAGGTTATGTTCCAGTTGCCCACGTTGGTAACTAGCTAGTTAACATATTCTATTGGCATTTTTCCTTTCCCAGGTACATTTCTCCTACTCACCATTCTCTCGTGCTATTTCCTCCCAAATAAACTCCTTTGACTTGGATCCTTCTGCTTCTGCAGAAAGCAAATTTATACAATGTGAATATAATGCTCTCGTATCCTCTTTAACCTCAAATTCTATTGTACAGAAACTCACCAAACACTAGCTATTTTTATATTGATTGTCATTTTTTCTTTTTAAACTTTTAAGTTCAGTGGTACATGTGCAGGATGTGCAGGTTTGTTACATAGGTAAAAGTGTGTCATGGGGTTTGTTATACACATTATTTCATAACCTAGGTAGTAAGCATATATCCATTAGTTATTTTTCCTGATCCTTTCCCTCCTCCCACCCTCCACCCTCCAACAGGCCCCAGTGTGTGTTGTTCCCCTCTATGTGTCCATGTGTTCTCATTATTTAGCTCCCTCTTACAAGTGAGAACATACCATATTTGGTTTTCCTATGTCAGCTTTAGTTTGCTAAGGATAATGATCTCCAGCTCCATCCATGTCCCTGCGAAGGACATGATCTTGTTCTTTTTCATGGCTGCAGAGTATACCATGGTATATATGTACATTTTATCCAGTCTATTATTGATGGGCATTTAGGTTGATTCCATGTCTTTGCTACTGTGAATACTGCTGCAATAAACATATGCATGCATGTGTCTATATAACAGAATGATTTATATGTTTTTGGGTATATACCTAGTAATGGGATTGCTGGGTCAAATGGTATTTTGTCTTTAGGTCTGTGAGGAATCGCCACACTGTCTTCCACAATGGTTGAACTAATGTACACTCCCACCAACAGTGTATAAGTGTTCCTTTTTCTCCAGAACATCACCAGCATCTATTATTTTTTGACATTTTAATAATAGCCATTCTGACTGGCATGAGATGGTATCTCATTGTAGTTTTGATTTTCATTTCTCTAATGATCAGTGATGTTGAGCTTCTTTGCATATAATTCTTGGCCACATGCATGTCTTCTTTGAGAAGTGTCTATTCAGGTCCTTTGCTCATTTTTTTA
The DNA here is from genome assembly GCF_000001405.40 of Homo sapiens. Classification (NCBI taxonomy): domain Eukaryota; kingdom Metazoa; phylum Chordata; class Mammalia; order Primates; family Hominidae; genus Homo; species Homo sapiens. The sequence goes on from NC_000003.12 coordinate 191,305,507, forward strand.
ATGGGGTTGTTTTCTTGTAAATTTGTTTAAATTCCTTATAGATGCTGGATATTAGACCTTTGTCAAATGCATAGTTTGCAAAAATTTTTCTCCCATTATGTAGGTTATTTACTCTGTTGATAGTTTCTTTTGTTGTGCTGTGCAGAAGCTTCTTAGTTTAATTAGATCCCATTTGTCAATTTTTTCTTTTGTTGCAGTTGCTTTTGGTGTCTTTGTCATCAAACCTTTGCCCATGCCTATGTCCTGAATGGTATTGCCTAGGTTGTCTTTCAGGGTTTTTATAGTTTTGAGTTTTCCATTTATATCTTTAATCCATCTTGAGTTAATTTTTGTGTACGCAGTAAGGAAGGGCCCAGTTTCAATTTTCTGCATACGGCTAGTCAGTTATTCCAGCACCATTTATTAAATAAGACTTTTTTCCCCGTTGCTTTTTTTTGGGGGGTCAGGTTTGTCAAAGATCAGATAGTTGTAGGTGTGCAGTCTAATTTCTATGTTCTCTATTCTGTTCCATTGGTCTATGTGTCTGTTCTTGTACCACTACCATGCTGTTTTGATTACTGTTGCCCTGTGGTACAGTTTGAAGTCGCTGAGTGTGATGCCTCCAGCTTTGTTCTTTTTGCTTAGGATTGCTGTGGCTATTCGGGCTCTTTTCTGCTTCCATGTGAATTTTAAAATAGTTTTCTCTAGTGCTGTGAAGAATGTCAATGGTAGTTTAATGGAAATAGTATTGAATGTATACATTGGTTTTTCTTTTCCCTCACCATTTAAGATAAAGGAAGACTACATTGCTTCAAAGACATAAAAAGCACAAGTTAACTTCAGAGATATATTTAACTGGCTCACTGATTTCATCATTTATAATTAGGTATAATGAGGATTGAACCCTACCACATTTTATAATTTTCAAATAATCCATCATCTATTTTATAGTTTATATTTATCATTTTAATCCCTCCTTCCCAAAATGACATACAATAGCAACCAGATTTCATTTTACTTTCAAAAATTGCCTAATACAGCACAGAGACATTTATAATGGTTCAGAAGACCTGCCTTGGAGTTCTTAAGCTGCTCTAACACTAAGTAGTTTACTATATTAAGGAGAGGAATGGTAACTAGGGGAAATTTTGTTTTGTTTTGTTTTGTTTGAGACGGAGTCTCTTGTCACCCAGGCTGGAGTGCAATGGCAAGATCTTGACTCACTACAAACTCCGCCTCCCGGGCTCAAGCAATTCTCCTGCCTCAGCCTCCTGAATAGCTGGGGTTTCAGACGCACACCACCATACCAGCTAATTTTTGTATTTTAGTAGAGACAGAGTTTCACCGTGTTGGCCAGGCGGGTCTTGAACTCCTGACCTCAAGTGATCCGCCTGCCTCAGCCTCCCAAAGTGCTGGGATTATAGGCGTGATCCACTGCACCCAGCCAGGAGGGGAAATTTTAATGTTTGGGCTTGCTACAGATTTTCTCATTAACTAACCCCTTCCAAAACCTTGGTTCACCTCTGGCAGCGCATGAAAGGTGGGTTACTTACAGGAATGAGAGTACAGCCCATGTAATTAAACAAAAGAAAGGTTCATAGGCAATATGTGAAGAGAAAGAAACAGCAATATTCACTCCCCAGTTTATTAATGAATGCCTAGACAGGCTCTGAGTTACTTTATGTATGCAGAGCTCTGTTCCTAGCACTCTGTGTGAATATAGAATCATAGATCCTTGGAAACTGAATGTACCTTGAATCCTTAGCTTGACATTAAAGATTCTCCATGACCCAGACTCAATCCGTCTATACATCTCCTCACCAACTGAATTTCCCTGTGACCTTCCTATTCTAGTACAAGGCATCTTAGCTTGAGACCTTTAGAAAAAAAAAACCTAAGGCAAAATTATATGCTATTGCTTTATTGAAAGGCACAAAGAAGCATAAGAGGAAAACGAAAAGTGGAGCATGGACAAAGGAAAAGCAAATACAACATCATGTGTTTCTGTGTTGGCTGCAGTCTCATGTATAAACAGTCGATTGCCGAGTCCTGCAGGATAAATTTGGACTGGCTATAAGAGATCAGTTCATGATGGGTAGGACGTTCAGAGGATTCTCTCTGGCTTCCATCTCATGTTTTGTAACTGACTAGTCTACCTCATGGAGTGTTAACTTTCCTGCACTTTCAGCCTGTGTTATTCTCCTCCCTGCTCTAGGCATCCAGCAGGGAATCTGGAATCTCCTCAAGTTTGTTCTACCAATACACCATTGCAGTGGTCTCTCTTCTTTGTCAGTCAGCACCTTATGTAGGTGCTTTTTCTTTTTTCTTTTCTTTTCTTTTCGTTTTCTTCTCTTTTTTTTTTTTTTTTGAGTCAGAGTCTCGCTCCGTTGCCCAGGCTGGAGTGTAGTGGCACAATCTCAGCTCACCACAACCTCTGCCTCCCGGGTTAAAGCAATTCTCCTGCCTCAGTCTCCCAAGTAGCTGGGACTTTAGGCACACTCCACCATGTCCGGCTAACTTTTGTATTTTTAGTAAGGGCGGGGTTTCACTAAGGTGGCCAGGCTGGTCTCAAACTCCTGACCTCGTGATCTGCCCACCTTGGCCTCCCAAAGTGCTGGGATTACAGGCATCAGCCACCACGATGTAGGGACTTTTTCCTTTCTGTTAGTGGAAAACGCAGAAATAGTTGGGCCTTTATCACAATGAGAATGGCGAGAGCTATCGCTAGAACTTCAGTGGCTTGGAATCCAGGCACCTGGTAGGGCTAGGAATAAAGGAAGAGCTAAGCCACATGAATACGTCCTAAGTGGCAGGGTGGCTTTCACTGCACTTTGGATCTACTACAGAACCTTCTCTTGTACGGGAGCCACATTCAAAACAAGCAGCCTTTAAGTCACTCAGTTAGTCAAAGTAGTATTACCAGTTGCTGTATTACCTCAAAAATTCAAAGGGGTTCACATGCACTATATCTCTTTTTGTTGTTTAGAGGTTTCAAGATGGAGCATCACATTTATTATTTTAAGGCAAAGTTTCTCAATCTTGCAATTATTGAGATTTGGGGTTGGGTAATTCTTTATTGCGAGGGGGTTGTCTTGTGCATTGTCTGATGTTTTGTTGTTCCCCTGGCCTCTATCCATTTGATGTCATCCCCCTTCTGTGATTTCTGACAGCCAAAAATGTCTCCAGACATTTCCAAATTTCTCTTTAGGACAAAATCATCCTTGGCTGAGAACCATTGCTTTAGATGGAATGACTCAATATGCCCAAGGCCATTATCCCTGAAGCTTTATGGGGTTTATTTCCACTTTCTGCTCTATATGTATCTTACTAGGATATTGAGGATACTTGCTACCTCTTAGTTATGAGACAAATCAGAATGATCTTATCTGTAGAGTGGACCAGTATGATATTCAACAGAATGTAAAAACGATAAATGGTCAAGATAATTGAGGACTGTATTACAAAAGAGACTAGGACCATTAACATAGTCATGTAAAAGCACACTATATTTGATCCTCTATCCTAAAGGGATCACTATTTTAATAATAGCATACCAAATGCCAGTAGGTGGGTTAATGTGCTTCAGTAACAATAACACATTTGCTAATGAAAGTCAATTCTGAATGGGTGTCCAGTGTTTCTGCATCTCTCTTGTGGGCACAGGGACTGGCTTTCTTGTTTTGTTTGTTTTTTTTTAAAACGGAGTCTCGCTCTCGCCCAGGCTGGAGTGCAGTGGTGCCATCTCGGCTCACTGCAAGCTCCGCCTCCCTGATTCACGCCATTCTCCTGCCTCAGCCTCCCAGGTAGCTGGGACTACAGGCGCCTACCACCACGCCTGGCTAAGTTTTTGGTTTTTCTTTTTTTTTTTCAGTAGAGATGAGGTTTCACCGTGTTAGCCAGGACGGTCTCGATCTCCTGACCTCGTGATCTGCCCGCCTCAGCCTCCCAAAGTGCTGGGATTACAGGCGTGAGCCACCTCGCCTGGCCTCTTTGTTTTAGACTATGTTTTCAATTTAATATTTTCAAGTTTCTGTTTGTATTGCAAACAGCCTTGGAAGACTGATATGGTTTGGATCTGTCTCCCCACCAAATCTCATGTCTAATTGTAATCCCCATTGTTGGAGGTGGGGTCTGGTGGGAGGTAATTGGATCACAGGGGCAGAGTTCTCATGAATGGATTAGTACCAACCCCTCGATGCTGTTTTGGTAATAGCGCGTGAGTCAGTTATTGTGAGATCTGGTAATACGAAAGCATGTAGCACCTCCTCTTGCTCTCTCTTCCTCCTGCTCTAGCTGTATGAAATGCCTCGCTTCCTTTTGCCTTCCGCCATGATTATAAGTTCCCTGAGGCCTCTCCACAAGCTGATGCCACCATGCTTCCTGTTCATCCTGCAGAACCATGAGCCAATTAAACCTCTTTTCTTCATAAAATTATCCAGTCTTGAGAATTTTTTTTTTCTTTCTTTTTTCCTTTCTTTCTTTTTTTTCTTTCTTTGTGGCAGGGTCTCACTCTGTCACCCAGGCTGGAGCGCAGTGGCACGATCTCCACTCACTGCAACCTCTGCTTCCCAGGTTTAAGTGATTCTCCTGCCTCAGCCATCCCAGTAGCTGGGACTACAGGTGCGCACCACCATGCCTGGCTATTTTTTTTTGTATTTTTGGTAGAGATGGTGTTTCACCATGTTGACCAGACTGGTCTTGAACTCCTGAACTCATGTGATCCCCCCGCCTCAGCCTCCCAAAGTGCTGGGATTACAGGCGTAAGCCACCGCACCCAGCCAGGTATTTTTTTTTTTTTATAGCAATGTGAGAATGACCTAACACGAAGATAGAGATAACATCCCCTTTCAAAACAAATAGTAGGTTTCTTTACAGGCCAGAATAACAAAGATAATATTTCCCATCAAGGCAAAGGTCAAGCACACTTAATGCCCATTATAAAAGATTAATGATCCCTAAGCTTGAGATCCCTATCCTGTAACAAATCCTATTTAGTGTGCAGAAATCATTTGTCCCTTATACCAACTTTGGGCTATGTGAATTGACATTTGGGAAAATGCTGCCAATGTTGATGCTCTGGCCATTGCTATTTCTGTGAGTAATGAACTGTCATTTGTTTCTAACCCAAGAATCTCATGTTTTCTGCTAACGTCCATGAAATTGTGGCAAGCTAACTTATTTGCTTGCAAGTGGAATAAAATCTCAGACCCTTCATAGTTCTTGGCATCTGATATAGTAGCAATGATCAGAGTTATAATTTGGTTAAAGTTATAGTAGCTTACTGCTATCTACTATGATCCAACTCTTTTTTACAGAGATTGAACAGATGAATTGATCAAAAAAGTGCTGCTAACTTCCCTACATCTCTTAAATATTTGACAAGGGGGTCACTTCTCTTCAATTCCTTCGAAATATATTATTTATTTGTTATCTTTAGGGTCAAGACGTACAGTTTCAGAAGCTGCAACTGGCACTTTAAGTTGGCTTTTATTTCAAAGGTCAAAGAAGCAATTTAAAGGTTCTGCCAATATCTAAGTATGTCCATCTAGATTATACATATCTTGGCTAAGGAAATTAACTATAAAGTAGTCAATAGACACAGTGAACCCACTGAGCAACAGACTGGGATCAAAACTCCATTTAACACCTGTCCTCTATAAATGCCCTTCCTCACCAGGTGGCTCAGATGACATTTCAGGTTCCCTGATAGCAGTCAGTTCAGTCCTCACACCTAAGAGTCTTTTAATATCACCTAGGAAATGTTGCCTTGTCAAATGGTTACAGGTTTCTGTGGGAAAATTTGAAGAAAAATTATTCGATATACTTGCATGTATCTAGTTTCCCTTTCAATCAATAGGACCTAGGGCTGTGAACAGACTTACATATGAAAACTGAAAGGGCTGTGATTTTCCAAAGTGGCATTCAGAGCAGATTGATATCTCTTTCTCTCTCTCTCCACCTGTCTGTCATCCCTGGGAAATCCATGATCTATTGGGCATCACCATTGCTCTCTGATAGCCAAGGTTCTATGATTGACACTCCTGTATTTCTGCACGCTAACTCTGCACTTGTACCATTCCCATGGTACTATTCCAACGGCCTGTTCCATTCCAGAGGCCCACTTTCCTCATACTTTTTAGATAGCCTAGTTCTGTAGCAGCATCTTCCACTGATGAAGCAGCTACCACTGAGCTTCTCAATGATTTCAGTGCCTTCGTCACCTGTGCATTCATTAGTGCCTTAATGAGACAGTATCCTTTAGGCGTTAGGTGATATTTCTCAGCTGTGGCATAGTAAATCCATTCAAACATTTCCACTTCCCAGAGCCCTCTGAGAAATTCCAGTTATGTGGCATGAAAATTTTGACATCTTGGCCAAGTGCAGTGGCTCACGCCTGTAATCCCAGCACTTTGGGAGGCCAAGGCAGGTGGATCACCTCAGGTCAGGAGTTTGAGACCAGCCTGTCCAGCATAATGAAACCCATCTCTACTAAAAATACAAAAAAAAAGAAAAAAAATTAGCCAGGTGTGGTGGCGTGCACCTGTAATCTCAACTACTTGGGAGGCTTAGGCAACAGAATCACTTGAACCTGAGAGGTGGAGGTTGCAGCGAGCCGAGGTTGCGCCACTGCACTCCAGCGTGGGTGACAGAGCAAGATTCTGTCTCAAAAAAAAAAAAAAAAAGGCATCTCCACTTCATTTAGTGTAACCCTTCACCAACGCCAGGCTTCAAGAAATCATCACAGCAAATTATTGGGCTGTGCTTCCCTACTCAGGTTGTATTAAAATTTGATTCAGAGTATCAGCCCTGGAGGCGATGTGGAATGAGAGTCAAGGATCCTGAGGACACCAAAAGTCATATTGCAGGTCATCTGCTTTGAGTGAGGTTATTACATGGTCTTTATGTTGGGCTGTTTTCTTCTGGCAAGTGGACAGGACTGATTCTGCTGGCCGTGACAGCTCAAGGAATTTAGAAGTTCAGAATCCCCCAAAATCTTTATTCCTGGCCTCAGGGACCCATCAGTTTACTTTTTTTTTGCAGTTATTGCAACTTTGTAATTATAAATGCCCCTATACAAATCAATTGCAACAGCCACTTGACTTTCTAATGCCCTTCCTTCTACCCACACCTCATTCTTCTTAACCACAGGTGAAGTTTTTAATAATCGTGATTCATTACAGGCCAGTAATTTGCCATTTCACTTGACAACAGAAACGAAGTGAGTCCCTGTGACTTCCAGAACATGGCTGATCTAACCCCAAAACGTCATCTTGAGGATTGGCTTTTGAGGCCCCCTCCTCTCCTTGTATCAATTATATTTGCCTGGGGCTATAGAGAATAGGTGGCAAAACCTACAAAGTGCTAACACTTTACTGGGAGTTGTGAGGGCAGCTGGAGTAAAGAGAAAAGGATAACGAGGCACAGAAATGAAAATGAATACAAGGTGATATTTTCTTTGCAGGCCACATTTTTATGGGCAGTTCAAGGTCATAGGATAAGTGTACATTTAACATTAATAACTGTCAAACAGGTTTTTTTTTTTTTTTGAGACGGAGTCTCACTCTGTCAGGCTGGAGCGCAGTGGTGTGATCTCGGCCTCCCTGGTTCAAGCAATTCTCCTGCCTCAGCCTCCCAAGTAGCTGGGATTACAGGCACCTGTCACCAAGCCTGGCTAATTTTTGTTTTTTTAGTAGAGATGAGGTTTCACCATATTGGCCAGTCTGGTCTCCAACTCCTGACTACAAGTGATCCACCCACCTCGGCCTCCCAAAGTGCTGGGATTACAGATGTGAGCCACAGCACCCAGCTTAAACAATTTTTTAAAATGGTTGTAACATTTAACTCACAGTAATGTGTGAACTCTGGTTCCTTCCCTTTAAAGTTCAGCTCCATTTTGAGACTAACAAAGCACATTCCTTGCTGGTCAGGACCCAGATTCATGGGATGCTTATAGTAAAGGAAACAGCCTAATGATACCTGCAAGAACACACTCCTACAATAACAAAGTCCAGGTGTCCCAATACCCATAACGATATATGTTTGTGAGATAATAACAGTTATGCTTTGATGTACTCACACACCAGACTGTCAAAGCTAGTTCTCTTTAAGTCAATAGAGTAATAAATTTGTCATACTGTCTGCTCACCTGCACATAGACGCAGCTTAGTTTAGTTTTTACATAGACAAGACCCCTATATATGAAAAACTTAAAACTAAGACAATGCATTCCTCCACTTTCCTTTTTTTTTTTTTTTTTTTTTTTGAGATGAGGTCTCACTCTGTCGCCCAGGCTAGAGTGCAGTGGCACCATCTCGGCTTACTGCAACCTCTGCCTCCCAGGTTCAAGTGATTCTCCTTCCTCCACCTCCTGAGTAGCTGAGCTCACTGGCGCCTGCCACCATGCCCAACTAATTTTTGTATTTTTAGTAGAGACAGGGTTTCACCATGCTGGCGAGGCTGGTCTTAGACTCCTGACTTTAGGTGATCCACCCACCTCGACCTCCCAAAGTGCTGGGATTACAGGCATGAGCCACCGCACCAGGCCCCTCCACTTGTTTTCTGAGGAAACCCTTCTCTGTAATGGAGTAGCTTTTAATAAACTTGCTTTTTCCACTGCACTTCGTGACTCATCTTGAATTCCCTTCTGCACGAGTTTCAAGAACTCTCTCTGGGGTCTGGTTCAAGGCCCGTATTTCCAGTGACAATTCATTCCCTACTCTGTAGATGCTACTTTCTGTTAAGCCTCATGGAGTTTCACGTTACATATATGCAGTACAGGCTTTGACCAAAGACTTGGGAGCCCCTGTGTGCAGCTCTGTCCTCTTCAGTACCCTACTCCACAAGTTCCAATTGGGTCAGCAGTCGTGCATTCTATTCTTTGCCTTCCCAGAGAGACCCTTCTTGGACTCTACTTTCCTCATAAAAGTTGGGAAATAGGCCCCAAGTACAAAGTTGGCAAGAGTATGAGAGGCTAAATTTCATGTGTTACTCTTCTCTCATGGGTCATTGTGATATTGTGAAACATATATTTGGTCTTTGACCCTGTTTCCTGGCATACAACCAAAATCTTTAGACTGTTTTGTATGCTAATGATTGACTAATGACAAGCAGCCCCTATGTAGCTTTGAGGAGTGTAAGCGCAAGTGCAAGGGTGGGGCTGGTAATCAGAAAAAAACAAGTCATGGTTACAGGGTTGATATTTTCAGGCCCACTCCACAACCTCCAGAGATGGGGAAGGGACTGAAGGTTAAGCTGATCACCAATGGCCAATGATTTAATCAATCATGCCTACATAATGAGGCTTCCATTGAAACCCAAAGGAGTGGGTTCAGAGAGCTTCTGGATAGCTGACACGTGGAGGTTTCTGGAGGATGGGGCTCCCAGGGAGGGCATGGAAATTTTGTTCCCCTTCTCACTTGCCTTGCCCTACGCATCTCATCTCTTCACCTACATCCTTTGTAATATCCTTTATGATAAACTAGTAAGTGTAAGTTAGTGTTTCCCTGAGTTCTGCGTGCCACCCTAGAATTTTTTTTTTTTTTTTGAGATGGAGTTTCACTGTTTCGTCCAGGCTGGAGTGCAATGGCACAATCTTGGCTCACTGCAACCTCTGCCCCACTGGGTTCAAGTGATTCTCCTGCCTCAGCCTCCCGAGTAGCTAGGATTATAGGCGCCTGCCACCATGCCCAGACAATTTTTGTATTTTTAGTAGAGATGGGGTTTCACCATTTTGGCCAGGCTGGTCTCGAACTCCTGACCTCAGGTGATCTGCTCGCCTCAGCTTCCCAAAGTGCTGGGATTACAGGCATGAGCCACCACGCCCGGCCTACTCTACAAAATTAATCAAACCCAAGGAGGGGGTTCTGTGACCCCTGATTTACACCTGGTCGCTCAGAAGCACAGGTAGAACAACTTGGGACCTGTGGTTGGCATAGGAAGTGAAGGGCAGTCTTGGATACTGAGCCCTAAGCTGCTGGATCTGATACCACCTCCAGGTAGATAGTGTCGGAATTGGATTGGAGTTCACCCAGCTGGTGTCTGCTACAGAACTAATTGTTGCATGATGTATAAAGAAATCCCTTCACACATTTGGTGATGGAAGTCTTCTGTGTTGATGATTGTTATTGTGGTGTGAGGGCGGAGGAAAAACAGTTTGTGTTTTTTCCACTGCCAGAGTCATGCTACCTATTGCCTAGTGCTTCAGAACATTCGTCTCATGTTTTCTCTAGCTTTTTCGTCATTTTTGGAGAAGAAATTGTTTAGAACCATTTATTCCTTCTTGGGCAAAAGTTCAAGTCTAAATATGTTTTTAAATTTTATTAGTTATGCAGTATTTCCTATGAAAAATTAAATAATCACCAATGCACCACACTCAGATTCAAGGTAAACATGCTGCCATATTTGTCTTTACATATATAATTGAAACATATTCTTTTGGTTATCTATTGCTGCATAATACAGCATGCTACAGCTTCTTAGCTTTATACAGTAGCATGTGTTTATTTATTCAAATTTCTGCAAATTGGGTAAGGTCAGAGAGCTCTTCTTACCTGTGTCACAGGTGGCTTCTCTTGACATAGCTCAAGTGGGTTTTGAAGATCAGTTTCCAAAGTGGTTGGCAATCAGCTAGATGTCAGCTGTCAGCTGGGAGCTCCATTATGTTGGCTGGGGTGTTTGTTTTCTTCCACATAGCCTTTCCATATAGCCAGTTTCCAACAGCATATTAGTGTGCCGGAATTGGTGGGTTCTTGGTCTCACAGACTTAAAGAATGAAGCCGCAGATCCTCGCAGTGAGTGTTACAGTTCTTAAAGATGGTGCGTCCGGAATTTGTTCATTTCTCCCGGTAGGTTCGTGGTCTCTCTGGTTTCAAGAGTGAAGCTGCAGACCTTCGCGGTGAGTGCTACAGCTCTTATGGGCAGTGCAGACCCAAAGAGTGAGCAGCAGCAAGATTTACTGCAAAGAGCGAAAAAATAGATCTCCCACAGTGTGAAAGTCACTCCAGCGGATTGCTGCTGCTAGCTCAGCAGCCTGCTTTTATTCCCTTATCTGACCCCACCTACATCCTGCTGATCGGTACATTTTACAGAGAGCTGATTGGTCCGTTTTACAAAGAGCGGATTGGTCCATTTTGACAGGGTACCGATTCGTGTGTTTACAATCCCTGAGCTAGACACAGAGTGCTGGTTGGTGCATTTACAATCCTCTAGCTAGCCATAAAAGTTCTCCAAGTCCCCACTTGATTAGCTAGACACAGAGCACTGATCGGTGCTTTTACAAACCTTGAGCTAGACATAGGGTGATGATTGGTGCATTTACAAACCTTGAGCTAGACACAGGGTGCTGATTGGTGCATCCACAAACCCCCAGCTAGACACTGAGTGCTGATTGGCGCATATACAATCCTCCAGCTAGACATAAAAGTTCTCCAAGTCCCCACCCGACTCAGGAGCCCAGCTGGCTTAGCCTAGCGGATCCCACGCCGGGGCTGCCGGCGGAGCCTCCCGTTAGTCCCGCACTGCGTGCCTGCACTCCTCATCCCTTGGGCGGTCAATGGGACGTGGCGCCTTGGAGCAGGGGGTGGTGCCCGTCAGGGAGGCTCGGGCCGTGCAGAGCCCATGGGGGTGGGGGCTCGGGCATAGCGGGCTGCAGTACCCCAGCCCTGCCCCGCGGGGAGGCGGCTGAGGCCTGGAAAGAGTTCCAGTGCGGCGCTCAGTGCTGGGGGACCTGGTGCACTCTCCTCAGCTGCTGGCCCGGGTGCTAAGCCCCTCACTGCCTGGGGCCGGGGGCACCAGCCAGCTTCTCTGAGTGCGGGGGGGCCTCCCAAGCCTGTACCCACCTGGAACTCGTGCTAGCCCGCAAGCAGCACGCGCAGCCCTGGTTCCCGTCTGCACCTCTCCCTCCACACCTCCCTGCAAGCAGAGGGAGCTGGCTCCGGCCTTGGCCAGCCCACAGAGGGGCTCCCACAGTGCAGCTGCGGGCGAAGGGCTCCTCAAGTGTGGCCAGAGTGGATGCCAAGGCCGAGGAGGCGCTGAGAGCGAGCGACGGCTGCTAGCACGTTGTCACCTCTCATTAGGATAGTCTTTGTTGTTGTTGTTGTTGTTGTTGTTGTTGAGTTGGAGTTTCCCTCTGTCGCCCAGGCTGAAGTGCAGTGGCACCATCTTGGCTCACTGCAACCTCTGCCTCCCTGGTTAATGCGATTCTCCTTACTCAGCCTCCCGAGAAGCTGGGCCTACAGGCATGCACCACTACGCCCAACTAATTTTTTGTATTTTTAGTAGAGACGGTGTTTCAGCATGTTGGCCAGACTGGTCTCGAACTCCTGACCTCAGGCAATCTGCTCAGCTCACCTTCCCAAAGTACTGGGATTACAGGCATGAGCCATCGCACCCGGCCAGGTTTTTTTATTTTTATTTTTTTTAACAAGACAACTGACTTCCTTAAGAGCATGAAAACAGAAGTTGCCTGGCCTTCTTATGTCAAGGCTTATAAGTCTCAGAATGTCACTTCTACTGCATTTTATTGGTTAATTAGTTACAGGTCCAGCCCAGGTTCAACAGGAGGGGAAATTGATTCCACATTTTGATGGAGGGTTATAATGTCGTACTGCAGGAGGGCATGTGCGATGAGAAGCAATGTTGTGGTCATTTTTAAAGCAATAATCTGTGACATGCATTTTCCTACATTCTGTTTTCCTTTTCTCCATTCTCAGAGGTAGCTACTGTAATCAATGTCTATATTTCCCATTCATATTTGTATAGTTTCACCAGACTTCTCTCTAGCACTGAATACTCTTCATACTTTAAGCATTTTCCACATAGGGCAAAACAAAATCTTGAGGAAATCTCATAAATCTGAGGTCACAAGAAAAGTAGCCTGTAGAAAAGGAATTTCCTAAACTATAGGCCTCCTGCAGAAAAGTTGACTGAATGGTTCATCCTTTAAATTGGGTTGCAATGTTTCCAGCTTGAAGATCTTCTTTTATGTTTTATTTTTTATTTTTGAGACGCAATCTCACTCTGTCACCCAGGCTGGAGTACAGTGGCACAATCTCAGCTCACTGCAACCTCCACCTCTCCAGGCTCAAGTGATGCTCCCACCTCAGCCTCCTGAGTAGCTGGAACCACGGGTGCACACCACCATGTCCGGCTAATTTTTAATATTTTTGGTAGAGATGGGGTTTCACAATGTTGCCCAGGCTGGTCTGGAACTCCTGAGTTCGAGCAATCCACCCACCTTGGCCTCCCAAAGTGTTGGGATGACAGGTGTGAGCTGCTGTGCCTGGCTGAAGATCTTTTAATTAAGATTTCCCTCCATACATAGTTGTTTTTTGTTTTTGTTTTTGTTTTTTGTAACCTTGGGTTGAAAAAATAGATAATTGCAAATCACATGATCTTAGTAATATTTGTAAATTTTATATGTATTAATCACAGCTGCACTTGTATTCATTTAAAAATTCAAAATATGCTTTATGAAAAACTTTTATTTTATATAGTCTGTAGATTATTTTTGAGGTACATATACATTTGTAGAAATTACCATAATAACTCTATCATACGAGATGTTTATAGCTAACAGGTTAGGAAACTTATGCCATAGCTGACACTTTGCTGAATTTTCCTCTGTATTAGCTCACAGTCCTCCTTGCATTAGCTCCTTGTACTAATCAGTACCTGTGCCAATATGTATACTATCCCTAGATATGCAAACTGCTATCATCCTACTCTAGTCCCTGCCAAGCTCTTGGCTGAGATTCCTTTGCCCTGGCTCCACGTTGACTCACTTTATCATTGTCTCTCGCCTACACCCTTGTGATAGCCATAGAAAATCTCTCACATGACAATAGGTATTGATAAGCTATTTCATATTTTACTTCTTTTTCTAACTGGACATTTATCTGTAATAAATAAATGGCTCGTAAACAAAAATTAGACTTCACAACATGTTGGTATAGCAAATGTCCCTCACGGCAAAGCAGGAGAAGATATCTGTTTCTTTTTAACTTAGTTGCTTCTCTAAATATTTTAAATTACACCTTCTGTCTATTAAGGTATAGGTTCTTTTTTTAAAAGTCCTTTCTTAAAAACTATTTTTGGCTGGGCATGGTGACTCTTATGTGTAATCCTAGCACTTTGGGAGGCTGAGACGGGTGGATCACGAGGTCAGGAGTTCAAGACCAGCCTGGCCAACGTGGTGAAACCCTGTCTCTGCTAAAAATACAAAAAAAAAAAAAAATTAGCCAGGTGTGGTGGCGGGTGCCTGTCATCCTAGCCACTTGGGAGGCTGAGGCAGGAGACGTGCTTGAACCTGGGAGGCGGAGGTTGCAGTGAGCCAAGATCGCGCCACTGCACACCAGCCCAGGCAACAGTGCGAGACTTGGTCTCAAAAAAAAAAAAAAGCCACTTTTTTTTTTTTTAAAAACCTTACTTTTTGGAAAATTATTATTTGGTCAGCATAGTCTAGATACACTTCAATTATTCTTTATCAAATGCTTTATCCAGCAATTTACTCAATACATATTTCATGAGCAGCAATTATATGTCAACACTATTCTATGTACTGACAATTACAGCATTAAATCACATAGACAAAGTTTCAGTCTTTGTGGTAGATTGGACAGACATATAATATTGGCAGGAATAACTGACCTGGAGATAAAAAAAAAGAGTGGGCAAGATATGGAATGACAGATTGGATTGCTATTTTAGATAAGATCAGGGAAAGTCACTAGGAGAAGGTGACATCTGAGCAGACACTTGAATAAAATTGGAGGAGTAAATCACACAGTTATTGGCATACAGGGTCTTTCTAGGAAGAGGGACCAGTTAAGTGAAAAGGCCCTGAAGCAAGACTATGCGTGGCTTATTCAAAGAACATCAAGTTGGTCAATATGAGGACAGGGCAGTGAGAAGGGAATGAGAGGAAGCCAGGAGGTGACTTTAGCAGATGATGCTAAGCACTTTAGACTGAATTCTGAGAAGATGAGATACCGTCCAAGGTTCATGTACAAATCAATGACATGCTCTGGCATGCTTTAAGGTATAAGTCACTCTGGCTTCTGTGTCAGTAAACTCCAGGGGAATAAGAGCAGAACCAAGAAACTGCGAAGGAGGCTACGGCCAAAACCCAAGTGAGAGATGATGAGGGTTTAGACCACGGTAGCAGCAGTCAGGAGATGAGATGTGGAATTTTTGTTGTATTTTAAAGCTTGAGTTGACTGAATCTGCTGAAGGATAAATGCAGGGTGTGAAAGAAAGACAGTAAAGAATAAATGACTGTAAAGTTTTTGATGTGACAACTGTGTAAGTACAGAGGTGAAGTAAATTGAAGAAATTATGACATCAGTTTTGATTATTCCTGAATAAGTGCTAATTAAATATTCAACTTAGTATGAAAAAGTAGTCAGTCAGTGCTGTGGTTTGAATGTGTCTCTCCAGAATACAGGTATCACCAACTGATAGTATTAAGAGGCAGGGCCTATAAGAGATGATTAGGTCTAAAGGGCTTCTCCCTGATTAATGGGATTAAGACTTACAAAATAAGCTTCATGCGACATTATTCCTCAATAAATCCTCCAGAGTAAGAATAGTTAGGAAGTAGAAGAAGTTTGAGAACTGGAGTATTGTCTGAATCAGAAACACTGTAGCATTTAAATGTTTGGAAAATGGGGGCAGAAACACTAAAGACTATGATAAGAAATGATGTAAGTGTGTGTGGGGAGGGGTGGGAGTGGTTAGTTTTTATGTACAGTACAGTGGCAGTCAGTTGCCTAGCTAGGAATTCAAACTGCAGGTATTGCAACCCAGATGATTATCAGAAGGCTATACTCTAAAGGAAGTTTTAGTAAGACCTTTTAACTATTTTTAAAATCTTAGATTAATAATAGGAACTCTAAAGCATCATTTAATGAATGCAAGAAATAGGTTTTCACTAGTAAAATTGTGGGTACTCAAAATATGTGGAGATATATGAATTGCCTGAAATATTTTAACACTCTTATTTGGACAAGGTTTATGCGCCAAAGGAGCTTTTCAGCCTTTACTTTTCGCAATGATTCCCAAGGCATGATTCCAAAATAATGTCTGTGTTTGCACAAATCTTTTATAGACTGTGTAGTCAGAACCCATAGAGGATAGGAAATTGGGACTCCAACATGTTTTCAAAACTGTCTTTATGACTTCTTTGTATCTATCTGCTAATAAATGTGTATGTGTACATACAAATATGTGTATATATGATATATAAAAATATATGTGACTAGGGCCAGGTGCGGTGGCTCATGCCTGTCATCCCTGCACTTTGGGAGGCCAAGGTGGGCAGATCACCTGAGGTCAAGAGTTGAAGACCAGCCTGGCCAACATGGTGAAACCCCTCCTCTACTAAAAATACAAAAATTAGCCAGGCGTGGTGGCGGGTGCCTGTAATCCCAGCTATTCGGGAGGCTGAGGCAGGAGAATTGCTTGAATCTGGGAGGCGGAGGTTGCAGTGAGCTAAGATTGCGCCATTGCACTCCAGCCTGGGTGACAAGAGAAAAACTCCATCGGAAAAATATATATACATATATATGTGTGTGTGTGTGTGTGACTATATGTATATGTACATAACATTCATTATGTATAATATATGAACATTCATATATAATGTATGAATTTGGTGTCAGATGTACTTTTTTTGTAACCTGGTAGAAACATTTTAGGTAGAGTTGCTAGCCCATAACTATTTCCAATAATTGGCAGATAACACTATCCAAAAGAAACTCAAGTGTTGAGCATTCATTGACTTAGGTCACTTTTCCACAATGTGGTCAGTGATTTAGAGTTGTCTTGGGAGATAAGAAAAACACAAAATGAAATAAAATAACAAACCAAAAGCAAAACAATGTTTCAAACATGAAAGTAGACCTATCTTGGTTAAATGGTGAACAATTAGCCAATAAAAGGAGAATGAGATTGATCTCCGTGTTAGCAACATGGAAGTCACTGCTAATGTTAATAAGAACAGTTTGTTTTTGGAGTGGTGTAGGCAAATGTATGATTAGTATAGATTCAAGAAAGAATGAGAGAGTAGGAAGTACAGACCATAAGAATAGACAAATATTCCAAAGAGGTTTGCTGTAAATAGGAGCAGAAAACTATAATAGCTGAAGGGGACTGGAGATATGACAAATGTTTGTTAAGGTGGAGGAATTACAGCAAGTTTTAGAGGAAAAAATAATGATGCAGTAGAGAGAGAAAATTTTGGGAGTAATATCTTTGAGAAAATGAAGAAATGGGGTCTCATCAGGGCTGATGTTTAGCAGACATGCACAACCAAAGCAATAATGACTGCTAAGATACTAACATACTTTCAGGACAGTTTGTAAATAATTGCTCTTCTGAGCCCCTTGAGTGCTCCCACCTCCAACCTCCTTTCCCTTGGAACTTCTTGGACCTGCCCACCATCCAGAAACTAAAAGGTAACAATTGGAACAGAAGAAAGCCCCACAGACTGCTTTGGTGCTATGTTTGTGCTTCTGCCATTCTGGTTGTTAAATGCTTTGACTATCACTCAACTATCCAGAGTCCAAATGAAGATGTCAGTCTTAGGAGAAGTTGATGGGTTGATAGATTTGGAAAGGGTATGATGTTCAGGTTCTCTTTTCAGTGCTGTTATTTTATTTTATTTTATTTATTTATTTATTTTTGAGACAGACTCTCGCTGTCGCCCAGGCTAGAGTGCAGTGGAGTGCAGAGTTTTGCTCTGTTGCCCAGGCTAGAGATCTGGGCTCACTGCTATTTCTGCCTCCTGGGTTCAAACAATTCTCAGCCTCCTGAATAACTAGGGCTACAGGCATGGACACCATGCCCAGCTAATTCTTGTATTTTTAGTAGAGACAAGGTTTCACTATGTTGGCCAGGCTAGTTTCGAACTTCTGACCTCAGGTGGTTCGCCCACCTGGACCTCCCAAAGTGCTGGGATTAGAGGCATGAGCTATCGCGCCTGACCTCAGTGCTTTTATTTTCTCGCAAATCTAAGACACTAAGAGTAAAAAGAGGCTAGGGACCTTGTAGGTATAAGGGAAGAAGGTGTGCTATCAGTGTGTTTTGGAATAGGAAGTTAATTGATCAGGGCAATATGTAGAGTTTATAGTAGATTAGCCATGTCTTGGCATCTTGCTATGGAAGTAGAAAAGAGGAAGACAGAGACAAGGGAATTGAGGGTATTGAGTAGGGCGTGATTATCAAAATGAGCTGTCAAATTTAAGCCAGTTAAGAAGAAAATGGGTATAGGGTCAAGTGAGAGGCAGTACCAGGGTGGCAGGGCAAACAGATTATAGGTTCTTGTATAATTGAAGAATTGTTGAATGTGGGGTACCTCTAGGAGTGAGTTGGAGAGAGAGAAGTGGTACTTGGAAGACATTTGAAATTGACAAAGAATGAGTTTTTAGTAATGGCAAATTCCAGTGAAATACCCTGAGAGGAGTTGGCGGAGATGGTGCGATGGCTTGAATGTTGTGCCTTCCAAAACTCACGTTGAAATTTAGTCAGCAGCATGGCAGTATGAAGAGATGGAGACTTTAAGAGGTGATTGGGTCATGAGAGCTCTGCCCTTATGAATGCATTAATCCATTGCTGAATCACTAATGGGTTCTCATTGGAGTGGGACTGGAGGCTTTACAAGAAGAAGAGAGACCTTAGCTAGATCATTTAGCCTCTTCACCATGTGATGCTCTGTGTCACCTTGGGTCTCTGTAGAGATTCTCCACCAGCAAGAAGGCTCTTACCAGATGGGACTCCTTCAATTGGAGGCATTCATAAGTGTAACAAACACATTCATTTTCTTTATAAATTACCAGTTTCAGATATTCTGTTATAAGCAACTGAAAATAGAGTAAGACAGATGGGATAGGGTGATATGGCTTGGCGATGTTCCCACCCAAATCTCATCTTAAATTGTAGCTCCCATAATTCCCACATGTGGTGGGAGGGACCTGGTGGGAGATAATTGAATTATGGAGGCGGATCTTTCCCATGCTATTCTCCTGACAGTGAATAAGTGTCATGAAATCTGATGGTTTTATAAAGGAGAAGTTTCCCCTACACAAGCTCTCTTGCCTGCCACCATATAAGATGTCACTTTGCTCCTCATTTGCCTTCTGCCATGATTGTGAGGCCTCCCCAGCCATGTGGCGTCCATTAAACCTCTTTCCTTATAAATTACCTGGTCTTGGGTGATGTCTTTATTAGCAGCGTGAGAATAGGCTAATACAATGGGGTATAAGCTCATCAGAATAAGGAAGTCAAGGCCCGGCGTGGTGGCTCATGCCTGTAATCACAGCACTTTGGGAGGCTGAGGCAGGTAGATCACTCGAGATTAGGAGTTCAAGACCAGCCTGGCCAACATGGTGAAACCTCCTCTCTACTAAATATGCAAAAAATTTGCTGGGCGTGGTGGTACACTCTTGTAATCCCAGCTACTTGGGAGGCTGAGGCATGAGAATCGCTTGAACCTGGGAGTTGGAGGTTGCAGTGAACCGAGATTGTGCCACTGCACTCCAGCCTCAGTGACACAGTGAGACTCCATCTCAGGAAAAAAAAATAATATTAATAAGGAAGTCAAGGAAAGAGAGATCAGGTTACCAGAAGGAATGACTCTGTATGTTTATGTATACACTGAAATCATCAAGTGTTCTGTGATGACAGAGAGTGAGAAAAAAAGGTCTCATCTGTAAGGAGTAAGAAGTTACCCAGAAGTGTACAGATAATTGCAATAAGGGTATGTAGTAGGTGACAGAATTTGAGGATATGAGCTTTAAAGAAGTTGAAAATATTTAAAAATAGGAAAGACATATGTTCTAAAAAAGGCAATAAGATAAAAACCATGGCACCTCCAGGTCCAATGGGGTCTAGGGTATGTTAGAAGAAACAGCCTCTAATTTAGAGGGCTCTTGGAAGAGCAATGTCCCCAGGTGACCCCTGAGTTCCAGTAGGAAAAGAAGGGAAAGGGAATAGTTACAAAGGAGATATGGGGAATTTTGTGAGTAACTGATAGTGAATTCCATAGGGTGAGGGGACTTGAGCAACTGAGGAAAGTTGAGAGCATGAATAGGGTTGGGGAACTTACATATGTTATGAGAGTCCAGACAAAAATGCTTCAAGGCCTGGAGTAAAGAGGCCTAAACTGTACGGTTGGATTATTGTCCTAATAGTCTCTACTATGGGCTGAATTATCTGTCCCTAAGATTCACATGTTGAAGCCCTAGCCTCCAGTAATTCAGAGGGACTGCACTGCAGACAGGGTCTTTAAGGAAGACATTTGGGTTAGCCCTAATCCAATCTGCAAACTAAAAAGAGGGATTTCAGAAGAAACCAAATGTTCTGACACCTTGCTCTTGGACTTCTAGCCTCCAGAACTGTGAAAAACATATATAATAATTTCTGTTATTTAAGCCATTCAGTCTGTGGTATTTTGTTATGGCAACCTTAGAATATTCATACAGTCTTCTTGGTGAAAGTGAATAACAGTTCTAATTGCATCCTCATTTTTGGAACTGTTCTCTTAGGTATATTATGCTGATGAGCTAGGAAGCACTGGGGGCCAAGGAGACAGATAATTCTTTCCAGAAGTATAGTTCTGTGGGTCCCCTTTCCTGTTTTGCCAAGGTCCAGTGTAATTTATTCATTTGCCTATATTGTTTTTTTAACTTACTTTTAATTTGTGATTCTTACTGATAATAAAATTGGATAACTATATTTATTTATTTATGCAACAAATATTTATTGAGTGCCTATTATGTGCCAAGCACTTTTCTAGATACGCGGATATTAGGGAATCAAACAGATAAACCCCTGCCCTCACAGAGCTTACCTTCTAGTAAGGTAAGCTCTAACTGGGGGATGCTTTTGTGGAATTTGGTAGTTTTCAAACTGGAGTTTTCATTTCTTATGACCAAAGTCTCCCTACTCCAATCCAAGCATTTTATTGTTACCAAATTCACTTTATAAAAGTAGAAAATGTATCATGTAATATCCACCTAGAAAAAAAAATCAATTGATGCCTCCATATTGCCTTATAAATAAAATCCTTATTTCTCTCTATGGCATTCAAGTTGTGATTTGATGCTGAATTACTTGTTTGGCATCTGCCCCAAATTAGGGATCTGTATCCATCCTGAGAAGCCTTATGCTTTCTCTTTTATTGCAAAATGGACATTTCAGGACACCAAAAGATGTAAACTTGTTACAGAAATTCACCATATGTTCATTCCCTATAAATACTCAAAAGATACTAGCTCTTCCCCGTGTTACTGTCAGTCCTTTGCTAGAAGTTGCCTACTCTGTAATGCTGAGCTCTAATTGTTTGCTCAGCTTGGGGACCTATACAGAACAGGTGTGGAGTAGGAGAAGGAAAGCCCAACTATGGGGTGGATTTCCAGGTCATCTGCTCTAGTACCTGAAAAGGGCTCCTGGTTTTCATTACTTTTTCTGCTGAAAGCAGCCGATTCTCTAAACAATAGTTGTGGCTATTATATATGTTTCCATTTCTTCTCTAGGCCAGAAATGTGGATATTTTTATGCATATCTTACTGTAAGCACATCATATTTTAAGCATATCTTACTTTTGGCATATCTTACTGTAACAGTCACAGTCTAGGTAGGAAACAGGAGGTGCACTGTAAGTGATTTTACTGAAAAGAATGTAATGAAGAGACAATTTCAGAGGTATTAACTGGGTTAAGAGAACTAGGGGAGGCCGGGCGTGGTGGCTCGTGCCTGTAATCCCAGCACTTTGGGAGGCCGAGGTGGGCGGATCACTTGAGGCCAGGAGTTCCAGACCAGCCTGGCCAACATGCCAAAACCCTGCCTCTACTAAAAATACAAAAGATTAGCCAGGCGTTGTGGTGCACACCTGTAATCCCAGCTACTCGGGAGGCTGAGGCACGAGAATCACTGGAACCTGGGAGGCAGAAGTTGCAGTGAGCCAAAAGGAACTAGGGGAAGCCATCACACTCTAGGCCTGAAGGGACACTGGAAACAAATTGTTTTATTAGAGACCCATGAGAGCTGAGGCCATGGAAAAGAGGCCTCTACACAGGCCCTGTAGTCATAGAGGGACAGGACTGTGGCCAAAATTTTGGGTTAAAGGAAAGAAGAATACTCTGATATTTCTCTCCTCCCTTCTTTTGATTTTCTGCCAGTGCTTCCCATTGGTCAATCACAACAGGAAGCCACAGGTCAAAGGGGCCTAGTGATTTATCTGTAGGCATCCAAAGGCACGGCTTGGTAGAGAAGTAGAAACGATAGATTTGGGGAGGGAAACAGAAAATACTGCTGTTATAAATATTCTCTAGACCACAGGAAGTTAAAAAAAATTACTAGATTACAGGACAATTAAAAAATTCCCATAAATCTACCTTTCTAATACCACTTCCTTCTTATTCCCACATTTAACCTGCTGAGTGTTATCTCTGCCTAGCACTGGGGTGGGTAAACTTTTCCTGTAAAGCATATTTTAGACTTTGAGGCTTAAGAGGCAAGGTCGAAAATATTATGTCCTATTTATGTAGTGATTTGAAATGTAATTATTTGAACATATAAAAAACAGTCATTCAAATTCAGTGGCGTAGATTTGGCCTGTGGGCTATACTTTGCTACCCTCTGGCCTTGAAAGTCTTCTAAATTTTTGCTAGCCTAAAATCCACCTACTTTTCAATGTCAAGTTCAAATAAAACCTCCCCTACGTGGCCTCTCATACTGGGACTCTGAGCTGTGAGTGACAGAAAATCAACTATTACTAGCTTAAGCAAAACTGAGGATAAGTTGAGAGTTTGCGGGTTGTAGATCCCAGAATCCAGGAGTTGCTGAAATGCCAGCTGCTCTGGGGATATCCTGCTTTGCTACTGTGGTAACATCAGAACATGCCCTCTTCATCTCCCTTTCTCTTCTCTTTGCTTCTGTCTTCAGTTTGGCCTCATCATCTCCTAGAGGCAGATCTTTTCCACAAGAAACAGAATATGTAACTCTTTATGTACCCAGGAAAGTATTCTGTTTGACCTGTCTTGGTCACCCAGCCACCCTTCGATGAACCCATGTCGGTGGAGGAAGGGGGAAGAGTGATGGGGTAGTCTCGAGGTTCAGACATGGCACACGTTTGGGAGAGAAGCTCACCTCTGAGGAGTGGGGAAAGAGGCAGTTTCCCAAAAGGAGGATGCATTCTGTTGCCAGGAGATGAAACAGGAGAGGTTGTCTATTTTAGAGAGATAGAAATGTCACAATTACAATCCAATGTGTGCAGCGCTATAACAGAGATAAGTCTGACGCCTCGTTATCACCCACAGTACCTAACATCACACTTGGTAGACACATTCATGCGATTTTGATGAATGAATGACTCAGTTCTCCCAGCTGATTGTGTACACACTCTACTCCAAACTGGCCCAGAATTTTATCAGCTGCTCTTCATTCTGTACGTTGTATTTGGGGTTTTTATGGCCATCTACCATCTCTCCTCTAATTCCGGGTGCAAAAAGAGTGTATGAGAGAGAGGCAAGCATGCAGTAAACATCCTGTGTTAATCTCAATCCCAGAACCAGACCACAGAATGCTGACTACACCGCTCACGGGAAAGACTATGTTTTAGGTGACCCGTGTGGCCTTTTTGTTGAGGCCTTTAGGATACAAGGCCCCCACCTAAAGACGCGACCCTCCCGTAGGAGGGGGGCAGGGCCCGGGGGCGGGAGCACAGCGGGGCCCCAGCCTCAGGCGGCGCGTCACTGAGCACAAAGGAGACAACAGCGAGGCGGCAGCGGGCGCTGATCTTCGCTCGCCAGCCACTCGCAATTGCGGTTACAGACCTGCAGCTCCCCCTCCCCCAGCCGGCCCGCCCGCCTTTCTGTCTCCTCTCTCCCTCCGTACTGGACGGCCCCGGTCCATTTCCGGGCTCCGGATATTTGGTATCGATTGGGGCCGGGGACGCGGAGCAGGTGGCCGCGGCGGGGCAGCTGGGCCGCCAGCTTGGTGCCTCGGGGACCGTCTCCCGCTGCTTTGGTCACCAGCCCCTGCCCGCCCGACCCGCTCCGTTCTCCGGCCTGCGAGCCCTGCCGGCCGGACTTTGCGCCGCGTCCGGCGCTGCTGCTGCGCTCGGGGCCCCGCTCGGCGCCGGCGGTGACCGGGAAGCCCGCGTTAAAGGGGCAACCGGGACCCTGGCCCGGTATGGCTGAAGTCAGCATCGACCAGTCCAAGCTGCCTGGAGTCAAGGAAGGTAAGGGCCCCGGAGGGAGAGCGCGCGGGACCCTCCCCTCTCCCAGCCCGAGGTTCTCTCAGGTCAGGGGCGTTGCCATTTCGGCTCCCGCGGCCCTCGCCCGGTGCCCGCCCTGCGTTGGCCTTGCCCGGACGTGAAAGGAATTGAATTCAGGTTCTAGTGTGGGACGTTGGGCAAGTCTCCGACGTTCCAAGCCCGTTTTTTCTCAAGGGGGTGGTTGGGGGGGGGGGGGGCTAGCAGCAGCCCCAGCAAGTAGGTGGCTGTGCCCGTGTTCTCGTGCATCGCAAAGCCTCAGTGGACGCTGAGAGCCGGGTGAATCTGACTTACTCCGCTTCTAAAAAATCGAGGCCCAGCCTGGCTGGCTTGAAGGCTGGGAAGTGGAGAGGGGTTGACATTCAGTTCCGTGTGGAGCCTTTGTTTTGAAACATGACTCTTTCCCTCCTTCTCTCCCTACTTTTCCTAGGCCGGCGTCTGGCTGGCTGACTTTCCCACCTTCCTCAAGGTTTAAAAGTTTAGTCTTGGCTGTGTTCTGCGCGGGCGGGAAGCCACTATAAGCATTTTCTTACAAACAAAACACACACACACACACACACACACACACACACAATAGTGAGCGAGGGGAACAGGGGACTGATGGCCTTGTCATTGCTTTTTGTACCAATGTCCAGGAAAGTAGAGATTAGTACTGACCTGGCTTTAGCTGACAGCAAGTAGCCTTTTGACTTCCCTTCTCTTGTTTTTCCACTAGCTGCCTCAGGACCTAGCTTTTTTTTGCTGAGATCTTAGGTGCTGGATCGCCTTATGCCTTGAGTTATCTTTGTTTATTCTTTGGTCCTAGGAAGCATAGACGTTCCAGAGTGCTGACGCAGACCCCTAAGTTCCAAGGGCTTTGCAAAATCGGCTTCTGTTGTGAATGTCATTTGTATCGATTGAATACTGTAGCCTGAGGCGTCTTGGAGATGTGGAATTGAAAATAGTTTTTGCTTTCTTGGAACCGCTTGTTTTATTGCCAACTTAATTTGACTCCGTTGGTCTTGTGTGTGCTCAGGCCAGCCCAAAAATCTCAGGAAAATGAGGGACTGCTTGATTGCTTTCTCAGAGTTTCAAGCACTAGGAGACTAGTGACTAGTGGTCACTGATTTTATGTAGAATTTCTGATGGGCCTAGTTCTGTCTTACTGTTCCGGAAGGGTGTTAAAGCTTAGGCGTGAGATTTTAGCGTTAATACTTTTCTACCTTTCCGTCCCTGGTATGGCTTTGATGAAGACTTAGGGCTTTCACCTGTAGAAAACAGTTTTCACTCTGCTGTCAAGACTAAGGAGGCTGAGCGATAGGAAAGGCGGATCCATACTTTTGAGAGTTCTTATCTTAGAGATTGTCTGGTTATCCTTTACTTTTGGATATGAGGGTTTTTTGTGTGGGTATGTGTTGGGTTTGTCTCTAGAGAAAGAGTGATCCTTGTGCAGTGTGTAGTGCATGGTGAGTAGAATGAGAATTGGAGTTCAAACAAAACCTGGTATGTATAGTATTAATCATATGGTGCTATGATTTTATCCAATCCCCTATTCATGTGAGTGAAAAAACATAAAACTCTTCATATACATTTATATTACCCTTAGGTCTTCTGATTTCGTACCAAGACATGAATGATGTATTCTAACATATTATTTCTCAAGGAGTTCCACAAACACCTTCCATATAAAAATGCAAGATTTTTCCATTTCCACACTCTAGAGTCTAATACATTTAAATTAGCTTTCATTTTGCGTAATACGGTGTTTGGCAATCTCTTTTATGTAATCTGGTAAATTGGTAAGAAAATTCAGTGTGGCTCTTTCATTAAGTTACAATTAAATATTAATTTTGAAGGTGGTCAGGAATCGATGAGATCACTGTCTTTGTAAACATCTGACTTTTCTAGTTCCAAGATCATCAAAGGAAGTGATGTATTATACTAGGAATGTCCTACTAATGGTGGTGAAGTTTTTGATCTGAGAAGTATTCAAGTCTAATAAAGTGTATCCTTCCCTAATATAACTCTTAATTATGGCCCAGTTACTCCCTAACAGTGTCTTTATCCTAATTAAAGAGAATGAAGCTTGTGCCCCTGATAGGGTAAAACATGTGCAAACATTGAGACTGTGGTAATATTGAAACTCCAACTTCATTTGAGAAGGGTTAGTAGTAGTAATTAGTTTAATATTCTGATGCAGATTTTTGAACCCCATTCAAAAAAATCCCTGTATCTGTCTCCTCTACTTTTTAATTTAAACTTTTGATAGATATATATGCAGTTACAATTTATATTCAATTTGGTATCATGGGGTAGATTCCAATAGAGATTAAGAAGAATAGTGCAGTGAGTGTGTGCCCGTTTCCATTGCTGTTTAGGAGGGGATGGGGCACCCTGTGACCTTTTGTCGTGAACATTTCAATAGAGGTCGTGGGTAGCAGCTGACATTAGGGTAAGGGGATATTTAAAAATCTTCTTTCCTAGGTTGAAATCTAATGCTTGCTTACTTAGTTTTTAAGGAAGTCAAAAATATTCATCATTTGGACAGACCTTTTGAAAAAACACACACACATACACCTATGGTAGTATTTATACCTTGGTAAATCTCTTAAACTGGGAGACAAAGGGAAATGATTGAGTTCATATGTAGGTGAAAAGAATCAAGTCAACTAAGTGTCAACACATCATTTTTTCTGGTTAAAAGTGTGTTTGGAACATCTGTATACTTTTTGTAATGGAAAACGCTGTTGCCAATATTCAGGAATAATACTCTATTTCTTCTGAAACATTTGAGGTTCTAGATTTGAAATAATTTCCAGCCATTTTAAACTTCAGTAGGTCTATAACTGAAATGCAAAATGCAATTTGCGAATGTTAGGGAAAGGAACAGGCATGTTTCAACAATATTCTGAAAGTTTCTTGGAGTTCAGAGCTGGAAACATATTTTTGTAAAAAACTTTTAATCAGTTGACAAACTTACATTTTTCAGGGGGTCAGTTTTAGCTTCTTCATTGAATTTTTCTTTTCTGAACCAGCAATCAAGACTCCCTACTTCCTTTTGCTCTCCAAGTTCCTGTATCGGTAAATGAATTGTCCACTTGCTGTAATTTTGCCATTTAGCCCTCTCTAACCAAGATGTTGATCGAGGCCTTTCTAGACATTTTGGCGTTTCATCAACTTCTTTGCAATTTCTTAAGCATTAGAGCTTTACCACTTTTAGCCATGCAGTGCATGCTTTCAACCTCTCCTATTTTCTCCAAGTGTTAATCTTTATTTTTCTTTCCTTACAGCAGTTCTCTCAATCTCATTTTTATGTTCAATTCTTACATTCTTTAGGTGGAAAGTTCCACTGTCTCAAAGTTGGTGAATTCTGTGTGTGTTGGTGTGCATGTGTGTGCTTAACATCTGAAATCAGTTTACCTAGGAGTGACTTACTTCTTGAAGTACAGGTAGCTAGCTATTCTGGGAGCAAATCCTTTTTCTTTAGTGAAAGATACAATTTAATACATTTTTAGAAATGTCTGTAAAAGGAAACATACCTAGAAAGCACTGATTTATTTTAGGTTCAGGGCACTCCAGTGGCATAATGTGTTAAATTAAGTTAATGGCGTACATCCAGACCTTCAAGGGGGAAAGATATAAAATTATGTCTGGTACCATCAGTGAACCCAGTAGTCTAAGAAATTTAGAGCTTATCACATGCACACTAGGCATCTAAACAGATGGCAGTGTCCATGAGATGTACATATATCTGGCTACACGGCAAACCCACTTTCCCTGTTTTTCAAAATTCCATAACAGTTTTTGTTTTGGTTGTTGGTTTTTAATGAGACCCTGGCTGGATCTCTTGGAGCTAGGAGGTTTATGTCTTAGTTATCTTGCTGTACCCTCATTTGGATGAATGTCTTTTATGTAATCAGCAACTATTCAGTAAATATTTGCATGTGTGAATAAATGAATGAGTGAATGAATGAATACATTATTATTCTCTGTTGGTTTAGGAATCTTGTCTCTGGCATAATTATTTTGTATTCTTTTTCAGAGTATAAGCTTTTAAAAGGCAGAGATAATACCTTTTAAACTGTGTGTATCACTTATTTATACCAGCATTAAATTTATAAAAACTTCGAATTTTTTTCTAATTTTTTATAGGTATGTCTTGTAAATAGAATTCATTCAACATAGATATGTATTACATAGAAAAATTAAAGAAAGTAATTTGTTGCTTTCTTTTCTGACTTTGGAGATAATCATTAAGAATAGAATTTTAGTAAAATTTTCTAAATGCTATTTTGTGTTTTTGATTTTTACTTGAGTAATAATAGGTTTAATTTTTTGTTCTAAGTACAAAGCAATATCACTCAATTTGGGAGCAGGAAGGAATCTTAGATAATTTGCATATCTGCTGTGTGCCACATGTTGTGTTGAGGGTATTTCCACAATAAAAAAAAATTTTCCATGGTACATGAACATGATCTTTGCTGTGGTATAGAATGCATGGAGTTGTTGAAAGAACTGTCTGAATTCATATGTGCACCAAAAATGGCTTTCACAAAAGGGAAGAAAATAGTATATTGCCATATGTAGACTTGCATTACTTTTTTGAATGAAGAAGGGAATTTTCAAATGGATGTAACTGTTAATTTGTAAAATATATATTTTTTAAACAGGTACTTAACGGACGACTCACACGTGGGAAACCATAGTTAATTGGTACTTTAAAAAGAGATTTCAGAGTAGAAAGCACTAAAAACCACTGTTCTAGGCCAACTTCCTTATTTTCCAGATGAAAATCCCAGGGTCAGGGAGGGCAAGTGAGTTGTATTAAACCACTGAGGCTAAGTAGCTAGGAATTGGCACATTGGGGCCTAGAATTAGAAAAGTTTAGAACTGTGAGTAGTTGCTTACACAGCTTATTCTTCCCTCCATTTCTTTTTACCTACCTTCTCTTTTCCTTTTCCTCCTTCCCTCTCTTCCCCTTCTTTCTTTTAAATTGTTCTGTAGATGCGAAAGATTCATTTCTGATGTGTTTCATTTATGTGATATGCCATATGTTTAAGACAGTAGAATGAAAATAATAAGGCTTTTTCTGAGGATAGTTATTTTAAGGATAATGTATCATATGGATGCTGAGTTAACATACAATTTTTTACAACTTTTAGTTTTGATTCAGCAAATGAATTACTGAGTGAACTGTAGGAAGTCACACTCTTGCCTCACTGTTTTTTCTACCTGAAAAGTCTTGCAAAAATGCATGTCTTCTCTGGTATATTCATTCTAAAGAGGCTAATATTTAAAGGTAGAAACTCTAAAATTAAACGTATTGGAGAAATAAAGTCATAGGCCATGGTCTTTCCTCAGCCCTTGTTAGGGACTTAACAGTTTTTGTTGAGATAAATAAATTTTTCCTCAGTGACAAAAAACATGTGAGTTTCATTCATAAAGAAAACAGTTATGGAGACCACTAAACTTAAGTAAATGCTGCTTGAAATCCCAGTTCTCCAAGGTACAGAAGCATATTTAGAAGTGAATTGCTTTGATCCATAGAGGAGAAAACAAACATTCAAACAACTATATTTGCTGTTTCAGAGGTAGCCACTGGAAGTGCCATTGGATTAATGTTTTTAACTGGTGACTCGTTTAAAGGTGTCCTGTGCTTCAAAAATGTAAAATTAGAATAACCTAGATCTTAGATAAGACCTACAAAGGATAATTAGTTTTTATATTTAGAAGGACTTTGGGGATTACTTGGATGTTTGAATCTAGAATGTTCCAGGTGTTTGAATTTAAAAACCAGCGCAAGAGTTCTCAGATATTGCTTTTAAAAGGACTGTTAAGCAGAAAACAATCATTATTTCCTTCTGTCATCATTTCGTTAAAAAAGCATACACACATACATTAAGTGTGTGTGCATAGGATAGTTTTTAGCCTACATTGAGAAAAAGGAAAAAAAACAAAGCAGTAAAGACTTTCTAATAAACCAGAACCAGTGTATTACCGGTCTTGTTTATTTATCAGTGGTTCTTTCCTTTTTCTTTGTCGTTTTAGTCAAGTTCAGCGAATAATTTACATACAATAAAAATTCCTTCCTTTTTAGTGTGTAGTTCTGAGTTTTGACAAATGTGTAGTCTTGGAACCACCACAACAATCAAGATACAGAACAGTTCCTAACCCCCAAACTTCTCAACCCCCGTTTCATGCCCCCACCAGCCACTGATTTGTTTTCTGCCCTTGTAGTTTTGCCTTGTCAAAAATCTTATATAAATAAGATCATATAGTAAGTAGTTTTTTGAGTCTCCTCAAACATACTGTTTATCCATTCACTAATTGAAGAACATATGAGTTTTCAGTTTTGGTGGGTGACAGTAAAGTCACTCTAAACATTTGTGTACAAGTGTTTTTTTTTTTTTTAATGTATGTGTGTGTATTTGAACATAAGTTTTTGTTTCCCTCGAATGGACTTTCTGGGTTATACGGTGAGTGCATGTTAAAATTGTCAAACTGTTTTTCAAAATGGCTGTACCATTTTGTATTCCCACCAGCAATGTATGTGAGCTCCAGTTGTTCTGCATCCTTGCTGGCATTTGATATTTTCAGGACCCATTTACTTTTTTTAATTTTAACCATTTGAGCAAGTGTGTCATGATATCTTATTGTGGATTTAATTTGTATTTCCCTAATGACTCATGATGTTGTGCCTTTTTTCTTGTGCTGATTTGCTATTCTTATATTGTTTGTTGAAGTGTTTGCTTTAAATTTTAGCTCATTTTAAAATCGACTATTTTCTTATTATTGAATTTGGGAGTTCTTTACATATTCTGGATACAGTTCTTACTAGATACACAGTTTGCCCATGTCCATGCTTTTAAAAACCTTAGTTCAATATCAGAATGATATGGGGATCCAAACACCTTCCTAGCCCTACTTGATATTAGCTAAATCTCTTAGAGATGGTTTCAGGAATCTGTAGTTTTTATATACAGACTATGTACTCAGACTTATGCAATTACATTTGGAAAATTACAGAATGAGTATACTGTGGCCACCCCAATACAAGGATCTTCTCCTAATTTCTTAAGTTTTTGCAGTGACAGCTCATTTATCTGATAAAGAATGAGCAGTAATCCTCTCTAGTAATTCAAATTTGTTGCAGGGACCTGCAAACTACTGCCACTTGTTTTGTATAGCAAGGTAGCTCAGGATGGCTTTTACAGTGTTTAATGATTCAAAAAAAATAATGTTTTGTGATGTGAAAATTGTATGAAATTCAAATTTCAGTGTCTGTAAGTAAAGTTTTATTGGAACATAGCCATACTTATTCATTTACATATTGTCTTTGTCTGCTTACATACTGTAGAGGCAGAGATGAGTAGTTGTAGCAGAGACCACGTGATTGGCAAAGCTTAAATTTTTTGCGACCTGATACTAGACAGAAAAAAAAAAAAGATTTGTTTTGGAGCCATTTTCAATGAAACTTTTAAAAAACTTTGTTATTTAACCTTTTTTGGACAGTTCAGTTATCGGTATAAACACTGTTTTTCATAACTTTGCTTTAATATAATGATGCCCTTGGGAATTATTGTTGATTGAACTCTTATGACAGCCTATTTAATTTTTGAAGTGACTTTAAAAAGTACAGAGTTAAATCATTTTTCTTTCTCTCTCTCTTTTTTTTTTAAGACGGTGTCTAGCTCTGACGCCCAGGCTCGAGCGATTCTCCTGCCTCAGCCTCCCGAGTAGCTGGGATTACAGTTGCCCGCCACTATGCCCAGCTAATTTTTGTATTTTTAGTAGAGACAGGGTTTCACTGTGTTGGCCCGGCTGGTCTCAAACTCCTGACCTCGTGATCCGCCCATCTCGGCCTCCCAAAGTGCTGGGATTACAAGCATTAGCCACTGCACCCAGCCTCTTTTTTTAAGAAGAAAAAAAAATTACACTCCGGTAAATTTCTGGGGACTTTCAAAATCAAATGTAGGTAGAAATCTTATGTAAAGTAAGAGTATGCCGTATGCCAGCTCTGAGTAAGGGTCTGTGGGGCTTTCAGAAGTTCATGAGTATCCAACAGATTTAACCACCTTAAAATGTTTCCTTACGTTTTTTTTTTAGCTTATATTATTGGTCCTGTTTAAAACTTATTACAGATATTTGTGTGAATGAAGTATCATTTCATCTTTTTAGAAACTTGTATCAGAGGTACCTAGGCTAATTTATCACCAAATTTTTCATCTTGCCTGATGAGCATTTCCAGTCCTGATACAGCTCCTCAGTGACCAAATACCAGGGGAGTCTCCCCTGGACTTTTTTGGCTTTTGTTTTTCCAATGAGTCATAAAGGCTTAGTCATTTTCCATTAACTTTAGGAGTTTTAACTGCATATAGTAAAACTATGAATGACTTATAAGGATATCTTTCCCTCTTCACCGCTTCCCCATCAGCAACAAATTCTGTTTTGTTTATTGACTATGGAGGAGTCCATGATTGACTTTAAGTATTATATTCACTAATTTTTGAGTAGCATCTTCCCACCAAATACTTTGAAAATATTAGGTTTTTCTTTTATATTATGAAGGTCTGTGTAAATATCGAATACAAGAGTTGACAAATACTGTGAAAGACTCTTTTTGTCTAGATGGGAGTCCTGACGTAGAAGAAAGAGAAAGATAGGGGCTCACTTAATGGTCCACGTTCTTCCCATCTGTACATCTGGAGTTTGCCTTAATATCTGGGCCGGTAGCTCTTTTGGAAAGGGCTATTCACTCTCAATGTCTGCATTTATAGATCACTTTCTGGCTTTTCCTAGAAAATATTTTCAATTCTGTCAGTGATTGCTGGATTCTAAGTTAACATGTTTGCTTCTGTTGTTTTCCCAGCATTCTCTGGTCAGACTTCATTATTTCAAATTGGTCTTTGGTGGATCCACAAATCATTCCTTCTTTTTATAGTTTCCCCATTGAAGCTCCATAGAGCTAATCTTTGAAAGATCATTTTACTTTTACTTTTTGTTGTATGAGTTGTTCCAGCTCTCAAATTTCTATAAGAAGTTGATTGGTGTTGTGATTGACAACACCTGAAGTCAGAGTGGTCTCCTTTGGAGGCAACAGTCTTACTTGTTTAAGGATTAATTTTAATTATATAAGATGCTGGTAATTTTTGTACACGTTCCAGTAAAGTGATATGGTCATTTTGTTGCTGTTACTAGAGTATTCAGTTAGTTTCTTAGATAGTATTGGGTTCCATCAGAATTTTTATGTGTGCTATTTTCTCTTTTAAATTTATTTTTAGATAAAGGGGGGAAGGCTCTTACACAGTTTAAACAAGTCAAACATAGCATGTATTTTTAAAATTCTTGATATAAGGGGAGACAGTTGTGAAGAATCTGAAAGTTTTGGGTTGGAAACAATGAATATACAGATTGCAAACTTGTCATGGTTTATATTGAAAAGAGGAGAGAGCATGAGCAAAAGAATGAGCTGAAGCCTTTTTGCTTTGGGGATGATATGTTCAATTTGTACTTATTTTAGAATGGTCTCTTTCAGGTTCATATGGTGTATTAGAAGTTAACACTGGTTAAAAATATGCAGTGCTACGAAAAACAAATGTATCCTTCAAGGGAGTTATGATATAAAATTTTCTAAACCATCTAAATAATTTTGACTCTATATAAAAAAAGTGAGGCAAGTGATTCCTTTATAGCAGAAAAGGATTTGGACAGAATCTTGTCTTCCTGTTCCTAGATACAGGCTGCCCCTGATTTTCTTTCATTTCCTCTGCAGAGGGTATTACATGATAACCAAGCAAACTGTAGGTTGTACTGAAGCCAATTTCAGTAGCAATCATAGAGAAATCTAGGGCATTTAGAACGCGTTGCAGATGAACATAAAAAATTTGGTGATCTTCAAGAAGCTTTCTGAATATGGAAAGTGTTGACTTTCCCAGGCTGTACTCTGATCATCTGGCCCCAGGAAAACCTTTTAGTAAATGTTACAGTCCACATTTGTATTCACTGGACAGTTAGTGACTGATAACATGGTCTCCATTTACTCTGATACTGAAGACTCTGTGAGAACTATTAGTTGAAACAGGAAAAGCTCACCTTTTTAAAAGGCACCAGGTTGAACAAAAGGTTAAAATGTACTTGTGGTGAAAGATACTATACAGTTGGATATAAGCAGATTGTTGTTATCTTGGATGCTAGAAATAGTGAAATCAGCAGCAGCAATGAAGAAAGCAATATTTGGTGTAGGTGAAAGTTAGCATGGCAATTACCCTAGATGAATAGGCTTCAGTTATTACATTTTTACATGATGTATAATACTTGTATCCAAAAGACAAATGTCTATCACTTACACTAAATCAACTACATTTCATTCTACCTTATTTTTAAGTTGGATAGATTCTTAAGAGGTAATTTAATCTGTCTCCTCACAGGTCAGGACATGAGGCTCTGATTTGGAAGGTGACTTGTCAAAGTTCATTCACTTGACAAGCTGCTGACAGAGCCAAGACTAAAATTCTGACAGGTATCTGTAATTAAGAGGGCTCTTTATACTATAATTTGCTTGCGCCTTATATACTATCATAAAGTCCTTATATTTCTGTAAATTGGGCAAGTAAATCTATATTTATTACATTTCAGATGCTAAAGTGTCATGGAGATTTAGCAGAAAGCTTTTACTACAGCAACTCAAAATACAGAATTAGGAAACTACATTTAGTTTTAGCTATGCCAAAAAGTTTTAATCTGCATGTTAATATGTTGGTTAGATTTTGGCTGGCTACACTTCTACTCAACAGTTTTCCTTCATACCCTTCTTGATGGTGATAATTTGATGATTCTTCTGTCTCAGTAAACTATAATTACATAATCTTCACATAGAATTCTACTTTACTTTCTAATCTTGGACATTCAGCTGAAAAAGTTTGGAGTGGCGGAGCTTATTAAACATTTTAGACATTCTGATTTCCCCTTAACTCAGGCCTACAATGTGTATAGGAAACATATTCTCCCTCAGGCGGACATATGAGGTTAGAAAGAGCTTTAGACGTGCAGTAAACTATTGATTATATTGTTATTCCTTGCCAGGAAACATTGCTTCAGATTCTATTTCTTTTTCTTCTAGAGACAGGGTTTCACTCTGTTGTCCAGGCTGGCGTGCAGTGGTGCAGTCATAGCTCACTGTGGCCTCAAGCTCCTGGGCTCAAGTGATCCTTCTGCCTCAGCCTCCTGAGTAGCTAGGACTACAGGCCCAGCTAATTAATTTTTTTTTTTTTGGTAGAGTGAGGGTCTCACTATATTGCCCAGGCTGATCTTGAACTCCTGGCCTCAAGTGATCCTCCCAGCTTAGCCTGCACTGGGATCATTTCTGCAGATTCCTAAGAGCAAGTACTCACTGTAAATTGCAGCACAGATTCTGTACTAGACAAGTGACTAGATCTATGTTAATCAGTGACTTAGTGGGACCTCACTAGAAGCAATACCTAATAGAAAATAACTAATTATAAGAATTTATTAACTTTAATGAGGCCAATAATAGGCTCTATTTATTGAGCTGCTGCTTAGTGAGTAGCAGATGCTTTCTTTCGCCCTTCACATACCTTATCTAATTTAGTCCTCACAACATTTATCCTTATTTTACAGATGAGGAACCTGAGGTTCAAAGAAATTAAGTACTTGCCCAAGGTCTTTTAGCCTGGAAGTAAGCAATATTTGAGTCCTGATCTGTACTCAAGATACTCACAAATACTTCTTAAACACTTAAAAAAATTCAAAACAGATCCAGGTTGTTGCTCTGTATACTCTGTTTATTTGTATGTTATTGAAGTCTTAGCATCCTCCTCACTGGAGTCTCTCAGTGTGACTGGCAGCTTAAGTTTTGGCTTTTCTCTTCTCAGAGTGCTAGCTGTTTTCAGCCTTTGTTGGGAATAGAGAACTATCAAGAGTTCACATGTAACTGAAGTACCAATAAGGTGAATATAAATTTCTTTCTGAAAAAAAAATTACCCCACTCTTGTGAAACTGCATGGAGAGCCAAAGGGTTGACAGAATCACTTCTTAAAATCTATGTGTAACTCCCTGTTACTTGTGTGGGAATTTTCTGGACGTACTTTGAAACACTGGCTGGCTTCCTCAAGTCTGCTGTGCGGTCACCTTATTCTGTATAGATTGTTTCTAGGGGAAGAAATATTATTTTTATGTAAGCTTACTTTTATTAAAATTAGGCAGATATAGCTCCTGATCTTCTGTGGAAGTATCCTCCTAGGTTGTATAAAACTGATTTGATTCTAGGAATGTACCCATGATCTCAAGGTATCTTTTAGACAAACACATTTTTAGTCAGTGAACATGACCAGTTACTGAGCCTGTGGTGGCCTAACAGTGGAATTGCAGAAATTTCAAGATTTACACATTTGTTTTCTGTTCCTAACTTTTGATTTCCGTAATCCAAGATTTCCAGAAATGTGTGTAGAGTTCTGACAAATAGTTATCAGAATGGAATTGCCAGTATTGCAGTTTGCTTTGTGAGAGCAAGATTTTAAGAGATTATTTTACCATGCCTGTTTATCCCATGACTCTATCTAAAGTAAAGTTGTTGGGGAATTTTGAATATTGCTCTCAATCGTTTAAAGTTGAAATGAATTTACTACTCCTAATAGGAAGGAAAGTGCTAGCTAAAGTATCTAGTTGCAAAAGAGAATTTGAAAATGGAAATATCTGACTCAAAGGATAAATAGAACTTGCAGTAGCTGGTGCTTAAGGAAGCTCTTTTGTCATATGAAGCCAATAAACTAAAATGGTTTTTCTTCCCCTGGTGTAAACTTGTACTTAAGCTGGGCTGGAAGTGATCTTTGGGTTTTAATGGGCATGGCTGGGTTTATCCTACAGAGGTTTAAGGAGATGGGTGGCTTTTCTTTCTAGGCTAAGGCAAACAGAGTACTGGCTGCCAAACCATTTGAGGGCTTGTGTAAGTGCCAGGAAAAGTGCCATTCAAGTAGTGAAACAACAGAAGGTTGGAGTTTCTTTAGGGATACATGGAATAAAAATAAAATGAATTCTTACTATCTGGATATGCTTTGTGAAAAATTGTTTTGAAAAAATTGTCTACTACTGCTTATATAATGGTATTTACCCTGTTGAGGATGCCTTATGACTATCAGTGGCCTGTTTTTTTCGTAGAATGTCTGACTACCTCCATGAGAATAATTGATAAGTACCTTTAAAATATCCTGCAGTGCTCAAGTACAGTTGACCCTTGAACAGTGTGGGTTTGAACTGTGTGGGTCCATTTATACACGGATTTTTTTTCAATCAAGTGTAGATCAGAAATAACAGTGCTTGGCGGGATGCAAGGCCTGTGTATACTGAGGGACTTTTCATATACCTGAGTTCCGCAGGGCCAACTGCAAGAAGTGAGTATGCACCTATTTTGGTATCTGTGGGGGTGCTGGAACCAGTCCCCCTCACGTATACCCAGGGATGACTGTACTTATGATGGCTATTATTTCTCTCATATTACAGGGGCGTAAACATAAGTGATGTTAGTTTGTTTAAGATTATTTAGTTGGTGAGTGATGGAGCTAGGGTTGGAATCAAAGTAAGAGTTCTCTTGGTTACACCATGCTGCTTCCTTGTGCAATAAATATTCACTGAATATCTCAAAGAGCCAGTGTTCTGTGCAGTGTACTGCAGAAGTTACTGTGTAAGAGTTTAATCTTTCTCTAAGTATAATTTTAAGTTATCTCTTTATGTTTAATTACGAAATTTTATAAACCCATTTAAAAAGTAAACTGAACAATTTAAAAACAGCAGAAGTGCTTCCTTTTTACTCATCTTTATGATTTTAAGAGTAATTAGTTGCTAAGTTCATATATTCCTGAATTGTTCTAAAGTAAAGCAACCATGTAAAATGCAGTTGTTTTTTAAAGAAGGTACAGGAGACAAGAAATCTAGGAGAATGTTTCTTCAGTTGTGACTCATTTAACTTTCAGGGCCAGTTGAAATTCATAAATGTTCACATTTGTTAATCAGAATCCAGGGTACTTCAGTAAGTGCTTGGTAAAGTATTAGAGATTTGGTGGGTTTATTCAGTACCAGTTGTATTTCAAGAATTGAACTCCTCTAACTATGTTGAATACCTGGTTCACTTTACTTTCTAATCAGAAATTTGTTCACTTTGTGTCTGTGACTATATCTGCACAGTGGTTGCTAGATAAATGTAGGATAACTCTTAACCTTTCACCCTACAGAGGTTAGCAAAACTATCACATTAGGCCTGAGGAAGAAGCAGCATAGGAGAAATGTAAATATGCGAGCACTTTGAAGATAAATCAGTGGCTGACACAAGACCAGTAATATACTCAAGACCCTTGGATGTCTGAAATGGCAAAGCGAATTATGCAGTGTGCTTGCAAGCACACATGCTTGTGCATGCATGCACATGCAGAAGGTTAAAATGGTTTTAAATGCTATGAGGTCTCTAATTCAGGTTCACTGAGTGGTCCAGTTGTCTAAATTAGTTCTGTCATACCGTCACGTTGTGATTATCGTCTAGAGCAGTCCTATCTAATAGAACAACTGTGATGATGCAAACGTTCTGTATTCTGTACTGTCCAGAATAGTAGCCACCAGCCCCATATGGCTATTTAGCACTAGGAATATGATTAGTGAAACTGAGGAGATCTGAATTTTTAAAATTAAATTTATATTATATGTAACAGTTACATATGATTGGCGGCTACCATATATAGTGTGAAACAATTATTTGTGACACTAAAGGATAGAACGATGTTGGATCGATAGAACATATTGATTTTGGTTCAGCTTAAGGATGTCATTTCCTTTTGTTTGTTTGTTTGTTTGTTTTGGAGACGGAGTCTCGCTCTGTCACGCAGGCTGGATTGCAGTAGCACAATCTCAGCTCACTGCAACCTCTGCCTCCTGGGTTCAGGCGATTCTCCTGCCTCAGCCTCCTGAGTAGCTGGGACTACAGGCACATACCACCACACCTGGCTAATTTTTTGTATTTTTGTGGAGACGAGATTTCACTCTGTTGCCCAGGCTGGTCTCGAACTCGGGAGCTCAGGCATTCTGCCCACCTCGGCATCCCAAAGTGCTGGGATTACAGGCGTGAGCCACCATGCCCAGCCAGGATGCCAATTCTAATATATGTCCCATTGAGCGTTAGACTGTGAGGAATGCACATCCTCAAATCCTCACATCCTCAAATGCACATCCACATCTTCAAAACATAAAGTTTTGAA
This sequence comes from Homo sapiens, assembly GCF_000001405.40. Lineage (NCBI taxonomy): Eukaryota > Metazoa > Chordata > Mammalia > Primates > Hominidae > Homo > Homo sapiens. The sequence goes on from NC_000003.12 coordinate 191,344,993, forward strand.
GAGAACCTTAGTGACTTCTTGATGGGAATAGAAAGACAGAGCCCAGGAATCAATTTGATGGGCACTCAGAATAAATGATGTCCTGATTGAGCTCATTTTGAGGTTATGGGATGTTTCTTGAGAAGAAAGGAAGCTTAACTTGAGTGCTTTCTGTTAATACCTGCATCAGCATCTTCTAAGAATAGACAAGGTCTAAGTCTTAACTTTTCTTGGGTAGCTTCTGTTTTGTTACTCCCAGCAAAAAAAGGTTTTGGATTCAAAGCACCAATCCATACAGTTGTTGGCTTTAACACAGGAAGCTTATGAGGTTGTCCATGTTTGCGGGCATTTTAAAAATCATTTATGGTAGCTGAGTCAGATAAACCTTATATGGAAAGTTTTATCTGTGTTCGACAGTTTAACCAATATAAGTAAAGACTGCTCTGTTTCTACCTTGCTACCTTTTCCCTGCTTTTTCACTCTTCCTCTCACTCCAGATCATTTGTGCTGTCAGATGGAAATTCTGACTCAGCCATTTTCTCTTTCCCAATAAGTTACCCACTTTACTCTGTGGTCGCTGATAATGATGTAGATGGTCTATGATATTAAAGTAGTACTTCTGATGTGAGGACTTATATCATCTCAGCATTTTCAAAACCCGCTTGCCTGCAATCTGGTGTATCTGCGGTTAGCCATAACATATCTACTTGCCAAACAAGTGGTTTAGGTTACCGGGGTTTTCATTTAACTTTGAATTTAGGGGATTAGAAAAAAAAATAACTCAGGAACATACTTTGATAAATTACGTGAGAATGAAATGTTGGGATTCAATCAGTTTTACTTTTCAGAATGATTCTTCGCAGTGTGTTTGTTGAAGTGTGCATGTGTTGTTGGCACACATTTAAAACTTATGCTTATTACCCTTGTAAAACTGTTGATGATGCTATTATATAATATAGTGCTCCCTATTTTAAGTTGCCACGTGATAACTGAATTTACTTGTACAGTTGATACTAATAAAACATTTCTTTGCAGTAAAGAGCTGGTATAATTTCTCCATTCTGATAATGAAAACTGAACAACTTTTCATATTTCTCTTCTTACATTGGTGTTCAGGAAGATTGTCGACAAATTTGGGACCATATGTGGGCTTTACTTTTGTTAATTTTCAAAGGAGCATTATAAAATAAATCAATAAAATTGCTACTACAACTGATTTTCTTCCTTGTAAATATTTCTTGCTTCACTGTTTAGATGCTTATATTAGAATAAAAACATGTATCTCTCTTTATTATGAAATATTTTGAAAAGGATTATCAGATTCGCCTTCATGGAAGATGAATTGGAAAATATAGAAGTGTTTAAAACGGAAGATAAGCTACATTGTAATCTCATAGTATGTTGTTAATGTTAGAATTTTGATGTTTATTCTTTCTGGTACCTTCTAAATTTAAATAGAAAAGTCAAGTATTTCAAATATAGTCAGGGTATCCTATAGGGAGGCATAAGATCAGCCCTAGACTCTGCCTGTAACATGGAGAGTACGTTTGGGACTTAACCTGTGCATTAACCCGTATGATATGCTACATGGATGATTATCCATAGGGTGTATAAAAATAACAGACCTCAGAATGTCAGTTGTTTCTACAAAACACCTACATACACTCTGGAGAATGTGAGTGCTTTGAGGCTGGAACTAGGACCAGTGGATAATCACTATAGGTTGGCAGATTTTGTCCTTTTGAAGACAGTTTTACCTCTGGTTATTGGAAAAATGGGCTGTGTTTTAAAATAAAGGGAGTTTCCGGTGGCTGAAACATTTAAAAGGAGTCCAGATGATTGCTTGGACAAGATAAGGCTGAATTTGACAACGATTAAAACCCTTTTTGATAGTGTATCTATAATTTTAATAAAGTGATAGATCAGCATCTTTTTATGAACAGTGACTGAAATTTAGAAGTATTTGAGGAAACTAGGAAGCCCAGTCTGCCATTTAGGACCATTATTATTGGAAATAGGATTACAGATTCTTGATACTCTTGACAGTTTGGTGCTCTAACCAATAAGGTGACTTTAGCAGGTCAGATATTTGTAAGAAGTTTGCAGAGGATCCTGAGTTATGCTATTCTGGTGTTTGTAAAACTTTTTGTGAAAAAGGCAGCTTTCTATCTGTGATGTTTATTGCAGGATAATTAACCCGGAAAATGTCTTTCTGTTACTAGAATTTCTGAAGGTTTTTCTCCTTTCTTCTTATTTTTTGGATATCAACCTTGAGTTGTGTTTTTCCATTCACCTTATACTTAATTTATTAACATTTTGTAATTCTTGGGATGATTTGGCAGTTTGCAACTACAGGGGAGTTCTAAGGATGTGGGGCAGTTTTCTCAAACCAGTAATTCTGGAGACTAGCTCCAGATTGTGCAAATTCCTGCTAGCACCTCAGCACATACTGCTTTATCTGCTTTAAATGCCACATAAATCCTAAGCACCCCGTTGCATTGTTTAGCTGAACAAATACATCCGTATGTATACACACATTTTTCTTGATTCTGAGCTCTAATCTTAACAGTGCCACTCATTTAACTATGCGATCTTGGGCATATTATTACAAATCTCAGCCATCATTTCTTTGTAAGTTGAGTGATCTGTTTAATTGTGGCCCAAAGAAACCAAGAATTGACCACCTGCCTGTATATATCACTTTTCTAGGTATTCTAGGATCCTATTAGGCAACATATCCTTTCATTATAATAAAGCTGAAATTCCAGGTGAAGGAATTTACTGTTGTTTGAGGTAGTATTGATAGACATGTAGCTCCATAGCCTTGTTTCAGATAAGCTGGAGGATGTGGATGAATGAATATGCTGGATGGATGTGGGTGGAAAAATTCAACATTTCGTGTTATGTCCTGTGCACTAGTCGTCATTGTTCTCAGGATCCATCTTTTTCACAAGCATTTATTTGAAAGTCACTATCCTGGGCACTGGGATAAATGTTGGAGATAAAATGATCCATAATATTTTTCTTGCCTTTCAGGATCTAGAATATATGCTGGGGAAACATGAGTAAAAATTTTTAATGATATAATTAGTGCTACAGTTCTATCCTGTAAACTACGTGCTATGAAAGCACTGAAAGAAAATGATAGATGAGTCTGCTGTATGTTTGTGAGTCAGCTACATAGGTGACATTTGAATGGGGGTCTTGTAGGTTGATTGTGAATTTTCTAGATGGTAGAGGGGTGGTTGGGTGCTTTGGGCAGATGGAACACAGAGATTCCCCCACCATCATCTGTGTAATAATGGTGACTAAGCTTCTTTCCCATTTGCAAGCCTCTCCCATTCTCTGTGTTTCATTCTCACAACAACCAAGCAACCAAAAACAGAGACCAAAACCAATAACCATAAGAATCTCTAAACAGATGAAATATTGGTAAATATTGCTTGGTTCCTTAGTCATCTGTATAAGGTGTAGAGTGAAAATGTTTGTCTTTCACAAAGAAATTGCAAAAATTCTGTGTCGACTTTGTGGACAGTCTAGTAGTGGGATTATTATACTAAGGATAATAACTACAAGACAGTGCATCTGATTTAATTGTATTATGGATCTCTGTTTAGAAGGATCATCTATCTCCCAGACAGGTGGAATATCATGGCATATTGGAAAGAACAGGGAATTTGGAGACTTAATTAGAAAAGTAGCCCTGCCATTGATTGCTTTGACTAGTAACAAAATAAATGAAGATGGAACACCTATGTAGATTATTTGCTTAGCTTCAGCCAAAATTAGATGCCACTACCCTCCCACTGTCATACTGTGTTTAGATTTTGTTAATTTCAATGGCATGAAAATTTTAGAACACTAAAAAATGGAGAAGGATCAAAAGTTTGTGTTACCCTTTGTTCTGTAGTAAATGAATTGCTCACGTATTACTTAAGTGTTCTTTTGTTTTCAGCCTTGAGCCTGAAAGTGAGAAATTTTAGCTATCAGTGATCAGCAACTCAGAACTAAGTTTGCTTTTATGGGGCTCATAATTGGGGTATTTGAGTGAGCATAAGAGCGTGTCTGCTGTCTATAGCCAAGCATCTCTAAGCTCCCTACTTGCCCTGCTGATGGGGGTGGAGGAGGGGGTTGGTTTTGCTAATGATATTGGCGGTAGTGATATTGATGTCATTTTGTTGATCTCTATATAAAGATTGCTGGGGTTGAGAATGTAGAGGATTTTTCATTAGGATAAGATCTATTCAGTTTCTCTGAATCCCATTTCTCTTTTACTGTGGTAATTTTATTAGAACTTTTAATAAAGAGAAGAAACTCTAACAGATTAGGGAGACATTTCTTTTGTAGGGTAGCGTAAAAGTTTTACAAAATACGTTTATTATTTCAAAGTGTCATTAATATATCTTAGACACATGAGTCTAAAATTGAACAATATCTTCTCTTCCCAAATGGAGGGAAACTTGTGGATGTTGAAAAGAGGGTTAGAGAGATGAGGGCAAGTGGTAGGTCCCAAAGAGAGATTTCCCTTAGAATTTTTCACTGTAGTCACTACCTAGGGTTTCCTGTAGGTCACTTAGGAAACACTGTGAAAGAATCGGAAGGATGGGGTGGTGGGAAGAGGGTGAGAGATGAGAAGGTACTTAATGAAGTACAGTGTACATTATTCAGGTGGTGATTACGGTAAAAGCCCAGACTTCACTACTAGACAGTATATCCATATAACTAAGCTGCACTTGAAACCCTTAAATTTATACAATTAAGAAACTTTTTATTCCTGTTTTTTCAGGTGTAAATATAGGCCGACTGTGATTGCTAGAAGTCTATTCTTGGGAGACAGTGAGGCAAAGTAAACTAGGTCTCATTTTTATTTGCATTTTGGGGGACATGGAAACCACTTTCTGAATACATGTACCATCTTTACTAAAAATTACTTTTATCCTTGATTTTAAAGAACTTAATGCCCATTTATCTTATTTTAACTAGTATTTAATAATACCCCCCCCCTCCCTTTTTTTTTCCTGATACTCTAAGCAGAAATATCTGGGGCAAGAAGAGGTGGATTTGATTTCCAGTTCATTTGTTTTATTTGTTGGGTAGTCTTATTCAAGCCGTTTTATTTCTCTTGAGCCTTAGTTTCCTCATAAGTAAAATGGGGATGTTGATAAAGCCTTTATCCTCAGATGGTTAGGAGGAATAAATGTGAAAGTGCATTGTAATTTATGAAGTGCTGTATAAATTTCAGTTGTGGCTGTCTGTTATTACCAAACTTTCACAAGACAAAATGTATCTCTTGAATATCTTTCTTGTTCATAGTAGATGTTTTCATGTATACAGAACAAAGGAAAGCAAGCATAATCCCTGCTTTCAAAGCAGAGTATATAGTCCCTCTGCTACTCATAGCATTTACATAAAAAGAATAATTCACAAAATTCTACCATTCTATAAAAGGGAAAACAGACACAGGTGAAAGAAATAGCCTCTAGTTAATGTGGTATTAATCCAGGCATTTTTATGTGGATGGAAGCTTTTAAAGATGAATCATGGCAATTGTAATTTCCGAAAGTCTTAGGATGTAGGTAAAAGAACAACGGAAAGGAAATGGCTTTTTTTTCACTTCCTTTTTAGTTTATGTAGAATTAGTTGGGAAAGCACTGGGAATGTGCACATTATTTGGATAATGTGTGAAAGGAACGTGTAGCCGTTCATGGAATCAGAAAATTCTGGCTTTGGTTGAAATGGGGTGATAGATAGGTACTCATTCTGCATACTTGACTGAGGTGAAAGAAGGAGTTCTTGATAGCAGGAGTGCTGTTCACTGTTTAGATTTGGTTAATCTTGTGCAGAGCTTTTAAACTTTTGAGCAGAGTTAGTTTAGCAAAATGTCCCCCACTAAGTTTTTTTCTCACCGGCATTGCCAGTATAAATACAAGTTAAGTTCCTGATTCTTGGCCAAAATTTGAGACTGTGTTCCTTTAGTGGAAGAGTAAACAAAATTCCTGCTGCCCTTTAGGGGTATGTGTGTATGTGGGGGATGTGGCAGGGGTTGGGAGGGGGCACTTCTCTTTGTCCCTGAGAAAAAGATAAGGGGATTCTAAAGACTCTTACCCCATCACTTGTAAATCTGAATCACCTCTTTGAAACAGTCTTTAAAAAGAATATTTTGTTTCTGAGTGAGAAGGAGAGAAACTTGCTGTAAATGAGCTTTTTAAAATAACAATCTGAAATACGTTTTATGAAAAATGCTCAGAGTTTACTTATTTCTTTGTTGGTGAAAGCTGAGGAGATCTTAATCTAGTACTGTTAATGACTAAGAAAAGAATTTTTTAAAGGCTGTTTTAGGCCTCCAAATTTGATGTCATTTGGGCTGGAATTTTAAGAGACATTCAAATCAATGTTGATCAGTTTCCTTTTAAAGTGTTGAATTATTAAAATATACAAATTTTGTCTCTATTTTTCTACTGATTGCCAAGGGGAGGGCAGACAAGGGTGTTACCTGTAGAAGGAGAACAAGTAGTTCTGCTTCAAAGTTCATAGAATGCTCCTACAGTTATTGGTAGGGAATTGGGGAGTGGGCTGTGTCTGGAGCTGGAGGGGTAAAGTTGGCAAGTAGATGTACCTGAAAAAAGGTGTGTGAGGAGAAACAATAAGGCGAAAACAAAAATGAGAGACTTCGGAAGCAAATGCAAGAAGAGAAAAAATATAAGAGATAGAGTTTGGTTGGCGTGAGGTGGAGTGGGGTGGTAAATCACCAGATTTTCTTTGGTACATTTCAGGTAAGTTGTATACCAGGAAGCCTATGTAAAAAAAGAACCAATTCCTTATGAGGGTGCACAGGGTCTTTCCTATCCCATCTCTTGCTGTAATTCTCTTTGGGGCTTCTGTGCTCCGGACACACACAACTCCAGGATGGCCTGTGGGTTTTCATCTTTTTGTCTTTTTCCATAATTGACCCCTTTGCCAAGAATGTTTACCGCTTCTGTGCATAGGAATTTTAACTTACCTTGAGATACATTTCGTGTTAATTACTTTAAGGTTTCTTGATACACGGTTTCTTGATACATTCTGTTTAAATCACCCCCACTTCTTACATCCACCCCCAGTTCATAACAAGCATAACTGTTCCAGTGTTTATGACTTCAAAGAATTTTCTTTAGTACAACTAATTGTCTTTAGTACAGTGTTTATTAACTTACATTATACCTGTTTTCCTCTCTGATATTTCATCTCAGTGATGGCTTGGAGATGACTCATTCATCCTGAAATAGAGTTCAACACATGTTTATTGAGTAAATGGTGTTGATTAGGTGCATACTATGCCATTCATGTATTTAGGGGGAGATCAACAACTCAATGAAAATCATTCTTTAAGGAAATGGATGGGGGGTATATATATGTATGTATTTATGTATGTCAGCCAGTCCTCCTTTCCATTTCTAAGACCTGCTTGGCCTATTGTAAATTAATTCACTGTATATACAGGCATCCCTCATTTTATTGCACTTTGCTTTACTGCGCTTTGGACAAACTATGTGTTTTACAAATTGAAGGTGTGTAGCAAGCATTTCTTAGTAATAATGTGTTTTTAAATTTAGATATGTACATAACCTGTTTAGACTGAATTCCATCGTACATTTAATAGACTATCAATAGACTATATTAATAGACTATAGTGTAAACATAACTTTTATATGTACTAGGAAACCAAAAAATCGTGTGATTCATTTTATTGCAATATTTGCTTTATTGCAGTGGTCTGGAACCAAACCTGCAGTATCTCCAAGATATGCCTATATTTAGATTAACATATTGAAACTCCTTTAATGAGAATGGGGATAGGGTTCTAGTTTTATGTAGTTTGTTTATTACTAAATTTGTTTAAATGATGTTTGACATATTAGTGTGTTATGCTGTCATAATAGCAGAGTTTAATTCTGTTTATGACATTATTTTCTTCCTTTCTCCTACTCTTGTTTGACTTTATGATCCAGCTTTATTTTTTTTTTTTTAACTTCTTTCAATTAACGAGCACACATTGTGTGGAAGGTGCAGAAAGTACACCCACAAAGTCCCTGCTATGAAGAGCTTGCAGCTGGATAGGGAAGCAGCTGTGTGCTCGAATTTCAGAGCAAAGTGCATTTCTTTCTGTTAATGCTCTTCTAAGCAATGAGGCAGAGTTGTACGGCTTTTAATGTTCAAAAGAGACTTAGCCACCATCCCTAACACTGGGAAAATGTCTGGGCAGAGGGGAGAGCCTACGGGACCATTGAGATCTGGTGGGAACAAAGAATAGTTGTGTAATTGACTATGGTGGGAAGCTCATTTTAATAGCAGACTGGGACTAGTAGAAGATGTTGATAGAGTTGGCTTACGGCAAGAAGGTCAGCCTGAGTTCTGAATGAGTGAAGGTGAACATGGGAGGCAAAAAGTTTGAGAAATGGGAGGGTGAAAGGTGGTTCACCTTAAATGTGCCCACAGAGAAAGGTGGGAAGATGAGTGTATGCCGTTTATCCTCAGTAGGCTGTTTATGCTGTTTACATCGAAGGCAGAGGAGGTTAGAAAAGGAGAAAAGTTCTCTTCATGCTCTGAGCGTGGCCTGGCTGTGAAATAGTTTCAGTAATTCTCAATCTGGTTACTGATTTACAAAGTTGACTGAATATGTGATTGTTTTCCAGGTTGTGCTAGAATACTGATGGAGGGAATACAGAGGCAAATCTTGAAAAAAATTAGAGTGGGTTCAGAAGAAATTATATATTGGGCAAGTAATATTTCAGTATAAATGAGATTATATGTTTGGAAACTCCTAGTAACCTCCGAAGGGCAAAGTCAGTGTATTTGACAATACAACTCTCTGTGTGTATGTGTTCATGTACTTCCTCATAATCATTGAAAATCTTCCAGATCCCCTTCTAGCTCAGGCCCTCCTCATATCTTTTGGGTACTAGTTCAGCTTCTGCAGATTCAGGGACAAATTGCAATAATAGAATATACTTCAGTCTTGCTGTTGAGATAGTAAGAAATCATTATGAGGAGTCATCAAGGTAATCAGCAATTCGGAAATTTCTCACACCTGTTATAATGTGTCAAACCATATCTTCATGTTCATGGTTTAGCAATATGTGCTGTTGACAACATGAAATAAGTGAATTTAATTATAGAACTTAAAATGTAATATGTAAGACATTTAAAAAGCACAGGAAATAGAAAAACCCATGAACCTACCACCCACATCAAATGTTAATATTTTGCCTTATTGTGTATCTTTTCTCTTTTTGCTTTTGAAGCAGAATGGCTCATGCAGCTAAGGCACTCATGCCCCTCTTCGTCTCTCTGGAGAGAGAACTACTGTTTGGAGTTAAGTTTGTGTCAGTGCCATATTATTAAAAAAATTTTTTTTAACCATAGGTATATCTATCTACAAACTATATTTTAATGTTTAATGTTCTGCTGACTGAAGTTAAGAAATATTTTTAAAATTATTGTAGTTCTTCACATGATTCTCCACATGGAAAAATGTAATAATTTCATAATTTTTAATTTTAGTTAGCATGGTATTAGAAACATAGAAAACATATTTTTGGCGTAACGTTCTGACCTAATAACATAAATTGAAGTGGCTTTTAAGCTTTTTGTAATCTATAGAATGATGTGTGTTTTACATTTTGACCTAGTACCTATCATCTCTGTATGTATATATTTCTGTGATGTTTATATATAATACGGGAAAAGTTTCCCCAAACTAGTTTCCTGTACTGTGTGTGATTTATACTAGTCCCTTCGTATTTGTGGGGTGGGGTGTAGAGGTGGTTCCAAGACCTCACATGGATACTAAAAATCTATGGATACTTCAGCCCCTAATATAAAATGGGGTAGTATTTGCATATAATTCATACATATTCTACTGTATACTTCACATTGTCTGTAGATTACTTATACTACCTAATACCGTTCATTTAGGAAACAATGATAAGAAAAAATGTCTGTATGTATTCAGTACAGCCACATTTTTTTTTCCTGAATATTTTTTATTTGTGGTTGATTTAATCCATGAATCCAAAACTCAGGGCTATGAGAGCCAACTGTCCTCTGTTATTCTCTAGACTATTGACTTTTAAAATGCCTTTCTCAGGCTTAGTAAATTGATTTTTTGACCTAATAATAGATTGCCACCCATAATTTGAAAATCATTAAGAGTAATCTTAAATTTGATCTAATCATAATTAATCTAAAATTAAGACTGACTTTTAATATATAAGCACAAGCTTTTCCAGTATAATAAAGGTGTTTTAAATGATAGGTCAATACATTAAAATAACATTCTTTACACAAGATTTGATTATATTTATTTTAGCTAATTCATTAATTTTTGTAAATTAAGTCCGTGTATGTCTTACCCATTTAAAAATTAGATATTAATTAATTGAAGTGTTTTAGAGAATATGCGATGGTTAATGTAGAATATTTTCTTTCTGTCTATTCTTACCATGATTTACCTGGAGGGAAGGAGGGCCATCATTGTGTCAGGGAAGGGGAAGGAGCTCTTGAGCTCTTGCTGGCTTAGATGTTGACCCCCAAGCCCTGTCACCAGTGAACTCTGTACAGCCTTAGAAAACCCCTTCTTCCTTCTGGCTTTCAGTTTCCTCACTTATTAAATGAGGGTGTTATCTAGCTCATCTTGAAACTACTTTTATTCTGTGAAACATAAGGTAACTAGGACCTGGGCTTCAAGATATTAGAATCGGTTGAGAATATGAAAAGCTGATGAAAAAGAACAGGGCTTTCTGTTCGAATTACTGGTTTTGCTGTTATGTTTGAGCGAGGATTAAGCAGGTTGTATCCAGTTGAATATAGTTCTTGGGCAAGAATTATTCCTCCATTATAAAACCATTTCAAAATAATCTTGACCTCCCCAAGATCTCCCTCCCTTTTTGTGGCATTATCCCTCAGTCGTGAAGGACACAACTAATGTTGAGTGTATATGTGAACATACATAAGTGCAAAGAACGGCAAAGGAACGTTTTTCATTCTGTTTCAGTTAAGTGTCCTCATAGGCAAATCCAAAGCTTCGGAAAGAAATCTATCACTTTTCCTAAGCCCTGGGGAATGTTTCATGAGTCCTACTCAATTGCAGTAATCTGAGGCTTTGGGGAATTTCCTTTTTTTAACATGAATTACATGCTTGGAATAGAGTGAGAACATATCACCTAAACTACACGTCCTTAAAACAGCACTTTACATGATGAATCCTTCATGTTTTGTCTGTTTGTATGTTTACGAAGCAGGAGTTTAAATTGCAGCTTGGGGTAAACATGGATACCATTGTTTACCCCAAACCATTTCTTCAAGACCATTTCTTCCCATTTTGCTTCTGAGAAGACAGGTCAGGAAATGCCCTTGCCTGGCTCTTCAGGTGGAGGCAGAGTTGGGGCAGATTCCTGGTTTCCTTCAGGGTTCCCATTTTCTTTTGGTTTGTAGATTATTTTGGGGCAGCCCAAGGTTTAGAGGGACCTAGAGACCTAGTTCTAACTCATGTCCCTGGGGATTGACCCACTGAAGAATGTTTAAGAAATTAAGAATTTTTAAAGTAGAGCTCTGCCCCTACCTGAGGGACTAGTGAAAATATATTTTTTCTTGAAAGACGCCAGGGTAGACATAAATTGCTGGGAGAGGATCGTCTGAACCACAGGGAAGCATAGATTAGATTTCTTTTAACACCTCTAATTATGCAGTAACTCAGTTCTCTCTCAGTAGCAATATGCAAAGCATGACTGATACGTCTGTTATTTCAGCAGCACTTAACCCTCCATTTATAGAAGTGGATTGGAATTTCTAGACCTCTGGAATCTGATTCTGTAAATGTTCTCACCTCAGGCCAGGGGCCAAGGCTAACCAGTATTTTGTGACACCCTGTGCTTGGCACTAAGCAGGCACTATAGATTTTTGTGACTAAAGACTGCATACTTAACTAGTCACTATTTTATGCATTGAGAATTATAAAGTGTGTCATTCTGAAATATTAGAATTGATTTTTTTTAAAGTAAAAAAAAAAAATCCTTTCCTTTGTATGTTAAAGTATTACTAATGAGCCTTCCTGTCTGTTTTTCCTCCATCTACTCTAGTATGCCGAGATTTTGCTGTCCTGGAGGACCACACCCTGGCTCACAGCCTGCAGGAACAAGAGAGTGAGTAATACCTCTCATTTATGCTCCTTCAGTTTTCTTTTTTTAGTGGTAGCTTGAGGCTGGTTTCTTAGGGCTTAGGTGGGGAGAGAGCACAGTCACTTGGCTTCACCATCCATACATCCTGAAGGATTTCTTTAGGCAAATGATGCCTGGGTGATCAGTGAAGTTTCGGGCATGTTAAGTAAGATAGGCTGCCAGGAATTAGTAGACTGCTGCGTCTGTAGGAGGAAAAAGAGAGGTTTGAACCTTTTTCCTAGCCTCTTGTTGTAGGAGGGACACAATGGTTGTAGATTTATCTGGGGTGCGTAGAAGGAATCTATTCTTGCTCCTAGGATAGGGACTTGAACAGTTTTCCCAGGCAACTGTGGTATAAATGAGATCACATTGTGAATTTTTCTGAATCTTTTTTTCCATGTGGTGATGAAAAGTAAATCTAAGCTATGCATGTTATATTAAAGTACATACTTGTGAATATATGATTTGTGAATTCACATATCAATATAAAATTGACATTTTGAAAAATGCGGTTAATAAATAGAGTGACAACATGTAGTAGTAGAAAGAGCATTGGCCCTGGCTTTAGAATATTTGTGTAGATGTCCTGGCACTGCCACTTTGTTGCCGTGTGACCAAAGGCAAATTATTTAATCTTTTTGATCCTCTTTTTACTTAATGGAAAAGTGGGGATAATAATTCCTTGCTCTTTATTATATATTGTTGTTGAGACAATAAAATGAAGTGATGGATGCAAAGCTGTTGTTATGGTAAAGCTCTTAAGATTATTATGGCATTTATTACTAACAAACCAAGACATTATTCATTCCTGTCCTCAATCTTTTTGTTCCAGTTGAGCATCATTTGGCATCGAACGTTCAGCGGAACCGTTTGGTCCAGCATGATCTCCAGGTGGCTAAGCAGCTCCAAGAGGAAGATCTGAAAGCGCAGGCCCAGCTCCAGAAGCGCTACAAAGACCTGTGAGGATTTGGGAGGTGGGAGGGGTGATGCAAGACTGGTTTTCTCTGTGGAGCTAGCAACCAGGGCAGGGGAGAAGGAGACTACTTCTGTTCCTCTGATTCCTTCTACTGTTAGATTACAAATCTTACCCTGGATGTCTAACAGTTTTTTTGATTTGAAAATGTTTTGTTTTTGTTGGAGCACTTGACCAGGTTTAAGGACATGTTGATGATGGTGTGAATTTTAACATTTTTTAGCTGTTATGACCTTGGGCCAGTTAGTCAACTTCTCTGAATTTATTTTCCTTACCCATAACATGCGGATAATAATCTCTGTCCCCTCTGCCTCATAGTTTCTTTGGGGGATCCAGTGAAATAGTGGACATCAAATAACTTTATGGGTTGTATTGGTTCCTTTACTATGTTCTAGCTGTGTTTGCCGCTCTTACTTTCCTTGCTTTTCAGTACATAGCAGAATGTTCTGAAAAGCTCTGAAGTGTAGACTCAGTTTTTTTCATAACTTCAGTGTCTGACAAAAGTTCTCTCTAGTAGCCTCCTTTAACACACAGATAAACGGAAATGATTATTTCTCAGGTTTCTTTTGGCACAGTGACTTTTATTCTGTTTCAGTGTTATAAAGCTCCCAGGATACATTTCTTCTTTGAGAGTGGCTCTTACATCCTAAATCTTTAATGTGGGTAGATTTAACCACAGATACTGTGTTGAGGAGGAAGGGGTAAAGGAAAAATGGAAGGAACCCCTTAATTTACTTCAGTGTCATATTCAGGTAAAAAGGAAAGCCAGTCATTTTTGCTAACTTATAGGAAGGGTTTGTCTTTCTGTTTATTATTTGTAGAGAGGACTTTATTAATCATTTTGTTAAGCTTCCCTTATTTTGTAAATAAACACTTTTATTGATTCATGCTAAATCTGGCACCATGAAAGGAGACCAGAGATATGAATAAGACAGCTGTTGCCTTTAAGGGCCTCAGGAAAACACCTTGAGCATTGTGTATCTAGAGATACGTGCATGAGTCACAGAGAATTGAAATGTAAATTTCAGGCCTATTTAGAGAGAAGAGACTGGGAAAAGCTTCACAAGACGATGTGTTTAATCTGAAACTTGAAGGTTAATTAGAAGTTTATAGTGATGGGGAAAACCATTCTAGCCAGAAGGAGCAGCATGCATAAGGGCAGGAGGTAAGAGGACTTGGAATCAATCTCACGTTAGCTGCAAGAAGTTCAGTGTTGCTGGAGTGGAGAGTGTATTTACAGGCAGAAGTAGGAAGTGAGGCCAGGAAAGTAGTCAAAAGCTGGATCAAAAGGGTCACGATAAGTTATGTTAAAGATTTCAGGTTTTGTAGATTTTAAATTATAAGGAATGGAGAACCTTTGAAGTAGTTTCAGATTTTCATTTTGGGATCTATTCTGTAGACTAGGTGGGTAAAGGCTTGGAGTGGGCAAGATTTGAAGGCAGCTGTTGAGCAATGGTCAAATTAAGAGATGGTGAGGCTTGAATGAGGACAGTGGTGACAGAGAGGAAGGAGATGATGAGGCCTAAATTGAAGGTCATGGTAATGGAGATGTAAAGAGGAGGAGAGATATTTGAGATGTTATGAGGCTCAGTGTCACAGGTTAAGGTGAGAACCAAAGCTAGAATGTTCTAGAGTTCTAAATTCATTGCCCTTTACATTATTCACAATTCTCTGTTAGAAAGGCCAGTTCTGAGGTTGATGCAGATGTTTAAAATCCTGAATTAGGTTAATAACAGTATAATGAGCTTTTTCAGAAATTATCAAGACAAACCACTCAAATATAAATCAGGAGTAGAGAGTGATATTTTATAGGTCCTAAAGGAGAGAAGAACCGGGTATTATATTTCTGCCTGAGACTTCAAGGTTTTGAAATTGTTCCTGGATGAAATAAGTAAGCTAGAAGGGAAGTCTTTCAGTTCACTCCCTGGCAATTTTAATAGCTGTACATCTTGGGAAGGATGAAATGCTGCAGTTTTCATTGAACTGGAACCTTTTATTCAGTCTGGATACCCGGGCTGCCGTAAGTCAGGATTACCGCTTGTTTACTACTGCTTTCTCAGTTTCGCTTTCCCAGGAGTCTGTATAATTAGCTGACTGAACCAGAGATGGTACTTCTTGGAAATATGGTTTGAAATCATTAAACTCAGATGAAGCTTCACTTATTTATTTTCTGTACCAGGAGATACATCTTCTGTGTCACTTGTGACCTTTAACACTTCATTTGGGTTTGCCTTCTCTACGGTGCTTCTACTTTCTTCCCACTTATTATCACATCCAATGTAGTTATTAGTCAATTAATTCTATACAGATTTTACATTAATTTGGGAGGTTCAGGTAGAGGCTTGAATGAAGACAGAGGCTTTTGAAAACTAAGTCCGTGATTTTGTGTATGATTCTTAATTATTACAATGAGTGAAGGAAAAGAAGAAATATAAATAGCAATTGGTCTGAGTAGATTTTTGTTTATTTTCATTTCTTTGGTTTGAATAGATAAGAATACTATGATATTAGACCTGTAATGTGAAGTTACTAAGTGTACACTTTTTTATAGCTTATAACATGGCATGACAGAGAATGATTTGTGGTTATTAGTGGTAGAGGCAGGACCGTCAAACAGGCCCCAGTGGGGTGAAGTGATAGGTGGTATAGAAGAGGTGTGGAGTTTTCCATTGTTGGGTGTGATGATCAGATTCCAGTTCTACCACATATTTTCGTTGTGATCTTGAGAAAATGATGCAACTTCCCTGGACCTTAGTTTTCTCATCTGTAAATGTGACCGTGTCAGCCTCTTTGCATCTTTATCTTGAAGATAAAGTGAGAAAAATAATGTACTTCTCATATAGTGAGTATTCAATAAATTGTATTTATTACTTTTAGGAAATACATTATTTTTTATTTTCCTTATTCATGTTTTCACCTTTGCTTTTTAGTGAACAACAAGACTGTGAAATTGCTCAGGAAATTCAGGAGAAGCTGGCTATTGAGGCAGAGAGACGACGCATTCAGGAGAAGAAGGATGAGGTATAACTTAGTTACTGCCCCTCTCCCTCATGGAGAAAGGGGTGCTCAGCTTTAGAGCAAAAACTTTCTGTAGGTCACGGGCTCAATGAAGGGTTTCTGAATGGGAAGCAGAATGCCTCTTATTTGGGCTGCATTTTCCTCTGTGGACCATGATTTATAGCCTCTTGATTATGTAAATGGTAAAAGTCTTGAGAGATAATGGATAATTTCACATATGATGTGAGTTAGTTTCCTATGACTGCCGTTACAAATTACTCTGCAAACTTGGCTTAACAGAAATTTATTGTCTTAGAGTTCTGGAGGCTAGAAGTCTAAAATCTGAAGTGTTGGCAGGGTCACGCTACCTCTTGGGAAGGATCCTTCCTTGCCTCTTCCTAGCTCCTGACTCCTGGCAATCTTTGGCATTCCTTGGCTTGTATCTGCATCACTTCAGTCTCTGCCTCCATTGTCACATGGCTTTATTCTCTGTCTGTATCTTTGTGTCTTCTTGTCTTCCTGCAAGGACATCAGTCATTGAATTGAGGACTCACCCTAATCCAGTATGACCTCAGCTTAACTAATTACATCTGCAAAGACTGTTTCCAAATAAGGTCACATTTTGAGGTTTGGATAGAAATGAATTTAGAGAGGGCACACTATTCAGCTTACTACAAGGTGTCTGTCCCTGGGTTGTTCTTGCAGCATTAGAGAGAGCAGACTTTTGAGTGGGGCCTGCACAGGAGCCAGGGAGTAGTCCTTGGGAGAGGCCAGGAGCAGGCATTGCTCTCGTTCTTTCTCTTTTTCTTAAAGGTTTCCCTTTCCTCTGATCTGTTGGTTAAAAAAAACTAATCAGTTTGATTCTGTATATATTTTTAAGTCATAGTGTTTTTAAGGCTGAAAATGACTAAAATTACTAATAGTGTTTGGTTTGTGAGAAGACTTGAATTTACCATCAGCTATTATTTCCTTTTGTGTTATTATTTTCAGCCCTTTTTTTAAATTATTTTTTGACAGTGTTTTGCTCCATCACCCAGGGTGGAGTGCAGTGGTGTGATCTTACTGCAATCTCCGCCTCCCAGGCTTAAGTGATCCTCTCTGCCTCTTGAGTAGCTGGGACTACAGGCACACGCGCCCACACTTGGCTAATATTTAAACATTTTTTTTTTTGTAGAGACGAGGTCTCACTATGTTGCCCAGGCTGGTTTCAAACTCCTGTGCTCAAGCTGTCTTCCTGCCTCAGCCTCCCAAAGCACTGGAATTACTGGCATGAGCCCCTGTGCCCAGCTTAGTTTCAGCACTTCTTATGAACAATTTATTTCATTTTACATCATTTCTATGCTACCCTGCTTTCACACCTGTTATGCTGTACTTGGTCACTGTCTTGATTTATAATAGAGAAGCAAATGATTTATTATTTTTAATAGTTGGATAACAATATGGTTTGTTAAGCACCCAGAAACACTTTCGAGGGTTATAAGCATGGTGTTAATTACATAAACTGAAACTACACTGGGCAAACTGGCACTTATGATCATCATGTTAAATAGATATGATCAGGGTCATCAGTAAACAGCCTACATACACTGCTACTCCTACTGAGCCACTCTTGTTCCTGTAAGACTTCTGTTCAATGCCAGATGAATGTGAAACACCTGGTATGAGAGTATTGAGTTGTTTCTTCAAGAAACAAATCATGATCATGTGATAATCAGAGCTGCAAGTAAAAATTAGGGATTATTTTTGATACTTCCTGTAATACACAGGAGGCGCTTTCTTAGTATTTAATGTGTTGCCTCTTTATAGTGAAGACTTTGCTTTGGGGATGACACTGGGAACTAAAAGAAGTGATTATATTTTGTAGACAGGAAAGCTTCTATTTAAAAAATACCAGAGTAGTGAAGTTGGCTTCTTATAAATGCTACTGCTGTCCTGTGGGGTTTTTTTTTTTTCTCCGTTTAGAGAAAAACAGGATAGAAAGAGAAAATAAAACACTTTATTTTAATTATGTAGAATCTAAATAGTAATCATAGTAAGTAATCTCATGGTAATACTATATAAAATTAGCAGTTTAGTGATTAACTCCATTTTTCGGATGTAGAAATTAAGTATTAAAGAAGTAAGTGACTGATTCCAAGTTATAAAATGCTAGAGAAATGTCTGTACAATTCAGGTCTCCTGACTGCTTCTGACTTAGACATACTGTGGTATACATGAAACATGTGGACTTTGGAGTTACACTCACCTGGGTTTGAATTTTAGCTCATTAACTATTTAGCTTGGTGATTTTCAGCACCGCCCTTAACCACGCAGAACCTCAGGTTCCGAAATGGGTTGAGTCATAGTAGTTGTGCATACCCTAAAGGGCTGTTGTGAGGTAAATGAGATCAGGTACTTGGGGCACCTGGTACATGTTAAATTTATAATTGCCCTTTCCTTGATTTCTGTTATAGAGAGATATGTGCTGCCTAGGGCAAAATTAAACAGGCTTAAGTGTGTTTCAGTATGGTGTGATTTGAGAGGTCCTCAAGCGTTTACACACGTGTCATTACAGGTCTCCCACTAGCTTGCCCTCAGTAGAGTGGAAAAGTTAAATGAGAAATCCAGTTGTATAGGTGTGTTGACCAGACAAGCCTATATAAACTTCATTCAGACTTTTTGACTTTTCAACTCATGCCTCAGATGAGAAGATGGCTACTGTGCCAAGGTAGAAAAATGTGACTCTCAGCTGTCTAGTATGTTGTCAATATTAAATGAAGAAAATTTGCGTGAGTAAAGTTTGTCATTGAGGGATATATGAAAATGCTTATTTATTTTAGTCTGTTGGTAACAGGGTGCCTGAAAGGGAGAGGAAACTAATACTGAGACAGTAGTGCTAACTCTTCCGGCCAATTTTTGAAAAAGAATTGCTTGTGACTAATGAACTCTCTTAGTTCTTATTTTTTTTTTTTTTAGACAGAGTCTTGCTCTGTCTCCAGGCTGGAGTATAGTGGCGCAATCTTCGCTCACTGCAACCACTGCCTCCTGGGTTCAAGCGATTCCCCTGCCTCAGCCTCCTGAGTAGCTGGGACTACGGGCGCCTGGCACCACGTCCGGCTCATTTTTTGTATTTCAGTAGAGACAGGGTTTCGTCATGTTGGCTAGGATGGTATTGATCTCCTGACCTTGTGATCCGCCCACCTCAGCCTCCCAAAGTGCTGAGATTATAGGTACGAGCCACCGCGCCCGGCCTCCTTTTTTTTTTTTTCCCCTTCCCTCTCAATGCTCTTCTGCTTCCCTGTAGAGTCTACTTGGTTAATAAGGACTTAGCAGCAGCAGGGCTGTGGAAAATCTCTCTCTGGGTTTCCACCCAAATCTCTTTAAGAGATTTTTGGGGTCAATTTTCCTGGTTAGTTACCACCCCATAAAATACCAGATATAGAGACTGAGAACCCTTTTCTCTTGGAACAGAGATTTTTTTTTTTTTAATTTTTTCTGAACAACATTGTGTGTCAGATGTGGTGGAGTTATACAACCTTGCGTGTATAAATTAGCAGTTCTAGCTTTGTCATGGTATAATTTTATTATGTTTGTTAACAAAGCACAGATGTAAGGAAAGTAGCATTTCCATGCAGGACACAGATGTGGAAAAGTTGAAAAAAAAATTTTTTTTTCGGTCTTTCTAGCTTTGAGAACTCCTCACCTTCCCTCCCTTCATTCCTCTTCTTCACTTTCTTGCTCTCTCACTCTGTCTTGCTCTTCTGTCTCTGTTTATTTTTAACTCTTTTACATAGTTTCTCGAATATGGTAGTTCTCCCTAGGCTCCCTGTTGGAAGGAGCTTGTAGACTTTGGGTATACTGGACTCTGTGAATTAGTGGTTAATAAAAATGGGTTAAGGTTAATCAGTTAATTTAACTTAGTTATTCTTAACTAAAACTCTAAAAGTGTGTGTGTACTTATGTGCATGACTAGATGTGTGTGTGTGTTTAAACCTAGGTTTAAAATATATGTGAATGTGCAACTATTTTAAGGAAAAACTTTTTTTTTTCCTTAAATAAATATTAGCATGGCCAAACATGTCATGAAAAGTTTGTGGCACTAGTTTAACAATTTGAAGCCCTTTATAGTATAAACTGCTCAGGGATAAACCTAGTAACCAATTCACATTGAAAAAATGAATCTAGTATGAGCCATGGTACTTACACATAGCACTCTTTAAAAAGATTAGAATTTCATGTTCTAAAAGAATATTTACACATTCTTTGGTAATATTTAGAGGCTAGATCAAACAGTAATACCATTTAGCTATTAAAAATTTTCCTGTGTTTTAAGTATTATAAATATGACTAGAAAGGGAGATGGGAGGCTTCTTGTTGAAGTCTTCCTCTCTTCTTACACTATTATACTGATGTTTTTACATCCATAGAATTGGTATTTTCCTGTTTTATCAAACAAACCTTTTGGATTTATACCTGCCTTGACATCCCTGCCGAGTTAGATGTTAATATGTTAATTGCTAGTTAATAGAGAAGTTTAGCAGTTAAATGGAACGATTTTTTTCTCTGACAGTCATTTGACAGTCACATTTTAAAATCACCTTTTGATTGTTTTTAAACTCCAGATTTCCTCTTTTTGAAACTCATTGCCATTGGAGGATAGAGGTGAAACGCTGAGAAGTAACTCTCTATCCCTTATACATTTATATGATATAACCCTCCATCCCTTATATATTTAAATGATATAAATCATATACAGATTGAGCATCCAAAAATCCAAATTCCAAAATGTTCCAATGAGCATTTTCTTTGAGCATCATGTCTATGCTTCAGAAAGTTTCAGATTTTGGAGGATTTCAGATTTCGGATTTTTGGATTGGGATGCTCAACCTGTAAATGACAGAAATACCCTAAGGAAGCCAACACCATGTTTCAGTTACTTGTCATCTACTTGGGAAAGATGTGTGGGGATCCTCTGGGTGCCACTGCACCTTGTTTATATTAATGCTTCTCATAGAGCCATGTTTTCATTTCTTACATTATGCTAATTGTTTTACTAAAAGCAAGATAAGAACGTTAATGATATTTATCAATCCCCTACTGCTCATAGCACTATTCTTTAAAGCTAAAGAATTTGACACAGGGCACACGTCTGGCCCACTGAAGGGAATCACTAAATCTATGTTTTCATTAAAATTACCTTTCTCTAGTATACTAGAGATCCTTAACTGTTTCCTTCCTTATGGTTATGGTTTCAAATTTTCCAGAGTTGGGTGAGCTTGGATAACAGAAGGGAAAGGTGAGATACAATGGTAAACTCCCATTTCAATTAATGTATTTACTAGGAAGTCTTCTGTGGAACAGGTTTGTTTTTACATATTAGCCCAGAAGTCTATCTCATTAATTAAAATGTAATTAAAAATGACTTTAAAAGAGCTTAAGAGTTCATTTAGATTTGTTTTCCCAAGTTATGTAGAACATTAATTACCTGAGTTTTTTTAAAATGTGAACAGAAGCTTCTGTCATAAATTTGGAAAATTATAGGTTACTGGAAGATAACAGGTTTTTTTTTTCTTTTAAAGTTTTAAAATGTGCTAATATGCATCTTAAAGAGTTATATATGCTGCATGCTTTCTATTGAAAGGTGTGTTTTTTTTGGATAAAGTTTTGAGGCCAGTGTTCTCAGGAAGAGGCTTGGGAAGTGCTGTTCTAGACTTATCATTAACAGGAAGGAAGCTGAGGACCAAGGAGATTGTTTATATCAAAGGTGACTAAGCTGGTTAGCTACATCCAAGTACTGTGACTGATAATTGCCATCGTCAGCTTGTTTCAGGGGGATTTACTTTACACTGAAATTATCTGACAAAACTCATTGCATAGTAATGTTGGAAAGCTGGGAGGAGAACGGACTTGTGCTAAACCTCAGCTATAATATAGTGGCAGTTTTCCATTGAATTTTTGTCCTTTCTTTCCTCAAGCCTAGTAGACCTTTTCTTTCAAAAAAGAGCTGAGAGCTTAGAAGAGCAAAAAGGTTTGGGTGCTAAGGTGCATGACATGTTATGATTATTATTATTTTTTTACTTGATTAAAAGCACTTTCTTTGACTAGCTAATGCATTACAAAGAAGGGCTGTAATTCTTTTTTCTCTCCTGGTTCTTTACACTGAGAGAGTGGCGTATTACTATGCTTCCATTAGGACTAAATTCAGTAGCAAGAGGGCAGTTATAAGCAATTCTATGAATAGGACTCTGAATTTTTAAGACTTTGATGGAAAAACTATCCCCTAAATCTCAATGTTAAAATGAATCTCTCTTTTCTCCAAATGTTAAAATGAATCTCTTTTCTCCGAATGTTAAAATGAATCTCTTTTCTCCTACAGTTCAAGTTAGACACGGTTTTAAGAGACACTGGGAAAGAAATAGTCACTACTAATACCAATTTTGGGGAGAACTTCAATTCTTTATCTGTACAATGGAAAGTCTGAACTAATCAATCTTAAAGCCAAATGTCTTTGACTACTTAATTTATCATTTTAATAAAGCCGTGTCTACCAGGTCTGTGGAGCATAGTTTATAATTTCTTCTGGAAGTTGGACCTGATAATTTTCCTTTATATTTTTTCCTCAGTTATAGCAGGGGAAATATTTGTTTACTGTAAAGCAAACCACGTAGGAAAATATAGTTTTGGGTGCTTAGTAAACATACAGTTCAAGGAAATGTTTACGTTTCTTTCTACTTCTGTAGTAAACATTATAGAAATTTGGAAAATTCTTCTGTAACAAATAATAGTTTTTTGGAGAATAGGCTATCTGTCCCGTTCCTCTCTTCCTGATTGATAGATTACTTTGTAAGATATTAAAGCTAAAGAATCTGGCACAGGGATTGGCACCTGGTAGACACATTTGTTGAAATGATACATTAAGGAGTCAAAGACATTTGGCTTTTTTTTTAAGATTGAATAGTTCAAACTTTCTATTGTACAGATAAAGAATTGAAGTTCCCCCCAAATTTATATCAGTAGTGACTATTTCTCTCCCAATGTCTCTTTAAACCATGTCTGACTTGAACTGGAAAAGAGATTAATTTTAACTTTCAGATTTAGGAGATAGTTTTTCCATCAAAGTCTTAGAAACTCAGAGTTCTATTCATGAAAAGTATACTTATGTTAAGTAGGATTATGATATCTTTTACCTCTCCCTCTGAGTTGCATCATTTTGTGAGTGCTCACTTAAGTGTCTGAAACTATTGCATGGACATTTACATAGATTACTTATCAAAAAAATACGTATATATGTGTCAGTTAAAAGTGTATTAATGGTGTATTTTAAGTTTGTATTTGGCATAAAGTCAGATTTGTAAGGCTATTTGGATGAATAGTAAAAAACAGCTGAGGATATGGATAAATATTGCTAATTTACCTAGAATGAGCATCCAGCTTGTTTCTGCATAGATGTGAAAAAAATTAATTCACTTAAATTTTCTTTTGAAATTTATATTGCCATCTGAGGGTATTCTTCATTCGCACCTATTCATAAAATTTGAAGAATAGTAATTCTTTAAATTTATAACATTAACATTTAATATTTCTTGTATTCCTTATGAACGATAAATATAAAGAAGTAAGTACCTCAAATTACCAATGATTGTTATTACCATTTGTACCAGTGAGTATTATTCCCATATTTGTATGAGCCTTTAAGAATCTGATGATAGCTATTGACTTCTCTCCTTAAAAGTGTGCATGAACATATAAGTTTACAGGCTATTTTATGGGGCTTTCATAGAAGTAATCTTCAGATTCAGAACATTGTCACTCTGCAGCTCAAAACCTTTAGTAATCCTCCATCCCCTTATTTTAACAGACTCCAGACTTCTTAAGATTGTCTAAAAGGAGTTCCTGTGATCCAGCCTTAGACTGTTTTTCTAGCCTCAGCTTTTTCTACAACATTCCGTATCTCATGTTCTAATTTAACCTTAGATAGGTGCTCATTAAAATGTTCATAACTCTGCTGATGTTTTCTTTTTCAACTTTGCCTGTCGGAATTCAGTTCTTTGTTCAAAGCCTAACACAACGCAAAATCTTGTACTAATTCCTTTAAGCAAAAATAGTATTCCCTCTTTTGTACTCCCGTGGAAATTTTTTTGAGGCATTTACAATTTAATTTTATTGTAGTTACTTTTTTTTTTGAAAAGTTTCTATGAAACTTTTGTGTTCATAAAGGGATGATAATCTTTTAGGAAACATTACGGAATGTTATTCATCATTCTGTCCCTCACAGTGCCTCTCACTTAATGACTGCTAAAAATTTGCCTGGGGATGAACAGGTGGGAGACAGAAGGAAGATTGTTTTCTCTTTTTTGGTTAAGACAGTGGTATTCTAATGCAAAGCTAAATCAAAATCTCCATAAGAATTCTTTTCAAAAGTTTTTAAATTATAAAGTTTTGTAGATTACTACATCCTGCCCAATCTAGATTTATTGAATCATCAGTTTGGAAAGAGGGCCCACAAATACATATTTTTAAAATTCTGTTGTGTAACCTGCTTTAGGAAGTACTGAGTTTTGAATGTCTTCCATGTTGTGGTGGATTTAAATCTCAATTAAAAAAGCCTGTCTCACTTATCTAGATCATGTGCTACTCCTGTTAAGCAGTCATCTGGCATTTGAAGACATGAAATTAATGCCAGAAAGTCTAGAGAGCCATGGACAGAGCACATACAAACTTGGCAGTGGAATGTCAAGCCCCACCATATGGAGTTTGTTTGTTCTTTGGTAATGTGTATTTCCATTCTCCTCTTGTCTTTGCAGGACATAGCTCGCCTTTTGCAAGAAAAGGAGTTACAGGAAGAGAAAAAGAGAAAGAAACACTTTCCAGAGTTCCCTGCAACCCGTGCTTATGCAGATAGTTACTATTATGAAGATGGAGGTAACAATTCCTGCATCATGATCTATTCTATCCTTAGACTCAACCATAAAACACTCCTTTAATTTTGTTCATAAAGTGACCTTAGGGACCTGGGACTGTTTCTCTTATCCCCAGGCACTGGGTACATTTAGATGTGTGGCAGGATTCTATTTGAATCTAATAAATTCATGTTTTGTTTTGTTTTGTTTTTATTATACTTTAAGTTTTAGGGTACATGTGCACAACGTGCAGGTTTGTTACATATAGATACATGTGCCATGTTGGTGTGCTGCACCCATTAACTCGTCATTTAACATTAGGTATATCGCCTAATGCTATCCCTCCCCCCTCCCCCCACCCCACAACAGGCCCCGGTGTGTGATGTTTGCCTTCCTGTATACATGTGTTCTCATTGTTCAATTCCCACCTGTGAGTGAGAACATGCGGTGGTTTTTTTTGTTTGTTTTTTTGTTTTTTTTTTTGTTTTTTTTGAGATGGAGTCTTGCTCTGTCACCCAGGCTGGAGTGCAATGGTGCTATCTGGGCTCACTGCAGCCTCCCTCTCCAAGGCTCAAGCAGTTGTCCTCCCTCAGCCTCCCAAGTAGTTAGAAATACAGGCATGTGCCACCACGCCTGTCTAATTTTTGTATTTTTAGTAGAGGCGAGGTTTCACCATGTTGGCCAGGCTGGTCTTGAACTCCTGACCTCAAGTAATCCGCCCACATCAGCCTCCCAAAGTGCTGGGATTACAGATGTGAGCCACCGCGCCCGGCCTTATCTGTTCTTTAGTTGGACAACCAGAGCCACTTTCATGATGGCTAAAATTTGAATATGATTTTATGAGAATTGGCATGCATTCTTTTTAAACTTTAGCGACTTGGAATGCTTTATTATAATCTAAGCACATAAATGGGGTGTGGAAAATGGTCGATGAGTCTCTGGACTTAACCTTTCTCAAGAAGTCTGGAAAGTACTGTTTGAAGCAGGAAAGTGGTATGAAGAAAGAAGGTATACCATGCATCAGTTACTGGGTAACAAAGCTTTGTTCTGTGCTTTCTTGCCTTTTAAACCTAGGCCGATGGTTTAGCCTGCTGATGACAAACAATATTAAATTTTAAGATTTCCATGTTCATTTTTTTCTTTTGATCCTTTCTTTGCTATTTGATTACCATATAGTATGATTTCTGAGGGGATGATTCCCTCAGTTTCGCTTCTCTGGTGCCTGCTTTGCAGGGTGGTGATGGTGATGGTGATGGTGTGGTGGTGGCAGTTGTGGTGATTCTTTATCTTAAAAATGTGTTGGGAAATGAGTATTTGCAAGTGTTGTCGAGTCCTTCTCAAAGACTTGTCAAAGGAAAGATGTTTCCTGTAGTTTCAAGTGTCAGTATTTAATGAAATTCAGCTTGAAGACCAATACTTAGGATCACAAGTGAACAAAACCTAAAGGCAACTTTCAGAGAGTCAAGAATTTCAGGTCAGTGATCCTGAAGGGCCTTGCAAACCAGTCATCAACTGCTTTTCTGTAATTCCATTATAAAAGGTAAATATGTGTTTCTCTGATGAGTAGAATGAAAGCAGTGTATATGTAGATAATGGGATTATTACAGTTTGAGTATAATTTTGCCCAGTAACATTTTTTGCTCTAAATTTACCATAATCAGTAGAGCTCAGCCTTTTTAGTAAGCAGGCTGATTCACAATTTATTGCTTGATATGTTCTTCCTCTGTATGTAAAACACTCTTCTCTTTTTTGATAGCCATTTTCTTTATGCTGGTTTTTCTGATGAATCTATATGTTATGTCATTTAAAAAGAAAAATTATTGCCACATTTTGCTGTACTAAAGATCAGAAAGCAAAGTGTTACTCTTCACCTTCAATTTAAATCTTAGAAATGTGGCCTGGTGTTTTTCCCTTTTTTAAAAAGTCTGCTTTGGAGGTATATTCACTGTAAACGTTATTATTTTAAACTGTTCAGTCTGTAAAAACATTAGGATGACAAGGAATTAAATGCATTAAACTGTTAATTTTAGCATTCCCCTCTTAAAGCCTTATACTGACTTGAATTGAGACTCAAACCTGTTTTTTTGATCAGAGTGCTGTCATTCTGATTTGTTTCTCTAGGGCAGGAGACTATGTTAAGAATTAAGTGGTTTTTCAGGGACACATAAAAGCTTTTAAAAGTATTTTATATTTATTTTAATTACTCCGATAAATTTGTAGAGAGTGGCGTATATGCTTGTTTCTTTGGGGAGAGACAGACTTTGAGGGAGTTTTGAGGAACAGGAAGTGGTGACCTCCTGAACATGTGTATGTAAATACTGAAATTTCTCTTGCCTCAGCTGTGTTGTTATTGGGAGGTTATGTTTTGTTGAACATGGAGTCCTCATTAATATGCCCCTGTGTTAGACCAAGTGCAGTTCCACAGAAACCATATTATAGTTCAGCTCATATTTACAAAATAATCCTTCTGGTCTTTGCAGTGGTCCTTTTCCAACACACCTGGGATATTCTTTCATTGTACTTCTCTGTATGCCTTTGTATATCTATTTGATTTTTTGCCTTACTTGCACGGTAATCACAGTATATCATTACAGAAATGGTCAGTTTTTCAACTTTTAACTCAAACTTTAATACATTATCTATTAGAATGATTATGGATTTTCTACAAATTTGAAATTGTATAAAAACATTTGTCAAATTTATATCAACTCAAATGATATATATTATTTATTAATGAATCCATGTTTTTCTTTCAAAGCCACTTATTGAAGTCATATTAGTGATTTTTTAAGTTGTGGTCTTTGGAGTCATAGGACTGTGGTTCAAGTCCTGTCCCCTCCTAAGAACAATATTAATTTTAATGAAGTTACGTACTAAATAAAATGGAGATTATAAAAGTAAATCCTTCATTTGGATTTGAGAAGATCAAATAATGCAATTTTGGTGAAGTACTTATTTATACATATATCGGTGTTATATGTGTATAATGTAATATTTTGTGTATCTTATTTTGAAAGCCAAACATGGAGGCACTCATATAAAATGCAGATATATATGTGTATAAATATGTGTGTGTGTGTGTATATATATATTATGTATATGCCAATACATAATACCTATGTATGTTTTGGCAGTGAGGGAGTAAGTTATATTTGCCAAATAACTTGGTCTCAAGAAACATACAGGTCTCAGTCCTCAACTGTATGAGGTTTTAAAGCATTCAGATAGATTCCTCACATTATCTTTTTCTTTCCAAGATTTAAAGCTGTCACAGCAAATTTATTATTAGAGAATAAACTTTTTCAGTCAGCTCTGTAAAAATGTAGTAACAGCTCTGTAATAATTCCTGCAGCATATTTCCTAAAAGTAAAACTATGAATATCTATTAACTATTTAGAAGGAATTAAAAATCATAATATCACAAATTCATGTCAAAACCCAATTCTTTTTGTTTATTTTGAGCTGGAAGGTGGACTTCACTTGTGCAACTCTGAGTGAGCACATTTTTATTAACACCGTAAACCATTGTTCCCCGGATGTGGTCATCATTTAAGTGGCTGGTCTGTATTATATAAATTTACAGCAGTAGTCACTTGATTCTCATGTTGTCACGATAGTCTTAAAATAATAGTTTATTTAAAAGAGCAGATAATTTGTTTTTATCACCGGGTAATTCTTCTGTTTTGCTTTTGATTTTATGTAAAATAAAACTTACCCATAAATGATGAAGATAAATACTTCTACAGACTGTTTAGAAAACAAATTTTAATTTAGTATTGTCTTGGGAAGCAAGCTTTCTTTTCTTCTGGAAAGCACAAGAGGAAACAATTTGAGGTTTTTAATGGAAACTTACATAATTGGTACATTTAGCACATACCTCTTTCTTGCTCTGTTCCTTTAACAGATTAATATCAAATGAAACAGTTTAAAGGAAAACGTATAGTTTTTTATTTTCTTTACATCTCATCAACTTACGGTAGCTCTTTCAAATGCAGTTCAGCAAGTGGTTAATTCCATCGGGGAATCTTAGCTTTCATAGCAATTTTCCATGGAATTGGGATTTTTCGTTGTTATTTCCAAAACGTAGTAAAAGTTTTAGAAAATGTTAAAATCAGTATATTCTTATAAAGTGCATATGCATTTGCTGCCTTTGTCTTCACATTATACTTGTGCCTAAAAAAGACCTGAAAAAGAATTATTTTTGTGCTGTTTTTGAAGTTTATATTAAATTTGGGGACATATACTTAGCATATATTATATTTTTCTACAAAGAATACAATATCATACAGTTTTTTGAAATGTATTTAGGAAGCGACTCCTTTTTATATATTCCATCAAGGCAACCCTTTAAATTTTTTTCCTTTGCCAAGTTTCAACTAAGATTGAGAACAGAATTATCTACAGATAACAGGGTCATGAACTCAAAATTCTCATCTACTTGATCCTCTTTTATATTGAACTGTAATAGAGGGCTAATTTCTGAAGTGACTGGGTATGTTTGCTTTGGCCACATAAAGTGGGCAGATGGAGGCATATAAAAATCTGTGGATCATTCCTCTGAACTCAAGAGAAACTAGCAATATTCTGATAGTTTTATTGGCATTTCCAGTAAGAATATTTGAAAGCCTCTGTCTGAAATTACAAAGCTTAATTTTTTTGTTTTACAAGATTCCTCAACCTCTACTTTTTACTCTATACTAGTTTCAAATTGGTTTATAAATAGAACTTAATGTTTAATGGCTATAATTTTGTTATTGGCAAATATTAAAGTGTTGTTAGCTCTACCTAATCGTGATCAAGCTCTTCTTTCACATTTGTTTCACTTTAGTTTCTTACCATTTTGGCTATGTACCCAGAATTCTTTAGGTATGCATGAACTGTTTCAGTAATGCTCATCCCCTCTTCTCAATTTAAGTTGAAAAAGCAATTTTCTCCATTTTTAAAGTACGTTAAACTGGAGCCCAGACTCCCCCCTGTGTAGTGAGTTCATAACTCTCATTAAATTAATCTGCATTTTTATTTTTCACATCCCTCTGCCTCCACTCAGACCAACCAGGGTCAAGGAGGGCCAGGGAATTGGGTTCTGGATTCTCAAGACCTTGTAGACTCCAAAGAGATGGAAAGACTGTGAAGCACAAGAAAGAGAAACCAGAACATCCACTGGAGAACTTGGAAGAGCCAGAACAACATTGTTCATCGAAGAGATCCCTGTCATCCTCTAGCTCGGGCAAAGGGAGGGACAATCCCCATATTAACAATGAGCAGCATGAAAGGAAACGGTCCACTCAGGAGAGGCCTCGGAGACCTCTGCTTCCCACGATCAGTGGTGAAGTGTTTCTGAGCACTGAATGTGATGACTGGGAGACTAAGATTAACCATCAGACTCGAAATTGGGAAAAACAGTCTCGACACCAAGATCGACTTTCACCCAAGTCCTCACAAAAAGCAGGGCTTCACTGCAAGGAAGTTGTATATGGGAGGGACCATGGGCAAGGTGAGCACAGAAAAAGGAGACACAGGCCCAGGACTCCTCCATTCTCAGAGAGTGAGGAGCAGCTCCACCTCCATGACGCAGGTAATAGAGGACAGTCTCGATGGAAGTCCTGGTATCATGTATATAACTACAAACCAATGAATTTAATAAGTACCTTAAGCAACCTTTCTTTCTCTCTAGTTCATGCTCATGACTTTGAAATAAATCCTAGAGCAACATATTATAAAAGGTATACACTTAATCTCAGGTCTGTAAGAAGAAGGAAAATATTTGTAACTTTTCCCTTCTGTGAGAATGCACTGATTTCTTGGAGAGTTATTCCATGCCCAGGTTGTATTAGAGGTACCCATTCCAGATATAGTTCTTCATTTACCGAGACTGTGTATCAGAGATTCTGATACCAAATCAAAACTCCTGAATTTCTGGTTTTACTTCAGTGAACCCAGAAGAGCTGATGAGCCTGTCTTGATAGTGTTTGTCTAACTAAAAGGCCGATAGAGCCGGAAATACTGTATTTTTTAGACCTCATCTTTCTCATTTGTAAAATGAGGAGTTGGATAGGCAGTCTTTTAAGAAAGTATTTTTCAAATAATATGCCTCAGTTCATTTTCATCAGAATCAGCTGTTAACTAACAATGGAAATGTCTGGGTTTCACATGTATTATCATCTCTGGAGTGAGGCCTGGCAGTTTGGACATGTTTTAGACCTGGAGGTGGATTCTTAGGAACTTAAAAGTTTAAAGTCATTGCATTAAGTTACTTTTTATGCTGTAACTTTCTCCAGCTCTAACTCTACAGTTGGTGTTCTAAAGTACCAATACAGGTAAGTTCTTGGTACCTATATAAGAATGAGGTAAATATTATAGATAAACCTCAAATTTCTGGCACCCCTGAGGCTTAACTCTGAAGTCCATCATTGACGCAGTAATGGCTCTATTTTCTATAAACTGCTGAGGTGATGTTTTCCATGTGTCTGTAACACTAGGAATCATAGTACCAAGGAGCCAGTCAAGCTCTATCTGTGGTCAGAGAACTTGTTTCTAGGTTGCGGATTCAGGTTAAGTTGGTTTTTCCTGTCATGTTATTTCTTATTGAAGGACTTGGTTATGCAGAAAATTAAAATTTAGTTCCAGAAGCCATTCTGAGTAGCTGCCACAAATATCCTTGTCTTAGGCTTTGTGCTTGGATTTCAGCCAGAAAGATGGCTTTGTAAACAATTCCAAACTAGATCCACTTTGTTAGGAAGACATAAAGAGCTGCGGAAAAATAGAGGAAAGTGTGATATAATCTGTCTTGAGTAGGTTTATGAGGAGGTTACACCCCTAGCATTTTGAGGTTTACAAGTTCCAAAGGTGTGGGGGAAGTATGGAGGAAGAATGATGTACACTGACCTCTACGTTTCTGCTTCTGTGAATCTGACTTTCACGAGTGCTCTGAGGGCTAGTTAGGCTTTATGGCTTTTAGTTATGCTCCAGGATATTTTAAATAGGCTGAGGAAGCATGACACTAAACGCTGACTCACAGGCTCCACTACTGGAATTGCAAATGTTTTGTTTTTTATTTTGCCAGCACAAGGGATTGAAAAACAATGTTACCAGGCGGATATTAAAACGACTACAACATGAGCTGCTGCTTTTCTATCATTTTATATTCAGCTTGCTTTTTATATTTTACCTTTCTAGCCCCCGTAGGCATTTGATTTTGTAACTCCCTGGAACAGGTCAGAGGATTACATTAAAATATAATTACTAGGTAGTGGCATCTATTCTTGCTGTTGTAAAAGCACAATTCTTAAAGTTGTTAGGACAGGCCAAACTTACATTAATAATGAAGAAACTAGCAGGATGACACGGAGCTGGTTCTAAGAGCATTTGCAGAGCAGCATTAATAGAATCAGTTGAAAGGGACTGCAAAATAAAATTTTAAATTAAGTATAAGATAACTTTCTACAGGGCAATGGGTACTTAACCTTTCGGAGTTACTTCTCTATTGGACTATAAATTCTTAATGGCTCATCATTTTCTGCAGGTTAACTTCTAAACTCACAGGGCCATAAAATATCTGCACTGTTCTGCTGTGAATTGTTAGTCAGATATACTGTGGCATTCCCTAAATGTCAGACTGGCTTATTACAAATACTCTTACATGATATCAAAAAGAATCTATCATTTTACCTTATTCCAAGCTCAGAATAAATTTATCTTGACTGTCAGTACTTTCAACAATTTTATTCTGTAAATTTATTTAAGGCTGAAGTTTTGTGTTCATTTAAGGATGTTCTTGTGTTCTCCATCTGAAGGATGATGAACAGAAAAAGACAAGGAAATGTGAAATTAAGATATATATGGAACTTGAAAATACCACTCACCTGATTTTTTGAAAGCTAGTTTCTAGAGTCTGTTTAGGATACTGAGATGAGGGAAGCTAGTCTGTTAATTTCCTTCAGTTAATTACATTTAAAAAATTTTTGGACATCTTTGTTTAATGACGGCCTTACACTGCACTGTGAGTTCTTTTTCTATATCCTTACAAAAATTTTTGTCACCTTGGGTCCAGAGGACACTGCAGAGAATGGGCATCCTGACAGTGCAGAAATTTAGTATTCCAGGCTGTGGAGATTTTCTACTTAATGAGATTTACAGATTCCAGTGATACATCAAGGGTTTAAATAAACCATTTCCCCTCTAAATATTTGGAACTGAGAGATATTACCTCAGATTCTGACTCTTACTAAGTCATCATTCTCTTTTTAACTGCCAGAGGTTACAGTCTTATCACCCTGTCAAAACAATTAGACTATTCAATGGAATATTGTCTTTGGTAGAATTTAAAACAATGTGTCTTTAATAAAACTGAAAGTGAAAAATCTTCTTGGCTAATTCTGTGGTGTACTTTAGGAGGCATAATAGTGGAGAAAATTTGGTCTCTTGAAATTTGAGCACATCCCACTGTATTATTTCACTGTATGGCAAAAGTGAAGGAGGTAGGCATGTTCTGTCATCCTTAATTAAGCTTTGGGCTGCTTATTGAAGTATCATTTTTTCTATAGATTGGAACATGGTTTATATAGCAGACTATCTTGTCCACTGACATTGCCCAGTACTGAGTTCCTTATCTAATTTCATTTTCTCTGAAATCTGCCTTCCTAGTTCTGACTAAGCTAAATAACTCAGGGAGATTTATATTCTATTTCAGATGGTCCACTCTTGGGACTATGCCACTGTTTTTTTGTTTGTTTGTTTGTTTGTTTTTGCTGTCCCAAACCACTTAGAAATCTAGATTAAGCCCAGCCCAGCATAAGACTCCGTGGCTCTAGAGTTGATTTGAAGTGATCTGTGCAATCAGGTTCTATTAGGTCTGAAGCTAAGAAAGCCATGTTTACTAGTCTGTCTTTGTAGGAAATACAGATGTGTATGAGTCTGTGGCTTCTGAAGCCGCAGAAGCCAGGTTGAAAGTTGTACAAAGGTGGGCTTCACAAAATACTTACATTCTCATCATTTGCCCAGTGTTTA
Organism: Homo sapiens; assembly: GCF_000001405.40. NCBI lineage: Eukaryota > Metazoa > Chordata > Mammalia > Primates > Hominidae > Homo > Homo sapiens. Next base: position 191,379,021 of record NC_000003.12, read on the forward strand.
CTTGTATTTTATTTTTTTAAAGATTAACAGCAAGTGAGTCAAGTGTGGTGAGGGATTTTGACAAAAATCATTTTAATTTACAGTAATTTTAATGGACATAATACACTAAACAGGTGATGCCAATATTAATTGCAAGTAAGAATGAACTGGGGAGATTTAAAACAAACTTACTCAAGGACAGGGCACACCCAGGCTACTTAATTTAGAATCTGTGGGGGTTGGGGCAAATATTTTTATACGTGTTCAAAGCACCCTCATGTGATTCGAATATATAGCCCTGATTGACAACCCCTGGCATAAAGAGACAATCAGGAGTACATTTTCTTTCTCCTCTGAATAGTTAATTTACTGAAATGAACTATTTCAGATAAGTAATCTTGTTCACTGTATTCAAAATTTTTATTAATTCTGAATATAATACACTCACACTGTCAAGTAAAAGTTTAAAGCCAGAATTGCTTTATAGGAATAAATTGGAATAGAACTCTGGTCATTGTGCTCTCAATATAGCTCTGATTATATTTTCCCTAAGATGTCACAGTGCTATCAGTCTGATCAAAGCTGTGGGGAAGTTCTAAAGCGAGTGGGTTTATTTACTCTCAGAGGAAAAGCCATGGCAGGACCACTGCTTGTCTCACAGGTATTATCACATGACTGCCAGGTGCTGCTGTTCCTGCTCCCTCGGAAGTAGTAAGTATGCAGGCTGAGATAAATAGAAAGAAGCCTCTACTCTCCTCCAGCCTTGACAGCTTAGCCTCTTTTAAACTCTGACTCTGTAATTTGCTTTTCTTTAAATTATTTTTGTTTTCAATGACTTTTTTTTCACTTTGTATTTTTCCAGGGCCTCACTTGCAACTTCTTACATAAATTTCTGCTGTTGCAGAAACTATGTGAGAGGGGACTTTTTACCAGGCAGGCTTGCTTAGATATCTTTGTTTAAATGTATGCATTATCTACATTGCCACTTCCATTCCTAGGGCAAAAATATTTTTAATGCACCCCACACTGTATTCTGGAGTAGAGGTAGTATTGTCATTGTTAGCTACTAAAGAAAAATCTCCTTTATCTTAAATTTCTTAACTTTTCAGAAAACATCCTCGGTTGTTTTATTACATTGAGTTTTTTTTTTTTTTTAAAGGAATGAAGCCAAGAGTGATGAAAGAAGCTGTATCTACTCCATCACGAATGGCCCACAGGGATCAGGAATGGTATGATGCTGAAATTGCCAGAAAACTGCAAGAAGAAGAACTTTTGGTGAGCAAATTTTAAGGCAAAAGTTTAGATATATTGATGGGTATTTTTTTTGTGAATCTAGTCCATCTTGAAATTATATTAATAGTCCTCTATCAATTGAGAAACCTTTTTTTATGAGTGGAAAAATCATGACAATAGGAATAGAGTATCCACTTTTGCTTAGTGAGTAAGCATTAGCAGCAAAGTCCATAACTCCATTTCTCCATCTCCATGATTGTTCTCCATAACCCTGCTGTAGGATTTGATAAAAAGAGCTCCTGCTCTGGCTGGTGAAAGCATACCAACTGATTATCAACCTCAGGAACATGAGTCACAATTATTTTCAAAAACCAGCTTATTTTGTACAAGATACTGAAAATGCACAACATAGATTCCAATTAAATTCTTTGTTTTTGTATTTTCGATATCATAGGCTACCCAGGTGGACATGAGAGCCGCTCAAGTAGCTCAAGATGAAGTAAGTTAATGAGTTTAGCTGATATTCTTTGGAAATATCCTAGTATATTTCTATCTGCACCTCTGCAGTTAATGATATTGACTGTATTTTGTTTAGGAAATCGCTCGACTTCTAATGGCTGAAGAAAAGAAAGCTTACAAAAAAGCCAAGGAGCGGGAGAAATCATCTTTGGACAAAAGAAAGCAAGACCCCGAGTGGAAGGTAGAGTGTGTTTTGTTTGTTTTCTAATTAGAAATAAAATTAGAAATGAAAAGGGGACTCTGCTTTTGAGTTAAGCTCTGCAAATATATTTAGGATATATGAATATATAAATTATCTGTATTGCATATGTGAATCTGATCTGTGAAGATTCCATCACCATGAAAAATCACTGAATTTTGGAACATATGTAAAAAGTTACTGCTAAGATTGAAAACTCATTCTGTTCCCTTTAAGACGGAGTGAAATGCAAGTGCTTCTGGTCATGAACAGTCTTAGTTTTCATATACAGTACTTTGATTATAGAAGAATATAGCATTTTCACATGCTTTCATATTTTCCACAATGAACTTCTCTTCCCGTCTCTACTTTCTTTGTGCTTACATTATCTTTCATCTCTATCATGTATCCGTTTCTCTTTCCTTTGATGTAACATGGTTTGTGGCAGACTGAAAGATACATACTTATCACCAACAATTATTATTTATGTCACAGTGCAAGACCTATCTAGCGTGAGTTTGGACGGTTATCTTTCCCCTCGTTGATCAGAAATTGTAGACAAAATAAGCAGTTACTGCAATTCATTTTGCTGCGGTAATTGTGAGTTCCAGCTTAGCAGACTTTATTCATCAGTGACAGCGCGTAAGACAACACTTTGGACCTCCATGGAAAGACAAAGACATTTTTCCTGATAGTAGTGTATAATGTAGAGAGGAAGACAAAGTGTAGACAGCTAACAAATAGAAGGTTAAGCTAGGTGGAAAAAGAGCAGAGGAATAGGGAGAGAATTCGTACAATACAGGGTTTTTAGGGAGGGAGTTTAGGCCCAGAAGAATGAAACCTAGGTTGTGTATTCCTTACACAGTTGGTGTTTAGCGCTGGTCTCTCTTGAACAAATTCCTCCATTGGGTTTCTGGTCCCACCTCACAGTCTCAGTAATGGTTGTGAGGAAAAAGGTGTAGAAACCCTGCTAATAGTATTGCTGTACTCTTTCCTGTTGCTCAGTTACCCACGAGTTAGTCTCAAAACAATGAATGTATTATTCTCATATTAATTATGTATATTTAGCTCTCTCTTAACTAACTCAGTAATTCAAGATTTTTTCTAATATACTGTTTTAGTCAAGGATTCCCAAATACTTTTGTTAAATAAATTAAGCCACAAATAATTACCCAGGAGTTTCTCAGATTCTTTGCTACCTTAACTAGGAAAGGGTAAGTATTTAAGGATTAGGAATCAAGCGTGTCAGAAGGCAATGGCCACATCTCTAGCAGGTATCATCATGACTTCTGTAATTTTTATTTTATAACTGGTACTGATACAGTTCCTCTCTTGGAAAAGTTGACTTGAATGTGCCTTAGTTTACTGGCTGGAAATCAGCCTAAGACATGTGTGCGGAAATAAGTTTGAGTGCACAAACCTGGATTCCGTAGACTCTGGGCGTGCACTGGTTCTTGGCAATTACTGTGTAGCTATTATGTTAATAATCAGTGGCCAAGCACACCCATCTAGGGAAGCATGTTCCTGTGTGTTCAGCCCATTCCTCTGGCTGCTCTAAGGCTTTCAGATGAGTGGGCTAAATTACACCTTCCATGTAAGCCCAAAGCCTACCTTTGCAGCTATAAATTTTCTACCTCTGGAGTGGCCATATATAAAAATATTTTATGTTCCTCAATTAAATATAATTAATCTGAAATTACTAAGGAAGAGCTTGGCATGATAAACATACGTTAAACTTAATCTTTCCCTTTGTTTGATGATTCTGGATTGTATGTGTGTGTTATTTTTGTTTGTTTGTTTGTATTTTTGTCCATAGCCAAAAACAGCTAAAGCAGCAAATTCCAAGTCAAAAGAGAGTGATGAACCTCACCATTCTAAGAATGAAAGGCCAGCACGGTAAGCTGACACCTGAAAAGAAAAATGAGGAAGTTGACTTTGGGGTGAATAAGGAGATTTCAGTTCCCTAAGAAGAGTGTATGTTTTTTGGAGAGGAGATCCAAAAATCTGCATTTGTAAGGTAGTGTCAAGACATTCAGGGTTATTTTTAGAACTTTATTTCCACTCTTAAATTGAGTTGTGTACATCAAATCAGAATTTTACAATAGTTGGGGTGGATAAGGAAGAATGTACTTTTTGTTAGGACTGATTCTTACCTCTGCATTCACTGAATTTATGCTTTCAGCTTGGGGAATGAGAGTGATTTTTTTTCCTAAATAAAATTTCGAGTTTTAAATATTTACCGGGTTTCATAGCCACACTGATGTGTGCATGCCATTTGCACATGCTCAAACTCATTTCTTTCTGAGTCTCAGTGTCCTTGACAAAATCTTGAATCCTTGCAGACTGTCTAAATCCCACTCAACAAATAGCTGTGGCTATGGTGTACATACTTTCTGATTTATCTCAAACAGTCGTGCATAATAGTTATGGAGCAGCTGCTGTCTTTCTGCCTCAAGTTGTCAACATTTAAGTCTCTGGGGAAGTAACCTCTTTTTTTTTTTAATTGCTTTTTGTTGCCTTTCGAAAGAAAACATGATTGGAATGTGAAGAAAAAGATACTAAAAACAAGACAAAAAAGTAACACTAAGTTTAAAATTTTGAAAACTCTGAATTATTCAAATTTGAATTTTATTCTTATTTGTTAATTCTTGAAACATAACGCTTATTTCATTGAATAATTGACACTGTTGTTGCTACTCATGCCCACACTGAAGCTCCTAGACTTGTTTCCTTCAAGTGAATGTATTTAGTGTCCTTAAAAAGTAATCCTCTATTTTAAAACTCATTTGCTTTCAGAAGATAATCTTTCAGAAAATTACATTGGGTTTGTATTGCTCTGAGAAGAATAGTGGCATATTCTGTCTAGTTATATAAAATCTTTCTGTTGTAGCTTTTGGTTAAGCACATGCCAAACATTTTCTTAGAACTCTATAGGTTAGTACATTCCCAAAGTATCCAAGTAAAAGAAGCAGCAGCTAATCTGTTCTTAGTAAGTAAATACATCTGGATTATTATCCTTTTTTTAGTCAAATGAATTTAAATCATCTTTAGGCTTAATTCTGCAGTCTTCAGATCCTTGGCCTCTTTAGAATACTAATACCATTGACAGCATATATGATGGAACAGTACTGGATGATTTCTTAAGAAAGTTTATTAAAGTCTGAAAACAAGTTTTTGGAATATAATAGATACTTTAGAAATATTTGGCATACTGAAAGAGTGAATAATCAAATGATCCTGTATTAAAAATGGCTATTATAAATGAATGAAAAGTGACTTAGGGCTAGTAGAATAGAAATTTTTGTTTTTACCTTAGAGGAACATTTGTCTTTAAATGTCATTTTAGCAGGATTGTATATATGACCAAAAAAATGAGGAATTTTATGAAACCTGTATTTTCATAGTTAAAAGATAAAGCTTATATATCTTGCATATGTAGATACCTTGCACAACTAATATCAGAATGTATACTTTCTGGTTAGAATCTGGTTTTCCTCTTTCACATTTAATCATGATGGAAAAGTTTAGCTATACAGAAATATTTGGTTTCAAGGATTGAAAAACATGGCACTTCCTAGGTCAAGATGTTTATTACTGAAGTGTAGTAATAGTAGTAGTGAGACACAAATTCTTATGTAGAGCTTGTAATACTTATGGTTAGAAATCCAATTTCTTTGTCTGTTACAGAATTTTCTACTCTTCGTGTATGTGTGTTTAACTTTTGTTGTTATTTTTCAAAAATTGCCATTTTTATTTTAGATTCTGGGGATACATGTGTAGGTTTTTTTTACAAGGGTATATTGTGTGGTACTGAGGTTTGTACTTTTATTGATCTTGTCACCCAGATAGTGAACAGAGTACCCAGTAGGAAGTTTCTCAGCCCTTGCCTCCCTCCCTCCTTTTGGTGTTCCCAGTGTCTATTATTCACATCTTTAAGTCCATGTGAACCCAGGATTTAGTTCCCACTTATAAGTGAGAACATACAATATTTAGTTTTCTGTTTCTGTGTTAATTCACATAGGATAATGCCCTCCAGAGGCATCCCTGTTGCAGCAAATGATATGATTTCATTCTTTTTTGTGGCTGTGTAGTAGTCTATAGTGTATATGTACCACATTTTCTTTAATTAACTGTTGATGGGCATTTTGGTTGATTCCATGTCTTTGCTATTGTGAAGAGTGCTGTGATGAACATACGAGTTCATGTGTCTTTTTGATAGACTGATTTATTTTCTTTTGGGTATATACCCAGTAATGGAATTGCCAGGGTAATGGTAGCTCTATTTTTAGTTCTTTGAGAAGTCTCCAAACCGCTTTCCAGAGGGATTGAACTAATCTGAATTCCCATCAACAGTGTAAAAGTGGTGTTCCCCTTTCTCTGCATCCATGCTAACATCTGTTATTGTTTGACTTTTTCATAGCCATTCTAATTGTTGTCAGATAGTATCTCATTGTGGTTTTGATTTGCGTCTCTGATAATTAGTTATGTTGAGCATTTTTCATGTTTTTTGGCTGCTTGTATTTCTTTTGAGAAGTGTCTGTTCATATTTTTGCTCACTTTTTAATAGGGTTGTTTTTTCCTTGTTCATTTGTTTAACTTCCCTAAAGAGTCCAGATATTAATCCTTTGTTGGATGCATAATTTGCAAATATTTTCTCCCATTCTGTAGGTTGTCTCTTTACTCTGTAGTTTCTTTTGCTTTGCAGAAATCTTTAGTTACATTAAGTCCTATTTGTCTGTTTTTGATTTTGTTATATTTGTTTATTTGTTTTGGGGGTCTTCTTAAATTATTTGCCTTGGCCAGTGTTGAGAATAGTCTTTCCTAGGTTTTCTTCTAAAATTTTTATAGTTTAAGGTCTTGAATTTTTTGTATATGGTGAGAGGTATGGGTCCAGTTTCATTCTTCTGCATATGGTCAGCCAGTTTTCCCAGCACCATTTTTTGAATAAGGTGTCCTTTCCCTATTGTTTATTTTTGTCAACTTTGTCAAAAATCCCTTTGTTATAGGTGTGCAGCTTTATTTCAAGGGATCTGTACTCTGTTACATTGGTCTGTGTGTCAGGTTTTGTACCAATACCATGCTTTTTTGGTTACTGTAGCCTTGTATAGTTTGAAGTCTGGTAATGTCATGCCTCCCTTTGTTCTTATTGCTTAGGATTGCCTCGGCTATGTGGCTCTTTTTTTGGTTCCATGTGAATTAAATAGTTTCTTTTAAATCTGCAAAAAGTGACGTTGGTAATTTGATAAGAAGTTGTTGCATCTGTGGATTGCTTTGTTTAGTATGGGCATTTTTTTTTTTTTTTTTTTTTTTTTTGAGACGGAGTCTCACTCTGCCACCCAGGCTGGAGTGCAGTGGCACGACCTGGGCTCACTGCAACCTCTGCCTCCTGGGTTCAAGCGATTCTTCTGCCTCAGCCTCCCAAGTAACTGGGATTACAGGCACCCACCACCACGCCCAGCTAATTTTTGTATACTTAGTAGACATGGGGTTTCACCATCTTGGCAAAGCTGGTCTTGAATTCCTGACCTCAGGTGATCTGCCCGCCTCGGCCTCTCAAAGTGCTGCGATTACAGGCGTGAGCCACCGCGCCTGACCTGGACAGTTTAATAATATAGATTCTTCCAACCCATGAGCATAGAGTGCTTTTCCATTTATTTGTGTCATCTATGATCTCCTAGACTTGATAAACAACTTAAGCATAGTCTCAGGAAACAAAATCCATGTACAAAAATCAGTAGCATTTCTATATTCCAGTAAGCTTCAAGCTGAGAATCAAATCAAGAACTCAATCCCATCTACGATAACCACACACACAAAATACTTAGGAATACTTCTAACCAAGGAGGTGAAAGATCTCTATGAGGAGAACTGCAAAACACTGTTGAAAGAAGTTTTCTACTGTTTTTAAGGAAATAGAGGATCACTTAGCAATCTGAATTCTAACTCTTGTAACTGGAAAAAATTTCAACCCATGTTCCAAATTGTTTTAACTACAGGATTTTATACTTTTAATATTATTTGTTATTCTACTTGCATTTTTTCATAGGAAAATTAAATATTTTCTAAATCTCATTTTATTCCTTGTGCATTCTTATTAATGTGAAATACAGTTGTCTCCATTTATTCATTTATCAAGTATTTATTGAGCACCCTATTAATTGCTCACACATAATTGGGGTACACATCAGTCAACAAGAATGAACTCTGTCATGTTCTCATGAGTTTATAATCTAAACAAATAATTATCCAAATAACTGTTATGATTGTGTTAAGTGCTATGGATGAAAAGTACAGGATGATAAGAACATAGGGAGACATCCTGGTTTAAGTGTCTAGGAGGGTTTCTTAAAGAAGTGAATTTTGAAGTGAATTATGAAAGGTGTTTGGCTGTATCACTAAATTAAAGATGTAAATGATTTCATGAGAACGGTAGGAAACAGGCAGTCTTAATACAATAAAACTGTACAACAAAGTTAGTTAATAAGATTTTTCTAACTTGGATATATATGCTGTAACTTTAAAACAATTGTCTCAGGTATAACAAAATAATTTGGTGTAGGACTCTTGGCAGCAGTAAGCCAAGATTTGTTCTCTATGTAACCTGAAACTAAACAGAACAGTACCCTTAAGAGCACTGAAGTACTCTTAAGAGCATTCTAGATTGCTCTTAAGAAGTACTCTTAAGAAGTACTTAAGAAGTACTCTTAAGAGCATTCTAGAACAGTACCCTTAAGAGCATTCTAGATTGATTTGTTTATCCTTACATGGACATGCTAGAAAACTTGTGGGCATCCTGTGCTTTGTTTCATAACTTTAGCATACTTTTCCTTGATGAGTTGATGGTGAGGCACTAATCATGGATTGTTTTTGTGAGTTCCACTCAACGTCTGTCTTTCTGATTTTTGACTGCCTAATGACATTAATAAAAGAGAGAAGAACAGACTGGGTCATTCTAACTACTAACCCTGTTTTCTTGGGCCTGAGTCACTTCTTAAGCCACTTGTTTGCTTTTTGAAGCTAAGTTCTTTAATCCTAGAGTCAGACTGATTTGTCTTAATTTTTCTACCAAGTCTTACATTGTTTATTAAAGATAAGTGTTAAAAATATCAGGTATTGGAGAAAAATACTATTTAATTTCCAATATTGGTAAACAAATGATTTAAAAATAAAAATTAGAAAAAATGCATTATTCACTATGTTTCCATTACTTTTATATATATATATATAAAACAGATGCATGAAATGATATTTGAAAGTATAAGTACAATAACATATGAAAGTATACTTCTGAAAATATACAAATGCATATATATAAACACACATATATACATATAGTCTTTTATACAGATGATGCTGCTCCTGATAAAAATACACACCTATGTAGTAGAGTAGTTAAGAACACTGGTTTTGAAATCCAGTTGAGTTTGAGCCCTGGGTCTGCCACTTAACAGCTGTGTGAAAATGGACAGATTATTTACCTCATCTAACCTAATCTGACTCAAATATGTATATGATAGTTAGCATTAGCATACAGACTTGTCCTGAAAGTTAATTGAGATAATCTGTGTAGAACCTGTAGCATGGTCCTCAGCACATATGCCAGTTTATATCCCATGCTGACCTCTTCGGGATGCTGAATACCCAGGGAAAGATTTATTGCATGGCGACAAGATAAAAAATTTGGAAACACTTGCTTTTATTTTTACATGACAGAGCCCATTGTACCAAACCAACTATAACTTTACAAACTTCAGAATACTTATGCCTTCTAGATTTTACATATAAATGTACAAAATGGCCTACAGTATGGTTATATTTGATAAATCTTTGATATATTGATAAATTTGATAATCTGGTGCTATCCTTTAGTGCAAACTTTGAGTATACCTTTGGGAGATAAAGAATGAGAGGTTTTCTGCTTCAGTGCTACATGTTTGCATAAATCTATGTTAAGTAATTTTAATAAAAAGTTTAGAGTAGTAAAAATTATATCTTTTTTTTTTTTTTTACATTTTTTGACATAAAAAGTTGCGAATGTATTACATAGAATTTGCAAATGTATTAAGATCTGTTTTGCCACCTAGTGGATAAAGGAACTTTGCTCATGAAATTTTGTTTCTGTTTCCTCCCTCCTTTCTGTCTCTTACCCTTCCTTTTTTCTTTTTTTCCTTTCCTTTCTTCCTTGGCTTTATTATTTTCTTCTTTTCTGTTCTTTATTCTGTTATTTTTTCTTTGACTTGGTAAGACCTACCAAAACAAAGTTTATTTCTTATAAATGGCAGCAGTCACATCTCACTAATCTTTGTTTATTTAGCCCAGTTCCTAACATGTATTAGTTGTTGAGGAGATAATTGTTTGTATTGAATTATGACATCAAAACAAAGGAACGGGAAGATAAATAATTTATTCAAGGCCATGCAACTGTCCAGGAACTACAGTGTGAATTCTGAAGCATTTTGGCTTTTCATTTCACAAGAAAATGTTTTTAGCTTGCAATCCAGTAAGAGGGGTGGAGTTGTAGTAAGCGTTACTTAGAATGCCCCTTTAAATTCTGGATTCCTTTTAGGCCACCACCACCTATCATGACAGATGGTGAAGATGCGGATTACACTCATTTTACAAACCAGCAGAGTTCCACACGGCATTTCTCAAAATCAGAGTCCTCTCATAAAGGTAAGAAGAGTATGTATGGTCAAGTTTAGGATCTTCTTTTTTTATATAAGCCTCGTGTTGTAGTGGAAAAATCAAATTCTGTGTTCCACTAGAGTGGAAAAATAAGTTATTCTGTCAGCACATTGTTATAGAACTCCTCATTTATTAAAACAGTAACAAAACAGAAAACAGAACACCCTAAATTTTATGTAAGATATTCTGTGTATTTGCATTTTCCTCGAGAGGGAGCACAACGCTTTCATCAAATTCACTTTTTTTTTTTTTTTTTTTTTTTTTGAGTCGGAGTCTCACTGTGTTGCCCAGGCTGGAATGCAGTGGCATGATCTTGGCTCTCTACAGCCTCCACCACCTGGGTTCAAGTGATCCTTCCATCTCAGCCTCCCAAGTAGCTGGGATTACAGACATGTGCCACCACACTTGGCTAATTTCTGTATTTTTTTTGTAGAGATGAGGTTTTACCATGTCACCCCAGGCTGGACTCAAGTAATCCCTCTGCCTCTGCCTCCCAAAGTGCTGGGATTATAGGCATGAGCCACCGCACCCAGCTCTTTCATCAGATTCTTAAAAGGTGGTGGTGACCTCCATTTAGATCTGTAGGACTGCATTTTCTGTAGTGGCTCTTGTTTCCTATCTGCCCATGACTCTTATTAATTAGATTTAAAATATGCATGCACACCTCCCACATAACTGTTATGCAAAAGAAAAATGGAACAAAGCATAAAGAAAAAATAGGGATACCTCAATTGGACGAAACCTTTAAAATTTGTTTCCAGAAAAGGGTCCCGATTCAGACTCCAAGAAGAAGGTTCGAATAAAGAATGGCTGCTCAGCAGTGTGGGCTGCTGGTTGCCCATTTTTATGGTTATTTGATTATATGCTGATTAATACAAGGGGTATATTATTCATGAGTTTTCTGGGAAAGGGGTGGGCAAATCCTGGAACTGAGGGTTCCTCCCCTTTATAGACCTTATAGGGTAACTTCTGATGTTCCCATGGCATCTGTAACCTGTCATGGCTCTGGTGGGAGTGTCTTTTAGCATGCTAATGCATTATAGTTAGCATATAATGAGCAGTGAGGACAACCAGAGTTCAGATTTGTCACCCTCTTGGTTTTGGCCAGGTTCTTTACCAAAGCCTGTTTTATCAGCAAGGTCTTCATGACCTGTGTGTTGTGCCAACCCCTTATCTCATCCAGTGACCTAGAATGCCTAACCTCCTGGGAATGGAGTCCAGTAGGTCTCAGGCTTATTTTATCCAGCCCCTATTAAAGATGGAGTCTCTCTGGTTCAAACGCCTCTGACAGAGGAACGTATTTGCTCTTGCAAGGATCTGCGTTCACTTATGTACATTTTTATGAGAGCTGTAAAATGAAATGGTGAAAAGGTAGTTTCTCATATTAACTTCCTCATCTGCAAAATGGAGGCAGTCTAAATAGAAAGTGTCAGAGTTGTCAGGATCATAAAAGATTAAATATGTGAAAGAATTTTGCACAGTGCAGTAGACTTTGCAAATATATTATATCTCATTAATTGATGCTGTTTATTTGTTATGATTTTTGAAGACTTAGGTGATATTGTTATTCATTTCCAAGTCAATAATAATGTCCCCAAATATCTTTAAATAACATTTTCTGCTGTCATTTAAAAATACCATCGCAAAAATGACACTCTAGACTACTTCAATCAGAATCTCTGGATGGGGGTTGTCAAGCATTTGCATTTTTAAGAAGCTCCCCCACCCCCACATTCTGACTCACATCCAATACTGAGAAAAAGACAAAAGGCATTATTTTAAAAGTAAGGTTAGTTGGACATTATAAACATCTTCATCAACACATCCCACCTCAACTTCCATCAGTTGGTGGCATTTTCACTGTTCCCGATTTAACGAAGTAGCTCATATTTTTCTTTCTCAAACTACATGTATCACCTTTTGGGGAGTACCTTACTGTCTTTGACATACATTTGATGCATAATACTAAACTAACACATTGATTCTGTATATATGTCACAATCAAGAATAAAGTACTATTAGAAATGTATAGAAATAAAGTTATTTTACTTGGGCAGGGAGAAAAAGCTGTTTGAGTTTCAAAGGTTTTTCCTTAATTGTGTTTCCTTTTTTCTTCCCCTCCCCAGGTTTTCATTACAAACATTAAAAACCTAGGAATCTGCCTTGAAAATGGACTCACTATAGCAAATATTACTGGGTGATACAGAATGAATTCTACACTTACTTTTTTTCTCCTGTGTTTGCATTCCTGGGATTTATCCTCAAGTGCATTTCTGACCATAAGTAATTTTAATTCATTTCAAATGTTTTGGTTATTCATGATCACTTGGGCAGTATAAGAAAATGTAGCTTCTGAATATTGGCCACCTCTATGCTGCATATACTTCTTGGGATATAGTATCTAAGACCTTTGTAAACTGCCATTTTGTTAGGTATGGAGTTTGGTATCTAGGGAGTAGGCCTTATTTAGCAATTCAAATTTTATGGAGATGAATGATCAAAGTGAAACAATGTTTGGATGCAACGCAGAATAAAAGAATATAAGAAATAGCTTTTTGTTGCATTAATGTATGATATTTTGAAGGACAGAGCCTTTGCTTTTTGTATTCTTTAAGAAAAGCACAACCATAAAGTATTTTAAAAAAAGAAACACTTGGAGCAATTGAAATATGTTATTCTGACTAGATGGACTGTAGAGGTTTTGCATTTCTCAGCCCTCCTGGGGAGATTGGCCTAGATAGCATTCTTTAACACTTCCTCTGCTTTTGCCTCAGTAGCAAGGCTTTCCTAAGCTCCTGGGCAATGGAACATTTATTAGTATTTATTGACAAAAATTTAGTTCTCTGAAATTTTAACTCATATATATGAAAAACTTTGTATTCCATCTCTTCTTTTTCATTTACTTGTAGAGCCAAGGAAATGGAATTGAAAGATGATTGCATAAGTAATGATGCCATCCTTCTCTCTGGCTGTAGACTGAGGCTTTTCTCTTGCTTCAAGTCAGAGCAGTATTTGTTGATAACCTCTCAATAATGTTTGGTTTACATGCCAGTAATTAAATTAATTCAACATGAAGTTGAATTTGATGAAGTGGTCATCTATCCAAGTATTTGGTTTTTGTTTTGTTTTGTTTTGTTTTTTGAGTTGGAGTCTCGCCCTGTCACACAGGCTGGAGTGCAGTGGTGCAATCTTGGCTCACTGCAACCTCCGCCACCTGGGCTGGAGCAATTCCCCTGCCTCAGCCTCCCAAGTAGCTGGAATTACAGGCATGTGTCACCACACCCGGCTAATTTTTGTATTTTTAGTAAAGAGCGGGTTTCACCATGTTGGCCAGGCTGGTCTCGAACCCCTGACCTCAAGTGATCCACCTGCCTTGGCCTCCCAAGGTGCTGGGATTACAGGCTTAAGCCACCATGTCCAGCCAGCCAAGTATTTGGTTTTAAACATTTGTATTCCTTTGTGCAAGGGATTGTATTCCTCTGTACAAGACCTTTAAGCACCTCTTCAAGAAATTTAGTCTTTGTGTAGCTGCTAACCTTACTGCAATATTTATTTTCCCTTATTTTCCCATACTACTTAGTTGACAAATGGCAATCAAGCTCACTTGTTCTCCCTCTCTCTGTCTCCCCCCCATGTACACATATATATATCCCTTCAGCTTGACTTGCTATTATTTTTCATTGTATAAATATGAAATTCTTGGCATTTCAATATGGCATTTGTTTAGGGAAAAAATATGTAGGTCACTAGAGAAAAATGTTAATTTTTTTCCCACTGTGAATTGCCTTCTGTTTGCCTTATCTTTTCAGATAGTCTTTAAAGTTGGGCAATATTCAGGCAGCTATTTAGAACAGTTTCTCAGAGTGGATTTGGGTCTCTCATTTGAGAAAGATTTGTAGTTTCAATGAAGTTTGTATATTATAGGAATTTAAGTAAAATCATCTGAGTTAAGTTTTGGGCAAATGTTAATCAGAAAGATAATCTACATCCCTACTTTATGTAGTCATTTTGGAGAAATGGAGGAAAAGGAAAATAACAGGACTTTTTATAGCTGTGATAAAATGGGTAAAGAAAAACCTCCATTTAAATAAGGAAGGGGAGACAAAATGGAAGGTCCTGGCCTTAAGTCAAATTCCAGATAGTGCTTTCAATATCCAAAGCTTAGGCCTTGTTTACTTATAGTAATGCTATATTTTTCTTTATCTGCCCTGTGATTTCGCTTCGTGTCCTTCAAAGTTTTTTTATTGTAATTTTAAAGGAAAAAAACAATGTATTTTTATTTGATAACTAGGCAAAATCATTTGCCATTTTTTATTTCATAAATATTTATTTTTCTATCTCATACAATGATCAGTTTTACTTTAAAAATTCTGCATTTCTCTTGCCTCTCATGTACTTCATCCAGTTATTTATTATTGTAAAATGTTAACTGGAGATACTGCATTCAAAAAAAAGTCGGACCACTTAACACTTACCAGGAATGTTAGTGTTTCAGCTGTTTTAGTAAGTGACCAAGTAAGCTATCACCTTGTGATAGCTAATTCAACATCTTTATTGAAAATTTGTTACTTTTTTTAAAGGTTTTTAAAAGATTACAATTTTAAAATATTTTATGTTTATTTTATTTTTGTGTAAAGCAAACACTTTTAAAATAATATCAGAGTAATTATTACCCTATGAATAAGGAGATAGAAATGAAATTCAGCCAGTTAAATCCTCATACTCTTTCTCATTCAAATAATATAATAATGTTTGAGACTATAGAAGCAACTCAACTGTATTTTAATGAACTGCCAGACACTTTTCACTGTGTTCTCTGCTTTTTACTTTGTCATTTTTATATAAATGTGAAAGCATTTTGTTGTTGTTGTTGTTGTTCCTGCTGCTAGAACACATGCAGTTTAATTTTTAGGCCCACAGTGTATTATGCTTTAATGTTGTGATGTAAACTAATACTTCTGGCCTGGGAAAACCTTTCTGTTTCTGTATCTTTGTCCTTTGGAGGCCAGGCCTCATTAACACCAGTATTGTTGAATAAGCACAATATATGACGGAGCCTTATCATAAGGCTGCTTGACATAGACACCCACTCTCCTCCACATTTTATAAATCATTGTTTGGAAGTAAAGTTAGATAAGAGTCAAATTAAATGTTTTGACTTGAAAAATATTTGACTTTTGCGTTCAAACCACTGTTAGACGTAAGTATTTTATTAGACATAAGTATTTTATTTTGGGACTAGACAGTTGCTTTACATGTATTTAAGGGAACATTGTGATTTTCAGAAAGTGGCTTTACATACTATTGAATTGCTATTTCCCAAGTTACTTTACAACCAGCAGCAGCATACCAATAAATTACAAAAGCAGAAAATGAAAATTAACCCTAGGTGTTCTGATGATAGAGAAATAGCTAAATTAGAAAAGAAAGATATGGATAGATGCTTTTAGGAGGAAAACCTTTTTAGAATGGCAATGACCACTTGGATCTAGGTCAACATATTCCAAAATGTGTGACCTTGGGCTTTGTGTTTACTGAACTCACTCTAGAAAATTCTGGACCTGATTCATTAACCCCGCTTTTCTTCTCTAATGTGTCCTGAAGCTGAGCTAGATGATGAGTAAATTCTTTGCTGACTGTTGCTCATCACTTTCTCTCAAAGTTAGAACTTTTCAGTATAAAAATAATTAGCTTTTAACTGATTATTAATTTTCTTTAATAGTTTCTGTCAAAACTTGTCTAAAATTTGTGTTGTGCCAAATTGGAAATACCCACTATAATATGGTGCATTCAGTTTACTCCACAAGTGGTTAACATTTTAAGTCCTAGATTTTTTATGTCTTGCCTTTGTATAAGCATCGCTTTGGGGAATACCAAGATGATTCATTATTCAGTGATTATTTTCTTGAAAGATAACTATGATGATTGGCTGTAAAATCTTCACCCTAATAAAGGAGTGAGATCTCTGTGTAAACAGCTTTCTGAAGGACTGATAATAGAATAGAACTTGCAGCCAAAGGCTTTTTCCCTTTTGAGAAGACGGTATTTGTGTAAGGAGTGCTAAGGTAGACTTCATTGTACATAGAGTGCCATATTCTGTTGAAACGATCATAACAAAATCAAAACCTCATGCTTCAGCAAAAAGGAAAAAAGATTTTTAAATTACTTTGTCTATTACTTACTGCTCATAGAGAAGTGACTATATAAAATGGTCCAATTTTCTCATTTCTGGTGGTGCCTGTGAGTCTTAAAGCCATATCTGCTTATCTTACTGTTGATAGAATACTTTTTTTCTTTTTAGCCCATGATAAGTAATATGGGCAGGTAGAAGCAAACTGGAGACTGTCCTGTTAATGCTGCATGGGGCACAATGTCTTTCAAATTATTGGTGGAAGAATCTCTTTTATCCATGGCGAGAGGTAAGAATATTAAAGAGTCAGGATATTGTTGCTCCTGGTATTTAACAACTGTCATTAGAAATGCTGAAATTTAATTGTAGAGAAGTCAAGAAAGAAAGAGTAAACTGAGAAAATCTTACTACTACAGAGTCACTTTTACAATGAGACCTGCACTTTATGCCAGCACTGTTTGTGAGGAGCAGTACTGCCTTAAATTAGTTTGACTCTGACTGATGTCAGTGTACGTTACTTCCTTTATGTGACTGACAGTCAGCTTTCCATTGAGATATAACATTCACAGATGATCCCCAAGTATCCTTGTCATCAGAAGCTTTGGACCTTTTCTGCCACTGACTTGTGGCTGATCTGTAACACAATAAATACATAATTTTATTTCATGTTGTCTGTCCACCTCTGAATAAGCAGTGGCATGACCAAAAAGACTGGTAGAAGGAGAGAATTTCTTGGCCAAATCCTTCATACCAGGTACCACTTCTTGAGTAACTGAGAGTTGACTGTCTTCTATGGTGACTACATAGAAGATATTTCCAAAGGTTCTGTTATGCAGTGAAGACATTCAGATTATTTGTAAGAATTTCACCAACACCCTTGTGTATTGAAATGCTTAACCATTAACAGGGAAAAAAAAGGAGAAAACCGAACAAAACAGAGACATTTACTTGAAATGGGAGGTTTGCTAATGTGAAGAGTGTTTCTGTTTTATTACTTATAAGAGAAAAGCAGGAAAACTTTTGCTTTGATAAGAAAGACACCAGAGTGGTGATTCTGTTTGATGCCACAGGCTAACACAATCGTGTAATCATGTTGAGTTGTAGAAATATATGGCCCTAAAAACCATTCTCTTTCCCTTATATATATAAATATGTGAACACTGCCTAGTAACATTTTAATAGATTTAAGATGCATTTGTACATTCTCAGCAAACTAGAAGAAAATGTTTTTTCTCTTTTTGAGTTAACTTCATAGCATAGAGAACCAGCACTGTGCAGGTTTCAGCATTTCAGATAAGGGCATAATTAATTGTGTAACTTAATGCCCTGTTATTCATTGCTGAGGTTCATATAAAGAATAGAAAAATTGAAAGATGGGTTTGGGCGACATTTTCTTCCCAAAAGATCAAGTAAGGAGTAAGAACAAGTAAGGGAAGACAGCTAAGAGAACATACTATGACATATCATAGAATTGGGATACATTTTTGTTGCACTGGATTTCAGGCTATACTGCTAAAATAATTTCTACCTGTTAAATTTTGTGAGAGGGTTTTTGACATCAGAATTTTTGTATTTCTGGTCAAATTGGTCTTGGAAATCCCTATGGTCTCTAATTTCAGCTCTTGCTGTAAACTGCAAGCCAAATGCTCTTTCTCAGAAAGAGCTATATTTTTCTCTTCTTACAGGCAACCCAATATTTATTTCATAAAGTGTTATAAATATTGAGAAGATACACTGGGGAGATAGCATATAAAAATGATGCTCCAAAATGAGAATTCTATATGGGGCTTTCCCTAAGAAGAATCCATCCCAGCACATATTTTGAAAAGGTGCTGAATTAAAAAGTACAAGAGTTTGCTCATATAAATCAAGTTGCCCAGGAAACCTGAGGTGATGCTATCATTTGTCTCATAATTTAGAAACGTGATCTCTTGAGAGAGAGACTACGCATTGCCTGGGCACTTTCAGATTCCTTAGGAAGTGCCCCTTTGATATTTGGAATGTGGATATATTTATAAAACAAATGGATTGTTATTCCAAATCCACATGGATTTATAACCAAGCCCCAGAAGAATAGGCAGCTTTGAAATAGCTAGTTCGTGGAATTGAACAGAACCTTGATGGAATGCAGTTGCCTGTGTGAGGACAGAAAACAAAGAGGCTGCCTCAGACCACATGCCTATCTAGAGATTAAGTGAATTTGTGAGGGACATTTTGTGGATGCCTTAAAGATGACCAGTGGTGGGTTCTGATGGGAATATATACACTCATCTGGACTAGGCCAATGGAAGCAGTCTCTTTCAGTTCACCTCCGTACAGCACAAGTTGTTCCTGCTCATGACCTCATTGAGGAAAATGAGAATTGTGGTGCTGGTGACTTTCATGTGTCTTGGGAGGTTGAGGTGTTCAACATCGTTAAGGCACTCCCAAAACGCAAACCTCCTTTTTTAAATGCCAATTGTACATCTACATTAATTCATCTATGCAAACTTGTGTTTTCATGGTTTGTTTTTTACACTATATTTCTCATTAGGTTCTTTAAACATCAGGTTTAATATTGATATTATGAATAATTTTTAAACCAAAGTATTCTATAAGTCTGTGTGCTTTGTTTTCCTGGATGGTTTGACCAAGGTAAACATCAGTCTTGTCCTTCTCTCTTAATAAAGTCATCCATTTGTTAAGTCAGTGGTCTCTGTCTCATGTTTTTGTTTTGTTTCTTTACAGCATTCAAGGACAGGGAAACTTACGAGAGTCTTATTATAATTATTATTATTTACAAAATGACCCTAATAGGTCTGTTTAGTAACAGTGAAATTTTTTCTTACTCCATTTCCATACACTTTCTGTAAATATGTATAACATGATAATGATGCCTGGTGTATTGAAATCCTCAATAAATACTGCCAAGTGTGGATCAGTTGGAGAAGTAGCTTTGTTTTGTGTGTGGTGTTTCGTGGTTTGATTGATATATTTGGGAGGAAAAAAAACAGGTAAGTGGATGTTCACACAATAATTCCAGTGATTAAAGACCCCATGCACAACTCTGCACTATACCTGACACCTTGTGGACACTTCAATGTATTTTGAGAAATGGATATTAATAACTGATTTATTCAATATTTTACCTTCATAAGAATTTTTTTTTTCTTATTTGGTTTGATAGAATAGCCACAATGTAGGAAATGATTCTGCAAAAATTAGGTATCTTAAATATAATATTTTCAATGACTACTAAATTTATTTTTAAAGATGTCACTATTTAGCCACCCCTACAGTAGATTCTCTAGGCCTCAGATTCCTCTGTGGCAAATATAGCAGGAAATCTAAATGATTTCTGTAGTCTCTGCTAGATCCTGAGTAGTACCAGTGATGTGCAGGTGATACTGTTTTATTTAGTTGAAGATTAGTATGTTGATTTCAACCTTTGGTCTCTAAATAAATACTAAAGTTGCCAGTGGAAAAAGTTGATGCATCTAGAAGCCAACTAAAAAATTAAATATGCAAGTAAAACAGATCCCTTTAATCTGTGGTAAGAGGTACTCAAGGTGATAGGGTGGTTTATGGGGAATATGACTTGAGTCTGATTGTCAGGCTATGGCCATGTGGCCATGTGAAAAGGTAGCATACAAGAAAGTTCCTTCTTTTTTTTTTTTTTTTTTTTTTTTTGAGATAGAGTCTTGCTCTGTCGCCCAGGCTGGAGTGCAGTGGCGCGATCTCGGCTCACTGCAAGCTCCGCCTCCCGGGTTCACGCCATTCTCCTGCCTCAGCCTCCCAAGTAGCTGGGACTACAGGTGCCCACCACCATGCCTGGCTAATTTTTTTGTATTTTTAGTAGAGATGGGTTTTCACCGTGTTAGCCAGGATGATCTCGATGTCCTGACCTCATGATCCGCCTGCCTCGGCCTCCCAAAGTGCTGGGATTGCAGGCATGAGCCACCGCGCCTGGCCAGTTCCTTCTTACAACAGCTAAGAGACCACTATCTACCTCGCACACCTTCGAAATTTGGTGAAACCTTTAAGAGGGTTTTGGACTACTACAAATCCTAGAACCATGGTTTCAAGACAATTTTGCCCCCATTTCAAGGGCAGGAAGACCAATGCCCCTCCTCCATTGTGTTTGGGTATCATGCTTAAATGAACGAACATAAACTAAAGGCTGCTGCGAAATCAGTGTACTAAAGAAATCTACAGGAATGAGATACGGGGTCCTAGTCCAGGTTTTGCTATGAGCTTGTTTCAGGACCTTGGGACATCATTTATCCTGCTGTACCTCAGTTCACTTGCCTGAAGCACTACTTCAAGTATAACATTTGAGGATTCCTGCGGTCAACGGCTGCTGGTTTCTTTTAAGATGTTGCCAGGAAGAGAGCAGCTTTATTCACTGCTGGGTCCTGTAAAATCACAAAGACTTCCTAGGCATTCCATCATGAAAGACAACCATGATCTTTTGTTCTTTACTGCAGTATTTTGCTACTTCTGTCTCCACATCCAGTAGATTGTCATTAACTTGTTATGTGTTTTTCTAACCAATACCCATCTCTATGTTTTATTCCCAAGGCTGAAATTTGAGCCTCTTTCCTCAAATGGTCTTCGGATGTTCTTGTAAATTAACTCCACTAGTATGTCTTGCATACCATACTTCCAGGACACACCCACTTTTCTTATCGATTCCTCAGCCTAATGATGCAAATTTGGTTTTGATCATGTAGATCATAACATACCCTTAAGTATGCCTGCCACTTTAAAGTATTTTGTGTCATTACCTGATCTTTGCCATCACTAGCAGTGCTCTTTGTGCCT
The DNA here is from genome assembly GCF_000001405.40 of Homo sapiens. Lineage (NCBI taxonomy): Eukaryota > Metazoa > Chordata > Mammalia > Primates > Hominidae > Homo > Homo sapiens. The sequence goes on from NC_000003.12 coordinate 191,400,548, forward strand.
AATCTTTTTGAAACCTTTCCTGCTGACCTGTCCATCCCTCATTCCCTCACATCCCTGACCAGGCTGCAGGGGCTCTCAAACACAGGTAAATCTGTCATTGACTCTATAAGGGTTTATGTATATATGAAAATGGACTTTTCTGGCCTGGACAGTACCAATTGGTGTATATCAGTTTTTTCTTTTATGGATTATTATTTGGTGCCAAACCTGAGAGCTCTCTAGCCCAACATCCTGAAAATTTTCTCCATTTTGGAGTGGATTTTTGTATAAAGTGTGAAGGTTTAGGATAAGGTTTACATATTTTGCCTGCATGTTCAATTGCTCCAGAAGAATTTTCCTGATATCTTCTAAAAATCTCCCATTTCTAGTTTGATTCTGCATGATTCCAATTTCATTAAATTTGTTGAAGTTTGTTTTATGGCCTGGGATATTGCCTATTTTAGTATATGTTCCATAAGCACTAAAAAGCACATGTGTTGCTGTTGGGTGGAGTGTTCTATATACTCACTCTCCTTGACTTATGTTGGGGTTATGTCTACATAAACTGATTAAGTTGAAAGTGCCTTTTCAACTTAATATTTTCAATTTATGATGGATTTATCCAGATGTAACCCCCTCCTCATTTTTGTAATCATATTCAGATTACATTTATCCAGATGTAACACCATTGTCATATAGTCAGGGGCTATCTTTATGTTGATTAGATCTTGGTCAATGGTATTGTTAAGTTTTTCTATATCCTCACTGATTTCTGTCTAGTTATTCCATCAGTTGCCAAGAGAGGTGTTGAAGCCTCTACTTCTGGATTTGCCTATTTTTTTATTTCAGTTGTTATCAATTTTTGCTTCACATATTTTGCAGCTGTCATTTGATACTCTATATGTGTATGTGTGTATGTATATATATGTATATAGCAGGGTTCTCCAAAGGGACAATTAATAGGATATATAAATATGAAGGAGTTTATTAGGAAGAATGGACTCCCATGATTATAAGATGGAGTTCCACTATAGGCCGTCTGCAAGCTGGGGAAGAGAGAAGCTGATATCGGCTCTGTCCAAGTCCGAAAGCCTCAAAACCAGGGAAACTGACTGCAGCTTTCAGTCTGTGGCCAAAGCCCAAGAGCCCATGGTAAGCCACTGGTACAAGTCACAGAGTCCAAAGGCGGAAGAACCTGAAGTCCAATGTCCAGGGGCAGGACAAGTGAAAGGAAGCATCCAGCAGGGGAGAAAGAAGGCAGCCAGAAAAGTCAGCAGGCAAAGCTTATCCCATCTTCTTCCACCCGCTTTGTTCTAGGCGCACTGGCAGCTGACTGGATGGTGCTCCCCCATATTGAGGGTGGGTCTTCCTCTCCCAGTCCACCAACACAAATGTCAGTCTCCTCTGGCAATGCCTTCACAGACACACCCGGAAACACTTTACCAGCCAGTTACGTATCCTTCAAGTTGACACCTAATGTTAATCAGCACAGATGCATACACGTTTAGGATTGTCATGTCTTGGTGGAGGGATCATTTTACCATGGACAGGTACTGGTCCTTGGCCTGTCAGGAATCAGGCTGCACAGCAGGAGGTGAGCAGCTGGCCAGTGAGCATTACCGCCTGAACTCCGCCTCCTGTCGGATCAGCAGCAGCATTAGAGTCTCATAGGAGCGAACACCTTACTGTGAACTGTGCACGTGAAACATCTAGGCTGCTGGCTCCTTAGGAGAATCTAATGCCTGCTGATCTGAGGTGGAACGGTTTCATCCCAAAACCATCTCCTCCCTGCCCGCCTACCCTTGTCCATGGAAAAATTGTTTTCTACAAAACCAGTACCTGGTGCCAAAAAAGTTGAGGACCACTGGTTTTGAAAACTTTGTAGTTTTCTTAGTCTGATATACATGAGAGAACAAGAAAACCCAGGGAAACCATGTTCCTTAGGTTCCGAAGTTCCTTGACTTATTTATTTTTTATTGAGAGTCTTATGTTGGTTTTATAATATGATGTTTAGGTGTTTTAGTTGTATTTAGTGGGAGGGATAGGGAAAAGTATGTCTATTTTATTTCCTAGAAATGGAAGTCTCCAATATTTACATATTTTAATCTCTCATTTTAATTAGGCTTTGAGATTTATTTCACTAGGAATTCATTGTGATGTAGTTTTATTTTCTTTTATTTCTGCCTATGCTATTTATTAAACAGCCAAGTCATTTTTTATAGATTTGAAATCCACTATTGTAATAGTTCTAATTCTGTATATTTTCTGTGTAAAAAATTCTCTTACCTTTGTCTAGTGCCACATTTCAAATTACTAAATTAATGTCTAGTGAAACATGTTCCTTTTTATTACTCTTTCAAAAAAGAAATCTATGGGTATTATTTCATATTCCTCCAATGGAAAATTAAAGCTGTTTTGGCAATTTCTTTTCCTTTTTTTCTTTTAGTGTGTTCTGCATTTATTTATTTTGCTGGTGTATTTTTTATTATGCAATCTGCATAACAAATTATGAAGTTTTACTATTTTAAGTGTACGATCCAGTGATATTTATTTTATTCACAGTGTTGGTCATTACTATTAGTATTTCCAAAACTTTTCAGTCACCCAAAATATAAACTCTGTACCCATTAAGCAGTAATTCCCCATTCTTTCCCTTCCCCAACTTCTAGCAATGTAACCTGTCTCTATGAATTTGCCTGGTTTAGATATTTCATAAAGGTGGAATCAACCTACTTCTCCTTTCATGTCTGGCTTGTTTTACTTAGCATACTGTGTTCGAGGTTCACTCATGTAACGTGTTTTGGCAGTTCATTCCTTTTTATGGCTGAATATTCTAAGTATATATCACATTGTGTTTATGCAGTTATCTATTCATAGACACTAGATTGTTTCCACCTTTTGGCTATTGTGAATAATGTTTAATTGTAGTACAAGTATTTGAGTCTTTATTTTCAGTTCTTCTGGTTATATATGTAGGAATTGCTGGGTCATATGGTAACTCTCTGTTTAACTTTTGGAAGAACCACTAAACTGTTTTCTATAATGAGTGCACCATTTTACATTCCTATCAGCAGTTTCTCCACATCCTCATCAACACTTGTTCTCTTCTCTTTTTTTCCCTAATAGTCATCGTAATTGTGTGTGAAATAGGGCTCTAACTTCATTATTTTGTATCTGGAAACCTACTGTATGTCTCAGCACTATGTGTTGAAGAAATTTTCTTTTTCTCATTGAATCAACTTGGCACCTTTGAGGAAAACCAATTGGCCATAAGTTTGTGGGTTTATTTCTGGACTTCAGTTCTGTTCCACTGGTCTATATGTTTAGCCTTATGCCACTACTACACTATTTTGATTACTGGAGCTTTGTAGTAAGTTTTGAAATTGGGGATTGTGAATCTTCCAGTGTTTTTTTCAGGATTATTTTGGCTGTCAGGGGCCCCATTGCAATTCCAAATGAATTTTAAGATTAGCCTTTTCATTTCTACAAAAATACTGTAGCAATTTTGATAAGGATTGCATTGAACCCACAGGTCTTTTGGGTAACATTGCCATCTTAACCATATTGGGTTTTACAATCCATGATCATGGAATGTCCATTTATGCTATTTTAATTTTTTTCAATTATGTTTTGTAATTTATTGTGTATTGTCTTTCACACCTGTGGTTAAATTTATTCCTTATTATTCCTTGGAATATTAGAAGCTATTGTAAATGGAATTGCTTTCTTAATTTCCTTTTTTGTTTGTTCATTACTAGTGTATAGAAACAATTGATTTTTATTTATTGATCTTATAACCTGCAGCTTTGCTAAATTCACTTATTAACTCCAGTATCTATCTTGTGGATTCGTTGGGATTTTCAATATATAGGATTATATCATAGGCAAACAGAGGTAGTTTTACTTCTTCCTTTCAAATTGAGATGCTTTGTATTAGTCTGTTTTGCATTACTAGGAAGAATTACCTCAGGCTGGGTAATTTCTAACAAATAGAGGTTTATTTGGCTCATGGCTCTGCAGGCTGTACAATAAGCATAATACCAGTATCTGCTTCTGGTGAGGACATCAGGAGGCTTACAGTTATCGTGGAAGGCAAAGGGATAGGAGGTGTGTCATGGCAAGAGAGGGAGCAAGAAAGAGGGAGGAGGTCTCAGACTCTTCTTAACAACCAGATCTCGTATGAAATCATTACAGTGGGGAGAATACCAAGCCACTTATGAGGGGCCTGCTCCCATGACCCAAACACCTCCCACTAGGTTCCACCTCCAACATTAGAGATCACATTTCAACATGAGATTTGGAGTTGAAATCTAAATATTTAAACTATATAATTCTGCCCCTGGGTCCCCAACTCTCATGTCCTCCTCACATTGCAAAATGTAATCATTCCTTCGCAATAGTCCCTAAAAGTCTTAACTCATTCTGGTATCAACTTGAAGGTCAAAAGTCTCATCTGAGACTCAAGGCAAGTTCCTTCCACTTATGAGTCTGTAATATCAAAGCAAGTTATTTACTTCTAAGATGCAATGGTGATACAGGCATTGAGTAAGCATTCTCATTCTGAAAGAGACATTGGCCAAAAGAAAGGGGCAACAGACTTGGCAAGCAAGTCCAAAACCCAGCAGGGAAGACATTAAACCTAAAAGCTCCAAAATAATTCTTGACTTCATGGCTCACATCCGGGGAACACTGGTTCAAGGGGTGGGTCCCCAAGGCTTTAGACAGCTCTACCCCTGTGGATTTGCTGGTGCAGCCTATGTGGCTGCTGTCATGAGTTGGAGTCCATTGTCTGCAGCTTTTCAAGTTAAAGGTGCACACTGCTGCTGACTCTACCATTCTGGGGTCTGGAGGGCAGTGGACCCCTTCCCACAGCTCCACGAGGCAATGCCCAAGTGAGGACTGTGTGTGGAGCCTCCAACTCCACATTTTCCCTTGGCAGTGTCCTAGTAGAGGTTTCCTATGAACCCTCTGCCCCTATAGCAGGCTTCTGCCTGGGCACCTAGGCTTTCTGATACATCCTCTGAGATCTAGGTGGAAGCTGCCAAACCTCCTCCACTCTTGGATTCTGCACACCTGCAGACTTAACACAATGTGGATTCTTCCAAGACTTATAGCTTGTGCCTTCCAGAATGGCACCTTGAGTTGTACCTGGGTCCCTTTGAGCTTTGGCTGTATCTAGAACAACCAGAATGCAGGGAACATCTCTCCAAAGTGGCAAAGAGCAGCAGGACCCTGGGCCTGGCCCCTGAAACTATTCTTTGCTCCTAGGCCTCTGGGCCTGTGATGCGAAGGGCCACCTCAGATATTTCTGTAATGCCTTGAGACCTTTTTTAAAATCGTCTTGGCTATTAGGACATGACTCCCATTTATTCATGCTAATATCTCTAGCAATGGTTGCTTGCTCAAATTCCTCACCTGGAAATGCTCTTTCCTTCTCTACCACATGGCCAGGGTATAGATTACCCAAATTGTTATGCTCTACTTCCCTTTTAATGATAAGTTCCAACTGTAAGTTCTTTCTGTGCTCCCATATCTGATCACTGGCCATGAGAAGCTAGCACACCAAATCTTGCATGCTTTGCTGCTTAGAAATTCTTCCACCAGATACCCTAAGTCATCACTCAAGTTCAGTCTTCTGCAAAGTCATAGGGCATTGGCAAATGCAGCGATGTTCATTGCTAGGGCATTACAAGAGCAATCTTTGCTCCAGTTCCCAGTAAGTTCCTCATTTCCATCTGAGACTTCATCAGTCCAGCATTCACTCTCCATATTTCTATTAGCATTTTGGTTACAATCATTTAAACAGACTCTAAGAAGTTCCAAACTTTCTTTGTCTTCCTGTCATCTTCTGAGCCCTCCAAACTATTCCAACCTGTGCCTACTACCCAGCTTTAAAGCTGCTTCCACATTTGCAGGCGTTGTTATCACAATGCCCCACTCCTTGGTACCAATTTTCTGATTAGTCAATTTTGTATTTCTATAAGGCAATAGTTGAGGCTGGGTAATTTATAAAGAAAAGAGGTTTATTTGGATCATGGTTCTGTAGACTGTACAAGAAATATGTCACCAGCATCTGCTTCTGGTGAAGGCCTCAGGAAGCTCCCAATCATGGTGGAAAGTGAAGGAAAAGCAGACATGTCATATGACAAGAGAGGGAGCAAGAAAGAGGGAGAAGTTCCCAGACTCTTTTTAACAACCATATCTCATGTGAATATATTACTATGGGGAGAGCACCAAGCCTTTCATGAGGGATCTGCCTCTGTGACACAAACACCTCCCACCAGCCCCACCTCCAACACTGGAGATAATGCTTCAACATGAGATTTGGAGGATACAAATATCCAAACTATGTCAGCCTTTTATATCTTTTTTACGTCTACTTTTTCTGCCTAGAATTTACAGTACAATATTGAGTAACAGCAGTGAAAGTGGGCATGAGAGGGCAATGCTTACCTCTTAGAATGAGTTAGGAATTGCTGCCTCCTATTCTATTTTTTGGAGGAGTTTGGGAAGGATTATTTTCCATTCTTATTTATTTATTTAGAGAGTTGACCAGCAAATCCATGTGGTCCTATGCTTTTTAAATTTTTTAAATTTTTTTTTTTTGAGATGGAATCTCGCTCTGTCACTTATGCTGGAGTGCAGTGGCACTATCTCAGCTCACTGCAACCTTTGCCTCCCGGGTTCAAGCGATTCTCCTGCCTCAGCCTCCCGAGCAGCTGGGACGACAGGCGCGTGCCACCATGCCCGGCTAATTTTTTGTATTTTTAGTAGAGATGGGGTTTCACTGTGTTAGCCAGGATAGTCTCGATCTCCTGACCTCGTGATCCACCTGCCTTGGCCTCCCAAAGTGTTGAGATTACAGGCATGAGCCATCGCGCCCATACTGGGAGTGTTTTAATTACTGATTCAATTTCTTACTACAGGTCTGTTGGGATTATTCATTTCTTCTTGAGTTGGTTTAGGCAATTTGTGTTTCTAGGAATTGGTTCTTTTCATCTAGGTTATCTAACTTATGGGTATACAATTGTTCATATTATTATAATCTTTTTTATTTTTGTAAATTTGGGATAATCCTTTTTATTTTTGTAAGATTGATAGTAATGTTTCTACTCTTATTTCTAATTTTAGTTATTTGCTGCTTTGCTTTTTGTCAGTCTTAACTAAAGGCTTATAATTTCATTTATCTTTTCAAATAAACAACTTTTGGTTTTGTTGATTTTGTTGTTTTTCTATTCTCTATTTCATTTATCTCTACTCTGATCTTCATTCTTTCCCCCTTCCTGCTAGTTTTTTCCTGTTTCCTCAAAGTATAAAGTTAGATTAATGGTTGGAGATTTTTCTCTTTATATGGGTATATGCAGTTATAAGGTTCCTTCTGAGTATTGCCTGTGCTTCATCCTCTAAATTTTGGTATTGTGTGTATGTGTGTGTGTGTGTGTGTGTTTATCTTTATTACTTTCTAAGTATTTCCTAGTTTACCTTTTGATTTTTTTTCTTTATCTCATTGGTTTTAGAGGGATGTGTTAATTTTCACACATTTGTAGTTTTTCCATATTCATTACATTGACTTCCAATTTCATTAAATTGTGATCAAAGAAGATACTTTGATTTTGACTTTATTAAATTTATTAAGAGTTACTTTTTGGCCCAACATAGTCTATTCTGGACAATGTTCCATATGCACTTGAGAAGAATGTGTGTTCTGCTGTTGATGGGTGGAGTGTTCTATATATGTTTGTTAGGTTTAATGGGTTTATAGTGTTATTCAAATCCTCTACTACTTTATTGGCCAACTGTTTAGATGTTCTCATTAATAAAAGTGGTGTATTGGAGCCTTCAACTATTATTGTAAAATTATTTTTCCCTTCAATTCTGTCAGTGTTTGCTTTATATATTTTGAAGCTATGTTTGGTGCATATATATTTATAATTTTTGTAGTTTCTTGATGAATTTACTTTTTTATCAATATAGAATGTCTTTATTTTTTGTAATTTTTTTTAGACATAAAGTCAGTTTTGCCTGGTACTAGTATAGCTACCCCAGGTCTCTTTTGGTTACCATTAGCATGGAATATTCTTTTCCTTCCTTTCACTTTAACCTATTTGTGTCTTTAGATTTAAAGTGGGTCTCTTGTAGACAGAATATAATTGAATAATTTTTTAAAAATCCATTCTGCCAACCACTGCCTTTTCATTAATGAATTTTAATCCATTGACAATTGAAGTAACTTTTGTTAAAGAAGGACTTCTGCTTGTTTGATATCTGTCTTCCAAATGGATAAATCCTTTTTTCTGTTCCTCATTTTCTCTATTATTATTTTCTTTTGTGTTTAGTTGATATTTTTAAATGAATTGTTTTGCTTCCTTTTTCAGTTTCTTTTATTTTTTTAAATATTGTCTTGGTGACTACAATGGGGATTACATTTATCATAATAAATTTGTAACAGTCTAGTTTGAATTGACATCAACTTCAATAGCATACAAAAACTTTGTTCCCTTTACACTTGGACACAGGGTGGGGAACTTCACACACCAGGGCCTATCGTGGGGTGTGGGGAGGGGGAGGGATAGCATTAGGAGAAATACCTAATGTAAATGACGAGTTAATGGGTGCAGAACACCAACATGGCACATGTGTACATACGTAACAAACCTGCACATTGTGCACATGTACCCTAGAACTTAAAGTATAATAATAAAAAAACTTTGTTCTCTTTATGTTGCTGTTGTGACATATTATATCTTTATACATTTTATGCCCAATAGCATAGATCTATAATTATTTTTATGCTTTTGTTTTTTAAATAATGTACAGCAGGGATCCTCAACCCTTGGTACTGGTCCATGGCCCATTTGGAATTGGGCCACACAGCAAGAGGTGAGTGGTAGGCGAGTGAGCATTACCTCCTGAGCTTCACCTCCTGTCAGATCAGTGGTGGCATTAGATTCTTATGAGCATGAACCCTATTGCGAACTGGGCATGCGAGGGATCTAGGTTGTATGCTCTTTATGAGAATCTAATGCCTGATGATCTGGGGTGGAGCAGTTTCACCTAAAATCATCCCCATCCCTGGTCCATGGAAAAATTGCCTTCCACAAAACCAGTCCCTGATGCCAAAAAGGTTTGGGAATGCTGCTGTAGGACACAAAAAGTAGAGTTATAAATTAAGAATACCATAGTGCTGGATTTTACATTCACTCATGTAGTTACATTTATCAGAGCCCTTTGTCTCTTCACACAGTTTTGAGTTATTACCAGTGTCCTTTCATTTCAGCCTGAAGGTCTACCTTAGTATTTCTTTCAAGACATGTCTAGTGGTAACAGACTCCCTCAGTTTTTGTTTACCTTGGAATGGCCTAATTTCTCCCTTATTTTTGCCTGATATAGAAATTTTGGTTGTCAGTCTTTTTCATTCAGCACTTTAAATATGTCATTCCACATGCTTTTAGTTTTCATAGTTTCTGACGGGGGAATTGGCTGTTTATCCTAATGCGGCTCCCTTGTACAAGAGGAGTTGCTTCATCTTGCTGCTTTCAATATTTTTTGATTTTTGAGAGTTTGATTATAATGTGCCTCAACGTGGGTGTCTGAGTTTATCTTAGCTGGGATTTGTTGAGATTCTTGGGTGTGTATATTCATATCTTTCATCATATTTAAGACAATTGTTTTAAAGTCTTTGTCTAGTAAGCCCACTACCTGGGCTTTCTCAGGGATAGCATCTGTTCATTTATTTTGTTCCTTTAAGTAGGCCATATTTTTCTGTTTCTTTATATAACTTGTGATTTTTGTTGTTGAAAACTGGACATTTGAATATGATAACCCTGGAAATCAGATGCTCACCCTTCCCTGGGGTTTGCATTTTCTTTCTATATTTATTGTTGAAGGTTGTAGTAGTCCATTGTCTAGTGACATTTCCAAACTATTTTGGCAGAGTCTATATTGCTTGTCATATATAGTTCTTTAGTTTTTTTTTTTTTAATCTCATGTTTGACAGAGATTTCCTTGAACATCAGAGGTGGAGCCAGTGTTGGGGGCAAACAAGTACCTCTTTCAGGCTTTGCAGATTGGCTCTTTTCTAGGACCCTTCCCTTCTTGAACACTTAGCCTGATTTTCACTGAGACGAGAGATTCATCCAAGGTGAAACTTAAGATCTTTTGAGGTCTTTTTTGAGCATGGTTCTTGCCCTTGGCATATGTATGGCATTCTAAATTCCCCCATAAATACAGGTAACTTTGATTGCTAAGAAACTCTCTTCCCAGGTTTCTCTCTTAAGCCTTGGTCTGTTTGTTGTATGTCTCAACTTTAATCTCCTGCCTTAGATGTCAGTGGGTTGCTCATCCACTTTGCAGTGTTTTCAAATAAGGCCCACTACGTTTCTGGCCTTGGTGATTTTTCCAGTTAGACCAACTAAGATAAGCACCTTGCATGACTCTTTCAGATCACCCTGTCAGGTTAGAACAGACCTGTATGATAATTTGCATATAAGGTCTGCTATACTTCCTCTGGTATTAGGGAACAGGATCCCATACTGGGAATGTGGGCTGCTTTCTTCAAGAGTGTTGCTGAGCCAGGAGAGTGTGGGGCATGAGCAAGTAAAATACCAGAAAGCTTTTCAACCATTTATAAATTAGCTTTTCCTTGATTCCATGTTCACTAGGTGGCTGTAAGCCTTTGATTGTTTTCCAGAGTTCTGACAATGTTGATTCTGAAAGTTTCTGCTTGTTTTTTGATTTGTGTGTGTGTGGTTGGGATTGGTGGGGACCAAGGGGTTTGAGACTGCCTACTTGGTCCTTTTGCTAATTTCTTAAGGAAATTGACTTATCTTGTAGATTGTTAGAAAATTTATCTTAATACTTTTAATGAAATAATTGTTATTAATACATTGTGGAGTACTGGTTAGCTGTCAGATGAAGAAGATCTCAGCCATAAAGTGATCTACAGGATACATTTTTAAATGAGAAAAGAAAGGTGGAGAAAACATGAAAGTTTCTCATCATGTATCTGGAAAAAGGAGTTTGGGAGATCATGCCATTGTGTGTGCATATTTGCTTATATTATGGAAAATGGAGTAACAAAATTTTTGAGTTTGCTATAGGAAGGGAGAAAATATATGTGCGTTGGAGATGTAGAATCTAGATATAATGGAATATTCCTTATTTTGTAGATTTGATGTGAGAATTAGGTATTTCAAATAATCATGAAACAAAATTTTACAAATACAAAGCAAACTTTATTAATGTAAAATGAAAGACGTTAACTTAATTGTATCCAGCTGGTTAATGCTCATACAGAAATGAACTATTTCAAATGACCTTATGTATCTCCCTCTCTCTCTCTCTCTCTCCCTCTCCCCCCTCCCTCCCTCTCTGTCTCTCTCTCATCTCTCTGTCTCTCAATAGACACATCCACATATTAAAAAAAATTTTTCAACCGTCTTTGTCCATTGAAAAGGCCTAGAAACAGTGGGCACACAATGGCAAGGTCAGAAATACAGAAAGGAATAAGTATAAATAAGTGTATATTGGTAAATATAAATGAATATTGACTGTTTAAACAATATCACATGGGTTAAAAATTTAAATTAAAATACATGAAAATGATATATAAATTATGAAAAAGTAAAAAGTTAGATTCTGATTAATAGATCTGGGGTGGGGATGGAGATTTTGCATATTTTTCCTATTTCTTCTAAAAATTTCAATAGTTTTGGGGGTACAGGTGGTTGTTGGTTACATGCATAAGTTCTTTAGTGGTGAATTCTGAGAGTTTGGTGTATCTTTCACCCAAGCAGTGTACATTGCACTTAATATGTGTCTTTTTTATCCTTTACGAAAAGTTAAATTTTTATTTTTAGTTCTGGGGTACATGTGAAGGATGTGCAGGTTTGTTACACAGGTAAACGTGTGCCAAAGTGGTTTGTTCCACCTATCAACCCATTACCTAGGTATTAAGCCCAGCATGCATTAACTATTTTTCATTTTTAACAAATTCCCGGATTATTTTTATTCTTTCTGTCTAAGAAAACATTGTGGCTAGCAAGGCATAGTGTCTTTACTATCTTGGAAGAAGTAACATAGTAGTAGACTTTAATATGTCAGGTGTGATTGATGTAATCATTATTATAACTATAAAAAGAGTAGTAAAAGAATATAAAACTACCTGTGAAGCAGATTCACTCTGCACTCTTCACCTTATCTGAGTCTGGTGAGACAGAACACACTCATACACAAGTTACATGAAGTGGTTTATTACTTATCGATAGGCAGCAAAGGACAACAGTAGCCTAGGATTCTTCACAAGCCAGTCCCCCAAAGATCAGGAAAACTGCCTTGGACAGATGGAGTCTCATCTGTGTGGGTCTAACTTGCAGCACAGCTGAGGGAACCTGGAAAGAAGCCCAACCAGAGTTTTATACCCAGAGGCATTGTGTTTCACTGTGATTCAGTGCTAAAGCACTGAAAGACATCCTGTTTCTCTGGGGAGACTGAAACAGAGCCCAGGCTCTTCTGCCCCAGCCCCCCATATCTCAGGATGCTGCATTTCCACCACATTCTACAGTTATTCTTGAGAATGACAAGCAAGAAAAAGGAGAGAACTGGATTGGTCCAAGGCCATCTGGACAACTGTCCTGCACTCTCAAGTTAATGGTGAAGGAAATGAAATAATAAAATATAATTGGTTTGAAAAGAACTTAAGAAAAAATGGAAGAAATAGTAGTTAGATGGTAGACTCAAACCCAAATGTTTGTGAACTAAATGTTCCAATTGAAAGACAAGATTGTCAGGCTGGTAAAACTATATGCAGCTTTATAAGAAATATAAGAAATATTTAAAATATATGACAAAGAATGAAAGTAAAGGATTAAAAAAAGATGGTCATGGAAACTAACCAAAAGAAAGCCGTGGTAAATATCAGAAAAGGTAATCTTTAATGAAGAATATTACGGCCAGGAGCAGTGGCTTATGCCTGTAATCACAGCACTTTGGGAGGCAGAGGCCAACAGATCACTTGAGGTCAGGAGTTCGAGACCAGCCTGGCCAACATGGTGAAACCTCGTCTCTACTAAAAATATAAAAAATTGCCAAGCGCGGTGGCTCACGCCTGTAATCCCAGCACCTTGGGAGGCCGAGGTGGGTGGATCACGAGGGAGATCGAGACCATCCTGGCTAACTCGGTGAAACCCCGTCTCTACTAAAAATACAAAAAATTACCGGGGTGTAGTGGCAGGCACCTGTAGTCCCAGGTACTCAGGAGGCTGAGGCAAGAGAATGTCGTGAACCCAGGAGGCGGAGCTTACAGTGAGCCGAGATCGCACCACTGCACTTCAGCCTGGGCAACAGAGCGAGACTCTGTCTCAAACAAACAAAAAAAAATTTTGCTGGGAGTGGTGGTGCATGCTTGTAATCCCAGCTACTTGGGAGGCTGAGGCAGAAGAATCACTTGAACCCGGGAGGCAGAGGTTGCAGTGAGCTGACATCGCACCATTGCACTCCAGCCGGGGTGACAAGAGTCAAGCTCCATCTCAAAAATAATAATAACAATAAATAAAAATAAAAGAATATTACTGGAGAAAAATAGAAACATTTTGTAAAAGTAACTTCTCCTCACCTGGAATATTTTGAAAAACTGGACAAATGAACTTTTGTAACAGTCAAAGCTTATCTAGATTGGGCTGCTCAGGAAGTTGCAAGTTATCTCCCATATTGTGCTCCAACCATTCCAAACTCACTTTCTCCAAACACACAGGCTGTTTTATAGTTCTGTGAGTAGATACAAACAAAATCTTTTTAGTGTGAGAATTTCCCCAAGGTAGCATGGGGCTACACTGGAGATTTTGATTTCTCACCGAATACAACCTCTTGTCCCTGTTGCCTACTGTAGTGCCTGACACATAGAGCTCAAAAATCATGGATAACTCTGTGGATGGAAAGAAAAGAGGACTCCTCAGGCCTTCTCCAACTCTGACGTTCTTGGAATTCCAATTTACTGAGCAGAGCCTTACTCAAGATCTGATGAATCAATTAATGAGTATTAGGAGGGGTCAAGGGCAAAATCAGGATCAGAGGAGATCATCTAAAAATAGCTAGTGTTTTTAACCTATCAGTTATTAATAGTTTATGTTTGCAGACATGTTTGGGTTCAGAGATTTGCAAAGAAGGTCCCTTATTTTTCTTTGTAGTTTTTGCTAAGGAAGGGGATGGAGAAAAGGGACAGCCTCACCAGGACTGTGAGTGTCAAATGGCATGTCTGTCTATGAGTGTCAAATGGCATGTCTATATGTACCCTCTCCTCTCCTCCCCCATCACTGGGGATCATTCATTTTGAATTCCCAGAATCTTTTCCACTCAGCATTCAATGGTCCATCTCTAATTCCTACCTACTGTCATCCTATTACCCTCTAGGTGGCCCTCTTTGAGAAGCTAAACCACACACATAGCTGTAAAGAACACAAAAAGCCCACACCTGTCCTGGAGGAAGAAGCATTCTGCATGCTGACAAAGTTTGAAAATGCAGTTACTCCCTGTATTAGGCCATTCTCACATTGTTATAAAGAGATACCTCAGACCGGGTAATTTATAAAGAACAGAGAGGTTTAGTCTGGTGGCAGTGGCTCACACCTGTAATTCCAGCACTTTGGGAGGCCGAGGCAGACAGATCACCTGAGGTCAGGAGTTTGAGACCAGCCTAGCCAGCCTAGCCCATTTCTACTAAAAATACAAAAAATTAGCCAGGCATGGTGGCGCCTGCCTATAGTCCCAACTACTTGGGAGGTTGAGGCAGGAGAATCGCTTGAACCTGGGACAGGGAGGTTGCAGTGAGCTGAGATGGCACCACTGCACTCCAGCCTGGGTGACAGAGTGAGACTCCGTCTCAAAACAAAAACAAAAAAACAGAGGATTAATTGGCTCATGGTTCTATGGGCTGTGCAGGAAACATGGTGACAGCTGCTTCTGGGGAGGCCTCAGGAAGTTTATAATCATGTAGGAAGGCAAAGAGGAAGAAGCCACATCACGTGGTGAAAGCAAGAGCAAGAGAGCGAGAGGGGAAGTGTCACACACTTTTCAACGACCAGATCTGGGGAGAATCACTCACTATTGCCAGGACAGTACCAACAGTACGGTACTAAACCATTCATGACAAATCCACCCCCAAGATCTAGTCACCTCCCACCGGGCCCCCCCTCCAACACTGAGGAATACAATTCAATATGAGATTTGAGTGGGAATGCAGATCCAAACCATATTACTCCCCTAGTCGCAGCCCCCGTATTTTGCTCCCACAGGCCATGTGACTGGCCTCTTGGCAGGCTCTCACAGTGGTCCGGTTGATGCCCCTCAATAAGCCTGAATTAAGGCGTAGGCACTTCCTACCCTCTCCCCACTCTGAGGACAGATGGTGGTTTTCGGCACTGAACACATCAGTGATTCTCCAAAATTGATCCAAAAATTGATGAAATCGGCTGGGCACGGGTGGCTCACGCCTCTAATCCTAGCACTTTGGGAGGCCGAGGCGGGTGGCTCACCTGAGGTCAGGAGTTTGAGATCAGCCTGGCCAACATGGTGAAACCCTGTCTCTACTAAAAATACACCAAATTAGCCAGGCGTGGTGGCAGGCACCTGTAGTCCCAGCTACTCGGGAGGCTGAGGCAGAAGAATCGCTTGAACCAGGAGGCCGAGATTGCAGTGAGCCAAGATAGCGCCACTGCACTCCAGCCCAGGTGACAGTGCAAGACTCCGTCTCAAAACACAAAAAAAATTGATAAAATCTTTCTCAGATTTTTATTTTCCAGTGATTTTATACCGTCAATCTACATGAGAATTTCAGGTGTCATCTAATCATTTTTTATCACCTACTTTGAAATTTCTGCCTGATACTATCACTTTAGAATGTACTATCTGTAGCATATTGTAAAGTACAAATACAGTGCAAGACATATATGTGATTTACAATTCTCTAGTAACCATATTTTAAAAGGTAGAAAATTATGAGTTGCGAAAATTTTATTTAATACATCTAAAATATTATCTTAGCATGTAATCAATACATTATTATATATTTTACTTTTGTTTTTGCCACTAAAACGCTTCAAATGTGGTGTATATTTATCGGCCTTTCAATTTGAACTAGGAACTTTTCAAGTGCTCATGAGTCACAGGCGACTAGTGACTACCATATTGGACAGTCCACTTGTTATCTATGTCAGCTCAAATGAACAACATTTAAACATGTTAACTAGTGTTATACAGTTATGGAAGTGAAAGTTTTTTTTTTTTTTTTTTTGAGACGGAGTTTCGCTCTTGTCGCCCAGGCTTGAATGCAATGACGAGATCTCGGCTCACTGCAGGTTCCAGCGATTCTCCTGCCTCAGCCTACTGAGTAACTGGGATTACAGGCATGCGCCACCACACCTGGCTAATGTGTGTGTGTGTGTGTGTGTGTGTGTGTGTGCGCGTGTGTAGTTTTAGTAGAGATGGGGTTTCAGCATGTTGGCCAGCCTGGTCACAAACTCCTGACCTCAGATAATCCGCCCGCCTCGGCCTCCCAAAGTGATGGCATTTTATAAACTTCCCAGTAATTGGTAAGTGTGAAGTGGTGTCTCACCTTCACCAGACTGAACTGTTTCTTTACATGTTGTACTCTCATTGTGCCAGCAGAGGGCACCTGGAGATGGCAAGACAGTATTAACCTTGAAGCACTCCCAGACTGAGACTATCTACTGGATTGGCTGAATGTGAAAACCAAGGCACCAATTCAGTTAGAAAAAAAAAAAATCCTACCTTTACAAAAGCAGTACTTTATCAATGAGTAAACATATCTCATTGTGTTTCAAAGATACTACTAGTAGATGCTAATTGTAGAAAATCTGAGAATATTGACAAGTAGACTTTAAGAGAAGAGTTTGAAGAAAATAGAAAAGAAAGTGCATTATTGCAAAAAGTAGCCAGTCGTGGTGGTGCGTGTCTGCAGTCCCAGGTACTCGGCTGGCTGAGGCGGGAGGATCACTTGAGCCTGGGAGGTCAACGCTGCAGTGAACCGTGGTCATGTCACTGCACTCCAGCCTGGGTTACAGAGCCAGACTCTGCCTCAAAAAAAAAAAAAAAAAAGAAAGAAAAATAATAGAAAGTGCATTATTGACAATAAAATTCCTGATAGAGGAGCCAGAGACATATATTCATATATGTTTTATATATAAAACACAGACCTAAATGTGTATATATAAGAAATTGCCCTTACATATATGAGAAACTTGCCTAATATACACCTATATGTGCATATATAAGAAACTGGCCTTTTATAGACATATCTCATTGTGTTTCAAAGATACTGTGTTTTTTTTTTATAAATTGAAGGTTTGTGGAAACCCTGCATTGAGCAAATCTCACCACCATTTTCCTAACAGTATTTCAAACTTCATTATTGTTATATCTGTTATGGTGATTTGCAATCAGTGATCCTTATGTTACTATTGTAATTGTTTTGGGGCATCATAAACTATGCCCAAATAAGATGGTTAATTTAGTAGATAAATACTGTTTGTGTTCTGACGGCTCTACCAATAGCCATTCCCCTATTTCTCTCCCTCACCTCGGGCCTCAGTATTCCCTGAGATACAACAATATTGAAATGAGGCTATTTAATAACCCTACAGTGGCCTCCAAGTGTCCAAGTGAAAGGTAGAGTTGTGCACCTCACACTTTCAATCTAATGCTAGAAATGATTGAAGTTCAGTGAGGAACATATGTCAAAAGTTGAGACAGGCTGAAAGCTAGGCTTCTTGCACCAACCAGCCAAGTTGTGAATGTAAAGGTTTTGAAGGAAATTAAAAGTGCTACTCCAGTGAATACACGAGTGATAAAGTGAAAGAGCCTTATTGCTTATATGGAGAAAGTTTCAGTTCTCTGGATAGAAGATGAAACCAGCCACAAGTCTCCTTTAGCCAAGCCTACTCTAGAAGAAGGCCCTAATGCTCTTCAATTCTTTGAACTATGAGAGAGGTGAGAAAGCTGCAGAAGGAAAGTTTGAAGCTAGCAGAGGTTGGTTCATGAAGTTTGAGGAAAGAAGCCACCTCCATAAAAGCACAAGATGAAGCAGCAAGTGCTGATGTAGAAGCTGTAGCAAATTGTCCAGAAGATCTAGCAAAGATGATCGATGAAGGTGGCTATACCAAACAACAGGTTTTCAATGTGGATGAATCAGCCTTGTATTGGAAGAAGATGTCATCTAGGGCTGTCAAAGCTAGAGTGAAGTTAATGCCTGGCTTAAAGCTTCAAAGGACAGGCTGACTCTCTTTTTAGAAGCTAATGCAGCTGGTGATTTTCAGTTGAAGTCAGTGCTCACCCTTCCAAAAGTCTGAGAATCCTTAAGACTTCTGCTTAATTTACTCTATCTGTGCTCTATGAATGGAAAAATGTAACGTGGATGACAGCACATCTACTTACAGCATGGTTTGCTGAATATTTTAAGCCCACTGTTGAGACCAACTGCTCAGAAAAAAAAATTCCTTTTAAAATATTATTGCTCATTGATGATGCACCTAGTCACCCTAGAGCTTTGATAGAGATATACAAGGATATTAATGTTGTTTTCATGCCTGCTAACATAACATCCATTCTACAGCCCGTAGACCAAGGAATAATTTGAACTTTCAAGTCTGATTATTTAAAAATTTCACATTGTGAGGCCATAGCTGCCATAGATTGTCATTCCTCTGTTGGATCTGGGCAAAGTAAATTGAAAAACTTCTGGAAGGGATTCAACATTTGCGATGCCATTAAAAGCATTCATGATTCATGGGAAGAGGTTAAAATATCAACATTAACAGGAATTCAGAAGAAGTTGATTCTAATCCTCATGAATGACTTGGAGAGGTTCAAGACTCCTGTGGAGAAAATAAATGCAAATGTGATTGAAATAGCAAGATAACAATAATTGGGATGGTGCCTGAATACGTGACTTAATTGTTGCAATCTGATGATCAAACTTGAGTGGATAAGAAGTTGCTTCTTCTGGATGAGCAAAGAAAGTGGTTTCTTAAGATGGAATCTACTCCTGGTGAAGATGCTGTGAACATTGTTAAAATGAAAACAAAATATTTAAAACATTATATAAACTTAGCAGGTAAAGCAACAGCATGGTTTGAGAGCACTGACTCCAATTTTTAAAGTTATATTGTGGATGAAACTCTATCAAATAACATCCCATGCTACAGAGAAATCTTTCATGAAAATAAGTCAGTTGATGCAGCAAATTTCATTGTTGTCTAATTTTAAGAAATTGCCACAGCCACCCCAACCTTTTAGCAACCACCACCCTGATCTGTCAGCAGCCATCAACATCAAGGCAAGACCATCCATCTGCAAAAAGTTTGCAATGGTCTGAAGGATCTTTAGCAGTTTTTAGCAATAAAATATTTTTAAATTAAGGTATAATGCTATTGCACACTTAAACTATGTTAGAGTGTAAACACAACTTTTATGTGCACTGGGAAACCGGAATATTTGTGATATTTGTTTTATTGCAGTGGTCTGGAACTCAATCTGCAATCTCTCAGTGGTATGCCTGTGCATCATATTAGAGTATACATAGGTCATATATAATATGAAGATGAGGGAAAAGAGAATGCAGATGCACATAGGATGTGCTAGTAGAAAGTGAATGGAATTTCTATTTTTGATTTCTTTTTTTCCTTCTGTGTAGTAGAAGGGAATTTCCTGTGTTGAGAACGAGGAGGCAAGGAAGTTTGAGGAACGTGAAATATGACGACAAGTTATGTTCTACAATAGAACAGTGAGATTTAGAAGCTTGTGGAGAATGGTGACAGTTTAGAAGAAGAGCTGAGCTAAATGATAGAGGGGACTGACTAGGAATTGCTGAGCACTGTAGATTGAGAAAACAGCTGTGATTGGACTGTGCTCATTTATTGTGGCATCAATCTTCATGGTTGCTTGGTTTCAGCAGCCACATCGGCAACCCATATGTAGAAGCAGAAGAGGTGAATGGTTGAGAGTGATGCATTGTTGGGGTTCAGATGGGCATGTGTAACAGGGAGGCCTAGAGCCAGAGGAGAGAAAGAGGTTAAGGTAAAGCACTATGAGATCTTTGGGTGAGGCCAGGGGGGCAAGAAGTAACATTCTTGGAGAGTAGGGAAAAGTTTTCCATCAGATCACCACAAGATCAGAGTTCACGGGTCATGAAATAAGGGGATTAGTGTAAAGGATGAATTGTTATAGTCAGAAAGAAAATATTTTAGATATGGTATAGGTCTTGAGCCCATATAGTAAATAACTGAAGTGGAGTGCAAAGAGAGGCAACTATGGTTGAGAACACAAAGACCCATAATCCTACGCTGTTGGAAGTATCATTTTTATGGGCAGTGAGTCCCAGGACATGAAAAGAGGAATTATCATGGAAGCTTGTATTAATATCAAAGAAAACAGATCGGGGAAGGGCAACAATTTCATGATGCTGATCTCCAAGTTAATCCTTGGGTAATCAGGAATTTGTGTAAATTTATAGGCATAGGATTTGGCAATGCTGCTAGGACAAAATGAGAATCCTTTCAAGATAATAAATTTTAAATGTTTTCAGTCCATGCACCATGTGGTTTAAGAGCTTTAGACAGATTTGGATTTAGAATTACGTCCTTGACTTGCCAGCTGTGTGGTTTGGGAAAATTATGTATGGGCTCTGAAACTTAGCTTCTCTATCTTTAAAATGGGAATAATAATATACCATACTTCAACATTTTACAGTGCCCTTTTCAAGGAAAATAGTCAATAAATGATAGCTGCATAATCAAAGGTAAGGAAAAAACCCAGATAGGTTTATTGATAAAAGCCAGAGCATATTCAAACTGCAAAGATGCTCTGAGTTTATTATATATAATAGCCTCACTTGTGGACAAAGCAAGACTGAGAAAGTAGCTGGGAGATGTTCAAGATTATACAGTAGAATTATCAGATTTCCAGCTCTTAGCTGGAATGTATAGCACCATCTTTTTTATTTTTGTTAGACTTTCTGGTATAACTCCTTGGTGTGGACATTCCTTACTTCCCAGTATAAGGAACTCAACACTGCTCAAGAAAATCACTCCATTTTGGGGGGGCTGGGGAGAGGGGAGCAACTGTAAGAGTTAGATTTTTTTCTTTCTGCTGTATAAGTCTATTTTACTTCGTTTCCAATCATTTTGACCTTCGTGTGGCTCTGGCAGTTCTATTTTCTCTTCTGCATGACAGCTCTTCAGCCTTCTGAAAACAGTGACTGTTGCTCCTGAAATTTTACTACTCTGACATAGACATCCCTGGGGTCATCAGTATCTTTTTATGATACAGCCCAGGGCCTTTGCACTTCTGATTGTCTCCTCTTGCCTATTTTAGTCTGTCTTTGTCCCTGCTGAAATCTCACCTCCAGGCATGGTCTGAATGCTACAAAACTGAGTTCAAGCTATTGCTTCCTAAATTTGAACACCGTTCATGCAGTCACAGCCCACATCGATCTTTTATTAAGCTTTCAGTCTATTTTCTCATACACCGTTTTTATGAACATCACCAGAAGTACAGGTGAGTTTTACAATAAAGGGCAGAGCTTGCTCTTTTTCCAGCATTCATTTTGTTAGGTTCGCTTATTGTCTGTGTTTGATGAATTTTTTTTTTTTTTTTTGGATACTGACTTTGGCAAATCGAATTTATGTGCAGATTTGATGAAGACTGGATAAGTTTTCAGTTACTGGTAGCTGCTTCATTTAGAGTCCTGGAAAAATGTCTTCTCAGTCAAAGCCCCTGAGCTTTGCCTCTTCCTGGCACATATGGGAAGATGGGAAGAAGGAGGGCTACATGCAGTCTCTGGCAACATGCCTCTTTGTTATTAGAGATGAGATAAAAACACAGGGCTTGCAAACTCTAGTGCTTGTTACACTGGTCCATGACAGCATTTTCACATCAGAATCAAAAGTATTATTTGTTTTGGGGAAGGATTATTTTTGATTTTCAAATTATGCCCTTTATTCTACTTTGAATTTAAGTTTTTTTTAGTTTATAGGACAAATGTGATAGCGAGAATTTTAGAAACTTGTTTACTTGGGAAAATAACATTTGTCAATCTGTTGATCCACCAAAAAAAAAAAAAATCACGAAAACCTCAATTTTTGGAGATCGCTGGTCTCTAACTTATTAAGATGCATTAAATAAGTTGAGTAAACTATACATGTTTTACTTCTTCTGAATACTAATTTCTACTTAAGAAATAGTCGAGGCTACAAAAAGAAGCAATGGGGAAAGGATTCCCTATTCAATAAATGGTGCTGGGATAACTGGCTAGCCATATGCAGAAGATTGAAACTGGATCTCTTCTTTATGCCACATACAAAAATTAACTCAAGATGTTTTAAAGACTTAAATATAAAACAGCAAACTATAAAAACCGTGGAAGACAGCCTAGGTAATACCATTCAGGACATAGGAACAGGCAAAGATTTCATGACAAAGATGCCAAAAGCAATTGCAACAAAAGCAAAAATTGACAAATAGAATTAAAGAACTTCTGCACAGCAAAGGAAAATATAAACTATAAACAGAGTGAGCAGACAACCTACAGAATGGGAGAAAATTTTTGCAAACTATGCATTCAATAAAGGTCTCATATCCACCATCTCTAAGGAACTGACATTTACAAGGAAAAAATAACTACCCCATTAAAAAGCAGGCAAAGGACATGAACAGACACTTTTCAAAAGAAGACATACATACGGCTAACAATCATCTGAAAAAAAGCTCAAAATCACTGAACATTAGAGAAATACAAATCAAAACCACAATAAGATACCATCTCACACTAGCCAGAATGATGACTGTGAAAAAGTCAAAAAGGAACAGATGCTGGTGAGGCTGCAGAGAAAAAGGAATGCTTATACACTGTTGGGGGGAATATAAATTAGTTGAACCCTTGTAGAAGACAGTGTGGCAATTCCTAAAAGACCTAAAAACAGAAATGCCATTTGACCCAAGAATCCCATTGCTCAGTATATACCCAAAGGAATATAGAATTTGTTCTATTCTAAAGACACATGCACACATATGTTCATTGCAGCACTATTTACAATAGCAAAGAAATGGAATCAGCTTAAATGCCCATCAGTGATAGACTGGATAAAGAAAATGTGGTACATACACACCATGGAATACTACGCAGTCATAAAAAAGAATGAGATCATATCATTTACAGGAATATGGATGGAGCTGGAGGCCATTATCCTTAGCAAACTAACGCAGGAACAGAAAACCAAATATTGCATGTGTGAGCTAAATGATGAGAACATATGGGCAAACACAGGGGAAAAACATACACTGAGCCTTTCAGAGGGTAGAGGGTGGGAGGAGGGACTGGATCAGAACAAATAACTAATGGGTACTAGGCTTAATACCTGAGTAATGAAATAATCTGTTCAACAAACTCCCATGACACAAATTTATCTACGTAACAAACCTGCACATGTTCCCCTGAACTTAACATGAAAGTTAACAAAAAAAAAAGAAATAGTCGATAAATTAGAACTCACTGTGTGTTTGGACTGAATAGCATTACCAAGACAGTAGTTGCAATGCTCACAACTCCTCTGCGAGGTAGGGAAGGCTGCACGTCTCACTGTACAGAGAAGGAAGCTATTGAGTGGCAGGGCCAATGTGGCATAGTGGGCTTGGTTTCCAACGAGCACGTGTGATTGCCTCTGGAGCTTTTAGATCAAGTTATTTAAATATAGCTAGCATAGTCATGAAATAGAAGGGTACATTAAATAGAAAGTGGGGTAGTAGGTAAAGCTTCTGTGTAGCCTTGCAGAAGTCAGATCAATTCTCTTGGCCTTAGTTTACTCAACTATTAGACTCTGTTTAGTGAAGCCCATTTCCAGCTATGAAAATCAAGTTTTTTGCCATGTCGATAGAATGCAATAGGAAAGAACAAAGGAATAACAAGTATGTAAAATTAAAAAAAGAAATGCGGTTAAGGGCTCTCTCTCTTTCTCTCTTGTAGGTGTGGGTGTGTGTTGGCGGGTGTCCCCTAATGGAAATATGAGGTAACTGTAGGGACAAATTATAGGAAATAGAAAATACATGGCAGAAAATACATGTCCGTATATTGATACAGACAATGAAATTGGTTGCTTTTTGTTTATGGTATTGGTGGGAAAATGACCCCCTCATTAATCAGATGGGACCAGGTGGCATGAAGAAACCCTGGGTTATCTTGGTAAATGCCTAATCTTTCCTCTCTTCCTCTATCCTGTTCTACTCTATTTTGATGGACATGTTCAGCACTTTTTGATCTATAGCAATTAAAAGAGAGCTTTTGCTGATGGAAGCTTGTCAGGCCTTTGAATCTGACACCAGGACCAGAGGGAGAGCTGCATCTGCCGTGGGAGTCTGGGCTGTCAGGTGATGACAGGGGCTTGCCCTTCCAAGGGGAGATCGCCTTTGGCAGGAGTAAGTGCTTTCACCCAGAGGCAGCCCTGCTAGTGAGATGAGAGCAGTGTGCACTGAGTTAGCAAAGTCAAAGGAGCGAGCTGGCAAATAGAATCACATCACATCTGCCAGAGAAAGTGATCAAAAGCAACAGGACCCAGGCAGCTGGCAAAAGGTGACCCCTGGATACTGGGCTGCTTCAAAAACACAGCTGATCCCAAAGATTGTGACAAGTGAATGAATGTGCTCACTATAAGTCTCTGCCAAGTTAAATAATACAGCTCTCTCTCCTTCCTTCCCTCTCTTTTTCTCTTTCTTCACTTTTTAAAAATCCATTCTATCTAGTTTACTACTGATATGGTTTGGCTGTGTCTCCACTCAAATAGCATTTTGAATTGTAACTCCCACAATTCCCACATGTTGCCGGAGGAACCTGGTGGGAGGTGATTGAATCATCGGGCGGGTCCCGTGCTGTTCTCGTGATAGTGAATAAGTCTCACGAGATCTGATGGTTTTAAAAATGGGAGCTTCCCTGCAGACGCTTTCTTCTCGTCTGTCGCCATGTGAGATGTACCTTTCACTTTCCTCCATGATTGTGAGGCCTCCTTAGCCACATGGAACTGTAAGTCCAATAAACCTGTTTCTTTTGTAAACTGCCCAGTCTCGGGTATGTCTTTATCAGCAGTGTGAAAACAGACTAATACAACGACTTACAGATTATGAAGAAATAATGTTTTGTACAAGGTGTATACTTTTGGATTTTGGGTGTTCTGATTAGACCCCATTGATTTCTTGGGAACACTGCCCCTACTAATCTGAATGCTTCTGCAAGCAATAGACTATACTTAATTGTCTTTTGTCTCCCATCGGTTGAGAGCCACATGTTTAAATGAAATGAAAAACTGTTTCATTTCAAATTCAAAAACAGTGTATTTTGCTAAAAGCCATGCCTAAGGAAGAAAAGTAGGTTATTTATTTCTGTATATAGAAGGAATATTTTAATCTCCTGATTTATGGTTCCTCGGCCACAGTCTTTGTTTGTTCTTTCATTTAGCCTTCAACTTTATGAAGAGAAGAGGTCATTTTCTCTTGAAATTTAGTTTTCCATTTTCTTTATAATCAGATGGTAACTATTTCAGATGCACTCTCAGCAGGAAAACATTGAACATTTTTAAATAAATACATTTACTGCAACTAAACCAGCCATAGCATGTCTGCTCATTAAGGTTTGAATTTTGTTAAATGTTTGCTAAAAACATATCTTTATGTCCTAGAAAACCAATTCACTATTCCATTGCAGATATATACATCGAGGAAACTGAGGCCCCAAATGATCATAGGATCTGCCTCATGTCACCCAGTTTATTAATGGCAGAGATAGTTCTTGAACTATTTATCCTTGACTCCCACCCTTGTACTCTTTCCAGCCTGCTTGTGCCACCTCCCTCTCCAAGTAAAAATCTATTATCCAGTGAGACTCAATCAATGATTGCTACATTCTTGTTATTCAGAGTGTGGTCTGGGAACTAGCATCATGGACAAACCCTGGCAGCATGTTAAAATGCCGAATCTTAGACTCCACCCCAGACCCATGGAATCAAAATCTGCATTTTTAACTCAATTCCCAGAAGATGTGCAGATTGAATTGTATGATAAACCTAAGAACCTAAGTTCTCAGGTGAAAGTTTTTAATTGAATAATATATTTCATTAGGTTTTATAGGATTGTAAAACATCTTATGCATATTTTTATTTTAACTGTTAAGGCTGTTAATTATTCTTTAATTTAGCTTGTTAAATGACAGAAGTTTAGCACCATCCATTTATTTAAGTGCAAAAGTAAGAGTGATCTCTAACCTTAGGCTGGCTATTAGAGAAAGTAAGACCTTTGGGGGCTGACATTCAAGGCCTTTCGTAGTTTGGCGTATAATAGGGGGCTGTGATGGTGTAAACAGATTGCTAAATGTGAAATGGACAGTTGTTAAACTGGACTATCCCTTTTCACTGAGAAATACACAATGCATTACAAACTCAATCTTAAAACATTCTTTGCAAACATAAGTTGAAGGCAGGACATTTTCTTGTCCTCTTCCTTATAAGTGAATAGCAGTGGTAGGAGATGGTCTGCCATCACAAACTTAAACCATTTAATTCCTGCTTTGGAATGGAGGAGCACAGGCTTTGCCTTTGCACACTTCATTTTCATTCATCTCTTATTTTCCCCTCCTCTCCATCTGTATGGTCTGTGCCTTGTCCTCTTGTGTCTCACTGTTCCAGAAATGTATTAAACAGTCTTGTTCTTCCAAATCATTTTCTGTGATGCCAACAGAAATGCCTTTAAAAAACAAAACAAAACAAAATCTGATAATCTGAGCTTAAAACTTCCAATGTCTTCTATTCTTATAAGATTAAGTAGAAACTTCTTAATAGACCTACATCTTAATGTCCACTATGATTTGGCTCTGACCCAATTTACTAATGCAATGTGTTATCCTTGCTTGTGCTCTGGATAAGAAAAAGAACATTCCTGGTCTATAAAAGGCATTATAGAAAAAATGGGAGAAATTTGAATTTATTCTGTAACTTTGATCTGTGTATCACAAGAAGTATTGCATCAATGTCAAGTAATTTTACTAATTTTATTAATTGTAATGTTTATGTAAAAGAACATCCTTCATTTTAGAAAATTACACTCAAGTGTTTAGAGCGTAATTCTGTTTGCAGCTTTCTCTTTAGAAAGTATTATACGTATATATATGTATTTATGTACACATGTATACATAGTCTGTGGAGAGAAGGAGTCATATGAGAGGGAAAGAGAGAAAGTATGCATGGGAATGCTGAACACATGCAGTAACATGTTAACATTCAGAAATTTAAGACTTTTAGGATTTCTTTGTGCTATTACTACAACTATTCTGAGTCTAAAATTTCAAAATAAAAAGCGGAAAAAAAATAAATTTTTATCAGCTTGTCATGTGGATCATCCTGCTGCCATTACATTTCTGTTATAAGATAGTAATCCACAAAATAGCTTATTGACTTATTTTTTAATGGAATGAATCTTATGAAACAATAGGCTTACTATGATTCAAGTTATATATGTTATATACACCTATCTATTTTAGTATAGAAAATACACTAAACGGTAAATATACAAATGTTAAGGATAGTTGTCCTTTGGCAGTGGGATGATGGATGATTTTAACTTATATTTTCTTTTGCTTATCTGTTTTTTCATAATTTATTCAAATGACTTTTTAAAAATTAGAAAATAAAATTATTCACGCAAATTATTTGTTAAACTTTATTTCATTTTGTTTTGAAATTAAAATTACAAGTAATGTATTTGCATCTTACTTTGCAAAATATTAGTGTCTATTTTAACATTGCTTAATCAGCAATTAAATGATTTCTCTAATATTTTGTTTTTCTTAGTTGTTGACAGAGATAAACAATTGAAAAAAATATTGCTTTTTCCTCAACCATTAGTCAATAGTTGTCATCTACTTTAACACTTGAATTTTTACTGTAGCTGCTAGAAATGGACACACTGAGTGGTTTGGATAAATATATATACCTTTGTCATGAACCCACTGGCAAAAGTATTATTAAGTGCCAAAGAGAACAGAAGTCAGGTACAGAGAAAACCTAAAGAGATAAACACCCTATATGTTATTTCTATTTAAGGGACAAAAGTAGTTATATGTTTGTTCAGTGACTAATTCGTTGCCTAAATAATTGCATTTTGGCCACACCAGGACACTCATTGCTTATCAAAAGGTGATTTGCTAATTAGTAGTTTTCACC
The DNA here is from genome assembly GCF_000001405.40 of Homo sapiens. Lineage (NCBI taxonomy): Eukaryota > Metazoa > Chordata > Mammalia > Primates > Hominidae > Homo > Homo sapiens. Next base: position 191,428,792 of record NC_000003.12, read on the forward strand.
TAAAAACAATGAAGAACAGAAAATTGAAAAAGGAAAGCTAAACTCTTTCTTAGGGTTTGACTTTGTCCTCTTCCATCATCAGTCTTGGGAGAAAGACTCTGTACTTTTGGAAATTAATAATACTTTTTTTCTTATTTTTTTCCCTACTTAAAAACCACAAATACTGAATCTAAATTAGAAACTTTGTAATTCCAGTGCAAAAGGTAACTCATTTATGTTTTTCTCAAGCAACACACACACACACACGCAGATGTACATGGACACTCACATGTACATATTTATTTTACTAAAATGGGATTCATATTATTTTGAAACACACCCTTTAAAATTGATATATTGTAAATACCATTCCCTCTAAGTGTTGTTCCACTACAATTTTACCATAAACAGCTGAAGTTAATTTACATTTATTTGATATTTATAGCTTTCCAGTTTTTTTCTTACTCCCCTAATAAAGACAACACTTTGATAACTATCCCTCTAGCTAAATATTTGTGTACATTCTTAAATGTTTTCTTATGATAAACTCCTACAAATATGATGAAAAGATTAAAGACTGCATTTAAAAATATTTGTGATATATGTTTCTTTTTTCAGAGTGTGAATAACGTTGTATACTCAAACTCTGAGAAACACATGTATGCGGCATAACGCTGGGTATTATCTATAATCCATGTCAACTTGATAGCTTAAAAATCCTGTCTTGTTTTAAGACACATTTTCTTGATTACTAGAAAGATTAATCTTTTAAATATACTTGTCAGCTATTTATATTTTTTCTTATGTAATTTATCTTTTATTTTATAACTAATGCTAAAATATGAAAATGTTAGAGATGAAAAAATTCTTGTTTTATATTTTTAAAACCAGAGAACTTATTTTCAGATAAAGTCTTAGAAGAAAACCTTACATGGAATAGATAATGTGTACCTGAACAGGTTGAAGTAGGAAAGCAAGACTTAGCTAAAGATGTTTGAGCAGGGTAGTGGACATTTTCAGAATTAATGGAATAGAGAAAAAAATGAGAGGAAAAAAAAAAGCAAAAAGAAAAAACAAATGAACAAAAAAAAACAAGCCCCAAACAGATGAAAAACAAATATAATTATGTGTTAAAGAAAAAATTATTCTAATGCTTATTAAAGACAGTAAGAAAGACTTTATTAAAGCCTTGTGGGAGGATGACTATCAAGATAAGTGTAAGGACCACTGAAATTGGGTCTTGCATTGGGAAGAGAGATTGAGCTTGACACCGAATGTAAAAAGGAAAAGTAGGAATTTATAGCCAAGGAGCAGAGTGAGGGTCGCTCGATGAAAAATTGCTAAGAGGAAACATCAAGGATCGAGGTGGTATTCCGGCTAAATGTACTTAGTAGGACCCTTGCTGAAGGCAAGCCAGTGTGATAAGACATCCAGTATGGGAAGTGAGGGATTTGATTAGATATCGAAGGTGGAGGACTTTCACTTAACTGACTTAGCCAGATTTGTGCTAAAATTGGACCGTGCAGAGATGATGTCAGAAGTCTAAAGGTCAGGACTTGTTGGAAAATTGCTTATAGGAACCTGAGTAGAGTTTGGCCAAGGAAAGAATCTTTGTCACATACAAGTGAGGAGAGAAAAAGACCTCAGTATTTATCACAGGCCAGGTCAATTGCAAGAATACCTTTTTACTGCTTTTTTCCTCACCCTCTTTCAAATTCTTTAGGGAATTCTTAAACCTTGGAGAATGTTTCCAATTTAATTCAGTCTAATGTTTAGAAAAAAAAATAAGAAAACCAGAATTATGATAACTTAATTTTTGGTTTCTCCTGTAATGCCAGAGCTGCAGGAGTATAAGGGAACACTGCCTACTTCAGTGCTGAATGGACAAGTAAATCACCTGTAGGTCTGGGAGGAGGGCCTGGGTTCTGCATTTCTATTAATCGCCTAAGTGATACCCTTGTCACTGCTCTAGGGAAGACAATAAGGGGCAAAATCAGCTGAACCCTCTTATTTTATAGACAAATTACTTGAGAGATGTGGGGACATCTACATCTACCTGTATGGCAAAGTACATGACCATAAACCTTTACACACACACACACACACACACACACACACACACACACACACACCCCTACCTACCCGGGAATCTGGATGAAATGTAATAGAGCTTGAATTAAAGTAAGAGTAATCTCCAGGAACACCAAGGAAAGTGCACTGAAAACTATTGACCTGATTTTCCAAATGAGTCTTAGAGAGGGGAAGGTGACTTGCTCAAAATTATATCTTTGTAAGCCCAGTGTGAGCACTTGTACAATTATTCAATAGAACCTGAAGAAAATATTGACACATAACAATGGAAGAATTCCTGCATTACCACATAGTAAAACTTACTGTAATGCTACTATGATGAAAACAACAGTAACAACTGGAGAGAGGGGGCAGTGGAGATCAGACGTGGTGAGTTTGAGAGAACTGTTAGACCTCCAAGTGGAGATTTGATGTGGACAAATAGACACATTCCTCTGAAGTTTAGGAAAGAGGTTTCATATGGAGATTTGGAAGCATCAGTGTAGATATGGCATTGAAACCCACAGAACTGGATCAGATCACTAGAGACTGATTGTCTCTTGAGAAAATAAGAGGTCTAAGGATGAATCCTGGGACACTCTACACTTCAGAGCTTGGGAATATGAAGTGGAACCAGAATCAAGACTGAGAATGAGTGACCCATTGTAAAGGAAGAAAACCAGGAGAAGGCAGTGTCCTGGCAGCCATAGGAATAGGAGAGAAGGCAGAGAATCTGAACATAGTTGTTGGTAGGAGGGTTTTTGTGAAAGTTCCCTCATGATTACCTAACTTATTGATGAAAAGGAAAATTATTAACTAAGAGCGATGGTGGAGAAAGATAAGGTGGAAAATGGCTACTGACGCATTGATTTAAAAAGACAAAGTGAAACGAACATGGAAACACTTCAATATGTGTGTGTGTTTATGATATAATTTATGTTAAAAACATAATATCCTATATATTCGTTATATGTGATATTTTATATATAATATATATATCATAGAAAAGAATATAACAAATACATATCAGATTTCCCCAGAGAAAGTGGAGAAGGGAGAAACCTAGTTTTACTTTATAAACACCTATATTTCCTTTTGAATTGTTATAGCAAACATACTTTACTTTTGAGTAAAGGTAAGAAAAAGTAGTTGGTCTTGCAGACCTTTGTTAAGGAAGTAACAAATCTGACACAAAGGTAACAATAACCTTTGTGAGACTGACTGCAAGATGGCTCAGGATTCCCAGGTCCTTGGAAGACATTTGGGTCTTACTCAGTGAAGGCCCTTTGTACTGTGAGGGATGGTCTGTGTTATCTTAGTCAGCTCGTGCTGCTATAACCATGGACTGCGTAGCTTATAACAACAGAAATTGATTTCTTACAGTTCTGGAGGCTAGAAGGCCAGGATCAAGGTGCCAGCATTGTTGAGTTCTGGCGAGGGCCCTCCTCCCGTTTGTAGACTGTTGACTTCTCATGGTAGGCTCACATGGCAGAAAGAGGGTGAGAGGGTCCCTTTTGTAAGGGCACTAATCCTACTTAAGAGGGCTCCGCTCTCATGACCTAATTATTCTTAAAGGCCCCTCCTCTAAATATATCATGTTGGAACTAGGATTTTAACATATGAATTTTGAGGGACACAAACATTCAGCCCTCTGTGTATGCCTTGCAGAGCCATTTCTTCTTTGGATGTCTCACTGTGGGGATAATAGGGTTTTTGGGTAACTGTAAGATTTTGTTGTTATTGTTTGTTTTTGTGGTAAAAACCTCTGACATCAGGTACCTGATACTGAGAGAGATATTCAGACATACGGTGTTTTTTCACATAAAGTCAACATTTCCCAAGAAGCTGGCCAAGTTCACCTAGAAGCCTTCTGTTTCACTATAATTAATTTCTCAAGCCTAAGAGTTGCTATATACAGGGCTTTTTTGCCTATCCTAGAGAAGTACTAGGACAAGTTTCTAGAGATCTCAGAATTGAGGGTCTCTGAATATGGCCAGATTACAATCTATAATTGCAGGTTTAGGGCTAATTCTTGATAGCATTAACCTCACCCAGAGTTGATCTGTGAATCCTTGTGCCAACCTTTAGATCTTCACAGTCATGTATAAACTCAATAGGAATACTGGCTAATGACTGCTGGCCTTTCTTCTAAGCTGAGGCCATGTGACAGCCCCTACTTACTCCAGAAAAGCTAAAGAAATCTTTGAGATCTCTATCTTGGATTCCAGTGCTTCCAGTGGCAGTTAGGGCTATGGTCTTCCTGGGATTTTTTTTCCCATGAGAAGATAAGGTAAAAGATTTCTGGGGGCAATCAGGGCACAACCAATCAGCTCTAGGGGGCAGCCTGGACACCGTCACTGACCTGGAAGTAGCTCAGGTGCTGATTCTGCCTTCAGGGTGCACACACCCTTATGTGATGAAGGAGGAAACTCATGGGGTTTCTGGACAACCTGGCCTTCAGAGAAGGACCTAGGGTTAATCACTGGGTGTTCCTACACCTACTGTGAGCTTCAGAAACAATTCTGGGCTCCATCAGAATTCACAAATGATTGAGAATTTTGTAACTTTGGAGCATTTCAGAGATGGCCTGATGTACTGCTAAGTAGCTGAACAGATTTTGGGGACATTGGGGATACCATACCTAATTCTATAGCCCAAAGTCTTTTTCTTTTTTTAGACAGAGTCTGGCTGTCTTACCCTGGCTGGAGTGCAGTGTCACAATCTCAGCTCACTGCAACCTCCACCTCCTGGTTCCCAGTTCAAGTGATTCTCCTGCCTCAGCCTCCCGAGTAGCTGGGATTACAGACACCTGCCACCACACCGGCTATTTTTTTTTTTTTTTTGTATTTTTAGTAGGGACGGGTTTCACCATGTTGGCCAAGCTGGTCTCGAACTCCTGGCCTCAAGTGATCTGCCGGCCTTGGTATCCCAAAATGCTGGGATTATAGGTGTGAACTACTGCACCTGGCCTGGCCCCTAAATCCTCTTAATGCCAGGAATCATCTTAGGGTTTGGGGGCTTCGAGTGAAGGCAAGTGCTCACAATTAAAAACACTGGAATTTTCTTAAAGAAAAGGAGGCTCCTTCTGACAGCCACTGGACATTTTGGGGGAACCATAAATTCTCGAGATCCTGTCTCTGAGAATAATGTCTGTGTTCCTTCCTTCTACTGTGGTAGGAAGAAAGAGTTAAATTGAACCCTCTAAGGTCAGAAGAAACAGTTGGAATTGTGTGAATGAGGTTCTGGAAAACTAGATTTCTGAAGCTAGACACTAGCAAGATTAGGTCTGTTCTAGAAGCCATTAGGAAGACCCAAGGTGAGGTTCTGAGGCCCTCCAGGCTCTGTGGGAAGAGCATGAGAAAATCCCATTTCCAGGAATGAGATTAGTCCTGGAATGCTGCTGCAATTCCATTGCTGGCCGGCTTTTGCTTCTGGGCATGGCTGGCTGTCTCTGGCAAATTTTCACAGGTTTTGGCCTATTTAAAAGAACAGCCCTAATACTTAGGAGATCTGTGGGTGTTTAGGTAAATTATTTATGGCCTGAAATCTTTTACATTCACTCTCCAAAGGAGTAATGCAAAATGGATGAGGCCTGAGTTCTACCTCAATGCATAAACCATGCTCAGTCTTCTTGCAGAATGGTCCTCTCTGTGTGGAGTCTTTTGGCAACCTCTGTGGTTTTTAAACTTTTATGGCCCAGACTTCGCTCAAGGTGAAGCAGGTGTCTGTGTAATTTTATTTTAGCAGTAACATTCTTGTGGAATTGTTGTTTGATTCTCTTCTCTCATTGGGGTACTTCTGGGCTGAGTTTTTAGCAGGGGAACACTGGCTGTTAAGATTATTTAAAATTTTAAAATAATACAGAGAGGAAATATTATTTTCATTTTGCTGAAGAAGAAATTTACAGTATGATAAATTACTTTACCTAATATTACACAGCAGATAGTTGAGTCTTTTCTCCTGTAATTCTGCTTTAGTTTATATTGCTTTTTAGCTTCTAGAATGCCATCAACATCTGTTATATGTGGGTAATCCAATGATAGTTTCAGGTCATGTCAAATCATAATTCTCATTCTTTGGACTTTCTACTTTGCGAGAAAGACTTTAGCTCCAAAGGAGTGTATGTAACTTAGTAACTTGGTTTTATTTCTTTGTGAATATAAGACAAAAATCTTGCTTGGGTCTGGCTGAAATTATTTATCCTCTGACATCTGTAGTAAAACTTATTTTTCCCTTGAAAAATTAGAACTTAAGTCCTGAGTATACCATTTTTGTTTGAGAATATTGATGACCCCATTTCCCAGCTTTCTGATGATTCTGACTGCTTAGTACTGACTCCCTATTGCACATCTGTGTGATCATGCCTGATGCTCCACCTCCGTGAGCATGTATGCATGTATTTGCTTGTCAGCTCAGAGTATTGCTTCTGTGTGGATCAAGTTAGATAAGAGATGTGAAAAAGATTTGTACCTTCTTCTAAAAATATGAAGTGACATTATTGTATTTGAAAACAAAAACCAGAATGAGCAGGAGCCAAACTGTTTTCCTGGGATAATCTGCCTCTAAATATATCAATATAATGAACTAATTGGTCTGTCTGCACACTTACAGATGAGGAGGAAAGCTCAGCTTGTTTCTAACATCTGTAGGATATACATGTCTCCCTATTTCCCAGATCCTGTTGGTCCTTGGCTACTTTTAATTGGTTATGTGTTACTTGTGTCAGCAGTACTCAGCGAGGTTTCAATGTGACTGTGATTATTGGCATCTTGAGGACAACTGTGTTACAATTCACTTGTCAATGGCTTATGCTGGGAGTTGCCATAAAATTGTGGCCCAAGTATACCTTAATGGGTGGCCAAGTAGAGATATTTATTTCCTTTATTCTAAAAGAAATGTAAGTGCCATGATGGTTTCTGGAACTAAAATATTTAACTTTTGAAATAACATGGTCTTTATCCCCGAGGTACATTAAAATGATGGTGCTCTATTTTCATTTAGTTATCCGCTTGAATGAGAATGTGAGTAGCTGAAAGGGACCAAAATATCTGAGTTGCCTTTTTGAGAGGAATCAGAAATTGGTTGCTAATGGAGAAAACTTCTGAACTCAGAAACTCATAATATATTCTGTATTTTTTGCAGAAAATACCTAAATTACCCATGAAACTTTTATGAACAAGGCAATTTTTGAAGCTGAAAAGCATAAAATCATGTCGAAGCTCTCAAAGTGAAGAAGATAAAATTGTTCTTCACCTCCTTGCCAACCCCACCCCTGCTTTTTTGGCCTAGTTTTTTAGTGGAAAGTTCTCTTATAAAATTGCTCTTCTTTCAGTTCCTCTTTTCTGAGTGATTGATGTCTAGAGAATTCTGTTTTGCCTTGGATAACTTCAGAGAATACATTTTTCTTCACTGGATTCGGTACTTATTTGTGTCTGTACTATTTTTTTTGGTTCCAAAGGGTGGAACACCATCTTTGGCTTTTTCTGAATCTTCTCTTCATCCTTATTTTGTGGTTATTATAGAAGATGTTAGAGCATCAGACTAGTATTCATTTGGAAATATAGTGTAAGTCAGAGTCCTAATGGGAAAATGGAAACCATATTAGTTATTTAAAGTAGAGTAGATTTGCTTTGGGATACCATTACACAGATATTGATGAGCTGAAAGAGCAGAAGGGGAATACTGGTGACCTAGAATCATAGGTACAGGAAGAGCCTGGGACAAAGACCTATGTGGCTGGTTTAGTGACTGCAGAAAGAAGTTGCAGGCTTGACCAGGTGTCACTGCCAGCGCAGCTGCAGGGGAAAGGAGTAAGGCAGGAAAGAACTCCTTGTCCCTCTCCTCCCATCTCCCACTATTACTCTATTATGCTGCCTACTGGCAGAAATTCAGTTCCCAAACTGGGAATTGTTGTTTGCCATGTTTTGAGCCCCAACATCACAGAGTATAGAATGAGTTTAGAGGTAAGAAAAACTGCATAATGAATCAGCACAATCTCAATAATTTTTGACACAAAGAGTATAATTTGTTAGTTTACTTTCTCTCTATTTATATACTATCATCGGTGCAGGTTCCTGCAATTAAATATGTAATAAAGTTTCATCAAGTGGCACTTTGAATTAGTAATTTTCAACTCAATGCATTTTTATTCTATAATTCACGACTTTCCATTTGTTTCTCTGTAACTTTGGTAGCAAATATTTTAAATTAGCATTTGGTAATTCATAATATGGGATTTTCACCTTCTGTGCTGATTTTAGAACTTAATTTCCATATAAGTTGCAACTACAAACCATCTAATAATGTAGCAAACATATTAAATCAATTTATAAAGAACCAAAGTATGTAACAAGTTATTTTCCTCTAAAGAGAAAATAATTTGAGAACATATATAGCAGAATTTTTAGAGAAGGAATTTAGAGCTCACGTAATCAATGAACCTTGTTTCTAAAGTTACTTCCACATAATAGTCAATTCCTTCTTTACAGATTTTAGTGCTGGACTGAGATAGTAGTGAAAAAATAAATTTAGAGATAAAATAAATATACTCTTGACACACATGTTTTATTAACCCAGTTTTCTTGAATTTTACAAATTGGAAATATTTCAGGTGGATGAATAAGTAAAACACATGCAAAGAGAAACAAGAATAGGCTAGATTGGGATGTTAACTCAGCTTGTTAAAAAGGCTTATATTTAGAATCTACAATAACAAAAAGGCAAGCATTATCCTTTTTTGCATAATATTCTTTGAGGAATGCTCTTCCTATATACTTACAAGAAAATAATTTGATTTCTTTAGTGGAAGAAATTACCAAATAGTTTATTACAGTGAGGCAGGAAGTGTGCATAGATTAATTTAGCAAGCAGTTATTGCAGTCCTTCTGTAATGGAATAGAACTATGGCCTATCCTTTATATATAAGAACAAAGAGAAACTACAAACTGGGAAGCCAGGAATGGGGTCAAAAATTGACTTGCTTTCTGATCAGTGCCGCTTGTTAAGCACTCCCACTCACCTGAACCATTCAACAGTTGTTGAAACATCTGCTTTCCAAGATATTCATTTTTATTTTGTGTTTTTGCTCCTGCCTTTCTGTTAGCATGAAATGCCCTATTTTTCCCCCTTCCTATTGAAATTCAATCTGTCTTTCAAGATCCAGTTCAAATGCCATGAGTTTCATAACCCCCTCCTCCAGATTCTGTTAGTTTTAATCAGTTGCTTCTTCTTTACTCCTAGAAGATTTTGCTCTATCATTTTCTACATCTCCCACACAAATAATTCCTTATTTCAGATAATGTTCTCCTTTGATAATAGTACCATGGACTATTATGGATGAAAGCTTTATATTCTTCGACCCAGAAAACCATACATATTTATACACAAATGCATTTTCATAGGGTTTGCTAAGAAGAGGTAGAGAGTTTGAAAGGTGGACTGTTCAAATATCTAATGCACAATTGTTCTTGGTAATGAAATGCCTGATGTTTCCCTTCCCCTCTCTTCTTTTTCTTTCCTTTGCTTCCTTTTCCTTCCACCATCTTTCCTCTTTATTACCTTCCCTTCCTTTCCCTTCTCTTCCCTCCCCTCCCCTCCTTCCTTCCTTCCTTCCTTTCTTCCTTCCTTCCCTCCCTCCCTCCCTCCCTCCCTCCCTCCCTCCCTCTCTCCTTCTTTCCTTTTCATTCCCTCCTTTGTTCCTTCCTTCCTTCCTTTCTTCTCTCTTCTTTCTTTTCAGTTTATTTATCCTTTATCTAATACTGGTGTTTATTTTTTAGTGACTCCAAAATTTGGAAACTTTTTTCTTAGAATAGAAAGGTATTTTAAGAAAGAAAATTCACTTAGAAGCCAAAATTGATATACTTTGAATAACTTTGTTGGGGAAAAAAAAAACTGCATTACTCCGTTTCTAATATTATGTCCTCACCAACATTACAGAATTAAGTAGTGGAAAGAACACTAAACTTGGTGTCCAAAAATATGAGATCAACTTCAGGATCTACCAGATAATAATATTGTGAACTTCCAAATTAATGTAATATCCCTGAGCTTACTACAACTCTGTGAAATAAAAAAATGAAAGTACTATAGGATTGTGGAGATTGTGTGAAATCTATATGAAAGCACTTTGTGAACTATGTGCCACATTATTTAAGTTGTAGAAGTTGTTTTCATTATCATTATGAATAAGAATACGTAGATTATAAGATCATATTTAAACATGAACATCAAATATTTTCTAGAATATAAAACATTTCAGGGAAACAAGAAAGAGTACTTAGTGACCCGAGTCAGTAAAATTTACCTAAAATGCCTTAATTATTGTTCATTATATAATACCTCATTTAAAAAAATCAAAAGTGAGATCTAAAGTTAATTTGCATTGTATGTATTGAATTAGCACCAGTGAAAAGAACTATAATACAGTAGGAGTGGAAATGATCTTACTACAGACAATTCTGTCACTTAAAAAATCATTTCTTGACCCAGATTCTGTGTGTCAGATGTAGTATCTCTATATTGCAAGGAGTAAAGAGCCCGAGAGTGGTAGAATTGGAAAAAAGCTTTGTTTTTCCAGACATTACTTTTTGTGGTTTAGTTCTCCTCAGAGTGATTAAGTGCTGGTTGGCCTTACCTACCTTTAGGTTTGTACTTTATTAAGAGACCCTGATGGATTAATGGTACATAAGTTGTATTTCCTGGGATTCTGCTTGTCAGGAGCTTAATGCTGAAAGCAGATGACATGTAAACTGCCCCTGCAGCACCCATTACACTCAAATAAAATAGTCAATCATGAGTGGGTACTACATAGAATCACTACTCTTTTCATTTTGGTTTTAAAAATGTGAGGCTTTAAAACTGCAGAGAAAAAACCTAGAGGCCACAATATTTTAAATTAAACCTATCATTTACACTAAAGGAATGAGCCATACTTAATTTTTAATGTTCCAACATCTTTTGACTTTTCCATTTACAAGCTGTACAATTTTATGCAAGCTGTTTTTCCCCCTCTGAGTCTCAATTTCCTTTCCTGTAATATATGAAGAGGTTGAGCTATATCATTTTTAATAATCTTTGAAGTCTCAAAGATGCATTTGATTACTTAAAATAATGGTTTACTATAAAATCCCTGGAAGATAACCTAGGGAATATCATTCTGGACGTGAGACCCGGCAAAGACGTCATGACAAAGATGCCAAAAGCAATTGCAACAAAACTGAAAATTGACAAATCGGACCTAATTATACTAAAGAGCTTCTGCCCAACAAAAGAAACTATGAACAGAGTAAACAGACAACCTACAGAATGAGACAAAATTTTTGCAAACTATGTGCCCAACAAAGGTCGAATATCCAGCATCTATAAGGAACTTATACAAATTTACAAGAAAAAAAGCAAACAACCACATTAAAAAGTAGGCAAAGGAGATGAGCAGACACTTTTCAAAAGAAGACATACCAGCAGCCAACAATCATGTGACAAAAAGGTCAATGTCACTGATAATTACAGAAATGCCAATCAAAACCGCAATGAGATACCATCTCACACCAGTCAGAATGGCTGTTACTAAAAAGTCAGAACAATAACAGATGCTGGAGAGGTTGTGAAAGAAGGGAAGACTTATGTGGTGCTGGTGGGAATATAAACTAGTTCAGCCATTGTAGAAAGCAGTTTGGCAATTTCTCAAAGAACTTAAAACATTACCATTCGACCCTGCAATCCCATTACTGGATATATGCCCAAGGGAATGTAAATCATTCTATCATAAAGACATGTGCATGTGTCTGTTCAATGCAGCACACTACTCACAATAGCAAAGACATGGAATCAACCTATATGCCCATCAATGGGAAACAGGATAAAGAAAATGTAGTACGTATACACCATGGAATACTATGCAGCCGTGAAAAATGAGATCATGTCCTTTGCAGGAAAATGGATAGAGCTGGAGGCCATTATCCTTAGCAAACTAATTCTGGAACAGAAAAACACAGACTGCACGTTCCCACTCATAAGTGGAAGCTACACATTGAGCACACATGGACACACAGAAGGGGACAACAGACACTGGGGCCCACTTGGGTGTGGAGGGTGGGAGAGGGCGAGGATCAAAAAACTACCTATTAGGTACTATGCTTATTACCTGAGTGACAAAGTAATTTGTACACTGAACCCGTGTGACATGCAATTTACCTATATAGCACACCTGCACATGTACCCCTGAACCTAAAATAAAAGTTCAAAAAAATAAAATAATATTTTAATGAGCCCTCTACATATTGTTTCTTTTTAAAAGAATAGTATTTAAAGAGAATTATAATCTCAAAAATATCAATAGAATACCTTTTTCTTACATAAGACTTTTTTGGTCTAGCATGTTCTAGTTACATGTGCCTAATTATAATAACAGTCTTTCTCATTCACAGAAGTATGTAAAATAATTTAGCTTGCCTGATGCTCCCTAAGGGAGTATTTTGTATTTCTACAGAATGAGAAACATTATGTATTTGTGTGGGCACACATGTAAAATTACGGACAACGATGTTAGTGTCTACAATAAAAAGATCAACTTAGAAATTCGTGATTTGCTTTCTGTTTCTACATCTCTCTATGCATCTATACAAAGTGAAACACTTTTAAGTTTAAATTAGATAATGTACATGCTTTATCACATTACTAACTGCAAAAGATTACTAGTAAGTAGTGCTTGAATTCATTCATTCAACATTGATAGAGTACAAATATGTGGCAGACATTGCAAAAGACAGTGGGGGTAGGAAGAAGAAAATATACTGCACAACCTCAAGGAACACTGAACCTAGCTGCCTAGGGAACACATATTTGACTATATAAAATAATAAAATGATCTTGTAGCTGAGATTAGTTCAATGAGATTGTATGAGAATACACAGAAGGAGAATTTTCTCAGTCCCTTAAGAGAAAACAGGCACTGCTTCCTGGGTGATGTTCAAGCTGAGTCAAATGAGGAGGATGTGCAGAAGTGCAAATGTTTAAAGAGCATTTTTTCCAGAAATTCATTCAAAACATTCATTTCAATATGATTGAAATGTCAGTATTCAGTATATGCGTTTCAGTATGACTAAAATGTGGGCTGCAAGGCAAATTTGGTAAGATGAAGCTGCAGAAATCGGCAGTGACAGACTGTGGAGGGCCAAGTTGATATTTTATTTTGAAGACTGTGGGAATTCAATGACCTGTTTTAAGCATGGGAGGAAATGGGAAATAGCTTGAGTGGCTCTGCAGTTTAGAAGGATCATCCTGTTAGTTTTGTGGTGAAAATATTGAAGGCAAACAATCTGGGGGCAGGGAGAAGAGCTAAGCTATTAATATAAGTGGCAAGGTTCGGAAGCATCAGGAATTGCAGGTAAAGAGCATCTGGTAGAACAAAGAGACCTTTCGTGGGTAGCCTCATCAGGCCTCAGTGATTTGTGAAAAACAAGGGAATGGGAAGAATCAAGCATAATTTCTGTGTTCTGGGTTAGGAAAGGCGGTGGTTCCACTCATTGAAAAGGGAGGAGATTTGGTGGTAAGGCATTGAGTGATTTTGTGGCCCTGAAATAAGTAGACAGAAAAGCATAAAGGGCATTTAGCCATCGAGGTTGGAAACATAGATCTGTGCTTTATCAGTACAGTTTATTTGAAATTATAAGAGCGGATGGTGCCACCCAGGGAAACAGAATACAATGAAATCAAAAGAAGAACAAAGATGGAACTCTGAGAAATACTATCACTTCAGGTGTAACCAAAAGAAATTGAATCTATGAAGGAGGTTGAAAAATTACCACAGATATTGAAGGAAAAACAGGCAAGAATTACATTATGGAAGCCCTACAGGAGACAATTTCAAGAAAACTTGGTCCAGACATCTACATATTTAATAGATTTAAAGTAAAATCAAGGCTGACGTGTTCATTTTATTAGAAATAATGGAGTAACTGCTTAACCTTGTGAGAAAAATTTCCCTGGAAAGATAGGGATAGAAATTTTATAGCTGTAGGATGAGAGCAGAAAGGGAAGGAGAAAGTGTAGATTACCTGTAAAGAATTTAGTTAAGGGGAAATCAGGACAATTAGATGATGGCTGGGAGACCCTGAAATTAAAATTTTTTTTTTTAATAATGAGAGAGAGATTTATGTTTATTTATATATGAAGGGAAAGAAAGCAGTAAGGGAGCTGTCGAAGGTACCAGAAGAGGATGTTGTGAGGTCTCTCAGGAAGAAGAGGGTACGATTTAAAGCACAGGTTAAAGGATGATGTTGAGACTTGATATAAGATAAACCTTCTTGTGAGACTGGAGAGAGATGATAAGAATGAGTGGAAATATATCTATATTTATCGATGGACAGAGATGGCTAAAAATCAGGGAACTGAGTGATGATTATTCCTTCTGAAATAAGAGAAATTTTCTTTGTAAATGAATAAACTGATGAGATATCAATATTTTTGTGGATTTTTAAACTCTAATTTATTTGCACATACTTTCTCATGGTCTCTGTGGAATTAAAATGCTACCCTTAACATAGAAAACTATTTTCCCTATCAAAAGTTGTGTAGCATGATATTCTGACACATTTTTTCAATTGTTTTTTATTGCTGTAGGTGTCAGTGTTTGGTACTTTACCATGGCACGTGTTTACATACAAACGTGACCAGAGAACTACAACAAATAGTTTACAGGAGGTGAAGATTATAGAGGTATCAAAACTCTGTGTATTTAATGAAGTGAATGTATGATTAGCTCAGCTTCTAAGAGACTGGAAGTTGAGAACCTAGGGTGTTTCATAATGTTGGGCTTCAAAAATATATTTTTGAAATTGTCTCCAAGATAGGTCACATGTACCATGATTGAATTTTCTAGAGCACAATAATTTGTTAAGTGTAAACCTTTAACATATATTAGTTTGTAGCTATATTTTGGCATTTTTAAAATTCTGCAACTGCAAGCCTGAAAAAAATAGAAATGGCCTTGACCTGCCTTGTTCACTGAGATGCTCCATGCTTGGGCAGTGGTAATGACTCTTAGACATATAATCTAGAAAGCTTCTATTTCAAGATCACATTTTTGAATTTTTTTTTTCCATTTAGGAGTATAGTAGAAACAGAAGAAAGGGGAGATGTTTGTTAACAGAGCTTGTTATTATCTTTAATAACATGTCATTGTGTGGAAATTAAGACTTATCCATTGTGAAACTAGTTAAGTAAATCCACATAATAGAGCTGTCGTATTAAATCAATGATCAGACATCACCCGCTATTGCATGCTTCTGGCTTAGTTTATTGTTCATAGCAGCTGAAAAAGGAATATATATTTTTCTTTCTTGATTTTATTTTTAATGTACAAATAATAGTTGCATACATTTATGGGGTTCAATGTGATGTTTTGATATATGTGTACAAGGTGAAATGATTAATTGGGCAAATTAACAAAATTATCACCTCAGATACTTATCATTCTTTTGTAAAAAAAATTTGTAAGCAGTAAAACTTTACTCATATGCAACTCTACTCTTTAGACGTCTTACAGAAAGCCCTGCTTAGAACTAGAAGCAAAAAAAAATTCATTCTGAAAAACTTAAAATAGAAACATACAACTCACTTTTAGCTAGGGTTGCCAGAGAATTTCAATTACACATTATTGTACTTTATATTAGGTATGAGATTGTATGGTTTTTAAAGTCCATTTTCCCCCAAAAATTCTCATTTTATTTTGCTCTAAGATAAATGAGAAGCATAATAAGAATATGCAGTGTTCACTTCCTACTATCTGGAGCACTCAATTTGTTTTGTTTTTTAGTCTATACACTACCCACAAGTCTATACATTCTTTTCACACCAGCACTGAAACATTTTATATAATAATGGAACAGCAAGTTCTTTTTTGAAGAGGAATATTTTTATTCATCGAGAGATGCTGTTCTTTCCAGAGATATGAACATTATGTTCAAAGCAGCAACTCCAATCTAAAGGAAATGTGGAGGGAGCTATTTTCAAAGTGGCAACAGGAAGATTGGATATTTCATCAAAATAAAGAGGTTACTCAAAATTAACCAAACCCCTAACACTCAGAGAACAGCATACCGAACTTTCAAAAGGCGACCCATGTTCAGGTATCTGGGGCCTCTGCTGTACGTAAGTACATTACCCCACAGAGGAATTGAGTTAGTGTATTCAGAACAACTGGTTCTGCTGCAAACCCAAGTTGTTTGAAAATGGCCTTTTATTTAATTTTACCTCAGAAAGATTTAAAAAAAAAACTCAGTAAAAGGAGACACAGATGCCAAATGAGCAGGGTTTTTTTGTAATAAGGCTGCTAAATATTCCTTACCTTAAATGAGTTCCATAAGATAATAAACAAGATGAAACAAAATGCCTTAAAAGATTCGGGGGGATGGGGAAAATAAATTTGTCCCTACTGAGTAGGTAATATCCAGTGCTAATAATAAGAACAATTTTAGTCAGGTACCATGCATAAGACTCGACTGAATATTGGTTTAAACATACAAAAGACATTTTTGGACAATTGGAGCATTTGAGTATGGACTGGAGGTTGGATGACATTATGGAAATATTGCTCAGCTTTTGAGATGTGAAAATGGTATCACAATTTTATAGGGGAATGCCTCTATTGTTAGGAGAGTATGCTGAAATATTCAGGATAACATGATTTTAAAAAAAGACAACAAAACAAACAAAACCAACTAGACATTTAGCTATTTCATTGTTTCTGAGATGCCACTGATTGTCAGAAATATCATTAGTGTTTATACAAACAATTAAGAGAGAAAAATGCTGCCAATAAAAAGATAATGCTTTCACATAAATTTGCATTTTATTTTATACATACTGGCAGAGCTTTATAAGTCATTTTTGACAGTTTGTAGAATTATATGTCCATTTTATGGATACCTTAAAAATGAACACAAACAAAATAATTGTTTACATTTTCTGGAAGCTCCTCCCCATTCAGAGTCTGACTCTTCTGGTTCATGTTTGGACTCACAGCCATCCATATCCATGCCATTTCTCACAATATCACCCTTTGTACCATTAGGAAAATCGATGTCACAGCATTATTTCAAATAATGCTTCACTCATTAATCTGGGACTTTATTCCAAGCTGCGGATACCCATTTTGCAAGTTTTGAGGATGATGCTTTTGATATTTGCATTCGGGCAGGCAATGACATTACAACTGCCACCAGGCCACAGCAATTATAAGACACCACCAGCTTTAGACACATCCCAGTTTTATTTTATTGTACTTTTTAATTGATATATCATGTTTTTAAAAGGGCACATGTGATATTTTGATATATGAATTTACAATGTGTAATGATAAAATCAGGGTAATTTTGATATACACCTCCTCAAACATTTATCTTTTTCTCTTTGTGTTGGGAAAATTACAATTCTTCTCATAGCTATTTTGAAATATACAATAAATTATTGTTAACTATAATTTTCCTATTGTACTATCAAATACTAGGACTGATTATTATTATTTTTTTACCTAATGGTATTTTTGTACATATTAGGCAACTTCTCTTCATCTTACTCTTTTCTTCTCGGTCTCGGTAACCACCATTGCAGTCCAAGAATTCCACTTTTTTAGCTCTTGCATATGAGTGGGACAACATGATATTTGTCTTTCTGTGCCTGGCTTATTTCCCCTTATGTAATGAGCTAGAACTCCATCCACATTGTAAACGACAGGATTTTATTCTTTTTTTATGACTGAATAGTATTTTATTGTGTATATATACCAAATTTTCTTTTTCCACTCATCTGTTGATGGACACTTAAGTTGATCCCATAGCTTCGCTGTTATGAATAGTGCTGCAACAAACATGGTAGTGCAGATACCTCTTCAATATACTCTTTCCTTTCTTTTGGATATATTCACAGCAGTGGGATTGCAGGATCATGTGGTAGTTCTATTTTTATTTTTTGAGGTTTGTTTTCCATAATGGCTATATTACTTTACGTTCCTACCAACGGTGTACAAGCATTTCCCTTTCTCCATATCCTCACCAGCATTTGTTATTTTTTGTCTTTTTGACGACAGCTATTCTAACTGGGGTAAAATAATATCTCATTGTGACTTCGATATGCATTCACCGGATGATGAATGATGTTGCACATTTTTCATATACTTATTGGCTGTTTGTATGTTTTCTTTTGAGAAATGGCCCATTTTTAATCAGACTATTATGATTTTGCTATTGAGTTGTTTAAATTACTTATGTATTTTGCTTATTAATTCCCTATCAGATGGATAGTTTGCAAAAAATTTCTTCCATTCCATATTCTTTGTTTTGCAGAAGCTTTTTAGTTTAATGTAATCTCATTTGTCTATTTCCGCTTTTCTTACCTGTGCTTTTGAGGTCTTACCCAAAAAATCTTTGCACAGACCAATGTGCTATGATGTTTCCCCCAAGGTTTTCTTCTAGTAGTTTCATAGTTTCCGGGCTTAAATTTAAGTCTTTAATCCACTTTGAGTTGATTTTTCTATATAGTGAAAGTTGGGAATCTAGTTTCATTATTTTGCCTATAGAGATGTATTTTTCCCAGCAGGAAGAGACTGTCTTTTCTCAAATATACCTTCTTGTCAACTTTGCCAAAAAGAGTTGGCTGTAAATGTGTGGATTTACTTCTGGGTTCTCTATTCTGTTCCATTGATTTATGTGTCTGTTTTTACGTCAATACCATAAATAGTACCATATTGTTTTGGTTAGTATAGCTTTGTAGTACAGTTTGAAATCTGGTAGTGAGATGCCTCCAGCTTTGTTCTTTTTGCTTATGATTGCTTTAGCTATTCAGTGTCTTTTGTAGTTCCATATGAATTTTAGGATTTTTTTTATATCTATGGAGAACATCATTGGTATTTTGTTAGGGAATGCATTGAATCTGTAGATTGCTTTGGGCAGCATAGACATTTTTAACAATATTAATTATTTTAATCCATTAGCATGTAATATTTTTCCATTTCTTGAGATTTTTTTAAATCATAAAGTGATGTTTGAATTTTATCGAATGCTTTTTCAGCATCTATTGAAACGATCATTTTTTTGTCCTTCATTCTGTTGATGCAATGTAACACATTGATTGATTTGCATATGTTGAACCATTCTTACATTCCTGGGAAAAATCCCACTTGATTGTGGTGAATGATATTTTTAATGTGTTGTTAAATTTTATTTGCTAGTATTTTGTTGAGGATTTTTGTATCTATGCTAATCAGGGATATTGGTCTGTTGTTTTCTTTTTTGTTGTTGTGTCTTTGTCTGGTTTCCTTTGACACCTTTGGTGTCCTCGTATAATGAGTTTGGAAGTATTCTCTCTTCTACAATTTTGGGAGATAGTTCGAATAGAATTGGTATTAGTTCTTCTTCAAATGTTTGCTAAGATTCAGCAGTGAATCCATCAGGTCCTGTGCCTTTCTTTGATGGGGTCATTTTTATTACTTCTTTAATCTTGTTGCTCATTATTGGTCTGTCCAGGTTTTCTATTTCTTCATGGTTCAATCTTGGTAGGTTGTATGTATTCAGGAATTTGTCCATTTCTTCGAGGGTTTCCAATTTGTTGCTGTAAAGTTGTTCATAGTAGTCTGTAATGATCCTTTGTATTTCTGTGGTGACAGTTTTAATGTTTTTTTTTTTCACTTCTGATTTCATTTATTTGTGTTTTCTAACTGTTTCCTTTGCTGGTCTAACTATAGTTTTATCAATTTTGTTTATCTTTTCAAAAAAACAACCTTTGTTTTGTTGATCTTTTGTATATTTTTTAGCCTCTTTTATTCATTTCTTTTCTGATATTTTTTTCTTTCTTTTTTTTTTTGAGACGGAGTCTTACTTTGTTGCCTAAGCTGGAGTACGGTGGCACGTTCTCAGCTCACTGCTGCTTCCCAGGTTCAAGCGATTCTCCTACCTCAGCCTCCTGAGTAGCTGGGATTACAGGCGTGTGCCACTACGCCCAGCTAATTTTTGTATTTTTCAGTAGACACGGGATTTCACCATGTTGGCCAGGCTGGTCTTGAACTCCTGGCTTCAAGTGATCTGCCTGCCTTGGCCTCCCAAAGTGCTGGGATTACAGGCATGAGCCACTGTGGTCGACCCTACTCTGATCTTTATTATTGCTTTTCTTCTATGAATTTTGGGTTTGGTTTGTTTTTGCTTTTATAGTTCCTTGAGGTTTACCAATTGGTTGTTTATTTAAAATTTTTCCATTTTTTTGATATAAGGATTTATTGCTAAAATCTTCCCTGTTACTACTGCTTTTGTTTTATACCACAGGTTTTAGTATGTTGTGTTTCCATTTTCACTTTTTTCAAAAACTTTTTTTTTTAAGTGAAAGTAAGTTTATTAATAAGGTAAAGGTATAAAGAATGACTACTCTGTAGGCCAAGCAGCCCTGAGGGCTGCTGGCTGGCCACTTTTACAGTCATTTCTTGATTATATGCTAAACAAGGGATGGATTATTAATGAGTTTTCCGGGAAAGGGGTGGGCAATTCCTGGAATTGAGGGTTCCTCCCCTTTTTAGACCATATAGGGTAAATTCCTGATGTTGCCATGGCATTTGTAAACTGTCATGCTGCTGGTGGGAGTGTCTTTTAACATCCTAATACATTAAAATTAGCTTATAACAGGCAATGAGGATGCCCAGAGGTCACTCTCATCACCATCTTGGTTTTGATAGGTTTTGGCCACCTTCTTTACCATAACCTGTTTTATCAGCAAGGTCTTTGTGACCTGTACCTTGTGCTGACATCCTGTGTCATCCTGTGACTTAGAATGCCTTAACCTCCTGGGAACGCAGCCCAGTAGGTCTCAGCTTTATTTTACGCAGCCTCTATTCAAGACGAAGTTGCTCTGGTTCCAACGCCTCTGATGTTTCCCTCCTCCCTTTTACAAGGGAACCCTTAATCCTAAAAGTTGTAGAAAGACAAAGATCCCTCTTCTGTAACTTCTTTAGGCTGAATAGGGGTGGTGTTCCTGCCTAACTACCAGGATTTCTTGTATTCAGGGTAGAGAGCAGCTCAGTCAGAAAGCATCAGTATGTTGAGGGCCACTCATAATTCTTGAGTTCTGACAAAAGATGTTATCTGGAAGATTAATAACTGTTTAAGAAAACATTGAGGCCGGGCATGGTGGCTCACACCTGTAATCCCAAGCAATTTAGGAGGCAAAGGCCGGTGGATCACGAGGTCAAGAGATTGAGACCATCCTGGCCAACAAGGTGAAACCCCGTTTCTCCTAAAAATACAAAAATTAGCTGGGCATGGTGGCACGTGCCTGTAGTCCCAGCTACTCAGGAGGCTGAGGCAGGATAATTGCTTGAACCTGGGAGGTGGAGGTTGCAGTGAGCCGAGATCGCGCCACTGCACTCCAGCCTAGCGACAGAGTGAGACTCCATCTCAAAAAAAAAAAAAAGAAAAGAAAACATCGAGTAAGCGTTTCCTGCATTTGTACACCAAGAGTACGACAGCAATATATTCCACAACATTAAAGCAAAATAATTAAAATTATCCCAAGTAAACTAAATAAGAAGGCTTTCTGTGAACAGGGTAATTATTGGAACCAAGCTAATACAGAGTTGCTAGCCAGTTCCAATATCTGCCCAGAATTAGAATATTGATCCAGATTTTCACATTACCCATCTCTCTTGTTTCTTTTGAGCTGCAATCAGAGATCACTGGTTGATTCACAAAAATAAGCAGAGCCAGTCTAAATTACAGAAAAAAACTCAAAAACAACTGATGAGACTAGAATTTAATAACAGGCATACCATAGTTATTGAAACAATTTTTCTCTCTCCAATCTTCTATTTTTACTGAAGACAAATTATGGTAAGAACAATTCAATTCATTATACTTGGCCTGATTATTTGTATAAAGTACAGAAAGAGTAATTATTTTTCTAACAGGTTTTTGTTGTTGTTGTTGTTGTCGTTGTTGTTTGTCTCGCTCTGTCACCCAGGCTGCAGTGCAGTGGCATGATCATAGCTCAACGTAGCCTTGACCTCCCTGGCTCAAGCTATCTTCCCTCCTCAGCCTCCTGAGTACTATTATTTTTTTCTCTTCTGGTTGTATATTTTCAATAGTCCATCTTGGAGCATGCTGATTCTTTCTTCTATTTGATCAATTCTGCTGTTGATATCTATTGCATTTTTCATTTCATTTATTATACTCTTAAGCACCAATATTCGTTCAATTTTTAAAATTACTATTTCAATTTCTGTTAAATTCCTCTGACAGATTTCTTAATTGATTCTGTGTTTTCTTGAAGTTTGCTGAGGTTCCTGAAACAACTATTTTGAATTATTTGCTTGAATGATCACATATCTCCATCACTTTAGGGTCAGTCTCTGGCACCTTATTTTGTCCACTTTGTAGTGTTATATTTTCCTTGAATGTTCCTGACACTTGCTGATGTCTGACAATGTCTTTACATTGAAGGATTAGGTATTTATTTTAGTCTTCACAGTCTGGTTTTGTTTGTACCTGCCGTTCTTCAGAAAGCCTTTCAGTAATTCTAAGCTGACTAACTTTTTGTTCCTTCAGCCTGTGATCACTACAGTCATCGTGGCACTAGAGGATGGTCTAAGCCCAGGCTTGCTGTGAGTCTTGCAAAAAGGTCTAAGATTAATATGGCTTTTTGGCAAGGATAGACTTGGGGAAGATCTAAGGAGACTATTAAGGCTGTCTGGGAATGTTGGCCAGGAGTTTGAGTTCAGAAGATTGTCCCCAGTGGCCCAGGTGAATGTTCTTCATAGCAGGCATATGCACAAGTGGATGAGTCCCTGACTGTAGTGAAAGTGTCTAGAGTTGAGCCTGGGCTCCTTCAGGATCTGCTGGTGGGCCTGTCTCATTGACCTAGACAGGTGAGTGTCACTCAGCGGGTCCTTGCCCAAGTTGGGGTAGTTCCTTGACTGCAACAGGAGGGACCAGAGATGAGACAGGGCCCCCTCAGGATCTGCTGTGGAATGGAGGGTAATATGCATGTTACATTGAGTCAGATGGGCATGCATCTCCCAGCAGATCTCTGTATAGATGATGTAGTTTTCTGAATGCAACAAGAGGGACTGAAGCTTACAGTGAGTCCCGTTGGTATTTGTTGTGGGACAGATGCTGGAGAGCCTAGTCTTGACTCAGAGGAGTGTATGTCACTCAGCAAGTTCTTGAATAGATAAGATAGTTCCTTGACTTCTGCAAGAGGTGCTGGAGCTGAGACTGGACCACCTTGGGATCTGCTGTGGGAAGGAGGCTTAAAATCCTGGTCTCACTGGCTCAGACAGGTAAGTTTTTCCCAGCAGGTCTCAGCACAGATGGGATAGTTCCCCAACTACAGTGAGAGAGGCCAAAGCTGAGACTGGGTCCCCTTGGGACCTGCTGTGGGATAGAGGTTGGCATGCCCATCTGTGAGGCTTAGACTCCCAGGCTGGGGGATATGGGTGAGTCTCCCTCTGGGTCCTTGTGTGAGCATCTCTGAGCTGTAAGGTCAGCTGAGGAAGGATGGAGCAGCACCACAGGGTTACTGTCAGGTTCACTGCTGAGACCAATGTCAGTGGGCAGGTGAGAGTGTGCAAGATTCCTTCTGGACCTCTTGGCAGATAGTTTTGGTTCCAGGCTCAAGAACAAATGGAGCTTTAGCCAAACTCCTTGAGAGACTTGGCAGTGAACCCAGAAACAAGCTTGGTGGGGCAGATCAGCCACCTGGGTGTTGGTCTGCATGCTTAAAAACAACCCTAATAAGTCCTAGGCTTCAATGAGGTTTCACAAATTCCTACTTGAATCCTGAGGCTCCTGAAGAGAGAGTTTTGACTGTAAATAGGTACAGAATTCTTGTTGCTGTGGAGGCATATGAGTGGGTTACCTTCTACTCTGCCATCTTGGTGACATCATCTCAACATGTTCCAGTTTTAGAAATGTTAAAGCTGTGGAGAAATACATGTCTTTGACTAGATGAAACTTCCCATTTTTGGTTCCATTCAGACCCCTGACAACATTTAAAGCTCATTTACTGTATTTTACTTTTGCTCTTAGTTATACCGCTTAATATATTTATCTGGTTCTTAAAGCCATAGCTGATCAAAAGGAAGAACTTTAGTATTGCAAAGATTAAAATTATTTGTGTATTGCTTTACAATTTGAAAACTGCTTTCGCATGTCCAAACTAATTTAACAACCATATTTTGTTTTACAACTATATTGGGTACTATTATTATCTTCATACCCACTTTACAGATAAGGAAACTGAGATTCTAAGTGAGGTTAAGATGCTGAACATTAGTACCTGCATACATCTGAATTCAAATGTAGCCTTCGTGATGCCAAAATGTATGCCCTTTCCACTCACTTTTCTACCAATAAGGAGAGAGCGAACGCAAGAGAAGGCATTGCCGGCATTAGAGAATGATGATCAAAGCTACACAACCTCAATAATGCAAATGAACAGACAATATGTATATAAAAGAGCTGAAAAGACTACTTTATTAAAAAATAAAGCAGTCTAAAGTCATTACGTGTTGAAGTAAACAACGTTAGGCCCCCGGGTATCTATAGCAGATGTTCATGATGTTGATTTGAGCAATTGAGATGAAGTGAACTAGTACTTATTTTTCCTGCTATTTCTTTTTCAGCAAGGAAGGAGTTCAGTTTAGAAAGTTCAACATCCCAAGTGGTTAATTTAATAATTATTATTTAGAAAATAATTTTCTTTGGATTTTTTATATTCAAGATATGATAAGTTATCACACATGTTACATTGCACTCCAGTAATTGTGACTTTGACAGTCTAATAAGTCTTCATTATTATTTTTCTGATTATAAATGCTTTGTATATATATGCTTTATAGCTTATTTAAAACATTGAGAAAGGTATAAATGAACAGAAAGTAAAAATTAAATTAAAAACCAAAACCGAAAGAAAATCTAAACACCTAAATCTCACCATTGTTAAAATTTGACATATCCTTCCATAGTCTTTTTTCATGCATTCAGAAATAGAACTGATATAATATTAAAGGTATTTAGTATCATGCATTCCTCTTCAGACATAATCATAACCTACATAGTATTCCACTGTAAATAATAATAGCTGGTAGTATTTTTAATGGAATAAATTTTATAAGATAAAATAATTGTATAGATGATATTTGACATCTAGAAAGCAGGAGTAAAGACTATTTTCCTATTGTCTCTCTTAATTGAAAATAGAAAAAGTTCAATATACACTGGGAGGTGGCTGGGTGAACAGTCCCCTGGACGTTTGTTATTTCCTTGTGAAGGCATAGGCTGGAATATGTGAGTGCTGCCCAGGGATTGTGTCCTATGGCATGGTGTCATTACCTCCCTGGTGGACATTCTAATTAGGGAACATGATCCTCCTTTGGTAGAAGGATGCTATGCTTGTCATATGTTTAAAGCAAGAATAAAAGATTTCCTTTAGAACCAGCTTTGTGCCAAGCTCAGGGTTCTAATTATCCAGCACTTTGGGGGAATTTCTTCAAGAGGTGGAATTTGAACAGGCATCACTTGCCTCATCATTTTTAGATGTTTATCTTACATTTTTGAAGTTTTATTCTGTATATTTGAAATGATTTCAGTATAATTGGATTCAGTTGAGAGATTGATGTCTGTGAGTTTGATGTTTGAGGCCATGGTAGGACAATGTAATATTTTACTATTGCTTTTTTTCTGTAAAACTGACTTGAAAGCTTCTAAAATCATATTTACTGCATAATTATAAGTTACTCTGGGCTACCCATGAAGTAGAGAGCTAAGGGAAGTGTGAGCCTACTGTGAAGGATTAGAATAATGGGGAGCTTGGAGTATGCCTTTTCTGCCTCATGTCTTCTTAAAATAGTCTTTCTCAAAAGCCATTATCTCCAACTCTCTCTGCTGCTTCTTCCAGCAGAAGACTCTTCCCTATTTAAAAAAGTAATATTCCTAATAAAACCTTCATACTCCTTTGTATTTCCTCTAATGTATCTGGTAAACAGGCGTAAGCTTAGACAATGTCAGAAGCTTTTTAACATCTTTTCTATGTTTGAAGATTTCCCTCAATTTTATTGTGTCCCTACTCTCAATGCAGAATCCAGAAATTTGTCCTCCCAGCCTATTTTGGAGCAGGGAGAGAGGCATGTGACCTGGATATTCCCAGCCAGAAACATCCTTAGAAAACTTTGATTCACAAGAGAGAATGTGAGGAAGCAATCACCCTCATGGGAGCTTGATCAGGCAAGCCTGATGGCTGAAGAGTATGGCTTTGGGGGACAGAGATGTTAGAAATTTTGGCATCCAGGACGCCATGCAGCTTCAGTACATGTCTCCATTGGCAGAAACAGTGTGGTCTGCGTCAACAGTCCCTGAATCTCACTCTTGGTTGCACATCTTCCAACCCTGACTCCCAGCTCAGGTATGTTTTGAGCAAAGCAGATTTTTTTCTATAAATAAAAAAAAAAAATGCTGTAGTTTTTAATTCTAAATCCTGAGAAACACACTATGTCGCCCTATCTACTATGCTATCCCCCTTTTCCTCTCCAGTATAAGGCTCTGCCTTATTCTTGCTTATAACTTTCTTCATCTTTATCCAGCATAGTCTTGCATAATTTCCCAGGGCTTACAAATGTGTCAACACTGCAGTTTTTTTTTAGTCAAATTAAATTATCTTAAGCAGCCTGAAGCCACTCTGTAAGGATTGTTTACTTATTTTTTTGTGAACAAAAAGGTTTTCTCTTGTACTCTTTACAAATAATACTTTTTGAAAATTATGTTTTTTAAATTAGTGAGCAAAATCAGTATCTCTGTATAATGTGAGCACAGATTTTCCTGGACAGGACTGGTAGAGGGAAAGTGGAACAGAAAGATTAAGGTAAAAGGGGAAAGCCATATGATTTCATAGCCCCAAGTGAAAATGAAAGTTACAATTTAGATTGAATGCTTCCGTTTAACAGTCACATTTTGTTTGTCCTTATCTAAGTCCCTGTGGCATAATGGAAACGCACACAAAAATGTGAGATGATTGTATTCAATTCCTTCTTTCCTTAGCTCTGTGATTTTGGATAAATTATGGCTTTTGAAACTTTGCTTTGTTCATTTTCAAAATGCAATTATAACACACTGTCCCCCTGAAAAGCTTGTTATGGGGGTAAGAGGGTGAAGGTAGCATTATGACAGTGCTTTATAACTTGTAGGAAGGATTATAAGCATTGTTATTTCCAGTGCTCACTTTTTTTTTTTTTCCTGTAGAATACTATTCATCTATTGAAAAACTTCTAAGTGCTTCAGAGAATTTAGGATTAAAGTAGGGAATATACCATGCTAAATATCTGCTTACTTAATATAAACTTTCAGGCTGAGGCAGGCGGATCACGAGGTCAGGAGATGGAGACGATCCTAGCTAACACGGTGAAACCCCGTCTCTACTAAAAATACAAAACATTAGCCGGGCGTGGTGGCGGGTGCCTGTAGTCCCAGCTACTCGGGAGGCTGAGGCAGGAGAATGGCGTGAACCTGATAGGCGGAGCTTGCAGTGAGCCGAGATCACGCCACTGCACTCCAGCCTGGGCGACAGAGTGAGACTCCATCTCAAAATAAATAACTTTCAATTTTCATGAATATTATATTGGATAGAATAAAAAATACACTATATAATTGGGAGAGCATTATAGCTGAGAAAATATACCAACATCTCATAGTTAATAATAACTCAAATCTAACCTAAATAGCCACCAAAGAGTAACTAGATTCAGGGGCTTAACCACGGTCTTTGACAGCCTTTCTCCTGGACTTTGATTTCCGTTGATTTTCATTTGGTCTTTTTGGGTGTGGGAGCAGAGTTGACTACTGGAAGCTCTAGACTTGTACTCATTCAGTTTAGTAAACCCCACAGAAAGTGAGGCTTTTCCTGATAGTGCCAGCAAAGTTCCATGCATTTTCATTGTCCCAGCCTGAGTTGTGTGCCGATCTCTGATCCAAACACTTTGATTAGGGGGGTAGAATATTCTCTTTGGTCACATCTGAATCACATGCCCAATACAATAGCTGGTGGAGTCAGCAAGTAATTTTTGAAACTTGGTG
Organism: Homo sapiens; assembly: GCF_000001405.40. Classification (NCBI taxonomy): domain Eukaryota; kingdom Metazoa; phylum Chordata; class Mammalia; order Primates; family Hominidae; genus Homo; species Homo sapiens. Next base: position 191,456,940 of record NC_000003.12, read on the forward strand.
AGGGAGAATGGGTGGGAGGGGAGATTCACAAAGAGAGACTAGGCATAAAAAATTATGCCCATTTAATACATTTTGGGAAGGATCTATGGCCAATATATTAAGGAACATATGTAGAAAGTGCTTTAACTTGCCTGAATGAAGTCTTGTTCTCTATAGTTATCTCTGATTTAGTAATCAGTAACTTCGACACCATCCCCATTATCTCTGGAGCAATAGGCTATTTTTGCAAAGTGACTGACAATATAAATCAGATTATAGTGCTCGTGGTACCATCACGGTGGACAGATGCACAGAGAGTATTTCTAAAGAAATACTCATAGAAGAGAGAAAAACATTAAAGTGGTTGCAAGAAGAAAGCATTGCAGAATGTGAACATTTGTGGTCTACTTTTGTGAATTTTTAATAAAGGGTTTCTGGCATGTAGAACTGCTGTGTCTTCATTAGAATAATGTGGAGGCTGCTACCAAGTAGGACACATATTCCAGGCGAACCAGGGTACGACTGGGAAGAAAGGACTCTGAGTATATTAGTTTTAAGCATGATGCTCCCTTCCCATAATACACAGTAAAAGCCAAATACAGGATTTCCTAACGTGAAAAGCAGATATGCAGAAGTGGGAAGAGACCTGATTTTGAATTGGAACATGTGAATCTTTATCCCAATTCTGCCAAGAACTTGCCATGTATCCTGAGGTAAATCCTCTTTCCTAGCTTGACCTTTGTTTCTCAATTCAAAGATTCGCTTCAAAGATTTGAACTTGGCCAGGCGTGGTGGCTCATGCCTGTAATCCCAGGACTTTGGGAGGCTGAGATGGGTGGACCACCTGAGGTCAGGAGTTTGAGACCAGCCTGATCAACATGGTTAAACCCCATCTCTACTAAAAATACAAAAAATTATCCAGGTGTGGTGGCAGGTGCCTGTAATCCCAGCTACTTGGGAGGCCGAGGCAGGAGAATCGCTTGAATCTGGGAGGCGAAGTTTGCAGTGAGCTGAGATCGTGCCACTGCGCTCTAGCCTGGGCAACAGAGTGAGACTTGGTCGCCCACCAAAAAAGGTTTGAACTTGATGACACCAAGAGCTGCTTCCTGCCCAATGACTTTATCTTAGTAAAAATTCTATGTTTTGATTCTTTTTGAAATATGAATTATTTAATGCAAGTAATACATTTGTGTGGTTCAAAATGTATAACTATCAAACGAGCACTGTGAACACCTCCCTTCCATTCCCATCTGTGTCTACCATGTTCTGTACTAATTTCTACTTTTACTGATTTTTAAAATATCTTTCCAGAGTTTCCTTATGAAAATTCAAACAAATATAATTTATATCCCACCTCCCATTTCTCTCACAGGAGTTACATGTGCCTTGTTTTCTTTTGTTTTTTTCTTGAGATGGAGTTTTGCTCTTGTTGCCCAGGCTGGAGTGCAATGGTGTGATCCTGGCTCACCGCAACCTCCATCTCCCAGGTTCAAGCGATACTCCTGCCTCAGCCTCCCGATTAGCTGGGATTACAGGCATGCACCACCACGCCCAGCTAATTTTGTATTTTTAGTAGAGATGGGGTTTCTCCACGTTGGTCAGGCTGGTCTCGAACTCCCAACCTCAGGTGATCTGCCTGCCTCGGCCTCCCAAAGTGCTGGGATTATAGGTGTAAGCCACCGCACCCAGCCAGCATGTGCCTTTTTTTAAACTGAATATATCATGGACATTTTTATGTATCACTATGTAAGCCACTCCTCATCCTGTATTTAGCCTCTTGCTAAATACAACAGATACAACAGATCCTCAAATAACATTTTTTTCAACATCATTTTGTGTAACATTGATGAGGAAAAAAAAATTCCAAACAGGGGCCACTGTCTATATGGACTTTGCATGTTAGCATGTTCTACCCATGTCTGCATGGATTTTCTCTGTACTCTACTTTCCTCCCACATCCCAAAGATGTTAGGTTAATTGGTGTGTCTAAATGCTCGCAGTCTGCGTGAGTGTACCCTGTGATAGGATGGCGTCCTGTTCAAGATTGGTTTCCACCTGGCACCCTGAGCTGCCGCATAACCTCAGGCCACTCACAACCCTGAATTGGAATAAGTGGATAAAAAATCATCTTACTCATTTTTATTAATCTGTTTAAAATGCATGTAGGGCTCACATTTATTTCTATGTTTAATATTAGAAGTGTTTTGGTTTTTATTTAGAACTTCGGTGATGTTTTTGTGACCAGCATGCCATAGGAATTTAACTCTTGCTTGTATGAGTTAGCCTATGATAAAATTGTTTTTGTTATACATCATTTCATTCAAAGTTGCAGTTTCCAAGAATCTATTGAGGACATTAAGTGAGTATTTTGTTCTTACAAATAATGCTATGCAAGCAGACACACCTGTAAGACAAATACTAGAGGTGGAAAAGCCAGGTCAAAGAGCAAATGCTCTTGTCGTTTATATTTTTCAGGACTGCCTTCTCTAGGGTTCATATAAATTTATACTCAATCTGAAACATGCACTCCAAAAAATACAAGCAAATTGAATACAGTGACCTATAAAAAGAATTATACACAATGACCAAGTGGGATTTATCCCAGGACGGCAAGGTTGGTTTGAACATATGAAAATCAATTAATATAATTCATCATATCAGTAGAATAAAAACAAAAATTACATGATTATCTCAATAAACACAGAAAAAGCACTGGACAAAACCCAACTTCCTTTCATGATAAAAATACTCCCAACTGGAAAATAGAAGGGAGCTTCCTCAATCTGATAAAAGTTATCTATGAAAACTCATAGCCAAAATTATATTTAATGGAAAAATGATTTTTGTCCTAAAATCAGGACCATCTCAATGCTATCTGCTCTTAGCATGACCATACAACATTACATTAGTGGTGCTAGCCCTAGCAACTAGACAAGATAAGAAAGGCAACTGGATTGGAATGGAAGTGAAAGTGTCTGTATTAGCAGATAACATAATCTTGTATATAGGAAATCCTAAAAAATTCACTCGAAACCTGTTAGAACTATTAAATGAGTTCATCCAGGTTTCAGGATACAAGATCATACATAAAAATCAGTTTTTCTTCTACACACTTGTAATGAACAGTCCAAAACTGAAATTAAAACAATTCCTTTTAGAATCATATCAAAAAGAATAAAATACCTAGAAATAAATTTTAACAAAGAAGTAAAACTTATGCTCTGAAAATTACAAGACATTATTGAGAGAAATTAAAGAGCTAAATAAGTGGAAAGCATCTCGTGTTTATAGATTGGAAGGCTTAATTTACATTGTTAAGATGGCACTACTCCCCAAACTGATCTACAGATTCAATACAATCCCTGTCAGAACCTCAGCTTACTTTATGTAGAAATGGGCAAACTAGTTAGAAAATTCAAGTAGTATCGCATAGACCCAGTACAGCCAAGATGATATTGAAAAATAAGAGCAAACAAAGACAATTCACCTTTCCTTATTTCATGACTTAGTAATTTATTTAGTATTTCCTCATTTCATGACTTAGCATCTTAATGGTAATTAAGATAATGTGGTACTGGCATAAGGATAGGCACATTGCTCAATAAAACAGAACTGAGAGTCCAAAAATAAGCCCGTACATCTGTGGTCAACTGACTTTCAACAAGGGTTTCAAGACCGTACAATGGGGAAAGAATAGACTTTTCAACAAATGATGCTTAGGCAAGTAGATTTCTACATGCAGAAGAATAAAGTTGGACCTCTATTTCATGCCACATACAAAAATTAACTCAAAATATATCAAATACCCAAATGTAAGAGTTAAAGCTGTAATATTCTTATAGTAAATGATAGGGGTACATCTTTATGACCTGAGACTTGGCAAAAGATTCTTAGACATGACATCAAAAGCATAAAAAATAAGAAAAAAATAGATAAATTTGATTTCATCAAAATGAAAAACATTTGTACCTTAAAGGACACCATCATTAAACTGATAAGACAACTCACAGAATGGGAGCAAAAATTTGCGTATCGCGTATCTAATGAAGGACCTGTCCCTAGACTATATAAAGAACTCTTACAACTCAGCAATAAAAAGACAATAACGCAATTTTATAATGAGCAAAAATCTGAACTGATATTTCTTCTAAAAAGATATAAAAATATATACTTATTAGTATATGAAAAAATGTGAGAACCAGAGCATAGGGCCAGGCGTTGGGAGAGCTCCCACATAGGACAAGATGGCATCTTCTGCAGAGCTGGACTTCAACCTGCAGGCTCTTCTGGAGCAGCTCAGCCAGGATGAGTTGAGCAAGTTCAAGTCTCTGATCAGAACAATCTCCCTGGGAAAGGAGCTACAGACCGTCCCCCAGACAGAGGTAGACAAGGCTAATGGGAAGCAACTGGTAGAAATCTTCACCAGCCACTCCTGCAGCTACTGGGCAGGGATGGCAGCCATCCAGGTCTTTGAAAAGATGAATCAAACGCATCTGTCTGGGAGAGCTGATGAACACTGTGTGATGCCCCCACCTTAACCCCTCAGGGATAGTGAGTTGATGGCTGAGCTAGATGTTGCTTTAGCCTTGGTTCTGCCTCCATTTTACATGCACATGTTGCTTAACCTTGTTATATATGAAATATCTATATCACCAGTATTTTGAGATAAATAAAGGTGAAATAATTCACAAACATTAAAAGAAAAGATGCCTGACAACTTTAGTATTCAGGGAAATGCAAATCAAAACTATGATGAGATACCACTTCATATCCACTAGGCTGGCTAGAATAGAAAGATAATAACAAGTATTGGCACAGATGTGGAGAAACTAGAATCCTCATATACTGCTTATGGAAATGTGAAATTGTGCAGCCACTTTGGAAAACAGGATGGCAATTTCTCAAATGATAAACAGAGTTCTCATATGATCTAATATTATATTTATAAGTACATGATCAAGAGAAATAAAAACATAAACACAAATGTTTATAGTGTCATTGTATACAATAGCCAAAAGGTGGAAACAACCTAATGTCTGTGAATGGACAAATGAATAAACAAATTGTGGCATATGCAGCTAATGAAATATTATTCGACAAAAATGAAGTATTGATCACATGCTTAAACATGAATGAACATTGAAAACACTATGCTAAATGAAAGAAGCCTGTCATAAAAGACAAAATATTATATGGTCACATCACATATGATATGATTCCATTCATAGGAAAGTTCAGAATGGCCAAATTTATAGAGTCAGAAGTAGATAACAGGTTGCTTAGGACTGGGAAGGAGAGTTGGTGAGTAGAGGGGAATAGGGAGTAATAGCTAAAACATTTAAGATTGCTTTTCGAGGTGATGAGAATATTCTGAAATCAACTATGGTGATGATGGTACATATCTGTGAATAAGCTAAAAACATTTAATTGTATTCTTTAAATGAGTTGTGTGATATGTGAATTATATCTCAATAAATGTTAAAAATGCAAAAAATGAGACAATGAATGTTTACCATCTTTTCATATGTTTAAAGACCGTTAATATTTCCATTCAATGAACTATTTATTCATACTCTTGACAATTTTCCTTTTTTATTCCATTTTTGTTTTGTTTTGTCTTTTTCTCATTGATTCCAGGAACTCCTTTTATGTCTGAGAGATTAGTACTATCTGGATATGAGTTGCAATTTCTTTTCTTTTTGACTTTGCTTATGATTTTCCCCACAGCAGAAGACTACAATTTTATGTATATGCATTAATCTATCACTACTTTTATGGCTTCCAGATGAGACTCATAGAAAGATCTTTCCTAGTCCAAGGGAATAAAATAATTCTCCTATCTTTACTCCTGATTCATTCATGGTTACATTTTAATATTTGCCTTTAAATCTGTAATCTATTTAGCCACTTTTTCCCAACAAAGGTATGAAGTATGTATCCAGCATTCTTCTTTTCAGGCAGCCAGCCAAGGATACCAGAACCTTTATTGCAATCTCATCTTTTCCCTACAGATTTGAAATGTACAAAGTAAACTTCCTAATATATCTGGCTTTCTCCCCTCCCTCCCTCCCTCTTTTTTCTTTTTCTTTCTTTCTCTCTTTCTCTTTCTTTCTTTCTTTCTTTCTTTCTTTCTTTCTTTCTTTCTTTCTTCTTTCTTTCTTTTTCTCTCTCTCTCCCTCCCTCCCTCCCTCTCTCTCTCTCTCTCTCCCTCCCTCTCTCTCTGTCTCTCTCTCTTCCTTTCTCTCTCTCTTTCTTCTTTCTTTCTTTTAGACGGAGTCTTGCTCTGTTGCCCAGGCTGGAGTGCAGTGCATGATGCTGGTTCACTGCAAACTCCACCACCCAGTTTCAAGTGATTCTCCTGCCTCAGCCTTCCAAGTAGCTGGGATTACAGGCGTGCACAACCACACCTGGCTAATTATTTCTTGACTTTCTACGTGTATCATTGGTCTGTCTCTTCATGCACCAATATCAAGATGCTTTAAATATAGAAGCTATATGCAGATGTTTCCTGACTTAAATATGTTTCAACGTATGATTTCTTTTATTTTCCAGTGGGCTTATTGAGGTATTAAACACATTTTATACTAATGATATTTTGACTTTTGATGGATTTATCAGGACATAACCCTATTGTAAGTTGAGGAGCATCTGTAATATGTTTTAATATCTGTCAGCAAAGAGGCTCTTTACTTTATTGCTTTTCTTTTTAAGAGATTTTTCTGCCTAGCCTTGCTGGTTTAGTTTTATTTATGAACTTCAAAATTAGTTTTCTAGTTTCATTGCACAAACAAAAATATACAAACAACAAAATAAGAAACCATCATCACAAAAATTCAAAAACAAAGGCATGTTAGTTATTTTTTTAATATTGCCTTACATTATTAAAAACTTGATGGAAATTTACATCCTTCTAGTGTTGATTTTTTTCTATTCAATAAGAAGGGACGTCTTTTAATTTGTTCACTTCTTCTTTTGAGACATTCAGCAGTGTTCTAAAACTTCTCTTATATAAAATGTAAACACTTAAGTTTTTCCAAAAAATTTTTATCTTTATTTTGCTGCTGTCTTAAAGGTATTTTCCCTCACTTTATCCTCTAGCTTATTTTCTGTATATATGCATTATTTTGATTTTTTTTTTTTTTTGAGATGAAGTCTCACTCTGTTGCCCAGGCTGGAGTGCAGTAGCGTGATCACAGCTTACTGCAACCTTCACCTCCCAGATTCAAGTGATTCTCCTGCCTCAGCCTCCCGAGTAGCTGGGACTACGGGCATATGCCACCATGCCTGGCTAATTTTTGTATTTTTAGAAGAGATAGGGTTTCACTATATTGGCCAGATTTGTCTCGAACTCCTGACTTCATGTGATCTACCAGCTTTGGCTTCCCAAAGTGCTGAGATTACAGGTGCAAGCCACCTTGCCCGGCCTGATTTTTGATTTATAATTTGATACCTTGCTATATTACTAAATTCTCTGACTTTAGTTGCTTAAATGTTCAAGGAATATGATTATCCCATTTACAAATTTCATCAATGTCTTCATTTTCAATTTTTAGACTTACTTATAATTCCTTTTTCTTCTTAGTGTTGGTTAGTGTAATATTAAGTAAAAATGACTCTAGCAAGTATTTGCTTTGTCCTGAGTTTAGTGCAAATTCTTAATGTGTCACTTTAAAGCATTATGCTTTGTGCTGAAATATATGTCTCATGATTACGGTTGTACATTTACTTATATTATTATCCATCAGTTCATCTTTTATTTAGTATTTTTTATGAACAGATTTTAAATTAGCTCCAATAATATTTCTCCTTAGATTTATTAATATAATATTATAATCACTGAGAATTAAGCATCTTTGCAATTAGGGAATAAACCCTATCTGTTATATTTTTAATATGCTGGTTGTATTAATCTGCTCTCATGTTGCTATAAGGACATATCTGAGAATGGGTAATTTATAAAGGAAAGAGGTTTAGTTGACTCACAGTTCCACATGCTGGGGAGGCCTCAGGAAGCTTACAATCATGGTGGAAGGGGAAGCAAACATGTCCTTCTTTGCAGGGAGGCAGGAGAGAGAAGTGCAGCATGAAGGGGGAGGAAATCCCTTATAAAACCATCAGATCTTTTGAGAACTCACTCCCTATCATGAGAACAGCATTTGGAAACCATCCCCATGAATTTTTTTTCTTTTTTTTTTTTAATTATTATTATACTTTAAGTTTTAGGGTACATGTGCAGTATATGCAGGTTAGTTACATATGTATACATGTGCCATGCTGGTGTGCTGCACCCATTAACTCACCATTTTGCATTACGTATATCTCCTAATGCTATCCCTCCCCCCTACCCCCACCCCACAACAGTCCCGAGTGTGATGTTCCCCTTGCTGTGTCCATGTGTTCTCATTGTTCAATTCCCATCTATGAGTGAGAACATGCGGTGTTTGGTTTTTTGTCCTTGCGATAGTTTACTGAGAATGATGATTTCCAATTTCATCCATGTCCCTACAAAGGATATGAACTCATCATTTTTTATGGCTGCATAGTATTCCATGGTGTATATGTGCCACATTTTCTTAATCCAGTCTATCATTGTTGGACATTTGGGTTGGTTCCAAGTCTTTGCTATTGTGAATAGTGCTGCAATAAACATACTTGTCCGTGTGTCTTTATAGCAGCATGATTTATAGTCCTTTGGGTATATACCCAGTAATGGGATGGCTGGGTCAAATGGTATTTCTAGTTCTAGATCCCTGAGGAATCGCCACACTGACTTCCACAATGGTTGAACTAGTTTACAGTCCCACCAACAGTGTCAAAGTGTTCCTATTTCTCCACACCCTCTCCAGCATCTGTTGTTTCCTGACTTTTTAATGACTGCCATTCTAACTGGTGTGAGATGGTATCTCATTGTGGTTTTGATTTGCATTTCTCTGATGGCCAGTGATGATGAGCATTTTTTCATGTGTCTTTTGGCTGCATAAATGTCTTCTTTTGAGAAGTGTCTGTTCATATCCTTTGCCCACTTTTTGATGGGGTTGTTTGTTTTTTTCCTGTAAATTTGTTTGAGTTCATTGTAGATTCTGGATATTAGCCCTTTGTCAGATGAGTAGGTTGCAAAAATTTTCTCCCATTTTGTAGGTTGCCTATTCACTCTGATGGTAGTTTCCTTTGCTGTGCAGAAGCTCTTTAGTTTAATTAGATCCCATTTGTCAATTTTGTCTTTTGTTGCCATTGCTTTTGGTGTTTCAGACATGAAGTCCTTGCCCATGCCTATGTCCTGAATGGTAATGCCTAGGTTTTCTTCTAGGGTTTTTATGGTTTTAGGTCTAACGTTTAAGTCTTTAATCCATCTTGAATTAATTTTTGTATAAGGTGTAAGGAAGGGATCCAGTTTCAGCTTTCTACATATGGCTAGCCAGTTTTCCCAGCACCATTTATTAAATAGGAAATCCTTTCCCCATTGCTTGTTTTTCTCAGGTTTGTCAAAGATCAGATAGGTGTAGATAGGTGGCGTTATTTCTCAGGGCTCTATTCTGTTCCATTGATCTACATCTCTGTTTTGGTACCAGTACCATGCTGTTTTGGTTCCTGTAGTCTTGTAGTATAGTTTGAAGTCAGGTAGTGTGATGCCTCCAGCTTTGTTCTTTTGGCTTAGGATTAACTTGACAATGCGGGCTCTTTTTTGGTTCCATATGAACTTTAAAGTAGTTTTTTCCAATTCTGTGAAGAAAGTCATTGGTAGCTTGATGGGGATGGCATTGAATCTATAAATTACCTTGGGCAGTATGGCCATTTTCACGATATTGATTTTTCCTACCCATGAGCGTGGAATGTTCTTCCATTTGTTTGTATCGTCTTTTATTTCATTGAGCAGTGGTTTGTAGTTCTCCTTCAAGAGGTCCTTCACGTCCCTTGTAAGTTGGATTCCTAAGTATTTTATTCTCTTTGAAGCAATTGTGAATGGGAGTTCACTCATGATTTGGCTCTCCGTTTGTCTGTTATTGGTGTATAAGAATGCTTTTGATTTTTGTACATTGATTTTGTGTCCTGAGACTTTGCTAAAGTTGCTTATCAGCTTAAGGAGATTTTGGGCTGAGACAAGGGGGTTTTCTAGATATACAATCATGTCATCCTGATACCAAAGCCAGGCAGAGACACAACCAAAAAAGAGAATTTTAGACCAATATCCTTGATGAACATTGATGCAAAATTCCTCAGTAAAATACTGGCAAACCAAATCCAGCAGCACATCAAAAAGCTTATCCACCATGATCAAGTGGGCTTCATCCCTGGGATGCAAGGCTGGTTCAATATATGCAAATCAATAAATGTAATCCAGCATATAAACAGAACCAAAGACAAAAACCACATGATTATCTCAATAGACGCAGAAAAGGCCTTTGACAAAATTCAACAACCCTTCATGCTAAAAACTCTCAATAAATTAGGTATTGATGGGATGTATCTCAAAATAATAAGAGCTATCTATGACAAACCCACAGCCAATATCATACTGAATGGGCAAAAACTGGAAGCATTCCCTTTGAAAACTGGCACAAGACAGGGATGCCCTCTCTCACCACTCCTATTCAACACGGTGTTGGAAGTTCTGGCCAAGGCAATTAGGCAGGAGAAGGAAATAAAGGGTATTCAATTAGGAAAAGAGGAAGTCAAATTGTCCCTGTTTGTAGATGACATGATTGTATATCTAGATTTAATCAGCTTCCACAAGGTCCCTCCCCCAATACGTGGAGATTATAATTCGGATTGCAATTCAAGATAAGTTTTGGGTGGGGACAGAGCCAGACCATATCACTGGTGTATTAGTCCATTCTCATGCAGCTATGAAGAAATACCTGAGACTGGGTAATTTATAAAGATAAGAGGTTTAACTGACTCACAGTTCGTCATGTCTGGGGAGGCCTCAGGAAACTTACAGTCATGGAAGAAGGCACCTCTTCACAGGGCAGCAGGAGAGAGAATGAGTGCCAGCGGGGGAAATGCCACACACATAAAACCATCAGATCTCTTGAGAACTCACTATCATGAGAACAGCATGAAGGAAACCACCCCCATGATTCAATTACCTCCCACTGTGTCCCTCCCATGAAGTATTATGGGGATTACAACTCGAGATGAGGTTTGGTTACCAAACCATATCAGCTGATGCTTTAAAGAAGAATTATTTTGTTTCTTGTTATTTTCCAGTATTATTATACTGATATTAGAAAATATCTTCAGTATTGTTTTCAGTTTGGAGAATTTGTTGACATTTTTTGTTTGTCTCATGAGTTTTCTTGAATCTGACCTGAAAAACTAAGGATAACTAAGTATTTATTCTTTATCATCAAGGCACATAATTTAAGATATATCAATCAGATGCCTTTTTGATTATGTTATTTAGATTTTCAATATTGATCTCTTTTGGATTTCAAGAAGTAAATGAAACTCTTCTATTTTAGTGTGATTTGATCCAATTCTTAATAGTTCTTAAATTTTAATAGTTCTCTAAGTCCCCACAAAGTATCTGCTAAAGTTTGTGTGGTTTCTCCTCTCACCCAATTTCAGTCAACACAATTTACTTCCTTAATATTTATCTTTGTAGTGTAAAATATGCCTATTCTATTACTTTACTTGACCCTTAGATATTATCTTTTGGTCCCAGTTACTACTGGCCATCTTCCAGCTTTATTCTAACTTCTAGCTTCATTTCCACCTTCCTCCTCTCATTTATATTAATTGTATTTTTTTCTAGATCATCAGCATTTATGTTATTTATATTCTATCTTGCCATCTACTCCTAATATTTTCAAAAATGTCTTTGTTTTACAATCAAGTAGCTTCTTTTATTGCCACTCATTTTACATTGCCCTAGTTATCTATTTATTGGCTAAAGTTTGTCTTCCAGTTGCTTTTTTTGTTTTCTCTCAGAAAGGCTCCTGGGATCAGCTGTTAATCTGTCTCTTTTATACTTGGAATTCAGGTTGGCTTGATAGAAATTCCTTAGGTTGTAGCTTATTTCCTTAAATAATAGATTTTTTCATCATCTTCTGCCATTGAATGTTGCCGTGGAGTAATCTGAGGCTAACAGGTTTTTTCATTTTATTATGACTTGAACTTTTTCCTGACTGCCCAAAAATGATAATTTGTTTAAAGTCTAGTAACTTTTTTGGAAAAAGCTCTATGTTGACTGATCTGAGTTACTTCTCCCTGCCACATGATATTCTCTTTCAAAATGTAAATTTAAGTCTTCTTATATCAGAAAAAATTTCCTTCAGTTATATTGTTAAATATTTTCTCTTTTTATCACTTTTTTCTTCAGAAATTACTTTATGTTTATATTTGATCTGCTTTGCCAAACTTCTATAGCTGTCATTTTCACTCTACTTAGTTTCTTTATTCCATGTTCATTCCGTTCCATGTCTATCGTTTTTCACTAAATGTTTTAATTCAATGCCTTTATTTAAATTTATTTATATTCTGAATTATTTTACTAAATTTTTCACAATATCCATTCTCCTTTGTGCTTCTTGTGACTTGTCAGCTCATATTTTACCTCCACCTGTATGTCACCTCTTTCCCTGAATTCCTGTATTTCAATTTTGTGATTATTTTCTGTAGCCATGATTGCTTTATTAAATTTTAAACTTAATATTACATTTTTGGTTATAATTTTCATATATTACATGACAGTATACTTCTGGTACATCTTCTTTTTCTGACAGTAAGTTATGTTTCTCTGTTTTCACCTTCCTTTCTTATAGTTTCCTTTTTTTTTCTTCAAATTTCTTTTTACCATCTAATAGTTTCTTTTATCAAGGCTGTGTCAGATCATCTTATAATATTCGGTTGAATATGTTAAATATTCCTTTTGTGTTTCCTGCAAAGGTCTGGGAAGGAGTAATTGAGAAGCAAGTGTATTGTAGTCTTCCAGGATTTTTCTCTCAAACACTCTCTCCTCTGCTGCAACCAGTACCACCTGTTTTCTTCAAACAGAGCTCCACTATTTGTTTCTTTGTGAAGATATGCCTCCTCAATTTCTCTCAACCAATCTGGGCTTAGAAGGACTTCTTCCTGTTCCAGGTTCCCCAGGTCTCTTGTTGGTTAATTCAACAAAGGAACACAGTTCTTGTCGAAGGGACACAGCTGATCCTCTCACCAGCAGAAGCTGTATTTTTGTGGATCTTTCTGAATTTATAAAGGCTTAACTCACATTTTGACTTTTTTTCCTGCCATTTTACCCCATGTGTAGGTTTTTTCCAATCTTAGGCTATTTCATCTTATCTCTTCTCAAAACACTCAGCTCTCCAAATTTCCTTTCCCAAAGGCTCTTGACCTCCAGGGAATGCACATTTTGTTCTGACTTGCTGCTGCTTTTCATCCTTCTGGAAACTTGCCCTCTCTATAATGCACCACTGTTCCCTGTGCCACTGTGTCCCATGGGGCTGAAGTCAGTTTTAGATGCTTTAGACTATAGATCTGAATTTGTGGATTTTTAAATCTCCTAGTTAAGCAAAAAATGGAATTTGCTTATTGTTCACTTTCTTTCTTGTATTCTTCTTTTCTTTCTTTCTTCTTCTATTTTTTTTTTTTTTGGAATAGGGGTTCCAGAAAGAAAAAAAGGGGAATGTTCATATTGTAGCTAGCTCCATATTCATACTCTCATTTCCAATGTTTCTGTATAAACAGCAAATTAAATCTTAAAACTTTGTCTTTTTGCTATTCAGTGCATGCAAATGTAGGCTTTCCATCAATGCAAGAAATTTGTTACTATTTTTAGTGTGGCTTCATGGGCCTGCAACCACTGCAGTTGCACAAAGCCCTATACTCAGGAGACCCTGCACTTGGGGTTTAATGTTCTACAGCTGTTTGCTGTCTTGAAAGTCTTAATAATTTTATATTTGAATTTGTGTTTTGTAAGCTAAGTCTGATAGGACAAAGGAGCGTGTGTGTGAGATTAGACCCTGGGCACATGTACTATCCTGCTTCCCATCACCTCACCTCCCTGAGACAGGTTCTAGGCGCCCTGCCCTTTCCTTTATGTCCACTACCACCTTTTGTCCAGGGAGGTAGCCTGGTTGCTTCAGGGTCAACATTCTACCATTACTCTCTGCCCATAGAGCATTGGGCAGATAAGTTAGAAAGAGCCTCTTACCCTCCTCTAATCCAGATACAAAATTCATTCCAGTGTCTTAATTCTTTTAGGATGCAATACTTCACCCACTCATAATGGGTTGAGTGGAAAGCCTTTGGGAAGAGGAGACTGACCAGTTCTTCCTTTATTCCCGGGTCCCTGTATTTGCATTTTCCACCAGCTCTGCAGATTATGTAGCCAGCTTTGACTATGACAGTCCTTTCTGTGTACCCATAAGGGGATTGGTTCCAGGAGCCCCCACAAATACCAAAATCCACGATACTCAAGTCGTTTCTATAAAATAGTATAACATTTGTATATAACTTACACACATACTCTGGGTACTTTAAATTATCTCTAGATTACTTATAATATCTAATACAATGTGAATACTATATAAGTGATTTTTATATGGTATTGTTTGAGGAATAATAACAAGGAAAAAGTCTGTGTATGTTCAGGACAAACACAATCCTTTTTTATTTCAAATATGTTTTATCTGTCATTGATTGAATCTACGGATGTGGAACCCATGAATATGGAGGGCTGACTGTATTTACATTCTACTGTTGAGATTATTGAAACTAAGATATAACTACACATCTAATAAGGGTCTGGGTCAGAATACTGGAGCCCCTATGCTTTATCGCTATTTTTGTCAAATAATACCAGACTGCACCATCATGATAGAGCAATTAAAAAGCAAACTCTGGAAGTCCATTGAATTTGACCTCTACAATTGGTGTGCTTTTGAAAATGTTTAGTGATACACCACTGTATACTTGTTAGCGTATTAGGTAATATAAGAACTGTAGAGATTAAATACACTTGGTTTTTGCCCTCAGAGAGGCTAGATATTGTGTGTGTGTTTGTAGGATTTGGAGAGGTGAAAGCGTGGCCCGGGGTTAGGGAAGAAGAGTTGGTGGTGGTAGTGGAGGTGAAGTTAACTCTATTGTTGGGGAAATAAGTCATACAAAGTGCTAATCGAAGTTCAAAGAAGGGTAAAATGAAATCCTATGATTTAGGGATGGCATCTTGAGGAGCACTTAGTCTGGCTTTTTAAAGATGGCTAAGATATGGACATGCAAAGAAGGAAGGCATGACAGCTAGCACAGAGATGAATATTTAGGTGAAAAGGACTCTGTCCACTGGGGACTGAATTTCCTTTAGAGATTGGGGACTGAAAACTAACAAGATTCAGTTGTTCATGTAATGAGTCCTTGGTTTTACTAGTAGCCTGAGACCATGGGTAGCATTTAAATATAATAATCTGTACCCACTCATGTAACATTAACATTAATTATTACATATGAGTCCTTTGGGAAACACTGGGATGATCACATCCCCCCCTTCAAAGGACTTTGATCCAAAAAGGCAGAGAAGAATGGTAGATAAACAATAAGAGCACATGTGATAAGTATCTTGAACGAGATATGGAAATAAGGCTAGGGGATTCCAGGAGATGGAAACATTCAAGCCTTCAAGAATGTCAAGCAAGTCTGTATCAGTAGTTGGCATTTCAGTAGACTCTGAAGGATGGAGATTTTGCCACGTTCGACTAGGGGAAAGGATGCCCAACTGGAGGAACAGCATGAGCAGAAGTAGGAAAGTAAAGGGCAAGAAAGTGAATAGTGACAAATTCAGTTTGATAAGGGTAGCAGTAGAGATTGTAGGGAAGGATTTTGTGCAGCTAAAGGAATGACAGGGGAGATATCTTCACAAATAATAGTCAGTCTAGAAGTCCTTTTAGATAGTCTCAAATTTATAACCATAAACAATGGAAGAAGGACAGTACAATGAAGAGCTCTACATAAGAAAGCATGAAATTGCTTCAGAATTGCTGTGAGGTTTCTTTCCTCTGGAAATGAAATGTCACTGCATTTCTTGGATGACAATAGTATGATACTACTCCAAAGGGAAAAGAAAAGGTATTGACTCTGATGACTGTAATTGTATCTGGCCATTTTCCCTTTATATCATTGGCTATACTGCAGGCTTTCAATATAGACTAGAGGGTGACTGGTCCAAAGACTCACCTATTCATGTTCTTGTCCAGAAAAAAAAATCTGTATCAGTTCCTGAGAGATAAGATGTCCATAGAGTGAATAAATAAGAAATAGCCCAACCAATTCAAACAAATTAGGGTATAGCCAAATTTCTTAATTTATTACTCGGTTAGAATAAAATGATAAATATTTCAGAAAAATAGAGGCAATAGTCTCTATTTTTAGAGACTATATATTATATATATATAATATATAACAATATATTATTGTTTTGAAATATATGGATAAATAAAACTAACATCTTAAAGTTAGTAGCTTTTTATTTTGAAAGTGGGTTCACATCTATATTCTAATAGCTTAAGAGATTATAGGGCATGAAATTTTTGCCCTATTTTACAAATGGGGAGACTGAGAATAAGGCATTCCTGACTTTCTGAGAAATAAAAGGCTTTTGAAGTGACCAAAGAGCTAGTGCTAACTTTCCTTTTACAGAAGTGGGAACAGAGGCCTATGGTAGTAGTTTACTTGTCCAAAGACTCAGAGCTAGTGACTGATGAAGTTGGGACTCAAATCCTACATTCTACCTCTTAAACCAGGAAACTTCCCTCTACACCCCACTGCTTCTGAAGAGTAAGTAAGAGCTTTCCTTTTGATCATTGCCTCTATATGATTCAGCAAATACCCAAATTCTATTTCACAAGAATGTGGTCGAATCTATTAAACGTTCTGTAGACAGTAAGCATCAGCACAGTTTGTTCCCTCCTGCACTCTCTTAAATGAATACATTCCTCACCTGCAGAGGGGTGACATTTAAAATAAAGCCAAATAATTTTCTGTTTTTGAAAATGTCAAAGATGATCAGGGATCACGTCCAGGCTTGGAGCTACAGTACCATTTTTTTTTTAATGACTGTGCAGTTTAAACACATGGGTAGATAAAATCTCTGGGTTTCTTCTGGTGAGCTGAAGTTTTGAAATTCACTTAATCCCTTGCTATCTTAGAATCAGTACCATGCACGATATAGGCCATCCAAAATTTAGTGTTTATGGTCATATAAAAAAAAATCTTGGCAGGCTGCAAATCAGCAGTGTGCCCAAATGCTTTCTAACTGCTTAGAGAATTACTTCAGAGGATGAAAGACATGAAGGACAAGAACAGTTTGCCACTTTATAAGCTTGAGATGATCCAGATAATTTAGAAAATTCTTTCCACAAGGAAAAATAACATTCATTACAGACTTAAAAAAAACAGCTGATGACAGTATTTGTGATACATAAAACATCCTATTTTTAATAGTCATCACATATGGATTGTAATTTGGATACAGAAAAAATATTTTTATAGTTCTACCTTCAAAGAGGATGGTAAAGGTTTGATGCACAAGTAACTCATAGCTTTTCTTTCCATACTCATTTTGTGTGATCTTAGGAAAAAAGCCCTTCATTTCTATGGTGATTCAGTTGACCATTTTTGATCATGTATTTATAGTTTCTCTGTCAACAAATGCTTTTTTTTAGGGCTTCCTAGATGTTATGATATAAAAATTGTATGGCTACTGGTTAGTTAACAAACACTTGCCTTATAATTTTGGAAGAGAGTAAATTTTCTTTTGTATACTTTTTATTAACATGAATATAGTGGCTCCAAAGGGCTGGACAGGTGCACGGCATTCCCCCAAGTGATGAAGCAGAGCATAGGTAAGTTGTCAGACAGCACAGTCACCAGTCACCAGAAAATGACTGAAGGCAGCACTCTTTCTTCATATGTGGCATTTCCATGTTTCTTCACCAAGCTTGTGTCGTGTTTCTACTTAGCTGCATTACAAAATTTTCTTTGTGGAGAGCATCGGATTTAGCTACGCATTTTATGAAAGTGTGTTTATAATTAACTGAGTAACTGTACTGCTTAGGAATCACAAGAGGCCATCACTGGACCTGGTTTTGAGCTCTGGCAAATAGCATGGGTAAGGAGAAAGAGGAGGTGATGGTAG
The DNA here is from genome assembly GCF_000001405.40 of Homo sapiens. NCBI lineage: Eukaryota > Metazoa > Chordata > Mammalia > Primates > Hominidae > Homo > Homo sapiens. The sequence goes on from NC_000003.12 coordinate 191,475,049, forward strand.
AGAAGTCAGGGTAAGATAAGGGTTTAAGCTGGGCACGGTGGCTGACGTCTGTAATCCCAGCACTTTGAGAGACAGTGGATCACCTGAGGTCAGGAGTTCAAGACCAACGTGACCAACATGGTGAAACCCTGTATCTGCTAAAAATACCAAAATTAGCTGGATGTGGTGCCGTGCACCCAAGCTACTCGGAAGGCTAAAGCAGGAGAATCTCTTGAACCCGGGAGGCGGAGGTTGCAGTGAGCTGAGATTGCACCACCGCACTCCAGCCTAGGTGACAGAGTGAGACTGCGTCTAAAAAAAAAGAAAAAAAAAGGTTTAGTTTCTGATCTTTAGGCATCGTCATGAGAACAAGTGGCTGATCTTTCTTGGTTTCTTGCCTGTCAGAGACACGGAGTGAGAGAAACTTCTGGGGATCCCTGCTCTGTGTGAAAATAGGCTGATGCTCCTTAACCTGTAGTTCAAGGGCATCACTTAGAATAGGTGAATTCCATAAGAAAATTAAAAAGAAGTTATTAAAGTCTATTAAAGCAAACGTAAGGACTTGATCCCTAAAATATTCTCATAAGATGGCAGGCAGAGCATAAAATCAATAGTAAGTCTCCCACTCCACCTCCTCATTGCAGATCCACTGCAAGAGGTGACTTACTTTACGTTCTCTGATTTGCGTTTTTCTGGTGTGTACCTACAACTGCTCACTCCATTGCCCATAAGTTTGAGAAATAAACATAATTTTCTCAAATTCTTGATCCATCAGTGTTCAGCAGTAGTAGATGATTCCAAAAACAAAAGATGTAGTGTTTGCTCTTGTATAATACAAACTTACTCCTATCTCTCCTTCTCTCCTATATCCTAGTTCATAAGAGTTTTATCATTTTAAAAATTTTAACATTTCCATGGTTTATAGATTTGAGACTTTTTTTTAAGAGATGGAGTCTTGCTCTGTCACTCAGGCTGGAGTGCAATGGCGTGATCTCGGCTCACTGCGACCTCCACCTCCTGGGTTCAGGCGATTCTCCTGCCTCACCTTCCCAAGTAGCTGGGACTACAGGCATGTGCCACCATGCCCAGCTAATTTTTGTACTTTTTAGTAGAGATGGGGTTTCACTTTGTGTTTACCAGGCTGGTCCCGAACTCCTGACCTCAGGTGATCCACCCGCCTTGGCCTCCTAAAGTGCTGGGATTACAGGCGTGAGCCACTGTGCCCAGCCCAGATTGGATACTTCTGTGCTTTGCTTACAACTTGAGAAAATACAATTCAGCAATGTTTACATTATTAAGATTAGGCAAATAGTATTTACTGCAGAACCAACTAGTGAAATTTGATCTGTAGAAAAAAGGAAATGTAATCTTAAAGCATTAAATTTGTGTCACTTTAAAGAGAATTTTCTGCAAGTCGAGGCCAAGTGAATTCTCTTTTTTTACAGCCCATTAATTGTTCATTGTAATGCCATAGTTTAGATCAATTAATATGTAAACCATGAGGGGGTAAGGCTTTCAGATATGTGCCTGGGAAACTGAGGAGTTTGGAGAAAATGTCTAAGAGGAGAGATAAGGAATGAGTCAGGACTGTTTGATCAATGAGGTTTTAATTGTCACAGCAAAGAGGTCTGTCATAAACTTGTTCCTGGCTCTGAGAGAGGAAGCAAATAAGTAATAAATAAGATAATTATTTTCAGTGAAATTTCTGTAGGTTAGTTAAGGTATAGGGTATTATTGCTTTGATAATTTGACATACTGCTAACTGAATAAAATATAAAAAGGGTAAGAGAAATAATTACATAACTCTATCCAGTGAAATTTTCAGGACTTGAACAAAAACATTCAATGATACTGGCTTACAGGGCCTAGTGGAGACTGTGGGGTTAGTGAACATAGTGTACAAAGGTGGCTGGAACATGGCAGAATGTAGTGGAAACAGCTATTTTATGCAATGGATACGGGGATCTCAAGAAGCAGACGTGGACCAAGCAAAAGTGGCAGTGCCTAGAAAGAGCTATAGCTCTCACTGAAAGTAATTCACACCTGGAAGAAAGTATAGCACTCACTGGAAGTTGTTGTGCCCAACAGATTTTACTGTCCCCAGAAAAAGAAAATTGGTTTAGAATATGGGAAGAAGGGGTGGGTGTTATATGAAAGATGAGCAGCTTTTTCATGAGATTTCCCTGAGGACATAATTGGGAGAGACAGAGTAGAGGAAAAAAAACTAGTTAAAATTTTGTATATATATATATATGCGTGTGTGTGTGTGTGTGTGTTGTATTTTATATAGATCCTTGATAAATATAAACACTTTAAATTTCAATTATATGAAGACATTTTTCTAGAGCAATATTACATTGTGGGAAAAAGTGTGAGAATTTGGTCAGAGGAAGAACTCTGTTTGCAAAGCTGTTGTACAAGTCTCTCTAAGGTTATCTGAGCCTCATTTTTTCTAATCTGTAAATTGGGAATAAGAAACCCCTTCTTTCTTACTAGGTGTTGTAAGAGTGAAGTGGAGAGATGTGAAAATCACATGTGAAACCTAACGGGTTATAGGACTGTTGGCTTTTCTTCTACAGAATAATCAAATTTTAGAAATACTCTTCTTCAGATACCTGCTCCCCAAAATCTGGAGCTCAGACAAGCCTTTGTATCCCTTGTTTACTAAGCAGCAGTGATAAATGTAATATTTACTCACCTCATTAATACAGTTATCTGGCTTGGTCTACTCTAGGGTCAAATGTATCTTCAGTGTTTTGACTTCTTTCAAGAACACTTAGAGAAGGGTATAGGTTATGGTCCTGAAAAATAACAACCTTCTGTCCTAGGCAGAATTTTCTCCTGAGATGACAGTTCAAATTCCCTATCCCTGATACCAGGTGAATCAACACAACTTATGGATTTATTAACAAACCTATTGTTATTGTTGAGGATTTTAAAAATAAATTAATTTTTGTTATTATAAGTCATTATCTGGATTTTTTCAATACTTATTGATTGTATTTATGTGAGGGTGGTAATCAGTATGGTAGAAGAGGAGAACACTAGAATAAAATTTTAAAAAATGGGAAACTTAAACTGGGTTTATTCTTTCTTCCTTTCTCTTATTTCCTTGGTTTTTTTGTTTGTTTGTTTTTGTTTTTGTTTTTTGTTTTTGAGATAGAGTCTCTCTCTTTTGCCCAGGCTGGAATGCAATGGCGCGATCTCGGCTCACTGCCACCTCCGCCTCCTGGGTTCAAGTGATTCTCCTGCCTCAGCCTCCTGAGAAGCTGGGATTACAGGCACCCACCACCATGCCTGGCTATTTTTTGTATTTTTAGTAGAGACGGGGTTTCGCCATGTTGGCCAGGCTGGGTGATTCACCCGCCTCGGCCTCCCAAAGTGCTGGGATTATAGGCAAGAGCCACTGCACCCAGCCCCTCTTATTTCTAATTAATAAATAATATTTATATTTATTTATAGGGTACAAAAAAGGCCATCAGAAAACATTCACTGAAGTCTTACTTGTAGAACTTAAACTTCAAAAATGAGTAGAATTTGGAATGTGGAGATGGGCCTAGATTGTAAGACTCAGAAACGACACATGCAAAGGTTCTGAGGCCAAAAATCATGGCCCGTATACAAGAAATGGTGTAAGAGTACCATTTGGCTTGAGTTTGAGCATGAGAAACAGAATGTTAAGCTGCCATTTCACATTGTAATGACTATGAGGCAGAATAAAAAAAGTTTCCTAATATGCAATGTAGAAAAGCCAAAGGTAAAATTATATCTCTACACTGACTTCGGCTTCGTAAATTATGTCTGCTCATGAGCAAAGGATGAAAGGAAATGCTACCCACAAAAAAATTTATAAACAGATGGCATTAGACTAGAGAAATTTCCATTTTTAAATTTTTTATATTGTTATTACACATTAAATAGTTGGAAATGCATGAAAGTGTTTCTGCATTTTATGAATGTGAGGCTTTCAGACATTTATACATACCTTAAAAATATAAATAACTTGCACATGAAACTCAGTGGCCATTATTCACACTCTAATTTCTAGGAATCCAGCACAATGAAAATTCTAGAAATTCTCTTTTCCTTTCTCATTTGAAAGGTGGCATAAAGTATACGTGCAAGGTGTTCCTGTTTATAGCAAAAGACACATCTAATAGGTAACCATCTGAGAGGAAGGGCTGATTTTTTAACAGGGCATTATGATGACAAAGCTTGGCTGTCTGTAAAAGAAGTAAAATATGGAGAATTATTGAAATTAAAGTGATAAAATGCAAAGATTACATAACATTTCATAGATGCTGAGTTATGCTCAAGGGACTCACTTAGTAGGCAGTTTTGTGATAGAAGGTGAAATATATCCATTTATTCAAAAAGCAATGTATTGCCCACCTCACTGTCTTGCTAACCTCAGCATTCTCTCAAGGTACCTGGAAGCAGAATTAGTTGCAATAGTATTCATAGGTCTATCCACATCTATCTTATTGCCAAGATGAACTAGATTTGTTTGCAGGAAAAAAGGGAGACGATGTCGTTGATTGCTCTAACTTACTATAAAGCCGCATACTTATTTGGTGCTTTTACTAAATTAGTTTTTTCTAATCATCAAAATATATACGTATGTATTGTTATCTTCCGCAATGCATTTGACTTCTCAGAGGCTGTAGTCAAACATTAAGCAGAATAACTTACTTGACTAAATCACTAAATTTTATGCAGTTAAGACTGGAAAAAATTACACATCAAACCACCTTGTTTTATACAATGGGAAACTGAGGACCAGAGAGAGCAATATTTCCATGCAATTTCACAGTAAAATTGAGTGGTAATGAAAGACTAGAAAAAAAGTCTCTTCCTTCCTCATTTAGTACTCTCTTTCTAAGTAACATACCACGTTTTTATTGGAAACACAGAGTAGGTTAGAGGAAAACAATTATAAGCATGTCTTCGAACATTAAAGTAGGAAATTAAATTTGATTTATGGAAGAAAAAAAGAAATTAGATTTACCTCCCTTTTAGAAGAGTAGTAATTAGCACATTGCTCAATGATGGAAATGGGCATTGTTAGAGAGTGACTTGGGGCTGATATGTGGCATCTTTGTCTTTCTTATATGTGCTTCACTGTAATCACTCACTAATGTCAACTAAAATGATGCTCTTCAAAAATGGCAATAGAAGGAACTAGTCAACAGTTAATACTGAAATATCTATTTACTTTCTGACTACACTGAGCCCAGTAAAAGGCTCTAGAGGGCTACTACAGCATGACAGGTTCTTATTCTTGAGGAAATTAAAATCTAGTTAGAAAAAGAAGTATAAAATATACAACAAAGCAACAAATAATACTAAAAGAATACACTTATTTGCAAGTTTATTGGGTATAATCACTAAGAAGACATACAAGTGACCACACAAAGTGCTCAACATCACTAATCATCAGAGAAATGCAAGTTCAAACCACAACGAAGTACCGTCTCACACCAGTCAGAATAGCTATTATTAAAATGTCAAAAAACAAAAAACAGCTGTTGGTGAGGATATGGAGAAAAGGAAATGCTCATGCATTGTTGGTGGGAATGTAAATTGGTACAACCTCTGTGGAAAACTGGATGGAGACTTCTCAAGGAACTAAAAATAGAACTATCATTAAATCATCAATCTCACTATTGGGTACACACCCATCATCAATCCCACTATTGGGTACCCACCCAAAGGAAAAGAAATCATTGTATCAAAAAGACACCTGCAGAAAGAGGAGGCAGAGCAAGATGTCCAAATAGAAGCCTTCACTAATCATCCTGACTGCAGGAATATTAAACTGAACAACTAGTCACACGCACACACAAAATCACCTTCATAAGAACCATAAATCAGGTGAGTAATCACAGAACCTGGTTTTAACATGATATCACTGAAGGAGACACTAAAGAGGATAGGAGAGACAATCTTGAGTTGCCAGTGTCACCCCTCTTCCATTCCCCAGCAGCAGCCACATGTCACAGAGAAAGAATCTGTGCACTTGGGAGAGGAAGAGCACAGTGATAAAGGGATTTTGCTCTAGAAATCAGGGCTGCCCTGTCGCAGTGGAAAGCAACACCAGGCAGAACTCAGCTGGAGCCCATGGAGGGATTATTTAGACCCAGCCAGAAGGGAAGTGCCCATCCCATAGTCAGAACCTGAGTTGTGGCAAGCCTCACCATTGTTGCCTAAAGTGCTCTGGGATTCTAAATAAACTTTAAAAGCGGTCTAGGGCACAGGGACTGCAATTCCTGGGCATGTCCTGGTACTGTGCTGGGCTCAGAGCCAGCAGACTTGAGGGGCAAGTGACCTAGTGAGATACCAGCTTGGTCGGCCAAGGGATTGCTTGCACCACACCTCCTCAACTCCAGGCAGCACAACTTGCAGCTCCAGGAAAGACTCCTTCCCTTCTCATGAGAAGAGGAGGGGGAAGAGTAAAAAGGTCTTTGTTTTACAACTTGAATACTGGCTTAGCCAGAGTAGGACAGAACACCAGCAGAATTGTGAGGGTCCGATTTCAGGACCCCGCTCCTAGATGACATTTCTAGATGTAGCCTGGGCCAGAAGGGAACCTGCTGCCTTGAAGGGAAAGACTGAGCCCTGGCAGGATTCATCATCCGCTGACTAAAGAGCCCTTGGGCCCTGAATAATCAGCAGTGGTAGCCAGGCAGTACTCACTGTGGGCCATGGGTGAGATTCAGAGATGTGCTCGCTTCAGGTGTGACCTAGTGCATTCCCAGCTATGCTGGCTATGGGAAGAGACTCCTTTTGCTTGAGAAAAAGTGATAGAAGAGTAAAAGGGACTTCGTCTTGCAGCTTAGGTATCAGCTTGGCCACAGTGGGATAGAGCACCAAATGGGGTCTTGGGGTCCACAATTCTATACTTTGCCTCTTGGATGGCATTTCTGGACCTGTGTTATGTCACAGGGGAGCCCACTGCCCTGTAGATAAAGCCCCAGACCTGGCAGCATTTACAAAAAGCTGACTGAAGACCACTTGGGCCTTGAGTGAATGTTGGTGGTAGGCTGGCTGATATGGTTCAGCTCTGTGTCCTCACCAAAATCTCATTTTGAATTGTACTCCCATAATTCACACGTGTTATTGGAGGGACCCAGTGGGAGAGAACTTGAATCTTGGGGGTGGGCTTTGTTTCCTTCATACTGTTCTCATGGGAGTGAATAAGTCTCACGGGTTTGTCAGGGGTTTCCACTTTTGCATCTTCATTTTCTCTTGTGGCTGCGATGTAAGAAGTGCCTTTTGCCTCCTGCCATGATTCTGAGGCCTCCCAGCCATGTGGAACTGTAAGTCCAATTAAACCTCCTTCTCCCTAGTCTCAGGTTTGTCTTTATCAGCAGTGTGAAAATGGACTAATACAGTAAATTGGTACCAGTAGAGCAGGGTGTTGCTGAAAAGATACCTGAATAGGTGGAAACCACTTTGGAACTGGGTATTAGGCAGAGGTTGGAGCAGTTTGGAGGGCTCAGAAGACATAAAAATGTGGGAAAGTTTGGAACCTCCTAAAGACTTGTTGATTGGCTTTGACAAAAATGCTGATAGTGGTAAGAACAATAAGGTCCAGGCTGAGGTGGTCTCAGATGGAGATGAGGAACTTGTTGGGAATCAGAGCAAAGGTGACTCTTGTTATGTTTTAGCAAAGAGACTGGTTGCATTTTGCCCCCACCCTAGAGATTTGTGGAACTTTGAACGTGAGAGAGATGATTTAGTGTATCTGGCAGAAGAAATTTCTAAGTGGCAAAGCATTCAAAAGGTGGCTTGGGTGCTGTTAAAAGCATGACATTTTAAAAGGGAAACAGCATAAAAGTTTGGAAAATGTGTAGCCTGACAATGTGATGGAAAAGAAAATCCCATTTTCTGAGGAGAAATTCAAGCCAGCTGCAGAAATTTGCATAAGTAACAAGGAGCTGAATGTTAATCCCCAAAACAATTGGAAAAATGTCTCCAGGGCATGTCATAGGTCTTCATGACAGCCCCTCCCATCACAGACCTGGAAGCTTAGGAGGAAAAAATGATTTTGTGGGCTGGGCCCAGGGTCCCCATGCTGTGTGCAGCCCAGGGACTTTGTGCCCTGCATCCCAGCTGCCCCAGCCATTGCTAAAAGGGGCCAAGGTACAGCTCCACCCATGGTTTCAGGGGATGTAAGCCCCAAACCTTGGCAGCTTCCACATAGTGTTGAGCGTGAGGGTGCACAGAAGTCAAGAATTGAGGTTTGAGAACCTCCACCTAGATTTCAGAGGGTGTATGGAAACAACTGGATGCCCAGGCAGAAGTTTGCTGCAGGGGTGGGGCTTTCATGGAGAACCTCTGCTAGGGCAGTGTGGGAGGGAAATGTGGGGTCAGAGCCCCCACACAGAGTCCCTACTGAGGCACTGCCTGGTGGAGCTGTGAGAAGAGGGCCACTGTCCTCCAGACCCCAGAATGGTAGATCCACTGACAGCTTGCACTGTGTGCCTGGAAAAGCCACAGACACTCAATGCCAGCTTGTGAAAACAGCCAGGAGGGAGGCTATACTCTGCAAAGCCACAGGGGTGGAGCTGCCCAAGATTATGGGAACCTACCTCTCTTGCATCAGCGTGATCTGGATATGAGACATGGAGTCAAAGGAGATCATTTTGTAGCTTTAGAATTTGACTGCCCTACTGGATTTCAGACTTGCATGGGCCCTGTATCCTCTTTGTTTTGGCCAATTTCCCCCATTTGGAATGACGGTATTTACCCGATACCTGTAACCCCATTGTATCTAGGAAGTAACTAGCTTGCTTTTGATTTTACAGGCATGTAGGTGGAAGGGACCTGCCTTGTCTCAGATGAGACTTTGGACTGTGGACTTTTGGGTTAATGCTGAAGTGAGTTAAGACTTTGGGGGACTGTTGGGAAAGCGTGATTGGTTTTGAAATGTGAAGACATGAGATTTGGAGGGGCCAGGAGTGGAATGATATGGTTTGGCTCAGTGTTCCTACCCAAGTCTCATCTTGAATTGTACTCCTATAATTTCCACATGTTGTGGGAGGGAGCTGGTGGGAGACAATTTGAATCATGGGCAGTTTCCCCCATACTGCTCTTGTGGTAGTGAATAAGTCTCACAAGATCTGATGGTTTTATCAGGGGTTTCTGCTTTTGCCACTTCCTCATTTTCTCTTGCCACTGCCATGTAAGAAGTGCCTTTCACCTCCCACCATGATTCTGAGGCCTCTCCAGCCATGTGGAACTGTAAGTCCAAGAAACCTCTTTTTCTTCCCAGTCTCGGATATGTCTTTGTCAGCAGTGTGAAAATGGACTAATACATTGGTGGTATTTGCTGTGGGCCTGAGGCAGTGTTGACCACGGGGAGAGACTCCTCTGCTTGTGGAAAGCGGAAAGGAGAATAAGAAGGACTTTGTTTTGTTGCTTATGTGCCAGATCAGCCAGAGTAGAAGAGCGCACCATGGAGATTCCTAGAGCTTCTGACTCCAGCCTTGGGTCCCACATGGACTCTCTGGACTTACCCAAGGCTGGAGAAAACTTTCTGTCCTGAAGGAAACAACACACCCTATCTGGCTTCCCCACCTGGTGATTGTACAGCCTTAGGGCATTGATCAAACATAGGGCGTAGCCACGCAGTGGCTACCACAGGCCTTTGAGGAGACCCAGTAGCATGCTGCTTTCTGGATTGATCCAGAGCAGTTCCAGTGGTGGTGGCCACAACAGTGCTGTTTTACTTCTCCCACAGCTCCAGGTGACTCAGCACAGAGAGAGAAAGAAACTCTGTTTGTTTGAAAGAAAGTAAGGGAAAAGGACAAGAATCTCTGCCTGGGCAATCCAGATAATTATGCAATTAGTGTTAAGTTGTCATCAGTTTAAAGTAATAGGTTATAAGATATTATTTGCAAACCTCATGGTAACCTTAAATCAAAAAACATACAATGATTCACAAAAAAGAAAAAGCAAGAAATTAAAACATACCACTAGAGAAAATCACCTTCACTAAAAAGAAGACAGGAGGAAGAAAAAAAGGAAGACAAGACCACAAAACAACTGGAAACAAAAAACAAAATAGCAGAAGTAAGTCCTTAATTATAAATGATAACATTGAATGTAAATAGACTATCTATTCAGAAGACATAGAGTGGCTGAATGGATTAAAAAAAAAAAAAAGCCTCAGACTCTGTAGCCTAAAAGAAACACACCTCACCTATCAAGACAGACTGAAGATAAAGGGAAGACACAAAGAAGTTATTATATAATAATGGAGTGAATTCAGCAAGAAGGTATAAGTTATTGTAAATATAAATGCACCTAGCACTGGAGCACCCAGATTTATAAAGCAACTATTATTAGAGCTAAAGGGAGAGCTTGATCCCAATATAATAATAGCTGGAGAGTTCAACATCAAACTTTCAGGATTGAAGAGATAATTCAGACAAAATAAATAAAGATGCTTTGGACTGAAAAGGCACTGTAGACCAAATGTCCCTAATAGAACATTTCATTCAACAGCTGCACAATACACATTTTACTCCTAAGCACATGAATCATTCTCAAGGGTAGACCATATAGGCCACAAAACAAGTCTTCAAAAGCTCAAAAAATTGAAAGTATATCGAGTATCTTCTCTCTACAATGGAATAAATTTTAATTATTCCATTAAATGGAATAAAATTTAAATTAATTACAAGAGGGATTTTGGAAACCATAAAAAAAAACAGAAATTGTGTAATATACTCCTCAAAGACCAGTGGGTCAATGAAGAAATTAAGAAGGAAATCAAATATTTCTTGAAACAAATGATAATGAAAACACAACATACCAAAACCTATGGGGTATAGTAGAAGCAGTACTAGGAGGAAAGTTTATAGCTATAAGCACTTACATCAATAAAGTAGAGAAAGTGCTACAAATAAACAACTAATAATACATCTTAAAGAATTAGAAAAACAAGAGAAAACCAAAACCAAAATTAGTAGAAGAAAAAAATAATAACCCAAGGATAGATATATAAAATTGAAACAAAATTCAAAAAATCAGAACAATGAAAAGTTGTTTTTTCTTGAAAAGACAAACAAAAGTGACAAACCTTTAGTCAGACTAAGAAAAAAAGAGATAAGACCCAAATAAATAATATCAGAGATGAGAAAGGAGACATTACAACTGATACCACAGAAATTCAAAGAATTGTTAGAGGCTACTCTGAGCAAGTATATGCCAATAAAATGCAAAATCTAGAAGAAATGGATAAAGTTCTAGACACATACAACCTACCAAGATTGAATCATAAAGACATCAAAAAAATCAACAGAGAAATAAGTAGTAATGAGAATTAAGCAGTAATAAAAAGTATTCCAGCAAAGAAAAGCCAAAGGCCTGATGGCTTCACAGCTGAATTTTACCAAACATTTAATGAAGATTTAATACCAATCCTACTGAAACTATTCAAAAAACAAGAGGAGAAATAAATATCTCCAAACTCATTCTACCAGGCTAGTATTACCCTGATACCAAGCCATGCAAAGACACATTACAACAACAGCAACAGCAACAAATAAACAGACAAAAAACTTCAGGCCAATATCCCAATGAACATTTATGCAAAAATTCTCAGCAAAATATTAGCAAACTGAACTGAACATCACATTAAAAAGATCGTTCGTTATAACCAAGTGGGATTTATCTCAGGGAAGCAACATATACAAATCAATCAATGTGATACATCATGTCAAGAGAATAAAGGACAAAAACATTATGGTTAGTTCAACTGATGCTGAAAAAGCATTTGATAAAATTCACAATCCCTTCATGATAAAAACACTCTAAAAACTGTGTAAATGGACCATTACTCAATAAAATAAAAGCCATATACAACAGACTCACAGATACTATCATACTGAATGCAGAAAAACTGCAAGCTTTTCCTCTAAGATTTGGAACATGAGGTGGAACAGTGTAAAATGATGTCCACTTTTACCACTGTTATTCAACGTATTATTGGAAGGCCTAGCTAAAGCAACCAGACAGGAGAAATAAATAAAAGGCATCGAAATTGGAAAAGAAGAAGTCAAGTTATTCTGGCTTGCAGGTGACATAATCTTTTATATTTGAAAAAAACCTAAAGACCCCACCAAAAAACCACTGGAACTGATAAACAGTAAAATTTCAGGATACAAAATAACATAAGAAAATCAGTAGTATTTATACATGCCAGCAGCAAACAATCTGAAATAGAAATTGAGAAAATAACTCCATTTATAATACCTATCGAAAAAATAAAATACCTAGGAATTAACATAACCGAAGGAGTGAAAGATCTCTGCAATGAAAACTGTAAAATGTTGATGAAAAAAATTGAAGAGGAAACAAAAATGGAAGGATATTCAATGTTCATGGATTGGAAGAATCAATATTTTTAAATGTCCATACTTCTAAAGGAATCTACAGATTCGATGCAATCCTTATCAAAATAACAATGACATCCTTCACAGAAATAGAAAAAGCAATCCTAAAATTTATATGGAACTAGAAAAGATGCTGAATAACCAAAGCTCTCCTGAGCACAAAGAGCAAAGCTGGAGGAATCACATTACCTGACTTCAAATTATACTACAGAGCTATAGTAACCCAAATAGCATGGTACTGGCATAAAAACAGACACATACAGACCAGTGGAACAGAACAGAGAAACCAAAAACAAATACAGACACCTACAGTGAACTCATTTTTGACAAAAGTATGAAGAATATAAACTGGGGAAAAGACAGTCTCTTTAATAAATGGTGCTGGGAAAACTGAATATACATATGCTGAAGAATGAAACTAGACCCCTATCTCTCACCATATACACAAATCAAAAATTGTTCAAAGACTTAAATCTAAGACTTCAAACTATGAAACTACTACAAGAAAACATTGGGGGAAACTCTCTAGGACATGGATCTGAGCAAAAATTTCTTGAGTCATACCCCACAAGCACAGGCAACCAAAGCAAAAATGGACAAATAGGAAAACCTTAAGTTAAAAAATTTCTGCACAGTAAAGGAAACAATAAACAAAGTGAAGAGGGAACTCACAGAATGGGAGAAAATATCTGCAAACTATTCATCTTACAAGGAACTAATAAACGGAATATATATGAAGAGCTTAACTCTGTGGGAAGAAATCTAATAATCTGATTTTAAAATGTGCAAAAGATCTGAATAGACATTTTTCAAAAGACATGCAAATAACAAACTGGTATATTAAAAAGTGCTCAACATCATTGATCATCAGAGAAATGTATATTAAAACCACAATGAGATAGTGTCTCACTGCAGTTAAAACAGCTTTTATCTAAAAGATGGGCAAGAACAAATGCTGGCGAAGATGTAGAGGAAAGGGAACCCTTGTACACTGCTGGTGGGAATGTAAATTAGTACGGCCACTGTGGAATACAGTTTGGAGGTTCCTTAAGGAAATGAAAATAGAACTGCCATATGATCCAGCAATTCCACTCCTAGGTATATACCAAAAAAAAAAAAAAAAAAAAAAAAGAGAGAGAAGTCAGTGTATTGAAGAAATATCTGCACTCCCATGTTTGCTGTAGCACTATTCAGAGTAGCCAAGATTTGCAGTCAACCTAAGTATCCATCAACAGAGGGATGGATAAAGAAAATGTGGTAATATAGACAACGAAGTACTATTCAACCATTAAAAAGAATGAGATCCTCTCATTTGCAAATGAGATGTTATCTATTGACAACACTGATAGAACTGGAGGTTATTATGTTAAGTGAAATAAGCCAGGCACTGAAAGAAAATCTTCACATGTTCTCACATATTTGTGGGAGCTAAAAATTAAAAACAATTGAACTCCTGGAGATTCAGAGTAGAACAATGGTTATCAGGGGCTGGGAACAGTAGTGAGGTGTTGGGCGACAATTGGAGATGGTTAATGCATACAAAAATGTAGTTAGATATAATGAATAAAATCTAGTATTTGATAGCACAGCATGGTGACTGCAATCAACAATAATTTACTGTATATTTAAAAATAACTAAAAGAGTATAATTGGATTATTTGTAACACAAAGGAAGGATAAATGCTTGAGGTGATTGCTAAGCCATTTATCCTGATGTGATTATTACACATTGAATGCCTGTATCAAAATATCTCATGTACCTCATAAATATGTATGCCTACTATGTACTGACAAAAGTTAAAAGAAGAAATTAAAAAGATACCTGCAATCATATATTTATCGCAGAACTATTCACAATAGCAAAGTCATGGAATCAACCTGTGTCCATCAATGGGTGGTTGGATAAAGAAAATGTGGTATGTATACACCATGGAATACTAAGTAGCCATACAAAAGGATGAAATCATGTCTTTTGCAACAGCATGAATGGAGGTAGTAAGTGAAATGACTGGGAAACAGAAAATAAAATGCTGCATGATTTCACTTATAAGTGAAAGCTAAATAATGGGTTCACATGGACATATAGAGCAAAATAATACATTCTGGGGACTCCAAAAGAGGAGAAGGAGGGAATGGGGGTGAGGACTTAAATAGTGTACAATGTTCACTATTTGGGTTATGGGCAAACTACAATGCCAAACATCATCATTATGCAATATATCCATGTAAAAAATCTGCACATGTGCCCCCCGAATCTATAAAAAAAAATAGAAAGATAAGCACTAGAAGACACTATTCCAACTGAATTTATATGATACTTTCTGAATTTTGACAATAAAAAAAATGCTTACATTTGCCTTTTATTGTTGAATTTCTCTACTTGACCTTGTGAGGCCCAATAAGGAAAGAAACATGCTCTAATAACATATTGTTAATATGTGCTTGCAAAGGTGTTTTTCTATCAAAGCCCTCCATTCACTGAAAGAAAACAGCTTGTTATGAATTTTTTTTTTTTTTTTGAGGTGGAGTCTCGCTCTGTCGCCCAGGCTGGAGTGCAATGGCTCAATCTCGGCTCACTGCAAGCTCTACCTCCCGGGTTCAAGCCGTTCTCCTGCCTCAGCCTCCCAAGTAGCCAGGACTACAGGCGCCCACCACCATGCCCAGCTAATTTTTTGTATTTTTAGTACAGACGGGGTTTCACCGTGTTAGCCAGGATGGTCTCAATCTCCTGACCTCATGATCCGCCTGCCTCGGCCTCCCAAAGTGCTGGGATTACAGGCATGAGCCACCGGGCCCAGCCCTTATTATGAACTTTTAAGAAATTTGCCCTTTATAAGTGCATATGTAAACCCTTGCAATATGAACCAATAGAGAAAAAAACATATTGTAATGACATATTCTCTATGTTTACTAATAAAGGTGTTTTTCTATCAAACTCTTCCATTCACTGAAAGAAAACAGTTTAGGATGCATCTTAAAGAAAGTATACTTGGCTGGTCGTAGTGGCTCACGCCTGTAATCCCAGCACTTTGGGAGGCCAAGAAGGGCAGATTACCTGAGGTTGGAATTTTGAGACCAGCCTGGCCAGCATGGTGAAACCCCGTCTCTACTAAAAATACAAAAATTAGCCGGGCGTGGTGGCGCGTGCCTGTGATCCTAGCTACTCGGGAAGCTGAGGCAGGAGAACTGCCTGAACCCGTGAGGCAGAGGTTGCAGTGTTGCAGTGAGCCGAGATCGCACCATTGCACCCTAGCCTGGGCGACAAAAGCAAAACTCCGTCTCAAAAAAAAAAAAAAAAAAAAAAAGGATGGTTACATTTTATTGCCTTTTCTTGCTGGATTTCTCTCTTGGCCTTATAGGGCCCAATGGAAAAAAGAAACATGTTTTAAAAATATATTCTCAATGTGTGCTTACAAAACTGCATGTGTCTAACTTTCATTCATTCAAAGAAAATTTCTTATAATGAATCTTTGAGAAAATATGCTTATATTTACCTCTTATAGCTGCATATGTAAATCCATGTGATATGAACAAATAGATTCTAATAAAAAAATTACAAAGCAGCAACAAATGATATTAAAAGAATACACTTCATTGCAAGTTTATTTGGCATAATCTCCAAGAAAAGGAACCAGAGACAGGAATGCTGGTAATGACTGAGAATTAGTAATGATTTCAAAGGAAACAAGAGAGTTGAACTGAGTCTCAAAGACTGGGAGGCTCAGGGTAAGAGTAGGGTAGAGAAGATAAAGAATTTCTTGGCTTTTGTTACACTGTTTCTTTCAGGGCTTCTTTATTCACTTAACGCCAGTCCTTTCATCTTCATGGGCTCAACACTTTTTTTTTTTTTTTTTTTTTTGCTTTTTAAATCTTACTCAGGATCTCATTTCTTGAGGTCCAATAAATTATCTTATTTCTTTACTTCAAGTTGGGTAACTGTTATTTCTAATAGAAAGAGTTGTACCTTATCCACTGATTTTGGATCCTTAATTTTTTTCTACTTTATACGTGTTTCCTGGGAGATCTTCACCCTTATTTAGATACCATTAAACAGGCTTTAGCAATTACTAAAAACATGATTTCCAAACCTGTTTCTTGAGTTCATACCTTCTTTCTATACTGTTGATTGGGTGATTCTAAACCTGGAACAATTTTGTCCCCTAGGAAATGTTTGGCAATGTTGAAAATCACTTTTGATTTGCCCACTGGAGTTGGGGGTGGCTACTGGCTTCAAGCGGGTAGAGGCCAGTGATAGGCTAAATATCCTACAAGGCACAGGCTGCTTTCCACCTCCTAATCTCTCTCTCTCTCTCTCTCTCTCTCTCACACACACACACACACACACACACACACACACACACACGCACGCACATCCCAAAGAAGCAAAGAATGATCCCATCCCAAATGTCAAAAGTTCTGAGATTAGAAATCCTACTGCAACCCTGTATGTCAAACTGCTAATTGGTTTTTGTAATTTTAATATATCCTAAATGTCTCAGATTATACTTAATCAAAATGGAATATTTCATTTTTATCACCCGAGCTGTAAAGAATGTTCGGACAGAACTTAATATGGTTTAGCCTTCATAACATTTCTTTAACTATTAGCAGTTTCTTTAAGAAGTTAGGTCATACAAGTAAGAATTGACTCAACATTTTGTTTTTCACAAAGCCACAGCAACAAGTTGACACAAAGAACTTAAAGCAGCCGGCCAGTGGGAGTGAGAACTCCTGTTACCAGGTTGAAGCTTCTTTGGGAATCTGTTCCCTTTATTTTACTTTTCCTTTGGATTCTTACCACCTCCCACCCTATTCATGCTCTTCCCCAGGTTATGCCTATTATTTTTTTTGATCCAGTTAACTAATCATCATATGCCTGTAAGATTACCATAAAAATAACTCTGCTTTTGTGAAATAGCTATGCCTATTTCTAATTTGGTAAGGACAATTTCCTGTACTGTGGATTGACATTCTCTGTCAGACATACAATATAAATTTCACATATGTTCACATCTTTAGAAATATAGAATATTATTTCTAAGTTTTTCCCAAATGAGTACAATATACCATTTTTCTAGAAATGTTAAGTATAAACTTAAAAATATCAACATTCCTATCTTTAGTATAAAGTTTATTTTTACATGAAACTGGCAACTACTGTATATAATTGCAACTTGAGGGCTGGGACCAGTGGTGTGTTGGGAAAACAAATCCCTGAAGAAAAAAAAGGAAGAAAAGAAGAAAGAAAGAAAGGAATAAATAAAGAAAATCCATATATGTAGTATTTGCCTATTTCTGTGGAATAAATACTCCCACTGTTGCCAATTTCAGGTTTCCAGTGGTTTAATACGTGACTCATAGACTTCCTGAATATTTAAAAATTGGCTCCCATAAGCCAGGATGAGTCTGCTCCAGTACACCACTGACTACTGTGTTTGGTTCTATAGGTAAAGCAGCAATGAAGTGGGAATCTCATGGTATGGAATTTTTGTCCTGGTTAGCTAGTTCATGTTTCAGCTTCTCAATTGCAAAATGTAATGGTTGCACTGATGATCTCCAAGATCTATTTTGGTTGCAGCAGTCAAAGGTGCAAAGTGTTCTGTCATCAGTTACAATGACTCTTACTGTGAAAACATCAAATGTCACAAAAATTGGAAATGAAATTGCTATAAATGGTGTTTATTTTTCTTTTTTTGTTCATTTTGTTTATTATAGGTTAAATTCTGAATAGGCATCCTACTTCTCTAAAATAACTGTATATGGATTGAAATAATTATTTTTATTATTGAAATATTTTTGTTAGTTTATATATTCCTTCATTAATTATGCTTTCCACACTAAGTAAAACATCCCTGTACCATTAACTTTGGTGTCATTATTTTTATCTAAAAGGAGCCAATTTTTTAAATTGGGTATCTTTTTATGGAATTTTGGCAATGCAACATGAGTTTGATGATGTGACATCTGAGAGATTTCATGAAGAGGCAATCAGTAGTAGGAAGTAGAGACTGTACTTTTTATGTGCTTTATCTAAATAGACATATGCTTCTATTCTTTTATGCTATAAATAATTGCTGGCATCTGTGACATACAGATATTATTATGTTAAGAGTCTGTTTTTGTGAAGTGTAACCAAGCCAAAGGAATAAGCCAAGTTTTTATTCCCTCTTTCTGGTCAAATGCAAATTTTCTATTTAAAAGGCAAAGTTTTCATTACCAAAAGATGAATGAGATGGCACTAAATTTCATTTGGTTCCTTTATTTTTTTACATAGATAATAATGTGTCATACAAAAATATGCAGTAGGTGATTTTCTTTGACTATGAATTTGACACTTATAAAAGTAAAAATGAATTAATTTAACTAAAACTTTCTGCTTCTTTGTTAATCTGCCAGTTAGCCCATGCTAAAACCATATTCATGGCATCATAGAAGGTGATGAATGACTGAATGATCCTGTAGGAGTAACAATTCAATTTCTTTACTAAGTGTATGGGAAAACACACCCAAAGCTAGCAAATGACTTGACCTAAATAATACAGAAAGGATCATTCTGCTTTTTCTGCTCTATCCCAGAGCATCTTGGCATTTAGCAGTATCTATCTTTTCTATTACAAGAACATAAACTTAAAAAATATTCTTTTATCTACCTTCTTACACTACCACTCACAAACAACCTACTTCTTTTTACCTATTTAGATTCAAGAGCCATCGATCTCTTTTATCTCTTTTCTACAAATTTCATAGCAGAATTTGATCATACTCTTCTCTGCGTACTAAAGTGAAGTGACTGATAAGAGATAAAAGAAAGCTCCTTCTAGGAAGCATTTGCATTTTCACAGATATTCAAGAGAACCTTAGATTATCTCTCATAACCTTATTATTTTAGAAAATTTAAGGTTTACAGAATCATTGTAAGATACTACAGAGAGCTCCCATATATCCCACATCCACTGCCCTCTATTGTTAACATCACATTGATATAGTGCATTTGTCATAATTAATTAACCACCATTGATATTTTATTATTAACTAAAATGTATACTTTATTCAGATTTTCTTAGTTTTTACCTAATTTATTTTTTGTATGGCAGAACCTCATCCAGCATAACATACTACATTTTTTTTGGTCTTAATTTCTTAGGTCCCTCTTGGCTAAGACAATATCTCTGACTTTCTTTGTTTTTATGGCTTTAATAGTTTTGAGAATTAGTGGTCAGGTATTTTATAAAATGTTTCTCAATTGGTATTTGACTGATGTTTTTCTTATGATTAGACTGGAGTTATAGGTTGTTGGGAGGAAGACCGCAGAGTTCAAACGCTATTCCGATCACATTATATCAAGGATATATACTATCACTGCATTATCACTGTTTATGTCAAGCTTCAATACCTAGTCAAAGTAGTGTTTATCAGATTTCCCCACTGTGCAGTTACTCTGGGTTTCCATACATTCTTTGGAAGGAAGTCACTACGTGCAACCCATATTTAAGGAATGGGGGTTATGCTTCACCTTCAAATCAAATTATTTACGTAAATTGTTTGGAATTCTTCTGCACAAAAGATTTGTTCATTATCTTCAATTTATTTATTTTTTCAATCATTATGTCACTATGAACTTATAGATATTTGGAATATGATTTAATATTACTTTATTTATGTTGTTGTTCTAATTGTTGCAGCAGTAATCATTGGGTGCTCTTTTAATTGGTTCTTGTGTCCATATGACATTTCCCCATTATCATGTGGTTTTATTGATCACTTTTTTATTTTATGGCAATACTGGAGGCTCCAAGCCTATCTCGTATATTTCCTTTCCTCGTCCTAGAATCAACCATTTCTCAGAAAGTCTTGGTGTCACTTACTGAAAAATGGTACTAGAAACCAAGATCTAGGTGCTAGTTTTACTAACTGTTACTGGGATATCATTGATTTCAGGCCCTGTCAGCTGACACAGCAAAGAAATATATACATGTATACTAACACATTGCACATGATTATAAATATTACTATTTGTAATCATCTATGCATATGTTAAGTTAAACATGAGTTTATACTGATGTCTCCAATTCTAATCCATTACCACATGAATTGGCCTCCTAATCTTGGTTATCCCACTACAAAAATGAGACACCTTGCTCCCACCATCTGTCATCCATTTATTTAATTGTTTAATTGCAGTACATAAGTATAGTAGTTTGAGAATTGTTAGCCTAACCCATGTGGAAAATAACTTTTGAGTTACAGCACAGTGCTTATATACAGTTCCTTTTGACTTCAATCTTAATTTCACTCATTCCAAAGTTGGTTAGGTCAGTGCTTTCTCCCTTGTCCCCACCAGTGAGGTTATTTCATAAATTTGTAACACAGTTAGCTTTTAGTCATACTCTACACTCTATCCTGGGACTCTTCAGCCTCATAAATGTTTTTTCTTAATTGCATACATGAAGGTTCACTCTTTGTACTGTAAATTTCTATGAGTTATCACAAATGCATAGTGCCATGAAACCACCATGTAACCACCATTAGTTTCATGCAGAATATTTTTACCTTAAAATTTCTTGCGCTTCACCTATCAGTTCTTCCGTGCCACCCAAACACCTGCCAACCATCATTATAGTATAATCCAGAAGAGCTTCACCACTTTAAAAAAGTCTCCTGTCCTTCACCTATTCAGTCCTCCAACTTCCCCCTGAGTCACTGCCAACCACTGATCTGTTTATCTCTATAGCTTTGCTTTTCCCAGTATGTCACATAATTAGAATCATACAGAATGTAGTCTTTTCAGACTGGCTTCTTTCACTTAGAAATATAGATTAAGATTCATCTATGTTTATGTATGGCTTGATAGGTCCTTTATTGTTAACACTGAATAGTATTCCATTGTATGGATATACCACATCTTGTTTATCATGTCACCTTTTGAAGGACATCTTGTTTGCTTCCAGTTTTGGAATATTATGAATAAAGCTACTATGGGTATAAGGCTTCAGATCAGTTGGGTAAATATATAGGTGTGCAATTGCTGACTGATATGGTAAGAGTATATTTAGCTTTGTGAGACACTGCCAAGCTGTCTTCCAATGGGGCCGTACCACTTTGAATTTCTATCAGCAATGAATGAGAGTTCCTGTTGCTTTGCATCCTTTCCAGCAATTGGTATTGTTATTTTTTAGGTATTAGTTATTCTAATAGGATTATGGTGAAATCTATTTACTGTTTTAATTTGTATTTCCCTGAGGACAAATGATTTGTGCATCTTTTCATGTTCTTACTTAACATGTGTGTATCTTCTATGATGGAAATGAATAGAGGAACTAAAAATAGACCCACATGTATATAGTCAACGGATTTCAAAAAAGGCACAACTGCAATTCAATAAAGAAAAAATAGTTCTTTCAACAAATAATGGTAGAACAATTGGATATATACAAATGCAAAGAGAGTGAGAGACAGAACCTAGACTCAGAGCTGTGTATGTCTTCTTTGGTGAGGTGTCTGTTCAGAGCTTCTGCTTATTTCTTTGCGTTGTTTGCTATCTCACTGTTGAGTTCTAAGAGTTCTTTGTATGTTCTGGATACAAGACCTTTATCAGATATGTGTTTTGTAAATATTTTGTCCAAGTCTGTGTCATGTATTTTCAGTCTCAACAATATCTTTCACAAAGCAGAATTTTTAAATTGTAATAAAATTGAAATTGACACGTTTTTCTTTCATGGATCACAATGTTTAGTTGGTATTGTACCTAAAATCTCATCATTAAACTCAAGGTCATCTACATTTTTCCTATTAAAAGATCTATTGTGTTACATTTTGCATTTTGGCCTATGAACTATACTGAGTTAATTTTTGTGTGATGTATTAGCTCTGTGTCTACGTTGTCTCCCTCTCTCTCTCTTTGCATATGTATATATCCAACTGTTCCACCACTATTTGTTGAAAGGACTATTTTTCTTTATTGAATTTCATTTGTACCTTTTTCAAAATCAGTTGACTATACATGCGTGGGTCTATTTTTAGTTCCTCTATTCAGTTCCATCAAACTAAATGTCTATTCTTTTGCCAGTATACCACGTTGGCTTCACTACTGCAGCTTTATGGGAAGTCCTTAAATCAATTGTTCACTCTCAGTTCTCTGATAAGTCCAAGCAAAGTAATCGTTTAAGTTTGTCCAGCTTTTTCTCATTGATGACTTCTAAACTCTTAACACGTCAAAGTTGATTCCAGAAGTTTTTCTTCATATGGTTTTTTTGAACTTTTGGGCACGGGTTGGTGGAATTGCTGTTTGATGGTGGGTATGGATTCAGGTTGTACTGATGTTTCAGGTTACTGGCTTATTTCATGTTTAAACTGTTATCAGAGGAAAAACAATCTCTCTATGTCTCAATTTTCCCAAGTTTAAATGAAAGAATTCCAATATACTGTCTTTAAGGTCCATAAAGTAATGTGATAATCCACCATTTCTCTCTGGTGTCTGGTTCCACCCAGAACTTTTGGGTCTAGGAATGTCCTTTTCTGGTGCCTCACCATATTTCCATCAGGCTTTCTTCTGGCCTGAAATAGCCTCTAACTCATGTTGCATTTTATACCTTTCTATAGTTTTGGAGACAAACTATGGTATTATATCATCAAAGCTGAGAAAGCATGAATAATCTGCCAGTCTGCATACCTGTGGAACAGATAGTTGCTTTATTCCAATCTATACTTCTTGTAAATGTTTTGTGGCTTTACTACTACCACCATTACTAGCTATTATTTCTTGAGCTCCATGTGCAAAACAGCATTATATACCTGATACACGTTATCTCATTTATTCTATATATATCATTATACTAAGTTAGATATTTCTCCATTTTATTTATATGCCAATTGTCATTTTGAGTTTACACATTATCTCATTTATTCTATATACCATTTTTCTAAGTTAGATATTTCTCCATTTTATTTATATGCCAGTTGTCATTTTGAGAGAATAAATGGTTTACCTGTGCGCTGTTTAGATGTGAATGACCTGGAATTTGAACTCAGCTCTATAAGGCTTGAGCTTAGTTTCTGATTGGCTTACATGTGTATGTTCATTTATCAGCTACCTTCAATTATATAATGTCTTTTTATGTGATTTACACTTACATTTTATATCTCTAAAGGTTTGTAGGGTAGAAATGCCATCCTTCATAACTAAATAAATAGAATGTTCTTCTGCCAGGTATTGCTTGATGATCCTGAACTAAAATTTTAAAAGATATGAATGGTGATACTGAACTAAAATGTTAAAAAATATAAATTGCCCAGATCTCTAAATAGCTATGTGACCATAAGTAAGTCATATTTATGTTTTCTCACTCTCCAGATACTATTCTAAGTGCTTTATTTATATTAGCTCATTTCCCTCCCTCACAGCAACCTGTAAGACATTATACTATTAGCGATGCAATTTTATGATTGAGAAAACTGAGGGACAGAGCAGCTAAATGACTTGCCCAAGGCACACAATTTGTTGATGCCGTTGTCAGGATGTGAACCTAGGCAGAATGGCTCCAGGGTCCATGTTTCCAGCCACAATGCAATGCTGCCTCTTAGGTGTACTAAGTAATTATTTGACAAACTTTTATTAAATACCTACTGGATTGATGTTGTCAGGTGCAGGGAACACAGTAAAAAAATAACTGGCTTCGCCTCAGTGGGGCTCATGATTTTCTAGATACATGATACTAAAATCATGCTTCATGGAACGCCACCGGCAGCAGGACCTGGGAGCTTCTTAGAAATGAACACTCTATAGGGTCTCACCTGAGACCTACTGAATCTTACGCACATTAAAAATGGAGAAGAGCCGATTCAGGCTACTAGGACCCTAGGCTGTAGATTGCAGCTCTTTGTTCGTTTCTTTCTCTGGATTTTAGTTTCTTCACCTGTAAAAAGAAGGGGGAGTTCCTAGATAATATCTGGAGTTAAGTTCACCTCTAATCCTCCTTACGGGTATCCTCTAGGTCACATTGCAGAAAACAGCAAAGTGGAAGTGACTGAGACGATGGATGCCCATAAACTTTTGCCCAGGTGTGTGGGCTCTTGTGTGTATGATAGAGTGAGTGCCTTTTGCAATAAAGATCAAACACATTGGTGCTGGGTTTCTTTGTTTTTCCTTGTTTCTGTACGCGGCTGAAAAGATTAGATTGTGTCCCAGCAAGCTAGATATTGCCTCCAGACACTTTATACGGCTTCTGTATTTATTTAGAGAGCAGGAAGCCTAGCCCAGCTTCTGCTGTATGAGGCAGTGACGGGAGAATTTAAAAGGGCTGTTTCATTAATTTTGGAGGGAATTTATTGCGGACAAAATACTGCATTATTGATGGTTGGAAGGCAGCACTTGCCTTGTCTCTGAGGAGCTGCGTGGGAGTGCCGCCCCCGCTTGCCTGCAGCCTCCTTGGAGCTGCTGCTGCAGCCGAGGGAAACCCTTCCCAGGCGAGGAGGGAGTCATTCTGGCACAGCGCCTGCCTGCCTGCCCGGGGTGCCGAGCTGTGATGGCAGAGCCTCTTTCTGACTGTATCGCTGCAATCTCTGAACAGGAAGGACACTTAAGAGGTCACACAGCTCCGTCTCGGCAGTTCACAGATGGGGTCCTCGACATCCACAAAGGGCAAGAGATTTACTCACATATAATGGCAGAAATCAGGTAGAAATCAGGTACAGCTGCATAGCTTCATTGCTCCTGTTTATTTTTTTTGCGGAATTAAAACTCTTTTCTAAATGACAGTGGCAGGATGTGCGTGGGCAGTTTTCTATGTGTTCTTTGCACAGCACCGAACTTTGTTTCTCAAATAATGACAATAACATTATAGTTTTACAGACTTTAAATGATGTAAAAAGGAATTAATCTCTCATACATTCCTTGGAAAGATGAGGCGTTAATGGTTTCCAGCCATTTGCAACGGGTCAGGTCTGGGATAGATTTTTTAGACCTCATCGTCTTTGATGCCAACACCAATTTCGTGAGGTGGGTGTTATAATCCTCATTTGTAGAGGCCCAATACAATTAAAAAGCTTGTTCAAGGTCTCAGAGAATGTAAGCAGCAGAGGTGAATTTTTTTTTAGCCATCTTATTAACTTTTGGAAGTTCAGTTCTAGGTTTACACAATATGCTTTTGTGAAAGGTTCCAAGCTGGGTTTTTGAAGGTGGGAGAAAGGACCTTTCTGTTAGCAATGGAGGAGAGAGTGGTGACTGCTATGAAACCAAGAGATGACAATAATGTCTATGAACTAGATGAGCTTTGGAAACACAGAATTTCAGGGACCTTGAAACTCAGGCTAGAATGAAGAGTGTGGGAGATGAAAGGAATAGGCCTAGGCTATGTGAATATTAAGATAAGCAATTGCCTTAGTTCCCACTTTCCTTTGCCAGAACAGAAGCTGTCAATGCAGACTAGAAATGGGCTGAAAGAGGAATTATGGTACAATCTCTCCTATGTACAAATCACTTTCTAGCTTAAAACGGTGCCTATTTGATCATTTAGAAAGTGAGCAACTTGACTACTCTGTGACCTTACGATTCCCATGACACTTGATCTGGAAGGAATCTTAGACCCCTCTTAACTATCAAATTCAAACCCGATTTGGAATATGAGGACAGAGCCCAAAGAAGGAAGAGAATGTTGCAAAAGCTAATGGCGGAATCAAGGTGTTGCTCAATAGCCACTGTAAAGAGTTCTCTCTACCACACCATGTGGCTTTCTATTATTTATATGCATATGTGTTTGTTATAGGTTTACATACATTTGAAATGCATACACTATATATACAATGTATACATACATATTATGTGTGTGCGTATATGTGTGTGTGCCTATATATAAAAAATATATATATATGTATATATATGTTTTTTCCCTGCCTATTTTTTTCTTCAAATTGTGGAGGCTAATGACCTACCTTCAGTGCAGTGAAAACAAAATTACTGCAAATACTCTAAATGCCTAACTGTAGAAACTTTAATTAGAAAAGTTAAAAGAATTGTAGTAAATAGAGCTGTGCTTAGAGTACAGCTGTGCCTGTTCTTTCTGCTTACGGATTTTACTCAGGCAGATTTTTAAAGTTGGAGATAATTAGATTTAGGAGGTTGGAGGTCATAGAATAGGACTGGAGAGGTGTTAGCACTCAGAAATCCTAAGTGTTGTAGGAAAGGCAGCCTGAACAGAATTGCACATTAGTTAAAAACGAGTAAATTGCTGTAAGGTTATTTAGTTTTAAAACACCTAGATTGTCTGCTATATAGTGGAGGGAACATTACTATGGAGTATAATATAGATTTAGTTTTCAGTGTCTGACAGAAAAAGAAATTCAGAAGATTGAATAATATAAAAATAGAATAGAAGTAGATCCAAGGACAAAACATTACATGGAAAACATGGTAGAAGAGGAAAATTAACTGATTAAATGGGAGAAGTTACACACAAATTAGGAATCCCACAAGAGGCCAACAAATTCAAATGGCAAAATGAGATAGTTTAGAATCAGAACGTTATTCCTCAAAGTGTGGCCGTGGGTCACCCACTTTAGAATCATCTGCGAACTGGTTGAAATGCAGATTAGAGGGCTCCCACTTCAGTTCTCTGGAATCAAAGCCTGGGAATAGGGTTTGGTAACAAGTGACAAATACTCTAGTTACTTCTTATGCACACGAAAATCTGGAACCACTGGGCCACGTAATTTTACACATTGCAAATAAATAGAAAAAGAAAACATCTAGAATGGCAGTTTGCACAATTTAAGGAGTAAACTATTTGGGAATCTTAATCCAAAAATTCAGAAAACCGACTCAATAATAAGCAGCACAGTATCCATGCATTTTCCATTTTTAATTTGTAGAACAAATATTGATTGGAATACTAGATAATACACACAGTATTTATGTTGCTTTGATTTATACCCTGCTATGATAAACTATTAGACATGAATTCCCTGGCCTTTTTTCCATTTATTAAAAAAAGGAGAGTCTTGATATCTATGGAGTTATAAGAAAAGAGGTTCAAGGAAGAGAAGACGGGGATACAGAAAAGGAATACATTTTGCTTGAATATAAAACCATATTTCTTTAGGCACAGTACATACTGCCTTTATTTTATATGGCTCTGATAATTAATAGTGAAATAATTGCGCTGAGAGAAAAATATTGAAAATAAGTAGAAAAATTTTCCAAATTGAGTTGTCCATGTACATACACATATATTGTGAAGTAACTAATAGATAATGGAAAGGAAGTTAAGCGTTTGAAAAATTTCCTTTAATGAGTTCAGAAAGGTTCGCTTCTTGCTCCTTACCTTGGCAAGCAAGTTCCTTATTCTTTCACAAGGTGGTGCTGTAAATGTGACTTCCCTTGACTGGCTGAAAATAACCTTTGTTACTTTTGGAATAATTTGAAGTTTAGCTTACCGTACCCTCTTGCCAGTTAACAGTAAAGCATTTGTTAGTAACTTTCTGATCATTTGTTATTTGGCCATGAGAGAAGAGAGAATGTACAGGAAGTCATCTGGAGAAAAACATGGCATCTACTTTGATCTGAAGGTGGAGAGCAAAACCCTTACCATAGTCGCTTACGTATCCCAAAGGGACAAATCTCCAGTTACAGTTCTCACGAAAATAATAATGGGACCAAAACGCAAGAGCAGGAAATTCTCATTGTGCTTGATTTATAGCAACTAAGGCTAGTTTTTTTCCTCATTTCTCTTTCTTTTTAACTTTATTTTTAAATTTGGAATTTTATAATTTGTGCTTTGATGACTGGGTAAATTGGCGTGAGTGGCTTATCATTATTTCGATTTTTGTTCATGAATGTGTTTATATATTTTTGATGTTTAACTTCACTATCTTACCTGATTTTAAGCAATCCTCTCAGAAAGTAGTTTATCCTATTTACTTGAATAGTTTGTAGAAAAAAATTTGCTATTATGTACAGTTTTAAGGTATGATGAAATCTAGAAGGAAGTCAGAATTAATGAGATTATTGCATTAAATTATTTTCTTCCTCCACCTCTCAAATTGTTATTTTTGTTTAAATGTCTCTTTCTTTCTTCTTAATCTTGGGAAATTTTATTAGCATTGAGAATCTTTTCCTTTTGTGATGCTGGTAAGGAATGAAGAGTTAACCATTTTTATCCTACTATTGTGTTAAGATTCATATAATCCACGTGCTTCTATACCCATGTGGTTTTGTGCTCAATAGTACAGAACTGACTTTAGGAAGTGGAGTACAAATAAAAATTAACCAATGGCAGAATATTTAGAACTGGAAGAAAAATTAGAAATAACCTAATTGATTGCCATTTGTGGTACAATAAAAGTATATAGGCCGGGCGCGGTGGCTCACGCCTGTAATCCCAGCACTTTGGGAGGCCGAGGCGGGTGGATCATGAGGTCAGGAGATCGAGACCATCCTGGTTAACAAGGTGAAACCCCGTCTCTACTAAAAAAAAATACAAAAAAATTAGCCGGGCGCGGTGGCGGGCGCCTGTAGTCCCAGCTACTCGGGAGGCTGAGGCAGGAGAATGGCGTGAACCCGGGAAGCGGAGCTTGCAGTGAGCCGAGATTGCGCCACTGCAGTCCGCAGTCCGGCCTGGGCGACAGAGCGAGACTCCGTCTCAAAAAAAAAAAAAAGTATATATATTTGGTCTTTGTCCCTGGTTCCTGACACAAACCACCTACAACCAACCGTTGGAATTTTGTTTTTCATAATGAGCCCCTTTTGACCATTCCTGATTTTATGCCAACGTGGTAACACTTGCTGTGCACCTAGGTAGCTTCAGGATGCAGGCTAGTTGCCAGAAGAAAAACCATCCACCTGGTTAAAGAATTAGAACTATTAGCCCTGTCTCCAACCTCATGGAGGGGAGAAGAGCTGGAGAATTTAATAACTAATGCTTTCATCGATTATATCTATGTAATGAAACTTTTATAAAAACTTTGAAACATAGCCAGGTGCAGTGGCACATTCCTGTAGTCACAGCTACTTGAGAGGCTGAGGCAGAAAAATTGTTTGAGCACAGAAATTTGAGTTTGTAGTGCATCATGATCTTGCCTATGAATAGTCACTGCATTCCAGCCTGGGCACACAGCAAGACCTTATCTCTACACACACACACACATACACACACACACACACTCTTTACTAAGGGAGCTTCTGTGTTGCTGAACATGTCCATGTACTGGGGGAGTGGTGTACCCAGAGAAGGCACAGAAGCTCTGTATGCCCCCTCCCCCCAGTATCTTGCCCTACACACTTCTTCCATTTGACTGTTTCTGAATTGTTTCCTTTATAATAAAACAGTAATCGTAAGTATAGTGACTTCCTGAGTTCTATAAATCATTCTAGTAAATTATGGAGCCTGAAGGGGGATTGTGAAGAACCTCCAAATTTATAGTTGTTAGGCAGAAGTGCAGGTAGCCTAAAGACCTTGTTGTGACTGGCAGAAGTGGAGGCAGGCTTGCAGGACGGAACCCTTAACTTGTGGGATCTGTGTTAATTCGGGGTAGTTGATGTCAGAATTGAATTGAATTGTCAGACACCAACTAATGTTGGAGAACAAGAGAATTGGATATTGTAGGAAATCCAAACACACTTTTTCTTGTCTCCTCAATATGACGGAACGTTTAGACACAAGACATGGTAAGTGATATGCCTAATTCATGCTGCAAACCACATTAGAAGGTGATAAAACCAAAAACTTCAGGCCTTTGACTGTAAGTGCTGTGATCTTTTCTCTACACCACACTGCCTTTATACCACATATTTATTTATGTGTCAGCTTTTGATTCATGAATAGAACCCAGTCTTCTGCATGAGAGAAGAATTAGGATGGTTGGAAAATTTATAAGAAGTGGGAATTATCTGTGACTTCTAAACCACCTACAACAACAGAAGGCTGGGAGAATTAAAGGATTATTCTGCATTCCCAAATCACCAGTACATTTCCTAAGATTTTCAAAGAGACATCTGGTGAGTTCTAACTTGAAGAGAAAAAAATCTTTCTTTCTAATATAAAAAGCTAATATTTAAGAAGAGGAAACAGAACTGATAATAATGCTTTGCAATCAATGAGACTTTGCAATGTAATTTTACAAGGCCCTTGCTCATTTATTTCTAGTTTGCTATTAATAGGACCGTGAGCTTGAAAGGTGAATAAACTGAGGCTAGGGGAATGTTGTGGTCAAATAATCTACACAAGATGAAGAGCTATAAGTAGTGGACCAAGGTTGGTATCATAGGTTCTTGACTATGATACATCAATGTATACATGTATACATCAATGGTACTTTTCAGGATCACAGGAAAAGACCATTTTGCTATGATCTGTGCTACAAACATTTATTAAGGGTCAGCTCTGCACTGTACCCTGAATGATGGGGGCTAGGAAGATGAATAAAATACACCCTCAATCTTCAAGCTGTTTATTGTCTAGTACAGGTGGCAGACACATATAAATTAGAATATCCTTCAGTGTGATAATTCTGTAGTATAGGTTCACTCAGTACAAGAGGAGGATAATGAAGGTAACATTGCTTCTATTCTGACTCAAAGCCACCAGCAGCTCACACCTGAACTATTACACTTCCCTTCTTCTGTCTCTTCTTTGGTCTTGCTTTACACTGTCCATTTACCTCACAGAAGTAGGACTCATTCTTTTAAAATGCAGATTAGAACATGTCAATCCTCTGTGTAAAGTCTTCAAAAGTAATCCTTTCTATTACTGAACTTAGAATCAAATTC
Source organism: Homo sapiens (assembly GCF_000001405.40). Taxonomy (NCBI): domain Eukaryota; kingdom Metazoa; phylum Chordata; class Mammalia; order Primates; family Hominidae; genus Homo; species Homo sapiens. The sequence continues at coordinate 191,506,189 of NC_000003.12, forward strand.
AATCCTCCTTTCAGGGCCAAAAATACCTTACAACCACTGACCTCTGCCGACTATTCCACCTTTCCATATTGAGCACTTTTCACTTTGTTCACTATGCTCCAACCACCGTGGCTTTCTTTGCACTTGGCAAATAAAGCAAGCTTATTCCAATTAATTTCCACTTTAGGGCCTGTATTAGTGTGTTCTCACGCTGCTAATAAAGACATACCTGAGACTGGATAATTTATAAAAGAAAGAGGTTTAATTGGCTCACAGTTCCACATGGCTGGGGAGGCCTCACAATCATGGTGGAAAACAAAGGAAGAGGAAAGGGTCTTCTCTGGTGGTGAGCAAGAGAGAGTGCTTGTGCAGGGAAACTCCCATTTATAAAACCATCAGATCTTTTGAGAGTTATTCACTACCACGAGAACAGCACGGGAAAGACCCACCCCCATGATTCAATTACCTCCCACCGGGTCCCTCCCATGACCTATGGGGATTACGGGAGCTACAGTTCATGATGAGATTTGGGTAGGGGTCACAGCCAAACCATGTTAGGGCCTCTGTACCTTAGTACATTTTGGACCAGAAATATTCTAGCATTATGGGCCATTCACTTAGAATGCTCTGGGTTCATAGTTTCTCTCTTCTCTTCCTCTCTTTTCCCCTTATCTCTCTCCCTCTTATTTGACTATTTTTGCCTTTAGATAACAATTCAAATATCTCTTTTTCAGAGAACCCTTCCCTGATGACCTTAATTACAGCACCCCATCCACACAGCTGGCAGTTCTTCTCTATCACATCACTTTATACTCTTTAGGCCATTTCACGTTCTCCAAAACATTGGGCTTATTTATATTTATCTATGTATTCCTTTCCTCTCCTCATTTTACTCACTGGCCCCTGCTCCCGTTACTAAAATAAATGTTCGATGAGGTCACAGACTGTGCCTCTTTCATTGATAGTTGTATCCACAGTATTTAAAATATTGCCTGGTACATAGTAAGCTCTTGATGTTTATTTTATAAATAAATACATTTTCCTAGGAGGATTGGGTGAAGGTGTTAAGTAGGAGGTTACATTTTGAAGAATGAAGCTCCAGATAGAGTTTTCAAGAAGAGAAAAAGTCCAGGTTTGTATATTAACCTAGAATTACACATAATGAATTATTCACCCAATCCCCAAATCTGGTACAGATTCATTATTTTATTATCTTCTGATTGAAATGTAAACTATAACATCTGCTCAAATAGGACATCTACTAAATTTTGAAGGAGTTTTGACCATTTTACAAATAAGACTCTTTTGCAGAGGAGTGAGCCTGTGGTGTTCCATTTCACCACTGAGTTGCTCTGTCTTATATTTCTGACTTCATCCTTTCATCCCAGTCTTTGTATTTTTTTTTTCTTCCTAACTATGCTCAGGCTGGCCAGCGACACCTATACACCACCACTGTTGGCAGCTCTCAAGGACTATGCCTTTGTTGCTGTTATTCAAGGAGGCCACACACTGCAATTGTACCTGCCAGGTCACCTAAGTTAAAGCTAAACAGAGGATAGCAGCAATTCGAGGGAATTCAAGTGAAATAAAGCATTTTAATATTGGGCAATTTTGCTTCTTTCACTGCTTTGTTCTGGCTATGGGGACAGTTTGAACTGAGCTTCTGAGAGAGCCGAAGGTACCTTTGTGAAACTCCCAGCTGTTCTTCCATTTTCTCTCTTATGCCATCTGTGACTTGGAAAAAAAATAAAGTTTCCTCGGTGTATGGTGGAGTGGGAATGAGGATTATGTGAAAGTACTTGTCGCACCAAGCTGGCCTCTATTTCTGACCTTACATTAAATGAAGTCAGGCAGTTTTATGATTATAGAAAAGTACTGTAGTACTCACTCCTAAGTATATTGGTATGCAAACATTGGGACAACTTTTCAATCTCTTATAAGGGGTGCTTTATGTTACTTTATTTCAAGCAACACTTACAAGGTACTTGTTGTTATTAAAACCCCATACTATGAATGAAAGATGAATAATTGAATCTAGAAGGGATATGCAGGGCAAGTCTGTGTGTGTGTGTGTCTCTCTGTGTGTGTGTGTGTGTGTGAGAGAGAGAGAGAGAGAGACATACTATAATAAGAATATTTTAAGTGACATCTTAGAAGGAACTTAAAGATGGTTAAAATCTCAATATGGTGATATTGCAAGCAAGAACAGGCTTCAGGACTGCAGATTCATTGGTGGTCAGTCTTCAATGATCAGCTGAAGTAAAATAGGATAATCCTGTATTAGGAAAGTCATCGTCTTAAGGTAATGGTCTAGAGCTAAGAAAATTCAGCGTATGTGTGGAAAATCAAATAGGTCAGTTTGGCTGCCATGTGTGGTATAAATGCAGGATTATGTGAAATGAAACTAGAAAAATAGAAATGAGAAATATTATACAGCTCTTTAAATGACAAGCAAATGACTATCTTATAGGTATTGGGGGGATCCAGAAGCTTATGCGTAGGTAGTAGACATGTTTGGAGGCACAGGCTAAACAGATTAACTTAGTAAACTAGGCAGCATATCCTGAAAATGGAGAATCCGGAACAGACAGAGTGACACCAGATGGAATGTTTTATCGGGTAATACTGTGGAGCTGAATGAGGCATGTGAAGGAGCGTGGCTCAGGTGGACCAGTTGCCATTCGGAGGCCATGAATCCAGGCTCCTCAATTTCTAATATTTAGAATGGAAGGGGAAGGATGGTGATATCCACAGAAATACAGAATTTATAAGGCGATGCTAATTTGAGGGTAAAATAATAGGTCCACAAAAATAAAAGTCCCCTGGTAACTTCCTGGTGTCCCATTCTGTCCTGAAACACTCTGCTCAGTGAATAATTTAGAATAGACTTTGATCAGTCTTTATGATATGTCCTCATGCCCCAGATTAAAGGGCTAGTTCATACCTTAACTCAAATGGTAAATAGAATGAGAAAATTCCTTGGCTGGCAGTAGAATTAATTGCCTTTTCTCCCCTTCCGGGAGGTCTTGGTATGAAGGAAGCTGGGTATGATGAAAAGTGCACAGGCTTTAAAGCCACAGCCTTGAGTTTGAATATTGGGTGTTCCTTAGTTAGGGTGTGGTCATGAGAACATTTACAGAAATAATGATATGAACCAAGCCTCTTAGGAGGGTTCACAACATATTGTGTCTCCTTCATCACTATATGCCTGACAATTTACAGTTGTAGGTACCGTTGCTTTTCAGTAAGGATTTTTTTTTTTAGATAGACTTCTATTTCATGTGGCATTTTTTTTTCCTGAATTTTATCTCAAAAGGACCCTTTCTTGAAATGTCAAGATGGTATTGCCATAAGGCTATCTTCCCATGAGCAGTCTTTTGGCTGATAACTAGTTCCACCAAAAGTCTACCATGTCAGAAAGCATTGCCTAATCCTTGCACCTAAAAGAAATCAGAGTTATTAAAAGTCAGACTGATGGTTTGATAGGGCATTTACCAAAATGCCAGAACATTTAATCATAGTTCCTATTATTGGAATTTGGGGAGAATAAGTGTGTGGGAAGCTCTGGGATATAGTGCAAAGTTATGAAAGTATAGACTGCTTCTACCATGTATGAACACTAAATTCCTAATTTAAGAAAGAAACTGATATATAGAGGCAGTCAGTTTAGAAGGGTGTGCAGTAATATGAATATTATTCAAGTACCTAGGATTGATTTGTCATATTTTTGGCTGGCCGTGGTGGCTCACGCCTGTAATCCCAGCACTTTTTGAGGCTGAGGTGGGTGGATCATGAGGTGAGGAGATGGAGACCATCCTGGCCAACATGGTGAAACCCCATCTCTACTAAAAACACAAAAATTAGCTGGGCATGGTGGCATGCGCCTGTAGTCCCAGCTACTCAGGAGGCTGAGGCAGGAGAATTGCTTGAACCTGAGGTGGAGTTTGCAGTGAGCCAACATCTCGCCACTGCATTCCAGCCTGGCAACAGAGTGAGACTCCATCTCAAAAAAAAAAAAAAAAAAAAAAAGTTTTATGAGGGACCTGAGAGCTGTCTTAAATGCTTAAAGATCTAACATATAGACCTTTAGGTCAGATTCACATTGGCCCACATTGCATCAAGGTGGCTGAGTACAACCATTTACTGGTTTGGCTGTAGAAGAAAGTTCCACATTTATTGGAAGGACTAAAAGAGCTCTAAGCACCATTTCATAAGCTGCTATAAATTGCTTAAGGAAATTGGGATATTTGTATCTTTAATTGTAGGAAAGAGCCAGTCCTTGACTCATCTTAATCTGTTAATGCTTCCATTTACCTTTAACTTCAACTAGAAAAGGGGTTTACTGATGATGGTTTAACTTCAGAAGGTGATCATAATATTACCTACTGGTAGATTAATAAACACCAATATATCTATTTTAAGTTTAATCAATTCACATTAACTTTACCTTCTCCTGTCTCATTAAATATAAATTAAATGCATGGTTAGGAAGCTTAACTGAAAACATTTTCCAGAATTTACGCAAAGCATGAATACAAAATGTGTTAATGGCAGCTGGAGGCAGAGGAACTCCAATACTATAACATTTAGCAAAAAGCATGTTACTATGTTGGCGAGCAAAACCCAGAATGAAAGACAATTAGACATACCTATTAAATGCATATTTTGTTATTCCATGAAAAAAAAAATCAAAGGCATCATGGCACTGTCATGGCAATGATGTAATATTTCCATCTATAATCACTACATGCAGATTTAGTAACATCGATTTCATTTCACCTATTTCTGGGGCTACAGTTCAGTGTATTTCTGCCTGGTTAGTTTGAAAATTGTTAATATGGTATAAATGGAAGTAAATTGAAGATGCAATATAGAGAATTGAACCGTAGCTTAAAACATGCTGCACCTAAAATAATAGGAGGGCTAATGTTCAGAAAATGGATGAACAGCCCACACATTTCTTCCATTTATTTCTAAAGCTTGAAATTTAAATGAGAGGTTCTGTTTTGGATATGGCATTTAGTGATCATAAATAAGTATAATCTGCTGGAAATTATTAGGATTCTAATTTTATACTAGGGACCCAGTGTCAGCCTAACAGTCAAGTATCAACTTCTCTAAGATATACAAATATTTTCTTATGGGAAGAAATAATTTGGGGAAGCGGTTTCACATTGATTTCTCTGTACATCTTACACAGAATTTCCTTGTGCTATCCCTACCATTATTCTCCTTTCTTCCCTCACTGTGTTTTCTTCAGGATTCTCAAAGGAGGAGGATCGAACTGATAGCAGTGGGTCCCTCCTGCTTTCCTCATAGACATGCACATTATCTGCAGACAGAAAAGGAACCCTTTCTCAAAAAATTTCTGACTTCTTGATCTAAAGAATTGAAAAAAATACACAGGATCAGATTCACCATTGTCCTCCCACGTTGAACACATTATTCAGTAGGTTTTAGAAACATGTGCTGACTTAACAGGTGCTATTGACTGAATGTTTGTCCCCCTAAAATTTCTATGTTGAAACCTAACCCCCAGTGTGATGGAATTTGCAGGTGGGCCCTTTGGGAGGTGATTAGGTCGTGAGGGTGGCACCCTCAAGAATGGAATCAATGCCCTTACAAAAGAGGCCTCAGAGAGTTCCCTTGCCCTATTTCCCCATGTAAGAACACGCAGAGAAGATGGGCATCCATGAAGCAGAGAATGATTGGCCCTTGACAGATGCTGAATCTGCCAGTGCCCTGACCTGGGACTTACCAGTTTCCAGAACTGTGGGTAATGAATTTCTGTTGTTTATAAGCACCCAGCTTACGGTATTTTGTTATTGCAGCCTGAATGAACTAAGAAAACAGTTGACAACAGCATAATTTTTATATTGAGGGAATATAGTTTTATTTTGGGTTGTTACAATATTAAGAATATTATAGTCATGCATAGGCCACAGAGTCATCAGGAGTTAATAGAATCTCTGGGATTAAAAATAGATGTCCCAATCTATTTTCCTTAGAATATAAATATTGTAAGCATTCTGCATTTTAGATCAACTAGAATTGTCAGGTGATGATGACCACACTAGTGTTTCAATGATTAAATGACATGCCCTTGGTCTATGGCATGAAAGGATTGTTCCACATTTATTTTCTAAATTAAAGTTAAGACCTGAATATCAGAAGAATAACCAAACAAGGAAACAGGAAAGAATAGTAATATAGTTCAGAAAAAGGACTTATCTTCTGAGGGTACAGTCATGTTTTTATAATTTTATTTTTCTATAGATAGAATTATTGTGGATATTGGTATTAACTTATATGCATAATTGAAGAGGTAATAGATAAGAAATGGCTGTATTCTGCAACATTAAAATAATATTTTCCTCCACTTTTTTCTTATCTAGCTATTCCACTTTAGAAGTTATTTGAAAGTACAAAGGAAGATGAACCAACATTAGTAAGTGATCACAATGAAGGTTAAGATAGGCAACTTGAGAAAAGAGTATTTTGTCAGTAAGTTAGGAATTTGATTTTATCTAAGGTAGAAAATTTTTACAAGAGGAAAGACAGAAAAGATTATCTTTTAGCATCAACCTCTCTAACAGTAAGAATGAGGAAATACAGAACAAAACCACCCACATGGATGATACAAGAAACATCTCCAAAACTCCTACACAGAAATCTAAACATCTGAGTTTTTGTTCCGAGTCTATTCAAGTTGAGTTGTATGACCTTGGGTAAATCCTTTTATATTGTGATTCTTGGGGTCCATATGTGTAAAATAACTTGGTTGGAAATAAAGAACTTAAATTCCTTGAATCTCTGGCATTCTATAGCATGGCTTTCCAGTGTGGAAACACAAGTGATGATGCGGTTTTTATATGTTTTTGTTTTCTTTCCTTTCGTTTTGTGGGAATTCATTATTTCACTGTAGATCCTTTGAGAAGCACGATTTTAGGAGATGGTACCAATGAACCAAAGTCATTTTGAGTTTATGTAAATTGAAGCAAAAGTCATTTCTTCTTATTAAAGTCATTTAGGATTTCTACAGTCTTGAAGGTTATATGGAATTTGCCATGTTCGACTTTTGTAATTTGGTCTTTGATGTACCCATTAACCTCTCTTACTGGATTCAAGGGTAAGATGCCTTTTATTAATGTGTATTTCATCATCAAAGTTAACAAACTTGGTACAATTGTCTTTTGTTATTGATTATTAGACATTCCCCTTACCTAGAAAAGGGGAGAAATGATGGAGTGGAAATATATAGTGCTAGACTATTAGGCAAAGACAATGAGTCATTTAAATTCCCTTGCGGAGAGAGAGCAACACACTTTCATATCCACTTAACAGAGGCTCAATTGCTCTCCTTTGCACTCTGATTTCGATGAGAGCTATATGACATCTCAATTTAGACTTCCAATGCATCAGTTATTTAACTTTTAAGGTAGGGGAGAGGTATTATGCCCATCACAGATGTGTTCTGAGGATCAGCTCTTATAGTGCAAGGCTCTAAAATATTTTGCATGAAAATACTATTTTTAATATTTTACTGCTTATTGTTTACTCAGCAGGTCAGTACTTTTCTCTCCATCTTTCTGATAAGAGGAGAAGAGATAAATAAGAGGGAAAAGAAAGAGACAATAGTGCCGATGGAGGTGAGAAAGCTCAGAGAAAGCAACTAATGCGCCTGAAGTCACACGCAGTTAGTAAAAGGACTGACACTAACGATGAGGTCTCCTCATCCCAGTTGCTGCCCTATTCACCTTTGGGTAGCTCAAATTAGTTTGAAGACTCTACTTCAAATCCTGTGTCTAGTGCTCACATTGTTCTTTCCTTAGAAATATGTAGATCAACATTGACAATTGAAACAATAATTTCATCTATTATCAAAATTGGAGAGGTTTGTTTTGATCCAGGTCTGAAGTGCACCATCGAGCTAAAAGACATTACTGCCACACACTGTAAACAAACAGCATTGTTATTGAAAATGTGCTTTAAAAATAATTATTACCATTTATAAAGTGCTCACTTTATGCCAGCATTATTTTAATTGCTTTACTTATTTTAACTTATTGAATCCTCATGACAGACTTGTGTAAGGTAGTTACTCTTATTATCATCATCTCAGCTTTGTGAATGAAAAAGCTGCTGCCCACTGAGGATAAATCACTTGCCTAAGGTCACACAGCTGGTAAGTGCTTACACGGAAAAATTAGAACTAGGTGGTCTGGCTCTGCTGTCTGCGCTCCTCCCCACTACATGCTATAGTCCATCAAAATAATAATTGTCTCATCTCTTTTTTTGTTCTAGAGAACTTTAAAATACAAAAAAAGTACAAAGAGGAAAATAAAGTTCATCTTTGTTCCTACCACGTGGAGATAATCACTGTTGACAATACTGAGTTGTGTTGTTAATTGCAGATCAAATTACAGAAAAAATGTCCATGTGTTTTAGCAGCCATGTAATTCAGTGAAGTTTCTTTCATTGGATGTCATTGGATGTTACAACATGTCCAGGGTGGAGATTTCTCAGAATATTTTTGGCCTTGTAAAATAAAAGGCCATTATTTGAAAGCTTACTCCCTATTTTTTTTTTAAGAAATTAAGGGTTTTATTGAAAATGTAAGTACACTCCACAGTGGTGTGGGAGCGGGCCTGAGCACAGGGGCTGAAAGGCCCTGCTACGGAATTTTTGGGAGTTTCTCCCCAGAGGATTCCTTCGATTACTTGGGGTACACCCTGTGTAAATGGAGAGGATGTTCACACAACACTGGTGTGTTGCTGGCCCTTTGGACATCCTGACAAAATATTCATTAAAATGCACTTTCTTAAATGAAGTGATCGCCTCTGGACTGATTGAAGTTTCCTGTGTATCTGGCCCACTTCCAACCATTATCTAGGATAGAGGGAGGAGAGTTGGTGCCGCAAGAGCTTGTGACATTTCCAGACTAATGTGTCTTATGTTTATAATCATACAGTTATTTAGAATTCTGGATAAAAGTAGCTTTCTATATGTAAGCAATAATTCTGTGGTTACCAATAATGTGAAGATAGAGTAAATCCAAAGGCAAACATTTAAAAAAAGGACAGCCTTCTCGATAAACACAAAACAAGCAGCTTAAACACCTTGGGCTCACTCTTCTGACTTTAGTTCAGTAAAGAAACTGTTCATAGGAATTTGCTACTTAAGACATTTTCTTGGGTCATCCATGATTAATTCCTTCAAAGGAGGCAGGTTAGGTATGCCGGAATGGATGTCTTCTGGGATTTGACTTGAGTGTCTGAGTGCTAAGCAGGGGCTTCGTTATATATTCAGCAGCATTTTTTCACTAGGGAAATAGTTGTAGGGCACACAAATGAGGGGAATTTGTATATTTTTAATTTCCTTTTCTAACTTAAAAACAATTTAATGCAACTATGCATAATCTCATAAGCAGGTGAAAAGGGGAAAGTGATTTCAAGTGCCAGAATCCTTTGGTGTCCTGGAAAATACATGTGGCCTAAACATTACAAATCAGTTTTATTTGCTGTGCTTGTAATATTTCAGATTAACTCGTTGCCTTTCACTGGTTTATTATACAACCTGTTTTCAAGGAGACATTATTTAATTGTAAGGAATAAATTGCTTGCGTGTGTGTGTGTGTCTGTGTGTGTATGTATCGAGTCCTAATATAATTATTTTCACCGTAGATTCCAGTGAATTTCTAAATAATCTTGGGAATACAATCTTTTGTTTATGAATTATTTGCAAGCAGACAAAATTCCTGATATTTATTCTATAATTAAATCATGATTCTTATAGCCAAGTAATGATGCAACCATTGTGAATTATATAAAAAAAGAAAATGCATATAAAATACAAATTTAATAAAAGCTTTCTAAATGGTAATTCTGGCAAGATAAAATGCAAAAAAAGTAACTTATTATATTTTTTTAGCGAGGAGAGACCAAAGCTTGTGTGGAAAGCTGGGAGGAGATAGACTTCTGTGAGCTATGGATTCACCCTCATGGAATTTAGATTCCAGTTAGGTAACGAAAAGTAAGCAAAGAGTGAGAACTAAACCCATAAATTGTGATTCACATAAAATGGCAGAATTTTATAAGTATAAATTATAGTTTGTTGCTATACAACTTTTATTTTTGTTATTGCCTTAAGCTATGGAAGCATCTCAAAGAATTTTATAATATGAAACTAGTCTTTCCATTTTGGGGACTGGGAAAACTCATGCACTAATAAATTGAATAACTTAGCCCCACCATCATAAAAAGAAGAAAATTTCTTGAGATTTAGGCCTCAAGTTCTCGTTCACACTTCCTATCTACTAACATTCCAAATAACATGCTCTATTTTTCACAGAATCACAAGGTTGCCATCCATCCTTCTTGACATCTTTGGTGTCGCTTGACATTTCTTGGTAGAGGGAAGCACTAATGCATGACTCCAAATTGGGGCAATAGGACCATTTTCATACTTGAAAACAAAGAAACATATAACCTAGAGATGCCTTCGAAACTTTCTTCCTCTGGAGAGATATAAGAATAGATTAGGTAGTCATTTAGTTCAGACATAGAAAGAATTCCTGGAAGACGAGGAAAAGGAACTCACTGGAAGACATTCAAAGTACCTTTGCACCTCAAATGTCTATGATTCTTGAGGTCTCCCCTATTTCTATAGGTCTGTGGGTCTACGAGAAAATACAGTACGTGGATGAGTGTAGAATCTTTCTTCCTTTTCAGTAATTCAGAAAACAATAAAAATTTCTGACAATGTGCTTTGTCAATGGACATGACAAATAATTCTTGGACAAAGATAACATCTGAATTCTGGATATGGTACAATTAGAATTAGAAATTCATCTGACATTGTTTAGTATTTCCGCCTGAAGAGTAATGGTCACCAGTAAAGTTCTGCATAGGGGAAGGGGGAGAAAAATAAAAGCTGAATGTCCTAGCTACCTTTGTAAAGCCTTACCATCCACTAACTTTGGTGCAGACACCCTGTCCTTGACCTATTACTTACACACTTTTGCCTCATTGTGACTTATGCCATCTTCATTCCTCGCCCTCATAATATTTCTTCTAATCAAAATATTACTATTTTCTTATCAAAATCTTATCTGTCTTCAAGACTCTTCTCAAATGTCATCCTCTCTGTGGAGTCTCTTATGGTAAGACTGTTGTCTGTCCTTTATTTGAATCCTCAAAGCACTTCGTGCTTTATTCACAGCCCTTAATCTCTCTGACTTGTAATAAGGTAATTTGTGTTCAATCTTATATTTTCTTCTAAACTCTGAACTATATAGGCAGAAATTGTCTTCTACTTCTTTCTGTACCTTCTGAATTGCGTAGCAAAATAGCTGCCTTCTGGCAGGTGCTCAAAATTATTTTTTGTATTAAATTGAATGAAATTCTAAAGGGATCTATGCCCATTTCAATGTAAATGATAGTACACTTAATAGGCTAATAAATATAAGTAACTATATCCTAATTACTATAAAATACTATAAAAAATAGTGTTGTAGGCTTTAGACTCAGGCAAAATAAAATAAGAATTTTTTCTCTATCACTTAAATTACTTGAATAAATTATTCAGCTTCTCTTTTTTTGATTATCTCATCTCTTAAATTGGGATAATATTTGTGTCTTTCTTAAAAGGTGATTGTTAGACAATCCTAATAATATTTACAATACTATCTTAAATAAGATAATACATGTAAGCAGCTCAGGATCATGCCACAAAACTATTATTTTTATTGTATCAGGTTTAGGGATATGCACATAGCAACTACTATCTTCAGGAAGCTTTCAGTCTACTTGAGACGGCAGAGAAAAAAACAGATAATAGAATTCATTGTGATAGAGATGTGCTTAAGTGGTTTCCCCATAACAACATTTTCCTTTTAGCCACCAGTTTTGTGTATTCTTGACAATATCAGCTGATCATTAGTATCAGAAAACATCTGCTTTTATGCCCAACAGTTTAACAGCAGCCTAAACTTTCAAGCTGGGGAGGTATGTAGGGGTTCTGAATTTATATTAGCATCAAATGAGTGTGACATATAATCCCATGGTCAGAGAAATGCATTTCTCCCAGCACTTTAATGTACTTTACGGGCATGAAAAATCATAAAAGTGTTTCAGTCAGCAGTTCAAGAGTCAGACTTCTGTTACATACATATATATATATGGCTAACTGAAGGAAAGTGATACAAATAAACTAGAAATGAACTCATTAAGAATTTTAAAACTTAGGCGTAATTTTATCCATATCTAGTTTTACAGATGATAAAACTGTAACCCTTAAAAGGAAAGTGACTTGCCTCAAGTCACCCAGCTTTTAGGTGGGAAAGCTGAGGCTCTGAGGATACATTATGTAGCTTTATAAAATGTCTTACTATAACACTTACATCTTTACACCGTGAACCTTAAGAGTTTAAGTAGCCTTGTCACACTTACTACACAAAAGAAATTGCTCCAGTCACCCCTAGTAGAGAGTCCTCTATTCTATGATTTGCCACATATAGTAATGGGAACTCATTACTATTCTAGATTTCTTTCACTATTACACAGCTTTAAATGTTAAAAAGTTATCTTTCACTTATTTAACTCCTTTCCACCTTGCCTACTTATGAGCAATACAAATCAAATATTATGCTTCTGTTCAAAATAACACTGTGAGCCAAGAAAGGAAGGGAAATTTTCAAGTGCCGAAGATGAACGCATAGCTCCATAGTGAGTAGGAGTAGTAATCTTATTTCAGATATAACACAAGAACAAAGCCATCATGGCTCCTAGCATGTTAAAGTCCACGAAGAGATCAGGATGATACTGGCTAGTGACTTTCTAAGTAGGCTTCCTTCACAAACCGGGAATCTGCAAGATCATCATCATCATCATCATCATGACCATCATCATCGTCATCATCGTCATCATAGAAAAACTTAGCCAAATAGGCTAAGGATATAGTTACCTGCCCCATCTTTGGGTATAAAAATAGTTATTTGGGGTGGGGAGCATGTTTGAAACCTTCAGTTTTTGCTGAATGAAGATATAGAGTATGAATTTCACTCGCTATTCAATGTTGATAACAAAGAAACATAAACATTGAAAACTCAAAATTGCTATGCAACCAGTGAGCCCCATAGGCATGAGTAAATACCACTAGAGAACTATATTTCAGGGTGGAAGAGAATGACTACTAAAAATATTATTAAAGGCACAAATTCCACCACGTACACAGTTGTGAGAAACAGCCAGTGGATATAACAGATAGGTAAACTACTCTGCAGGTAGCAGAGAATATGGACTTATCTGATGGAAACTTTAAGTATGTTTAAATTTTGACAAAGAAGAGAATAAAAAAAGATAATCTAGAAATTAAGATTAAGATTTCAAAGAGAATAGACTTAAGAAATACATTTGTGGATGGGCCAAATAGAAATCTTAGGAGTGATACATAGAATTGTCAAAATGAAAACTATATGGAGCAAAATAAACACTGTATTTGCTGATAGCTTTGGAAACAAAGTTACCAAAAAGTATACACGGACAAACAATAAAACTCCTTCCTAAATGATTTCTTGATTGTGTAAAAATCATGGTATCTTTGGGTCAGAAGGTATAGTAAGTTCATTTTGCAAGCCCCCTTGGTTCCAAATACTTAGCAACAGATTTTAATATACTAGATGGATAGATCAAGATAAAGCAAATAAGGCAATAAGACATAGCCAGAGTAATAAAAATAACATGAATATCTTAGTGGGTGAGACACAAAGAGGCATACAAAGTCGTTAGGAGTAAAAGAGCTATAATGAATTCTGTGGTCTGGGTTGAAAAGCAAATAGTAACTGAAGGCTTCGCTCTTGCAGGGTTACAAGTAATAAGAGAGTTCCATGGAAGTTGGGTGCTTGGAGCTAGTCTTGTTACTCAGTTTCAGAAATAGATTGTGACATTCTTTTTTATCTGAGGAGTCTGAATGTAACAGTTATATATTGCAGCCAGGGCCACAGTTTCTATGGAGTCTTGAACTTGAGAGGTGAAGGAAGAATAAGACATAGTCTTGAGAATAAGAACTGAATCAAATCACTTGCTGGCTGAATGACTGGGTCTGCAGGGTTCCTATATTGTTGCAGGGTTAGACCTGGGGAGTCTTATTATAAATGTGGCTCTAGATTGATGGGTTAGAAGATCTCAGTGGACACTACAAGACAGTGAGAGGTGAGGGCAAATGGAAAGTAGAAACTTCTCCCTTAAAAGGAATCTGAAATTCCTAATTCTAATGCATGGAGGTATTTAATGGTAAGAAATACAACCAAGAAAATCAACCATTAGATCATTAATTCACTCTACAAGGTATTCGTTTTTTTAGCAATTTTAAAAAGGCTTTCTTTTTCTTTTTTGAGACAGGGTCTCACTCTGTCACCCAGGCTGGAGTGCAATGGTGCAATCATGGCTCACTGCAGCCCCGACCTCCTGTGCTCATGGGATCCTCCCACCTCAGCCTCCCGAGTAGCTGAGACCATAGGCATGTGCCACCACACTCAGCTAATTTTTTTATTTTTTGTAGAGATGAGGTTTCGCCATGTTGCCCAGGTTGGTCTTGAACTCCTGGGCTAAAGAGATCCTGCATCCTTGGCCTCCCAAAGTGCTGGGATTATGGGCGTGAGCCACCATACTTGGCCAGTTTTACAGACTTTAAAATAAACATATTATTTAGTTCTAATTATTTATTATGGCACTAATAAGTTCATTCAAAATAAAACTAAATACAAATAATAAAAAGACATTAAAAAAGTGACAGATGATAGATTGAGAGGATTCAATTTATGTCTAATAAAAGTTCTAGAAGAAGAAAATGGAAGGAATGCCAATGAAGCAATATTTGAAGAGAGAATGCGATATTGGCAGATAATTATTTAGAACTGAAGAAAGACATGAGTCACGAAGTTTCAATTTATAACAACAGCCAAAAAAAAAGTAAAAATAAAAATAAGATAAATAAAAATGCAACTACAAACTGGGTTCACTGCTCAGAGTTTCCACAAAGTTGCAGTTAAAATGCTGGCCAGAGCTGGGGTTTTATCTGAGGATCAAAGTTCTCTTTCAAGCTCAACAGTCATTGTCAGAATTCAGTGCCTTGCTATTCCAGGGCTCTCCTCTCTTTTTTGCTGGTTTTGAGCTACAGGTTGTTCTCAGATCTTGGAGAGCACAATTTACCTTGCCACATTGCCTGCTCTACAACAGGACAGTGTGCTCCTTCCAAGTCGGCAGTAGACTCTGGCATCCTTACAACCACTTTTTTAAGGAAGGGTCCTCTTCCTTTTAAGGGTTTACCTGATTAGGTCAAGCTTAGGCAAGATAATCTCCCCCTTGGCTAACTCAGAGTTAACTGATTTAGGACCTTACTGACATGTGTAGAATCCCTTGACCTTTGTCATATAACAGAATCTAATGCTAGGAGTTAAGTCATCATATTCATAGTCCCACCAGTACTCAAGTGGTGGTGGTAGTGGTGGAGGTACAGAGGGCATCTACTCCAGGGAGTGAGAATCTTTGGGGCTGTCCTAGAATTCTGCCTACCACAGCTGGGAGGACTCCAACATCTGTGTGCTGGAAGATCTGTACTTCCTCAAGCATCAGTCTTTAGGTGGTCTCTTCATGTGGTCTCTTCATGGTGACCTCAAGGTTGCTGTTTCTTTTTGAATAGCAGCTCAAAACTTTCTGAGTGAGGGTCCCAAGAGAATATGCAGAAACTATATGGGCTATTTTTACTTTATCTGTAAAATTACTTCTAGAGAAAATAATTTAAACATTGACTCAAGAAAAAGTTGAAAAAGGGAATAAGCCAAGAAAATACTAAAAATCCCATTGGTAATCAAAATTATACTATCATAACATCCCAGAAAAAAGATGCAAAGTCTAGATAATTTTATAAATGACTTTCTTTTAAATTTCAAGAAATAGATCTTATAGACATAGTATCAGAGAGGAAAGAGGGAAAACTGGTGATTTATTTTCTTGAGATAATATAAAATAAAAACAGAAAGAAACTTTTTTAACTTGATAAAATATATCTATGAAATCCTTACAAAACTACATTAAAGGATAAGTATTAGAAGGACTATTATTAAAGTCAGGAAAAAGACAAGGTTTCTATGATAGCTGCTTAAACTCAACATTATAATGGAAGTACCAGGTCATACAATATTAAAGATAATAATTAATCTGATTGAGAATTGGAAGAGACTAAATACAATGTTCATTACTTTTTTAAGAACATAATTTAGGCAGTTTTCAAACTATAAAAACTTATCAAGGAGACCAATAAGGTGGTTGGTACAAAGGCATCATCATTGTTCATAAGAAATTACCGAGCACTGGCTAGGTGCTGGATGCTACTGAAGTTGATCTCCATGAATTGATCCATTTTATCCTCTGACGAACTGAGAGCTTTTTCTAGCCAACAATTGACAGGAAAATGAGAACTTCAATCCTATAATTCCAAGGAAATGAATTCTGTAAACAACCTAAATAATCTTGAGAAAACTTGTAGGTGATTTGACTTAAGGAATCAGAGCTAGAATGGCCTTTGAAAACTTAAAACCATCGCTTATTTAACAGAGGACAAAGCCAAGATTGAGACATGTACGGCCACCAATCGGCAGCAGGTGGAATGGAGAGCCAGGCAACATATTCCACACTGTGGGGCTTTCATTGTTTTGTACTTTTGGCATCATTGTGGCATAGACTCCTACTTTCATAGTTATAAAACAAAAGGAAAGAGATATACAATCTCTCAGAGTACCTCTAGTTTAACATTTGAGGATTTCAAAAAAATACAAACTGTATTTTCTTTTTCTCAACCCACCAAAGCAGTCTCCTTTTATATACCTGGAGCATTTATGTATCATTATCCTTTTATGTATCTACTGAGCAGTATGTAGGCTAGGTAGAGGACAAGTAGTGATGTTTTGAAGTAAATAAATAAGATTTGCCCTTGTGTAAACAATTCCAGATGGATCTCAGAAAAACAGCTTGAAAGGGTAGCCTTATAGAATCACACCGCCGCAGCAAGAACAAGCACTCGGTAATGGGGCGGGGTTTATTTGCCTGCACACTTTGCGTTTGCTTTCGGTTAGATGGAAAGGCAAAGCTTCTGTCAGACCAGCAGAAAGAGAGTCTGTTTCTATTTATGTCTTAGTCCCCTAGGTAGTAGGTTAACTTTGCGGATGACAGATGAAATGCTTCGGTTTGTCATTTATACCACTGTGCACAGATGGTTCTTATGCATCTTTATGATCTTTTTCAGTATTATTTACTGCACTTCCATCCTGCCCCAGGAGACCAGGTGTGAAATCCAGCACTAAGCAGTTTTTGCTAACTGTGAATTGCATTGAGCCAAAGGGGCCATGTGGTTGGACCTTGGAATTTGAAATAACGTCATTACTTATACCATGAAATTCAACTGCCTGTCAACTGAAGTTCTAAAATATGCCCCAAAGAGAAAGTTTCTCATTTTAAAAGATATTATTAATTTGGGTTATCACTTAAGAAACATGACAATTTATTGAATTTATTTTTCCTGGTATAAACATGGGCATTTTTAAAATTTAAGTTTTTATTTGCTAATATAATTTATTATTATTATTTTTCTGAGACAGGGTCTTGCTCTGTCACCCAGGCTGGAGTGCAGTGGTGCAACATGGCTCACTGCAGCCTTGATAAATAGAAGTTATAAAATAGAACCAGTGGGGTGGGATGGTGGCTCACAGCTGTAATCCTAGTACTTTGGGAGGCCGAGGCGGGTGGATCACCTGAGGTCAGGAGTTTGAGACAAGCTTGGCCAACATGGCAAAACCCCGTCTCTACTAAAAATAGAAAAATTAGCTGGGCATGGTGGCGGGAGCTTGTAATCCCAGCTACTTGGGAGGCTGAGGCAGGAGAATCGCTTGAACCTGTGAGGCGAAGGTTGCAGTGAGCCAAGATCATGTCACAGCACTCCAGCCTTGGCGACAACAGTGAAACTCCATCCAAAAAAAAAAAAAAAAAAAAAAAACAGTGGAAATTCTGGGACTAAATAAGGTAAACGTGAGCTTCATTTTGTGATGGGGATGGGCCCACATTGTAATGGGACCTCCTGGGCTCAAGTAATCCTCCAGACAGCCTCAGCTTCCTGAGTAGCTAGGACTACAAGTGCACACCACCATGCCTGGCTAATTTTTAAATTTTTGCTAGAGACAAAGTCTCACTTTGTTGTCCAGGCTAGTCTTGAACTCCTAAACTCAAACTATTCTCCTGCCTCAGCCTCCCAGTGCTCATGTAATTTTTGAGTACTGTGTTTTAATTCAATTCAACAGATATTTATTGACACTATGTATAGGTATTGCTACAGATGCAATGATATATAAATTGCAGTTACTATTGTTAAGTAGTCCACAGTCCAGAGGAAAGAATATGGCATGAATTGAAAATCTACATAAGAAACATAAGATGTGCCTCTTTGGAAGGGTAGAGGAAGAATAGATCATTAGTTGGATGAGATCATACATGATTTTAGGGTGGGTTGGTGTATGTTTGCTTAGCCATAAAGAAAGGCAAGACTTTCAACAGACAGAAATGTAAGATGGTCTTTTCACACATGAAAATCATCTTGATGTGGGAAGGTATAAACTGCATATTATACAGAGCAAGGAGTGACAAGTAGGTCTGTACAGCTAAAGCTGAGTTCTATGCCTTCATACTGGAACAGTGTTTTAAATGTTTTAACGTTCATTGCATGCGAACCATTAATCTTTCAAATATAATTATGTCCCACATTTTATGGAGAATGCAACCAAGACACAGATAATGATACTAGCTAACAGTTACTGGGGCATCATGTGGCAGGCACTATCTTAAGATGCCTTCAAGTGTTCTCTTAGTTAATCTGTAAAACAACCCTATGAAGTTGCATTGTATTAAATGCACTTTACTGGTAGGAAACTGAGCTACAGAGGTTAAAAAACTTATCCATACTTACACAACTACTAAGCATAAAGCTTGGACTCGAACCAGCTTAGATGACTTCACTGCTTCATTATAGAAATTACTTCTCTGAGCTCACATATATTATAGAATGTGGAGTTATGCACTGATTTTCCCAGTCCATGTTGTGTATATTTTTTAAAACTTACCAGTTATAATGTGAAAAGTGAAAAAAAGAATCAGATAAAGAAGTTTAGAATTAATTAATTAGGTGAACAATAACCAATTAAAATGTTTGAGTAGAGATATGCTCAAAACTAATGTTCAGCCTAGATTGAAAGGAGTGATAAGCTGTAAGGGAAAATTTAGAAAGCAATTGCAAAGTCCAGGCTTGTGTGTATGAGGTCTGTATTAGTATTGTTCTAGAACTCTTGGCATGGTCAGGCTACAGGTAGGTGCCTCCTGAAAGATCATGAGGTTTCCTTGAAGGAGTTTGCTCTTCATTCATAAAGAAATTCCTCAGGCCCAAGTTGAGCATAAATTGAGGGATCTTCATGTGATTGGTTCAGTTTTGACTCTTTTGGGGTATTCAAATTTATTTCCTTTGTCTGTTTTAAAGAAATCTATAAGGCAAGATTCTGCTTCTTCTAATGGCCAAATGAGCTCATACCAGACTTCCTTTCCCATAGATAACAACTATATACTCTGGGCAAAATACGAAAAGTAACTACGTAAGAGATCTGGAGAGTGTACATGAGGGGAACTGAAAGTTGGAGAAAGGGGCATTCACAGAATGTGTGTTCTAGTATTTTAGCCTGAAGGCAGTGCCACATGTAAAGACTACAACTCCAATAACTTCAGACTTTCTGACCTGAACAATCAGAGGATAGGGATTAGCATATTTACGAATCCGGATAGTGAGCATAGAATCCCAGAAAATATAAAGACAGAGAGGAGGACCTCTAACTCAGTATATAAACTTCGCTCAAATTTCTGGTTAACCTCTGAATCACACATGTGTGGGAAGACTATAAGCCCTGTTGAGACAAAAGAAAACACTACAGAAAACAAAAACTGGGTTAAGTTGAGCTACTGTTTAGGAGACAAAGTTTGCAGTTTATGTCCAACCAAGTAATCACCATAGAAGAATATTATCATTCTTTTGAAGAATAAGTCTGACCCATTTTTAAGAGAATAAATAATCAATGGAGGCTAAACCTAAGATGGCCCAAATGTTAGAATAAGCAGATAAATACTTCAAGGCAATTAATACACTATGCTTAATGAGATACAGGAAAATGCAATCATAATAAATGAAAGATAGGACATAATAGTGGAGAAATAAAAGCTATAATATAGAACCGATGGAAATTCTAGGACTCAATAGAGTAAACATGTACTTCATCTTGTGGTGGGGATGGGTCCTCAATGTGATGGGACCCAGAGCAGAATAGACCTGAGAATTGTAGTTTGAGAAATGCCCGGAAGATGTCATGACTCTGGAAACTTTCCCAGCCTGCTCCAAAATGCCAGAAAGATAACTAGGACATAATTTTAACCACATTTCAGTGGCTGAAGAAAGTCCTTAAAAGTATTTCTCTGTGAAGTAAACTGATGGAAATTTCATGATTAGAAAATAACCCTTTTAAAAGCTGTTGTCCTTTGCGCTATATTCTGAAAGCCAAGACTTGTCACCAGGATAAAATGAGAGTGAGAGATGTAACACCAATGAGATGAAGACTTCAGAGTGAAAATGCTGATCCCCTCTCCATTTTTGCCTGCTACCTCCCTCGTCCCTCACCTAGAACAAATTCCAAGTATGTAATCTTTAGGATGTGTTCATTTGCTTATCTCATCTAATTAGGTACATCTCTCATACTTTCAGGAATAATTTGAGAATACTTAAAATAGCACATATAAATAACATAAATAGATAGCAATGCAGATTTTAGAAATCATATAGAGAAAAAGAACACAACAATAATTATTCAAAAATCCTGGGATACAATGGTTATAAAATTGAATATTCTATTTCACTTTGACAAAAATTAAAAAAAAATTTATGTGCAACAAGTGACTCAATAATTATTTCTTATTAATTAAATGTTAATTATGAAGAATATGTATTGACGTGGAAAATGCTTCTGCCATGATTGACAAAATCCAAGTCATAAAATTATGGTAGGTTTTTCTTCATGTAATTATTGTGTTTATGCAATAAATAAACTTTAAAATGGCTTTGCCCTCTGGCAACTAAGAATGAAAGGAAAACAGGATTGGGTTTTACTTTGATCATTAAATGAATAGTAATCTCTGTATAAAAGAAAACTGTTAAAAACATAAGAGTTTTGGAATTGCTTCAGGCTTGGAGAAGCTCTAAGATTCTTGATGTGGATCTGAGGCTACCCAGGTGCCCTAATAAAGAACACAGGTTTGGGAGCTGTATCTATCCCTATGCCATCAACCCACAGCAAACCAGATTATAGCCTGAAGATGGGTGAGGCCACATTCACTGTCTTATTATTTGATCATGCTAATGAGACCTGGACATTACGGCTGTTTTCCAAGACATTCTTTAAAAATAATGTTCAACTCACAAGCTACCTTAGAACAGAGGCAATTTAAATTACAGTTCAATCAATAATGCAAATATAGTGTTCCTTCAAGCCCTGGAGTAGGAAAATAACTCATTATAAATGATTTCCTGAGTTTCAGACAAAATTTGCAGATTTTTGCAGTTCTTGGAGAAAATGAGGGGGTAGCAAGTCCTCTGTTGAGTTTGTATCTTCTCGGTAAATGTGTGTAAGTCCCAAAGGCAGTGCCCTACTCATAATTCAATTGGTAACTTGCCTGGCTCAAGGGAGAGGCCAAAGGGATTGAACAAAACCCCTTAAGACACAGGGACTGAATTATGCCTTTATGCTAGTTTGATTCTTCTCTGTGATGGTTCATTTTGCTAACTGGACTGGTCAATGGGGTTCCTAGATATTTGGTTAAATATTATTTCTGGGTGTGTCTGTGAGGGTATTTCAGATGAGATCAGCATCTGAATCAGATGACTGTACAGCAGCTCACCCTCACCAACATGAGTGGGTGTCATCAATCCTTTGAGGGCCTAGATAGAACAGAAAGATGGAGGAAGGAATTATTTACTCTCTCAGTCTGACTACTGAACTGGGATATCTCCTCTTGCCCTCAGACTGAGACTTACACCATCAGCAGTCCTGGTCCTCAGGCCTCTGGACTCAGCCTGAAACTATACTGGCTTTCCTGGATATCTAGCTTGCAGATGGCAGATGGTGGAACCTTTCAGCCACTATCATCACATAAATCAGTTCCTTCTAATAAATCAGTTAATCAATCTGTGTGTGTGTGTGTGCGTGTGTGTGTGTGTGTGTGTGTCTCTCTCTCTCTCTGTGTATGTGTGTATAGACAGACAAGCAGATAGATAGATAGATAGATAGATAGATAGATAGATAGATAGATAGATGATAGATAGATGATAGATAGATGATAGATAGATAATCTCCTATTTGTTCTGTTTCTCTGGAGAATCATGACTAATACAGTTGACCCTTGAACAATATGGGTTTTGTATTACTCAGGGTTCCCTAGAGGAACAGGACTAATAGGTTAGATGTATATATAAAAGGGAGTTTTTTAAGGAGTATTGACTCACAGGATCACAACGTGAAGCCCCACAATGCAGGCCATCTGCAAGCTGTGGGCCATCTGCAAGCTGTGGAGCAAGGAAGCCAGTCTGAGTCCCAAAAACCTCAAAAGTAGGGAAGCTGACAGTGTAGCCTTGTCTGTGGCCAAAGGCCTGAGAGCCCCTGTCAAACCACTGGTGTAGATTCAAGAGTCCAAAAGCTGAAGAACTAGAAGTCTGATGTTTGAGGGCAGGAAGCATCGAGCACGGGAGAGAGATGGAGGCCAGAAGGCTTATCCAGTCTAGTCCTTCCACGTTCCTCGCATGCTTTTATCCTAGCTGCACTGGCAGCTGATTAGATGGTACCCACCCAGATTGAGAGTGGGTTTGCATCTCCCAGTTCACTGACTCAAATGTTAATCTCCTGTGGCGACACCCTCACAGACACACCCAGGAAAAATACTTTGCATCCTTCAAGTCAATCAAGTTGACACTCAATATTAACCATCACAGGTTTGAACTGCATAGTTCCACTAATTGGTTTTTCCAATCAAATATGGATCCAAAATACTATATTCTAGGGATGCAAAATCCATGCCTATGGAAGACCAACTTTTCATTCGCACAGGTTCCGGAGGGCTGACTGTGGGGCTTTGAGTGCGTGCAGACTTGAGTCTATGTAGGTAGTCCTGGAACAAATCCCCTGAGTATATTGCGGGACAACTTTACAATTTTCTTATATACTACTTGAATTTTAAGGCTTTTTCTACGTTTCTATCTCAGAGAAGCCTCTCTCTCTCTCTTCTCCTAATCTAACAGTTCTTAATTTACTATCTTCTTATGGCACTTATCATCTTCTGACTTCCATTATTGTTATTTGAGGCAATATAAAATAATAATCGTTGACTTTGATATTAGATTGATTTGGTATGAAATTCCAATTCTCTGACCAATATTTACATAACAGATTAGTTTTCTTAAATTCTTAAAGCCTCATGTTTGTCATTATTAAAATAGAGACAATCATACCAAACTCTTATGTTCTTATGAGGACTATGTGAGATAATATATGTAAAGTGTTTAGCACAAATCTGAAAAAGAATAAATGCTCAGTAAATTGTAGCAGCATAAACTTTTATCATCTCTTTTATTAAATTTCAGCCTCTGTAGAGTGAACTTCTTCATATTAATCTATTTCTGCCCTATAAAGTCAGAGAAGTTAAGAAATAATACCAACATGGTTGCTGTAGAGAGTAGATTCCTGAATTATAAGCACATGTTATATAGATAAAGCACTTGTTAATTACCCTCTATCAAGGCTAGTCTCTCTGTCTGAGTGAATATCGATTATGGAGAAGTTCTCGACCTTTCCTGTTGGTTCATTGGTTTGTTTGCTTCTTGCGTTTTGCTCTGGTACATCTGATAGATGAGGTTGTGCAACACCTAAGAGTTGCTCTAACTTTGTCTCCCATATAAGATAGTAAACGGAAAGGCAAGAGAGTGTGACTGAAGTTATTAAAAGGGAGCTTTATATCTGTTCCAATTTATAAAGGAAAGACACACCATTAAAAAAAAAAAACCTCTCACGCTTTAGGTATTACTGTACCCAAATTATTTGTAATATACTCCACAACTGATGCAAATCATGAACATGTGCCATGACTCAGTAGTTGAAAGAAGTTTTAATAATTTCTATTTTTCAGAGATCAACTTTATTTGACCTAAGTGAGGAGAATTTTCAGTTCCTTAATTTCTTTCTATTATCTTTTTAGTGTTTTGATTATCCAATAACATTTCTTTTCTTTTACAATTTTTATTCTTATAATCATATCTGAGGTTGTTTTCTATATAGTTAACACACTGGATAATTCCAAATTTTTACAATACCTATTTTCATTTTTATATATTTTCTACCTGTCATTATAATTGCTTAAATCAGTCATCTCTTGTTTATGTTCATTTTCCCAAAAGAAAAACCTATTTAGTTTACACATTTGTCTCTCTTGGTGTCTTACACAATACCCTTTTTTTTTTTTTTTACAGTATTTAAGTCAACAGATGGAAGAGTGTCATGGAAGGTAAATCAGACAATGAGATAATTCACCAGAGACTCACATCCAGGCATATGTATTGTTCCCTCTATATAACTGAGCAGTAGTATTTCTATTTAGTTCAGAGCAATAATAAAGAAATTTCAGAAAAATTCAGAATTTTAGCAAAATTTGTTAACTTCTTTAGCGTTGAAGATGTCTATTTACTTAGTCACAATGGAAACTCGGCCTCATTCTACCTTCAAGGACACACCTGGTAACTAATTGCAAGATGCTTGGAAAGATAGAACAATACAAGAACTGAGCCAGAAAATGATATTTCTTACTGTTTTAGGTGTATTCTTCTTTGGGGACAACTAAACAATGTACATCTCCTGAGAAGGTGACTTTGAAATTCAGCTCTGAAAAAAATGGCTCCAATTTCTTAGATGCAGTGAGTGCATCTGGAGACTGCAGTAGCTGCAGCATTAAGAACAAGGGTCTTCATTCTCTGGTGTAATAATCCTGGCCCACAGATAAGCTCTGATGATCATGGAGAGGAATTTAATCATCTACTCATTGTAGCCATCTATATTGTTTGTGGGGAACAGGCTCTCTGCTGAGAGAAAAATCTGCCAAGTTCAGATTATGGGTAAAACCATGGGAGATAGAATTAGCCTCACGAATTGTCAGGAGCTTTTAAGAGTTACTCACTCTTAAAGTATTTTAATGCTTAGGTATCTCAAAATTCAGCCATTATAGAAGCAAAGATAAATGTCAGTTTTAATCTCCCAATCCGTGATTTCTCAAAATGAATCTGGCAAACTGTTCAACATCTATCTTCCAGCGTGCCTGTGAGGAAGAAACTGGAGCAAAAAAGATGGAAACCCCAGCAAGGACGATGAGTAATGAAGATTGCACCTTTGCAATTTATCTTCTCTCTCACAAAATTAATGCTGGAATTCGAGATTACTGTGGGGCTGTTTATTAGTGATGACAACTGTATGGGCTTGGTTTGGAAAATGTGTTCTCTCCTGAGTTGTTGAGTCATGTGAGGCCATTTGCAGTTCTTTTTTTTTTCCCCCCTAAAAATGACAAAGAGTGATAATTTAATTTCTGAAGTCTAATGGCCACACAGCTATTTTTGCCTAGATTCCTTTCTTTTTCAAACAAAATAAGCAATTCTCCCTAGATACCCTTTGTTTCAGATACAAATCTCAAGATATAATTTCAAAGAATATGATGTGTTGAGAGGAAAAATGTTAAACATAGAACAAGAATTCAAATTTACAGAAAATAGTTTATTCAAAATACTTATTAAACATATTTTGTGTGAAGTATCATGCTAAAAATGTGGAGGTGGAGGTGACAAATATACAACAAATTTCTGAATTCAAGGAGTTTTTCATTCTATAAGGGAAGCAGACATGTAAAAAATAATGAGGAAACAACTTCCAGAACAGAGTCAGAGCAGCTTTGTTATAATGAGTAGCCATTTAAAGACAATATGATTATATAGAGATAATATGTATTAATTTGTTTATATAGATATATAAACAGCAAATAAATATTTTTGTAATTAAGCAGTCCCCACTTACATCTCGAATCCTAATCAAGGACACACAAGGGACAGCAATCATTCTCATCAGTAAGCCTCTCCTCCATAGGCAGCTATGTAGACCTTGGGCTACAACCAAAGTTTTGCTAGTTTTCATGCTGAATGCCAGAAATGGGTTTTCCTGGTGAATTTGGTGTACTCTTAGTTAACATGATTAGTAGATGAATGTTAGAAGGAGTCCTATATTGGTAAAATTATAGTGTTCTAAAAGAAATTGATTGTCAGGTATACTTAAGAGACACTTCAGACCCACGCATGAACAGTATCTAAGAATCTAGCAGGACCACTATTTTTTTTTTTTTTTTGAGTCGGAGTCTCTGTTGTTGCCCGGGCTGGAGTGCAATGGCACAATATCGGCTCAGTGCAACCTCCACCTCCTGGGTTCAAGCAATTCTCCTGCCTCAGCCTCCCAAGTAGCTGGGATTACAGGCACCCACCACCACACCCAGCTAATTTTTGTAATTTTAGTAGAGACAGGGTACCACTGCCTGTTGGTCAGGCTGGTCTCAAACCCCTGAGCTCAGGCGATCAACCCGCCTTGGCCTCCCAAAGTGCTGCAATTACAGGCGTGAGCCACTGCGCCCGGCCCAAGGCCACCATTCTTAACCAAAGAAACCCCCAAAGATCTAGTAGTTAGCTGGAAACTCTGATTTCTGCAAGCCCAGTGAAAACTGTAGGGGTAACAACTCTAAGGGCAACAGAATCCTGCTACTGGAATCTTGATATGGCTCTATCCAGTGAATTTTTCTTGTACTATAGCATTTTAATCACTGAAAGAATGAGAAGGCTGTATTTTTTTAAGCCCTAATACAGATTGCATAATTTATATTGTGCTAACTTGCTAATAAATGTTTAATTAATAAATGTCACTGTGTAGGCAAATTTGTCTGAGATTTGCTCTCTTTATAACTTGGTAACAAGGTTGTTGATGAGAGCTAACCAAACTCTAACTTCTTTAGCAACTACTGTTACCCACCAAAAGACCTTGGGCTTGGGCATGACAAGTAGGCTGAGGACAGTTCAAAAGAGCATCTCTACAGTTTGAAAGAGGGAATAATTAAGCATGTGAGTGGAGAATATATCTAGGTACCAGTAAATACTATAGTTCATAATTATGTCCCCTTTTTGGTATTGAGCCTATCCAAGATAAATTTTTTTTTCACCTTTTGAGCTGTTTTTCAACAATTGAGAGTTATTTTCTGGCAGCTGTAACTATGTGTTATGGGGCCATCCACCTTGGCTATTTTCCTTATTGCATATAATATAGTCAATGTTTCCCTGGAGAGAACATGGAGTCCAGAAAGAGAAGCCACATGAATGTCACATTGAGCTAATTGATTTTTGCCTTAATTTACATTTTTATATATTAGTTTTTATGCATTAGACTTCTAAACAGGTTTTATAATTTGATTTGCAAATTCATGCCTTTAGATAGCTATCACTTAGCTATCCAAAATCTTTTTTTATGACTTCCATAGAAATACAAAAAGCAAGAAAGTAGAAAATGTGTATTCAATCTTAGTATAAGAAGAGTTGGAGTGTCTAAAAATAATGAAGGAAAAGTGTAGCTATATTCATAGTGGATGGGAACAAATGGTCAACATTTTAGATGGCTATGAGAGGTAATGGGACTAGTATCTCTGGATGGTGGTAACTGGGCATTTCTGTTTCCTTCTCTTCCTGGAAGGGGCTTTTGCATGTCACTTACTATTATTTATCAATGCCTCATTAAATAGGTCATCTGTGTCCAGATTTAAAGTCTCATTTTCAGAAGGATTTCATGAACTTGGAGAGTTTCCAACAAGAAAAATCTGAAATAAAATGGAAAAGTGCAGACTAGGATTCATGCCAGTAGTACATCTAAGTTTAAAACTGTTATTAAAACCCATCGTTGAAAAGTTTGGTCAAAATTTTTGTTTTCCAACCTTGTCTGCATCTTAGAATTATGTAGAAATATTTAAAAAATGCTGATCCCCAGGCCACATACAAGATGAATGACATATGCATCTCTGAAAGTGGGCCCCAGGCATCACTATTTTTATAAGTGTCCAGGTAATTTCAGCATATAGCTACACTGAGAAATCACGGGTCTAAATGATAGCAAAAATGTTGTCAAATTATCTGACAATTTAATTGGCAAAGACATTTATGCAAATTTAAAACAATTTAAAAATAAAACTTCTGGCTGGGGAAAGTTGTGTTAAAGGTGAGATTGTTCAAACACTGTAACCAATATTTAAACAACATTTGAAAAAACATAAAGTAAGTCATGAAACTTTTCTGTACCAAGGATCCTAAAATTCTAGTTCATATATTTCTGGAACCATCAATAAGAAATACTCTAGAAATATATTTTTGTCCTTTGGTAGGAAGCAGAAAATGAAGGATGTAGTCATAGAGATTGGAATTATGGAGTCAACAGAGATAAATACATGTCACAAATGCGTGAAATAAATATACCTGCCATCTTCTTTTAAGTCTTTAGCTATAAAGATTACTTTTCTCCTCCATTCCATTCTAAAGTCATCCAGTAGGAAACAGAGGGATGCTTTATCATTGACTTTGACAGAAAACTGACATTGCTGGGATATAATAAGAAAATAGTGTCTACATGACCATGTCTTATTCTTTTGGATCTCTCAATATTAATAAAGTGATATAAAATGTCCCAATATATTTATGGAAATAGTTTAAGAACAATTGGTCAGAAATATTTTCACAAATAGCCAATCAACTTTGACATAGTTTTCAATGAATTCTAACATGCTAATTAGAACCATCTGTTACAGTGGATTCTGTGGATTTCTTTGTTGTTTCTCAAAATTATAAATGCTTCTAAGACTTTAGGAGACAATAAAAGTACTTTTCTACTTGCTCACCCCATTTTATTTCATATTTTTCAAGGAAGAATAATAGAATACATTACATCCAAGACCATCACGAATGCAAGTTTTCCTAGAATAGTTTAAACTTAATAGGTGCTTCCTTATTTCTCAGACATAACTGATAGTATATTAAAGATCCCTAGTTAGTCAACCTATAAAACAGGAGTTTCCTTAGCAATAACAGCACGGTGTTTTTTTTTTGTTGTTGTTGTTTTCTTTTTATGATGATGTTTGGTTCTAGATTTTCACCTATCCAGCCTGAGAATACCATTGTGGTGTTCTGTCTCTTTTGCATAGGATTCTTGTGTTCCCATTGAAAAGGAAGAAATGTTGATGATTTATCTAGGTAGCCATTGAAAGCCTGAATCGTCCTAAATTTATCTTGGATGACTTATCACTCCCTATTATTAAAAATATCCTAAAGTGTGACATGCAGAGAAAATGATACCTGTAAGAAGCTCATTAAAAAAGCTTCTTGGACATAGAAAGTTTCCAAACTTCTCCATACAATATCTTCTTTAGAGATTCATAATTCACATTCTGCAAAGACTACTGTTTGTGAAAATCTGATCTAAATCTATTCAGAGCGGACAGTATAAACATACTGACTATACTAAGAATACTGACTTGAACTGGTTAAGCATAAGAAATTGTGAGAAGAAAGACAAAAAAAATTACATCCTATACACACAGCTCCGAGAAGGGTTGTGTGAATAGTACAGAAGTGAATTGCCCATGTATATTAGTCCATTCTTGCATTGTTATTAAGAAATACCTGAGACTGGGTAATTTACAGAGTAAAGAGGCTTAATTGGCTCACCAATCTGCAGGCTGTACAGGAATCATGGTGGGGCATCTGCTCAGCTTCTGTGAAGGCCTCAGAAAACTGACAATCATCATCGAAGGTGAAGTGGGGGACAGACATGTCACCTGGCCAGAGCAGGAGCAAGAGAGAGAGAGGGGAGATGCTACACACTTTTAAATGACCAGCTGTCAAGAGAACTCACTCATTCACGTGAGGACAGTTCCAAGGAGGATGGTGCTAAACCATTCATGGGAAATCCACACCCATGATCCAATCACCTCCCACGAAGCCCCACCTCCAACACTGGGGATTAGATTTCAATATGAGATTTGGGTGGGGACACACCTCCAAACTGTATCAGCATGAATCCTCTTCTAACATAACTTACCATCTGATCGAGGATATAAAATAAGTCTAGAAAACATGAAGAAGGTTGTTTAGTGGGCCACAGGAGAGGTATAGATAGGAGGCTCTGAGTATTCTGTGCTAGGACAAATTATTACCAGCTGGATATGGGGTTGAATTAGAAATCGTCACAGTACAATAGCATTAACTGAACTTTAGCTGATACACTTGAACACGGAAGGAAAGCATTTTAGGGAGAGATGGATATATAGGTAAAGAGGCTAGAAGGTGTGGATCATATGTGGAACAGAGCAGTCTATATTTGGGTAGAGTGTAGGGTGGGAATAAATGGGAAAAGGCAAGAAAGAAATCTGTTTAGATTCTGAAGGGTCTTGAATTCCAGGCTCAGCAGTTAGCTTAGTAGATAGCTAATTAGTGGTAATTAGCTATAATTAATCATGTTTGTGCTGTGTAGCAATTAGGAACACATGGTAGCAATTTATCCCAATGGTCCCAATCAGTAGAACATACTCATCTGAACTTGAGAGAAGTATCAAATGAGAAGAAGAAATGGAAGTTAATACTGTTCTCAGGTCTTTAGAAAAGCAGTCCAGAACAGAGCTTCTCATACTTTATTGTGCATGCTCAGTACCTGGAATCCTTGGTCAAAGGCAGATTCTGACTCAGTACCTCTGGAGTGGAGTCTGAAACTCTTCAATTCTAGCAAGTTTTCAGATTCTAGTTGTTTTTTGTTGTTGTTTGCTTGATTGATTGGTTTTGCTCATTTGTAGACCACATACTAAATTGTAATTATTTTTAGATAAATGATTTCCAAACTTGACTGCATGTCAGAATCACAGAGCTTTAAAAGTCACCAGCGCCTGGAGCCTATTTAGATTCTGATTTAATTGGGTATTGGTATCAGTATTTTAAAAAGCTGCCCCCCTCTCCCCGCAACATTCCAATGCATGGCCAGTGCTGAGAGCACTGCTCTGGGTTATGTCTTCAGTTGGTGTTTCTCAACCCTGAATGCACATTAGAATCACTCAGGGAAGTTTTAAAAATACAACTGCTCAGACAGCATGGCAGATCAATTAAATAAGACTCTCTAGGGGAGGAACCTGGGTGCAGGCATGTTTCAAAAACTCCCCAGATGATTCTAATGTGCAGCAGAGTTTAGAATTACTTACCTGGAGCGATTTCAGATTTTTTAAAAAAATTCTTCTGTCCTGGCTGAAGAGATCATTTCAGAGGAAGTCTAAGCCTTTAAAGCTGTTTGAGAGCCAGGTGCACATCCTATTCCATTGTCAAATTACTGAAATTTAACAACCTGTATGTAGCTCATCAGGATACAAATCCTGCAGTATCAGTGCGAACAAGGGCAGCTGTTTAGTGCCTTTGGTTTAGAAGTGAAGAAATAAAGTAAATTTTTTTTCTGAAATAAATGGTGTTCAAAAATAAATACTTGTGAAGAGAGGATCCTGTTATTTTGTTGAAAGTCAGTGCACTTGAGTTCAGCAATCCCTTACAGGTCTGCATGGTGAATATGCAGCTACAGATATTCTCCCTAGAAACCCAGAAAATAACTATAAAATCACTGTAGACTAGTGAAAAGAAAGTGGTATTTGAATTAGGAGAACATGATCCGGCAGCGGGGATAGTGGTGAGATGGGAGGGAACTCAGAAGATTTGGCCCTCATTCTATTATTGACACACTTTTGTGCATCTCAGTTTCATGGCATATCAAATGGGGAAAAATGGCAACTATGTACAGGGTTGTGTAAGGACATAATATATATCATTATTTTGTTGTAAGCTTAAATGTGCAATACAAATGTCAACAATTAAAGCAACATTATATTCAGTACCTTAGGAGTGATGATAAATAACACTGATGGTGTTCAATCCTCTTTTTCCCCCTGTAATCATTGCTCTCAAGTGTGCAGGTGCTTGATACTGGTACTTAGAACTCTGTTTGTTTGAGATTTGATGAACAATCCTTAACATGAAATGATCATTTGGGAGGAAACCAGAGATGGGAGAAAAGTTGAAAAAGATTTCCATCCTGATCCAGCCTTACTTTATTTTTTATACCACTCAAGATGGTTTCATTTGTAGGGGTATAAATTATCATTGTGTCATTATTAGTAAAAAGTGAAAGTCATTATGCAGACATGGGTTAACAAGATTAAATTTGTGCTATTTGTGCTGAATAGATAGGTTAGAAATAGAAGTCTTTAGTTGTTTATGAACTTAGACTAAATAGGAAATCCATCGGGAATCAGAATTATTAATAGCAAACATTAAAACTGTTTAACATTGAGATATCATTCTGGTCTCTCAGAGATACTAAGTGGAATAAAAGCATGTTCTTGATCTTCATAATATGATTGTGTACTGAGTTGTCATTTCAACTAGGTTAATTAGGTATAAAAAAGTCACCCATGGTATTGAATTTAGAGATAAAACAAAACATGGCAAACACCATACAGATTCGTGATGAACAGACTTCTGAATTTCTTTTGTTTTTAACCTGGTCTTTTTCTCATAGTACTAATCATAAGATTCATATGATACCCAGAATTGGGGTGATACCAAGTACAGTCTCACATATTCAGATGACTTGATTCATTGATATACTCAGACGTAGAGATATGAGAAAAGGCTTGAATGTTAGACTTCTGATCTATAATTTTTGTAATAGCTGGAATCGGACAATATAATTTATGTAAAAAGGCCTGACATTGTGTGTGACACTTATTATGCAACCATTTTGGTTTTCTTCATCTTTAGTAATGTCAACCAATTGTGGAGCTTTTTTTTTTTTTTTTTCCCCAGGTCCCAGCAATTCTCCTGCCTCAGCCTCCCGAGTAGCTGGGACTACAGGCACATGCCACCATGCCTGGCTAATTTCTGTATTTTTTTAAGTAGACATGAGGTTTCATCATATCGGCCAGGCTGATCTCAAACTCCTGACCTCATGATCCACCTGCCTTGGCCTCCCAAAGTGCTGGAATTATAGGCGTGAGCCACTGCGCCCGGCCTGCAATTGTGGAAATTTTATTATGTCCCAGGTAACACTCGCCCTTCACAGGAATGTGTTTGTGATATTTATAAAAACTGCATGAGAAGGATATTGTCATTCCCATTTATCTCATGAGGAAATTGGAGTATAGAAAGTTTAAGTACTTGCCTATAGCCACTTAATTAACAGATGACAGAGCTCAGACTGAAGTCCAGGCAGTTCATCTTCATAGTCCACTCTGATCTTCAGGGTCCACTGCTGTTCAGTAAAAAAAAAAAAAACTATTCTTACTGTCTGATTCAAAGCTCTTTTATAATTTGATATTCAGTTAAAAATAAGAAATAATAGTTGTGCCTGGAATTGACTGAACAAAGAGAAATATGATATACCATTAATTAGACGGCCTATTTACCATGACCCATATGTCATCATCTCTTTAATGAACTTCTTTGATAACCATCTACTGTCTCAAAAACACACTTGTAGGCCATGGAGTCACAGCCTCTTAGAATTATCATTCATATGTATTGCCCTGTGTATTGAGGCATCCCACTCTTTGCCCCCCGACCCCCAGGCCCACATTTCGCTAATTGGAAAAATGAGGTCCACAGAAAGAAATGTACTAAACCATGACTTAAACTGACCTGTGGGAGCTTCTATCAGCTAGAAGTATTGTAGTTTCTTCCAGGGTCAAGAGTCATTTGCCACAGGATCAAGTCCATATTCTGTGCTCTAATGAATTGTAGCTGAAATCTCATACTGTTTGCTGTTTGGCCCACTGAGAACATTAAATCTTGGGTAGCTCAAAAGGCTCTTAGAGTCCTCCTTTTGATAGCATCTTTTCAATTCCTTACTCATTTGGCTTTTTCTAAATTCCTTGTATCTAAGAAATGATGCATCCTTGGCTTCTTTCTTGACTAGCATTTGGCATCACTTGTTGGCTTCTTTTATTATCTCTATTCTAGAAATTTTGTCAAATATTTACTGAGTTACTACTTGGGCAGTGTTAGTGCTAGTTTACTGGGGATGAGTGAACAAGGATGTCATAGCCCATAATCTCATAGAACTTGTAGTATAAAAGGTTACATAGACAAGTAAATAGGAAGTTACAGCCTATAGAGGTAAGCCTATGATGGCAGACGTAGCTCAAGATGAAGTGAACTCAGGGAGGTCTTTACAAGGGAGTGGATCTCTGAGCTGAAACATAAAGAAGGAGTAGCAATTATCCAAACTCCAAAAGTACAGGGACAGACCTGTATAATTGATCTCAGGACACTGAACACAGTGCTTGTCATATAATTAGAACTCAATAAATATTTTTAATAGATGAATGCAAAGTAAAGAGGGTAACAAAGTCTCCCTCCAAACTTTAGTCAAGCTTCTCTGAGCCATCTCTTTTTGACTATGCCTCATATTTGGGACCCGCTGTTGACCTTCTGTACCCAGTTTTAGCAGAGTCTTGTTATTAAGAATCCTCCCACTCTAGATATTTGATTACATTGTCCTGCCTTAACAAGAATCCCCCCCTGCCCTTGATATTTGATCAAGTTTTTCTTAGTAATTTTTTATCCTTGACTTTTCATTATGCTTGTTGGCTCTATATCTCCAGTGGTGTTTACTGTATTTGGAGCTGAGTTCAATCTCTTTGCTGTGTTTCAATAGTGTCTTCTCTTTGCTGTGTTTCAATAGTCTCTTCTCTATTGCAATAGTCTTGAATAAAATCTTTCTTACCATTTTAAGGAATATCATAATAATTTCTAACAAGGCCGAACATGTTTAAAGGCAAGATATAGGAACAATCAATTCACTTATTTTCTTTCTGCTATTTGTGAATTTTTTCTGCAAAAGAAGAAAAGAATTCCTACCTCATTGATTATTATGCAGATCAAAATAAATATAAAAATGGCATGTGTAAGATATTAAAACAATTCTGACATATAATAAACACCAAATACATAGTAGATATTATCTTTTTTTCAACTGTCATTTCCTCATGCTTTTGGTTATTCAAAATAAGCCTTGCCATCCTGGGATTTAGATAAGGTAAATGGGGCCCACATACTTTCTGAAAATATGTACAAAATTATGTAAATGTCAGTATAAACATTTATTTTACTTTGGGAGAAAATTTATAATTTTCATTGTATTCTCCAAATGTCTGCAACTTTAAAAGTATTACAAACCACCATTATATTTATTTTCAGATAGACTATATCTACTTTCATGGTTCCACATTGATAGTTTCCAAATACATTCATCATATCCAAATTTAATTCTATACCCCATTTCTATATTTGCTACATTAAGATTCAAACTTTTAGCTTATAATTCCTTCATTTCTTCTATCTCAACATCTATCCCAATTTGGTTCTTTTTCCTGAAGACTTTATTTCTCTTTATAATGCTTCTTTTCCCTCAGTCATGAGGCACATGCCTTGGAATATAGGTATGTACCTTTGTACGTAAACTGCTACTTTACTCCATGTAGCACTTCTGCACTTAAATGCTATGTTTTGCCAATTTTCTCTAGTCTCATTTTGGACCCTCTTCACTTTGCAGTGCAATTTTTTTAAGAGCCTCCTAACTGCTCTCCTGGCCCCTACCTGTTTTTCGGAGTTAGTTCATCTTTCATGGCATTACTATATTTTATCTTTAAAACTTTAGAAACGATTTTTCTGATGGTTCCTCTCCTGCCTAACTCCTTGTGAAGGCTGGTCCCCAGGTGGTCAAGGCATAGCCTTCTTGTATTTCCTGAGAATTTCCTTCCACTCTCTTTTCTGCCTTTCCAAATCCTAGCCATCTTTCATGCTCTAGTTCAAGTCCTACCAGTTTTTTAGGAGATTTCCTTGGTGACTATCTTTCAGTATTTTCCTTTTCTAACTTCTTACTGCATGGATCATTTCATACAGTTGAGCACTTTGTAGTTCTCTGACTGTGTGTGTGTGTGTGTGTGTGTGTAAATGTATATGTGAGTACACTTGCATGTGCAATGCTGTGTCTTCCCAGGCACGTGAAGGGGACAGGACCTGTCTTACATTTCATACTCCTCCAACCACCAGACTTTTTTAAAAAGGTAAAATATATTCAATCAATAATTGTAGCCGATACACAATCTTAACCATCACATAAGTAGGATTTTAAACTTAATTTCTTAACTATTTTTGAAGGATGTAGAACAACGTGGCTATAAATTTTAGTTTTATAGAATAATAATGTATTATGAAGTTGTTTGACAAGCTGTCTATTCTCCTCCTTATGGAAATATATACATGGTTAAATATATACATATAAGGTGAAATATATACAAATAAGGTGTTTTTGTTTTGTTTTGTTTTGTTTGAGACGTTTTTTCACTCTTGTTGCCCAGGCTGGAGTGCAGTGATGTGATCTCGGCTCACTGCAACCTCCGCCTCCCCGGTTCAAGTGATTCTCCTGCCTCAGTCTCCTGAAGTGGCTGGGATTACAGGCGCATGCCACCACGTCCAGCTAATTTTTTTGTATTTTTAGTTGAGATGGCGTTTCACCGGTTTGGCCAGGCTGGTCTTGAACTCCTGACCTCAGGTGATCCACCTGCCTCAGCCTCCCAAAGTGCTGGGATTACAGGAGTGAGCCACCGTGCCTGGCTGGGTGTTTGTTATTTTTAAGCAATGCCTTCCTCTAAGACATTGTTTATGAAGAAGTTCCACATGAAATAAAAAATCACATCACTTCAGTTGATCATCACAAGTTATTACCTGACTCTGCAGTTTTTGATATTCT
Organism: Homo sapiens; assembly: GCF_000001405.40. Lineage (NCBI taxonomy): Eukaryota > Metazoa > Chordata > Mammalia > Primates > Hominidae > Homo > Homo sapiens. The sequence goes on from NC_000003.12 coordinate 191,543,240, forward strand.
TAGGCCAGTTCTACAGAGGTTAGCCATTTCTACATGGGCATTGCAAGGATATTTGCCATCTGAAAACTTCCTTAAGTAGTTCTAAGAGATACACTTTCACACATGCATTGCAGGTTTTGAAGGTTGTTTTTTTTCCTGAAATGAATACACAAACCTATCTGGACTAAATGAAAGACAAAAATATGTGCACTATTTTTCCCCTTCTCAATCAAGAAAAATGACTGAGTACATTTAAACTTTTAATGACATCTTACCTAAGACATGGTGTAAAATTATTTAAGCAGTGATCATTTGAGAATATTTGGAAGAAAACAATGAGCCAAAGTAGAACAATAATAATTGTTCATTGTTTACTATATACCTAACTCTGATACACACTTGATGTCAGCTTTTGTTCTTCAATTCCAAATGGAATTATTTAATAAACCACATAAATAGTAAGATATTATAATTTGTTAGAGACTTAGAGATCACCTAGTCTAACTTTCTAATTTTATAGGTAAGGAAACTAAAGTGAGGAGTTAAATTATCCAAGCTCACGTGACAGTTTAAAGATATAGTCTTAACGGAATTAAATATCCAGTTTTCTTGACATTCCCCAACTGGTAATTCCATTTTAATCCTTGTTGTTGTGAAAGCATGAAAATTGCAAATACAGAGGTCTGATCCTATATCAATAATGATTAGTTATACAGCCGTGGATAAAATTTTAAGTGTTATTATGGTGTCCCATCCAATGAACTGTGAGAAGTGGAGGGACAAATTCCCATGATGCCCAAGGCTAACGGAGCTCTCTCTCTGTTATGACAGAGAGAAATTCTGGAGATGGCTGACCATAGAGTTGACACCATTGAATAATGAGTATCATATAAATTCATGCTGAGTTTCTCCTTACTGTGCTTTTAGAAGGAGGTTATTCAACTAGGATAATTATGTAATATTGCATCACTGCAGGCTGTATTTTATGTTTAAGAATCCCACATAAAGGATAGCTGATTTGCAGGATGTTCTTTCGGAATCACATTAAAAAGAAACTGTTCCAAGCCCGTATCAGTGAATTCTTTTAGTTTACTTCTTTCATTAAGCAAATGATACTGATATATATTGTGAACAAACACAGCCGGTTAACTTTCACATTGACAAGTTGGTAAGGTTAGGTTGTATAGCAATGTCCTATCTGCCGTGGTTTGTTGCTATAAGGCTGGTTAGTTTTGCCAGCTATTATAGGTCTTATATTTCCACTTTTTTCAAGAATAAATTATTTGAATAATAAAAGAGTGAATTTTCTAAATGTTGAGGCTTATTTAAAACATTATGATATTTGATGAAACACTTTAACCAGTAATATAACTTGATCCTTATTGCAGTAATTCTGCTAGGCAGTAATAGGGGTTATTGCTCCTCATTGAGTACATCCACGATTTAAAAAGTGAAATAACTTGGATTCCATAGCTGTTAAATGTGTAATTGTTAATCCATTACAGGCATTCTGACTTTTGATTCAATGCTCCTAATAACAAATACACTATACACACACATACACACACACATATACACATGATTTAGTTCTATTATGAGCTTTAATGCTGGCTGTATTTGCACATAAATAACGATATATAATTTATTTATGTGTTCATATGTATAAAACCACTATGAACATCTTTCCACATATAAAAAAGTCCTTCAAAGTAAGTGTTATGAATTGACTTAATCTAATGTACCCAATTAATTGGACACAATTTTATCTGCCAGTCAGTCCAAATACTGGAATTTTTTCAAGAATTTTCCTGAGTTATCTTTATGTTAACCTGCACAGCTCATGTTAGCCGTCAGTTCACAGTTATGCAGAGCTTTGCAATTCAGTTGTTTTCATATGGCTTTAACTCAGAAGTCAAAAACAGTCAGATGTGACCATCAGGTCCATTTCAACTTGGCTACCTTATATTTTAAATGGATTTGAATTAAAAAATGTCAACATTATACAAATCGGGAGTTTTTAAATAAAGCTTAGTCTTCTGACTTCTTTTGCCCTGTCTCTGAATGGAACCATCAGCTGAAGGTTTTGATGAGATATGTGTTCACCAGGCCATCCTCATGATACATGTGACCTTCCTGCTCCTAGTAGAACCTTCAGTTTCTGATGCTTTTTCTAAAGCTTTTATCTACATGTACCCAAGGTTTTTCAGTCTTACTTTTTTCTTCTCCTTCATCTTTGCCTTAGTTCAGGGCTTTGTCATTTGTTTCTTGAACCAGTTGGAAACTGATTTCCCTCCTTCTTATAACATTTGATAGCTTTCAAGGCCCATAACTTGATCTCCTGCTTTCAGAAGTAACTTTTATTGTAGGTACAGAGGTGATAGAGCAAAATTCTTCATTTTCCCATAAAATAAACACTTAAAATTATATTTCAAGGTAATATAATGCCATGACCATTATTTTTTAATAAAAATAATTTATTTACCCACTTTATTGAGGTATGATTGACAGGTAAAAAGCTGTACATCTTTAATGTATACAACACAGTGAGCTTGGGGATATGTGTACATGCATAAAACCATCACCATCCTGAGGCCTTAGATATATCCATAATCTCCCAGAGTTCCTTGTTACCCTTTCTGTTATTATTTGTTTGTGTGTGTGTGTTAAGAACACTTAACATAAAATCTACCTTTTCAGAAACTTGTAAGCATATTATTAACATAACATTAGCTATAGGCATTATGCTGTAGAATAGATCTTCAGAATGTATCTTGCATAAGTGACACTTTGTACCCTTTAACTGTCGCCTGCCCGTTTTTCTCTTTCCCCCAGGCCCTGGCAATCACTATTCCAGTCTCTGCTTCTATGAGTTTGACTATTTCAGATTCCACATGTAGGTAAGATCATACAGTATTTTACTGTAGTTTTAAAGTTTAGCTTATTTTACGTAGCATAATGTCCTCAGGGTCTATCCATGTTGTTGCACATGGCCGAATCTCCTTCTTTTGTGAGGCTGAGTAACATGACACCTTACATATACCATATTTTCCATTATCCACTTATGTATTAGTCTGTTTTCACACTACTGATAAAGACATACCCAAGGCTAGGAAGAAAAAGAGGTTTAATGGACTTACAGTTCCACATGGCCTTCTGCCATGGCCTCACAATCATGGCGGAAGGCAAGGAGGAGCAAGTCATATCTTACATGGATGGCAGCAGGCAAAGAGAGAGCTTGTGCAGGGAAAACTCTCATTTTTAAAAACATCAGATCTCATGAGACTCATTCACTATCACAAGAATAGCACGGGAAAGACCCGCTTCCATGATTCAATCACCTCCCACTAGGTTTCTCCCATGACATGTGGGAATTGTGGGAGATAGAATTCAAGATGAGATATGGGTGGGGACAACCAAACCGTGTCATTCTGGCCCTGGCCCCTCCCAAATCTCATGTCCTCAAATTTCAAAACCATTCTTGCCTTCCCAACAGTCCCCCAAAGTCTTAACTCATTTCAGCATTAACTCAAAAGTCCACAGTTCAATGTCTCATCTGATATAAGGCGAGTCCCTTCTGCCTATGAGCCTATAAAATCAAAAGCAAGTTAGTTAATTCCTAGATACAATGGCAGTACAGGCATTGGGTAAATACAGCCATTCCAAATGGGAGATAGTGGCCACAAAAAGGGGCTACAGGCCCCATGCAAGTCTGAAGTCCAGCAGGACAGTCAAATCTTAAAGCTCTAGAATGATCTCCTTTGACTTCATGTGTCACATCCAGGTCACACTGATGCAAGAGGTGGGATCCCATGGTCTTGGGCAGCTCCACCCTTGTAGCTTTGCAGGGTACAGCTTCCCTCCCAGCCACTTTCATGAGATGGTGTTGAGTGTCTGCGGCTTTTCCAGGCGCACAGTGCAAGCTGTTGGTGGATCCACCATTCTGGAGTCTGGAAGACGGTGGCCCTCTTCTCACAGTTCCACTAGACAGTGCCCCAGTAGGGACTCTGTGTGGGGGGCTCTGATCCCACATTTCCACTCCACACTGCCTAGCAGAGATTCTCCATGAGAGCCCCACCCCTGTAGCAAACTCTTGCCTGGACATCCAGGCATTTCTATAGATCCTCTGAAATCTAGGAGAAGTTTGCCAAACCTCAATTCTTGACTTCTATGCACTGGCAGGCTTGACACCACGTGGAAGCTGCCAAGGCTTGGGGCTTATGCTCTTTGAAGCCATAGCCTGAACTGCACTTTGGCCCCCTTTTGTCACAACTGGAGCAGCTGGGATGCAGGGCATCAAGTCCCTAGACTGCACACACAACAGGGACCCTGGGCCTGGCCCACAAAACCATTTTTAATTCCTAAGGCTCTAGGCCTGTGGTGGGAGGGGCTGCCATGAAAACCTCTGACATGCCCTGGAGACCTTTTCCCCATTGTTTGGAGTTTAACATTCAGCTCCTTGTTACTTATGGAAATTTCTGCAGCCAGAAAAGTGGCTTGAATTTCTCCTCAGAAAATGGGGTTTTCTTTTCTACCATATTGTGAGGCTGCAAATTTTCCAAACTTTTATGTTGTTTCCCTTTTAAAACTGAATGCTTTTAACAGCATCCAAGTCATGTCTTGAATGCTTTGCGGATTAGAAATTTCTCCCACCAGATACCCTAAATCATCTCTCTCAAGTTCAAAGTTCCACAAATCTCTAGGGCAGGGGCAAAATGCCACCAGTCACTTTGCTAAAACATAGCAAGTGCCACATTTGCTCCAGTTCCCAACAAGTTCCTCATCTCCATCTGAGACCACCTCAACCTGGACCTTATTGTTCATATCATTATCAGCATATTGGTCAAAGCCATTCAACAAGTCTCTAAGGAGTTCCAAACTGTCCCACATTTTCCTGTTTTCTTCTGAACCCTCTAAACTGTTCCACCCTCTGCCTGTTAACCAGTTCCAAAGTCATTTCCACATTTTTGGGTATCTTCTCAGCAGCACCCCACTCTGCTGGTACCAATTTTCTATATTAGTCTGTTTTCATGCTGCTGATAAAGACATACCTGAGACTTGAAAAAAAAAAAAGAGAGGTTTAATGGACTTACGGTTCCACATGGCTAAGGAGGCCTCACAATCATGGTGGAAAGCAAGGAGGAGCAAGTCATATCTTACATGGATGGCAGCAGGCAAAGAGAGAGCTTGTGCAGGGAAACCTCTCATTTTTAAAAACATCAGATCTCATGAGACTCATTCACTATCACAAGAATAGCATGGGAAAGACCCACCCCCATGATTCAATCACCTCCCACCAGGTTTCTCCCACAACATGTGGGAATTGTGGGAGGTACAATTCCAGATATGATTTGGGCGGGGACACAGCCAAACCATATCAATTTATTTGACCATGACATTATTAAGTTGGTAAGACATATACAGAAGGCTCAGAGTGTTCAAAAGGACAGCAGCCCCTGCTGCCTGCCCCTTGCCCACTCTCGCCTTCTCACTCTCTTCCTCTTCCCTTGAAGCTGAGCTGTGCCTGCCAGGACTCTCTTCTCACTGTCCTCTGTACTCACTGGGCCTTCAGCAAGGTTTTCCCTCTGGCTCAAAATCTTTTCCTTCTTATCTCTCTTATTATTTATATCTGTATCTGGAGCCTAGGAAAGATCAATAAAAAGATGTTTCAAGCTTTTAAATGTTTTTCTTATCAATGCATTTGTCCTGGGTGTAATATTTCAATTTACAAATGGTCTAGAAGTTTTTCTCCATCGAAATGATCTCAGGCATTGAACTAAAAGAATAAAATAGATGCTAATATGAAATAAAGGACAAAAGAGACATTACAGAAAGAAATATTTTATGGCCAACATAATAGTGTATCAAACCACTTTTAGAATAACTAAGCATTTCTGTTAAAAACATGAAAGGTCAAACAGCATATCTTATAATGCAGAAAGAAATCCATTCAATTTTAAAATTGTTCTTGCACTATCCAGTGTTACTTAGAGGACAAAATAACTGAGGTTAATAGATTTTATTATGTCACTGGCCTAAGTGGTTGATAAAAATATGAATTTAAAGGAATAGGATGTATATTTCAAGCCTGTAATGACATGTCATCAATCTCTGAAATGATTTTGATTCCAGTTTGTCCTAATTTGGTGGCAGTTTTTTTTTTAAGTTGCAATTCTACATATTTTTCCATTAAGCAAGCGACTTTCAATTTCTCCATTACTTTAACCTCACAGTCATCATCAAAAACAGTAAATCCTTATTCAGCACTGACCCCTTTAGAATCAATTGTTACAGATGAGGCTTGCCAGAGTCTGGAGGCAGGCAGAGGGGCTTGATTCTGATATATAGCTCATAGTCTGACTTTCACTCACTGGTTTCACTTCTCATTTAAACATTTGCTCATTAAAAGCTTTCAGTAATCAGTGCTTGGGGCTAACACTAACTTTTTCATCCTATTGCATTTGATTCTTTCATACTTTGTTATGTCATTCTATTTACACTTTTACTTTAATCTGTGTTCTCATTCAAAATGATGCCAACTGACTAAGTAAACAAGATTTCGAAAAAGAAGCATGTACTATTTTCAAATCTCGTAGAAACAATATAAAATTACTGATCTCAACAAATATCTCATTGGGGACTTTTAATTTAACAGAAACAATAACAATAACAACTACAACAAACTAGTAAAAAGGAATTTCTTTCAGGAACATTGAGATTCTGACAAGTTGAGAAGGCTATCTATATTGTCAACCAACTCTTGACAATTTTTGCCATTCAACTGAGTTGAGATAGATTGTAGAGAATCTTTGGTCCAGCATTCTAAAAGTGCCCTTCCCATTGCCAGGAAAGCCTGCCTCCCAGATGTTCCCCTATTCCTGTGTTACCTCTTCAGGGAGATCTCTTTTTCTTGACTAACAAATCTACAGCAGCACAACAGCTCACTCCATTCCCTTGCATTAACTTATTTTTTATCATATTGTTACATATCTATTACATGTTCATTTGTAGATTACCAACTTCACTAGACTATTAAAATTATTTTATTTTAACTGTTATTATAAAATATTTTATTTTAAAGTTATGCACAATGTGACTAAACCATTATGATGAATATCTTTTTTTTCTTTTTATTATTATTATTATACTTTAAGTTTTAGGGTACTTGTGCACAATGTGCAGGTTAACATATGCCATGCTGGTGCGCTGCATCCATTAACTGTGCCATGCTGGTGTGCTGCACCCATTAACTCGTCATTTTGCATTAGGTATATCTCCTAATGCTATCCCTCCCCCCTCCCCCCACCCCACAACAGTCCCCAGAGTGTGATGTTCCCCTTCCTGTGTCCATGTGTTCTCATTGTTCAATTCCCATCTATGAGTGAGAACATGCAGTGTTTGGTTTTTTGTCCTTGAGATAGTTTACTGAGAATGATGATTTCCAATTTCATCCATGTCCCTACAAAGGACATGAACTCATCATTTTTTATGGCTGCATAGTATTCCATGCTGTATATGTGCCACATTTTCTTAATCCAGTCTATCATTGTTGGACATTTGGGTTGGTTCCAAGTCTTTGCTATTGTGAATAGTGCCACAATAAACATATGTGTGCATGTGTCTTTATAGCAGCATGATTTATAGTCCTTTGGGTATATACCCAGTAATGGGATGGCTGGGTCAAATGGTATTTCTAGTTCTAGATCCCTGAGGAATCGCCACACTGACTTCCACAATGGTTGAACTAGTTTACAGTCCCACCAACAGTGTAAAAGTGTTCCTATTTCTCCACATCCTCTCCAGCACCTGTTGTTTCCTGACTTTTTAATGATTGCCATTCTAACTGGTGTCAGATGGTGTCTCATTGTGGTTTTGATTTGCATTTCTCTGATGGCCAGTGATGATGAGCATTTTTTCATGTGTCTGTTGGCTGCATAAATGATTTCTTTCGAGAAGTGTCTGTTCATATCCTTTGCCCACTTTTTGATGGGGTTGTTTGTTTTTTTCTTGTAAATTTGTTTGAGTTCATTGTAGATTCTGGATATTAGCCCTTTGTCAGATGAGTAGGTTGTGAAAATTTTCTCCCATTTTGTAGGTTGCCTGTTCACTCTGATGGTAGTTTATTTTGCTGTGCAGAAGCTCTTTAGTTTAATTAGATCCCATTTGTCAATTTTGTCTTTTGTTGCCATTGCTTTTGGTGTTTTAGACATGAAGTCCTTGCCCATGCCTATGTCCTCAATGGTAATGCCTAGGTTTTCTTCTAGGGTTTTTATGGTTTTAGGTCTAACGTTTAAGTCTTTAATCCATCTTGAATTAATTTTTGTATAAGGTGTAAGGAAGGGATCCAGTTTCAGCTTTCTACATATGGCTAGCCAGTTTTCCCAGCACCATTTATTAAATAGGGAATCCTTTCCCCATTGCTTGTTTTTCTCAGGTTTGTCAAAGATCAGATAGTTGTAGATATGTGGCGTTATTTCTGAGGGCTCTATTCTGTTCCATTGATCTATATCTCTGTTTTGGTACCAGTACCATGCTGTTTTGGTTACTGTAGCCTTGTAGTATAGTTTGAAGTCAGGTGGCGTGATGCCTCTGGCTTTGTTCTTTTGGCTGAGGATTGACTTGGCGATGCAGGCTCTTTTTTGGTTCCATATGAACTTTAAAGTAGTTTTTTCCAATTCTGTGAAGAAAGTCATTGGTAGCTTGATGGGGATGGCATTGAATCTATAAATTACCTTGGGCAGTATGGCCATTTTCACGATATTGATTCTTCCTACCCATGAGCATGGAATGTTCTTCCATTTGTTTGTATCGTCTTTTATTTCATTGAGCAGTGGTTTGTAGTTCTCCCTGAAGAGGTCAAATTGTACCTGTTTGCAGACGACATGATTGTATATCTAGAAAACCCCATTGTCTCAGCCCAAAATCTCCTTAAGCTGATAAGCAACGTCAGCAAAGTCTCAGGATACAAAATCAATGTACAAAAATCACAAGCATTCTTATACACCAATAACAGACAAACAGAGAGCCAAATCATGAGTGAACTCCCATTCACAATTGCTTCAAAGAGAATAAAATACTTAGGAATCCAACTTACAAGGGACGTGAAGGACCTCTTCAAGGAGAACTATGATGAATATCTAATCTACCACCATTCTTAAAGTTCCCATGCACATTTGTACAAGTATATACTGTTTAGTCCATCAAATACATTTGCACAAGGAACCAGTTATAAAAAGCTAACAATAAAACCTAGATAAGCCAAGCAGCCAGTTAAAAAAAATCACCCTTTATCTAACGTCAGTGTTCTATGTATTTCAATGTAAAGAAATTTAGTTTTTTTCCCCTCTCTTTTAATGTCAAAAAGGTGAAGCCATGAGATCAGCAGGATGTAGGTAAGTGAGTAAAGCAGGAGGCGGTCAGTTTACATTAACATAAAATGACTCTGAATGTTTTTTACCCTTTGTCTTTAGCATGTAGATCTATAATATACTTGTCATATAGAATGCCTAAAGTTGATCTGTAGATGCCACTGAGAAAGACACTTGAAAAAAATCTTCCTAATCCACATAACAAGAATAACATTTTATTCACACTTAAAAGCATGCACATCTTCTTTCAGCAAAAGTATCAGTTATGATGGAAATGCTAATTCACTTGTTTAAAAGTATTAAGAAGTAGCTCTCAAAAAGTTTGCTTCTTAACCAAACTCGAGTGAGCCCTTGCTGTATGCTATTTATTCTGCCACCTTCAGAAACATCGAAGGTCACCCAAAGGCAGTGGATGCATCAAGGATTGAATAGGCCAGTAGGAGAGGAGAGATTATTACTTTGTTTATTCACACATTTATGCATTTATATATACCTCGTCTTGCACCAGATATGACTTAGGTAATCTATAAAACCTCATACAGTATAAAATAATATAAGCTAGAAGTAGGTAAGAAAGTTATGGTGAAGGATAATCAAGGATAGAGCAATAAAATATGGCTAGATATAGGTTATTGGATAAAATGCAGGCTATGGAACAGTATATACATGCTGAGGGATATACTATATATGAACTGAGATAATTCAGTGTGTGATTAAATGTAACACTAGAGGTATGCACATGGTACAATTTTAACAGATAAGAGAGTGAATAATTAAATATTTCTCAAAACATTTAAAGTTAGAGAGATAAAGTGATATTTTTTCTTGAATTTCTGAGTAAGAAAAATACTTGTTCAGACAGGATGAGGGAAGGATTACAGTACTCGAGGCAAAGAGAAAAACGTGGCATGTGCAAAATTATGGAAGCATATATAATTAATATAGCATGGATATTTGCAAAATTAAAAAGATAAACGTGATGGAAGAAGCAAGTGATGGGGGTAAAATGGCAGCTGGCCTTTGGCCAGCTCTTGTGCTGCATTCACCTGATGTTAGAAAAGTCGATGATGCACATCAGTGAGTATGTCTTCGTATGTTGTGTTTTAGGGAAGGAATGTGAATTATTCCACTTTCAAATATGCCGCCATGTTTACTGCTGACTGTAGCAGCGAGCTGATGGCCCAACTCACCCATGGAGAATCTGAAGCCTTTCCCTGAGCACAGCAGCATTCAATTATTACATCTGTATCCCAAAGTGATCCTCCAAATCTTTTAGAGCTGAAATGATGGGGAGAAGGGTCATTAGGGAATTTGCAGAATCCTAATTCTCCCATGATTGTCTATAAGATTTTTTCCAGTAGTATTACTTCAAAATATGTTGCTGTGTTAGATAATCCTGCCACCGTATATTTTTGTGTGTGAAGAAAAAATGACTTGCTTCAAAGGAGAGAAGGTAATAATTTTAAGTGACAGAGATTTGATACAACACAATGTCTTTATTTTTTGTTGCCTGCATTTCATATCCTTTCTTTTTTTCAACCAAATCTCTATCCTCATGGAATCTTTTCCCCATACAGGCACTAATACATAAATAAGCCAAGTATTTTCCAAGACTTTGGTCTCTTAGTCCAGATTTTATTTTATAGGTAGAAAAACAGAGCAACCCTCTAAGCACTTCTCTGATTGTATCACTAGCCCATTCACATAGCTCACTTTTGCTCCTGGGGTAAGTTCCAACTGATTAGGTGGCCTTTGCTATCTGGGACATACACAAATCATTTTCTTATGTTATTCAACTTTATACTCACCAGGCTCATGACAACTTTTTCTTACAGACATAATCTTTTCTCTCTATTTTTCCCTCTGCCGTACCTCTGAAATGCACATACCCCTGTCTACTTAAGGAAATCTGGAATATTCTTTGAGGCCTGGTTCCAGTGTATCTTCCTTTAAGATATATTCTAATTGCCCTCAATTGAAACAAACTCCCATTCTTTTGACTCCAATAGAAATTTCTCTCTCTCATCTTATTTGTGGTCTTTCTTTTAGAGTAGGTGGAGTTTTTTATAGGTAGAAAAATGATTTGTGGCCAGGTGCAGTGGCTCACACCTGTAATCCCAGCACTTTGGGAGGCCAAGGTGGGTGGATCACTTGAGGTCAGGAGTTCGAGACCAGCGTGGCCAACATGGCGAAACCACATCTCTACTAAAAAAAAAAAAAAAAAAATACAAAAATTAGCTGAACCTGGTGGCACACACCTGTAATCCCAGCTGCTTGGGAGGCTGAGGCAGGAGAATTGCTTGAACCCGGGAGTTAGAGGTTACAGTGTGCTGAGATCATGCCATTGCACTCCAGCCTAGGTGACAGAGTGAGACTCCGTCTCAAAAAAAAAAAAAATCACCCCCTCCCCAAACTTCATCTCCAGTGCTTGGCCAAGTGCCCTGTGTGTAATAATGTGTTTTTCATTAAAGTAAAAAAGGATACTAATCCATAAAATAAAAGCAAATAGCATCTTTGAAAACAGCTGCTTTGATGACAAGTAACATGGAAGATTTGCACTGCATTGCACTAGGGAGATCATTAGGAAGATACTGAAGATCTAGCTAAATGACAATTCAGAGAAATTAACCACCTACATGGGGCTGTAATGGATTTCATTTCCTGCTGCTGGCCACATGGAAAGAAAATGCCTCACACATAAAGCAGGCAGCTTGTTGAAATGCTGAAAAAACTGTCATTAAGGACCTGGGCTGAGGCCACATAAGGAATTGAGATCAATTATATTCTCTGTAGTTGATGACATCATTTGTCTTTGTTGTTCACAAAAGCAAAAACAAATTTAATCATTCTATTCGTAGTTTGTATATTACTTTTTGTAAGCTACAGAACATTTCAACATCCATTATTTGATTTGTTTATATCAACAAATCAGTGAATAAGAAGAGGCTGGGTTATTTGTTCCAATTATAGGTGGGGAGGCAAAGTCTTAGTTTAGAAAAGTAAACTCCTGAATGTCACAAACTTATTGAGTTACAAAACCAAGTCTAGAATGTAGAACATTAACTTCTAGGAGAGTGTTTCTCATTTTTAACAAAAGAACTTAATCGCTGATTTTGAAAAAATGAAACAAAACAAAAGCACCACTGGGGATGAATTCTAGAAGATTAGAAACCTCTTGCATTCTAATACAGAGTGTTTGTTTGTTTGTTTGTTTTCTTGCCTGGATTGGAGTATATTGTGGTACCATATTGTACCAATTTAGGTAGGCTAAAAGTGTGTTTTCCAGAATTGCCTCCCATGCATAATTCTTAGTTAATGTAGCTCATCTGAAACCTCATTTGACTTATCTGACTTCCAAGGAGGCACATTTTTAGCTCCTTGTTGAAAGGCATCAGCATGTCTTGCAGAACACTTGCAGCATCAAAGTTGGAGGCTTAGAGATGGTAAAGACTGATGTGGGTTCCTCTCTGTCCTCAGGGGTTCCACCTTGTGTTTGTGGGTTCCAGTTTGTCTTAGCTTTTACCAACTTCATACCCATCTTCCCTTTTATGCTTACTGGTCTGTAGAATTCAGGTTGTATATACCAGCTTCACAGAGACTAAATAAACAGCTCACACAATGGCATTAGGTCAAACATCTATACTAAATACCCTATTTGATATATATGTAAATACAAACACGTATGTATTTAATATAATACATATAGAAAATATAATACAAAATCATGGGGAAAATGTTTCTGTAATAATCTAGGGAGATCCCATGGAATGCCTCCCAGTACTCACATATCCCAAGATTAAAGTCAATTAAAAAAAATTACAATGGCCTGAAGTAAGCAGACCTGATAATGGTCCAGATCCTTGAAGAATGATGATGTGGGACATCCTACACAGCAAGAAACCATAAACAGCTGAGGTATTTGCTGAGGGTAAAGGGGTTATAGAATGACTGGTGGAAAAAGGTAGTTATAAATCCTAATTAAGTTGATATGACCAGTTGTAGAAATGAACACTGCATTGGTCATGCAAAACTTTCCTTACTTTGATATGAATAGATTTGTGTATATAGTAGCAATTTTTTATCCTCACTTCTCCCATTTCCTTACTGTCTACAATACAGTGTATTAATAGCAGTCAGTTTCATATTTTAGTACTTACATTTCAGAATATCAAAAGGGGAATGTGACTCAACTAGAAGAGAAATGAACATCAGTCCAAAATAGTTGAAGAAAATTTGTATACTCTTTTGGGGAGAGGGCTAGCATGTTTTTGGTTTTGTGAGGGATAGTTGCATTATGTTAGGTGAAAGTGTGGGTTTGCTACTGTCTTTATTTAGAAGTTCAGTATGGCTAAAAGACGTGTAATTGGAAGCTAGCTTAAAAAGGGGTGGACTGTGATGGGTTTCTATTCTCTCAATAGCAAATCTGGGGCTACGTTTCTAAGAATTCCCTTCACTGAAGAGTTCCAAGTTACTGGAAGAAACTTGGAACAAAAGGAGTTCTGCATGAATTTTGAAAGGTCTACTGACTCAACAGGCAGTCAGATATGTAAGATGGGTATAAAGCGGTGAGAGTGAGGACAAACCCATAATCAATGTCTGGATCCCTGATGAACTGAGACTCACATTGATCTTTCAATATGTCCAAGCCTCCAACTGGAATGATTTGGTTATCCTGCAGGAAATGCTGGAGTCCTTCATCCGAATGGTAAATGGCACTTGTGACAAAAATCAAAGTAACTAAAAAAGAATCTGGTTGAAACCTCAGTAACAGTTGGCCTGTCTACTGCCTCACACTAACAAGGTAAGTCAGCTACCAGTGACAATGTGAGCAAGTTGCAACAGTGCCTAGGACCCCTGTATAACCACCCCACCCCCACCGCCGGATGTAACAAGCATATTATTGTTGCTTCATTTCCCTTTCTGAACTCAGCCTCAGTACCAGACACAAGGACAGCAGCCTTACATGTGTTTTTAATCAGCTCCCACAATTGTATACCATCAAATATTTACAGTCAATCAAAGAGTGAGTGTTGGTGTGTGACTCCTAGTGCTGCAGTTTCTTCTCTTGAATACTCATTGATTCATAATTCAAAAACCATTAGACTCCATAGGAGCAGGATTTGATGCCCTAATGGGAAACAAACTTTGCTTTCAAGCTGTGCTACTAATGATGATCATAACAATAGCTAAAATTTACTGTGCTCTTACCATGTGACAGAAACTGTTCTAAATGTTCTATGTTAACTCTTTTTTTAAAAAAAATAGGCTTGGAGGTAGGTACTATTACTATCCTCATTTTTATTTTACAAGTCAGGCAACTGACGTGCATGGAATTTAAGTCACCTCTCCAAGGTCACATAGTTGATGTAGGGAATCCACATCAATTACCAGCTATGACTTAAAGCCAGGGAGTCTGGCACCTTGAGAGCGTGTTCTAACCATTGTGTTTTTCTACTCCCAGACCAATTCTCTAAATGAAGTTCATCCTGAACAATCTGATCTCAGATTTACTCCTATGTCAGCTAATCCTCTGGAGGAAGCGGAAATGAGATAATGGGAATATCTGTGTAGTTATCTGTGGCTTAGGAATTGTTAATTGGTAAATTGATGTTAAAAGGAAAGAGAAAGAATTAAAAGAAGAGAAAATGGGAATATTTTTTGCACCTTGAACATGCAGCCATCAGAGAATGAATAAGCCAGTTTGATAAGTCTCAGTGAAAGTCAAAAACATTTTCTGCAGTGTGCAAAATATTTTATCAAGCAACACCTTGGCTTACTGTGCTAGACATCTGGCAAAGAGGATGTGTTCTAACTTTTTTTGTCCTTCATAGTGTCAGGAATTTAGAATCATAACTTTTTATTCCATATTTAGTACATCAAAATAACCGCATTCTATATTTAAACATATCAAATTGTTCTGTTTTTATATAATTTAATTTAAGAGAACCATAACTTAATTTTAAGTTCTGTGATCAAATTAACAAGATTCTTTTTATCTAATGTCTTCGATTTTATTAAGGTAAAAGTTATATAACAAAAAATTAACTGTTTTAAAGTTAACAGTTCAGTGGCATCTAGTACACTCACAATATTGTCCAACAACCACCTCTATCTAGTTCTAATATGTTTTTATTACCCCAGAAGGAAATGAAACAGAGTAACTGCTTATCATCTTTGAATTTTAAAGAACATACGTATAATTTTGAGACAAGGTCTCACTCCATTGCCCAGGCTAGAGTGCAGTGGTATGATCATGGCTTACTGCAGCCTCAACCTTCTGGGCTCAGGTGATCATCTCACCTCAGCCTCCCAAGCAGCCAGGACTATGGGCGTGCACCACCATGCCTGGCTCTTTTTTTTTTTTTAAGAGATGGGGTTTCACCATGTTGCCCAGGCTGGTCTCAAACTCCTGTGCTCAAGAGATCCTCCTGCCTCAGCCTCCCAAAGTGCTAGGATTTATAGGCATGAGCCAATGTGCCTGGCCTAAAATAATTTTTATGTGGAAAATTCTAGTTGTCTTTTAAAGTCTACCAAAAATCTCCTATTCTGCATTTATTTTTTTGTCTTTAACTTACTGATACTTGTATATTCCGCTCATCACTGACATTTTTTTCACTTTGTTGTGTATTTATCTATATAATTTATATATATATTATGGATAGCTATTACTAAATTTATGTATTAACATTTTATATATTTTAATTGTACTTTAAAGTTTATATATTGATATTTTAGTATTTCATACATTTAATTTTAAGATAGTCAAATCTGATTATCTTTTTCTTTAAGTTTTGTACTTTCCAATCCCTGTTTTTAAATTTATTTTGCTATACTAAGGTAATACAAAATGTTTTCCTCTAAAATTTTAAGGCTTTATTTTTCAAGATTTTACTTTGAAATTTATGTTGTATACAGTGTAGAAGAGCAAATATTATTTGTTTTTTCTTAGGGGGAGTCAGTTGATTCAGAATCAGTATTTGATTAGAAAACTCTTTTCTGACTTGTTATTCTACCTCTTTCATTTATCAATTGCAATCTACATGTTGTTTTAGAAAGATCCATAAATTATCTACTTCATCCCCTTTATTTTACAGGGGGAGCTAATAAAACCGAGGTTAGAACACACAATGTGGAAATGAAAACCTTATTCTTGTCAATGGATGGAGGGTGGGTAAGTGCCTGGGTAATAGCCTGATTCTTCCTATCATATCTGCTCCTATTGTGGCAGACAAGAGAGCTTGTCCAGGGGAACTTCCATTGATAAAACCATCAGATCTTGTGAGACTTATTCACTACCAGGAAAACATTATGGGGAAAACCGCCCCCATGATTCAGTTATCTCCACCTGGTCCTGCCCTTGACATGTGGGGATTATTACAATTCAAGGTGAGATTTGGGTGGGGACACAGCCAAACCATATCACTTGGATTAGCATTTTAGGTATCTTAGCTCTAGTCCTACTCTCTTTAATCACTATGCTATAGAGCTACTCTATCAATTTAAAAACAAATGTTATTCCTAAAACTGATATGTTAATTGTGTTTCATTTAAAGGTAGGAATAGATAAAAATTTCTTAATATTCTTAATACCAGAGCTTCTGTTAGCATCATTTCATCTTCTTAAAAGTCTGAAAGGAAAAGATAAAGAAATAAGAGATACTAGGATTAGAAAAGAAGAAAACCTTTGCCACAGTTCATTTAGAGAGAAAGGATAGTGGAGTGGTTAAACAAATAACAGCATAGAACCATACCCCTCAGTTTCAAACCTGACATTTTTCATTTCTGGCTGGGTGAATTTGAGCCAGTTGAGGGACTTTTCCAGGTTTAAGTCAATGAAATGTGGTATTAATTATTCTTAACTTTTAGGGCTTTATGAAAATTAAATGATGCTTCTGCTCAGTAAACAGGAAATAATTTCCTTTAG
Organism: Homo sapiens; assembly: GCF_000001405.40. Classification (NCBI taxonomy): domain Eukaryota; kingdom Metazoa; phylum Chordata; class Mammalia; order Primates; family Hominidae; genus Homo; species Homo sapiens. The sequence goes on from NC_000003.12 coordinate 191,560,508, forward strand.
ATTAAGTAAAAGATAAAAATTTAACAATAATGTATGTAATTGGGAATAAACCCAAACAGATACTCATACCAAATACCAAGAATATGGGTTTTATATCCTGGATCATTCTTTAGAATGAACATTTTTTGACATGATACTTGACTATTTAATTATCTGTCTTTGTGATATGATTATTCATATCCTTAACTAAAACATCTTTAAGATTTAAAAACAATCTCAAAGCAAATGGGTAAGGTTCATATCAGAGGATAAATAAGTGGTGTTATGGTTTGAATGTGTCCCCCAAAGTTTATGTGCTAGAAGCTTGATTCCCCAATGCAGCATTGTTGGGAGATGGGACATTTAAGTGGTGATAAGGCTATGAAGGCTTTTGTGTATTAGTCTGTTTTCACACTGTTATAAAGAAATACCCAAGACTGGGTAATTTATAAAGGAAAGAGGTTTAATTGACTCACAGCTCCACATGGCTGGGGAGGCCTCAGGAAACTTACAATCATGGAGGAAGGGGAAGCAGGAACATTGTTAGGAAAGAGAGAAGAGTGTGTGTAAGAGGAACTGTCAAACACTTACAAAACCATCAAGAACTTTCAAACACTTATAAAACCATCAAGAGAAGATAGTGAGAACTCACTCACCATCATGAGAACAGCATGGGGAAAACTGCCCCCATGATCCAATCACCTCCCACTGGGTCCCTCCCTTAACACATGGGGATTATGGGTATTACAATTCAAGATGAGATTTGGGTGGGGACACAGCCAAACCATATCAGCTCTGCCCTTATGAATGGATTGTCATTATCATGAGAATGGAATTCTTATCTTGGTATTGGGTTTTTCATAAAAAGACAGATTTGGCACCCTTTTGTCTCTCTCTCTCTCTCTCTCTCTTTCATTCTTGCCCTTTCTTTGCTCTTCTGCCATGGGATGATGCAGCAAGAAGACCCTCACCAGATTCCAGCCCCTCGATCTTTGATTTTCCAGCCTCCAAAAACATGAGCCAGTAAATTTCTGTTTGTTTGTTATAAATTACCCAGTCTGTGGTGTTCTGTTATAGCAGCACAAAATGGAGACAAATGGTCAGGTAACACTGAAAGATGCTCATGCTTCCTAGGAAATAGGATCATTTATATTTTATAAAATAATACATCAACAATATGATACAAAAATTAAACACCTGGCAATAATATGTACAGTTAGAATGAAACCACTAATGATTATTCTTTGATGGAGCAGATAATAGTAAATACAATTAGATCAATTTGATAATATCCAGTAAATTTAAAGATGTGAAAACAATTTTCAGAGAAACATGCATGTGATTAAAAAGACATAAACAGAAGAGAACATTGCTATATTATGATAGAAGAAAATCTGAATGTTCATTAAGTGAATAGATGAATAAATTATAATATACCCATAATGCGATATACTACAGGGTACTTCAAATGAATCAACTATATTTACACATATCAACAAAGATAAATATTAAAGAATGTAAGATCATGGCAAAAAGCAAGTTGCAGAAAACTACGTATAGGATGTAGCACTTATGTAAAGTCTAAATCATACAAAATAATAATGTTCCAACTCAATAAAGGCAAATATAGGACGTAAATATATGCAACCATGAATGGTATTGAAAAATGCAAAATTAAGCATATTTAGTATCTTTTCTGATGGGTCATGGAATGCAAGATGAGCATGAGAGGCTTCAACCCCACCTATTTATTATTTATCACTTAAAAATTATTTTTTGATAACAAAATGATAAAGTGGCTGAATTTCAAGAGAGACAGTGTCTACATAGGTGTTTGTTGTAATATTCCTTCTACAATTAAAATTCACTGGGATCAAACATCCCCAGGTCTCTAGCCAGAACCAATAATTACTACGTTTTGAGTCATTTTTTAGTCTTTCTTCTGCAGGTAATTCTGATTTTCATTAAAAATAAGGAAGGCATGTTTTGTGCTTAAGCTGAGACAGGTTTAAGTGACATTATTTTTCAATCCAATTAGGTGCCCTGATTCCATTTATTCAGAAGGAGATTTATATCTATATATGCCACTTGCAAATATGACTGCCATTTTCTAATTAAGAAGAAATTTTATCTTGACTAGATCTATTTCACCTATAGATGAATGCTTGATTTAACATTTACATAATTAATTGGGTGTGTCTGCTTGCTACTACATTCTCATGAAACTTTGCAGCTTCTCAACTACATCCAAACCTATTACCTTTTAAGAACCTAAGTATTTTCCCAGTATAAACAGTTTTCCATCGTATGAGCTTTAAATAATATTTTAACATAAAATATACAGTTTACACAGGGATATCTAAAGTGATGTCTATACAAATCCTAATGTGAATGTTTTTGTAAAGTGAAATATCTTCTTGTCGTGGGAATTAATCTTTGTAAATATAAATTATCTCTTTATTATCTTTCTAAAACTTTTCAATTCCTTAAATTCAGGTGAATGTTAACTCATTTTGTCAGCAGAATATTTTTCAAAGTTATTTATTATCTATAAAATATATTTGCTTAAGGTTTAGCATTTTGGGGAAATTATATAACAGCTATCAAATGAGGGTCTTCTGTAAGTGCTTATAAAATCAATAATCTAATGATATAAATAGATCTATAAAGAGATGATAAAATTAAAGAACAATTACTAACATTCTAACTAGTCTAACATTTTATGCCAATCAAGAACATATACCTGTTTAAGATATTCAGAGTATACTTTATGCTTTATTATTAAACAGTATAAATAATATTTCAGAATTTTTTAGAATACCAAGTATATTGTACATGAACATGGCATCAAATTTAGTGTCATGGGAAAGAATCTTTAGCTATAATTATGTAGTACTGGTGCAATACGTAATTTGTTTTAGCGTGACAGACCCCCAGGTCTTCAGTAAGCTCCAAACTGCCAGGGAAAACAGATGAGTAAGAAACTGGACAGAGAAGCGCAATTTTTAAAATGAAGAACTTGATCTAAATATTTTAGAGTGTTTCCCATTTAAAAAAAAACAGAAATTGATTATATATATATATATATATATATATATATATATATATATAATTGTGTCAGTTCTCCAGATTGTTTCACATGGAATTTACATCTTTGCAACCCTGAAACCCTGTTTCAGTCCTGTCTTTTTCACTGAGTGTTCCAAAATCTCTTTCCCATAGTTGCTGCATAATTTCTTAAATTGCTTAGAAGCTTTCAAGGGGAAAGGAGCTAAGTGAGTAGATTAACGAGGGGCTGTTTGTGAAATTCTTAAGAGTTCGTCAATGGCAGGTGTGATAAATTACAACATTGTTATGATGATGATCGTGTAGCAAACCATTATTAGTGCTTAAGGTGGACTATCTCATTACACAAACACCACTTGAATTTGAACATACGTCAGCAGAAAATGTAAACGGTTCACACAATTCCAACCAAACAGGCATTTCTCTAGTTGAAATTAGGCTTGGAAGTATTGGCCATGTTTACTATCAAATGGTTCAGTTACATTTTACTAATGTACAGGAAAACCTAAACTCATGTACATCGAAAATTAACTCTTAAACATTTCTTTGCGTAATTATCTATTTTTCTTGAAATTTTTGTATGTGACACGTTCCTTAAATAAAACCTCTGCTAAAATAACATAATTCAATGAGTTTAAGAGCAGATAAATGACACAGTAAGATATTCAGAAGTTTTATAAAAAATAAATCATGTGAATAAACAATTGTGTTTGGTATAAATGGAATATTGTCAGTGTCCTTTTATGAATTAAAATGGCTTTATTCCAGCCTGGGCAACATGGCAAAACTCTGTCCCTACAAATAATATAAAAATTAGCTGGGCGTGGTGGCACACATTTGTAGTCCCAGCTGAGGTGGGAGAATCACCTGAGCCTGGGAAATCAAGGCTGCAGTGAGCCGTGATTGTGCCACTGCACTCCAGGCTGGGCGACAGAGTAAGACCCTGTCTCAAAAAATTAAATTAAATGGCTTAATAGCCTGGTTCTAAAAACCAATGTGTACCAAATAGAGAAATTCCAGTTTTTAGCTTCATTCATTTAATCATTGTTAAAAATATCACCGATTATTCTTCACGATTTAAAAAATAAATTCTACACAACGTAGACTAATTGAATGTAAATTCAGTGACATAAACTCCGTGCTCATTTATACCCAAATCTGTTATTCTTCTACTCTGTATCCCAGCTATGAACACTTTCTATCATCTCCAATGCTCCGGCCCAAGATTTCAATTGTTTCTTATCTGGAATTGTTAAAGTTGTTTAACTGATGTCCTTGCTTCAATCCCTGAACTCCTACTTTCATCATCTAGAGACATCAGTGTAAACTTTTTAAAATGTAAATTGGATCTGTTACTCTCAATTAAAACACTCCAATGAATTCCCATTGTAAATGGAATATTTTCTTCATGACCTCCAAAGCAAGCCTGATCTTGTTTCTGCCGTCGTTTCCAGCTCCTCTTTCATTGTTTCTCTCATCTTCTCTGGCTTCAGACACACTGGACTTTATTCTATCCATTGAAAATTCCAGGCTTGGTTTAGTTTCAGAATCTTCTCCCTTATTGTTAACTTTGTCTGGGATAGTCTCTTCCCTATTTTAAGTATGGCTTGTCTCCTTATTTATTTCTCAAGTCAGATGTATCATCTTCTTAGCCAGACAGTACCTTGCTAAGATTCATTGTTGTGCTAGATTATAATTAATTTAGATGTGCTTAGGGTCATTGCAGTTCCAAAATAAAAGATGCCATGAGTTTTAGCTGTATTCTAAGATAATGGAATTTATTCTCTATATATCCAAATCTTAGTAAATTAACACCATGAAATACCCAGAATAACCACGTATCTCTAAAACCATATGAAAATAAGTGATGTGCTAACGACATTAACAAGTAAGAGAGTGCCAGGAATCCAAAGCATAATGGGGGAGATCCCCATATTGATACCTAATCAATCATGTGCAGTTTAGTTTTAAAGATATATCCTAAAAATCAAAAACAAACACACAAAAAAACTAAATAAACTAAGAAAGAAGTTTTTTCTCTTCACCATATATTATTACTAGCTGGCCTTTTGATTTTTTCTGGTTTCCATTTTATAGGAAAACAGATGTTTCTGAACAGGTGTAAGTGGGTGGATTCAAAAACCTAAAAACATTGAAAGCTTTTATTTCTCGTTTATTTTTAGAAAAGAAAGAAGAAAATATATGATAGTATCCATTCTTTTAAAAGCCTTTATTGGCACTTGGTTTTATATTCTACTGCTATTTTAATTTTTCTTCCCTTAAGTTAGTTGACCATATAAATTAATAATAATAAAATGAAATTTAGTATTTATTTTCTTCTTCAAAATTAAACAAGCCCAGAGGGAAAATGCCCAGTTGTCCAGTGGTCTCTGTAATAACTTCACACAACCTATCCCATCTGTCCTTTTATTTCCATCCCGTGTTCTAGTTCAGGCCCTCGTTATTTCATGTTTTTTTTTCTTTTTTTGCAGAAAATTCCTATATGAACTCGATAACTGGATTTTTTGTTTCACTAAAGTATCTCATAAATAATGGTTCCAAAGAAATGTTTTAAATAGCAGATTTAATCAGGCAGGTGGACTGGAGTAAACCTGGAACCCAAAATTAGGATACGTATGTTTATTGTGGCACTATTCACAATAGCAAAGATTTGGAACCAACCCAAATGTCCAACAATGATAGACTGGATTAAGAAAATGTGGCACATATACAGCATGGAATACTATGCAGCCATAAAAAATGATGAGTTCATGTCCTTTGTAGGGACATGGATGAAGCTGTTTTTAAACTATTTCTTGTACTTTCAAGCTGTTTTACCTTTTCATCTTATTTATCTTTTTTGAAAATCTGTTTCCTCAATTTTACAATCTTATTCTCTGACTTATTGCAAGGTTTAAGCAAGGTTATGCATATTACATTTTAGCATGATGCCTGATAGTAAACAAACATTTTAAGATCGCTGTTTAATGTTTCTCCCCCAAGCAAAACCATAAATAGCTTCCCATCACCAAGAGAATAAATTCCAAAAGTTTACCAATGGCATTCAAATCATGCCACAAACTGGAACCAACATGTTCATTCAGTGAACTTGCCCCTAATGTATTCAGTCCTTTAGAAAGTTGGACATTGTTTCTGTACATGCCTTGCATTCTCATCCCTTTATGTCATTTTTTGCAGATTCTGTTATGTGGAATGCCTTTATACATCTTTGTCTACTGGTTGGGATGCTGCTCATTTCCCTTTTCCTGAAAGCTTTCCAGACACTCAAGGTGCCATAAGGCAAAATATAATAGTTTATATTTCTGTGTCCTCAAACATCGTAAACAGTCAATGTGTCGGATGAACTTTTCTCCAATTCATTATAACCAGACAATAGGTTCTTTGAAGGCTATGACCAAATCGTGAGCCCATTTTCCTTCCTTAACATACTGCACCCAAATGAGCAGAACCTAGTGGAGATCTTGCGGCTTAGAGCTTGCTGAATTTGGTAAAGACAAAAATTCTTGTGTTATGTGTGGTGGTTGCATGTGCATGTGTGTTAGTGTAGGTGCTGTGTGTGTGTGTGTGTGTGTGTGTGTGTGTTTGCATGGGGCAATATGGAGATAGTGATGGAGTACAAGAAGGAGCTTGACTTTCATGAGCTCCTGAGAAAACTCATCTATCCATCAATCCCCCATGCAATTACTAAGTGCTTAATCCATGCCAGGCACTGTTAGAAGGCACCAGGAAGACAAAGTTCCTGCCATCGACACTTACATACTAGAGGAGGAAATAGGAAATAAACAGGTAAGGAAATACATGCAAAGTATGATATTAGGATGTGATAAGCATTATCAAGTGAGTAAAATGGAGAAAAGGAATAGAAAGTGACAGGGGTTGCAATTTTGGAATAGATGATTAGAGAAGTCCTACCAGCAAAGTGACATTTGTTGAGCAGGAACATAAAAGAGGTGAGGTATTAAGCTAGGTACGTATCTAAAAAAAAATGTATTTCCAGGCAGAGGAAACAGTAATGGCAAAGGTTTTAGAGAAAAAAAAAAGTATAACCCAGGTTAACCTCTCTTGCAGAACTAGTTTAGCCTGTCCCTTTTACTGGTGAAATCACTGTTAATGTTTCTGTAGTAAAGGTAGTGTTTTAAATGATTTATATAATACAATAAAATTTGTAATCTCATTCAAGCTCCTTTCTTCATCTTTAAAATGAAGTTAAACTCGGGAAAAAAGGATTGTTCTAGCTCTGAATTGCTGCACTACTGTGACTTAAGTGCTCCTCTGCTCTCCTAGCAGCACTTTTATCTTACGAATTTATATTTATATATATATGATTAGAACATTATAAAGTAGAAAAAATTATGGTTGTTATTTTTATTAGTAGTAGTATTTTGTCTGTATTTTGTGATTTCTGAAGCTGTGGCTACCTGGTTCTTTCTGTTTCAATTATGACTTTAATTGTGAGGCAACACTGTAAAGCACTCAAATATCAGTGGTCAGGAATGTGCTGCAAGCAGATCCTCTCTCTCTTATTAATTCCAGAACACCAAATGTCTTAGTCCATTTTGCCTTACCATAAAGGAATACCTAAGGCTGGTAATTTATAAATAAAAGAGGTATATTTGGCTTATGCTTCCACAGCCTGTACAAGAAACATGGTGCCAGCATCTGCTTCTGGTGAGGACTGCAGGAAGCTTCCAATCATGGTCCAAAAAATGCGGAGCCTGCGTGTCACGTGATAAGAGATGGAGCGTGAGAAAGAGGCAGGAGGAGAAAGGTGCCAAGCTATTTTTAACAATCAGATCTCGAGGGAACCAATAAGACAAGAACTCATGATCTCGGCACCAAGCCATTCTTAAGGGATGTGCCCCATGACTCAAACACCTCTCATTGGCCCCACCTCTAATTCTGAGATCAAATTTCAACATGAGATTTTGAGAGGACAAATATGCAAACTCTATCACCTCGAAAGAGAATATTTCTGGGAATATTAAGAAGGGGTCACAAGGCAGACTCAGGGGTTGGGTTTTGTGTGTAACCATGGTATGGAATCCACACGCAGTCCATGTTGCTAGCTCCGGTTTTGGAGGCTGAGAGGTGACTAAGTCAGGCGTTCAACCTAGATTCTTCAACCTAGTCCTTCACTTAAGCACTTGGCTGAAAGATTGGCTTCAGAAGACAGTACTCCAGCTGGGATGTTGCACATGGAACAGATTGATCTTGAAATCTGGTCCTGAAGTCAACTTCACAGCAGGAATTTCACACATGCAGGCACAAACCAGCACTTGTGAAAATCTCCATGAAATAGCTGCTAATATTGTCTAAACTGGCTTTCAGCTCGGTAGCCAGTCTTCCAGATAAATGTCAAATTAACTGGATAATTATACCTCAATATGAACTCAATGTCCAACATTAGCTTTTTGGGAGATTTATTTTTCTTTAAACTGTGCTGGCTTCGTAATCTTATAGAAACATTGTTTATCTCAGATTCTGAGAAGTATTCAAATAAGTAAAAGAGTAAATGAAATGGATTATCATTTTCCTCTTTCCTCTTCCCTCCCTCCCTTCCTCCTTCTTTCCCTGTACCTAGTGTGTGTGCAAAGAACTATGCTGGGTGTTGTGGAATAAAACAAGTTAACATATAACCTTTCAGTAATCAACTAGCAACCTCATGGGGAAGACAGAAAAATGCTAAGCGTAAAATACCGTAAATATGCTCTAATAGAAATATCAACTATGTATTTTGAAAACATACAGATTCTAAGTCCCAAAACAACCAGGACCTGCTGTCTTGGCTACTGCTTTTAACTATGTTGGTTAGCAAGATGATGACACATAGTAGGTGTTCAAAAGATAGAACAGGGAATGTACTTTCTAATTTTGTGAAAAAGATGAGTAGCAAAGAAATGAAAACAAAGATTATATTTGAGCTGGGATATAAAGGAATTTCTTTTTTCTTAACCTGTTTTAATTTTGTTGTTTTTGTTTTGTGAAAAAAAAACACTGGATGCTTCAAACACTTTCTCTTTCTACAGTGACCCCCACCTTTACAAGTGTCTGTAATTCTCACTAGCAGTATATTAGAGGGCAAAAGATTTGAACAGACACATCAGAAAAGAAGACATACAAATGGCCGCTAAGCACTTGAAAGGATTCTGAACACCATTAGTCATCAGTGAAATGCAAATTAAAGCCATAATGAATGGCGCTATACATTTTCAGAATGGCAAGGATTGAAGACCGAAAAAAATCAAGCGTTGGTGAGTATGTAAACTTATTGGGTTTATGTTTTACATATGCAAAATTTTGTCTCCGTAAGGGAGAGTTTTACTTCTTATTTCCTAACTTTGTATGTTTTATTGCTTTTACTTTCCATATTTCGATTGACAGAACCTCTTATACAGTGTTTCCAGTTTTCATTTTTGAATTTTAAGGGTTCTTTATATCATCTGGCATATGTGTTGTGAATATTATCTCGCAGTCTGTGGGTTGCCTTTTGATTTTATTAACCGTGCTTCCAAGGAGAACAAATTGTGATTAAACAATTTATTAATGTTTTTATAGTGGTTAATAATATTCGTGTTCTAAGAAAACGTTTCTTAACCTCTCTAGAAATTTTATAATTTTAGGATTTACATCTAAGTCTGTAATCCATTTCCAGTGTATGGCATGAGATACGAATCTCTTATCTTACTTCCATTTAGAAATTTAATTGTTCCAGCCACATTTATTGAGAAGTATTTTCTTTCATTATTGAATTGTCTTAGTGCCTTTGTAAAAAAAATCAATTAACTAAATATGTGTGGGTCTATTTCTGAACTTGTGACTTTGTCTCATCCCTCTATGTCTTTAAACTTTTGCCACTCCTAAAGTGTCTTGATTTCTGTAAGCTTTATTTTGTCTTGAAATCAAGTATGGTAATTATTCTAACTTTGTTCTTCTTTTAAAGAAAGTGCTTAGCGAGGTAATGCTAAGTTATTTGAACTTCCATATAAATTGTAGAATCAGCTTGTAGAGTTTGCCAAAAAAAACCTATGGGATTTTTATTGGAACTGCATGGAAAGCATAGATAATTTTTGAGTAATTGACATTTAACAATATTGAGACTTTCAATCCTTGAATGTAATATATCATCCCATTTATTTAGACCTTCAATTTCTCACAAGAATATTTATAATATTTAGTGTGAGATCTTTGTTTATTCTATTGTATTTATCTAAGTATTTTATGAATTTTAGTGCTATCATGAATGGATTTTGAGCAAATACTGTTTTCTAGTTATTTACTGCCAACATATACAAGTAGAAAACATTTTTAATATTAACCCTTTATCCTGTAACCTTGTTAGACTCATTCATTAGTTCTAGCAGTTGTTTTGTAGACTTATTGAGGGTTTTTTGTACATAGATATTATTATGTATCTATATGTCTCAATAAATGCAAAATAGAAATTCCTGATTCTCTTTTCTACCAGGTTGTTTTATCTTTATATATGGAAGTACCATCACTATCACATATTTGCTACAGACTAAAAACTAGACATTATCTTGATCACTCCTTTGTCTCATCTTCCAAATTTAATCCAGAAAATCCCCTGGTTATCTCTGCCATTCTAAATCTTTCCAGTTATATTTATTTTTATAGCCACCACCTTAACCCCCAGCTACAATCCTCCCATGTCTGATGGGTTAAAATCATTTACTTAATGATCTTCTTGCTTCTTCTATTGACCCTCCACACAACAAAGAGAATTATCTTTTTGAAATATTAATAGGATTATGCCTATACACTGTCAGAAGCACCTCATTAAGCTTCAGTTGAGCCCCAGGTTACTTACTGCTGTCTTCAAGACTTGAAACACTGTGCTCCCTACTTAAGCTCCATACTTGTACTTTTTCTTCTACTCATTATGGTGTGACTGCAGCTGTCTTTTCTGTTTCTTGAATATATCCAGTCCTTCTCACCCTCGGGTGCTTGAAGCTGTTCTTCCCTCTGCCTGGAGTTCTCCTCACCTTTCAGGTTTCAGCTCAAAGATAAAATTCTCAGAGATGCCTTCCTTGAAACACTAGCTACAACAGTTATCCTACAATTAGTCTCCATGTCTGATTAACTTGCTTATTTCTTTCATTACATTATCATAACCTGCAATAACCTTTTTATTTTATTTTTGACTGGCTTTGTTCCTATTACTATAAGATATCTTGTCTTTTCAATTTGTTGCTGTATTCATAATGCTTCAAATAATACCTAACACATAATAGGAATTCAACATGTGTATTGAAGGAATAAGTCAATGAATAAATATTTCTAAAAGTCTAAGCTTTTGTTAAATTCCTAAAGGGGACTTTTACTCAATTTAAGAACCACTGCTTTTAAAGTACAAAAAAAACATCGATTTCTTCTGTTTTGTTCTAAAGCATAAAAATCACAATAGCATTAATCAAAGGAGGACATAAAGTAGGAAAGCAGACATATAGGTATAATAAAATAGACCTCTCTATATCAGTTGATTTCTATCAACCGACTAAATCTGAAATAGATTACACGTATTATGAGAGTTCCACTGGCAGCTTCTCAGAAATTTCCCTGAGATTTAGAATTTATTGGCATCTTCGATTGCTTTAGCGTTGCACTAGTATGATATTTATGCGATTAAGACATTGTCAAGCACACCATTTGAGACAAATTTTGAAAGACAATATTTCCCTTGTTTAAAATACTAATTCATAATCCTTCCTATTTTTATATCGTGTCTTGCACTTACTTTAGTTATCTAGCTTTTGTTGCTTTTTTGTATCTCTAAAAACCATAATATCTTACCCTTGAATTTTTTGAATTGATATATTATTTATGTGACTGAAATCATTTTCCTTCTTGTTTAGTTTTTTTAAGAGATACTAAGGGAAATGTTACTCTGTTCTATAAGATTAATTTATAAAGCATCTCCTTCTTTGTCACATGATCAGATACCACCAAAACATTAAATGTTTTCAAATAGATTTTAATAATGTCTGAACAAAACCATCATCTTCCCAAAAGTTATGTTGACGTTTACCTCATATGCTTAAATCAGAGAGAAAAAGGGTCCAAACCACCACACAATTAAAATAATAAGCACACCAATATTATATTGCCCCTAAAATGAAATCAATTCTTTTTAAAATCCAATGTGCTGTGTATCTCTCCTATATCATTTACTTGACAGCTGCCGTTTATTGAATGCTTTCTCTGCTATTACAATATTTAATATACGTCTTTTCTGGTCCCTCTTCCCACACTAGTAATATTGTAAGCCTCTTTAGTGTTGCATCAAAGATTCTTATTAGAAATGTCCCATGGTACCTGGAACACAATAGCTCCTTATTGAATTTAACTACTAAATTACCACAAATATTCATGACAACAAATTATAACCATATATTGGGAAAATGCCAACATAATCAAGCCAAAAATATCCATATCTATTAATCAAAGACTGTATTCTACAGATTTGCAAGGATTTTGTCTTTTTTAGCTTCAAGTTATTATAGAGTGCTATTATTAACATAGAACTACATTTTTGTCCACTTACTTCAGTATGGCAGTGTTAGGCTGAAATATCTTACTCTAAATATTTATATGTTGAAGTCCTAGCCCCCAGTATCTCAAAATATGACTGTATTTGGAGACAGGATCTTTACACATGTAACTAAGTTAAAATGAGGTGATTCCGGTAGGTCCTAATTCACTATGACTTATGTCCTTATTAGAGGAGAGTGACAAATGGGGAGACAGCCGTGGTGCATGATCGCCGAATAAATACCATGTGAGGATACAGCAAGAAGGTGGCCATCTACAAGCCAAGGAGACAGGCCTCAGAAGAAACCAACCCTTCTTACACCCTGGACTCAGACTTCTAATCTCCAGAACTGTAAGAAAATAAATTTCTGTTGCTTATGCTGCCCAGTCTGTGTTATTTTGTTATAACAGCCCTAGCAAACTAATACAGCCAGAGTACTGCTTCTTTAATGAAATTTCATTGATGTTTTATAGATAGGAACACTACTTCTTCAGAGGGGGTGAGGAAGTTTAGGGCGATATTTAAAGACATGGCTTTGACATTCCATAAAAGTCACAGACTGTCTAAGGGTTTCAGCTCTATGTCTTACCTGGCAGTTGTCATTTATCTGCTATTACAATTTTTTACGTACATGTATGTCCCTGGAAAGTTCCTTAACTGTATTTAATTTCATTATGCATAAAATATTTTATTGGTTTGTAAAAATGGATGCAATATATATAAGGTACTTAGCATTAGTCAGACATATATTAATCAATTAATATATTTTAGTTTAAAAATAGATGTTTAAATTTTACATAGGATTTTAAAGAAAATAATTGCCTCTAGGCCATATAGAATGTCTATGGAATTAAACATTTTGTTTATTGAACAAAATTGTTTAATTTAATTGTAGAACATTTTAAAGATGGAATAAATTTTAAAAAACGAACAACCTATACATTACCACCCATAGATAGCTACTGTTAACTTGTAGTTTTATTACCTGTAACTTTTTTCTTTGGGTAGTTAGCAATTTTAAAATATATTTATCATATGACATATTTAATTCTTAAAAAATATCTTCTTACTAAAGACTAATGCATACTCACAGTTGAAAAATGAGGAAATGCATAAAAGTATTATAAATACACTTAGAGGTTATAGTAATTGTTAATAATTTTCTATATTTTATTGAAATCATATAATGTAAATAAATATTAAAATAAATGAACTGGAAATACTTATAATTTGTATTTACTCAATAAATATTAATACATATCAGAAACTGTTTTATATGCACAAGATATAATGCTGATTAAGACAGGCCAAGTACCAGACTTTCCTTCTACCTCATTCCATTTGGGGAAAGAAGTAATAAACAAGAAAAAATCAATTATTGATTCAGATGGTATGATAGACTTGATAACCGAACAAACTCGTTGAAATCAATTGCAATTGCTGATAAAATACTCTTACAAACCCATTCCTCTCAAAACACAGACAATCTTGCAAGAAAGATAGAAATTTTTAGATGCCAAAAAATAATTGAAAGTAGAAACTCAGAGTTATAAGCAGAGAACTGAAGCAGGTTGTTACCTGAGGGTGTTTGCCAAACCAAAGAAAGCTGAGCTTAGATTTTAATGACCTCAAGAAGTACAGAGGACAAGGGACAAATCTCATATCCAGAATAGATATGAGGAATTTCTGTCTCAACTTGACATTGGATAGAAAGAGAAAACATCTTCAATAATTGATAGACATAAAATCAAATTTAACGCAGTTTGAAATCATGAAGTAATATATGACAATGAAAATGACAAAATGTCTTTGAAAAAATACTAAATAAGATTTCTGAAAGTGAAAAATAATAAAATAATTTAAATAATTCAATATGTGGAATTATCAGTAGTTTTAATTCAACTGAGGAAAGAATGTACTGGAAAATATATTCAAGAACTTAATCAGACTATATAACAGAAAAACAAAGAAATAGAAAGCATGAAACATTAGGAAACATAAAGAAGAGAATAAGAAAATCTAGCATAATTGAATTACCTGAATTTTAAAAATTGAAGAAATGAAGACAGCTATATTTGAACAAATGATGCCTAAAAAATTTGCCATAAATTTTTACAAAACACAATCATTTGACTCAGGAAACCAAATGAATCATAGTAGGATACATAAAAAATAATTCCTATCGTCACATTGTAATAAAACTAAATAATTAAAAAGGCAATGTTCTTTTATTATTATTATTATTATACTTTAAGTTTTAGGGTACATGTGCACAATGTGCAGGTTAGTTACATATGTATACATGTGCCATGCTGGTGTGCTGCACCCATTAACTCGTCATTTTGCATTAGGTATATCTCCTAATGCTATCCCTCCCCTCTCCCCCCACCCCACAACAGTCCCCAGAGTGTGATGTTCCCCTTCCTGTGTCCATGTGTTCTCATTGTTCAATTCCCACCTATGAGTGAGAATATGCGGTGTTTGGTTTTTTGTCCTTGCGATAGTTTACTGAGAATGATGATTTCCAGTTTCATCCATGTCCCTACAAAGGACATGAACTCATCATTTTTTATGGCTGCATAGTATTCCATGGTGTATATGTGCCACATTTTCTTAATCCAGTCTATCGTTGGACATTTGGGTTGGTTCCAAGTCTTTGCTATTGTGAATAATGCCGCAATAAACATACGTGTGCATGTGTCTTTACAGTAGCATGATTTATAGTCCTTTGGGTATATACCCAGTAATGGGATGGCTGGGTCAAATGGTATTTCTAGTTCTAGATCCCTGAGGAATCGAAAAAGGCAATGTTCTTAAAAGTCTGATGAGAGAAAAAAAAGATTGCTATTAACAAATAATAGATTGCTAGCTGACTTCTTAATAGCAACAATGGAAACCCAAACATAGAATAACATTTTCAAAATGTTGAGAGAAAAAAAAATCCAAAATGGTGTACCAAGACTAATTTTTATAAAAATATTCAGACCCTCCAGTAGCATTGTCTTAGGTCTGTAGTCCCAGCACTTTGGGAGGCTGAGGCGGGTGGATCGCTTGAGGTTAGGAGTTCGTGACCAGCCTGGCCAACATGATGAAAATCCATCTCTACCAAAAATACAAAAATTAGCTGGACGTGGCGGCGGGTGCCTGTAATCCCAGCTACTCGGGAGGCTGAGGCAGGAGAATCGCTTCACGACTGAGCAAGACTCCATCTCAAAAAAAAAAAAAAAAAAAAAGTTTAGACAATTAAAAACAATGTGTTGTTTTGTTGTTGTTGTTGTTTATTAGGTTTTGTTTTTTAAGATGGAGTCTCACTCTGTTGCCCAGGCTGGAGTGTAGTGGCGCCATCTCAGCTCACTGCAACCTCTGCCTTCTAGGTTCAAGTGATTCTCCTGCCTCAGCCTCCCGAGTAGCTGGGATTACAGGTGCCTGCCACCATGCCCAGCTAATTCTTGTATTTTTTAGCAGAGATAGGGTTTCACCATATTGGCAACAAAGTATTTTTATCAAAATACTCTGAGCACTCTAAATCATATTTCTGCTGAGTTGCAGTGATCCTACTACAAGGACAGGTAGGCAAGTATACCACTAAAATGGGGTCATTAATATGCCCTGCTTTTACAGTAATTGACCTTACTGACAACATTCAGTGAGAATGAGGATTTTATACCACCCAATGAACAAGCTTGATTTAAGGGACATAGATATACACAATCATATTATTTGCACCTAATAATAGTTTACTTCCTTTCTGTTACTCATATGTTTTATTTCTTTTTTCTGATCTTATTGTATTGGCTAAGATATTCAAATAAAAAAAGTTAGTGAGAAGCAGTAATAGTGGATACCTTTATCAGTCAAGAATAACTATAGTGAACAGAAAATTCTACAAGTACTTTAAGAAGGAAGGAATTTGATTAAAGGATATGGCAAGTCAGAAAATCACTAAAAGGACTGCCGGTCTAGGTTGCAGGTTAGGCCTTCAGGCCTGCCACTCAGAACAAGGCAAAACTGCCTCCACATAGGAGTACTATTTCTAAAACCACAACTGATCAAGAAGATGCCACCGGCTGCAGTAGTACTTTAAAGACACAGAAAAAAGAATTTACAGATTCCATTTTACATTCACATAAGTAGTTGCAAGGAAATGTGGATTTGTAATTTTATGCCTCAGCATATCTAGCTAGCAAAAGGGTAAAAGACAGTTGTATGAGCTATAATTTTATGAGCAGTATCTTTTCTTTTTTTCTATTTTCATGAAATACTTTTTAAAAATTATCATTAACTATGTTGTTCACAGTATGCTTTTTCTGCATATCTTTTTTAGGTTAACTGTTTCTAAATTAATAATGGAGAACATTTATAGTTGCAAAACTATAATGAAAGACTTTTAATATTTTTTTTTAAGTCAGAGACAGGTTTTTTAGGGAGTCTTTAAATTAACTTCCTGTTTTCTGTTGGACTTTCTCTGTACCTGTGAACTTTTATGCTTGGGCATCTCTGGGTTTCTGTCTGGAAAATGATCTCCTTTCTCCCATTACATTTTCCCTTATGTATAGTTTAGTCTGTTACTTCTGTGATTCTATCTGTCCTATCACTTTCGCATTCTGTCTTCCATAAATTCGTTAAATTACCTCATTCACTATAGGTAATGTCTCCCATTGTTTTCAGGTGATAGGTTCATTCCATTTATTCCGTTACAATCATCGTAACTGGATTTCTAGAGGGAGTGGGGGAAAAAAGACACAGAAAATTCTACTGAATTTTTCAAATCCTCCACTTATTAATTTAATCTCTTATTTTTTCATTAATATCTGACAGAGATATGTTAAAACCTCTCATGATGATAAATTTTTCGTTTTCTTGGGATTCCATAAATTTTCTTTTTTATAAGTTTCAAAACTTTGTTGTTAGTTTCATTCAACTTTATGATCTTTCTGGTGAATTGAATCTTTTCTCAATATCTGATTACTCTGTTTATTGGTAGTTTGATTTAAAGTACCTTTTATCTGATATTAATATAGACACATCCAATATATTTATTTTGCTTGAATTTGCCTCATGTGTTTTTTCTCTTCTGTATAGAAATACTTTTAAAAAATATATTCTTAAAATACAGTCTGACAATTTTTATTTTTATTTTAATACAATATTTACTTTAGCCCTACATTGATTATGATTTGTTTATAAATTCTGTCTGTCCATGTGAGGGTATTTTTTCTTTCTCTTTTTTTTCAGTCATTGTAATTTTTCCACCTACTGGTTTAGAGTTTATATCAAATCTATATTTTAGTAGTTTTTCTATAATTTTTTAAATTAATATATACATTTTAATAAATTCTAAAGCTAACAACAAGAATTATATTCAGTTTATCCGTATAAGAATTCCTCTCACTTGACACTATTTTACTTTTCTGGTCATGATTTATATATATGTTAATTAATTTTTAAACTGCATACTGTTACTGTTGTTTAATATAATTAATTTCTGCCTTAAGTTTGACTGATATAATATTTTCTTCATTCAGTATTTTTTCTCGAACCTTTGACCTTCCTTTGGAATTACTTTTTTAAAATAAAGAATTTCTCTAGAAGTTCTTTTAGAGTTTATTGATAGAATATGTTTTTACTTTGTGTGTGCCTAAAAATACTTTTATTTTATCCTCATTACTGAAAGATAATTTCACTGGGTATAGATTTTCCAAGATTACTTTTTAAATATTTTTAGCTAATCACGGTAATGATATAATCACATTATCTTCTGAATTTTAGTGTTGCCAATATCTAATTATAGACCTTTTACAGTTAGTCTACATTTTGTCACTGACTGCTTTTAATTTTGTCTTTGGTATTTTACTATATTCTAATTTGGATTTTTAAAAAATATCTACTTTTTGAATTATTTATGTAACCAATTTGAGGCATGATTTTTTTCTGTCAGTCATCAAACTCTCTGCTATGTTTTTTAATTATTGCTTCTTCTCCCCACTCCCTCCACCTTTTTTTTCTTTTCCAAAGACAGGGCCTTGCTCTGTCACCCAGGCTGGAATGGTGCAGTGATGCAGTCACAGCCACTGCAACCTCAAATTTCTGGGCTCAAGCGATCCTCCAGCCTCGGCTTCTTGAGTAGCTGGAAATGTAGGTGTGTGCCATGTGTTGCTAATTTTTTAATTTTTATTTTTGCAGACACAGGGTCTCTCTATATTTCTCAGGCTGGTTTCACACTCCTGGCCTCAAGCAATTCTCCCTCCTAAGCCTCCTAAAGCATAAGGTACTCTAAAAATAGATTATGTTAAATCTTCTTACCTTATTCAATATATCTTACAATCTCTCCTATTTTTCATGTAGTTTCTGTTCTGCAGTTGGTTTAATTACTTTACTACTATTCACCATTTTACTCATGGAGGATACGTCTTCTAATGTTTCTACTGTACTGTATTTTTTGTGCATTGAGTTTCTAAACCCTGTTATTAATGTCTGCATTTTACATTTTATTATTTTTCAGATTTACTTGGCCTTATTTTTCAAAGCATTTTTTTAAAAAAATAATATTCAACATATCAACATTATATTCTTGTTTGAAATTCTAATACTTGCAGACTTTATGGGTTTAACATTTCATTATGTTTCTGCTAATTCATATGGAGAGACATGTTTAAATATTTTCCTCTTATTTATATATATATTAATTTTAGGCTTATCATATAACTTAGAATTTTATGTGAATTCTTTTGAGACTTGTTTTGAAAATACACATTCTTCTGGATTTTTTTTAACCTTTTCTAGGAGTCTGAGGGTAATACCAACCTGGAACCACTTTAAATGAAATTTTCAACTTGGAGATTTTTATCCCAAAGGTGATGGTAAATCTGTCCCCAAACTCATACATGCAACCTTGCTGTTAAGAATTCTCAAAGAAATTCGCAGCAACATGAATGAAACTGGAGGGCATTATGTTAAACGAAATAACCCAGGCCCGGATAGACAAAAACACTGCATGAAATTACTCATATATGGAATCTAAAAATGTTACTGTCATAGAAGTGTAGACAGTAGAGGCCAGGCACAGTGGCTCACTCCTGCAATTCCAGCACTTTGGGAGGCTGAAGCGGGTGGATCACCTGAGGTCAGCAGTTGGAGATCAGCCTGGCCAACATGATGACACCCCGTCTCTACTAAGAATACAAAAATTAGGTGGGCCTGGTGTCGCATGCCTGAAATCCCAGCTACTTGGGAGGCTAAGGCAGGAGAATCACTTGAACCCGGGACAGGGAGGTTGCAGTGAGTTGAGATCGCACCATTGCACTCCAGCTTGGGTGACTGAGCAAGACTCTGTCTCAAAAAACAAAACAAAACAAAACAAAGTGTTAGAATAGAGTTTATCAGAGATAGAGGGTTGGGGGGAAGAGGGAGCGGTTGCTCAGTGTGTACAGAGTTGCAGTTAGTCAGGAAGAATAAGTTATGGTGTTCTATTACACAGTAGAGTGAGTATAACTAATAGTGTATTGTATATTTCAAGGTAACTAGAAGAGAGGATTTTAAATATTATCACCACAAAGAAATGATAAATTAAAATGACAGATATGCTAAATATCTTTATTATACAATGTATACATGCAATGAAACATCAAGCTGTACCACATAAATATGTACAATTACCGTGTGTCAATTATAAACAAAATAATACTTAAAGAATTTTCATAGTAGACATTTTATTTTTTGATTAGCTCTGCTTGGAATCAGAGACAGGTGAACACATCTCTGCTAACTCTCTCCAGTCAGGTTTTAACCTACTTTGACTTATGATTGTTCAGAAGTCTTATTTTTCTCTGAATTTCTCTTAACTGAGCTACCATTCTGCTAGCACCATAGTCACTGACCTCCTCTCTCCAGTGCAGTTCACTGATTATAATAGAGGCTTTTGGCTATCAGTGATGGACAGTTGACTCCAGGTTAATGCAAGCTCCAATACTCACAGAATTCTCGCCTATTCTGTACATAGGATTTTTGTTGTTTTCGCATTTTATTCATCAAAATTAGTTGTATGGTTATGGGAAGTGATTCAATTAATATTTAGTTTGCCATATTGCAAAATAATGGAAGTCCTTGTATTTTTCTATGTTTAGTTTTTAAGTTGTTGAGCATACTCTGTATGTGGTATTTAATGATAACCAACACAAATAGTAACAGTTAGATAAAAACATTTATACAATGGCACGTAATATCTGACTTTGGATAGGTTGTTTTAACCAACCAAAGTCAGATATTATGTGCTATCATATAAATGTAAATTATATAATTTTTATATAATTATTAAAGAAATTAGTACAATAAAATGCAAGTTAGTATGTTTTACAGATGGAGAAAACCATTATTAAGTTTCTTCACAGTGACAATGGCCATTTTGTCCTTTATTCAACTTTAGTTTCAAAGTAAACTAAAAAAATTAGAAATGTTCCTGGCATATTATCTTGAGAATTATCACTAATAATTATCCTGATTATTAACACAACCAATGCTACAAATGCTAGGGCACAAAAGCTTCATATATAACTTTATTCATTAAATATAGTATAAGATTAATAATATCTTCATAGCAGAACTAAGGATGCTACTTATTTCTTATCAAAATTTCTTAGGATATATCTAGACCTGGCTTATTTATTTTCCTGGAACATGATGATTCCTGAGGCAGAAACAATCACTATGTATGCTAAATGAAAACTATATTTTTTGTTTGTTTGTTTTGATGCAGAGTCTCGTTCTTGTCACCTAGGCTAGGGTGCAATGGCGCAATCTCGGCTCACTGCAACCTCCGCCTCCCGGGTTCAAGCGATTCTCCTGCCTCAGCCTCTCTAGTAGCTGGGATTACAGGTGCCTGTCACCTCCCCCAACTAATTTTTAAATTTTTTTAGTAGAGACAGGTTTTCACCATGTTGGCCAGGCTTGTCTCGAACTCCTGACCTCAGGTCATCTGCCTGCCTCAGCCTCCCAAAGTGCTGAGATTACAGGTGTGAGTGACTGCACCCAGCCAGTGAAAACTTTTGTGAGCTGACATTGGAGGTGCTCACCTTGATACAGTCACATCAACTAAGAAAAGCCTGAAAATGTTTTGTGTTAAAGCTGATAATCAGTCACGTTACGCTCAGCTAAACCCTGTACAATTACTGCAGTCAAATTTTTTAGCACCCCTGTTGAAGACCATTTAGGTTCTACTTGTTCTTTCTACTGTTTGTATTGCATTTTCCTTTTTAATAATCACAGTATTGTAGTATGTAGAAACCCACAAAGCTGTTTCTCTCATGTTGTCCCAGTCGTATGTTCTATGAAAGAACAGAAAACATAAGTGTAATTGCCATTCACTACATAAAAAAACCAAAAAAAAAATAGATGAGAACAAGAAAAGTGAAGAAGTTTACCTAATGTCATACAAGAAATCACTTGCAGTACACAATTTCTAGTTCTGACAGCTTAACCTTCCGCATTTATCTGGGAGAGATTTATAAGGACATCTTTCTCCCAATAACAAGAGCCGGGAAACTTACAGAATGTCAAGGCCCTATATCTATCTAAAAGATTAAGAACAAAGTTAAGAGAAAATCTGTGGCCTGAATAGAATAGTTGTAGGAGACTTTTCCCCGCAAGACCTCACCTGAGCTATCTGGATCTTTTATTTTTTATTTTTTTTTTGAGACAGTCTCGCTCTGTTGCCCAGGCTGGAGTGCAGTGGTGCGATCTCGGCTCACTGCAACCTCTTCCTCCTGGGTTCACGCCATTCTCCTGCCTCAGCCTCCCAAGTAGCTGGGGCTACAGGCGCCCGCCACCACGCCCGGCTAATTTTTTGTATTTTTTAGTAGAGACAAGGTTTCACCATGTTAGCCAGGATGGTCTCGATTTCCTGACCTCGTGATCCACCCGTGATTTGGCAGAAACTTCTAAGGAGCCACTGCATAGAAATAAATGCACAAAGGTTTTTATCCAACTCAAATAATGTATGGACTACTCTGGGTGATCTCTAAAGTTAACTTAGAGATCATCTAATTCTAAAAGTTTATACAGTAGTAATAAGATCAAAACAATAGGCCGGGCGCGGTGGCTCACGCTTGTAATCCCAGCACTTTGGGAGGCCGAGGGGGGCAGATCACGAGGTCAGGAGATCGAGACCAGGGTGAAACCCCGTCTCTACTAAAAATACAAAAAATTAGCCGGGCGTGGTGGTGGGTGCCTGTAGTCCCAGCTACTTGGGAGGCTGAGGCAGGAGAATGGCGTGAACCCGGGAGGCGGAGCTTGCAGTGAGCCGAGATCGCGCCACTGCACTCCAGCCTGGGCGACAGAACGAGACTCCATCTCAAAAAAAAAAAAAAAAAAAAAAAAAGATCAAAACAATATTAGAGGATAAAGGTTAAATCTAATATTCTAATTTTACAGTTGTGCCAATTGAATGTTAGATAATTTAAGTGTCTCCTTCATATTCAACAAGAGTATCCTTTTCCCATTTGGTGCTATTGCACTTCACTAATATACCTCTCATCTTTTCATTTGTTTTTTATATTTGAGCAAGCAGTGCCAACCCAAGCCTAGCCCAACTCGCTAGAAAACATTTTTGGCTTTGAGTGCTGTATGACAGTGCTCACAACAAAAATGAGTCTGACAGAGAACGGAGAGAGATATGGAAAATCAAATCAATGGGATTAAAGGAAAGATCTAGGACAATCTTTAAAAATCCATTAGCCTGCATAATTGGAAGTTATATGCATTCTTAGGAACTGGTCATGTTGTTCTTGTTCTCACTTTTCTCCGTTTCACTCAGAAATAGCCACCATTCTCATTAAATTGAATTCTGATGTCATTGTCACTGTTGGGCTTAGGCATTCTATCCAAAAGTAACTGATTGTTAAGTGATGAATGAGATGATTCACACACAAACTGCAAATTGTAAGGCAACTTACATTGAGTTTTTAAAAAGTATGTATATGTGGTGTGTCCATTTGAGTTTTAGTCTAGTAGGATGTTATAGATCTATTTTGCATTTAATAAGATAAAAATTAGGCAGCTGAGTACAAGTTTCATATGCAAATAGCATTAAAGAGAGAATTTTTTAAAAAACAGTTAAGCTTTTTTGAGAATACATCTGCTGTTCTTTCATGTAAATATTATTATATTTAAAAGTTAATTAAAACCATTGTGTTTTCTTTTCTTTTTCTTTATTTTATTATTATTATACTTTAAGTTTTAGGGTACATGTGCACAATGTGCAGGTTAGTTACATATGTATACATGTGCCATGCTGGTGAGATGGAGTTTCACTCTTGTTGCCCAGGCTGGAGTGCAATGGCGTGATCTCGGCTGACTGAAACCTTCACCTTCCGAGTTCAAGTGATTCTCCTGCCTCAGCCTCCTGAGTAGCTGGGATTACAGACATGTGCCACCATACCTGGCTAATTTTTTGTATTTTTAGTAGAGACAGGGTTTTGCCATGTTGGGCAGGCTGGTCTCAAACTCCTGACCTCAGGTGATCCCCCTGCCTCAGCCTCCCAAAGTGCTGGGATTACAGGTATGAGCCACCGCACCTGGCCTGTAATCATCCTTAATCTAGTAAAGATAAATACAAGGGTCTTAAAGTTTCTTCTCTAATTCCTAAACAATACTTAGGGATTTGGTATGAAATATTCAGAAGTTGCATCAACAAATTTTTACATTGTGGTTTTAGATAAAAAGAAGGCTAACTTTCAAAAATGCTGAGTGATTGATAGGAGAGTATGATATTTCAGATAGATTGATATCTTCTGTCAAGAAATCTTACAAATTCCACCCTTTCTTTTGACCTCTTTAGAAATCATACCTGAATGCAAGTGAAGGATTGGGACATTATTTAAAGAAAAATAACTTGGATCATCTGTAGTTGTAAAATATTAAAGGCATCCAAATATGTGATATTTAAAATTTTCATTTAAACAAATTATATCTGGTATACTTCATATCTTACTGTGTTTTAGTTCCCTGAGTTTTCTCAGCTATTTTAAAAATTACTTTATTGAGATATGATTGACTGTACAAAAACGTTATACCCATTTAATCTATATGACTTGAAGATTTTGGAGATAAGTGTACACCCAGGAAATCATCACAATATATGCCATAAACATACCCATTACCTCCCAATGTTTCCTCCTGCCCTCTTTATTTATTGTTACATTTCTGTCACAGAAGGGATAACAGAAGATACACCCTTTAGCAAATTGGTAAGTATACAATGTAAAATAAACTACAGGCACTATATTGTACAGTAAATCTCCAGGACTTATTTGTCTTGCATCACTGAAACTTTGTACCCTTTGACTAATTTTGTGTCCTTTGACCAACAACCTTCACACCATAAACAATGTTAAATATGTGAGGTAATATATATGTTAAATAGCTTGATTTAATTATCCTGCACACACACATTGTACACAGACACATATTATGTTTTACACCATATATATAATTTTACTGTTATATGTTTATGCAAGTAATTATGCCCATAATTAAAAATAAGGAAACAATAAAAAAGTATTGGATTAGGAATCAATGCAGAATTAGGTTCAAGTCTTGATATCTCTTCAATTATTAATGGTCAAGATTTACTTCTCTGGATCTCTCCATCTGTAAATTTAGAGTTTGGGTTAGGTGAGCTTTAAAGTTTCTTTTAGCTCTGAATTATACAAATCCTTTCATGAATAATTCTCAAATAATCACAACTATTCCCTAGAAAATTCTGAGAGAAGGATTTTTGTAAGTGAATATTTAAAAAATCACACAGGACAAGAGAATAAAATATGTAATTTCAAGTTTTAATAATTAAAATCAGATTTATTTCCTAAAGTATTAATATCTTGGATATTATGGGGAAGTACTTGCTCTGAGATTCTAAAAGAAGCCAGTATCTGTTTTTTCGTGATGTTTTTGGAAAAGTCCACTAAAGGCCTCCTGATGCTACTCTTTCGTTTTGGTAAATGTTAAACCTCACTACATAATCTAAGACTATAACTGTGTGTTAGAAATTCCTAGTTTATGTTTTTTCTTGTATCTTGGGTTCTCTTCCTTGACCTTGACATGTCCATTTAATGAAACCTGCTCAAATTTGAGGCTCATTTAATTTGTTTCTCACAAACCTTCTGTATCTACTTTTACATATGTTCTTACGCCTGTGAATTCTCATGGCCGCTTGTCCTAGGGCGCCTCAGCATAACCCTCCTTTATTAGTAATATATTATATATGTTACATTAATGCCTTAAGGCCTTGAACTATTCACTTATCCTGAAATACTTTCTTCAGATCTTTCTGATTGGCTTTTTCTTGTTATCCAGGTCTTAGTTTATATTCTACCGCTGCAAAAAGCTCTCTGATCATCTAACGTAAAGTAACTTCCCAGTTACTGTCTATTTTATTGTCATGTTTTACTTTCTTCATAGCACTATTTAAAGTTATTTTATGTATGTCTCTCATTAAAATGTAAGTTTCCTGGAGACAAAAGATGCTCAATAAATATGTAATGATGATAAATTTTTTGTATGTGTGCATTTTATTCATTTTGCTGGAGAAGGCATTCACCTTAGAATAGAGTTACTTCTGTTTCATTTCTTTTATCTTCTGCAATATCTGATGTATGGTCTTGCACACCAGAAATTCTCTGTAGATATTCTTAATGGAATTATGTTAATGTGGCAGAAAAAAAACAGTAGAAAATTGGAGCTGTTACTCTCCATTCTATTTGCTAAATGTAGTTTGTACTGTAACATCATTTCATTTCATGGGTTCTTGACTTGATAAAAAATAAAGAAAAGAAAGAGAACCGCACAGTTTTAGCATGCTAACTTAAAAATCCATATAAAGGCCAAGCAACTGCATGCCCAAAGGAAACTTTGATTTAATTATTTTCTAAAAAGATGTCCATATCTATTTAACTGCCATTCAGAAAAATCATGAGTTTCAGAACTACAGTTCTTATAATAAACCTACAAATATAATTATTTATTAATACAACTAGAAACATTTTTTATAGACCTGGTATAATCACAGAATAATCAATCAGCCAGAAATGTAACATTTTTACTAATGATTTTGAAATGTCAAATGATATATAATGCTTTAATTGATCTAGGCTATTCAGAAACACCTAAGTCATTGTGACTATATAAAAGAAATAAAAGCAGAAGATTTCTAAAGTGTCTAGTTCATTTTCATGTAAACAGGAGAATAAATGAAAGCAATGTTTTATTTATTCAACATAAACTGGACTGGATTAAGATCAGACTTGCTACTTTCAGTTAAATTTACTATTAAATTGATATTCATTAGAATGTTAGAACAAGGAGGGATTCTAGCAGTCATTCAAATGAGGTTATTATAAGTGAGGAAACTGAACTAAAACAATCTATTCAATGTTGTAAAACTAGGAACTAAAACAATCTATTCAATGTTGTTAAACTAGCTACTCTAGATTAGCTCAGCTTTAAAGACTCGCTAGATGTCCAGATGCAAGCACCTGCCTCTTAGTCCAGTGCTTACTCCACAACATAGCCTTTTGACTCCTATTTCAAGGGACACCAAAGAGTAAAATTCTGTAACAGGTACTCAGCAGGGTTGGAAGCTAATAGGATTTGGACTCATCTATTATATATCAAGAAAAGGATCTCCAGTTTATAATAATACATTGTAATCAAGTCAATACAGTAATATTAAAATTATATCAAGTCCTGAAAAATATCTTTCTTTGAATATTTGGGAGGCACTTGTGGATCTAATACTGCTTTCTTTATGAAATTTCATAAGATTTACATTGTCTATGATGACTAAGATTCTGGTTATCAGAATGCAAAGTAGAGAAGTATGTAAAGGTACTGCTTTAGTGTGTGTATTAGTAGGAATTATTTCAGTTGCAAAAGGCAAGAACTCAGCTCAAATTAGTTTATACAAAAGAAGCTCACTGGCTGGCAAGAAAATAGTAGCTTAAAGTTGAAAGCAAGAGATACAGAAAAACGAAGCACCTAGGGCAGGAATTATGCACTCAGAATTGCTAAAATATTATCTCTCTTTTCTTATCTGTGCTTAGTTTCATTCTTCATATTTTAAATAAGATACGGCCCCTGGCCATTCCAGTATTATTTCCTCTCAGTTTAGCAACACTGCCCCTTCCCTTAAAGGGGTAACAGCTTATTTATTCCAGGTTCTATAGATTAATATTAAGGAAGGTCTTGAATTGGCACATCTTAGGGTATTTGTTGGCAACAGGGGAATAGGGAATTCCTGTAGCAAGGTAACATGATTGAAATGTTCACAAGAACCACATGCCACTGGGGAATAGTGACTCTACCTCCCAAAAGATGCTAAATTGTAAAAAGATGCAACACTAAAAAAAGTACCCCTTAGAATATTCATGATAATGGAATTTGCCTTGCTAATGTCCCATAAGTTAGTTGTTACAGAGGTGGCATTGCCAATTTCCAGTATTTCCCTTATGCAGCTTACAAGTTTACAAAGATTAAAAAATGATAAAACCTAACATTGGTGGAGGTGAAGTGAGATGGGCCTTCACTTAACACTGGAGGAAGTGTAAATTGGTAAAACCTTTTTGTAAAGCAATTTGATAAAATGTCAAGAAAATTAAAATAGTTCACACTTGTAGATACAGTAATTCCACTTCTAAAAGGAAAATCTAATAAAATAATTAAAATGTGGGTACATACTTGTGTGTAATATTTTATGTAATTTGAATATTAGAAACAAAATCAATGTTCAGTAAGGTTTACTCAGTTAAATATAAATATAGTCATGTACCACATAATGATGTTTCAGTCAAGACAGGTGACATATACAGGCCAATAAGATTATAACACTATTTTTACTGTTCATTCTCTATGATTAGATACACAGATGCTTACATTGTGCAACAGCTGCCTATAGTATTCAGCACAGTAATGTGCTATACAGTTTTGTAGCCTCTAGGCCATGCCATCTAGCCTAGTTGCGTAGTAGACTATACTATCTACGTTTGTGTGAGTACCCTCTGTGATGCTCACATAATGAGGAAATCACCTAATGGCACATTTTGCAGAAGACACCCCTATTGTTAAATAATGCATGACTGTATGTAATAGGCTACTATGCAGATTACACCTAATACCCTCACATGATTTTGATAATATATTGTCATTGCAAACTTGAAAGGAAACAACTTCCTAAGTCATTGGCAACGATGTAAATTCATGCAAACTCGTTGGATAAAATTATATATAAGATGTATCATAAAAATATATATCAAAATTAGAAATGCAAATATGACCTAGAAATTTTATTTTTAGGAATTTATCTCATATATATTCTAGTATGTACTCAAATAATGTTCACAGCAATACTGTTTGCAATAGAAAATGTCTGGAAATAAGTCAAATTTCTGACAATGAGGGACATGTTGAATAAATTCTGACATTAGAAAGGAATAATTTGTATATTAATCTGCAAAATACGCTAAATGAAAAAGCAAAAGTTCAAACACTGTCTGTATAGTAGACCCTCATTTCTCTAGAAATAGATAACAGTTGTGTAGTGGACTTGACTGAGTTCACTAATAGCTAGTTCTTCTCTCCTTGGACATACAGAAGATTATAGTTTCCATACTTCTTGCAGTTAACTGAAGCCAGGAAACTAGATCTGGCAAATAAAATGAGTGGGACTGACTTTTGAGCTGACAAAAATGAAGAGCCCTTTTTAAATTCTGCCATCTCTCTCTTTCCTTGCAGTGTTAATGCACAAGGTCTTGTGTTGAAAATGTAGAGCCACGAGATAAAAGCAGCTTGGATGGCTGACTCATATACAAGGACAACTGCCTGAGAGTCACCAGGGCTATCAAGAAGTTTGCAGAAACAAGAAATAAACTTTTACTGTTTTAAACTTTTGTGAATTTTGGGTTTTGTTTATCACCAAATAAACCTAGTCTATTCTGATTGTTATAAGTGGTTAATTTGGGAAGTCAGATATATTTAAAATTGGCTTACTGCTGTAACATATACAGTCCAAATTACATAATGGCTCAAATGCAATAGAAGTCTTTTTTTTTTTTGCTCACATATCACTTCACTGAGATTCTGCATTAATTGTAATGATGAGGGTGAGGGTGTCTTATATCATACAGTTGTTCAGCAACCCAGGATGACCAACTTTGTAATATTTTTTCCCACTGGCTTCTAAAGTTCTCATAGATAGTAAAATTCATTTGGAAGAAGGAGAAACAGCATGGAGGATTGCAGATGGAGATTTTTATGGGAAGGCTTGGAGGTTTGGAGGTTACACATTACTACTTTTACTTGTTGGCTAGGAAACTATCACGTGGTCACACCTAAGTGCCAGTGAGTCTGACAATGTGGCAATTTGGTTGCGGGCCAGGGGTAAGAGGCAATAAATTTTGCTCAATAATTATCAGTTTTTGCCACAGATGGAGGGACTTTTCATTGTATAACTAGTTGTTACTGTTTGAATTTAAAACAGGAAAATATCATTTTCAAATAAAAACACAAAAGTGGCACAAAAAATTCTTATGATTTTTTTTGCTTGAATTTTGTGCATTTATTTGGCTATTATTAAAGTAAATAATTCTCTTTATAGAAAATGTAGAAAATAACAAAAAATAAATAAGCAGAAAGTCATCCAATAACCCCCATGATCCCAGCATAATAATCTTTTTTAAGGTAACTGAAATGACCATCCTTCTTTTACAATTGCAAACGCTAACACCCAGGGATTTTAAGAAATTTGTCAACTCTAGTAAGTGGTAGAGCACAGAGAAAAGAAAAGCCAGGGAAGCTTTTACAGAGCAGGAGACAAGGATAGAAAAGGACTTATGAATGGGGAAACACAATTGACAAATTATTTTAAAATATTGCAGGTTTAATCGCATGGAGAGAGAGAGCATAGAACACGAGAAATATACCAAAACAACAGAGGTAATGACCTCAGCTTTAGAGATTTCCCATTTTATTATAGTTTTATTTCCATTTAGATATGTCATTTAGATATTAAGGTGTCACTGTCCAATAAGGCAGTATGAACCTGGGTTCTGGATGAAGACTAGTCGGGATATTGTGTCAATGACAGTAATTGAAGGCACTGGTGTTAAAGGCTGTAGATAGAGTTGTGATGAGTCAGAATTTTGAGCAATTTAAAAGTTAGATGTTGTACAGATTGTTGAAGGCTAGAATTGTTTTTTGTTTTTTTGTTTGTTTGTTTGTTTCTTTTCTTAAAACCCTGGCCCATTTCCCTGAAGAGCTCCCACTGGAAAAGTCATAGTTGGATATGGTGTGAGAAGCTGGCCAGGATTCGAAATGGTGAATGTGGCAACCCGTTGGCTGCCTGGTATAAAATACATCCAGGTGTTCAATTCTGAGCTCCAAGGCTAACTATTATTATTAACTATAGTGTGCATCCATTCCTATAAATATCAGAAGACTGGGAACTCAGATAGCTTATTTTGCTCCTGAATCTGTTACTGAGTAGCAATATGAACTAAAAAAATTATTTTTCCAAGCAGGGCTTAGATTTCCTCGTATCTAAAATGAGAAGAATAGAATAAATAATTTAACTACCCAGCTCTGAAACCCAGACTCCATGATAAGAATAAGCATTTTCCCAAACTCCAAAACTTAGTATTCTTTTATAGAAATTATTACTTTCTTCTTCATCCCCTGGTCTCTGCATAAACAGCTCATCCATCCTCTAGACAATAATCATGATAGGGCAGAAAATCAATAATTATCTCTGTGTCTTCCGTGGAATTTAACACAGAGCATTGAAAATAGTAGCAATTAATAAATTTTAAACAATAAACAATGACATACATTTTTAAACTGAAAACTTTGTGTTCTGTGCCGATTTCTCTGATGATAACACGTTAAAGTTTGAAGCAGTGGTCATGAAAGTGATAGTCTAGAGCCATCATAATTAAAGGGTGGTGCTCCCTCTGTAATTGTAAAATAAGGTTTGAGTAGCCACACAATGCCTCTCATACCTAGAATTCTAATAGATTAAAAAACTCTTAAACATACAGTTCCAGGATCTATGACCTGGAGAAATCTCCTTCTTGGATATTGTACATAGGGTGGCAATCTTCCTTTATATTCATTCACTGGAGCCTTGGCTTTATGCTGCTTTGACAGCTCGTCAGGAATAAATCTTGTCAAGAAGGGCATTATCTTTAGAGATTTTCATATAGCTCATGTTGCTAGAAAGAAAAACATAGCAAGCTTGTTTAATCCAATTAATGAAGATCTGTAGACTGTCTTGTGCAGCTGGTCATTTGGCAATGGAGGAAGTTAATTTTAAGGTCTATGAAAGCTTTCCATTTGTGGTGACAAACTCAGGAACTCAAAGACTACTGTTAACTCTCTCCAACCATTTTGTAATTTCTTTTTTGCTTTTATAACTGTAGCAATAGAAAAAGTATCTTTTCTTGCATAAGCAGAAATGGTTCAGTATTTGTATCAACACAGTAATAGATAATTAATCAAAATTAATAGATAATTAATAGATAATTCATCAACATGGATCTAATTAGATGGACTATTTGGGTTTATATATTTTTCTCTGGCATTTAGATCTTCTGTTATATAGTGTTATGAAAAAATACTAAATTTGTAGTTATAAAAGTTGGCATAAGGTACAAAATCTAACACTTGTAGGCTGTGAATACAAGCCATTTCACTATTTTGGGCCTCAGTTTCTCATATACAAATGATGATAATACAGGTAGTACTATTTTTTTACTGTCACAGGATGATTTTGAAGAAAACTATGCAAATATTTGTGAAACCCTACAATCCAAAGCATCATACAAATATAGGTGCTGCATATATGGTTTTGCCATATCAGCACTGTCCGAAAAATATTGCCCCCAATTATTTACCATCACCAATAAAACAGAATTGTATATCTTTACTGTGTTATGTAGTTACGGAGCCATTATCCTGCAGATATTTCCTCAGATTTTTGCCGCACTCTGTGAAGATACATTATTTTCTCCCACTTTTCTAGCTGATGAGAAAAAGTACCATGCAAAAATCTTCAGCGATTTTTCCCCAAAATACCAAGTTTCAACATTTTGTAGCATTTTAAACAAAATAGACTACTTTCTACTTGTCTCATGCCACTTTAAATAGGATCATTAAGGGACACTCTCTCTGTTGAGATATTTGGGCAGAACCCTTAATGAAGAAAGGCAGCAATTCAGACCAAGGTGTGGGCAAAGGATACTCCAGGATGAGGAAACACCAAGCACAAAAGGGCCCGAGCCAGGACAGAACTGTTATTTCCAAGGAATACCAACATGTCCAGTACTAATGAAGTCAAATGAATGAGAGAAGAGTGGAAGGAGAGAAAGGCAATGTTTTGAGTAGTTGTCTGACTATATAGTCCCTCATAGACCATGATAATTGTTTGCACCTTATTCTAAGTTCAGTGAAATGTCATTGAAGTCTATGTAGGAAAGCAACATGACATGATTTATGTTTTAAATGGATCATTTTAGCTCTTGCGTGTGGTATGCAATTTAGCATAATAAAAGCAGAGACAGGAATGATAGGCATGACAGGGATCAAAGTAGATAATACTAGTGGCTTAGACTAGAGTGACAGAAATTGGGATAATGAACAATAGTCAGATTGGATAGATTTTAAGGATAATGTCAACAATTATGTTAGATTAAATATAAGAACTGAGAAAAAAGAGTACTAAAACTAGCTCAGGATTTTGGTATGAGCAAATTTGAATTACAACCTGAATAGAGTTGAAAACATTAAAAAGTAACAATCACAAATTTTCACCACACCTTACAAGATGCATTTGTTGTTTGTGGATTCTTGTGTGTGGATATGTGTGTTCACATGTGTTTGTGACTATCACTTAGAAATTACTTGTAAAAAAATTTAACAAAATTCTGGAAATTTGCAATTAAAAATAAACCATAACCTATGGCTCAAAATTCATATCACACAATCGATTTTTGCCAAGGAATTCAACTTTTCTGTTACAGGAGAGTATTAAAAACAACAAAAAAAATCTACCTATAACAAGTAAATTTGAAGGGAATGGAATTAGTTTTGTAAGGGGTATGGAATACTGGAAAAAACCAGGACACAATTTTTTCTACAGATAATCATTATCAATTTTAATTTGTTTTAATTGCATGCTTCATCTCCCTTCCAATTTAGTCATTTTAAAATTAAAAATTGATTCTGTAAAACTCATCACTATACCATAAATGTGGCCCTTTTGTGTCAGCTACTTTTACATCCAGGGAAGAAAATGACTAATTTAATGAGGCAGTTTAAGAAAGAAAGAAATGTTCAAAGAAAAATAATGAGGCACAGTTCCCTCTGGACCTGTTCCTAATGTTTAATACAAGAAAATGTTAGCAGTGTTTTAAGGTTCACAGAAATTATTGTGATACAGGCAACAATTATATAGGCTTACTCACCAATAAGAGGCATGAGACTATCCAAAGAGTAGGCAGAATATATGTTACTTTTATTAAAGGCAGTGTGGTATATAGTAAATAGATTGCCATTTATAATGTTTCTTCTGCCATTGTAAGCATGTAATTCAATGACATGATATCCTAGTCTGATGGCATTGTCAGAATCAAAAGTTCAGAGGTGAAGTAACTGGTCACAGTCTCGCATAAGCACAAAAACGATAAAAACATGATTTTTTTTTGACCCCAAGGTCAGCACAGAGGTTGGTTAAAGCCAGCTAATGACATTTTTCTTGCACAATATTTGTCAGAAAATTAGTTCATTTTGAAGAACGATATTGGAGACAGAGGTCTAAAAGAGGGGTTCTCATCCTCCTGGTATTTAAATTTCTTCCTGACAGCTATTAAACAGTGAGAAGGACAGTCTTTGGGACTTACTCTATTTTTGGAAGAATATAGATTGACTATGGGAAAGAAACTGAGGAAGCAAAAGCATTAATTACGTATTCTGAGAAAAGCATAGAACCTCTTCTGTACCTCGTTGAATTTCCCTTGTCTTTTCCCCCTGCTGTTTACTGAGAAAAGAAAGCTCTCTCAGAAACCTTTTGAAGGACTAGATGTTAAAAGATTTCTGCTTAAAAAGACCCATTCCGCTCTTTCAGTGAAAAACATACAACTTATTTCCAAAGCTTAGCATCATTATTATATATCGTATGTATTTTCTCTCCAAGAAGAATTATTGTTTCTTTCTCAATACTGTTATCTTTGCTGCATGTATACATGGAAATTGTCCTGGACCACAGGCAAACCAAGGGCATTCACCAGAGACCCACCTACTTGGGGGTTCATGTGTGCATTGTTTTCAGTGGCTTCCATTAGGATGCCAGAAATTTTCCTTGTCTTCTTAGCCTCTTAGATGT
This sequence comes from Homo sapiens, assembly GCF_000001405.40. Classification (NCBI taxonomy): domain Eukaryota; kingdom Metazoa; phylum Chordata; class Mammalia; order Primates; family Hominidae; genus Homo; species Homo sapiens. Next base: position 191,595,544 of record NC_000003.12, read on the forward strand.
AGCTTGTGAATCTTCAAATTCACCAAGAAAAAGCATCAGTGTACTGAATATTGCTTTTACCTCTCTAGATTTTTCTCTGACATCTTGGCCTGCCAAGTCAGACGATGGCCTTAGAAGATGTTGAATACCTTCCCATAAATCCTTTTAAATATTATTTTCATGTTTTATAGTTGTCTCAGAAGAATGGCTGATCTGCAGTATGCTAGACTATCATTGGCAAGAACAAACAATATTACTGTTAGATTTTATGGTAGCAAAGCAAAGCAAAAATCAGTGGTATATGAAAATATACCAAATTTCTTGAGAAAAAAGCCTATGCAAGAAACTTCATTTATTTAAGATGTAAAATCAATGAGTTTGACAGCTGTATACACCCATAAAACCACCATCACAATATAAAAGTAACATTTTTCATCATTTCTCAAAGATCCTTACTGTATCTTTGCAGTCAGTTCTTCCGTTGACCCTCAACTGCAAGCAAAAATCTACTAGATTTTTGTTACTATAGATTAGTTTCCATGTTTTATAATAAGAATAATATCATATGATCATCTTTTGTCTCTAGCATCTTTATCTCAGCAAAATATTTTGAAATTCATGTATATTGTTGTATGTATCAGTAGTTTATTCCTTTGAATTGCTGATTAGTTTCCCATTGAATGTGTACATTTACTTTGTACTTTATTGATTAATAATACCTTATTAAGTCTTTTTAATTTTTCTTCCATTTTATGGGTGGTTAGTAGCAGTTCATTGCGTTTTAGTTGCAGTTCCCTGATGACTAATGATGTTGGGTATTTTTTACTGTATTTATTGGCTATTCATATATTTTCTCTTGTAAATGCCTATTCAAATATTTTGAACATTAAAAAGTTGGGTTGTCTTCTTACTTTTAAGATATAAGAGTTGTTGATATACTCTAGGCACAGTTCTTTATAAAATATGTGTGTTCTGAGTATTTTCTCTCTCTTTGTATTTTCTTAATAGTTTCTTGAAGAGCAAAAGTGTTAAAATTTTATAAAGCCCAATTGTGAAATTTTCTCCTATGATTTTTCCTTAGGTGTTTGATTTAAGAAATGCTTGCGTATCCCTAAGTCTCCAAGATTAGTTTAGCTTTGTTTTTAAGTAGTAGTTATATGGTTTCACCTTTTATATTTAAGTGAATAATCCATTTAGAGTAATTTTATGTGAATTAAAATTGATATTTTTATTTTTTTACTGATATCACATTGTTCCAGTGCCTTTTTTATTTCATTTTAGAGACAGATTCTTGCTCTGTCACCCAAGTTGGAGTGCAGTGGTGCGATCATAACTCCAGAACCTCAAATTGCTCAGCTCAGAAGATCCTCCTGCCTCAGCCTCCTGAATACCTAGTATTACAGGTGTGTGCCACCATGCCCAGCTAATTTCTTTTATTTTTTGTAGAGATGGGGTCTTCTTATGTTGTGCAGTCTGGCGATGCCCCTGCCTTGACCTCTCAAAGCACTAGAATTACAGATGTGAGTCATTGCACCTCTTCCAGTGGCATGTTTTGGAAAGTACTTTTTCCCCTATTGAATTGCCTTGGCATTTTTGTCAAAAATCTTTTCATCATATATGTTTGGGTCTATTTCTGGATACTCTATTCTGCTCTAGCAATATACATATCTATGCTTATGCCCATATAATATTGTTGTGATTACTACAGTGTTATTGTAATTTCTGAAGTCTGGTAGTGTATTTTTTCTACGTTTTCTTTTGTGTAACATTGATTTTACTATTCTACATCATTTTTATTTCCACGTACATTTTAAAATCAACTTGTCACTTCCTCTAAGAGAACTTTCTAGACATTTTGTTGAGATTGCATGGAATTCATAGGTCACTTTGAAGAGAATTTACATTTTAATAATATTGATTGTTCCAATGCATGAATGAGTAATATTCCTCCATTTATTTAGGTTTTTGTTAATTTCTTTTATTCTCTATTTTATAGTGTAAAAGTCCTGTGAATATTTTGTTAAGTTTTTATGTAAGCATTTCATAATTTTTTTGGGGGGTAAAAGTATATTAAATTCTTAAAATTTTATTTTCTGTGTCTTTGCTGAAAGTATATAATATGCAATTAAATTTGTTTTAATCCTCTATATTTAAAAGTTATAAGAAAATTGTTAGTTTATATTTAACCATACAGTCAGTATCTTTTATCTTTATTCATTTAAACTTTATTCATTCCTAAGATATGAATTTTTCTGTATCAATTCCCTCTTCAAGCCTGAATAATTTTATTTGTATTTCCCATAGTTTTACTTTGTCTGAAAATGTCTTTATTTTAACTTTGTTCTGTTTTCACTAAATATAAAATTCTAGGTTAACCATTATTTTCTTTTTCTTTCAGCATTTTAAATATGTTGCTTTACTGTCATCTGTCCTTAATGGTTTCTGATGTCATATCCACCATCATTTGAACGATTGTTCTACCATATGTAAAGTATTAATTTCTGGATGTTTTTAAGATTTTCTTGTTCCTTTTGTCTTTCAGCCGTTTTACTAGGAGGTACCTATACCTGTGTAGATGCTTCTTTCAACTGTGTCCTATTTGGAGTTTGCTGACCTTTAGTAATCTATAAATATAGGCCTTTCACCAGATTTGGAAAGTTTTGGTCATCATTTCTTCAAATATTTTTTGTCTCAAATTTTTCCTTTGTTTCTAGGACTCCAATTACCTAATTAAGGTGTTAGACCTTTTGAAATGTTCCACCGTTCTCTGGGGCTCAGTTTGTACTTTTCCTTTTTTTTTTTTTTTTTTTTTTTTGAGATGGAGTCTCCTCTGTCACCAGGCTGGAGTGCAGTGGTGCAGTCTTGGCTCACTGCAACCTCCGCCTCCTGGGTTCAAGCGATTCTCCTGCCTCAGCCTCCCAAATAGCTGGGATTACAAGCACATACCACCATGCCCAGCTAATTTTTGTATTTTTAGTAGAGATGGGTTTTCACCATGTTGGCCAGGCCGGTCTTGAACTCCTGACCTCGTGATCTGCCCGCCTCGGCCTCCCATACTGCTGGGATTACAGGCATGAGCCACCGTGCCTGGCCCAGTTTGTATTTTTGCATAAACTTTTTGTCTCTTTTTCAAATTGTATGATTTCTATTGATTTATATTTGGTTTTACTTAGATTCTTTTGACACCTTTATTTTAAAAATTTGGCCTACACAGGAAATTTGTATTTCAGGTTTTGTGTTTTTATCAATTTTAAAATTACTTTTATGCCTTTTTATGTTTTCTACAAGTATGCTGGTATTTTCTAATTTTTTAATTCCTTCCACGTGTATCTTTCTTTACCTGATTGAGCATAGTTATAACTCTGTTTAAAGTTAGTGTCTGATAATTTCAACATTTGGTCATTTTTCCCCTTAAAAATGGGTCATTGTTTCCTGGATCTTTGTATATGAAGCGGTTTTCGGATTGAATTGTGGACATTATGAATGTAATTATGAATAAAAATCTAGGCTCTGGCTTTTTTCATATCACTTTAAAAAGTGTTGATGCTTTTGTTTAGCAGAAAAATGACTTAAACTCAGATTAAAGACTATATATCTGTGATGGCAGTGGCTCAGAGTACAGTTTAGTTCTTTAAATCTTAACTCCTGATTGCTTTCAGCTTGCTTATTCACGCATTCATCAGATATCAACATTTTAGGTGTTAGGTTTCTTCTTCTCTGGATTCTTCCTTTTCAGAAGCTATTTTTGTATTTTAACTCTCTTCCTTGATTCCTCTGCCAAGAAGAGGATGAATTATTTTCTATCAGACCTAGAGCCACCTCATGCCCAATACCACTGCTGTGATTGCCTTCTGTGTAGAGCAGTTAAAAAATAACGTACACACTCCAAATTTCAATTCCCACACTGGTTACAGGCTCCAAGTTTCAATTCCGTTTCAAAAAATTCTTGCTCAGCTTCCATCTCCAGTGTCCAGTGCCTTCAGGTAGTTCTTTTTTGAGAGTCAATAGCTCTTATTTGTGGGAAGATTAATTTATTAGGAGCTCACTCCTCTATGCTTCAAGCAGAAATCCTCATACACATATCATGATAAAGCCAATAAAAACTCCATTTTCTACATATTTTCAGCCCTTTTTGATCAAACATTCTTTTAAATCTATTGTTCCGATGAAATAATGAAGATGGACACATCATTTCCTCTGAGCTATTGTGTGTACATGCACATTGTACTACAGTGAAAATATTGGCTGCCCTCCCTTCTGCTCTGAATCCTTACCTATAGAAGGACTACTGAATCCATTACACTGACATCAGGCTTAGCCAATTGTGGTTTGGCTCTGCGTCCCCACTCAAATCTCATGGCCAGCTGTAATCCCCACATGTCAGAGAAGGGACCTGGTGAAAGGTGATTGGATGGGGGCAGTTTCCCCCATGCTATTCTTGTGATAGTGAGTGAGTTCTCATGAGAGCTGATGGTTTAAAGGTATGGGGAAGTTCCCTCATAGCTCGCTCTCTCCTGCCACCATGTAAGATATGCCTTGCTTCCCCTTCACCTTCAACCATGATTGTAAGTTTCCCGAGGCCTCCCCAGCCATGCAGAACTGTGAGCCAATTAAACCTCTTTTCCTTATAAATTACCCAGTCTCAGGTAGTTCTGTATGGTAGTGTGAAAATGGACTAATACAGCAATAATACATGGGCAGAAGTTATCTGGGTGACCTCCCAGCAAAACAAATTACAGCTATTTCATGGCCCTACCATCTTACTTTCTTATTGCCATGAAGCAATTATGTCTCAGATAGAATCTTCTTTTTATCCTTCATTTTGGAAGAACAATCAACATGGAGCGAAGCCACAAACACTCTCCAATGCATGTGAATATGACCGAGAAATAAGTCTTTGTTGTGTTAAGTCGGAGATTGTGAGATCATTTGTTATTATAACATAGCCTAAATTAACTGGCACAGACATGCTGTGTAACTTAGGCTAAGCTGACAGATACTTATGTGTAAGCATGAGATTGAAGAAGAGGAGATGGAGTTGCTCATTCTATGTATTAACAACACAAACAGCAATAACAATAAAAAGCAATAGTTTCGAGAGGATGTGGAGAAATAGGAACACTTTTACACTGTTGGTGGGACTGTAAACTAGTTCAACCATTGTGGAAGTCAGTGTGGTGATTCCTCAGGGATCTAGAACTAGAAATTCCCTTTTGACCCAGCCATCCCATTACTGGGTATATACCCAAAGGATTATAAATCATGCTGCTATAAAGACATATGCACACGTATGTTTATTGCGGCACTATTCACAATAGCAAAGACTTGGAACCAACCCAAATGTCCAACAACAATAGACTGCATTAAGAAAATGTGGCACATATACACCATGGAATACTATGCAGCCATAAAAAATGATGAGTTCCTGTCCTTTGTAGGGACATGGATGAAATTGGAAATCATCATTCTCAGTAAACTGTTGCAAGGACAAAAAACCAAACACCGCATGTTCTCACTCATAGGTGGGAATTGAACGATGAGAACACATGGACACAGGAAGGGGAACATCACACTCTGTGGACTGTTGTGGGGTGGGGGGAGTGGGGAGGGACAGCATTAGGAGATATACCTAATGCTAAATGACGAGTTAATGGGTGCAGCACACCAACATGGCACATGTATACATATGTAACAAACCTGCACATTGTGCACATGTACCCTAAAACTTAAAGTGTAATAATAATAAAATAAAATTAAAAAAAAGAAAGAGAAGAAAAAAACAATAGTTTCACTAAATAAGTTTATATTTCTTCTGAAGAAGCATAAGGTGGAATAGGAGACAAAACTCTATACTAATAGTGAGAGGAGCCAAATTCTATCCCTTGTTTAGATACTAATTCATGGCATTACTCTTACTCTTTGAAAGCCCTTTACCTCTTTACCCTTTGATGTACTCATTTGTATAATAATAATGTTGCCTACTTAATCTCTGCAGATCTACTAACTCCGACAAATCTAAGATTTGATGAATATCAGCAAAACAAAGCACATAGGCACTATTGTAGAGCTTCTCTCAGCAGAAGAACACTCAGAGTAATGCCACAAGGACTTCTTTTACAGCAAAACAAGATTGCCAACAAAACAAACCTGGCACCCTATCCTGGAAACTGTCTTACTCTATTTTCTGCTGTTATAACAGAATACCACAGACCGGGTAATTTATAAAGAAAATAAATTATTTCTCACAGTTCTTGAGGCTGGAAAGTGCAGGAGCATGACATGGAAGGTCATGTAATGGAGGAAGGCATCACAAGAAGAGTAAGTGTGCAAGACAGAAAGAAATGGGGCCAAACATATCCTTTTATCAGAAGCCCACATTTGCAATAACAAACTCCCTCCAGCAATAACAGCATTAATCCCTTTAAGAGAGAAGAGCCTAATCATCTTTTAAAGACTCCACCTTTTAACACTGTTACACAGGGTATTAAGTATCCAACATATGTGTACATTTCCAACATTCTGGGAGACATATCCAAATCATAGAACTGAGAAATTCATTTCTGCTTAAAAATGCTATCATACCTCTTCCTCTTCCTCTCTGACATGAGAATGAGTACGTTCTATATAGATGCTGCTCCTAAAGACTATTTTCCAGTAGGAAAACTCATATGGAGCAGCAATAAATAAAACCATAGCAACCAGAGTCAGCCTACATGTAACATGAATAAGAAAGTTAATTACTGTGAACTACTGAAGTTTTAGTGCTATTTTTTATACAGCAAAACTAATTGCTATGCAAAAAGTAGTATCAGAAATAGATGCTGCCCTAACAAAATACCTAAGCTATATCATTAGAAATGTGTAACATGCCAGTGATGACATTTTATTGGAGAATGGAAAAATGGCACTAGATATCATGCATTGGTAAACATTTGGTTAAATGTGTAAACCTTAAAATACCAAAGGTTTTAAGAACCTGAAAGGCAAGCAATGTACCTAATAAACTTGTGAGATCTAAGGGATAGATTTTGAGAAGCAACATTTTCTGAGTTTTTGTTTATTAGTCACATCAAGCAAGTACTACAAGACAAGTACCACTGTATGTGCTTGACCCACAAGCAAGCAGGGCAATAAGGAAAAGTAAAGAATCCAGAAATTCTCAAACTTTCAGGGCTGAGAGCTGCAACTCCTCCTGTCCAATATGTAAAAGAAAAAACTGAGAAACTACACAAAGAATCACACTCAGTCTCAAGGCATAAACCAGAATTAAGGATGTGGCTCTGGTTTATTTTGTTAAAATGTCTGCATGAATTAACATTGACCCCAGTGAATCTTTTTAGTTGGACCCAAAGGCTCAAGAAGAAGAGATTAAAAGTGCTCTCTTCAGTATAGAGAAATGCAGAATTTAAAAAGTATTGTAGGGGAAGATAATAACAAATGTAGTTGACTGCATTAAATATATATTGTTACACACTTACATATTGTATTTCAATGTATACCTACATAAAAATATTTTATAGTTTATATAAAATATATAATATACACATGCAGGGGTATCCTAAATTAAAAGAGATTGTGACTGTTTGAATGTGAAACAATTATTGGTTTCCCAAATATCTATAGGAGTAAAGGAGGCTGAGGAAACTTCTCAGTTCCCAAGGAAGCCATGTTCTGCACTGCTCTCTTCAAATTCAGAAAAGGATAATGGAAAAGAAAGGTACACTCAGAAGATTAAATAAAGATTCATAGAGAATAATGAATTGGAGCCTGTTATGGGAAGTGGAACTTGGGTTCCATCAATACACATTACCAATCTTTAGGGTAAGAAATTGCCTAATATTTGCCCAAAAGAAATTAAGAACTTTTATAGTCAAGTTATTCTTGATGCTTCCCATTTTCCACATGTCAAAACGGTCTGTATATTAGTGTGTGTGGGGATGCAAAATTTGTCTTTTTAGCACATAGGTCTCTGATTAAGAGGAGCTGTAATGGGATTTGGGGTATTGGTAAAATTTTGCAGTATATTCATTGGGGAAAGAAATAGAATATTTTATGCACAGAAGAGAGATGGAAATACTTGTGATCAAGAGAGAAGTCTTTGGTAGGTCACATTATTTTTCACAACTATTAACTTCTCCTTCTCTGTGAGAGGTTTATACTTGCTCATTAATCGCTGTGTTACTTGTTAATGGCACCTATGGGAGGAACTTTTTTTTTTTTGAAACGGAATCTGGCTCTGTCGCCCAGGCTGGAGTGCAGTGGCAAGATCTCGGCTCACTGCAACCTCCGCCTCCCAGGCTGAAGTGATTCTCCTGCCTCAGCCTCCCAGGTAGCTGGAATTACAGGTGCCTGCCACTGCACCTGGCTAATTTTTGTATATTCAATAGAGACGGGGTTTCACCATGTTGGCCAAGCTTGTCTCAAACTCCTGACCTCAGGTGATCCGCCTGCCTTGGCCTCCCAAAGTGCTGGGATTACAGGCATGAGCCACTGTGCCTGGCCTATGGGAGGAATTTACATCTACCATACACTGACATGAAGTATAGCCTCGTAACATGCTTTGGTTAAGATTACTAGTAAACATGGTGTATTCCACAGATAATCAAAGCTCTTAAAGGCATTTCAAGTTCCTACCTGCTCTCTTGCCCCTCAGTCTTTGGTCATAAGAATGTACAGGGCCCACATGGGAGATGCACTTTTTGTATAGATCTCAGAATACAAAAACTCTAAGGTCAGAGATAAAACACATCCACAGACTAGAGTAAAGCACAGATGAAACCTGTCAGTGGAATGAGAAATAAACATTTCGCTTTTTAAAAAGGTATAAAGAAGAGAAGTGTTCTAACCACAAAACCACCATTTCCCTGCTTATATTTCAGTAGAGAGCAAGATTCAATTGAAAGCAAGATTTTTAAAGCCCCACACTCTTTTATTTTTATTTATTTGTTTATTTATTTATTTATTTTGAGACAGAGTCTTGCTCTGTTGCCCAGACTGGAGTGCAATGGCGCAATCTTGGCTCACTGCAAGCTCTACCTCCCAGGTTCAAGCGATTCTACTGCCTCAGCCTCCCAGGTAGCTGGGATTACAGGCGTGTGCCACCATGCCCGGCTAATTTTTGTATTTTTAGGAGAGATGGGGTTTCTCCATGTTGCTCAGGCTGGTCTTGAACTCCCAACCTCAGGTGATCCGCCTGCCTTGGCCTCCCAAAGTGCTGGGATTACAGGCATGAGCCACCACGTCTGGACTTATTTTTATTTTTATTTTTATTGTTTTTTTTTTTTTGAGATGGAGGCTCATTCTGTTGCCCAGGCTGGAGAGCAATGGTGTGATGTCTGCTCATTGCAACCTCTGCCTCCAGGTTTCAAACAATTCTCCTGCCCCAGCCTCCTGAGTAGCTGGGATTATAGGCTCCTGCCAGCATGCCTGGCTAATTTTTATATTTTTAGTAGAGATGAGATTTCACCATGTTGGCCAGGCTGGTCTCAAACTCCTAACCTCAGGTGATCCACCCCCCTCAGCCTCCCCAAGTGCTGGGATTACAGGCGTGAGCCTGCATGCCCGGCCAAGACCCACACTCTTTAAAAGTGAGGGTTTGTTCTATTTGAAATATGGCACACTCAGACCCACACTTTTTAGGGAAGAGAGTCTGTGCTATTTGAAATATATATGCACATACTTATAATTTGTAATACAATTCAAGATATATATCATGCTAGATTCCATGCAGGAGCAGAAAATAAGACTACAGCTCAACCTTATGTTCAATACTGTAAGAACAACCTTTTGCAAATCAGGTCTCTCTGGGCTTCAGATTCTTCATCAGTCAAACAGAAATATATACCCTGTGTAACAATCCTTGAGGATGTTTTGAAGATCCAAAAAGATACAAAATGTCAAAATATTTTATAAGATTTACATCAATATGCAAATTGTGTTGTATGAAATTAAAAAGATGTACTCTTCAGCAACACTGATACTAGGGAGAGCCATTCTCTCCTTGAAAATGAAATAGTTGTTTGCATTTTACATGGAGAATGTGTTTGTTTCACATTCAAATATGCAAAACTTCCATTAAAATATTGCAAAGGAAAACATGCACTTGTATAAAAGAAACGTAAGGCTCTGTGCATATACCAACACATCCTTGAGCAGAGAACAATTACATGTAGGCAATAAAAAGACCACAGATTTGATCACCCTTAAAGTACAGCAGAAACTGATATCCATATAAAGATTGTTTGCTAAAATTGTATTCAGTTGCTCTGGAGACCAAAATTCTAATTTTCATCACTTTCTGAACATGATTTTTGCTTTTTCAAAGAAGCAAATACTGAATGCTTTTTATTATTCTTTCTTAAATCCCTTACCAACAACACTTTATATCCAATTACAATGAAAAGAGGGACTATTTTATTTAAATCTTCGTCATTTTACATTGTGTGAGAGAAGATGATTCAAGATAAGTGATGAGAACTGAATTCCAATGATGTGCTAAATACTGAGCCAGTCAAGGTGCTGAAATGTATTGCTCATTTAATCTGTCACTGAGTTTCTGTTTAAAACAAGTGTGCAAATTTTGGGGCATATTGACCTACTGTATATTTTTGTGATAAGAAGATAAAAAGTACAGGAACTTTTTTCTCATTAGGTGATTATTTCCTTAACTGCAAGTTATTAATACAGCTCACTGAAAAACTACCAATGACATTCTTCACAGAATTATAAAAAACATTATTCTAAAATTCATATGGAACCAAAAAAGAGACCTATTAGCCAAAGCTAATCTTTGCTTAGTCAAAGCAATCCTAAGCAAAAAGAACAAAGCTGGAGGCATCACATTACCCAACCTGAAACTATACTAGAAGTCTACAGTAATTAAAATAGCGTGGTACTGGTATGAAAACAAACACATAGTCCAATGGAACAGAATAGAGAGCCCAGAAATAAAGCTGATCTTTGACAACCACCTGATCTTTGACAAAATTAACAAAAACAAGCAAAGGCAAAAGGATTCCCTATTCAATAAATGGTGCTGGGATAACTGGCTAGCCACATGCAGAAGACTGAAACTGGACCCCTATTTATACCATATACAAATATCAACTCAAGATAGATTAAATACCTAAATGTAAATCCCCAAACTATAAAAACCCTCAAAGAAAACCCAGGCAATACCATTCTGGACATAGGCCCTGGTAAAGATTTCATGACAAAGAAGCCAAAAACAATGGCAACACAAGCGAAAATTGTCAAATCTAATTAAACTTATGAGCGTCTGTGCAGCAAAAGAAACTATCAACAGAGTAAACAGGTAATCCACAGAACGGGGGAAAATATTTGCAAACTATGCATCCGTCAAAGGGCTAATAACCAGAACCTATAAGGAACTTAAGTAAATTAACAAGCAAAATCTAACAGCCCCATTAAAAAGTGGGCAAAGGACATGAACAGTCGCGTTTCAAAAGAAGACATACATGTGACCAGCAAGCATATAAAAAATGCTCAACATCACTAATCATCAGAAAAATGTAAATTAAAACCACTATGAGATATCATGTCACACCAATGAGAATGGCTATTATTAAAAGGTCAAAAAATAACAGATGCTGGCGAGGTTGCACAGGAAAGGGAACCCTTATACACTGCTGGTGGGAATGTAAATTAGTCCAGCCACTGTGGAAAGCAATTTGGTGATTTCTCAAAGAACTTAAAACAGAACTACCATTTGACCCAACAATCCCATTATCGGGTATATAAAGGAATAGATACCATTTTATCATAAAGACGCATACATGTGCATGTTTATTGCTGTGCTGTTCACACTAACAAAGACATGGAATCAGCCTAGATGCCCATCTGCAGCAGACTGGATAAAGAAAATGTGGTACATATACACCATAAAATACTATGCAGTCATAAAAGAGAACAAAATCTTGTCCTATGCAGCAATACGGATGGAGCTGGAGGCCATTATCCTAAGCGAATTAACACAGGGACAGAAAAACAAATGTCACATGTTCTCACTCATAAGCGGAAGCTAAACATTGGGTACTCATGGACGTAAAGATGACAACAATAGACACTGGGAACTACTAGAGGGGTGAAGGATTGGGGAGCAAGGGTTGAAAAACTATCTATTGGATACTATTCTCACTACCTGGGTGATGGAATCATTTATATACCAAACCTCAGCATCACACAATATGCTCATGTAGAAAACCTGCACAGGTACCCCCTGAATATAAAATAAAAGTTGTAATTATTTAAAAAATAAATAAAATGAGGTAGGAGATGGAGAAATTTGATTATAAGGTCACACAATGTGGTAATCACATCCACTTTCTTAGATAATTTAAGTTCTCTCACTCATCTCACTCAAATTTTCATTTACATAATATGCACTTGATCTCTTTCCCAGTTATTTTCTGTTTTAGTATTTGGTAATTTACTCTTTACAAAAATGTCTTTTTTGAATAAAAAGCATTAAAATGTGATTTGTCCTACCTAATTTTAAAATATATTTAAAAGATCAAATAATTTAAAAGGTGTGATGTTAGTTTGAGAAAGTTCTGATGACTCAATGCAGCAAAATTTCAACGCAGAAATTGAATTCGGTTACTTTAGAATTCGAAAACCTAAGAATGATACAAGGGACTTAGGGGGCTCCCATGGAAAGGATGGGAGGGGTACAGATTTTCTATTTGGTTTTCTGTTCCTGCATTACTTTGCTTAGGATAATGACCTCCAGTACCATCAGTGTTGTTGCTAAGAACAATGGTGTTTCATAGATTTTCTTCCTGGATTCCTATAGTTTGTGATCTTATAGTCTTGTTATGTATTTCTAAGAATTTATCCATTTCTTCTATGTTGTCCAACCTGTTGGCTTATAATTTTTGATAGTAATCTCTTATAAACCTTTGTGTTTCTGTGATATCAATTGTAGTGTCTATTCTTTCTATTACAATTTCATTAAATCTTCTCTTTTTTTCTTAGTCTAGCTAAAGTTTTGTTAAATTTGTTTATCTTTTCAAAAAACCAACTTTTGGTTTCATTTCAAATATAGTATTTTAATGAATGTTATGTACCCATTAAAAGGCAATCCTTCGGTGTTTCTATATTTCGTGTAACAATGCTCAGTAAATATTGTGTCTTTAAAAAACGTACCTAGATTCCTGCATTATCTTACTAACTTGTTCAGCCCACTTACCTCAGCTCTCTTCCTTCTGTAATGTGCAGTGCACACTGCATCAGGTAACATCTAAAATGCATGAGATATGATGACATTAACATGACAGATCATGCTGAAATTCTCTAGTCTTTCCATTGTCTACGAGTTAAAACTCTGACTCTTTAACATGGACTAAAAGCTCTACATGATCCGGCTTTCTCTTACCACCTAGCTTCATCTTTTCCCATTTAACTCCTGTCCCTCCAATTTTGTGCACTGTGCAGTTTCACATCCAGGTCATGCTTTGTGGTGACCCTGGACCTTTGTACAGGCCAATCCCTTTGCCTGAAACATTTCCCACCTTTTCTATCTATTCCTAATTACAGTCGGCATAGAATGGAATATAATCCAAATTCCTCATCTTGCCTAAAGGCCTTGCAAGACCTAGCCTCCACCCCTAGTTCCAGCCAATAAGCCCTCTTCTCACTCCTGTGGACACCAAGTCCTTTACCATCCCCCGTTTTCCATGCATGCCATTCTTCCCACTTACAAGTTTGGTGTCTTTGCTCTGCTCTTCATCTACTTTACTCTTATATGCTTCTGGTCTCATTTCACATACACTTTCCTCAGGGAAAATTTTCTCAAATTTATCTTTACATTGGAGTAGAAACTCTGTTATACATTATCTAAGCTCCTTGTAGTTTTTCTTCATAGTTTTTTTTAAATCACATTTTCTAATCATATGTCTTTATCTGATTTTAAAAATTAATGTCTATTATCTACAAAAGACTTTATAATCAGTGGAAGCATAGCACTTTTCCTTGACAAGAAATCAAATCTTTCATCTAGACCTCCTGGCAGATAGCAAAACAGGTAACTTAGCAGTCATTTGATAAACACTTTTAACATTTTTAAATTTTTGCCAATTTTGATTTATGCAATTAAATTGGCTGTTTGTAAGAGCTCAGCAGGAGAAACAATATGGTTTTATGCCCACTAGTTATACAGTCAAACTTTATTATATCATAATCATTCCTCAACAGTCAGGAATGAGAATGCCGATTCCTTTTGCAATGATGATGCTAAAGAAAATATGTATTTACAATAGGACATGAAATGTGTCAAATACAGAATATCCAACATTAGTGGTAAAGCCAGTGAGTTTATCTGGCTTTCTTTTCTTTCTTTTTTTTAACTTTTATTCCAGTTTCAGTATTACATGTGCAGGTTTGTAATATAGTTAAAATACATGTCATGGGGGTTTGGTGCCATGATTATTTCATTACCCAGGTAATAAACATAGTACCTGATACAGTTTTTTGATCCTCACCCTCCTCCCACCCTCCACTCTCAAGTAGGTCCCAGTGTCTACTGTTCCCTTCTTTTTGTCCATGTGCACTCAAAATTTAGCTCCCACTTATAAGAGAGAGCAAGAAGCATTTGATTTTCTTTTCCTGTGTTAGTTTGCTTAGGATAATGACACCCAGGTCCATCCATGTTGCTGCAAAGGACAATGGTGTTTCCTAGTTTTCTTCTAAGATTGTTATAGTTTGTGACCTTACATGTAAATCTTCAATCCATCTTGATTTGGTTTTTCTATATGGTGAAATGTAATAGTACAGTTTAATTCTTCTGCACACAGCTAGTCAGCTATCCCAGCACCATTTATTGAATAGGGAATCCTTTCTGCACTACTTATTTTTGTCAACTTTGTTGAAGACCAGATGGCTGTAGGTGTGTTACTTTATTTCTCAGCTCTCAAACCTGTTCCATTGGTCTATGTAACTGTGTTTGTGCCAGTACTATGCTGTTTTAGTTACTGTAGCATTGTAGTATATTTTGAAGTTGGTTAATGTGATGCCCCCAGCTTTCTTCTTTTTGCTTAGGATTGCTTTGGCTAATTGGGCTCTTTTTTGGTTCCACATGAATTTTAGAACAGTTTTTTTTTCTAGTTCTGTGAAAAATGACAGTAGTTTGATAGGAATAGCATTGAACTTGTAGATTGAGCAGTATGACCATTTTAACAATATTCATTCTTCCAATCAATGAGCTTAGAATGTTTTCCCATTTGTTTGTGTCATCTATGACTTCTTTCAACAATGTTCTGTAGTTTTCCTTGAAGAGAACTTTCACCTCCTTGATTCGATGTATTTATAGGCATTTTATTTTTTGTATGTGGCTATTTTAAATGGGATTGTGTTCTTGATTTGGCTCTCAGATGGAATCTTATTGTTCTATCTCACTTTAAAGAGATAGAACTGAATTTTGGGAGTACTGTTTGCCCTTAGTTAGATAAGTCATTAATAATAAATATAAAATACTAAGACAGTTGATTTAATTTTTGACTTAATTTTTATGTGTCTCTGGGAATTATTTTCTGGATTTCAGAATTTATAATCCCAACTCAGAATGAATGATTTTGAGATAGTTACATTCATGTAATAATATCATGAGGCCAATGAATTAAGTGTCTGGCTTGAGGAAAGAGCATTTAAGTACTGTCACGTCAGTGTCTCATGGAAAGTCCTAGAATGGAAAGGGGTGAAGTTCTCTTTTACCTTTTTAGAATAAAAGTGAATTATTTTTAAGGAAGTGTTACACTTTAGAAGCTGCAAACAATTATTCACACCTTAAGCAAATAAAGGAGGAAGCTTAATTGAGGAATGAAGGAAAATGCAAGAGAATATTAGGAACATGGGTAAGGAGGTAGGAGAAGCTCCCTCAGAGGTAGAGATTAGCTGAAAAAATGTGAGTCTGAGAGTTCACATTTCCTGGTTTGCCTGTGTTTCATTCAATATTGGAACAAGCCATTTTATTTTTCAAATAGACTTTGTAGCTGGTCTATATGCACATCTTTTTGCTCTAAAATTACATTTTCCATTACCAAGAAGCAGACTGTCACCCTAGTAACACAAGTATCGTATCTCACATGCAAACACCTGCATTCTTTGAAGAGAACATCACACATTCATTGCAGATAATAAAGTGATCAGAAAAGGTGATGTTTTCAAGTGTTTTTTAAAGGAAGGTATGAACTTGAAAAAAATGCCCAAAGGATATATCTATTATAAAAGGTAAGGAAAATTTCACCTTTATAAGTTATAATTGGAGGCTAATTATTACATGTTTACCTTCTAAGTACTTATTACATATATTGTTACTAAAAGCCTATGCTTATGTATATTCATATTTCTGACTTCTTACATAAACATTAGCGTATTATACAAATTTTCTCCACCTTTGTTTATTCACTTTCAATATATCCTAGAGATCACAGCATAGAAGTATGTAGTTATTCCTTACTTATTTTTAAAACTGAAGGCCCGGTGTGGTGGCTAACGCCTGTAATCTCAGCACTTTGGGAGGCCAAGGCGGGCGGATCACGAGGTCAAGAGATTGAGACCCATCCTGGCCAACATGGTGAAACCCCATGTCTACTAAAAATACAAAAATTAGCCAGGCATGGTGGCGGGTGCCTGTAATCCCAGCTACCCGGGACGCTGAGGCAGGAGGAGAATCGCTTGAACCCAGGAGGAAGAGGTTGCAGTGAGCCGAGGCAACACCATTGCACTCCAGCCTGGGCGACAGAGCAAGACTCCGTCTCAAAAAAAAAAAAAAAAAAAAAAAAAAAAAAAAAACTGGAATTTTTAAGGGCTCTTCAGACTCTGACATTTATGTTTTCTGTAGAGTCATGGAAAGAAATTATATCTATCTATTATTCGTGCTGTATTTGTCTTTTTTCTTTAAGCTTGTTTTCAAAGTATACTGCTTTGTTCAGCAGTTTCTTACAGATAATCTATTTTTTAAAAAATTACAAAGTGGGAGGTCTGTCTCCAAAATGTCTACATTCTCTTTCTTTTGTCATAAGGAAATTGCCCTCTTCTCCAATCAACAATTACAGTGAACCTACTATGTCTTCTCACTTGGTTAAGTACTAGGTATTCAATAGTGACCATTATATTTGTTGCACTCCAGGTGGTTAAAATGTAGCTTACAACAACAGACAAGCTACAGAGATGATCAATGATGTTAGAATTTCTATTAAAGAAGTCTCTAGCATTTGAGGATGATAGTAGCATATAAAATAAATAGAAATGAATCAACTTTATTCATAATGTAAAGATTCAAATGAATAGATTTTTTAGATAATAAAACCTGCATCAGATATAAAAATGGAATTTTTAACTATCAAGCTATACTAAATGAACTGATATATCCAAACCCATCACAGTCAGAGAACTGTTTCTTCCACAGAAGTCAGGGAAGATGTCTCCCCATGAGCGTACCTGCTCAGAGTAGGGTTATGTGCATGAAAGGTGATCTGAGACATAGATAGAACAAAGTTGTGCCATGCATAAGCCGTGACTCTTTATTCAATTCATTAATCAGATAAGTCACATGTTTCCCTTGGAGAGATGCACATGAGAGAATAAGTGAGATAAGATGCCCTATATTATGAAGAACTGCAGAGTGGTATTGAACGAGGAATGAAGGAATGAAAGAACATGATGTATTTATGAAAATGAAAATGATTCCACAGGGCTGTAGCTGCAGTTACTGGAACTCCAGTGTTATATTAAATCACACAGTGCTGCACATTATTGCTACTACCGATTTATGATCTCTACTATACCAAGTTCCCAAAGATGACAGAAATTATTCTCTGAATCCTTAGGTCTCTCCCTCCATCTTCCACATTTGTTCTTTTAACACGTATCCATTTTGCCAAGAACATATTTTATCATTTTTAACGTTTTTCTGAGAAAAAAAAAGTCTGCCTTTTATTCACATAGAAAATATGACATAAGACAAAAATTTACTTAACTGCTCCTCCCACCAACATTTGACTTTCTGGTATTCTACCATTTGTATTCTTATTTCTCTCTATTTTAGAAGAGTTGGCCTTTTACGTGATTAAGAGTTATGCTATCACCTTTACTACAGATCCCATCTCTTCCCATTACTTTGTAAACATTACATTTTTTTCTTGATCTTTAACTCATCTCACTTTACCAAATTCTTACCATCACTTAAAAAAGTGTTTTCACTATTTTATTTAAAATTGTGGATACATGTTATGTAAAAATGTATCCAGTTCCATCTCAAATACAGAGATGTACACATTAAAAAATATTTTTCACCTTGACACAAACAAAAGGAAATCTCCTGCTAACTTTTGAATTTGTTTGCTTTTGCTTCTCTAATTCTTTTAATTGTGATGTTAGGGTGTCGATTTTAGATCTTTCCTGCTTTCTCCTGTGGGAATTTAGTGCTGTAAATTTCCATCTAAACACTGCTTTAGCTGTGTCCCAGAGATTCTGGTATGTTGTGTCTTTGTTCTCATTGGTTTCAAAGAACTTATTTACTTCTGCTTTCATTTCGTTATTTACCCAGTAGTCATTCAGGAGCAAGTTGTTCAGTTTCCATGTAGTTGTGCTGTTGTGAGTGAGTTTCTCAATCCTGAGTTCTAGTTTGATTGCACTGTAGTCTGGGAGACTGTTTGTTATGATTTCTGTTCTTTTGCATTTGCTGAGGAGTGTTTTACTTCCAATTATGTGGTCAATTTTAGAATAAGTGCAATGTGATGCTGAGAAGAATGTATATTCTGTTGATTTATGGTGTAGAGCTCTGTGGATGTCTATTAGGTCTGCTAGGTCCAGAGCTGAGTTCAAGTCTTGAATATCCTTGTTAATTTTCTGTCTCATTAATCTGTCTAATATTGACAGTGGGGTGTTAAAGTCTCCCACTATTATTGTGTGGGAGTCTAAGTCTCTTTATAGGTCTCTAAGGACTTGCTTTATGAATCTGGTGCTCCTGTATTGGATGCATATGTATTTAGGATAGTTAGCTCTTCTTGTTATGTTGATCCCTTCATCCTAAGCAAAAAAAACAAAGCTGGAGGCAGCACACTACCTGACTTCAAACTATAAAACAAGGCTAGAGTAACCAAAAGAGCATAACCAAAAGAACATGATACTGATACCAAAACAGATATATAGACCAATGGAACAGAACAAAGGCCTCAGAAATAACACCACACATCAACAACCATTTGATCTTTAAAAAACCTGACAAAAACAAGCAATGGAGAGATAATTCCCTATTTAATAAATGGTGTTGGGAAAACTGGCTAGCCATATGCAGAAAACTGAAACTGGACCCCTTCGTTACACCTTATACAAAAATTAACTCAAGATGGATTAAAGACTTAAACGTAAGACCTAAAACCATAAAAACCCTAGAAGAAAACCTAGGCAATACATTCAGGACATAGGCATGGGCAAAGACTTCATGACTAAACCACCAAGAGCAATGACAACAAAAGCCAAAATAAATGGGATCTAATTAAACTAAAGAGCTTCTGCACAGCAAAGGAAACTATCATCAGAGTGAACACGCAACCTAGAGAATGGGAGAAAATTTTTGCAATCTACCCATCTGACAAAGGGCTAATATCCAGAATCTACAAGGAACTTAAACAAATTTACAAGAAAAAAACAAACAATCCCATCAAAAAGTGGGCAAATGATATGAACAGACACTTCTGAAAAGAAGACATTTATGTGGCCAACAAACATATGAACAAAAGCTCATCATCACTGGTCGTTAGAGAAATGCAAATCAAAACCACAATGAGATACCATCTCATGCCAGTTAGAATGGTGATCATTAAAAAGTCAGGAAACAACAGATGCTGTAGAGGATGTGGAGAAATAAGAATGCTTTTACACTGTTGGTTAGTGTAAGTTAGTTCAACCATTGTGGAAGACAGTGTGGCAATTCCTCAAGGATCTAGAACCAGAAATACCATTTGACCCAGCAAGCCCATTACTGGGTATACACCCAAAGGATTATAAATCATTCTACTGTAAAGACACATGCACACTTAATGTTTATTGCAGCACTATTCACAATAGCAAAGACTTGGAACCAACCCAAATGCCCATCAAGGATAGACTGGATAAAGAAAATGTGGCACATATGCACCATGGAATACTATGCAGCCATAAAAAAGGATGAGTTCTTGTCCTTTTCAGGGACATGAAGCTGGACACCATAATTCTCAGCAAACTAACACAGGAACAGAAGCGCAAACACTGCATCTTCTCACTCAAAAGTGGAAGTTGAACAGTGAAAACACATGGGCACAGGGAGGGAACATCACACACTGGGGCCTGTTGGGTGTTGGGGGTCCTAGGGGAGAGATAGCATTAGGAGAAATACCTGATGAAGACGATGGGTTGCTGTGTGTAGCAAAACACTGTGGCATGTGTATACCTATGTAACAAACCTGCATGTTCTGCACATGTATCCCAGAACTTAAAGTATAATAACAATAAAAAGAAAATGTCCAAATGCACAGGTATAAGATTAGCAAGTAGAAATGCTAATTTCTATGGGAAAGAGCCCATAAGGAATCGAGATTAAATATAGACCCAGCTACCTGGGTATGAGGATTTTAAGTTCTATTACCAGGGATAGAAGCTTTTCTGAAATGATGGAATGAAGACCTTAGGAAATCTGCTTCTCCATAAAAGCAATGAAAGCACTAACAAAATAAACTTCTTCGGAACTCTGAAAATTAACCAAAGACTTGAAACAATCCAAAGAGTGTTATTTAGAAAAACAGCTGGATCTCGGTAATAACATCGAGCTTTGTGACATTTTAACTTGCCCTAATTCCATATCCTCTCCCCAGCTCCATAGCAGCCTTGAAAATAAACAGCATGGCTGTGAATCCAGCAGCCAAGCAGCCACTGGAGGTGGAAGAACAGATTTGAAGCTTCCCAAAAGCCTCGCCCACAGAGAAGGAAATGTCGCTATTTGACCTCTCAGGCAGCTCACTGAAAAGCTTCATTCTAGAGCTTTTCCTTATTTGACCTGGTTCAGAACTCACTCTGAGTGAGCAGCCCTATTTCCAGCCAATTTTTCAGAAACAATCAGTAGCAAGATTTTAACATTGCAGCAGCCTGAGGTGGTGCTGCTAGCTCGGGCTAACAAGGGGCTGACTGAAAACATTGAAAGAAAAAACTGAGGAAAGAGATGTCCTTGCGGTCCTTTCAAAATCTATGCCATGTTCTTTAGACTCTAGAAGGCCACATTAATGAGCAGAGTTGTTCATCTGTTCAGGAAAGGCCTGAAAAGGCACTAACCTCTCATCTCATAAGGAAATGCAGTGGACCCAGAATAGTCAAAACAATCTTGAATATTGAAGAATAAAAGTAGATATTTATGCTTTCTGGTTTCAAAACTTACTACAAAGCTACAGTAGTTGACACTATGTGGTACTGACATAAAGACAAATATATGGACCAATGGAATATAATTTAAAGTTCAGAAACAAAGTTCAGAAATATTGAGCCATACATTCATGCAGAATCACTTTTTTTACAAGGGTGCCAAGACAGTTCAATAGGGAGAGAAAACAGTCTTTTCAACAAATAGTGTGCTGGGACGACAGGACATCTATTTGTGAAAGAATGAAGTTAGACCCTTATCTCACACAATATACAAAAATGAACTTAAAATGGATCATATACCTAGATGTAAAAGCTAAAATTCTTTGAAGAAAACATAGGAGTAAATTTTTGTGACCCTGTATTAGGTAATGACTTCTTAGAAATGACTCCAAAGTGCAAATGAGTTTTTTTAAAACAAGATAAATTGAGCTACACCAAATTGTAAACATTTATGCTTCAGACGATACCATCAAAAAAAGGAAAAGACAGTCCACAGAAAAGGCAAAGATATTTGTAAATCCTATATCAAATAAGGAACTTGTATCCAGAATATATAAAGAATGATTACAACTCAACAATAAAAACACAAATCATTTATTTCCCACTAGGAGAGATAACACATGCATTAAAGAAGTAGGTACTAAATTATCACATAAAATAAATAAAGCTTGGAATCAGGGAAAGAGAGAATGGAGGAAAGCAAAATATTTGAGAAGGGGGAGAGAGGAAAAGAGAGACAGAGAAAGTGGGGGGTAACCTTGGATGGAAAAAGAATCATCATCACCAGTGGCACACAACCTCTAACATATGTGAGAGTGAAGTCTAAATGTGTGGTATGCACATAGTTACAGAAATCTCAAGCTGAGAATTGAGCATAACTATTGCATGAATGAAATAAATAAGGTCCCAGCAGACGTACACAGGAAACTTCAAAATAAGTATGTTACTCAAATTTCAAGCTTCCACATCTCAAAGTATGTGAAATTCCTCTTTAAAATAACACAATTACAAATCAAATTGTCGTGAAAAAAAAAAAATCTTCCTTTTGGCATTCTCCTCCCAGTCTCTGGCTCAGGAAAACTCCTTTCTCTGTTTCCTCTGGCTAGGAAGTTGTCAGGTTTCTATCTGAGTTTTAGCCTCCAGTGCCCCTACACAGTTCTGGGAAGGGTCCTCAAATTCAGGGCAAAGCCATGAGATGAGGCTTTGCCCTGAATTTGGAAATTCAGGGCATCGTGAGGCCGGGCGCAGTGGATCATGCCTGTAATCCCAGCACTTTGGGAGGCTGAGGTGGGTGGATCACCTGAGGTCAGGAGTTTGAGACCAGCCTGGCCGACATGGTGAAACCCCGTCCCTATTAAAAATTCAAAAATTAGCTGGACGTGGTAGCGGGCGCCTATAATCCCAGCTACTCAGGAGGCTGAGGCAGGAGAATCGCTTAAACCCGGGAGGCGGAGGTTGCAGTGAGCCGAGATGGCGCCATTACACCCCAGCCTGGGTGACAGTGAGATTCCACTTAAAAACAAACAAACAAAAACATCGTGAAACAAAACAGGAAATCCTCCTCATCAAGTCATTTCTTCAAATTTTGTTATTCGACAGTACACCTGTTTTTGTTTATTTTTGCATATCCTCAATTGGTCAATTTTGTAATTTTTTCCAGATGTGTTAGCTGTGTTTTTAAGGAGCTTACTCTGCCACAGTGGATCTAGAACTTCCAAGAATGGTCATTGGCGCCGGGCGCAGTGGCTCACGCCTGTAATCCCAGCACTTTGGGAGACCGAGGTGGGCGGATCACGAGGTCAGGAGATCGAGACCATCCTGGCTAACACAGTGAAACCCCGTCTCTACTAAAAATACAAAAAATTGGCCGGGTGTGGTGGCGGGCGCCTGTAGTCCCAGATACTCGGGAAACTGAGGCAGGAGAATGGCGTGAACCCGGGAGGCGGAGCTTGCAGTGAGCTGAGATCGCGCCACTGCACTCCAGCCCGGGCGGCAGAGCAAGACTCCGTCTCAGAAAAAAAAAAAAAAAAAAAAAAGAATAGTCATTTGCATTCCATGATTTAGATTATTTTGTGTGTAGAAGTGACTAGAAAAAAATTTTAGAAAATTCAAAAATTTTTCTCAGTGTAGCCAGGATTATCATAGAATAATGAAAGTACAGTCATAGAATGATCACAGGAAACCAAAGGATGAGGAAATACTACAACCCATAGAGTGGATGTGATTAGTAGAAGGGGGAAAGATTAAAGTTATTTTCTGATTGTTCCAAATTTGTTCCAATTATAGGATAAAAATTCAAATATGAAAAGAAAGTTAACAAACAGGTAGAATAGATTGTGATGTATGTGTGTGTGTGTATATATATATATATATATATATATATATATATATATATATATAAAACCTCTAATAAATTACAAACAAGAACATATCCAATAATTTATCCACAAAAATATCACCAAATTTTGACGAGTATAAATGAGAGTTCATAATGAAAGTCATAATTTAGAGATTTGTTCAGTAACAATGAAAAGCATGAGGCTCTGTAGTGACTCACATGCCCGTAAAGGTCTTGTGTATCACTTTTTAAAAACATTTATAGCTACATTTTTATTTTTATTTATTTTTTGTCATTTTTATTTATTTTTTTATTTATTTTTATTTTTATTATTATTTTTTGAGACGAAGTCTTGCTCCGTCTCAATTGCTCCCGGCTGGAGTGCAATGGCACGATCTTGGCTCACTGCCATCTCTACCTCCCAGGTTCAAGCGATTCTCCTGCCTCAGCCTCCCAAGTAGCTGGGATTACAGGAGCCCGCCACCACGCTCGGCTAGTTTTTGTATTTTTAGTAGAGACAGGGTTTCACCTTATTGGCCAGGCTGGTCTCGATCTCCTGACCTCAAGTGATCCCCCTGGCTCGGCTTCCCAAAGTGCTGGGATTACAGGCGTGAGCCACCGCGCCCGGCCAGCTACATTTTTAAAATGTCCACTAAGTGAAAACGTAATAGATTGTGGTAGTAATATAATAAAAAGCAAAATTTCAAATAAATACGCTGCCTTTATACCTATTAAATAGTAACATTCTATAAACAATAAAATATGTATTTCATGAAAATTTGTACATAAATTATAGAAATTAATAAACCAATATTGCGTGTTGTTTTGGAGAACATATATTCAACCTTAGTATTAGAAAAACATGAAGAGAATATATACGCCCTTCAATATTGATTGTTCAGATGTATCTAAGTCCTGAGTGTATGCCAATCAAAAGACAGATGTGAAGGTTAACGTCACATTAAATACAAAGGGGAGAAAGAATAAAACACCTACTCAGTTCAAACATAACCCCCAAATTGAAAGTCAAAAGAGCTGGGGATTGAATTGTTGGCAATGATTTGCAATTAAGCAGCTGCTCACATCGGCAGATCTATGTAATTGACTGAAGGGTAAGTAACAGCAGCATTTTATTTAATGCTGTTTAATCACTCTCCTGAGTAATTCTGACTAGTCCAGCTAATGCTAACAGAAAATAAGAGTGTTATTAAGCATGCAGATGGGGAGAAAAGTTTATTATTCACATATATATAGTAAAACAAAATTTAAAAAATACAGAAGAGTGAAAAGCTAAAAACAAAAACCAAAGGACACAATTTAGTGTTGTGGTTACATTTCTGGGTGAGGAAAGAGAATGGGATCAGGAAGGATATACAGGACACATGGCAAATTCAGGGACAATTTGTTTAAAGTATAGGGGTGCCTATTGTATTGTCATTCTTCGTATCTTAGGCATATTGTTTAATTATTATTTTGTACCTTTCTTTTTTTTAATTTACTTTTTTTTTTATTTTTTTGAGATGGAGTCTCGCTCTGTCGCCCAGGCTGGAGTGCAGTGGTGTGATCTGGGCTCACTGCAACCTCCGCTCCTGGGTTCACGCTATTCTCCTGCCTCAGGCTCCCAAGTAACTGGGACTACAGGCGCCCACCACCATGCCTGGCTAATTTTTTTGTATTTTTAGTAGAAACGGGGTTTCACCGTGTTAGCCAGGATGGTCTCAATCTCCTGACCTCGTGATCCGCCGGCCTCGGTCTCCCGAAGTGCTGGGATTACAGGCGTGAGCCACCGTGCCCGGCCTCAAATATTTCTTATTAAAAAAGCTTTTTTAGCCTAATTTAACTACTTCTTCAGGATTAAAAGTTACATGCAATTATTTATTTTAAAAATCTGTCTAGTGTCTCTTTGCATTCAAAAAGTATAAAACCCATAGGAACCAGAACTCGGCTGTTCTAGTTCCTATGGGGTTTATACTTTTTGAGTGCAGAGAGTGCACCTTTCTTTAATAATAAATGATTATAAATAAAATGGGAAGAAGACATTGAGGCATTTCATAGAACAGAAAATAAATGACCAATTAAAAAAGGAAATATACTTAACCTTATTGGTGAATAAGGAAATACAAAGTAAAACCTCAATAAGAAACCATTTCAAATCCATCAAAGTAACAACTGAGAAGCTGGGTGATATCTTCAATTTTGATGATGTAGTATGACAAGAACACTCACTGGTTACTAATGGGAATATATATAGGTACAAACACTTCAGGAAAGAGTTGGGAATTTCTTAGTATATTTTAAATGTGGCAACTTTTGACACAAATATTTAAGTTTTAGGTGTAAAATCCAGATAAACTCTTGTACATGTACACTCAGACACAATGAGATATGGACAACAAGGGTAAATGTAGCACCGTTCAAAACAATTTCATCTTAAGAACACACTAAGCTCCTTATATAGACAGTGCTGTTCTATATAGCTCATTAACTATGTAACAGGGGTTGAAAAGAAAAAAGGAAATCTTAGTAACAATTTTTGCACATAGTAAAATAACTTACATGAATACTAGTGTGTTTTAGTTTACAAACCAAATTTACAACCATTAAACCTATTTTCATTTGCTCATCTTTATCATCTTAGAAAGAGATAAAACAGGGATCATTATCACCATTTTACAGCTCAGAAGACAGATGATTAAGAGAATTTGTCATTTTCTTAAGCTTATATATATAATGGTTACATTAACCTAGTAGAATGACATAGTATGTGTAATCAATTTTCTATTGTTGTGATTAATCTAGATTGGTCTTAATGAATTAACTTTTCAGTACATTGTTGGGTTCAGTCTGCTCATTTTTATAAAGGATTTTGCTTCCCTGCTCATGAATAAGACTGGATAAATGCATGCAGTTTTTCTCTAGTTATGTTTATGCTATTGATTTCTGTCTTAATTGCATTGTGGTAAAAAAAAAAAAGATTATCTGAAATCCACCAACTTCTTGGAATTTGCTAGCTAACACCAAATTTGACCAATCTTTATTATATTTAATATAGGCATGAAAATAATGCATAATTTCTAATTTTAGTGTAATATTCTAGATATGTGAATTATGCAAAATTTAATTTCTTTAATTGTACTCTTCCAATCTGTTGCTTTACTGAATTACTCTCTGTTTAAGGTATAAATTATTGAAATAACTAATGTTAAAATACTGTAATGTTGGGTTTTAAAATTTCTCAGTATAACCTCTAAATTACTGTTATATTTACAGTCTGTGTTATTAGGTGAGCATAAATTTAGAATTATTATATTTTCCTGATTTATTGAAACTTTTATCATTTCAAATGATTTACTTCATCTCTAGTAATTGTTTTTACAGTCTATTTTGGTAGACATTATTAAGGCTACTCCAGCATGCTTTTGAGTAGCATTGGCATAATATATATTTTTCTATGTTTAAATTTTCATTGTTTTAAAAAAGGTGGTCAGTTGTGTGACTAAGAGTGTAAATATCTTCTTTTGAGAAGTGTCTCTTCATACCCTTTGCCCACTCTTTGATGGGGTTGTTTGTTTATTTCCTGTAAATTTGTTTAAGTTCCTTGTGGATTCTGGATATTAGCCCTTTGTCAGGTGGATAGATTACAAAAATGTTCTCCCATTCTGTAGGTTGCCTATTCACTCGAAAGATAGTTTCTTTTGCTGTGCAGAAGCTCTTTAGTTTAATTAGAGCTCATTTGTCAATTTTGGGTTTTGTTGCCATTGCTTTTGTTATTTTAGTCATGAAGTCCTTGCCCATGCCTATGTCCTGAACGGTATTGCCTAGGTTTTCTTCTAGGGTTTTTATGGTTTTAGGTCTTACATTTAAGTCTTTAATCCATCTTGAGTTAATTTTTGTATAAGGTGTAAGGAAGGGGTCCAGTTTCAGTTTTCTGCATGCAGCCAACAAACATATGAAAAAAAAACCTCATTATCACTGGTCATTAGAGAAATGCAGATCAAAACCACAATGAGATACCATTTCACTCCAGTTAGAATGGCGATCATTACAAAGTCAGGAAACAACACATGCTGGAGAGGATGTGGAGAAATAGGAATGCTTTTACACTGTTGGTAGGAGTGTAAATTAGTTAAACCATTGTGGAAGACAGTATGGCGATTCCTCAAGGATCTGGAACCAGAAATACCATTTGACCCAGCAATCTTATTACTGGGTATACACCCAAAGGATTATAAATCATTCTACTATAAAGACACATGCACACGTATGTTTATTGTGGCATTATTCACAATAGCAAAGACTTGGAACCAACCCAAATGCCCATCAATGATAGACTGGATAAAGAAAATGTGGCATATATACACCATGGAATACTATGCAGCCATAAAAAAAGATGAATTTGTGTCCTTTGCAAGGACATGGATGAAGCTGGAAACCATAATTCTCAGCAAACTAACACAGGAACAGAAGAGCAAACACTGCATTTTCTCACTTATAAGTGGGAGTTGAACAATGAGAACACATGGACACATGGAGGGGAACATCACACACCGGGGCCTGTCAGGGGGTTTTGGGATAGAGGAAGGATAGCATTAGGAGAAATACCTAATGTAGATGATGGGTTGATGGGTGTGGCAAAGCACCATGGCACGTGTATACCTATGTAACAAGCCTGCATGTTCTGCACATGTATCCCAGAACTTAAAGTATATAAAAATAAATAAATGAACATAATATGCATCTTAAAAAAGACTGTAAATAATTGAGAACACAGGCTGAGACATATTAAGTGCTCAATAAGTGTAAAGATGTAGCATACATAGAAGTTAAGCTCAGGATCTAGAATTATGGGCCCTGGCTTTCAAATGTTGCTTTGAAACTATGATCCAGGTGATCTTGGACAAGTTAAACAAGTTTTCAGTTCTTGTTTTTCTCATTGGTAAAACAGGATAATAACACCTTTACACCATAGAGGTGCTGTGTGGAATGAATTATACAAATAAGTGTTAAGAAGAGTGTATAGTTTTAAACTTGTTTTTAAAATATTGTCTATTTTTGGAATTGCTTTTATTACTTCAATGTTATAATCTTGGTATAATAATTGGAGATTTTGGTCCTATTTCAATTATCTGTGATGTGAAACAAATCATGCTGAAATCTAATGAGTTAACATTTTATCATCTTTTATGATTCCCTAGGTTTACTGGGCTCAGCTAGGCAGCTCTTCTGCTCCACATGGCATTGATTTTACACGATCACTTGGGGACACCACTGGGCTGTAATATCCAAAATGGCTTTGTAACATGATTGTCAGGCAGGAGTTTTTTGAGCCTCTCAACCACTGTGCCTATATGGGGCCTCTCCATGCAGTTGCTGGGCTATGCCTGGGAGCATTCCAATTGTGAATAGTCCAAGGAGGAGAAGGTGAAAGCTGACAGTCCTCTTAAAGGCTAAGCTTGGAAATTTCCCAGTGTCATTTCCACTGTATTCTATTAATTAAGCAGCCTCAGAGCCAGCCCAGATTTAATAAGAAAGGAAATAAATGCTACCTTTCAAAAGGAGAGTAATAAAGAATTTGCAGCAATAGTTAATCCACCACAAACCGGTTTAAATGTATAATAATTCTCATATATCTGGATTAATTTATACCAAATTTCCACATACTATTCTTACATGTCTTACTTTTAATTCTTTTTCTACCTTCTTTCTTGCTTGAAATGCTTGAATCCTTGTCTATTTTTAGAAATTTCACTTCCTGCTTATTATCTTAAAAATTATTTCAGTCCTTTCCATGTATCTATTAGATTTAGCAAATATAAAGCCAGTCCTTGTAAATATTAAATGCCCAAGGAAACTGCAAGTCCGATTACCCTTTTCCAATTTACATTCTGCCATTACTAAGAATTTTGGTTTTAGCCTGCTTTTCCTCAAAATTAAACAATATAACTATAATTTTATACAACCAATTATATAACCAATTATTGCCATTATGTGTATGTATATATTTTTATGTATGTATAATTTTACTTTGCTGTGTTTAGGTGTGGGTTTCATTTTATATATCTTTCTTGGGGTTCTTGGATCTATCAGTGTTTTTCATCAGTGGAAAATAATCAGCCATTAATTCTTTCAACTTTGCCTCTTTCCCATTCTTTCATTCATCTTTTTTTCTGAAATTCTGATTATATTCATTAGATTCCCTTACTCTAACCTCCATAGCTCTTAATTTATCATGATTTCTATGCAATTTTTTTACTCTCTGGCCGCATGCTGGATCCCATCTCTTTGGATATAACTTTTAGTTAGCTAATTCTGTCTCCCACGTTATGTGAGAAAAAAAAGTCAGTATTTTAGGATCTTTTGAGTTTATTTCAACTGTGTATTATTTGTTTGTTTTTCTGTTTTCACCTATAGTGGCTTGTTTCTTTGTATTATATTTTGTAATTCTTGACTCTTGAGCTGTTTATTTACCTAGGAATTTTTTCTGTGGAAATGATTTGAGTCATAGATTGAAGTTAAGAATTACAGTTGCATTTGCCGGTTGCTTGTGAGGAGAGAGCAATTAAAAACCTAAAACACTTTAAATCATCTTTTAGAGGCTTATGTATCTATGTTAGTACCCAAATTCAGACTGGAATACTGATTGAGCATTGTCTATGATTCTGACTTTTCAAGGAAGATTTCTTTGTTCTAGTAACTGATGAATATGTCTGGCTTTGCTTTACTGAGCTCCATTGCTTAGTTCTCAGTCACCACTATATTTTGCTTATAACTTCTTGGGGTCTTATCTAATGGGCATTTCCTATTACATGATACCCTTTTCTGGCACATAGCTTTATTTCCTGATATCCACACACCGAAAAGTTGCATAAATAAAATCTCAATTCTCCATAGTTACACAGAGGTATTTAAAGTGGAGGCAAACTTTGGCACTTGCTACTTTTCCAGGAATATATATCACATAAAGAAATATACACATATGTTTAATATGTGATTCAGCAATTTAATCATTTTAGATGAGAGAGTTTTTCACATCTCTTTACTGAGATGTAAAGGTACTGAATGGTGGGTCATGTGGTCAATTTAAGGTGTCATGAATCATATTTTAGGAAATAGAATCAAATAGAACAAAATGGAATAGAATAGAAAATATCAGCATGCATTACACATAATAATAGTAGTATTGTTTGGTGAAAAAAATTGTATTTTCTTCTCTCCCTTCCCTTCCCTCTGCCTATTTCTCTCTCCCTCTCTTTTTTTCTCTCTATGGCCTTTTCTCTTTCTCTTTCTTTCGTTTAGATTTAAATGATTTTAAAACTGTTTGTTGTACACAGCAAATGTAAAAACAAATGTAAGACATTTAATATGCCTTTGGACAGCTATTAATAGTATATTACAGGATTATTTTGTAATCTTCTTCCTTACTCGCATGTCTTAGAATATGTGTTTATTTAAGCTCACTCAACCTTATTTGAGAAAATTGGAATTCTCTGAGTTCCTATAAAATAATTATGTTTTTTTCTCATGAAATCATAAATATTGTTATTTGGACCCAAGTGCATTATTTTAGAGACGTAATTTCTTTTTTAAAATAATAAGATCACAATAATCACAGAATGTATTTTCTACTGTTATGGTTGAGAAACTGTCATGAACATTGGCTCTATTACTGAAGCTGTTTTGCAAGAGCCGTAGCAGATTTAGAGGCAAAGCAAATGATGAGCATCATAGGCATAAAGCCCGTGTGAAACACTAATTCCATCATCTCTCCAGCTTTCTGCAAAGGAAATTTCTTTGCAGATTCCATCAGACCATCTCTCCCAGACTTTGCTACTATTCCTGAGTAGAAGCTCCCAAAGACTGTTCTAAGAGGACCCAGGGTTTTCCCCTTCGGAGGGTGTTATATTCTCTGTGACTGCATAGCGCATCTTGTGACAAGAAGATGTGGGATGGCTTTCCCTGGAGTGCGACCTATTCTGGGTAGCCACCCACATCCTCATGAATATTTACGTTCCGGCTCTGGCACTGCTGGCTCATCCGTGTCCCACTCTGGGAAACAATGCATAATGGATCACCACTTCTGCCTCTCTCTCTCTCCCCTCCGCAAACACAGGATGCCTCTCTGATTTATTTATTTCTATAATGCATGCCAGGAAGGGAAAGCACTGCAGACTGCATCGTTCAGCAATTCTCTGGGATTTTACAATCACACTCTATTAGTTTTCCTCACTGAATTCCATGACATTGACCTAGCTGACTTTCTTAATAGGAAAAGCAGGTTTCTAGATGTTATAACTGAATGTAGTGAAAAAAGAAAATTTAAACTATTCAGTTAAAACTTATGATTTCTAGCTATACCAGTAACTATGCCTGGGGGAGGAGGGAGAAATATTGTTCTCCAGTCTATGAATTTATTTTCTCAGCTGTGAAATGGGAATACACCCAAGGTAAGAGATGGGACTCAACTCCAGAGGTGAGGCTCAGACTCTGAACCACATTGAAGACTAGCTGAAACGGGAGAGAGGCGAAAGCACCTTTCCATAAGACACACCCGTCAGTGCCATAGCAGTTTACCATTGACATGGCAACATCTGGAAGTTGCTGCCCCTTTCCCTGGCAACAACCCAGAAGTTACCACCCTTTTTCTAAAAAGTTTTGCATAATCCACCCCTTAATTTGTATGTAATTAAAAGTGGGTATAAATATGAGTGCAGAACCGCCCCTGAGCTACTTTGGGCACACTGCTTATGGGGTAGTCCTACTCCACAAGGAACGATACCTCTGCTGCTGCTGAGCACTGCTACTTCAATAAAAGTTGCTGACTAACACCACTGCTTGCCCTTGAATTCTTTCCTGGGTGAATCCAAGAACTCTCCCAGACTAAGCCCCAGTCTTGGGTCTTACCTGTCCTGCATCAAACCCACTTTGGTTCCCTCATAGGAATATTGTAAGGATTATGGGAAAATATTGTCATATTCTTGTATAAAAATGAGCTAGAAACGCTGACAAGTGTTAAAGAGTTAAGCGGAAAGCCTTAGAGAGCTTTGTAAAGAATAGGTAATTCACATTTTGAGCTTAAGTGTTCTCATCCACAATGTGGGAAAAATAATATTCCTACATAGAAGTTTTTTTAAAGAATTAAATAGGTTAATATGTGTATATTACTTAAAAGAGTATCTGTACATAGTTACCTCTCAGAAACTGCTAGTTCATATGAGAAATATATAAGCATTCAGCATTGTAATTGTTTCTGGACCTCTAATGGGTTATAAAGATATAAGCTTCTGGATGACAAAGATGTTTCTATACAAAGCATAGAACATTTTGACAGTGAGTGGGAACATGAAAGCTCTCAAGCTTAAAATGGAACCGTAAGCCTAAAGGATAAGATGTGACCCACATTTCTTTTCACTCCTCAGTAAACTGTTATTTTGTTCTTTTCTCAGGAAAACCCTCTATGATTAGTGTTTGATGATCTGTCTGTGGATCTGCTGGCAGCCTTGTGACTTGCATTCTCTTTAAGATTTCTTTAACGAGGTAGCTTACTAAGTGCTGTCATATTTCATAATTCCTTCCAGGAAACTGTTCCCTGAGATGTTGCCAGGCAGTGTTGTCCCCTTTTTCTAAACTTCTGAATGTGTTCACTTAATGATATAATCCTTTGATGAACAGGATAGTCACAAACATCAATTTTAATTATGTAGTTTGCATATGGAGAGTGATGCTCCAGGGTAAACTTTGGCTGTGAACCTGTTCACCTAAATCATTTTATTTATTTTTCCTGTATGGCATATAACATTCTGAGATGCACTAGAATCACGGCTTAGGATTTATATATTTCTTCAGCACACTATGTTTTGAGATGTGACTTGGAGGGAGATAGAATGCATCCTGAAGCTCTATTCCAGTCAAATAGTCAATTTTACTTCTGCCTTTTAGCTTCCCTGGACTGTTTTGGATTCAGTTTTACCTTGTGAAAGCTAGCAGCCATACTTAGTTTCCTCTGGTCTTCCAAGGCATAGCAATTGTAGGCTTAATAGAATTATATCAACTCTCTTAAGTCCTTTCACCAGTGGCTGCTACCTTATTGTGGTCTGGAATTCTACTTTCTTTTCTGATGTCCTTCCCTTCTTCAGAAAGGAAGTGATTCCCATCCTCATTTTATCTTTTTATGGTCTTTCTTCCTCTTGGTATTCCTGCAATTTCTACTACAGTATTTGTTGGATTCATTATTAAAACAGCAATAAAATGGAGTAAGCATGATGAAAGTAAAAAAGACAACCAGCCGGGCGCGGTGGCTCATGCCTGTAATCCCAGCATTTTGGGAGGCTGAGGCAGGCGGATCACGAGGTCAGGAGATCGAGACCATCCCGGCTAACATGGTGAAACCCCATCTCTACTAAAAATACAAAAAATTAGCCGGGCGTGTGGCAGGCGCCTGTAGTCCCAGCTACTTGGGAGGCTGAGGCAGGAGAATCGGTTTGAATCCAGGAGGCAGAGGTTGCAGTGAGCCGAGATTGCACCACTGCACTCCAGCCTGGGCGACAGAGCGAGACTATGTCTAAAAAAAAAAAAAAAAAAAAAAAGACAACCAAGGAACAATTGCAAGTTTTCACAATTATAGAATTGGAGACCTGAATGACGCCTCAAGGAGTGGATATGTGTAGAAAAAGCATTGCCATTTACATGATTTCCCCTTTTTACATAAATATCAAGCATTTACAAAATATCAGATCCAGATAAAACCTTACAGGTTACTCAGCTCATCTTCCTTAGTCAATCAAAAATATTTATTGATTTTCTACTGTGTGTTGGGCAGTGTTCTTTGATATTGAGATCCGGTAGTGAACAAGATAGGGAAAGTTCTGGTTCCTGTGGGGTTTATACTTTTTGAGTGCAGAGGGATATTAGATAGATTTTTAAAATAAATAATTGCATGTAATTTTTAATCCTGAAGAAGTAGCTAAATTAGGCTAAAAAAGCTTCTTTAATAAGGGATATTTGAGAACGGGCACGGTGGCTCACGCCTGTAATCCCAGCACTTTGGGAGGCCGAGGAGGGCAGATCACGAGGTCAGGAGATCGAGACCATCCTGGCTAACACGGTGAAACCCTGTCTCTACTAAAAATACAAAAAGTAAGCCGTGCGTGGTGGTGGGCGCTCGTAGTCCCAGCTACTTGGGAGACTGAGGCAGGAGAATGGCGAGAACCCGGGAGGCGGAGCTTGCAGTGAGCTGAGATCGCGCCACTGCACTCCAGCCTGGGCGGCAGAGCGAGACTCCGTCTCAAATAAATAAATAAATAAAATTTTAAAAAGGGATATTTGAATTAAAACCAAAATAAGAAGAAGATGGCAGTGATGTTTTCTACTAGGGAAGAGTGTTCTAAGCAAAAAGAACAAGCGATAAAGCTTTGAGATTAGAGTCGGATTGGGATGTTCAAGAAATGGAAATGATGTTGCTGAGGTTGGAATAACAAATGCACGGCATAGGCAGGTGGATAGCAAGGAGGTGATAGAGGGTCACAGGACATAGGGCCTTGTCGTGCCTGGTAATTGTACATGGTTGTGTTGTTTCCTGAGATGCTAAATGCTTGCTGGAGAGTAGATTCTGGTGGTAAGACTATGGGATAAGATGTAGGAAGGAAGTCAATATTTTTCTTACCAGTTGAGAAAACAACTTTAATAAAGGAGGTGATTTTCCATACAACTCTTTGCATAAATGAAAAAGGGATGGAAATGAGGCAACCTAATTTTCAGTTCTATTCTATTCCCAACACAATCCTCATTATGGTTAACTAAAGCTTTCCCAGTTCTCTCTATTATGCTTTCTGGCCCTTACTGATGCTGTGGCTCTTTCAGAGAGGCTACTTATGTTTAGAAATGCATAAAATAAATGACATTTTTGCCAATCTTCTCTGATCATCTTGAATTTTCAGTAGATTTTAGTGCCTTTCTTTCCACATTACAGGCTATTCACTAAAAATAAGGTAGCAGTATTTTGGCCTACCTACTTAGAAAAGTCTTACCCAGTCCTGGTATGAAACTGTCCCTTTGGGAAGAACACAAGTCTATCAACTGCAGTCTGAATGTTATCCACAGTTGAGTCAAAGTTGTTAGGCTGGTGCAAACCTACTTGCAGTTTTTGGAACTACGTTTGTACCAACCTAATACATGGTGAAATAATTACACATTTGCTTGATTTAAATAGTTCAGTATTTTAAAAGTAATCTCTTTTTTTCTGGCTGGCGCTGCACTGTGTTAAATCAGAGGTCTTATGGTGAAATATATACTACAATGTAGAAAACATAGAGCGCTTCTAAAATGTTCCATTAAAAACAATTAAGAGGCTATTAGCTCTTACACATAAAAATAATGCAACTATTAATCTTCATACTTAAATGCTGACAGTTGAAAAGAAACCACTGAAACCACAGGATAGTTGTCTAAAAGAGGAAGAAAAAAGTGTTTCTTCTGCACTTCATACAATATATGCAGAATAATTTTGTTTTTTGCATACTTTTCCACAAATACTTTAGAATCATAAAAGACTTGAAGTAGAACTTAGAACTTTAACTCGCTTTAGAACTCATTTAACTTAGAATCATGCATTTTAAGATGCCCATTTTACAAATGAGGCAATTAATACCCAGAAATAAGGTACTTCTCAAGGTCCCATAGCAAGCTGGTGGTATGTCAGGATAAGAATCAGCTCTGCTACTGTTCACAAGGCTCATTTTCCCTGATTCCCCTTTTTCCTTAGAAAGTCTTCATTTTTGGCCAGGTGTGGTGGTTTGATCCTGTAATCCCAGCACTTTGGGAGGCCGAGGCAGGCAGATCACGAGGTCAGGAGATCGAGACCCTCCTGGTCAACACAAAGAAATCCTGTCTCTACTAAAAAAATAAAAAATAAAAAAAATTAGCTGGGCATTGTGGCACAC
The DNA here is from genome assembly GCF_000001405.40 of Homo sapiens. Lineage (NCBI taxonomy): Eukaryota > Metazoa > Chordata > Mammalia > Primates > Hominidae > Homo > Homo sapiens. The sequence goes on from NC_000003.12 coordinate 191,632,207, forward strand.
ACCTGTAGTCCCAGCTACTTGGGAGGCTGAGGCAGGAGAATCACTTGAACTGGGAGGTGGAGGTTATAGTTAGCTGATATTGCGCCATTGCACTCCAGCCTGGGGACAAAACGAGAATCCGTCTCAAAAAAAAAAAAAAAAAAGAAAGTGTTCATTTTCTTCAGAAATTGAATATCAGAATACCATAGTCTATATTTCAGTAAAGGATGAGATACTTAAAAATTATTCATGGAAACAAATCCTATTAAAATACAGATATTAGTTATTTTATAGATAATAAATTTTATCTCATGAGATAACAGAAACATCAGGATTTTTTCATGAAAAATAGTTAGGAGAACTATTTTTCTAGTTCTTTAGAAATTTATTTTAATTAAAGACATAAATTATATGCCCTTGGGGACTTTCTTTGTGCTGTTACTTCTAATGGTCCAGATCTTCACATGGCTGTCACTTTATAATGGCTGTACTGAATCATTAGACATTTCCTCATGATTAAGCTTGAAAAAGGATCTTTTCTTTTTAATAATATTTTCAAAAAAATAAGCCTTGGGCTGAAAGTTAATTGATACATCAACCGTATTAACAGGCACTGTAGCACAGCAGAATGAAAAGAACATTAATGCAGATAAACAGAGTATTATCATTTTACAATTACCCTTGAGCATCATGAATTTGAAAGGATGGTGGTGAATCAAGTTTATTTACAATAGGTAGTTTTTTCCTTTTGTTTTCTCACTCTGTCGCCCAGGCTGGAGTCCCGTGGCGCGATCTCAGCTCACTGCAAGCTCCGCCTCCCGGGTTCACGCCATTCTCCTGCCTCAGCCTCCCAAGTAGCTGGGACTACAGGCACCCACCACCACGCCCGGCTAATTTTTTGTATTTTTGGTGGAGACAGGGTTTCACCATATTAGCCAGGATGGTCTCGATCTCCTGACCTCGTGATCCGCCCGCCTCCCAAAGTGCTGGGATTACTGGCGTAAGCCATCGCTCCGGCCCTTCCTTTTTTTTTTTTTTTTTTTTTTTTTAAATGAAGATGATTTATTTTTATGCAGAGAAAAAAATCTGCTAATAAAACAGCCACTAATAGTTTGTAGTGTTTCCTGCAAGGCAACAGTTCATCATACTTAGACAGTGTTTCATAGATGTGCAAAATGTCTTTATGTGATTACTTTATTTATTCCTTTCAACAATCCTGGAGGATTGTAAAACACAGATTTTTATTTCTATTATATAGGTGGGGAAACAAATTTAGAAAATGATAAAATGATCTGCCATAAAGAAGCGGAGAAGCTGAGACTTTTGGTTGGATCTTATTTCCCTGTTCATTTCACCATATCATAGCACTCCTGACTCTTAGAATCTCCCAGGATTTAAGATTTTAAATCTATGGTTATCAGAATCACAATGTGTTAGATCTCTATTCCCAACTCAAAAATTTTTCTGGACAGTGCTGCAAGGTATAAATGAAATAGTATTAGTTGGGGAGATCTTGGTTCCAGTTCAAATTTAATGGGAGAAAATCACCAAATTTTAGGGTTATGGATCCATTAAATGAGTGACATTCATCAAAAGATTTCTGGTACCTCTACTGCTAAGACAGCTGGGTCAACTTTCACAGACTTTTCGTTTCTAACGGAAGACTAACGGATTCCTAACAAGGTAGAGCGCAACAAGGCAGCGTGGATAAATCCCCAGTCAGGCTGGTGGACACTACTCTTTTTTATGAAGCTAATGTTCTAGGTCTTATGATAGAGAAAGTAATATCTACTAAGAAGGACTGGAGCTGTCAGAGCTGAGCAGACCTTTATAGCCAGAAGCATTTTCTATTTGAAGTGATTATGAAACTGAAAATACAATATTTATTTGTTCCATCAAAGGTTCACCATTGGTGTACCTTGTGTATTAATAACCCATACAAAGATTTTCCCTGCTTTTCTTACACACTGCTAATAAAAATAATAATAAGTTAACCCAGTCCTATTTTTCTTCCTTAGGTTATTTTGCCATAATTGAAAAATTTCATCTGATGATGATCTTTGTGAAAATGTTTAAGCTCCATGTCTTCCTCTGCCTACGAAAGTAATGAGCTGAAACACTGGATCATGCAAGATGTAATGCTAGGCAGAGTTAAGTGTTAGGGAGTATAGAAATACTGACATGTACACACACAGACACATTAAGCATGCATTCTTAACTACCAGTAATGGTGGTTGTACATATGTTTAGCATAAGGGCAATATGTATCAGTAATGTACAATTTTAGCATTTCAGTATGCAGTTTATTGTTTTGCTTGTTCATTTGTTTAACTAGCCATTCTGTCCTAACTGTATGCATCTACATGCTCTAATAAAGTGTCCCTCTGTGTTTATTCTATTGGATTACGGCTAATTGTTTTGGTTTTCCAAAGCTGATTGTGGTAAGCAAGCCCAATCAAGATAATAGTACCAAGTAATATGAGTATTTTATTAAAATGAGAAAATATTAATATTGTATAGTTGTTAGTGGCAGATAAGCAGTGATGAAAGTGTTGGCCATATTGATTACTTATTAAGTTTCAGGAAACTGAGCAGTAATCCAGTAGTTATTGCCTATGGAATCTAATATGAAAGCTACTTTTTACATCTTATTGATGATGTACTAAAGACTAAAATCTCTTATGTATCTGTGCAAGTAATTAGAAATTTAGACTTTGTATTTCCCCCACCCACAAAACAGCCCAACTTTAAGGGTCAAGCAGAAATGTGATTCAGAGAGAAAAAAGCATAATTCCTATTTGGTTTCCTGGGCAGCCATCCAAGCAAACCCTCCTCACTGCAGCTTTGAAGTATGACAAAGAAGTGGCAGCCCCAGGTAGTGTAGCAGCAAGATGCCTTCACACTGCAGGAGAATCTCGTCAAGGCATAACAGCTTGGTGAGAAATATTACTGAAGTGATTTGGAGTGATGGTGTTTCAGAAGGGAATTACTAAATAGAATTCAAAAGATCACCTAGGCTGACAGCTGTGATGAAGAGAGATTCTTTCCTCTGATGAAATCCCCTCATCTTTCTTTTAGTCCCTTACTCCCAGTTTTGTGACTTAGAATATCAGCAGAGTTCATTGAACATATCATGTGCTCGTTAAACAAAATAAGATGCTGCATTCTTATATTTTCCCTTTTTAATGCAAACTTTGTGAAATAGAACAAGATACCACATTTTTTTGTTCTCAATATTTCGATTATGAAAATGAAAAGTATACAGTTTTAAATTTAGACTTCTATTAATTAAAAGATTTGTAAAGCCAAGTTTATATTTTTGTAAATGTTTAAAGGAAAGAATGCAATGAATATAAACCTGAAGTCTTTTATTTGTGCATAAGAATATTCTTATAAACACCCAAACCAAATTAATCATTCTTATAGCAACAAAATATTCATATTTTTAAGGACCTAAAAGGGAGAATTTTAATGAAATCTAATTTATAGTATATTTAGTCATAAAATAGATAAATGTGATTACTTAATATTTTCATAGCAATTTTATTACATTGTAGAGTGGAATGTCATTGACATAAAAGATACATCGAATGGAATATGACAGTGAAAAATGTAATATAAAAATTTACAGGCATCTGTAAATAGTATACTTTTAACTTTCATGGGAACATAATTCAATTATAAGAAATCAGATCCCTTCCTAATATTACTTCTTCCATGACTGAAAACAGGGCTTGTTTATCACCTATACATTAATATTCAATATCTAAAGGTAGGAACCACCAGAATATAACTTATTAAAATAAGTTTTTACTATCTTAATATGATTATTTAGAAATTCATCTATTTTATCTACTTGAACAAAAGCTGCTTATGTGTGAGAATTATTGATTCTGTTCCTTCTGCCTGAATATCTTTGGCCTGGAACCAAAGTACTGCTTCTCCTAAAATTCATTCAACAAACATTTTTAGACATATATTAAAATATTACTACACCATTCCTAAAACTCTATGATAAGTGACGATTATTTTGAGTTAAGCATCTTATTACTCATTGGAATTACTGAGTGCATGTGCTCCCGTTATTAACTGAGATTGGTTTAAAGTAGGAACGTAGTTCCCAGATCTATTCTTTTTTTTTTAATGGAGATTTCTTGGGAGAAAAATCAATTAGTTTTGAAAAGTGGCATTTTGAGCACCATGGTGATTTTAAAGAGAAAGATATTTGGGAGTTAAAGGGTTGTCAATGTGTCGGGAGCTGCAGATTTTAGTAACGCTGCAGATTTTAGCAATGCTTAAGCTGGCTCTGGTTAGAGATATTATAGCTAAAAGAATGATAAGGAGAACAAGTCTGGTTTTCCTCTCAGGAGCAATTCTTCTCTGAGGTCATGATGGCCCAGAGTTTTACTTTTAATTTTACAAGTGCAGATAGTTTGTCTATGGGCTCCATCAAAAGCTATCAATTTTTGGAAATTGATTCACATTAATCACAATTATTTGAAATTGAGAGAAGCCAAATATATGTGGGAAATTAACTTTTCAGTGACTAAAAGGTTATATTTTGGTATTCAAGATTTGGTGGCCGGGCGCTGTGGCTCACGCCTGTAATCCCAGCACTTTGGGAGGCCTAGGCGGGCGGATCATGAAGTCAGGCGATTGAGACCATCCTGGCTAACACGGTGAAACCCCGTCTCTACTAAAAATACAAAAAAAAAAAAAATTAGCCCGGCGTGGTCGTGGGCGCCTGTAGTCACAGCTACTCGGGAGGCTGAGGCAGGAGAATGGCGTGAACCCGGGAGGCAGAGCTTGCAGTGAGCTGAGATCACACCACTGCACTCCAGCCTGGGCGACAGAGCAGGACTCCGTCTCAAATAAAAAAAAAAGAAAAGAAAAAAAAAAGATTTGGTATTTGAGGTACCTGGGAAATAAGATTACTCATCTTAATACCTACTTTTTGAGAGTTGATCATCGTATTTGGATGACTTGAAAATTATCTTTCTAGGTTTGGTAGATGGACAAGAATGAAACTTGTTCCCATATAGATACATTATGCGCACATACTTTGTTATCTGCGTTTATACATACTATTTGTTGTTTTGTTTTTGTTAAAAATGGTTTGATGTGGCTTATACATGCAACATCAAATGAAGTGAAATTTTAAGTGCCTAGAGTTGTTATAACCACTTGACAGATATACATAAATAAAATCTTTTCTGTGTGTGTTTGTGTGTATATGTGTGTGTGTGTATGTGTGTGTATCCATTTCAACAGAGGGGTATGTGGATCCCCTTGTTTGCTTGTTTTACTTTAGCTCATGGTATGGGATCTAGGGCTAGACTAAAACTCAGATTCCAAGAGAATCAGATTCTCTGGTCCTCAATAATTCAATTCCAGGTTGAATTATTTGTTTTTCTAAATAGTTAGAGATTGATTGAACTGGTACAACTGATAGGCATTTATGAAAAAATTCTGCAATCTGAAAGAATGAGACATGTAATACTAAAGGGAGATAGAAGAAGAACATTTATTTGTAGATTTACATTAGGAAACAAATCAATTTAACACAGCTTCTGGTTTTGCTGCCAATATAATTCAATAAACATAGAATCTATGAAATGAGTTCAAAGATGAGATAAAACAACAATTTGAGAAAACAGACTGAGATAAAAAGGCAGCTGGCTGAGAGGCAGAAGAGAGAACCACATGAGATAAGAAACAGTGTGAAGAAACTAAAATTGCTATTACAAAAGGGGCTTAGTATCTGTGGCTTAAAATGTCATCTGGCTAGAAGAACCTTAATAGATTTTGCTCAATTTTTTACTGAAAAATTTATAAATAACTTTTTATAATACAGAAAACAAAGGTTGATAGGAAACTAATTATTTAATCTGAGACAAAATAATTAATAGATATTTCAACTCAGAATAAAAAAAATATTGCTACATAGCTTTCTGCTCCAACCTTCCTCAGGACCTTTGCATTTGTTGTTTTCCTGCCTGGAATATTCTTCCTTTTACCCTACTCACTTTTAACAGATTGATGGTTTGACTGATTTGATTCTTCACATCTAGGTACAAAAGTCATATCCTTAGAGAAGGCTTTGCTAAGGACTAAAGTAGATCAGATAACTTTTTATGTTTTATCTTAACAATCAGCTAGTCTAAAAAGAAAACACTTATAATGGGAGCAGGAAATTTGTGTTTCTTCAGTAATCTAGCCACGAAACCCGGAATAGTGGTTATCTTTAAGAAGGCATTTAGTGAATATTCATTGACTAAATGAATTAATGATTACATGGCATTCATCAGAGCCTTATTAGTTGTGTTTATGTTTCTATATGTAGTTATTTGATTGCATCCCCCTTTGATCAATATTCTTTATGGGGTTATGGACATGACGTACTCTGTGTTTATTTTGATCACCACTATATGTTGGCACCAAGCGGAATACTTGGCACACAGTAGACAATTAAATTATATATTTGTGGAATATTTATTGGGTATTGAACAAGCACTATAGGGAAAGGCAGAAACAGAAAGAGCCCTGGCAGGAATAGCCACTAGGAATTAGGGCTGTTCCAGAGTACTAGAAAGTCATTCTGTGAAGACAAGAGGAAGATGGTACTACCGAAGAGCAGACATAACCTGGATAGAAGGCTGATGGAAACTTGGAGGTGTACATTTTAATCTGTTCTCCATTGGAGATCTGTAAATTGCATTTAGCAGCCATATCAATAGATCGAGAATGAGACAAAAGCAATCCACTACCCCATTTGTTTAAAAATAGAACATCTGTACAGATTCCATATTATCTGAGGATACATAAAGATTTTTTTAAAGGGGCCAATTAAAAACTACAGAACAAGAAAAATGAAGATTCACAATTACAGAATTCCTCTGAAAATAATTTATAAGCTGAACAAAATTTATTTTATTTTACTTTAGTTCTGGGGTACATGTGCAGAATATGCAGGTTTGTTGCATAGATAAACGTGTGCCATAGTGGTTTGCTGCACCTATCAACCCATCACCTAGGTAGTAAGCCCAGCATGAATTAGTTATTTTTCACTGATGCTCTCCCTTCCCCTGTCCCCGCAACAGGCCCCAGTGTGTGTTGATCCCCTCCTTGTGTCCATGTGTTCTCATTGTTCAGCTCCCATTTAAGAGTGAAAAGATGCAGTGTTTGTTTTTCTGTTCCTGCAATAGTTTGCTGAGGATAATGGCTTCCAACTACATCCATGTCCCTGCAAAGGACATGATCTAATTCCTTTTTATGACTGCGTAGTATTCCAAGGTGTATATGTACCATATTTTCTTTATCCAGTCTACCAGTCTATCACTGATGGACATTTGTGTTGATTCCATGTCTTTGCTATTGTGAATAGTGCTACAATATGTGTGCATGTACCTTTATAATAGAATGATTTACATTCCTTTGGGTATATACCCAGTAATGGGATTGCTGGGTCAAATGGTATTTCTGGTTCTAGGTCTTTGAGGAATTGCCCCACTGTCTTCCACAAGGGTTGAGCTAATTTACATTTCCACCAACAGTGTAAAAGCATTCCTGGCCGGGCATGGTGGCTCACACCTGTAATCCCAGCACTTTGGGAGGCCGTGGCGGGTGGATCATGAGGTCAGGAGTTCCAGATCATCCTCGTTCACACTGTGAAACCCCATCTCTACTAAAAATACAAAAAATTAGCCAGGCATGGTGGCAGGTGCCTGTAGTCCCAGCTACTCGGGAGGCTGAGGCAGAAGAATGGTGTGAACCCGGGAGGCGAACCTTGCAGTGAGCTGAGATTGCGCCACTGCACTCCAGCCTGGGCGACAGAGGGAGACTCCCTCTCAAAACAAACAAACAAACAAAAAAGGTGTTCCTATCTCTCCACAGCTTCACCAGCATCTGTTGTTTCTTGACCCTTTAATAATCACCATTCAAACTGGCGTAAGATGGTATCTCATTGCGGTTTTCAGAATATAGCACTAGGATATATAACTCCATGAATTAGAAACAGACATAAAAAATGGTCTGAACTAAAAGGGCAACTCAATGTTATACAAAAGATAAATAGATGACATAGGAAAGGGATTGAAAAGAAAGTAAAATGTAGTAAAAGAAATAAGCTAGTATTGGACATGGTAAAAAAAATCAAAATTTATTCTGAGGGCATATGTATCAATAACATGAAGGGCAAATTTGGGGATTTCAGAATATCCTGAAAAAGTAATATTAAAATTATGAAAAAGAAGATCACAATTGTAGAAATTTTATTTTGGAAAACTAATGCACAGATTTTGGTAATTTTTGAATGAAAGTCTGAAATAAACGAATTGAAAACAATAGCAGAAGAGTAGTTTCTTTGACCTAAGATCTGACAATGCAGATCAAAAAATAGTAATATCTTGAAGGTTAAACAATGGGAAAGCTATTTATGCCAATACGTAAAAATTCTATATACATTGATAATTTTAAAAGAATGAAATTAGAAATGTATAAGTATATCCTCTGATTTTCAGCAATATTAATAACATCTAGGAGAAATAATCAGTTTTGAGGAAAACTATTGTCATCCTAGATTTTTCATATGCTGCCAAGTAGTTCTTTCTGAATTAAGGAAACAGAAAGACTCTGAAAAATGTATTCACCGGAAAAAAATGACAATTGCATGTCCTTCTTAAACAAACCAGAAAATGCACTCCAAATAACTAACAAAGCAAATTTAAGAGACCAAGATAGGGATGGTGTAATCGCTAATAACAATGGTGTGCACATGTGCAGCTTACAGACAAAAAATTTACCAAAGAATTTTAAATCCCACATTATTTTAACAAATGTTTAAAACTGAATGAGGGAAGAGGAGAAATGAACGCTGTAGTCAACTAATGGCTGAAATAAAAGAGTGCTAAAAATACAATGTTTTACATTTGATTTCAATAATATTTACTGTGTCTCCTCCAAATGCAGTCGTGTTTACAACTGATTAGTCACAACCAGTTACAGATTTCTTTGTTCCTTCTCCACTCTCACTGCTTCACTTGATGAGCATTTTATATATATATATAATATATGATGAACATTATATGTGATGAACTTTATATATGATGAACAATATATATATGTGTGTGCATATATATATATATAATATCAAGTGAAGCATTGAGAGTGGAGAAGGAACAAAGAAATCTGTAACTTGTTGTGACTAATCAGTTGGAAACACCACCACACTTGGACTAGACACAGTAAATATTATTATATATATTATATAAATATATAGGAGAGGGAGATGCCAAGATGGCTGACTAGAAGCAGCTGGTGTATGCTACTCTCATGGAGAGGAGATACAGTGGGCAGTAAACACTAGCTCTTCAACTGGATTATCCAGGAAGACACGTTGGTTGGTATTCATCAAGGAAGCACCATGACCCATGGAGAGCAGAGAAGAGTGAGACAGGACAGCTGCCCACTCAGGACTGGCATGAAAGCAAGGGAGGCTCCCCACCACAAGGAAATGGTGAGTGGACAAGAGTGCCTGGGGTCCTACACTTTTGCCATAGAGCTTTGCAATTCTGAGAACTGGTGATCTCCCCTGATCCATCCCTCTGGGGCCTCCAAACTAACACAGAGAGCTGCCTGGGGCCTGACCAGAGCCACCACTCAGGCTCACATGAAGCCCAAGGGCTTTGGACTCCTGAGCACACTGGCACTAGCTGTTGTAGCTTCACCAAGGGAGGCCAGGCTCTCTTGCATGCCCCCAGAATAGAAGCCCCGTCCATGGTGCTGAGGAGTGGTCAGACTACTGGCCTCACCCCCACTACAATCCATCAGGCAAAGCCCACAAGCCTGGGACCCCAGTGCAGCCACCCCTTCTCTGACTGAGCGCTTGGGCCACAGCTCTGCATTTCTCTAGGATGGAACACCCAGAGGTGACTGACAGACCCACAGCTTTTGCCGCTTCTGCAGCCCATGCCCCTGCTGTCCTCAGGCTAGGCAGGGAGCAGAGACCCCAAGAACTATTGTGGGCCTCTGGCACACCACAGCTGCCTTGTAGAAAAGCAACCAAATTGTTATCCACATGGGTCCCTGACTCTGCTTTCCTCGCTAGGCAAGGCCTCCTGACCTGGGTCCCCCGCACAGTTGCCCTGCCTCCGCCTGATCATTTCAGTCAGTGACGGCTCTGTGCTTCTTTGCGGAGGAAATTCCGGAGACAACCCACAGACTCTCTGCCATCGCCTATGTGGTGGTACCGCCCTTTCTGGCCATTGGGCTTGGAAAAGAATAAAGATCCTCATCACTTTGCTGGCACCTCCAGCATGCTACGGCCACCATACAGAGAGGAGCAGTCTCTCTTGCCTGTGAGCCCCCACCTTCTACCCTTCAACAGATAGGCCCTTGCCGCCATGCCCATTGGACCCAGAGCACAGCAACTCTCCCCCTAGTTGAACATTCCCATTGGCAACAGCTCTCTGTCACTCTGGGGTGGAGTTCTTAAAGGCAAATGATAGCCCCTTTGCCACTGACACTGCAGCAGTACTGGGCAGTACTGCTCTTGCCGCCACCAGCCTAAAGAAGGAACAAAGAACCCGAGTGCTTTACTTGCACCTCCCACATGGCATAGCCACCCTAGAGAAGAGGTCAGACTTTCTTCCCTGCTGGTCCTCCACCCACACCAACCCTTTTTTTCTGAGGCAGGACCTCTTGGCTTGGGCTCACAGTGTAGCTGCCCCATCCCCAGCTGGTTGTTCCAAATGGCAGAAGCTCTGCCTTTCTCTGGGGTGGAGCCCCAAGAGACAAATGAAAGGCCTTCTGCCATTGCCACTGCCAAGGTCCCCAGCTCTGCTGTCCTTCAAGTTAGAGAGGGAACAGAAAGCCTGAGATCACCCCTAGGCTACAGTGCCCAGTTCAGGAGTGCCAAGCTGAGATCTGTAACCAGCACTCAAGTGAGAGAGGAGTCCACACACTCAGAGCATTGAAAGGGAGCATGGCTGCAAATGATCAGAAATACAGAGAAGCCACATGGCTGAGTATGAGCCTATCTACTGGCCATTACACTTAAGCACCGTCTACTGGATCACAGCCCAAATGTCAACCCCCAAAATACTTTACTAATATACCCACCTGTGAAACCAAGGACAAGCATTTCAGTCATGAATAAAGACCCTGCACAAAGCCTTAGCCCTCTGAAAGCATCCAGAAATGAAGCCAGCTGAGGATACTCAAATTACAGCACATTTAAAGGAACATCAGCCCACACACATAAGAAATAACCAGCACAAGAACTCCAACAACTCTAAAAGCCAGAGCCTCTCCTTACCTCCAAATGACTACACAGCTGCCCAATAATGGTTCTTAGCCAGAATGAAATGGCTGAAATGACAGATTCTCAGTGAGTATGGATGACAATGAAGATCATCGAGATTCAGGAGAAAGTTAAACCCATTCCAAAGTGTCTAAGGCATCCAGTAAAATGGTTCAAGTGATGAAAGACAAAATAGCCATTTTAAGAAAAAACTGAACTGATCTGATAGAGCTAAAAATTTACTATAGGAATTCCATAACATAATTGGAAGTATTAATATCAGAATAGATCAAGCTGAAGAAAGCATCTCAGAGCTCAAAGACCCGTTATTTGAATTAACTCAGTCACACAATTGTCCCTGAAAATTTTCTCAACCTCTTTAGAGATGTTGATGTTGACATTCAAAATTGAGGAAATTCAGAGAACTCTGCAAGACACTATACAAGATGACCATCCATAGTCTCAGATTCTTCAAGGTCAATGCAAGAGAAAAAAATATTAAATGGAGCTAGAGAGGAGTAGGTCACCCACAAAGGGAAACCCAACAAGCTAACTTCAGATCTTCCAGAAAAACCCTACAGGCCAGAAGAGATGGTGGACCTATATTCGTCATCCTTAAAGAAAAAATCTCCCCAGTAATTTTATATACAGCCAAACTAAGCTTCCAAAGCAAAGGAGAAATAAGATTCTTTTTAGACAAAGATATGCAAAAGGAATTCATTACCACCAGACCTTCCTTACAAGATGTCTTTAAGGGAGTACTAAACATGGAAATGAATGACCATAACCGGCCACCACAAAAACATACTGAAGTACATAGAACATTTACACTATAAAGCAATTACACAATCAGGTCCACATAACAACCAGCTAACAACACAATGACAGGATCAAATCCACTAATATCAATGTTAACCTTGAATATAAATGGGCTAAATGCCATACTTAAAAGACACAGAGTGGCAAGTTGGTAAAAGAAACAAGACTCAATTGTATGCTGCCTTCAAAAGACCCACCTCACATGCAAGGACACCCATAGGCTCAAGGTAAAGGGATGGAGAAAAATCTATTAAGCAAAGAGCAAACAAAAAAGAGCAGTAGTTGTTATTCTTATTTCAGACAAAATAAGCGTTAAACCAACAATGACCGAAAAGAACAAAGAAGGGTATTACATAATAATAAATGGTTTAATTTAACAAGAAGACTTAAGAATTCTAAATGTAGATATGCCCAACACTGCAGCACCCACACTCATAAAACAGGTTCTTAGAGACTTACAAAGACACTTACATAATCACACAGTAATAGTGGGAGACGTTATTGCACACAGCATCAAAGCAGCTTACTAACAAAATATCCAGGAACTAAACTTGACACCAGACCAAATGGACCTAACAGACATCTACAGAAAACTTCACCCAATAACATCAGAATACATATTCTCATCTGCATATGGCACATGCTCTAAAATTAACTACACACTAAGCTCTAAAGCAATTCTCAACAAATTAAGAAAATTTGAAATCATAACAACTATATTCTCAATTCTCAAAATACAGTACAATAAAAATAGAAATCAATACCAAGATGATCTCTCAAAACCATACAATTACTTGTAAATTAAACAATCTCATCCTGCATGACATTTGGGTAAACAATGAAATTAAGGCAGGAATCCAGAAATATTTTAAAATTATGAAAACAAAGATACAAAATACCAGAATCTCTGGGACATGGCTAAAGCAGTATTAAGAGGAATGTTTATAGTGTTAAATGACCATATCAAAAAGTCAGAAAAATCTCAAACCTAACATCATACCTAGAGGAACTAGAAAAACAAGAGCAAACCCACCCTAAACTATACTATAAGGCTACAATAACCAAAAGAGCATGGTACTAGTGCAAAAACAGACACGTAGAACAATGGAACAAATTAGAGAACCCAAAAGTCAGTCACACACCTGCAACTATCTGATCATCAACAAAGCCAACAATAGCAAGCAACAGGAAAAGTACGGCCTATTCAATAAATGGTGCTGAGATAACTGGCTAGCCATACGCAAAAGATTTACACTGGACCCCTTCCTTTCACCGTATACAAAAATCAACTCAAGATGGATTAAAGACTTGAATGTAAGACCTAAACTATAAAAGCCATAGAAGAAAACCTACAAAATACCATTCTGGTCATAGGCCCTGGCAAAGATTTCATGATGAAGACTCCAAAAGCAATTGCAACAAAAATAAAAATTGACAAATGGGACCTAATTAAACTAAAGGGTTTCTGCACAGCAAAAGAAGGTATCAGAGTAAATAGACAACCTACAGAACGGGAGAAAATATTTGCAAATGATGCATTCAACAAAGATCCAGAATCCCAGTAATATGCAAAATCTATAGGGAATTTAATTAACAAAATCAGTAAACAACAAACAAGCCCATTAAAAAATGGGCAAAAGACACGAACACATACTTCTCAAAAGAAGACATGCATGAAGCCAATGAACATATAAAAATAATGTTCAATATCACTAATCATTAAGAAAATGCAAATCAAAACCACAATGAGATATCATCTCACACCAGTCAGAATGGCTATTAACAAAAAGTCAAAAAAAAAAAAAAAAGAAAGATGCCAGTGTGGTTGCAGAGAAAAGGTAATGCTTGTTCACCACTAATGGAAATTTAAGTTAGTTCAGCCACTGTGAAAAGCTCTTTGAAGATATCTCTAAGAACTTAAAACAGAACTACCATTTGACCCAACAATTCCGTTACTGAGTATATACCCAAAGAAATATAAATTATTATACCATAAAAACACTTGCACTTGTATGTTCATCACTGCACTATTCACAATAGCAAAGACACAGAATCTACCTAGATGCCCATCATGGGTGGACTGGATAAATAAAATGTGGTACATATACATCACGGAATACTATACAGCTATGAAAAAGACAAAATCATGTCCTTTGCAGAAACATGGATGGAGCTAGAGACGATTATGCTAAATGAATTAATGCAGGAACAGAAAACTAAATACCACATGTTCTCACTTGTAAGTGGGAACTAAACATCGAGTACACATGGACACAAAGAAGGGAAAAATAGACACTGGAGCCTACTTGAGGGAGTAGTGGCAGAGTGAGGACTAAAAAACTACCTATTAGGTAGTATGCTGATTACCTGAGTGACAGAATTATCTGTATAGCAAACTCTTGCAATATGCAATTTACCCATGTAACAAACCTGCACATGTACCCCTTGTACCTAAAATAAATATTAGAAAGAAAAAAAAATCAAAATTCAAGAAAATAAAAACCATACAATTTTTTTGTAAAAAATGAAAAATATTTATTTAGTATTTATATGTAATGCTATTTGATAGTCATTGTTCTATGTTCTTTTCATATATTAACTTATTTTATAAGAATTATTATTTAGATTTTACTTTTAGATATATTTAAATCAAATTTTGGTAGTTGTAAGACAAGATGTATATCTTCCAAAGCATCAGAGGAGACAACAAGGAGAAAATCACTAAGAAAATAGTAAGAATGTGTAAACAGATACGCACGAGAGAACAAGATGGCATAAATGAAAACTAAGTATTTTATTTCAAAAGGTAAATGAAAATGATATTAATCTTAAAAGACTCTCTAATTGGATTAAAGTTATTTTTTATTTATATGAGACATGCCAATATTAATCTTTTAGGAACATGAAATATAAAAATTTTGCATTATTATTTCAAATCTAGCAATAGATGAGAAGGATGATGATATTAATAACAGGATTCAAAGCAAAAGTTCTCAAGACAAAGATAGCCATCTTTTATTAATAAAAGATATAATTAGTAACGAAGATTTATTTAAGAAGCCTAAATTCTCACCTTTCAACTAAGGCAAATGTTATTCTCACATGCAGTCAGAGCCCTGGCACTACATTTACCTTGTGGTGTTTCCATTCTTATTCTAGAACTTCTTGCAACTACCAGTAATCCAGACCATGACTTTCTCTTCCTGGAAGTCCTCAGTCATCACCACTCACCACTGATTTGCTGATGTTGATTATTTTGGCAACTGTCTATTGAACTCACCATATTGTAACTGATTTTCTTGTGTGATACATTCTTATCACCATAATATTCAAGCTGCTTCTCCTTTGGCTCAAACTCTCACTATTCTCTTATTTTCCAAACTTTCCATTGTATCCTCTGGACCCCATGTTAACTACTGATGCTACTTCTTGTCCTTTACTGAAAATTTGCTGTCTTGTAAGGACACTATTTCTATTGGATCTAATTCAAACAGATGCTGCTCATTTCTTTGACACCCCAGGAAAACCAGGCTAAGGAAGTGGAGCTGCCTTTTCCTAACAGCATAGTGCTATTTCCAGGCTATTGTTATTTTACTCTTTTGGAAATACTGTTCCTTTGAGGACTGTGATCTCTAAGTCTTCTGTCTTCCACCCATCCTCATTATCACCACCTAGTAACTACCACATTGGACCAAGTCAGTAGATCATTGCTCAGCCTAGATTCCCATGTCAATCACTTCAGTCATTCATTTGCTCAAATCGCCAACTCCATGTTCATCCACTGCCTGTACATGCAACACATTTACTCATTGTCATCTTACCTCTATAAAAGGAAAATAAGTCTTGGGGACCTCAGATCACTAAGCTAAAGGGCAAAGTCAAGCTGGGAACTGCTTAAGGCAAACTTGCCCCTCCCATTCTGTTCAACATCAACCCTCCGCTCACTGAGATAAATGCGTATTTGATTGCCTCCTTTGGAAAGGCTAATCAGAAACTCAAAAGAATGCAACCTTTTGTCTCTTATCTACCTATGACCTGGGAGTCCCCTCCCACTTCCAGTTATCCTACCTTTGCTTCTAGATGTTCCACCTTTCAGAATAGAACCAATGTTCATGTTACATATGTTGATTGATGTCTCATGTCTCTGTAAAAGGAATAAAACCAAGCTGTGCTCTGACCACCTTAGGTACATGTCATTTGGACCTCCTGAGGCTGTGTCATGGGCGTGCAAACTTAACTTTGGCAAAATAAACTTCCTAAATTGACTGAGACCTGTCTCAGATTTTTGGGGTTCATACCTCATATACTCTCAATTGGATTAAGGTCTTTAGAGGTACTAAAGTTGAAATACTAATGCTTCCTCTCATACTGTACCGTATAAAACTAAAAAAGTACAATTTTAAATAACAAATGCAAAACGTCTAAAAATTATGATTTTCCCCACAAATTCTTCCTTGCTTTTTCTAAAGATAAGTCTCCATGTTGGGCAATTCAGTATTGACTAGATAAAGCTTCCTGAATAGTGTGAAGAAAATCAAGCTATCTTCAAATTGATGCCTATTCAGGTTACTATTGCTGCATATCTGGTTATGCCAGTTCAGGAGTTTAATGACACTATTTTATTGTGTTCATAAATTCCTGGATCACACACTTATACAGAGCCCAGCAGGGATAGTTTGTCTCTGTTTCTTAATAGATAGAGTCATAGCAGGAAAGACTTGACAGCTAAGGGGTGATTTGGCTGCTGGGCACTGGAATCATCTGAAGATATCTTCACTCAGATATTTGGTGACTAATGCTGGCTATTGACTGGGACCTTGGCTGGCACTGGCATCCAGTGCACCTATGCATGGTTTCATCATGTAATTTGGGCTTTTGTGTTAGTCCATATTCATGTTGCTGATAAAGACATACCCGAGACTGGGTAATTTATAAATAAAAGTTCCACATGGCTTGGGTGGCCTCACAATCATGGCAGAAGAGCAAAGGAGAACAAAGGGATGTCTAATATTGTGGCCGGCAAAGAGAGAGAGCCACATAAAAGGGGAAACTCCTTATAAAACCATCAGATCTCATGAGACTTATTCCCTACCATGACAATGATATGAGGGAAACTAGAGGAGATGCCAACTGGGATTCCTGGGTCGAGTAGGGGCTCAGAAAGCAGTGAAACTCACTCATTTCCTGCATCAGGACTTACTTCGGCCCTGGATGAATAATATTAAAGATATATGCTTAAAATATTCTTAGCACCAGGATTTATGCATGTATTTTCTTCGCTAAGAAAGCTATAAACAACAAAAATTTTGCTGTAAGTTTCCCTGTGTCTTTCTCTCCCTCTCTCCCTTCCTCTCCACCAAAACTAAAGTTAAAAGGAATGTTAACTGCCATTTTTCTGTGACCAGCAGACCTTATCTATCCTCCCAATTCCAATTCCTTGTGAACATACTTTGTAAAGTCCTGTGAGATCCTGTCTCTTTTGCCATGCTGTTGCAATGTCATAAAGTAGATAAAACCTAAGCTGCAATTCCAGTTTTCCTCAAGATCTAAGACATGTCACAACTGGTTAATTGCCTTTGTTTCTTGCTCTGGTAACATCTTCTTGCCACACATATTTCCTGCCTTAAAGAGTTTAAAAGGCAATCCCATAATCTAACTCTGGCTACCCGTTTGGGACCCCTTCCACACTGTGGAAACTTTGTACTTTCACTCTGCTCAATAAAGCCTAGAGCTTTTTCTCCTGGTCCGTGTCTCTATCACTCGGCACTGTCAGCCACCACAAACAATTCTTTGGTGTGGATAAGCAAGAACCTTAGGTGTTACAAAACCAACCCATGATTAAATTATCTCTCATCAGGTCTATCCCACAACACGTGGGAATTATGGGAGCTACAATTCGAGATGAGAGTTCATTCTGCCCATGGCCCCTCCCAGACTTCATGCCCTCACATTTCAAAACCAATTATGCCTTCCCAACAGTCCCTCAAAGTCTTAACTCATCTCAGTATTAACTCAAAGGTCTGCAATCCAAAGTCTCATCTGAGACGAGGCAAGTCCCTTCCACCTATGAGCCTGAAAATTAAAACGAAGTTAGTTACTTCCTAGATACAATGGGGGTACAGGCATTGGGTAAATATACCCATTCCAAAAGAAAGAAATTGGCTAAAACAAAGGGGCTAAAGGCTGCATGCAAGTCCAAAATCCAGTGGGGCAGTCAAATCTTAAAGCTCCAAAATGATCTCCTTTGACTCCATGTCTCACATTCAGGTCATGCTGATGTAAAAGGTGGGTTCCAATGGTCTTGGGGAGCTTCATCCCTGTGGTTTTGCAGGGTAAAGTCTCCCTCCTGGCTGCTTTCATGGGCTGACATTGAGTTTCTGTGGCTTTTCCAGGCACACTGTGAAAGCCGTCAGGGGATCCACCATTCTGGGATCTGGAGGATGGTGGCCCTCTTCTCATAGCTCCATTAGGCAGTGCCCCAGTCTGGACTCTGTGTGGGCCTTCAACCCCACATTTCCCTTCTGCATGGTCCTAGCAGAGGTTATCCATGAGGGCTCCACCCCTGCAGCAAACTTCTGCCTCCACATCTAGGCATTTCCATACATCCTCTGACATGTAGGTGGATGTTCCCAAACCAAATTTTTGACTTCTGTGCACCCATGAATACCACGCTGAAGCTGCCAAGGCTTGGGACTTGCACCTCCTGAAGCCACAGCCTGAGCTGTACCTTGTCCCCTTTAAGCCATGGGTCGAGGGGCTGGGACACAGGGCACCAAGTCCCTGGGCTTCACACAGCAGGGGTGCCTAGGCCCAGCCCATGAAACCATTTCTTCCTCCTAGGCCTCCAAGCCTGTAATGGGGGGGCTGCCCCAAAGGTCTCTGACATGCCCTGGAGACACTTTCCCCATTGTCTTGGCGAGTAACATTTGGCTCCTCCCTACTTACGCAAATTTCTGCAGCTAGCTTGAATTTCTCCTCAGAAAATGGGTTTTTCTATCAAATCATCAAGCTGCAAATTTTCCAAACTTATATGCTCTGTTTCTCTTGTAAAACCAAATATCTTTAACAACACCCAAGTCATCTTTTGAATGTTTTGCTGCTTAGAAATTTCTTCTGCCAGATACCCTAAATCATCTCCCTCAAGTTCAAAGTTCCACAAATCTCTAGGGCAGAAGCGAAATGCCACCAGTGTCTTTGCTAAAGCATAACAGGAGTCACTTTTAGTCCAGTTCCCAATAAGTTCCTCATCTCTCTCTGAGACCACCTCAGCCTGGATTTTATTGTCCATATAATTATCAGCATTTTCAAAGCCATTCAACAACAAGTTTCTTGGAAGCTCCAAACTTTCCCACATTTTCCTGTCTTCTTCTGAGCCCTCCAAACTGTTCCAGCCTCTGTGTGTTACCCAGTTCCAATGTCACTTCCACATTTTCGGGTATCTTTACAGCAGTGCCCCATTCTACTGGTACCAATTTACTGTATTAGGCTGTTTTCATACTGCTGATAAAGACATACCTGAGACTCAGTAATTTATAAAGAAAAAGGTTTAATGGACTCACTGTAAGTGGAACTGTGGCTGGGCAGACCTTACAATCATGGTTGAAGGTGAAAGACATGTCTTATATGGTGGCAGATGAGAGAGAGTGAGAGCCAAGTGAAAGGAGAAATCCCATATGAAACCATCAGGTCTCATGAGACTTAATCAGTACCACAAGAATAGTATGGGGAAACTGCCCCATGATTCAATTATCTCCCACCGGGTCCCTCCCACAACATGTGGGAATTCTGGGAGCTACAATTCAAGATGAGATTTGGGTGGGGACACAGTCAAACCATATCAGCTTCCTCATAGCATAGAACATTCTGAGAAATTAGATTTTTTTTTTACATAGGGGATCAGGACTCCAAAAATGAATGTTCTGGAAATAAAGCAGAATCTATATAATCTAATCTGACCTAGTCTTGGAAGTTACACAATATCTTCTGCCAAATTCTATTGGTTACAAGTAAGTCAAAAGCTTATTTAAATTCAAGTGAAAGGACAAAATTCCTTCCCATCTCTTCATGTGTGAATTTGCACCATTTCCAGAAAACCCATTTCAATGACCATATAAGTGGGTGTTTGTTTTCTTTAGATGAAGCTATAACTAATGCCTTCAAATTATACTAAATAGTTAATTTTCTTTAACATTCTTCAGTGTGACTGATTCAAAAACTTTCCCTTTTCAAAACTCCTGCATGTCATAATCAGAATACTACTAAGATGGCCTCATGACCTACATACTTGTATAATTGCATCCCTTTGAGTGTGAGTAGGATCTGTAATTTTTTCTAATCAGTAGGATATGCTCAGGATGAGGGTTTTTTTTCAAATGTAATTCAAGTCCCTAATCAGCTGACTGTAAGTTAATGAAAGAGGGCAATTATCCCGAGTGAGTCTGACTTAATCAGGTGAGCCCATTAAATGAGAGTGTATAGGTCAGAGAAATTTTCCTGCTTGCCTTGAAGAAGATGCAACTATTGATGAGCTCTACAAATATAATGACATTAATTTACTAGCTACTTGAATGAAATTAGAAGAGCCATCCCAGGCAAGTCTCCATATGAGAACACAGTCTGACTGATACCTTGCTTTTAGCCTAGTGAGTTCTTAAGTAGAGGGCCCAGATAAGCTTTGCCCAGACTCCTGCCTGAGAGAAACTTTGACATAATATATGTGTGATGTTTTAAATGGCTTGTGATAATTTGCTGCAGAGCAATAGAATAATACACTGCCATAACTTGTAGAGAATATTATTGCTGCTCACATCACTATTGATGAGCTCTAAAAATGTAATGAAATTAACTTACTAGCTACTTGAATGAAATTAGAAGAAGAGCCCTCCCAGGCAAGTCTCCATATGAGAACACAGTCTTGACTGACACCTTGCTTTCAGCCTAGTGAGTTCTTAAGTAGAGGGCCCAGCTAAGCCATGCCCAGACTCCTGCCTCAGAGAAACTTTGACGTATTACATGTGTGATGTTTTAAGTGGCTTGTGACAATTTGCTGCAGAGCAATAGAATAACACACTGCCATAACTTGTAGAGAATATTATTGCTTCACATTTTCTGCAGAAAATAAAAGCCATCCCGTGAGAACTCAAGTATCTCTCACTACACCTGAAATTTATATTTTCCAACACCAAATTGTTTCCTTACCTTTTCTGAAGATGGAAAGGCTTTATTTTTCAAGACTTGATAATTCCCTGATGTAAGATTTGTAATAGTCACATTCTCTGAACACAATACAATAATATTAGAAATTATAATACAATTTAATCAAAACAGCAAAAAGCTTACTCTTATGATTTACAAAAATATCCACTTAGTTGAAATTCCCAAGACATGAATCAATATAAAGTGAAAAATGTATTTTTTGAACATCTGCTTTCAGCTATAAGAGAGTAGTTTGTAACAAACCAGCACTCACATTAAGAACAACTGAAAAACAACAGCAACAATTGTGTGAACAGCCTGGAGAGTTTCAAAGGCATTCAGAAATTAAAAGGCCATGAATTCAGTAAGAAGGTAATTTCACTGATGTGAGCCCAATGTCTCCTTGTCACTGGTTATGTCTTAAGTTATAAATCGTGACAGTCTAAAAAGTTGGGGAGAGGAAACCCAATACAAGACAGAGGAAATAGCAGAGACTTCTGTGATTTTACTGATTAGGGACAAAGGAGATAGAAATTAGTGTTGGCCACTAGAACTAAGACTTTGGAGAGAAAGGGAGCATGTAAAAGTGAGCCTAACTTTCTGAGTTGTTTCTTCAATATTTCTGTAAATTATTAAACTGTACAGGCCAATAGTATGTAAAGCTATGAAGAAATAGTCAGAAAACTCAGAAGAACTCTTGGAAGACTTACAGTGCCAAGAAGAAAAAGCTGGAGCTCTGGCCCTACCAAAGTTGAAGATCCTGGTAAATATCCCAGCCATTCTCTCTTCCAATTCCCAGAAGACTACACATTAGAAGTAGCAGATAAACCCAACATCTTCAGCATCTTTAAAACTGAAAATGAACTGCAACCCCAAACCTGATGACATTGAGAAGAGATCCTCCTGTTCTAGCCACCTTACAGAGGATAAGGGAAATGTACTTCAGAGAAAATTTCTACAATTCTCATATACATCATCTGAAAATCAGTAAAAAGTCACCAGGCATACAAAGAAGATGAACCAAAGGAAACAAAATGCATAATAGAAACAGATATACAGGTGATCTTTGTAAGTTATCAGATAAGCATTTTTAAGTAGCTGTGATTATTATATTTAAGAAAATAGATGGTGAGATGGATTTTTTTTAGGAATTTGAAAGACTTTTAAAATAATCAAATAGAAATTACATATATGACAATATAATTATTGGAAGTAAGAATTAAATAGCAGAGAATACTTAATGAGATTACTGTGAAAATGGTAAACACTAGACTCCTGAGCATTTGGAAAATGGCTATTATAAAATAAGATGTGCTGTCAGTGTAAAATACAGATAGGAGTTCAAAAACTAAGTTAAGAAGTAAACTACCTCATTAACATCTTAATATTGATTACATATTAAAATTGTACCACTTTGAGTTAAATAAAATATATGGTTAAAATTAATATTTCCTTTTTACTTTTTAGAATGTAGCTAATAGAGAACTCATATGTTGCTTGCATTGTATTTCTATTGGACAGTGCTTATTTAGATTGTGGAGTTATAGAAAATAACTAGATTGATGCATGCAGAGAGAAATAAACAGAAAAGAATATAAGACACAATGGCACAGGAAATACATGTCAAAATGCATATAACTGGATATCTTCAAGGAAGAGAGTGAAGAATGATGTAGAAGTATTACTTGAATAGATGATGGCTAAGATTTTTCTCAAATTTACAGAATCAACAGTTATAAGCAGGTAAAATAAAAAGACTTTAAGCCACAATAGACTTATGGTTCACTTGTCAACATAAATAATGGAAGCTACAATGCAATGGAATGGCATCTTTAAATTGCTGAAAATGTAGCTGTCAACCCAAAATTTTATACTAAGCAAACATAGTGTTTTGTAAAAGAGGGCAAATTAATAACATTTCTAGGCAAATAACTAAGAGAATTTGTCACTAGGAAAGCTGCATTAAAATAAAATACTAAAGGGAGCATTTCAGACAATAGAAAGTGACCCCAGGTAGCATCACAGAAATATAGAAAGTACATAATG
This sequence comes from Homo sapiens, assembly GCF_000001405.40. Lineage (NCBI taxonomy): Eukaryota > Metazoa > Chordata > Mammalia > Primates > Hominidae > Homo > Homo sapiens. Next base: position 191,655,545 of record NC_000003.12, read on the forward strand.
GACAACAGAAATACAAAAATATGGGCAAAAGTAAGTATTAAGATTTTTTAAAACCCAAGCATGATAATGTCATATGTATTTTCAGGTATATATAAAATTAAAATGCCTGACTACAGTAACTCAAAAGGTGAGAATTCATAAATAAAATAGAAGCATTAAGGTCTTAGCATTGTTTGCAAAGTATGTTATAAACTAGTACTAATTTTTTATTAGACTGTGATAAGTCAAGGATGATACTGGTATTCTTTGTATATTCACTAAATGTATAGTAAAAAATATAAATAACAAATTAGGCTAAAATGGAAAGTTGATTATTTCTATAGATGGCAAGACAGAAAAGATATGTGGTAAAAAATAGCAAGATGGTAGATATAAATTAAAATAGATCAGTAACTGCATTAAATGTAAATGGAACATATAATTAAAAGAAAAAATTGTCATATTAATTTTAAAGCTATCCACTCTATGTTTCTTACAAGCAAAAACAAAAAAATTGAAAGTGAAAAGATAGAAAAGATATATTATAGAAAAACTGACCTCTAAAAATCTGGTGTAACTATACTATAAAATGTAGCCTATAACAAGGAAGCATTACCAGAGATAAACAGGGATGCTACATAATGATAGAAGATTAAATCCCTCAAGAAAATACAATAATTTAAAATTTCATGTACTTAAAAAGATAGCTTCATAAAATGAACAGAAATAAAATTGAAATAGACTTATCAACAATCAATAGGAAATTTCAGCATCTCTATCAATTGCAGAAAAAAGGCATAAGGATATGGATAAACTGAATAACAAGTAAAATTGTTAGTGTGCAAAATCAAATCAATTACCTCCAGTTCAAAATGACTTCTGCCTGTTAAACTCCAATTCAGCTTTTCCAAAGTTTTCTCAAATATTTCCATGTAAATACAAGAAAGGAAGAAATAAACAATTTCCCCACATTTAGATGCATGATGCCAGCTTAGGTAGTAAGAGCCTAAAAATTTATATCAGAGCTTCAATATGTTGTCTAAATCAACAATTTCTTAACATTGAAACCCAACAATTGGTACAAAGATACTGTGCCTTCTCCATGAGGTAGGATAATCAATTCATACAGAACTGGTAGTCTATTCCTACTTTTACCATTAATAAACTACTCTCAGGGAGTACGGCCAACCTCTATATTCAACAACGAAGGAAAATCATTTACATCTCAATAAAACAGAAAAAAATATTGGAAGACAAATTTGTAATGCTCCTTCTCTCCTTCTCCCTTTTGTGTATGTAGTTTACAAAAGTTCAGCTGAAGTAGCAATGTTTGTCCTAGGGGAATATATCTTTAAGGCTGAAACTCAGGAATTTGGGGGTCCAACAAAGAGGACAGGGGTTTGTCAAATAGCACTACACAGATATGTCTATTTCACTTACATTTAAGTATGCCTGCCTCACAAATAGTAAGGTTATTCCCACCAAACTGATACACAGTACAATCGATCATTTTTGTTACATATTTGATTAAAGATAAACTTTTGAAATATTTTTACATTCTAAAAATAAATGGTAGTATAGATTTTTGTGCTTCTTTCTTTCTCCCACTATTATACGGTTACCTTTATTATTGTAATTGCTCTAAATGCTTAGGCTGTATTGGCTGAATTAAAATTAATATTCTTCAAAATTATTTCTTCTAAATCTATTGGTCTGCAAAACTGAGTTTCTTTGAGCAAGGATCACATTCTAATTATTTATCTTCCTTTACTGTTTAGCACAGTGCCTGGCAATAGTAAATAAGAGTTGTTTGAAGAACAACTATATTATATGTTATGACAATTGACTGCAACATAATCTATTGCTCTGACATTATAGATGGTTTCTTAGTAAACTACTTTTCAATATACAGCAATTGAGAAGACAGATAATTATATAGTTATAGTTATGTTAATGCCATATAACTCTTTGAAAGAATCTGGTCTACAGGCATTAGCACCATAAAATAATTTTGGTCAGTGTGTGGATGGTCGATATTAAAGTTAGATTTTAAATAATTTTTTATTGATAGTCTGTATCTTTCATTTAGAGGTCATAAGAATAAATATTGATGTCGAGACAAAAAATACAAATGCTAAAGCATTGATAAATACCAAAGCAATTTGCTGGCAGATATTAACATTTTTTAAAAAATTACCTTAGTAGTCTATTGCATTATTCTAGACCCTTTTCAAGGAAAACATTTAATTTACTGTGGAATCCAAGAGAATCTATGCATATGCCAACAGATGTTTATGTGTTAAAAGAAAAATCCTTGGAATATTTTTAGATGTAATTAACACAGTACATGTTACATCTAATTTCCACCTTTAAAAATTACTTGCAATAATTCTCTTCTTTATAAATAATTTAACCTTGAATAGCACAATTTTGGGGGAGTGGCTCAGAAACTTCTGAACTAGGAGCACATTTAATCTTGTATTTCTACACAATTAGTTTCTGTTTGTTTTCTTTGCTTTACCAAAAATAAACAAAAAACTAAACCATTTTCTGAAATCAACACAATATATTCCAATAGAAATTGATTTAAAGTCAAGGAAAAGTTTCAGATCTTTTAGGTAATTAAGCAGGTAGTTAATTTTAGGTAGATTAACAATTTTATCCAAAGTAAGCATTAAAATTCTGGCTGATGATCTAGTATATTAGAAAAAAATTAAATTTATTGTACAAATGTAGATTATTGATGTCATTCTACGTTATTATACGTACTTAAATATAATTGCTGCCTTATGTTATAGTAGGAGGCTGTTCTATAAATTAGAAATCAGTACATTCTATTGCCTTGTTCCAGATATCTAAATGTCACTCTTTTTAATGTGTTCTAGTTAAGAGGAATTCATAAAGATGTGAAGAAATTGATTTCCCAAGTGGTTAACTGGCACTTTAAACACTCGTGTATTCATTTCTTCATTCTATAAGCATTTATTGGGTACTTGTCACGTGCCAAACTTTATTCTAGGCACTTTGAATATAAGGGAAGTAAAATGAAGTGTATAACCTTGAGATTCCATCAGTCTAAACAGAATGAGGGAAACAATAATAGAAAGATGATTGTACTACACTTCTGGAAAATGTAATGATAAAGATCAGCACAGAATATTATAGAAGTAGAATGGTCAAATAGCTAATCCAAACTTGGAGGTTATGGCTACCAAGAGAAATTTGTAGAAGATAATTCTTGAAAATTTTAAATAAGAGAAACCCCCTTTGGGTCCTCTCCCCTTGTACGGGAGCTCTGTTTTCACTCTATTTCACTCTATTAAATCTTGCAACTGCACTCTTATGATCCATGTTTGTTACGGCTTGAGCTGAGCTTTCGCTCGCTGTCCACCACTGCTGTTTTGCCACCATGGCAGACCCACCACTGACCTCCATCCCTCCGCATCCAGCAGGGTGTCCGCTGTGCTCCTGATCCAGTGAGGCGCCCGTTGCCACTCCCGATTGGGCTAAGGGCTTGCCAATGTTCCTGCATGGCTAAGTGCCTGGGTTCGTCCTAATCGAGCTGAACACTAGTCACTGGGTTCCATGGTTCTCTTCCATGACCCACAACTTCTAATAGAGCTATAACAAGCACTGCATGGCCCAAGATTCCATTCCTTGGAATCCGTGAGGCCAAGAACCCCAGGTCAGAGAACACGAGGCTTGCCACCATCTTGGAAGTGGCCCACCGCCATTTTGGAAGTGGCCAACCACCATCTTGGGAGCTCTGGGAGCAAGGACCCCTGGTAACATTTTGGCGACCACGAAGGGACATCCCAAGTGGTGAGTAATATTGGACCACTTTCGCTTGCTATTCTGTCCTATCCTTCCTTAGAACTGGAGGAAAACACCGGGCACTTGTCGGCCAGTTAAAAATGATAAGCATGGCCGCCGGACTAAAGACTCGGTGTGAGGCTATCTGGGGAAGGGCTTCCTAACAACCCCCAACCCTTCTACCGGGGACATTGGTCTGCCTGGAGCCAGCTTCCACCTTTGATTTTCTTGGGGAAGCTGAGGGCCAGCTAGAGGCAGAAAGCTGTTGTCCTGAACTCCCTGCAGTAGCCGGTTAAGATCGTGGCGCAGCCAGAAGTCTCTACTCAACAGTCGCCCATGCGTGCGCCCCTACCTTTCCTCCTGACCCATACCTCCTGGGTCCTGACCACGACTTTCTTGAAAGTGTAGCCCCAAAATTCTCCTTACCTCTGAATCTGCTTCCTCTGATCCCTGCCTCCTAGGTACTAATGGTTCAGACTTTCATTTCCTCTAGCAAGTTGTATCTGCAAAGGGATCTAAGGAAGCTCTACACTGCGTCCTTAGGCACATAGGCTGTAACCCAGGGAGTCTTACCCCTGGTATCCCTCCCGATTTAGGTATACGGCTCTCGACATGGGCAGTTACGTGGGATCCATTCCCCACCACCCTTGCCAGGGCCCCAAGTTTGTAATGGCTAAGAAAGACAGAGAGACAGAGATGGAGAGAGAGACAAAGAGGGAGTCAAGGAGAAAAAGAAAGGAAAAGATAGAAATAGTTAAAAAAAAAAAAAGTGTGCGTATTCCTTTAAAAGCCAGGGTAAATTTAAAACTTGTAATTGATAATTGCCACTTTGTTGTCAGTGTAAATAAGGGTGTAGCAAATCCTGAACCCAGTAACCCATGGATGGGCCAAATGCATTCAGTCTGTAGTGACAACTGCTTTACTAAAAGTAGAAAAGTAACTTTTAGAGGAAACCTGGTTGTGAGCACACCTCACCAGTTCAGAGTTATTCCAAGTCAAAAAAAAAAAAGCAAAAAGGTAGCTTACTAACTCAAAAACCTTAAAGTATTGGGCTATTCTGTTAGAAAAGGGTAATGTAACTCCAACCACTGATAATTCCCTTAACCCAGCAGATTTCCTAACCGGGGATTTAAGACTTAATTACCATACAAAGGTCCAACCAGAGCTAGGAGGAACTCCCTTCAGGACAGGAGGTTAGATGGTTCCTCCTAGGTGATTGAGGAAAAAACCACAATGGGTAATCAGTAATTGATAGGAGACTCTTGTGGAAGCAGAGTTAGAAAATTTGCCTAATAACTGGTCTCCTCAAATGTGCGAGCTGTTTGCACTCAGCCAAGCCTTAAAGTACTTACAGAATCAAAAAGACTATCTCAATCCTGACTCAAAAAGTTACCTACACCCTCTCTGAAATGAATTTGCATAAGAACTGCTTTTATAGGAATGCATCTTGATGGGGTGGCTGGGTTGTTATGAAATACTCAGGAACCCAGCCCAGCTCTAGGACTCACCCCTGAGTGCAAAGGCAATGTTGGGCACGCTGGTAAAGGACCACTAGAATCCAGAGGGTGCCCAGACACCTTTCTTAGTGGTCAAAAGAGGCAGGAAAACAGGTGCAGGACTGCTACATTGGCCAGCATAACTAATCCGATAAGCAGAGGTCCGTGGGTGGTTACGCACCCTGGAAAGGAACTCACCTCTGAGCACAAAGGCAATGTTGGGCATGCCGGTAAAGGACCACTAGAATCCAGCAGCCCGGACCCCTTTCTCTGTGGTCAAGAGAGGCGGGAAAACAGGTGCAGGACTGCTACATCGGTGAGTGTAACTAATCCGATAAGCAGAGGTCCATGGGTGGTTACACACCCTGGAAAAGAATAAGCATTAGGACCATAGGGGACACTCTAGGACTAATGCTCATGGGAAAATGACTAGGGGTGCTGGCATCCCTATTTTCTTTTTTCAGAGGGGAAACATTCCCCCCAAGGCAAAAAAACCCCTAACGTATTCTGGAGAACTGGGACCAATTTGACCCTCAGATGCTAAGAAAGAAATGACATATTCTTCTGCAGTACTACCTGGCCATGATATCCTCTTCAAGGGGGAGAAACCTGGCCTCCTGGGGAAGTATAAATTATAACAGCATCTTACAGCTAGACCTTTTTTGTAAAAAAAAAAAAAAAAAAAAAAAAAAAAGGCAAATGGAGTGAAGCACCATATGTACAAACTTTTTTTCATTAAGAGACAACTCGTAATTATGTAAAACGTGTGATTTATGCCCTACAGAAAGCCCTCAGAGTCTACCTCCCTACCCCAGCCCCCATGACCCCAACTAATAAGAACCCCCCTTCAACGCAGTGTAGACCCTCATTGGGACACAGAATCAGAACATGGAGATTGGTGCTGCAGACATTTGCTAATTTGCGTACTAGAAGGACTAAGGAAAACTAGGAAGAAGACTATGAATTATTCAATGATGTCCACTTTAACACAAGTAAAGGAAGAAAATCCTACTGCCTTTCCGGAGAGACTAAGGGGGGTATTGAGGAAGCATACCTCTCTGTCACCTGACTCTGTTGAAGGCCAACTAATCTTAAAGGATAAGTTTATCACTCAGTCAACTGCAGACATTAGAAAAAAACTTCAAAAGTCCACCTTAGGCCTGGAGCAAAACTTAGAAACCCTATTGAACTTGGCAACCTTGGTTTTTTTAATAGACACGAGGAGGAGCAGGTGGAACGGGACAAATGGGATTAAAAAAAAGGCCACTGCTTTAGTCATGGCCCTCAGGCAAGCAGACTTTGGAGGCTCTGGAAAAGGGAAAAGCTGGGCAAATTGAATGCCTAATAGGGCTTGCTTCCAGTGTGGTCTACAAGGATACTTTAAAAAAGATTGTCCAAGTAGAAGTAAGCTGCCCCCTAGTCCATGCCCCTTATGTCAAGAGAATCACTGGAAGGCCCACTGCCCCAGGGAATGAAGGTCCTCTGAGTCAGAAGCCACTAACCAGATGATCCAGCAGCAGGACTGAGGGTGCCCGAGGCAAGCGCCAGCCCATGCCATCACCCTCACAGAGCCCCGGGTATGCTTGACCATAGAGGCTAACTGTCTCCTGGACACTGGTGCGGCCTTCTCAGTCTTACTCTCCTGTTCTGGACAACTGTCCTCCAGATCTGTCACTATCCAAGGGGTCCTAGAACAGCCAGTCACGAGATACTTCTCCCAGCCACTAAGCTGTGACTGGGGAGCTTTACTCTTTTCACATGCTTTTCTAATTATGCCTGAAAGCCCCACTCCCTTGTTAGGGAGAGACATTCTAGCAAAAGCAGGGGCCATTATACACCTGAACATAGGAGAAGGAACACCTGTTTGTTGTCCCCTGCTTGAGGAAGGAATTAATCCTAAAGTCTAGGCAACAGAAGGACAATATAGACAAGCAAAAAATACCCGTCCTGTTCAAGTTAAAGAATTCCACCTCCTTTCCCTACCAAAGGCAGTAGCCCCTCAGATCCGAGGCACAACAAGGACTCCAAAAGATTGTTAAGGACGTAAAAGCCCAAGGCCTAGTAAAAGCATGCAATAGCCCCTGCAATACTCCAATTTTATTATTACAGAGACCCAACAGACAGTGGAGGTTAGTGCAAGATCTCAGGATTATCAATGAGGCTGTTGTTCCTCTATACCTAGCTGTACCTAACCCTTATACTCTGCTTTCCCAAATACCAGAGGCAGCAAAGTGGTTTACAGTCCTAGACCTTAAGGGTGCTTTTTTCTGTATCCCTGTACATCCTGACTCTCACTTCTTGTTTGCCTTTGAAGATCCTTTGAACCCAACATCTCAAGTCACCTGGACTGTTTTACCCCAAGGGTTCAAGGATAGCCCCCATCTATTTGGCCAGGCATTAGCCCAAGACTTGAGCCAGTTCTCATACCTGGACAATCTTGTCCTTCAGTATGGGGATGATTTAATTTTGGCCACCCGTTCAGAAACCTTGTGCCATCAAGCCACCCAAGCACTCTTAAATTTCCTCGCTACCTGTGGTTACAAGGTTTCCAAATGAAAGGCTCAGCTCTGCTCACAGCAGGTTAAATACTTAGGGCTAAAATTATCCAAAGGCACCAGGGCCCTCAGTGAGGAATGCATCCAGCCAATACTGGCTTATTCTCATCCCAAAACCCTAAAGCAACTAAGAGAATTCCTTGGCATAACAGGCTTCTGCCAAATATGGATTCCCAGGTACGGTGAAATAGCCAGGCCATTATACACACTAATTAAGGAAACTCAAAAAGCGAATACCCATTTAGTAAGACAGACACCTGAAGCAGAAGCAGCTTTCCAGGCCTTAAAGAAGGCCCTAACCCAAACCCCAGTGTTAAGCTTGCCAACGGGGCAAGACTTTTCTTTATATGTCACAGAAAAAAAACAGGAATAGCTCTAGGAGTTCTTACACAAGTCCAAGGGACGAGCTTGCAACCTGTGGCATACCTGAGTAAGGAAATAGATGTAGTGACAAAGGGTTGGCCTCATTGTTTACAGGTAGTTGCTGCAGCAGCAGTCTTAGTATCTGAAGCAGTTAAAATAATACAGGGAAGAAATCTTACTGTGTGGACATCTCATGATGTGAACGGCATGCTCACTACTAAAGGAGACTTGTGGCTGTCAGACAACCATTTACTTAAATATCAGGCTCTATTACTTGAAGGGCCAGTGTGGCAACTGCACACTTGTGCAACTCTTAACCCAGCCACATTTCTTTCAGACAATGAAGAAAAGATAGAACATAACTGTCAACAAGTAATTACTCAAACCTGTGCCACTAGAGGGGACCTTTTAGAGGTTCCCTTGACTGATCCTGACCTCAACTTGTATACTGATGGAAGTTCCTTTGTAGAAAAAGGACTTCAAAAAGTGGGGTATGCAGTGGTCAGTGATAATGGAATACTTAAGGTAATCCCCTCACTCCAGGAACTAGTGCTCAGCTGGCAGAACTAATAGCCCTAATTTGGGCACTAGAATTAGGAGAAGGAAAAAGGGTAAATATATATAAAGACTCTAAGTATGCTTACCTAGTCCTCCATGCCCATGCAGCAATATGGAGAGAAAGGGAATTCCTAACTTCTGAGGGAATACCTATCAAACATCAGGAAGCCATTAGGAGATTATTATTGGCTGTACAGAAACCTAAAGAGGTGATAGTCTTACACTGCCAGGGTCATCAAAAAGGAAAGAAAGGAAAATAGAAGGGAACCGCCAAGCGGATATTGAAGTCAAAAAAGCCACAAGGCAGGACCCTTCATTAGAAATGCTTATAGAAGGGCCCCTAGTATAGGGTAATCCCCTCCGGGAAACCAAACCCCAGTACTCAGCAGGAAAAATAGAATAGGGAACCTCACGAGAACAAACTTCCCTCCCCTCCAGATGGCTAGCCACCAAAGAAGGAAAAATACTTTTGCTTGCAGCTAACTAATAGAAATTACTTAAAACCCTTCACCAAACCTTCCATTAGGCATTGATAGCACCCATCAGATGGCCAAATTATTATTTACTGGTCCAGGCCTTTTCAAAACTATCAAGCAGATAGATAGTCAGGGCCTGTGAAGTGTGCCAAAGAAATAATCCCCTATACTGCAGGCCATACATTTCAATCCCTGTATCTTTAACCTCCTTGTTAAGTTTGTCTCTTCCAGAATCAAAATGGTAAAACTACAAATGGGTCTTCAAATGGAGCCCCAGATGCAGTCCATGACTAAGATCCACCACAGACCCCTGGACTGGCCTGCTAGCCCATGATCCGATGTTAATGACATCAAAGGCACCCCTCCCAAGGAAATCTCAACTGCCCAACCCCTACTATGCCCCAATTCAGCAGGAAGCAGTTAGAGCAGTCATTGGCCAACCTCCCCAACAGCACTTGGATCTTCCTGTTGAGAGGGGGGACTGAGAGATAGGACTAGCTGGATTTCCTAGGCCAACTAAGAATCCCTAAGCCTAGCTGGGAAGGTGACCGCATCCACCTTTAAACACGGGGCTCGCAACTTAGCTCACACCCAACCAATCAGAGAGCTCACTAAAATGCTAATTAGGCAAAAACAGGAGGTAAATAATAGCCAATCATCTATTGCCTGAGAGCACAGCGGGAGGGACAAGGAACGGGATATAAAACCAGGCATTCGAGCTGGCAATGGCAACCCCCTTTGGGTCCCCTTCCCTTGTATGGGAGCTCTGTTTTCACTCTATTTCACTCTATTAAATCTTGCAACTGCAAAAAAAAAAAAAAATTTAAATAAGTTCCAGATCTTTCATAGATTACATATTAAGGTGAAAGGTGTTCCAAGAAGAAGAATAGTATAAACAGTGGCAAAGAGGCAAGAAACAATAAAGTTTGTGCAAAGAATTATACATAGAATCACCTGTTGGTGTGTATCACTCGAGGCAGAGAGCAGGTAGGAATAAGGCTAGCAATAGGCAAGGCCAGATTAGGTAGATCCTACAACATATATTACAACCTTTTCCTGAACTTGTAGCCAATTTAGAGTCATTGATGAGCAATCAGTGGTAGAGTCCAATAGTTAAATGTTGGACTATAGGCAGATAATTCTGGAAGGGATATGGAGAATGGCTTGAAATGGACAAGACTAAAAGCCTTCAGAACATTTGCAGTAAGCATGTGAATGATAATGAGAATGGTGATAGGAACAGAGAGGAGGAAATAGATTTGGGAAATATGATATTTAGTTAATAAAATCAGAGCTACATGGTTATTTGGAAATGGGAGGGACGAGGATAAGCCCCTACTGACATCTTAGGAGATGAGCTGAATGACTGTGCTACATTATCTTCTTTACTTCAAGTTTAATACATGAACTAGAAATTGGTATCATCAGTCAGGAGAAAAGAAGCTTGGAACTTCCAGAAATCAAGACAATTACTTTCATGCGCGTCCGTGTGAAAAGCCCACCAAACAGGCTTTGTGTGAGCAACATGTCTGTTTATTTCACCTGGGTGCAGGCGGGCTGAGTCTGAAAAGAGAGTCAGCGAAGGGAGATAAGGGTGGGGCCCTTTTATAGGATTTGAGTAGGTAAAGGAAAATCACAGTCAAAGGGGGTTTGTTCTCTGGCGGGCAGGAGTGGGGGTCGCAAGGTGCTCAGTGGGGGTGTTTTTGAGCCAGGATGAGCCAGGAAAAGGACTTTCACAAGGTAATGCCATCACTTAAGGCAAGGACCGACCATTTATACTTTTTTTGTGGTGGAATGTCATCAGTTAAGGTGGGGCAGGGCATATTCACTTCTTTTGTGATTCTTCAGTTACTTCAGGCCATCTGGGTATATACGTGCAAGTCACAGGGGATGCGATGGCTTGGCTTGGGCTCAGAGGCCTGACATTCCTGACTTCTTATATTAATAAGAAAAATAAAATGAAATAGTGTTGAAGTGTTGGTGTGGCAAAAATTTTTGGGGGATGGTATGGAGAGAGAATGGGCGATGTTTCTCAGGGCTGCTTCAAGCGGGATTAGGGGCGGCGTGGGAGCCTAGAGTGGGAGAGATTAAGCTGAAGGGAGGTCTTGTGGTAAGGGGTGATATTGTGGGGATGTTAGAAGAAACATTTGTCGTATAGAATGATTGGTGATGGCCTGGATACGGTTTTGGATGAATTGAGAAACTAAATGGAATAACAGAAGGAGAAAAACAGGTATAAAAGGTCTAAGAATTGGGACTACTCAGGATATCTGATTAGAGAGTGCTTAAGGAGATTCAGCATAGTCCTGCCAGAAAAGATTATTTATTTACTTCAAGAGTTAAGAGTGGCAGTCTGGGGATAGCACCAGGAGATATCAGCTGTGATGGCTTGGAAAAACAGTGTAAACCAGCAGTGTAAACAGGAGCAGGGCCTGTATGAGTAGTTGAGAATGGTAAATAGGAGTATGACTAGACAGAAGATAGTAGGGATGACAGGTTTTTTGGGGCACAGTCTAAGTTGGTCTGGTGTCTGGAATGAGACTGGGGCCTAATAAAAAGGAGCGTCTATACAGGAGCTTAAATGGGTTGTACCCTGTAGCATTCCGAGGACAGGCCTGAATTCTGAGAAGGGAAAGTGATAAAAGTATTGTCCAGTCCTTTTTAAGTTGGTGGCTGAGCTTGGTGAGGTGTGTTCTTAAAAGACCTTTAGTTCATTCTACCTTTCTTGAAGACGGAGGACCGTAAGGGACATAAAGGTTTCACTGAACACTAAGAGCCTGAAAAACTGCTTGGCTGATTTGACTAATAAAGGCTCATCTGTTATCAGACTGTATTGAGGTGGGAAGGCTAAACTGAGGAATTATGTCTGACAGAAGGGAAGAAATGACTGCGGTGGCCTTCTCAGACCCTGTAGGAGAGGCCTCTACCTATCCAGTGAAAGTATCTACCTAGACTAAGAGGTATTTTAGTTATCTGACTCAGGGCATGTTGAATAAAGCTAATTTGCCAGTCCTGGGTGGGGCAAATCCTCGAGCTTGATGTGTAGGGAAGGGAGGGGGCCTGAATAATCCCTGAGGAGTAGTAGAACAGCAGATGGAACACTGAGAAGTTATTACCTTGAGGATAGATTTCCACAATGGAAAGGAAATGAGAGGTTCTAAGAGGCAGGCTAGTGGCTTGTACTATAGCATAGCCTACCTTTGCTGGCGTGTGGCGATTAGGCCTGGTGGAACCACCATCAATAAATCAAGTGTGATCAGGGTGAGGAACAGGAAAGAAGGAAATTTGGGGAAATGGGGTGAATGTCAGGTGGATCAGAGAGATGCAGTCATGGGGGTCGGGTGTGGTATCAGGAATAATGTGGGAGGCCAGATTGAAGTCTGGGCCAGGAACAACGGTAATTGTGGGAGACTCAACAAAGAGTGAGTACAGCTGAAGGAGCCAGGGAGCAGAAAGTATATGCATCAGGTATGAGGAAGAAAATAGATTTTGGAAGTTGAGAACTGTAGAGAGTGAGTTGAGCATAGTTTGTGATTTTGAGGGCCTCCAAAAGTATTAGGGAAGCAGCAGCAGCTGCACGGAGACATGATGGCCAGCCTAAAACTGTAAGGTCAAGTTGTTTGGACAAAAAGGCTACAGGATGCGATCCTGGTCCTTATGTAAGAATTCTGACTGCACAGCCCTGCACTTCGGCTGTGTGTAATGAAAAGGGTTGGGATGAGTCAGGGAGAGCTAGAGTGGGGGCAGTTTCTAAAGCTGTCTTCAAGGAACAGAAAGAGGAGTGGGAAAAGGATTTAGGATCTATGGGATCAGCTAGGTTTTCTTTTGTGAGTTTATATAATGGTTTTGTTAGGATGGCAAAACCAGGTATCCAAAGGCGAAAGTATCCAACCATGCCCAGGAATGAAAGGAGTTGTTTTGTAGAAGGGGTTGGGGTTTGAGAGATCAGTCAGACACGATTGGCAGGGAGAGCATGTGTGCTTTTATGAGAATTATGCTGAGATAGGTAACAGATGAGGAAGAAATTTGGGCTTGATTGAAGTAATGGGGGCTGTCTGTGAAGCTTTGTGGCAGTACAGCCTAGGTAATTTGCTGAGCTTGATGGGTGTCAGGGTCAGTCCAAGTGAAAGCGAAGAGAGGCTGTGATTAAGGGTGCAAAGGAATAGTGAAGAAAGCATGTTTGAGATCTAGAACAGAATAATGGGTTGTAGAGGCAGGTATTGAGGATAGGAGAGTATATGGGTTTGGCACCACGGGGTGGATAGGCAAAACAATTTGGTTGATAAGGCGCAGATCCTGAACTAACTTGTAAGGCTTGTCTGGTTTTAGGACAGGTAAAATGGGGGAATTGTAAGGAGAGTTTATAGGCTTTAAAAGGCCATGCTGTAGCAGGTGAGTGATAACAGGCTTTAATCTTTTTAAAGCGTGCTGCGGGATGGGATATTGGCGTTGAGTGGGGTAAGGGTGATTAGGTTTTAATGAAATGGTAAGGGGTGCATGATTGGTCACCAAGGAGGGAGTAGAGGTATCTTATACTTGTGGGTTAAGGTCGGGGGATACAAGAGGAGGACACAAAGGAGGCTTTGGATTGGGAAGAAGGGTGGCAATGAGATATAGCTGTAGTCCAGGAATAGTCAGGGAAGCAGATAATTTAGTTAAAGTGTCTCAGCCTAATAAGGGAACTGGGCAGGTGGGGGTAACTAAAAAGGAGTGCTTAAAAGAGTATTGTCTAAGTTGGCACCAGAGTTGGGGAGTTTTAAGAGGTTTAGAAGCCTAGCCATCAATACCCACAACAGTTACGGAGGCAGGGGAAACAGGCCTTTGAAAAGGAGGTAATGTGGAGTGGGTACCCTCCATATTGATTAAGAAGGGGATGGGCTTACCTTCCACTGTGAGAGTTACCTGAAGCTCGGCGTCCATGATGGTCTAGGGGGCTTCCGAGGAGATTAGGCAGTGTCAGTCTTCAGCTGCTAAGCTGAGAAGATCTGGGAAGGAGTCAGTCAGAGAGCCTTGGGCCAGAGTTCCAGGGGCTCTGGGAGTGGCTGCCAGGTGAGTTGAACAGTCCGATTTCCAGTGGGGTCCCGCACAGATGGGACACGGCTTAGGAGGAATCCCAGGCTGTGGGCATTCCTTGGCCCAGTGTCCAGATTTCCAGCACGTGTAGCAAGCTCTGTGGGAGGAGGTTCTGGAGGAATGCCTGGCCACTGCGTTTCAGGCGTTTGGAAGTTCTTGTGTGCTGGAGATGTGGCTGGGGTTTGTCTCACAGTGAAGGCAAGGAATTGCAAATTTTTTCTATTATTGTACACCTTGAAGGCGAGGTTAATTAAATCCTGTTGTGGGGTTTGAGGGCCAGAATTTAATTTTTGGAGTTTTATTTAATGTCAGGAGCAGATTGGGTAATAAAATGTATTTTGAGAATAAGACGGCCTTTTGACCTTTTAGGGTCTAGGGCTGTAAAGTGGCTCAGGGTTGCTGCCAAACGAGCCATGAACTGGGCTGGATTTTTATATTTGATGAAAAAGAGCCTAAACGCTTCTGATTTGGGATAAAGAAAGAGGAGCATTAACCCTGACTATGCCTTTGGCTCCAGCCGCCTTTTTAAGAGTAAATTGCTGGGCAGGTGGGGGAGGGCTAGTCACAGAACGAAACTGTAAGCCGGACCAGGTGTGAGGAGGGGAGGTGATAAAAAGATTACAGCGTGGAGGAACGGAGGCTGAGGAAGAATTGGGACCTAGCTCGGCCTGGCGAGGAGCAGCCTGGGGAGGAAGGGAGAGGTCAGATGGGTCTGTACAAAAGGAAGATTAGAAAGACTCAGTGACGCTTGGGGTTGGTACTGAGGGGACAGATGGGAGGGAAAGAAGGAACATTTGGGATGAGTTGCACTGGGCACAGAGACTAGGAAGGGACTGATGTGTAAAAGAATGCCTGGACTTCAGGCACCTCAGACCGTTTGCCTATTTTACGACAATAATTATTTAGATTTTGCAGGATGGAAAAATTCAAAGTGCCATTTTCTGGCTATGTGGAACTACTCTCGAGTTTGTATTGGAGTCAAGCAGCATTGCAGAAGAAAATAAGGCATTTAGGTTTTAGGTCAGGTGTGAGTTGAAGAGGTTTTAAGTTTTTGAGAACACAGGCCAAGGGAGTAGAAGGAGGAATGGAGGGTGGAAAGTTGCCCATAGTGAAGGAAGCAAGCCTAGAGAAAAGAGAGTAGAGAAACGGAGGGAAGGGGTTCGGGGGTTCTTACCTTCCAGAAAAGTGGGAAAAGGGGTTGGGGCACAGAGATAAGAGGTTGGGGCACAGAAATAAGGGATGGGGCACAGAAATAAGGGGTCGGGGCATGGAAATAAGGGATTGGGGCACAGAGATAAGAGGTTGGGGCATGGAAATAAGGGATTGGGGTGCAGAGATATAAGAGGTTGGGGCGTGGAAATAAGGGACTGGGGCACAGAGATATGAGGTTGGGGTACTTGCCCCTGCTCTAGAAGAGCGGGACTTGCCACTAAGAGTGAAGGAGAAGGGGTTGAGGGGTACTTGCCCCTCCCCCAGAAAAGCGGGACTTGCCGCTAAGGGTGAAGGAGAAGGGGTTGAGGGGTACTTGCCCCTCCCCCAGAAAAGCAGAGAAGGGGTAGAGACAAGGAAAGAAGGGGTTGGGGTACTTGCCCCTTTCCTAGAAAAGCTGGACTTGCCGCTAAGGGTGAAGGACCAAGGCAGGCATCCCTCCATGGTCTGACACCTTTGAAACATGGGTGAATAATCAGAGAGGTGTCCCTGCAATGATTAAACACCAAGGGAAGGCTGCCTTCCCAGTCCGTGACCGGCGCCGGAGTTTTGGGTCCACGGATAAAACGTGTCTCCTTTGTCTCTCCTAGAAAATGAAAGGAATTGAAATTAAGAGAACGGAGAGATTGAAGAGTGGTGCCAAGATTGAAAGGAGAAAGAGGTTGAGGGATAGTGAGGGAGGTTGGAGAAGAGAGTAAAAAGAGGCCGCTTACTGGATTTGAAATTGGTGAGATGTTTCTTGGGCTGGTCAGTCTGAGGACCTGAGGTCGTAGGTGGATCTTTCTCATGGAGCAAAGAACAGGAGGCCAGGGGATTGATCTCCTAAGGGAGGTCCCCCGATCTGAGTCATGGCACCAAATTTCATGTGCATCCGTGTGAAGAGACCACCAAACAGGCTTTGTGTGAGCAACATGGCTGTTTATTTCACCTGGGTGTAGGTGGGCTGAGTCTGAAAAGACAGTCAGCGAAAGGAGATAAGGATGGGGTCATTTTATAGGATTTGTGTAGGTAAAGGAAAATTACAGTCAAAGGGGGTTTGTTCTCTGGTGGGCCGGAGTGGGGGTCGCAAGGTGCTCAGTGGGGGTGCTTTTTGAGCCAGGATGAGCCAGGAAAAGGACTTTCACAAGGTAATGTCATCACTTAAGGCAAGGACCGGCCATTTACACTTCTTTTGTGGTGGAATGTCATCAGTTAAGGTGGGGCAGGGCATATTCACTTCTTTTGTGATTCTTCAGTTACTTCAGGCCATCTGGGCGAATACGTGCAAGTCACAGGGGATGCGATGGCTTGGCTTGGGCTCAGAGGCCTGACAATTACCACAGAGCAATTTAAAGTCAGGGCAAAATTTCAGATCTTTTAAGCAATTAAGCAGTTAGTTCATGTTCGGAAATATTACCTTCATCAAAATTAAGCATCACAGTCCTGTCTGAAGCTCTTATATATTAAAAACTCATTTTTAGTTTTACCTACGAATGTAGCATATTGCTTTCATTTGCCTTTAAATACAAGGGCTGCTGTATGCTTAAGATAGGTGAATGTGATGTTAGTAAGTGATTAATAGTTATTTAAATACTCCAGACTTTATTATTTGAGAATGTCAATATGAATCTATACAGTATATAGTATACATACAGTATATACAGTGTTAGACACTGTGCTTTATGCTGAGGAGGCAGAGAAGAAATAAATACACAAACCCTGATGACAAAGAGTTGTTTTAGCTGAAAGATGGATTTTTAAAGATGGGTGATTTATTTTATTTTATTTTAAGTTCAGGGGTACATGTGCCAGATGTGCAGGTTTGTTACATAGGTAAATGTGTGCCATGGTGGTTTGCTGTACAGATTATATAGGGATGATTTATTGTATTAAAAAATACTTTCTGTGAGATGCTATGATTTTTCTCCTCACAGAAAATGGTATGTTTTCACCCACATCTAACCATAAAATACAAATTTATCCTCATAAATATGCTATTGCTTAGATATCAGTCTGCATCCCCTTGAAAGTTTT
Source organism: Homo sapiens (assembly GCF_000001405.40). Taxonomy (NCBI): domain Eukaryota; kingdom Metazoa; phylum Chordata; class Mammalia; order Primates; family Hominidae; genus Homo; species Homo sapiens. Next base: position 191,673,080 of record NC_000003.12, read on the forward strand.
ATTTCTTTTAGTATTTTCAATTAACAATTTTTGAATCATTCATGTGACATGAAATATGATTTTATATGTTAATAGAATTCATTGCTGCTAGTAACCAGAGTAAGACCAATTTATGTATTTTCTTTATAATTTTTCATTCTCTTACTATATTTTTGTGGAACATCCCCAAACTAGAAAGATGTGGACTTAGCCAAGTTCTGAGCACTTTCTCTTCATGATAAGGATGTGATTCAATCTCTTTGACAATGGTCTTTTTTTTTCTTTTCTTTTTTTTCTTTCTTTTTTTCTCGAGATGGAGTCATGCTCTGTCACCCAGGCTGGAGTGCAGTGGCGCTGATCTCGGCTCACTGCAAGCTCCGCCTCCCGGGTTCACGCCATTCTCCTGCCTCAGCCTCCCGAGTAGCTGGAACTACAGGAGCCCACCACCACGCCTGGTAATTTTTTTGTGTTTTTAGTAGATACGGGGTTTCCCCGTGTTAGCCAGGATGGTCTCGATCTCCTGACCTCCTGATCCACACGTTTCCGCCTCCCAAAGTGCTGGGATTACAGGCTTGAGCCACTGCGCCCGGCCGACAATAGTCTTTAGAGAAAAGCCAGTTTGTTTTTGGGTCTAGACTTCAAGATAAGAGTTTTTCTTGTTCTCAGTAATTGAGCAATTGGGGATGTACCTTCAAGATATTTCCTTTGCTTGTTGTCTCTGAAATACAAGGGCTATGGAAATTTTGGATAAAAACATTCAATCAATAAGTTAAAAAGCAGTGAAGTGTGCTTAATTAATCCGGCTGATTCACTGAGTAAGAGTTAATGTAATTGCCATTATCAGATGGAACATTTAGGCATACTTAGTTTAAAACCATTATTTTACTTGTGAAGTATCTAAGATTCAGAGACTTTAAAAAAAATGTAATAGAGTTCCCAGGGTCAGATAGTTACATAAAAGAAAACAACTTAAATCCACATTTCATTTATAGGTCATGTGTATTGATGTAGAAGTTAAATACATTAGCTTTCACTCTTTTTTAGTTAAATGCTCAGTGCAGAGTTTTGACAAGCATATACAGTCATGTAACCACCACCATAATCAATATATAGAATATTTGCATCACTGGAGAGTTCCACTATGCTCTGTTCTCCACCTTGCCCTAGGCAATCTCTGATCTTGTTTTTATGCCTATAGTTTTACCTTCTTCAGAATGCCATACGATTCACACATTACGTATCCCTTTGTGTCTAGGTTCTTTCATTTAGCATAATTCTTTTCTATATTAATGAAGGTGTTGCACGTGTCAGTAATTCAATTCTTTTGCATGAGGAACAGTATTCCATTGTAAGAATGCACCACAATTTATCCATTCATCAGTTGATGAGCTTTGAGTTTTTGCTATTTGTTTTGTTTTGTTTTTGTAGGTTTCAGCTATTATGAATAAAACTGCTATAAACATTTTGTACAGCCCTTTGTATGAACATATGTTTTCATATCTCCTGGGTACATATTAAGAAGCAGATTTGTTGCATCCTAGGATTTAACTTTATAAAAAACTGCCAAACTGTTTTCCAAAGATGTTGCATTCCCACAAGTCACATATGAAAAGTCAAAGTGCTGTGTATCTTTCTCAGCACTTTATACTGTCTTTTCTTTTTCAGTTTACTCTATCAGGTATCTTATTTTAGATTAAATTTAATTTACATTTCCCTGATGACTAATTATATTGAGCATCTCTTCAAATGTGCTTGTCATTCGTATCCATCTTTATTAAAATAGTTGTTCAAATCATAATCCTTTACCTATATATTAGTTTATAATGTTAGCATTGAGTTATAAGGATCCTTTTTGAACTATGTCTTTATTTCTTTACTATATACTTGTCTTGCAAATATTTTCTTCCAATATGTAGCTTCTCCTTACATTTTCTACATATCTCTGTAGGGCATAAGATTATAATTTTGATGAAACCCAATTCATCTATTTTTTCTTCTATGATTCATGATTTTTGTGTCCTAAAAATTTTTGCTTAACCCTGCCACAAGCATTTTCTCCTCTGCTTTCTTCTAGGAATTTTATGATTTTTAACTCTTTATATTTAGGTCAATGACTTATTTCAAAATTTTTTTAATATGGTAAGAGAGACGATTCAACAATATTTTTATCATATTAAATACGCGGTCAAAAATTTCCAGGAATTTTTTTGTTGGAGGGTTATCTTTTTTCCATTGAATTGATTTGTACCTCTGTCAAACACCAATTAAGCACATAGATATGAGTCTATTTTTATACCCTCTATGATATTCCATTGATATATATTAATATTTTCACAGTAAGATCATATTCCCTTGATGACTATAGCATTTACTACAGTTAATTTTGTCATCAGGCAGTGTGAGTTCTCCAACTTGGTTCATCTCTTTCAATATGACTTTTCCTGTTCAAGATCATTACATTTCCCACATAAATTTTAGAGTAAGCTTGTCAATTTCTCCCAAAAATAAAACAGATGAGATTATGATAGGGATTGTTTTGAATCTATAGATCAATTTGAGAAGAATTGACATTTTAACAATAACAGGCCTTCGGACTTTTATTCATGGCGTATCTCTGCACTAATTTATGTCTTTTGAAGTTCCTCAAATTTCTTTAATCGATGCTTTGTAGTTTTCAGCACACAAATATTTCACATATTTTCTTATATTATTTACAGATGTGATGCTATTGTAAGTTATATATACTGTAATTATATATACTATATCTCTATATAATCGAGTTATAAATCATGTAATTTACAGTATATATCTTTATATAATTGCAGTATATACAGTATACAATTATATATAGTATACTACAATTATATATATAATTGTTCTTTCTATAGATTATATATAATTATGTATATAATTGTTCTCTATATATAGTAAATATAATTATCAGTATATATCTACATATAATTACAGTATATATATCATATATACAGTATATATCTATATATAATTTACATATATAGTGATATAAATACTGAAATTATATATCTGTATCTATCTATTATCTGTGTATGTGTGTGTGTATATATATGTATAGATGTATATATATACACATATATATACATACATATATATGTGTGTGTGTATATATATATATACACACACACATATATATTTGGGAGGACAGGATTTCACTCAGTCACTCAAACTAGAGTACAGTGGCACAATCACAGCTCACTGCATCCTTGAACTCTTGGGCTTAAGTGATCCCACTGCCTCAGCCACCTGAGTAGCTAGAACTACATGCATATGCCACCATGCCTTGTTAATTTTTAAATTATTTGTAAAGATGATGTCTCACTGTATTGTCCAGGCTAGTTTCAAACTTCTGGCCTCAAGTGATCTTCCTGCGTCAGCCTCCTGAAGCACCAGGATTACAGTTGTGAGCCACTGTGTCTGGAATAAATTATATTTTTAAATTTAACCTTCAAATTTTTTATTTCCAGTAATTAGCAAAACAACTAGAATTAGTATATTGGCTTTGTATTCTGTTAACTACTAAGATCAGACATTGGATTCAGTAGCTTCTTTTGTAGATTCCTTAGAGTTTTCTACGTAGACATATTATGTGTGAATAGAGATAGTTTTGTTTGTCTTAACCACTTTTTGTTGTTGTTTAGGTGTGTAGGTTTTGTTTTCTTTTGTCTTATTGCACTGTATAGGACTTTAGTGTGATGCCAGATAATAGGAGTGATAAGATGATACTTTATATATTTATGTATTTCATTTTTTTGAGAGAAAGTCTCACTCTGTCACCTACCCAGAGTAGAGTGCAGTGGTGTGATCACAGCTCATGGCAACCTCAACTTTCTGGGCTCAAGCAATCCTCCTGCCTAAGCCTCCCAAGTAGCTGGGACTACACAAGTGTGCCACCACACCTGGCTAATTTTTAAAATTTTTGTTTAGTCAGGTTCTCTATGTTGCCCATGCTAGTCTTGAGCTCCTGAGCTCAAGCTGTCCTCCTGCCTTGGCCTCCCAAAGTTGGGATTACAAGTGTGAGCCACTGTGTCTGGCCCATTTTTTTAAATTTACTTTTTAATAAAGATAGAGATGGGGTATTTCTATGTTGCCCAGGCTGGTGTCAAACTCCTAGGCTCAAAAGTGATCCTCCCACCTCAGCCTCCCAGAGTGTTAGGATATAGGCGTGAGCCTTGTGCCCAGGCCAGATAATGCATTCTTGCATTTTCCCCTATCTCAGGGAGAAAGTATTCAGTCTTTCACCACTAAATATGATGTTAGTTGCAGGTTTTTCATATATACTCTTTGTCATGGAAGATGTTCCCTTCTATTGCCAGCTTACCGAGAGTTTTATTCAGGAATGAATGGTGGATATTAAATACCTCTTTTTCTGCATTCCTTGAGATGATCATATGGCTGTTCTTTTTGGTGTGTTCACATGGTGAATTCCACTGATTTTTTAATGCTATGTTAAACTTTGACTTTTTGGATAACGCTAATTGTTCCTGATGGATCATTCTGTCTTTATATGCCAGCCTTTGACTTACTAATGTCTTATTATGGTTTATATTTCCATATTTATGAGGGATATTGGTCCACAGATTCCTTTTCTTAAATGTCTCTGGCTAGTTTGGGAATCAAGCTAATGCTTGCCTCATAAAATTCACTAAAAAGCTTTCCCAATTATTTAATTTTCAGAAAAATTTTTTGAAGTGTTGGCGCTTTTTTCTGTCAGTGTATATAAATATTTGGATATTTTCCAGATGTCTTTTTATAATTGGTATCTAGTTTAATTATGTTATGGTTAAAAAAAAAGCATTTTGTATTGTTTCCATTATTTTAAATTTGTTGTGGTTTGTTTTTCTGACACAGAATATCATCTATCTTTGTGAGTATTCCATGTGCAATTGTAGATAGGTAGAATGTCCTATAGATGTCTATTAAGTCATATATCTTCATAATGTTTTTCAAGTCATTAATAGTCTTAAAGACTTCCTGTCTACTTTTCCCATCAAGTACTGAGAGAGGAGTATTAAAGATTCCAGTTGTAATTGTGGATTTGTCTATTTCTCATTTCTACCATTTTTAAAAAATGTTCTTTGAAGCTATGCAGTTGGATCAATACAAAAGGATTATAATATCTTCATGATAAATTGACACCCTTGTCAGCCAAACTCTGTCTTACATTTGTGGCAGGACTTAGGCTGGAGAGCTTCCTTTTCTTCCATTGCTAGTGCCAGATTTCTATGTTGTGCTAGTGCATTCTTCTTGTAGCAGGTGATTTTTTGTTCCTCTCTAGAGCGGAGCACTTTTGCTTCAACAAATCCCTTCAGAAGTAGTGGATCTTTGTCTATTTCCTGGATGTAGATTGGAAGAATCCCTATTCTTCAACAGATTTTGTTTTTACCCTTCCACCAGAAGCAGTAGACCTTTGCCTTGGAGAAAGAATATTGAATGCCCCTTCCCCTATATTTTAAGTTTTTTGTTTGTTTGTTTACTTAATATGCAGGTGTTGTTCTGTGCCTGTTCTCCAGCAGCAGCCACTTACCTTCTGCATGCATATGACATGGACAGGCCTTTCTCCAGACTCCTGCACTGCCTTAGATATTTTTTCTGAAAACCCAATGGAGGCTTATAGAAGAAAAGAGCTTTGATTCTGGGACTACTACGCCTAACCTTTATGAGTTCTCTAACATTTAGTGAACTGTTTCTAACATGCTTCTATGCTGGCTACATTTTCCTACCATTACTGCCAAAAGCAAATGTTCTCACTGTCCCTTTTCTTCTCAAGCATCTTTTAACTCTTTGGAATTTACTTCACTTGGTTGACTTGTAACCTAAGCTCTCTGGAGGGTTGAAAAAAATTATACCTTTTTAGATTATTAGCTTTCTTTATTGTTAGCATGGAAGGGACATTCTCTTGCAGTTTTCATTATCCTAAAAGCATAAGCATGACTTGAACCCGTGAGTCTTGTAGGTAGTTTTTGATTTGAAATTTAGTCATCACTGGGAAATATTCTCTATGCCTTTCTGTATCTACTCTGATGAAGTTTAGTAAAATAGAAAGCATGGAAGATATATGTTATAGTACAACATTGTCCTGCATCCTATAAAAAGCAAGCAAACACACACACACACACACACACACAAAACAGAACACACAATTACTACCTGGTCAAATTAGCTTGAGCATTACTCACTTCACCAAACTTCACTGAGTATAGAGGGTTTTGACTCTTCCATTGTGTTACATGTTTAGGCTTTTAAAACTATATTGTCAATCCATAGATAGGGATATTATATCATCATAATTTTTATTATATTAATTCATAGATTTTTTAAAGGATTCCAACATATTCTGGATTTTTGTTTTTGAATTGGTGCTTGTGTGTGTGTGTGTGAGTCAAAGATGTTGCAAGAAACATACTGTAATGGAATATTATTCCAAGGCTCACTAGGACTTGCTTTTATAAGTTTTGCTCCTTGTAAGATTTAAGTCTTCATGCCCGTTTTCCAGCCCACTTCTCATCCACTCACCATAATACAACAAAATTCAAGTACTTTTCAAACAATCATAACCTTATTAGTAACAGGAAGACAGCCTATTTGGAGTAATTCACCCCACTCACCAATTATGTACACTTGACCCAGAGACAGTCAAATAGAAAAGGCTTATGGTTCAGAAAATATCCTTAAGTAGCGTTCTTGTTTCAGTTTCAGAAAATTGCATACAGTTAAATAAACAAATGCTCTTTAAATGCCCAGAATGTTGGAATAGGTCACAGAATCTGAAAAGGTAGGAATTTTTTCTAAGTATAAAGGATATGGCATATCTGGGGCCAGCCAAAATGAGTTCATGGCAGTTTCTCTCCTAACTAGCTCTGTCATCTCCGGCGAACCTTTTCCCCTTTACTTATTTCATTTACTCATGCTCTCATCTGTATAAACTAAAATTCATAATATTCTTTCTTCCCCGCTTACTGTGAGCATTAGTTGACATGCATAAGGAAAGCCTGAATAATGCCCATTACATGATGGCTGTTGTTGAATCTAAATCCCTCTCTCCTCATATATAAAACAGGGGCGGCCGGGTGTGGTGGCTCACGCCTGTAATCCCAGCACTTTGGGAGGCTGAGGTGGGCGGATCACATGAGGTCAGGAGTTCGAGAGCAGCCTGGCCAACATAGTGAAACCCCGTCTCTACTAAAAATACAAATAAATTAGCCAGGCGTGGTGGCGCACATCTGTAATCTCAGCTACCTGGGAGGCTGAGGCAGGAGAATTGCTTGAACCCAGGAGGCGGAGGTTGCAGTGAGCCAAGATCGCGACGCTGTACTCCAGCCTGGGTGACAGAGCAAGACTCCATCTCAAAATAATAATAATAATAATAATAATAATAACAATAATAAAATAAATAAAATAAAATAAAATGGGGGCAAACACCCTATTTATCACAGCACTGTTCCAACTTTGGCTTTACAATAGCCACTTACGTGCATGTCTTACTTCCCAGTGAGACTGAGTATCTCTAAAGCTGACTAGGAAGTCATCTCTCCATCCACAGTAGTTTTAGCACAGTGCTTCCTATGTTACCACATTAAACAAACATTTGCTTTAACATAATTTGAACCACTCTTTGGACTACCTCACATGTGTTTGGGAGTGGCAGATCAGACAGTGAGACTGTCTTTTTGTAAGAAACTCTAAACCACGAGGTAGAAAAGGTCTAGTGATGATGGTTAAGACCTAGTCACTGCTCTGTAACTGGGGTGGGTGGGAGAAAGTGTCAATAAATTAGTCAGAGAACAGGTCAAATGAAACACACAGCAGTTATGTTTTAGGATGCTTCATGTTCTTTACGGAAGAGCTGAAGCAATCTTTTCTTGAGGCTAGGGAATAAATCCAGAACTTTGTAGGAACAGTGCAGGAGTAATCTGGGATGAAGCTTTAATCACACCATGAGGAAAATGTATTTCTTTCTGGTCATTCCCCCGTTCCCTTTAACAAGTTTCCTATGCCCTTCCCTTAAATATTTGTCTCCTCATAATTCTATCTTCCTCTTATCACTTTAAACTTTCAGACTGAGTCATACTCATGTATTGCTATCGTTTCAATTATTTAAAATTCCAAGTCTGTTTGTTCCAGATAAATCTCTCTTGAGGACCTGTCTTCTATATTCAAAACCAGATAAGACAATTTCACACCCAAGAGTTGCAGATACTTTAGGCAACTCAAATTTAATAAGTCACAAAATAACCTAATTACCTCTGTCTCCACCCAAATTCATATCTGTGTAATAGTCTTGGCTTCAGTAAATGACATCACCATCTACCCAGATTTGGAAGCTGGGAATATAGGCATCACCCTACGTTTCCCTATCCTTTATCTCCCACTACCAAGACCACTAAATCTGAATCCTGAATTATGGCTCTCTCTCTTTCTCCTTCCTTGCCCTCCATCTGCCCTCCATTGCCTTTCACTCCAGTTCCTGCTTCCATCTCTCACAGAGACTGCAATAGCCTCTCAGTAAGTTTCTCTATTTCTAGTTCTGCTGCCTTCAATGCCTTGCTCACTCTCTGGATAACTTTTCAAAAGTGCAAAACTGATTGTAATTAGTTTAAAATTTAAAATTCATATATACTCACCATCTTTTAGCAACCTGTAAAATAAAGAAAATTCAAGCTTAAACACTCAGAATATTTTCCTCCTCCATCTTCTACATGTGGAAAAAAAATTATTAATTTTTAATGTCTCAATTTTTTTTAATTCATGAAGACATTTCAACAATAAAAACCAGTAATGCAAAGATGCCCCAAATTTTATTATCATATGAAACTCCTAGGGAAAATAAAATCCTGAAGATTAAAATTCTCTGGAAGATAAGACAAACCAAAATCTAAAATAATTAAAGTTTCAAGATAAAATTATTATTTATCATATTTAATGTATAAAGAAATTTCAGTGCTTTTGAATTCTTTTTTTTTTTCTTTGAGATGGAGTCTCGCTCTGTAGCCCAGGCTGGAGTGCAATTCTCCTGCCTCAGCCTCCTGAGTAGCTGTGATTACAGGCATGTGCCACCATGCCCAACTAATTTTTGTATTTTTAGTAGAGACGGGGTTTCACCATGTTGGCCAGGCTGGTCTTGAACTCCTAACATTGTGATCCACCAGCCTCGGCCTCCCAAAGTGCTGGGATTACAGGTGTGAGCCACTGCTCCTGGCCGCTTTTGAATTCTTTATCGGGCTCCGTCTCATCTAGAAGGGTGCCTGACGCTTAGGCATTACTGATTTTCCTCATGGCAGCAACATGTAGGCTGCCTCTCAGCCTAAACTAGCTTCAGGGTCTCAGAGTCTGTGTCAGTTCAATGCTTATTCCCTGATGTGACTCACTTTTCAGAAGTCCTGAGGGTTAATGGGATGCAAAAGATCAGGGCATTAACCCCACAACTATTCCAGAGAATAAATTCTGCTGCCCCATGACAGATCGATCAGGCAAAATTATGTTCCCAGAACCCATTACCTGAGGAAAGAAAGTAGATAAAGAAATCTTATTTTTAGCTCCATCAGGAGACCAATTGACCAGTGGTCCAGCAAATGCAACCTGAGAACATAAACTCACTTGGGAGAAATTCACCTCATCACCTCCGTGCTGGATTGGGCTAAGCTGTCCTGTATCCATTTGGCCCTGCTCCTGAGAAGAGCTGATTTGGATCTTTCTCCAGATTAAGAAAGAGCAGTAATCACATATAGCAATGTAACAGAAAAGCATGATTCTTGACAAAATAAAACAATTTTGCTTTTGTATGCTTTTTCCACTTAAAACTTCATTGAGTAGGGATAATGTACTTCTATCTCTAGATTAAAAACTCCAGCAAAGTTATGAATTTGTATCTAATTTTAGATACTAAATAATTCTACAATCTCCTTAAACAACAAACATCCGCACTCATTTACAGTCTTCCTCCCTTTTCAGCTTAAGCCACTGCAGATTGTGGGGGAAAATCAGGCAAAGTTGGCGTTTTCTTTCTTAGTGCTCATCTCCTCCCCTACTCACTGGCTGCTGTTAGCTTTTCCCACCAAGGCTGATATAAGGAAAATGCAGAAGGCTGAGTTGCTACTTGAACTTGTGCCAGCTTTGAGTTTTTTGGGCGTGCCAGATGTTCAGAAACAACTTTTCTCTACTGGGGCGTTTTAACAGCTCTTCACAGGTTTTTTGTTGAGCTCTTTTGCTTCTAGTTCCTTGATGCTTTTTTATTCCCACCGGTAGATTGCAGTGGTTCCTTCTGCAACTAGGAACACCTGAGGAAATGATTCCAAACCTTTCTGCTTATGTCTTCTAAACACCCCAGACAACCCCTATGGACAGAACTCTGAATAGTCTGTGATTCTGCATTCTTTGTCCAGCAGCCTCTGGGTGTGCAGATCAATCTTTACCCTATCACACTCTCCCAGCCTGCCACCCAAGTATGTAGTTAGCCTTGCCCTCAAGATTACCTAGAAAGAAGTCATAGCCCGGTTCATACACTGTTTTAGATTTGTCTGACTTAACTCAGGTACAATCATCTGTCTCTACCAACCATTTAGGAACCCAAACACCCTCCCTCTGACAAGTGTCTGGGACTGTCAAATGGCAGGTTGTTCAAAGGTACAAGGTCTTTGTGGAGAAAGCCCATACCCAAGAAGGGCTTTGAGTTCCTTCCACCCTTGGTCTTCTTCACTCAGCCATCCTCTAATTTCCATTTATCCATAAAAGCCACACTCTCTCTTCTTTCTCCTCCTAGGTCCAGGCTTTTCTAGCTCTTGTTAGGAGAAATATATATATACATGCTATAAGCAAGATTTTTCGCTGTTATATAAGCATTTGTATGTGGGGTAAAAATTTGGTTCCTTGAAGCTTTGTTTTTGCTTTGGAGTGACTTGAAGAAGAGAGAGAGCGCATAAGAGTATAAAGGAGAAAGAAAAGAGGGGAATGCACAAAGGAAAAGATGGATTTATGTTTTGAATTACCTTGTTACACTTCTTCTCCTACTAAATTTTTGCATCCTTCCAGAGAAAGTTAATTCCTATCTTGGGGCTTTTTCTCCCCCAAAGTGTAAAAGCTAGGGCACTCTGGATTCCATGCTTTACTAGCATAGTAATTCCTAAGTGTCTCCCAAGCACTGTAGTGAGCCATAAGCCATGGTGCACTTTCTCTTGGTTCCCCCAGATGAATACACAAAACATAATCCTGGATGGTTTAACCTACCTTCTCCATCAGGAATGTTACCCCTTTTACCAGATGGAGTTCTTTTAAAAAGATTTGGGGTTATTCACTTTTCTGACCTTTATTCCACCTCTAACTCATACATTTGTTAACTTCCAAAAACGCGTTTCTTTTTTCCTCTTTTTTAATGAAAAATTACAAACGTATCAAATTGTATTAATTCTAAGCACAGATAGGTATCTTTTCAGCTCTTAATATTTCTGAAGTTGAAATGCATTTACAATTAGTGTTGTGTCATATTTTGTTTTTTGACTCTTTCTTCTTGAGTGATACAAATATACATCAGTATATTAGAATACCAAGTCCATTTTCAATTTTTCCAAATTATACTCAAGATAACTTTTTATATTTGGACTGAACAAATATCAGATAAAGTCTCTTTTAATCTTGTTCACTGTTCCTCTTTTGTTTTTGTCTTTCATTAACTTGTTTTAAAAAAATCCCATCATTTTTCTTCTATGGCCTACATTTAGGATTTTTCTTATTGCCTCTTTATCGTGTATCTTAATAACTTTTTGTCTTCCGTGTTTCCTGTGAATTCAAAGTTAGAGATAAAGGCTTGCTTATGTTCAGGTTTAATATTCTTGGCAAGTTTACTTCAGAGCGGTGCTGTGTACTTCATATTGTGTCACATAAGGGGAAACATAATGCCTGGTTGTACCACTTTTAGAGATGATCAATTTTAGAATTGATTTGTGTCTTTTTACAGTAATCTGTTTTCTTTTTCAATTGATAAAATTGTCTCTCAAGTCTTCCCTAAGATACGAATGAGAAGTGTGTTCATGTTCATCTGTTTCTTTGAGTTCTTTTTCAAATTGTTTGTTCTCCACATGTCATGGTCATTGATCCATATTATGTATGAATAACTTCTTCTGCAGAATAGTATCTCTATATCAAAGAATTCCCCCCTTGAATAAAAACACCAGTTAGGATTTCTACGTAAGTCTGCAGGTCATAGTGATACACAGGCTTCCATTTTAGGTCTGTGCAGGCAGGCTGCAGATAGGCAAAATAAGACTGGAAGAAAAGCACTTCAGAATATTCCCTCTAAGGTAGATGTGTTTTTAAAAGATCTCCCCATATTTTTTGGTGATGTGTGTTGAGTTTTTTTTTGTCTACGTTTTTTATGCCAGGAAGAAGGAAGGCATGATTCTGGCATAAAGAATATAGACTGAAAAACCTCAATGCATGTAACCAAAAATTTAATGGAGTGGAATTTATCTAATCTCCTCTGGAATTAAATAGATAGGAAGTTATTTGGTCTCTCTGAAATTTGTTGAGTTAATAATAATTTTATGTCCTCCTTTCTTAATGAGAACTATTCAAAACACATTTCTTATCTTTGAAAACTAAGTTTCAAATTTTTCCTTTTATAGAAACGTTTAATTACGGTTATTTGTCCTTGTGTATACTTTAGTAGTTTGAGTTAGAGAGGCGTCCAGAAGAATTAATCATCATAATTCTGTATGCATGGTCTCAAAAGATTTATACATAATAGCAAAAAGAAAAGTTTCTGAAGAACATTATGTTCTCTAAGGTCTAGAGTAGGAGAAAATAATAATGAGATTAAGCATAAAAATGCAAAATAGAGCAATCAGGAGCTCTCTTGAAGAACATATGTTTAAAAATTAAACACCATTTTGTTTTAAATATGATTATACATATGTTTTAATATAGTACTGTATGGTTTTTAACATCTTGGAAGGTTTAAATAAATTTCAGTCATATAAATACAACAAGAACTTTGGGTGAGAAGTAGACCACTAAAATATAAAATATGTAGAAAATCAGAGTACTTATTGAAATAATCCAGTATAGGTGTGCCTATAACAGGAGACTCTAAAGAGAAGGTGCTTCCTTTATATACGATGATTCTCGGAGATTGTAGGTTGCTACCTTGATGTATTTTTAAATGTTTTTGGAAAGGCACTACAATCTTACACCTTTTATTAGAATCAGATTATCAAACTAGAATGACGATTATATATTACAATGGGTGAGAGTTTTGCTTTCAGTATGTTCATATTTTAAGAGTTTTATGTTTTCATGACAAAATTTTCCATTATCAGTTTGGAAAGTAGTGGCTAAACAGATATCTTTCCTGTAGCCCTCACAAAACTTTAAGTATGTTTTATATATTATGATTCTTCAAAAATAAAGTATAATATGTGATGAGTTGGGAAGTTATTTGACCACATTCCTCCAGATTTTTCTTCGTCACCTGGCTAGTAATTTTCTATTATCTACTGGATGCTGTGAGTTAAACAATGTAATGACTCTGAATTCTGTCTATGAAAGGCATTGAGTTTTATAAGTTTTATTCCAACAGGCATTTATATTACTGACAGATCATGTTGCTCATGTGAAAACATGACTTTTGACATTATTAGGGTGGATCTCTTTTGTTTTTGTCTTTTGTCCAAGGTCAAATGGTTTTAGTCCTGGAATTTACTATGCTATTTACATAGAAGCACATTGTTGCTCATATCTCTCCTTGGCTATTTTAGGCTTCCAAGTGCTGTTTTCCTTGGGACTTTGACTCACATGTGTGCACTTCAGGAGTTGGCCTAGGATTTGAAGGACATTTTATGCACAGTTCAGTGTTCTCACTTTGTACAGATTTCCATTCCTAGATTTCTGTCCTCAATTTCACAGCCATTCTGAGGTGTTCAGAGCCCTGAACTCTGATCTCTGATCCATCCACCCAATCAGCCAGATGGTTCTCTTTGAGAGCCATCCTCTATGTCCCACACCAACTAGTTACAATTCCCTTTATAAAGATCTTTGTGTTCTACAAATCACACTTGAGTAATAGCTACTAAGCAATGCAATCAATCAATTTAACATAATCTAAAAAATCTATACTTATATAAGTGATGTATCCTCATTAAAATACATTGAAAATTAAGAAAAGAAAAAATGAAAGCATGTATTTACCTGAGCAAGATATCACCAATGTCAATATATATATATTTAATTTCTAGTTTGTTTTTATACCCATAGCACTTTTAAATACATGATTATGATTACATTATTTATAAAATTTTTTCACCTGCCTCTGTAACTTAACTATGAGTAGTTTTTCACATGAGGCAGTCAGGTTTTCTTTTTTTTTCTTTTTCTTTTTCTTTTTTTAACAGTTTTAACAGTTTCATAATATTCCATCCCTGTTGATGAAATTAATTTTTGTAAGTTTTATGTTTTATAAATTCTGCTGGCACACTTCTACTCATAAATCAATTTTTAACTAAGTTCACTATTTCCATAGGCTATGCTGTGAGATGTAAAACTGGTAGGTCAAAGAATATAAACATATTTAGGGCTAATATATACTAAAACAGCAATATATGGAAATACTCTTCCACTATATTTTATTAAATTTGTACATTGTTGTTTCAAAAAACTGCGTTAATGCAGTACATAATTGGAATTGTTATATTTTTGTTTGCTTTACTGTGATCACTTGTGAGTATGCACATCTTCAGGTTTGTTTAATTAAAATAATCTGTGCTAACTTTTAATAATTTAACTATTGAGGTTTTAGTATTAATCTAATCAAATTGTGTGAAGTTTTATAAGACTAATTTGATAACCTCAGTCAGTTATAAATTCAACAAGTAACTTTTCCAGTTTTTAATTGCTGAATCATATGTTTTTGTTGTAAGATGATACACAATGAAAAACTGTCCAAACCACCATCATTTTCTTCTTTCCTCACCAAACCAACTTGCCGCAGATCTCTATTTAGCAGACAAAGTAATAATTTTAAAACAGAAATTATGGCAGGGCGTGGTGGCTCACGCCTGTAATCCCAGCACTTTGGGAGGCCGAGGTGGGTGGATTGCCTGAACTCAGGAGTTTGAGACCAGCCTGGGTAACACAGTGAAACCCCACCTCTACTAAAATATGAAAAATTAGCCAGGTGTGGTGGCGGGCGCCTGTAGTCCCAGCTATTCAGGAGGCTGAGGCAGGAGAATTGCTTGAACCCAGGAGGTGGAGGTTGCAGTGAGCTGAGATCGCGCCACTACACTCCAGCCTGGGCAACAGAGCGAGACTCCAGCTACAAAAAAAAAGATATATTCCAATTAAAACAGAAATTACATCACATCATAACATTGTCTACTCAAAGCTATCCAGTTCTTCCCATTACATGCAGAATAAAATCAAAAGTCTCTTACATAATTTCTAAGGTCCTGTATCATCTCACACTCATCTCCTATAATTCCTTTTCTTACTCTAACCACCCAACCCTCAATGGCCTTCTTACTTTTCTTGGAATCCTCAAGCACACTCAGGGTCCTTGCATTTGATATTCTCTCAGGCTAATGAACATACCCAAATATTCATATAACTCAACCTTTTTCTTTATTCAAATTCTCTGCTTAAATTTCAAAACGTCAGAGAAAATGTGTTGTGGGGGTCTGTCCCGCAGACCCTGACCCAGTGATGGATGAATAGCATACACTGACACAGATATTCTGCTTATCAGTCCAGCTGTGGGTCTGGGCCACTTACAGACACTAAGGAAGGTGCTGTACAGAGTTGCAGTGGCAGCCTCAACCCCCTGGCCCTGCGGGCATTTATTCAGCACACATTAAATGACAAAGGTCTCAAGGAAACGCTACTAGAAGGTAATTACTGTTGCTGACCCCCCAGTAGAGAGCAATCATGGTCAAAGGTTAGTCTTAGGACCAAATGAGTAAACAAGCTATTTAGGTAGACTCCTCTACATTCCTATGTTAATTACCCTTGCTATACCTCAAAGAGGATTAGACTGCCTTCAGTCATAACTCTATCCGGAGGCTTTTGCAAAAACCTTCCAGCCTTCCAAGAAGGTTTGTATTTATTTTACAATTCCTCCCACCATCCTGACCAAATCCCTACAATGTGTCTATCGTGGCACCTTCCCATTGCTTTGTATCCCAACTTTGTTTTTCATCATAGCACTTGTCAGTGCCTCAAGACACACATGCATACACACACGTTTATCTCCCTTATTAGAAGAAAAGCTGGAGGAATGTGGGGTTTTGTTTTGTTTTTGCTTTTAATGCTGTAAGCATTGGACTTAGAATAATATCTATAACAAATGTAACAAAGAATATTGAGAAAATACTTTCAAAGATTTTCCTGCAAACCTGCTGATAATTCTATCATGCAAGTATAGTTACTGGTAACATTTGGGCATTATTTTTAATCTTTAAGGTTTATGATAAACTTTTGAATTTTACAGATAGTGTAAGAATATGAGTTTTGAAATCTTTTATTCAACTTTTTTACTTGACTCTATAAACATTTTAATGTCATTATATAGTCTTGGTAAACATTTTAAAGGACTGAACATTATTTCTCAATTGTAGTCTAATTATCTACAGGGTCACACTAGTTTCATTAAATCTTAGCTGAAATATTTTATTACCTAAGATAAATCATCTCCTCCACATTCACTGGTAAAGTTTTCATTGTCATTTTTAATTATTTTAAAGTAAATTCATCTTTTCTTTTTCTTTAATAATTTACATTTTTGAGAGCCATTAGTTTTTTAAAAAATTGTCATTAACATTAATTTCTTGTATAGTATATATTTATACAAGTCCACTATATTCCTAGAGTTCCATTCTTTTTCTTGAAAAAGTTCATTTCTAGTTTTTCTTGACTGAGTCTTCTAGATATTTTCTAATATTTTTTACTTTTTAAAAATATAATCTCTATTTTTTGAATACTGCATTTTTCAGCTTAGTTTAATTATTTTATTTGATTTATTAAGCTTAAACATTTCTTCTCTATTTTTAAAGAAGAAAAACATTTAGGCTTATAAATTTATCTTTCAAATTCAATTAACTTTATTCTGTTTGTCTTTAATCTTAAGTATTGACTTACAGTATGTTGAAATTCCACCTGGATCCAGCATTTATGTAAGAGAACACTTTTGAAGATCCAAGCAGTTGAAAGTATTTTTAAAATTATTATGTAATATTATTTAATTTAAATTAGCCTAGTACTATTCAATTTAAATTAGAAAATATACTCTGAATAAATTCTCATTTTATTATTTAAAAAATTTTTTCATGGTGCCAAATGTAGTTATTTTAAAAGTGATTCTTTCAGTATATCTCTCTTTGTTCTGATACCAACTTATTGGTTATATCAAAGCTTATTTTGGTTTTATTTTAAATGATTGTCTGTTTCTTTACCATAAAATAAAATTTTATGTCGTTTTGTTTGCTTTTCTCCTTTGAATTTTATATGTTTATATTAATAATCACTGTTACTTGTTTTTCTTTGATATATTTGTTTTTGCTTTCATTTTTAACCTTACATCATGCTGTTTTAAGCCACATAAACAAATTATGTTTTTTGTAGCACAAAATTTAAAAATGACTTTTCATAGAATATGATTCGGTTCCATATAGTTTCTTATTTGCTATGCTTATTTCTTCTTATGCCAGTTTATATATACATATTATATATACTTATATATTGGTAAAGATTTGTTCAGCATACACTTCAACTAATGCTTACCTAATTGTTTAATCAGAAAAAGAAATATGATACCTTTTTATAATATCAGGGAGACGATTTGTTTCACAAACCAATTGACTTTAATTAGTCAAAAATCTAAGATTCTAATTCCTAGAATTAAAAAGAAAAATAAGTCTATATGTATAATATAATTGCTTCACCTATTGTGATGACATTTTCAGCATTTATTTAGACATATCTTTCATGTGCATCACATGACCGCATGTAAAGAGACCACCAAACAGGCTTTGTGTGAACAACAAGGCTGTTTATTTCACCTGGGTGCAGGCGGGCTGAGTCCGAAAAGAGAGTCCATGAAGGGTGATAGGGGTGGGGCTGTTTTATGAGATTTGGGTAGGTAAAGGAAAATTACAGTCAAAGGGGGGTTGTTCTCTGGCGGGCAGGTGTGGGGGTCACAAGGTGCTCAGTAGGGGAGCTTTTGAGCCAGGATGAGCCAGGAGAAGGAATTTCACAAGACAATGTCATCAGTTAAGGCAGGAACAGGCCATTTTCACTTCTTTTGTGGTGGAACGTCATCAGTTAAGGCAGGAACTGGCCATCTGGATGTGTACGTGCAGGTCACAGGGGATATGATGGCTTAGCTTGGACTCAGAGGCCTGATATTATCTCTATTCTTTCACCTGGTTCATTAAACACAAAAGTCTTTCCCTTCTCTTTTTCACACTTTTTTGCTTATTTATTTGAAACCACATCTTACTTATCTGGGTCATATTTGAATATTCTTTCAGGAATAATAAACCTAAGCAATATGTTTTTCTAGACCTTGCATATACAAAAAGTCTTTTAACTCTTTCAGAGCAACAAGTTAGTTGAGTAGATAATTTTGAGTTATGGCCTCTTTCCCTCAATATATTTTATATATAACATTAATAGTCTCTAATATTTAGGTTGTGAATAAGAAGTCTAAGGGCTTTTTAAAAATTTTTATTTTTAAAGTTAATAAGCAGGCTGGGTGCAGTGGCTGAAGCCTGTAATCCCAGATCTTTGGAAGGCTTCATCTCTACAAAAATTTTAAAAATTAGCCAGGTGTGGTGGTGCACACCTGTTATCCTAGCTACTGGGAGGCTGAGTTGGAAGGATTGCTTGAGCCCAGGAATTCCAGGTTACAGTGAGCTGATTGTGCCACTGCATTCCAGACTGGACAACAGGGCAAAACCCTGTCTGGAAAAAAAAAAAAAGCTAATAAACCAAATACTTATAAATATTTATGTCATATATTATTTATGTTTTTCTTATTTTTTAAATTTTATTCTTTTCTTTTGAATTTTGGATTTTTTGAGACTACTATCTAATTACTTGTTTCTCTTGTTTGACAAAATTTTTTCTTACCTGCTGTTTTAACTTATACCAAACTATTCCATTTTATTTTCCGCAGAGTCACTTATCCCATGAATTTGCTCATGACCATAACCATGATCAATATTACTTTTAAGTATAATAGCCAATATTTAATTTATAATAATGAGCTGTGTCTTTTTATGCATTATCAAATTGAATCTTCATAACCATTCCTTAACATGGCTTCTCTTATCCCAATTATAGACTAGGAAAGAAAGAGTAAGAGAAATTAATTAAGTAATTCAAAGTCACGTAATTGGTAATTGTTGAGTCAGGTGTTCAAATTCTAATCCATCATACGTTAGAAGTAAAGTTATTCACAATTGGGCTTAACTGCCTTCTAAACTTTTCTTAAGCATTTTTAAGTGAATTCAGTTCAGAGGAAGAGTTTTCCTTTGACTTCTGTCTTCTGCTATAGAAACATCTATAGGTCTGAAATATGTTTTCCTTTTGTTTACTCACTGGGCTATAAAGAAAATTCTTACCCGATACAGAATTAGTGAAAAGTAAGGTTGTCTGAATATCACTCAGATGCTTCATAGTCCTCTTTAGATCTGGCAGAATAGCATCTTACCTTTAAAGTTGAAGAGAAGGATGATGCATAGTTCTTAATACCACGATGTAGTAAGGTCTGGCTTGTTCTACTTTTTGAGATAAGCAATATTCTCATCGTCTAGGCTGATGATTCCCAAACCCAGTGTAGTAAAACGCCCTAAGATGGTCACAATCATCCAAGCCCTTATGTAATTCCCTCCCCTTGATTGTGGATGAGATCCATAACTTGCTTCCAACTTGTTTTGTGTAATATGTGGCAAAAGTGATGGGATATCTCTCCCGTGATTGTGTTTTGTCATATAAGGTGCTATCTTAGCAGACTAGAAAAATAGATTCTCTTATAGCCTTGATAAAGTAGACACTATGTTGTGACTTGTGAAGAGAGGTACCTCTTAGGGAACTGGGGGCAGCCACTAAAGACCTGAACGTGGTCTCTAGCAGGCAGTCAGCAAAATGTTGGGTATCTCAGTAGACTACTATGCGGAAATAAATTCTGCCAACAATCTGAATGATTTTGGAAGCAGAGTCTCCTCAGTTTGAGCTTTCAGACACGAGTGCAGCCCAGCTAATGCCTTGAGTGCATCCTTGTGAGACCCTGAGCAGAAAAACCAGTTAAGTTTTGCATGGATTCCTGACCCAGAAAAACTGTAGGATAATGTGTTTTTATAAGCCACCAAGTATGTGATAATTTGTTATGCAGCAATAGAAACCTCATACACATGGTTATTTATCAAATTAACCTAGAAAAGCAAGTTAAAATATATATTCTTGTGGATTTTTAATTGTTTGCTTTTTATACTTTGTAAATAATTCATGAGCTTGGGTTGAGCCACGTATTTTTTAAAAAGATACATCATGCTTGAGAATAATCCTCAAAACGGTATTTGAAAATCAGTGCTCTAGACACTACACAGAAGAAAGCCCCTTTCAGGGGATTGCAAGTTAGAACATGGGGCCTGGGGAAAATCCCAAGTATAACCACATGAATGGATTAAATCTGAGTCTCTACTTGTGGGGCAAATAAATATAAAGGGATATCTTTTTCATTCAATTCAGGCCTGTTAAGAAGCAAAAGCCAAAACAGGAAATTAGAAATTTGACAGCTTTATTGGAGGAAATGCCTGCAAATCATAAAGGGGAATGGAGCAGGAGTAGGCAGTCAGAGGCTTCAGAAAATGACACAGATCTGACACTAGCGAAACAAAAGGGAAAGGAAGGCTTGAGCTCTTCCTAGCCTCTCAAACCTCGGCACAGCACTGTCTCAGCTGGGCTAAAGGGAATCCTCAAGCAAAAGTTGACTACTCAGGCAAAAATGGCCCAGCTACTACCACCACTGTGCCCAGTCATTGGTTAGAAGAAACCTGAGGAGCATGGCTTTCATGTTTGTATCTAGGTGGATCCAGGGGTGTGGCAGTGGGACTGTCAACTATGCTCCTTAGAGCACTTTCTCTTAAAGGGTATCTGAGAGACACACCTCTCTGGCCACTGAGAACTTTTAATTAAGTTATATCATACTCTTCTTAGATGTGTGCAGCTCAATCTATCTAAACCACTATCTTTTTCCTTTGCCTACTATCTGACTGAGAAACATGCCTGGTCTTTCTAGTGAAAGGAAAAAATAAGCGTCACACTGTTCAAGGAAATTCCCCCACATATTCCCCCCCAAAAAAGAGGTGGCTTTATTAGTTCAGATCTTGCGTGAATGTATGATTCAGTAAGAGCAGAGCATTTGTATAAAAGAACTTACACACATTCACATTGCCAAGTTTATAATGTAATTGTCAATCATCTAAGTCACTTTACATGTATTAAAACATGCTCTGTCACCCACTGGCTACCAGTGTTTTGTTATTTAGTTTTTACCTTCTCTTTTTCTCACTGTTTTCTTCCTTCATCTTTTTATTTGAAACCTTTTTTTTGTGTGTTCCTGAAGGCACGATATAACGACAGAAGTTTTTAGGAATTCCAAGAGATACTTTTATCCTTTTAGTAGGAACAAATTTTGCTTTCAAATGAAATTATATGAATTCAACTTTTAAATCGAACCCAGTTCTCATGAATAGACTTTTTGTAGTTGCTATATTACTTTAATTAATTATTTCCTCATTTATTCTTCATTAGGCACAATATCAGATGCTTGAAGATACCAATTTACCAATGTGTATAAGACATACACTTGAGTCAAAGAACTTGAAATACAATAGAATGAGGTGACACACATTGTAACTATGAAGTGTGGAATGTAGTGATTTAATTAAAAACGGAGGAATACAAAGTGCTAGGGAGATTCAAAGGAAGATTTTTCCTTTTCCTGGAGTAATCAAAGATGGCATTCATAAGTTGATGATTAAACTGAACCTTAAAGAAATGAGCTAAATTTGGCTTGTGAGAAAACGGAGGTGTTACACTGTGCAGAACCTGCAACCTAGGAAGACAGGAAACTTGTCAGATAAGGAATTATTTCCATTATTGAAAGAGCTCTATATTCCCCTTCTAACGTCCTCATATAGAGATCAGATTAGCCAGTTTATAGAGTAGTTAGCAGCTCTTAGACTTTGCAATCTTAGTAAACACTGTATTGAAGCTCAGTCTTACGATAGCAGCACGGTATGTTTAATAGAAGACATGGTAATTTTAGGTTATTTTGCTGCAGACTTTAAGAGGCCTTTAAGGCAAAACCCTTTCAGACTAGTTGCTTTATATCATTAAAAAAAGATAAGGGTTTTATGAAACATATTGCCCCTTAGGCACAGCTAAATCACTCTTTCATAGCTCAGATGAGGCTGGTTCCTTGAGCATTCAGGACTGTTTCAGTGCTAATTTTAAACTGAATGCTTTAGATAATTCCATATGCTATTTGAGCTTCAACTAGAAGGATACATTTGCCAATGCTAACATAGAGAATGCTCTTTATTTTATGGTTTTAAAAAAGTTTAGATTGATGGTGTCTTTTTAACGTGTTAATTTGTCTGCCAAGTGTGCCTTTTCAGGATGGGTGTTAAAATTTTGTCGGCCTCGTAAATGTGCTGCTTCCTGAGATATTTCTTTATTACCATGTCTTTGCAGGAAAGCACTTGCCTTAGAATTACTTTTGTGCATGTCTGATTCCTCCTTTATATTTACAGTTTCTTGTGGTGTAGCTTTTGTTTGATTCATCTTTGTAGCTCAGGAGTGTCTAGTATATAATAGGTACTTTAAAAGGCTTGCTGTATCCCATCATCTATCAGTATATCTCAATGAAACATAAACTACACTGGATGACCCTTGAATACCTTTCTTATGAGAGATTATGTGATCTCAAAGTGTTCCTCAGCTTTTTGTTAGGAGTATCTCATAGTACTAACTCATATAAGTTCAGGATTTTTTTTTTAGATTTTTCTATTTCAGCATCCTTATGTGCAGGCATGTGGGATAATCAAAGATGACATTCAGAAGTTGGTGATTAAACTAAACCTTAAAAAATGAGGTTTCTCTACCATTGTCTACTGTTATGAGAATTTTATTTTAATGATGTCAGGTAACTACCACTGGCAAATATGGATATCACTACCCTGGCCATGGAGGGGGGATTCAATAGGTATAAGTCTTTCCCTAATTACCCACTGCACAAATCAGACAAGGGTGCTGTGATTTTTAGTCAACTTTATTGCAGTATAATTTGCATGCAATAATAAATGTCTCCATTTTAAGTGCATAGTTACAAAAGTTTTGGTAAATATATTACTCATATAACTACCACCCCAATCAACATTTACATAAGCCTGGAATGTCCCCTTAGACCTTTTGTAAATAAATCCCTCCCATCCTTGCTTCAGGCAAAAGATGGTCTTCTTTCTGTTACTATGCAATAGTTTTGCATGGTCTAAAGGTTTTATATAAATGAAATCAAACAGCATGAACTTTTTTTTTATTTGGCTGCTTTCTCTCCATACAAAGTTTTTGTAATTCATTTTGTTATGGCACAGTCATGCACAGTTTATTCTTCTCTACCTCTGAGAATTATCCTGTTGTACAATTATCTCATGGTGTATTCATGTGTTGATGAACATTTGGATTGTTTCCAATTTTTAACAGTTATGAATAATTCTTTTATTTAATAGTTAATATTTTGTGTGGTTATAGGTTTTGATTTCTTTGAGGGTAACTATCCAGTCATGGGATTGCTAGGTCATATGGTAAATGCATGTTTAACTTGTTAAGAAGCTGCTAAATATTCTCTAAAGTAAGGATACCATTTTATATTTTCACCAGGAATGTACGAGAGTTTCAGCTATCCCATCTCCATTTTAGTAGTTGGAGTTTTCAGTCTTAATTTAGCCATTCTTATTGTTGTGTAGTATTATCTCATCATGAATTTACTTTGCATGACCTTGAATTAAAAAAATTGGCATGTTTTTATGCATTTAGCTATTTGTATATCTTCCATAGAGAAATATCTGCAGCCAGGTACAGTGGCTCATGCCTGTAATCCTAGCACTTTGGGAGGCTGAGGCGGGAGGATAGCTTGAGCTCAGGAGTTCAAGACCAGCCTAGGCAACACAGTGAAACCCCTCCTCTACCAAAAATACAAAAAGTAGCCGGGTGTGTTGCCTGTGGTCCTAGCTTCTTGGGAGGCTGAGGTGGGAGGATCACTTGAGTCTGGGAGGCGGAGGTTTCAGTGAGTCAACATCATGCCACTGCACTCTGGCCTGGGTGACAGAGTGAGACCCCCTTTTCAAAAAAAAAATCTGCTTGAACATTTTACTCATATTTTATTAGTTGTCTTATTATTACAGAATTGTAAGAATTCTTTATGTCTTGTGTATACAAACTCTTTTTCATACATGCATTGCCAATTATTTTTTCCTAGTTTGTGGCTTAGATTTTTATATTCTTAATGATGCCTATTATGAGAAAAAGGTTTTAATTTTAGTGAGGTCCAATTAGTTTTTTATTTTATTGTTCATGCTTATTATGTTATATCTAAGACATTTTTGCTTGCATCAATATTATTACTATTATCTGTATTTCTCTTCTGAAAGTGTTATCAATTTGCTTATGTTTAGGACTACCATCTATGTCAAGTTAATTTTTATTTGATGTGAGATTAAAGTTGTGATTCATTTACTTTTTATATTGATATACAGGTGTTCCAGCATAATTTTTTCAAAAGATTTTCCTTTCCTTATTGAAATATGGTACCTTTGATTTATGGTACAATTGATTTGAAGAATATCAATTAATGTGTCCAATTATTTCTGGGCTTAATATTCTATTTTATGGATCGCTATGTCTGACCTCACACCAATACCAAAATGTTTTGGTTTCTGTAGCTTTGAAGTAAATATTAGACTCAGATAAAATATGTTTTTAATCTTTATTTTTCTGTCTTCAAAATTTTAGTAGCTAATTTAGGTCCTTGACTTTTCCATATACATTTAGAATAAGGTTATCAATTTTTATAAAAAAAATGTTGAGTTCCAATTCTTTTGAATAGATAACCAGCAATGGAATTCCTAAACAATATAATAATTTTATTTTTAATTTTTGAGGAGTTGATATACCGTTTTCCAGAGTTGCTGCACCATTTTACATCCCATCAACAATATACAAGAGTTCTCATTTCTCCAGATTCTCTCCAACAATTGTTCCCCCCTTTTTTTTGGTGGCCCATCCTACCGATGTAAGGTGATATTTCATTGTGATTTTGATTTGCATTTCTCCGATGACTAGTGATGTTGAGCATCTTTTTATAAATTTCTTGGCTATATGTCTGTCTATTCTATTTGTCTAATTTTGCTGTTGTTGCTTGTGCTTTTGGTGTTGTATTCCAGAAATCATTGCCAAGCCCAAAGTCATAAAGTTTTCTTTTTAAGTTTTCTCCTAGAAGCTTACAGTTCCAGGACTTATGTCTAAATCTTCAATCCATTTTGGGTTGATTTTGCTGTATAGTATACAATAATGGTTCAATTTCATTATTTTGCATGTGGATATCCAGTTTTCCCATTACTGTTTGTTGGAGAATGTTCTTTTTCCTTTGCATATTCTGGGCACTCTTATTGAAGATCAGTTGACTATATATGCATGGGTTTATTTATGGGTTCTCTATATGTCCCTTCATTTTTATATCTATTTTTATACCTATTAAAACAGTACCATAGTGTTTTAATGACTAACATTTTGTAATGTATTTTAAAATCAGGAGATGTGATGCCTCCAGCCTTCTTTCTCAAGATTGCTTAGTCTACCTTGAAGAGATATATGCACTACCATGTTCATTACAGCATTATTTACAATAGTCAAGATATCAAAACAATTTAAATGTCCATTGACACATAAATGAATAAGAAACATGTGAAATTCACACACAATATATTATTATTCAGCCTTTTGAAAATCCTGACTTATGTGACAACATGGATGTATCTGGGAAATGTTATGCTAAGTGAAATAAGCCAGTCACAGAAGGACAAATGCTGCATGGTTTCACTTACATGAGGTATCTAATATAGGAAAACCCATAGAAACTGAGAGTATAATAATACTTTCCAAGGGCTTAGGGGCAGGAGAATGCGGAATGGGGAGTTGTTTCTCAGAGCATAAAGTTTCAGTTATAGAAGGAGAATAAGCTCTAGAAATCTGGTGTAGAACATTGTTCCTATAGTTAATAATACTGTATTTTATACTTAAACATTTGTTAAGAGGGTAGATCCCATATTAAGTGTTCTTACTACAAAAGAAGGAAGGAAGGGAGGGAGGAAAGAGGGAGGAAAGGGAGGGAGGGAAAGGAGGGAGGGAAAGGAGGGAAGGAATGAAGGGGAGGGAGGGAGGGAAGGAACGAAGGGAAGGGAGGGAGTGAGGGAAGAAAGGAAGGAAGGAGGGAAGGAATGAAGGAAGGAGAAAGAAAGAGAAAGAAAGAGAAAGAAGAAAAAGAAAGAAAGAAAAAGAAAGGAAAGAAAGAAAAGAGGAAAGGGAAGGGAATGGAAAGGAAAGGAAGAGAAAAAGGAGGAGGGAGAGAAGGAGGGAAGGAAAGAAGGAAGGAAGGAAAGAAGGAGAGAAAGAAAAGAAAAAGAAAGAGAAAGAAGGAAAGAAAGAAAGAAAGGAAGCAAGCCTAATCAATTCTAACCTGTGCAATTAAACAAAGATTAGGGTATTGGTAAGAATACATTTCCCTACAATTTTTTTTTAATTGAGAACTTCTCAAAATATAATGCCTTAATCCAAAGCAATAAATTTCAATTACTCTGAAAGGCCAAAAAAATAAGATTATTTGAGGAGAGAAACAACTTTACCTAATTATACAGTTTATAATGTACAATGAAATAAAATTCCCTTGAATTTAAGTTTATTATTACTCATTTGTAATTATCCTCATGTAGATAAGATGTAGGCTTCTCCACCCAAGTCATCTAACTGCTACATGCTTCTATGTTACTCACTGCCTAGTGAAGTTGAACTGTAATTTAAATAAAAAATATATATATTTTTAAAATGTTCTATATTAATTTTAGAAACCACATTGGGATTTTGCTTGGACTTTTGTAGAATTGACTGATAAATTTTGGAATAATTACAGTCATAGTTATACGGAGTCATTCTTTATCCATAAAAAGGGTATATGTCTTTGATGATGTAAGTCTTTTTTAATTCCTCTTAGCAGTATTTTATAATTTCAGTAAGTATAGGTCTTGTCCATGCTTTGCTCAAAATATGTGTGAGTTTACATACTTTTAAAAATGTTTAAACTTTTTATTGTAAAATAACTTTAGTCTCATAAAAGTTGCAAAATTATACATAAAATTTTCTTATGTTCTTCATGCAACTTCCTGTAATGACATATGGTTTGTAGGGTAGAGTACTGGCAAGGAGAACGTTGCATAGAGAAAACTAACAGAGTTCTACAGAGGATCCCCCCGAGAATTTAGTGGATTAAAGTCGGTGCATGTGTATGTGCATTTAAGGATGTGGAAAGAATCACTCAAAAGGATTTTAAAAATCTCTGAAGTGTAGAAAGGACTAGGATTATTGCCTCTTCTTACTAGGCAGGACAAAAATCCTGATCACTCACAGGAGATGAGTTAGAGAAGGCAAGATAATTTTTGCCTCAGGAAAGAAATAATTAACCTAGACCAAAGCCTGCTCTAATGCCACATAACAAAAAAGACCACATAACAAAAAAGATCACGTAAAAAGACCCTGAAAGATCAAACTTTTTCAAAATAAATTTGAATGACTTAGAACAAAAACCCATTAACATTTATAAAAATATGAAAACATCCAGCATCTAAAATATATATTTGACTATTGTTAGAATCCAAGAAAAATTACCAACCATGAAAAGAAATATGAAAATGCTTCCCATTATGAGGAGGAAGATAAATCAAAAGTGACCACAAACTGACACAAATGAAAGAATTGGGAGCCGCAGACACAAAAGAGTTCTTATAACTGTATTTCCTATGTTCAAAAAGGAAGAGAAAAACTGGAATATCTTCAGTAAAGACATGGAAGATATAAAATATCTGAATCAACCTTTTAGAGATGATAACTGCAATGTGTATGATTAAAAATACATTGAATGAGTTGAAAGGCATGTTTAGTAAAGGATGGAAGCATACTTGGTTGGATATAAATTCTTTGGTTCTCACATTCTTTCATTAATTTTTTTTTTAAATTCTGCTGCAAAACTTCTGCTTTGGGGAAGATGGAGTAGATACATTTTTCTTATTATTTCTGCTAATCATAATGGGAAATGCTGGATATTGTATATAAAACAAACATATGAAGACTTTGAAGGGTAAAAAGGAACAGGGAGAATGACTAGTGACCTTGCAGTTTTAGGAATGACATGTTGATGAGGTGTTTGTTCAGTTTAGTTTTGTTTTTTTGCCTCATATATCTCAAAAGTTGGCAACCCAGAACTTCCGATGTTTGCAGAAAGTAAAAGTACCCTTTTTTTGTGCCCTGCCAAAAGCCTGCTTACTTTAGCCAAAGTACCAGGAAAGTGACAGTCTAGCAAGACAGAACAGTTTTAGACAATAACTACTCTCCTCTAACCAAATACCTCAGAAAAATATGTGGCACTACCCTACCAGCAAAGACCAAGTAAGAAGCCTAACCACAGGCCCTCACGTGGCTACAAGATACTACATCCCAATCCTTCCAATGAGGTGGTGGCAAAGAAGGCCAGTAGGGATCCAGGACTTTCATCCTGGCTAAGCAGTAAAGAGTCCCATCCCACTCCAGGTGTCGGTAAAGACCGCAGGAAAGCCAGGAATTTCACCCCACATTCCAGTAATGGAGCACCCACCCCATCCCCACGGGGGAGATGTAGGAGGAAGCCTGGCAGAGAGTCAACCCTTTCTTCACTGCCTAGCACTAAGGAGGCTGCTCCCCACCCTGTAGTGTCAGTGGAGGCCATGGAGGGAGCCTAATGGGGCACTCCTACACCTGCCAGCCATAGAGGTATCAGTGAAGACCTAGTGGTTAATCTAAAATCCCACCTGCATTTAGCAGTAACGAGGAGCCCCCTCCCTTTTGGTAGTCAAAAAACACAGAGTAGTGACCTGGATTTTTCTACCACCACCTGGCGGTCACAAGGCAGTGTGACCTTTCCTTCCCCTGCTGGATCAGTATAAAAAAGGACCAGTGAAAACAGAAGGTTTGGAGAAAGATTGAGATATCATAACATTATACTCCAAATATCCAGGTTTCAATTGAAATGTACTCATCATACTGAAGAAAAAAGTGATCTCACTCTAGGAAAAAAGACAGCCAACAGATGTTATTCTAGATGACAGAAATGACAGAATTACCAAGCAAAGATTTAAAAACAGGCGTAATATAAATAATTAGGAAGTAAGCAAGGCAGACGGCTTGGCCAGGAGCAGCTAGAAGCTGGGAGAGAATCCTCAGGGTGGGGAAAGGATAAGTGGGAGATCCTTAGCGCTCCACATTCCCACTACAGACTCTTGCAACCCTAACCACAGGAGGGCCCATTGACCCTCACAGTCCCTGATACCAAGATAGGAAGCTGCCTGGAGACTGTGCAATGGCATTGCTCCTTAGAGGGAGCTCACGCTGGGTACCACACACACCCCAAGTCCCAAGCAGCTGAAAGCATGGCACCATTTTGAGAGCCCAGCCCCACCAGACTACATCCTGCCCTGGGGCTCAACAGCCCCTGCAATTCCATATTTCATATCCCCGGCTCTACATTAATATCCCCCTGCCTTTACTCAGAGGGTTTCAGTGGTGCCATGCCAGTTGGACCCGGCAGAGAGACAGAATCTCTGGCACTCTAGCACACACAGTATTCTGCACCCAAGGGATTAGGTTGTGCAGTACACTGGGGAGGTTGCACCCTGGACTGAGGGAGCCAAAGCATGCTTTCAGGGCCTGAAATTGGGCTGATTTGGACTGCTGCCACTGGCAGCAATCCCACCCCCATCCTAACCCACCCCCGGTAGCACTGCTGCACCACACTGGCATGAGCCTTGAGCACAGGCTCTCCCTACCTGCGGCCACAGTTGCAGCCACCAGTGGGGGCCAAAACATGTGCCACTGTCGGTGACCCCTCCCCGCCAGTAGCAGACTTGCACAAACCTTAAGCACAGGCTCTCCCCACCCATAGCCATAGCAGCTGCTGCTGCTGCTGCCAGGGACCAAAACAGGTGTTACTGGCAGTGACCCCAAGCTTCCCAGCAGCAGGGCCACCACATACCTGCACACACCATGAGAACTGGCTCTCTCAACTGCTGCCACTGGGAGCCAAAGCCCATGTTCCCCAAAGCCTAAGAGATGCCTGCCTATGACAGCTGCCACAGAAAGCAACCTTGCTCCCACCAGCAGCAGGGCTGCAGCACACTTGCATGTGTGTTGAGGATGGGCTCCTGCTGATCCTCATGAATGCTGCTGCTGTCACCTAAGCACTCTGCTGGGGCACTGGAGATCACTCTGCCTAGTCCACTATAGCCTGTGCCAATGCACAAAATTGAGGGGCCTAAGAACAGGCCTACCCAACCTGTCACTGCCCCTCCAGTGCCCAAATATGCCAATGGAGAGCTGGGGATTGTCCCACCTTGTCCACTGCTGCTAGTATCTGTGCATTCCTACTGAGAGCCTGAGGACAAGCCCATCAAACCTACTGCTACCATCACAGCTGGTACCTATCCACAAGCACAACCCAGGGTTCCCTGGATTGGCCTGCCCAGTTCACTTCAGCTACCACTAACACAAGTTCATGCCCACTTTAGGGATTATCCTCCCCTTGTCCTGCATAATGGTTGTCCTCCCACTGCAGTGGTCATTCTTCACACCACACATGCCTTCCAGGAACACAATGATTCTCTCACCTGCCTGACCCTCTGCTGACACTGCTGGTACCTGAGCAAGGTGCCTGAAGGTCTCAGAATCAGCCCCCTTGGACATGTTAACAGCGATGATCACATATGCCACTGACTGGCCAAAGAACAGGCAGGTGTGGTCCACCACTGCCACCACTGGGGCCTGAAGACTGCCCCACCATCTACATACACAGCCTTGCACTAATAATCACAGCCCAAACCAAAAGTAAATCACAAAACAATCGTGTTTATAGCCAAAAAAAATGTATACAGAGACTATACTACAGCACATACCCAGAATAAAAGCCAAAATGCCCTACCTAACCAAATCCAACCAAATTTAGGAAAAAGCCCTCCCCTACAAAAGCTAATCCAAAAAAATTGGAAGGAGCAACTATCACACCAGATGTTCAGATATCAAAGTAAAAACACAAGAAACATTAAAAAGTTTGAAAAAAAGAACCTGTAAAGTAACACAATAATTATCCAGGAATAGATTTCAAATAAAAATAAACTTATAAAATATAGAAAAAATACAGAAAAAAATTTTAAATATAGAAAAAATTCAAAATAACAATATTAAGGAAAATGCAATACAAAAGAACATAAATAAACAATACACATAAATCAGAAAAAATCAGGATATAAGTGAGAAATTCACCATATATCTATCTATCTATCTATCTATATATATATATGACATAAATTCTGGAAGAATACAATGTGTATAATGATACATTGAAAGCCTCAACAATAGATGACCAAATGGAAGAGATAATTTTATAACCTGAAGGCAAGTTTTTGGAAATACCCTAGTCAGACGAAAGTAAAAGAGAATAAACAAAGCATATGTGACACATAAGATACTATAAAATGACCAAATATTTGAATATGGGGGGGGGGGTTCCAGAAAATGTAGAGAAGGCCAAAGTTATAGAAAATGATTTAGATAATTTAACAAATTATTTAACAAAATAATAGCTTTAAAATGATCAATTCTAACAAAATATTTAGATATCAAAATACAAGAAACTCAAAAATTTCCAAGTAGATATAATCAAAAGTTATTCTCCCAGCCCATTATAGTTAAACTGTCAGAAGTAAAAAACAAACAGATAATCCTAAAAATAGCAAGAGAGACAGCTATCCAGTCACGTGCAAGAGAATCTCCCGTCAGACTTATGGCAAGATTCTCAGCAGATAATTTACAAAGTAGGAAAGAATGGGATGATATATTTGAAGTGCTGAAAGAAAAAAAACCATTAGTAAATATTACTATACCCAGCAAAGTTATTCTTCCTAAGTGAAGGAGAAATAAAGTTTTGTCCAGAGAAGGAAAACTGAGGGAATTCATTACTGCTAGACTAACCCTATAAGAAATGCTTAAAGGAGTCCTACATCTGGAAGTGAAAGGATGATATCTACCATCATGAAAACACACAAAAGTATAAAAGTCACAAGCAGAACAAACAGACAAATAAGAAAGAGAAAGGACCCAAATGCTTCCATGAAAGAACCATCGAACTGCAATAATAAACAGTAAGAGAGAAAGAAAGGAACAAAGATTACACAAAACAACCAGAAAACAATTAGCAAAATGATGGAAATAAACCCTCATACATATTACCTTGAATGAAAATGGTTTTAAATTTCCACTTAATACATATAAACTGGCTGAATGGATTTTTTAAAACATGACCCAACTACATGCTGCCTACAAGGAACTAACCTCAGCTGTAAAGACATATAAAACTAAAAAGCGAAGGGATTCAAAAATGTATTCCATGTAAATGGAAATAAAAAATAAGCAGGAGTAGCTATACTTGTAGCAGATAAAGCAGGCTTCAAGTAAAAAATAAAAACTGTAAAAAGAGTCAAATATGGTCATTATAAAATGAAAAGAAGGATCTGTTCAACAAGAGGCTATAATAATCCTAAATATGCACTTAACACTGGAGCATACAGATACATAAATCAAATATTATTAGATCTAAAGAGAGTCCAATACAATAATAATTGGTGACCTCAACATCTCACTCTAAACATTAGATAGATCATTGAGACAAAAAATTAACAACAAAAAATAGGATTTAAACTGCACTTTAGTTCAAATGGACCTAACAGAGATCTACAGAATATTTTATCTAACAGCTGCAATATACACATTCTTCTCATCGGCACACAGAACATTCTCCAGGATATATCATTTGTTAGAACACAACACAAGTCTCAACAAATGTTTAAAAACTGAAATCATATGAAGTACCTCCTCAGAACACAATATAGTAAAATTAAGCATCAAGTAATGAGTAGAACATTGGAAAATGTACAAATACATGGAAATTAAACAACATGTTCCTGAATGAACTTTGTTCAATGAAGAAATCAAGAAGAAAATAAAGTTTAGAATAAATGAAAATTGATACATAACATACCCAAACCTGTAATATACAGCAAAATCATTGTTAAGAGAAAATTTTGCAGCAATAAATGTGTACATTAAAAGAAAAACAGAATTATTTCAAATTTTAAAAATGTGATGATGTACCTCAAGAAACTAGAAAAACATAAACAGACCAAACCCAAAATTAGTAGAAGAAAATAACTAATAAAGATCAGAATGGAACTAAAATAATAGAGACTAAAAAAAAACACAATGATCAACAACATGAAATGCTAGTTTTTAAAAAAAGATAAACAAAATCAGTTAGTAACTAGCTAGACTAATCAGAAAAAGAGAAGACCCAAATAAACAAAATCAGAAACAAAAAAAAGGAGACCTTGCAACTGACACCACAGAAATACAAATGATCATCAGAGAGATAATGAATAATTATATACCAATAAACTGTAAACCTTAGAGGAAATGGATAAATTCCTGGACACATACAACCTATCAAGACTGAATCAGGAAGAAATACAAAAACCTGAATGGACCAGTAATGAGCAGTGAGATGGAATCGCTAATAAAAAGCCTCCCAACAAGGAAAAGCTCATGGCCAGATGTCTTCACTGCTGAATTCTACAAAACTTGTAAAGAACTAACACTAATTCTCTCCAAATTATTTCAACAAGTTGGAAAGGAGAGAATTCTCCCTAACTCATTCTGTAGGTCCAGTATTTTGTCGATATAAAAACCAGCAAGGACACAACAACAACAACAGAACCACAGGTCAACATCCCTGATGAACATTGATGAAAAAACTCAACAAAATAGTAGCAAATCAAATCTAAGAACAACACATCAAAAAGATAATACACCATGATCAAGTAAGATTTGTTCCAGGGATGATAGGATGCTTCAACATATACAAATAAATAAATGTTTTATGTCACATCAACAGATGAAGGACCAAAAACAGACACATGAAAAGCATTTGATAAACTTGAACATTACTTTATGACAAAAAACTCTTGACAAAATAGGCATAGAAGGAGCCTGACTCACCACAATAAAGGCCAAACACTGAATGCAGAAAAACAAAGTCTTTTTTCTAAAAACTAGAACAAGATAAGGATGCCCACTTTTACCATTCATATTCAACATAGTACTATAGGTACTAGCCAGAAAACATCAGACAAGAGAAAGAGGTAAAGGGCATCTAAATTGGAAAAAAGAAAGTCAAATTGTTCCTCTTTGCAGATGGTGAGCTCTTATATTTAGAAAAATCTAAAGACTCCACCAAAAAAACTCTCAGATCTGATGAATTCAGTAAGGTGGTGATAGGGACACTGGGCAGAGAAATTCTAGCCAGCAAAGGGCAGGTCCCCACTGAAACCCCACCCTCAAGCTGAAAAACCTGAAATTGCTGCCCAAAGTGAGAACTTACATCCCTGTTTACTCACTCAAATGTTGCTTTTTTCTAAACCACCCAGGGCTCTGCCCTGCTCCATCCCGTGCCTATAAAAACCCCAGACTCGGCCAGTAGATGGGACTACAGCAGAATGTCAAAGTGGCTTGACTTCAAAAGGACAGCGTGATGGTGTAACTTTAAAGAAGAATTGGCTGGAGATGGCTAGAACTCAGGGAAAGATTACCTACCTGCCCCATCCCTTTCCCCTTCCCTCTGAGAGTGACTTTCGTCAGCAATAAAATCCTCCTCATTTACCATCCTTCAATTCGTTCGTGCAACCTCATTTTAGCTGGATTCTGGGCAAGAGCTTGGGAGCCACGAGTGCAGATACAAAAGGCTGTCACACTGGCCCTTTGCTCTGGCTGGAGGAGAGCAGCTGCTTCACACAAAAAGGCAAAGGGCCCACTGAGCTGTTAACACTTAAGCCATCCATGGATGGCAGAGCTAAAAGAACATTGTAACACAACCTTTGGGGCTTCGGGGGTCACAGGCACCCCTGCCTGGATGCTGCTGCAGGGCCAACATGGAGTTTGCTCCTGCCAGTGCCCAGAAGTGGCCAGCTGGATGCCATACTTGCTCGCCTACTTTCCCCTTCCACAAGGAATTGAATGTGGTGAGCCAAGTAAATGGAGCTTGCTCCTTCCTGCGCCCAAAAGCATTCACTTCAGTTTCGGCATTTGCTTGCATGCTCCCTCCCATGGGGGGTAGACAGGCGTAGGCTGAGTAAATGAGGCACCCCCTATTGAAAGTCTCATGAAGGAGTCAAGAAAATATCCTGCTTTAGTGGCAGGATACAAAATCAAAACACATTTCAGTAGCATTTCTATACACCAATAATGAAATTGCTAAAAAAGAATTCAAGAAGGCATTCTCATTTACAATAGCTACACAAATAAAATAAAATAAAATATCTTGAATAAATGTAACCAAGGAGATAAAAGATCTCTACAAGGAAAACTATGATCTGCTGATGAAAGAAATTGAAGAAGATGCAAACAAATGGAAAGGCATTCCATGATCCTGGATGGGAAGAATTAATACTGTTAAAATGGCCATACTTGGCCGGGCGTGGTGGCTCACGCCTATAATGTCAGCACTTTGGGAGGCCGAGGCAGGTGGATCACGAGGTCAGGAGATCGAGACCATCCTGGCTAACATGGTGAAACCCCGTCTCTACTAAAAATACAAAAAATTAGCCGGGCGTCGTGGCGGGCACCTGTAGTCCCAGCTACTCAGGAGGCTGAGGCAGGAGGATGGCGTGAACCCAGGAGGCGGAGCTTGCAGTGAGCCGAGATCGCGCCACTGCACTCCAGCCTGGGCGACAGAGCGAGACTCCGTCTCAAAAAAAAAAAGTAAAATATAAAAAAAATAATGGCCATACTGCCCAAAACAATCTACAAATTCAATGCTATCCCTATCAAAAAACTAATGACATTTTTCACAGAAAATGCCACAGACATTTTCACAGAACAGAGAATAATTCTAAAATTTGTATGAAACCGCAAATGACCTGGAATAGTCAAAGCAATCCTGAGGGGCAGCGCACTACCTGATTTCAAAATATGGTACAAGGAAATTTTAGCCAAAACAGCACAGTGCTGGTGCAAGAACAGAGACATAGGCCAATGGAACAAAATAGAGACACGAGAAATTAATCCAGTTATTTAGAGCCAACTGATTTTCAACAAAGGCACTAAAGACATGCACTGGGGAAAGAACATTTTCAATAAATGATCCTGGGAAAGCTGCAAATCCATAAGTAGAAGAATAAAACTAGATCCCTATCTCTTCCTGTATACAAAAATCAGCTCAAAATGGATTAAAGACCTAAATATGAGATCAGATATGATAAAACTACTAGAAGAAAACAGGGGAAACACCACAGGATATTGGCCTAGGAAAAGATTTTATGGCTAAGACCTCAAAAGCACAGGCAACAAAAACAAATATAGACAAATGAAACTATATTAACCTAAGAATCTTCTGCACAGCAAAGGAAACAATAGAATAAAGAGACAACCTGTTGGATAAGAGAAAGTATTTGCAAACTATTCATTCAACAAATAACTTATCTATATAATACATGAGGAATTCAAACCACTCAACAGTAAAACAAAAACAAATAATCTCATTTAAAAGCAGACATGGGCAAAGGACATGGTTAGACATTTCTCAAAAGAAGACATAAAAATGGCCAACAGGTATATGAAAAGAAAAATACACAACATTGCTATTCATTAGGAAAATGAAAATCAAAACCGCAATGAGATATCATCTTACCTCAGTTAAAATGGCTATTATTAACAAGACAGAAAATTGGAAATGCTGAAGAAGATCTGAAAAAAGGCCATGCTTATTCACTGTTTGTGGAAATGTAAATTTGCACAGCCATTATGGAAAACAGTATGGAGATTTCTCAAAATACCTAAAATAGAACCATCATATGACCCAGCAATCCCACTACTAGGTATTAATCCACAGGAAAAGAAATCAGTTTATCGAAGACATACCTACATTCCTGTGTTGATCACAGCGCTATTCACAATAGCAAAGATATAAAATCAAGCTAAGTGTTTGCCAATGGAACAGTTTTAACTATAAGAAAGAAAGAAATCTTGTAATTTGAAGCAACATGAATGGAACTGGAGATCATTATGTTAGGTGAAATAATCCAGGAACATAAAGACAAGTATTGTATGTTCTCATTCATATATGGGAGCTAAAATATTGATCTTATGGAGGTAGTGAGTCGAATGATAGTTTCCAGAAGTTGGGAAAAATGTGTGTGTGTGTGTGTGTGTGTGTGTGTGTGTGTGTGGTGGGCCAGGGTGGGTGGGGGTGTGGGGAAGAAGAGAGTTTAGTTAATGGTTCCAAACATACAATTAGAAGAAAGGAATAAGTTCAAATGTACAATGGCAAAGTAGGATGACTATAGTAAATAATGTATTGTATATTTCAAAATAGCTACAAGAGAGAACTTGAAATGTTCTCAATACATGGTAATGATAAATACTTGAGGTGATGGATATTCTAAAGACCTAAGTTAGTCGTTACGCATTCTATGAATGTAACAAAATATCACATGTACCCCATTAAAATGTACAAATATTATATATCATACAATTTTTTAACTAATAAACAATTGTGGTATTTTTATATAATATATTCAAGTCAGCAACCAAAAGAAATAAATGAAAGCAGATAAAGTTCATACTACATGGTCCCTTTATATATAATTCTATAAAATGCAAATATAATTGACAAAGAGCAGATGAATGGTTGCTTGCTGAGGAGAGGAGAAGAGCTCAAAGGAGAAATGCAAAGGCATGGGACAATACTCCAGGTGCTGTACCTGAGCGAGTTAGAGAAAACGCCACACTTTGAGACGAATTAAGAGTACTTTATTAGCCGGCGACCGAGAGACGGCTAACGCTCAAAATTCTCTCAGCCATGAGGAAGGGGCTTGGTTAACTTTTATACCTTGGTTTAGGATGGGGAGGCGGGAGGGTCTAGTTAAAACAATTTTACAGAAGTTAAGTAGTCAAAAAAGTTAAAAGGATAAATGGTTACAGGAAAGTAAACAGTTCCAGGTGCAGGGGCTTTAAGACTATTACAAGGTGATAGACGCGGGGCTTTGGGCATTATCAATCAGACGAATTCCTGGAGACTGTGGATATAGCTTGCCAAGATGGAGTTTGTCTGGTTCTCTTAGCTAAGGGAGAAACAAAGCCAGGTGAATAAGGAAAAAACAAGGTTGGGCATTACAAGGGCAGTTATGAATATGTTCATTATCTTGACTATTTCAATGGATTTAGGAGTGTCTACATATGTCAAAAGTTATCAAATTGAGCTGGGCACTGTGGCACACACCTATAGTTCTAGCTAGTTAGGAGTCTGAGGTGGGATGATATCTCAAACCCCAGAATTCAAAGCCAGCCTGAGCAATGTAACAAGACCCCATTTCAAAAATAAATAAATAAAATAAAGAAGTTATCCAATTGTACACTTTAAATATTTGCATTTTACATCAAATATCTCCATAAAGCTGTTAAAAAGTAGCTTAAACAACTCTGCTCCATTGTTGCCTTGCTTTTGGTGTTGATTTTGAAAATTCTAATGCCAATATTCTTTGGCATTTGTAATTTATTTTTCTGAAGGTCTTGATAATTTTGCCTTTGTCTTTGAACTGTAACAGTTCTACTAGGATATGTTTCAGGGATAATTATTCTGGTCTAATTTTCCCTGGTTCCTTGAAAACCTTTTCAATGTCTTTATGTACTTCTGGCTTGGATCAGAGTTCAAAATATGGTCTCTGGTCCATTGTTTTGTTTTTCTTCTTCAGAGACTCCAGTAATACGAAAATTGTTGCTTCTTTGCCTGTCTTCCATGTCCAATATTTTAAAACTATTTTTATTTTTCTTTGTCATTTTCTTTATTTTTTTAAGTTAATTTTTAAAATTTGAGCCTATTTTCATCCTCCCTGAATGTTAATCACTTTTCTTATCTCAGATCCATGCAAGGCTGGACTTAAATGCTTCTGGGCAGAAATCCGGAACAATAAGGAGGCTCATATTGTCAACTTTTCTACTCTCATCGTTCCTGTTACACAATGTCTGAAAGAAAACATTTCAAACATTACATCAA
The DNA here is from genome assembly GCF_000001405.40 of Homo sapiens. Classification (NCBI taxonomy): domain Eukaryota; kingdom Metazoa; phylum Chordata; class Mammalia; order Primates; family Hominidae; genus Homo; species Homo sapiens. Next base: position 191,712,588 of record NC_000003.12, read on the forward strand.
GTTCTTCATTTGTTTCTTCTGTGAGTACAATTACAGTATATCAATAAGACAATGAAAATAGACTTTTACTGATAAATTTCCCAAAGCGTGGCTGAATATAACTTCTCTGATGTATTTTCCAGTGATTATACTACTTTGGATTTTGCTTCCTTTTTAAGGATTCATTTACTTGATAATGAATCCCTAATCTAATTACATTTATTTATTTATAAATGTTATATGTTTTAATATTTGAATGCATTGCCTAGATTGCAGAACATATGTTAAATTAAAAACAAAAAAGGATTTGATGAAAATAAAATGTCTTCTTTTGGTTAAGTCACCTCTTAAGTTCCCTCTTAAGGTGCAGGAAGCTAGAAAGAGTATCATTTCCACCATGACGATGACAACAAAGATCAGTAAAATTTGTCAAATAATAACTTTTTCTGTACCAATCAGAGAGCTGAGGTTTGCAGGGCAACCCAACTGGCCTAAAATCCAAGGAAAGACTGGATCTTCTAAAAAGACATTGTCAAACCAAAAAATTGCAGCAGACAATGTTAAAAAGGGAAGGAAGACTATAATTGAGGCTATTACAACAGAAGAGAATCAAAGTCTAAGCCCAAACTCAACTGCACTGAAATAGAGGGCAGGAGGGTTTCTAAGTGCTGGAATAAGCAAGTAGAAAAGTCATAGGCTATCATGTTTGCTAATTGATTTCATCTGAAGGAAACACTAACTTCTCAAATCCTTATAACAGAAGGTAGTTTGCAACTTGAAATAATGGCATCCACTGAAGTTACTCCCCACCCTCCCACCCCGGCTGGGAGTTAGGAGTGCTACTATCTTCCTTGATGATTATTATTCAAAGGGAGGGCTCCCAGGTCCTTGAGAAATAATATTCCTGGGTTATAAAACTGGCAATATGCTTTTAAAAAGTGTTACACTTCAAAGAGACAGAGAAAGAATTTACAATTACAAGTAATTTGGAGTAAACGTCCTAAGAAAAGAGAGGTCAGAGGCCCAGTCAAGAAGAAAGCAATCTAAAGTTTTGTCAAGCTGAAGAGAATAGTAAGGCCACCTTGGTCAGATGGGATGTAAACACTGGCTTACCTAGGGCAGACCCAGAGTATCATAAAAGCTGGGAAGAATCAGGTAAAATGTTCAGTAAATTGCTGAAAGCCAAGCACAACCTAGAATGAGACTATGGAACCCCTATGAGTTGAAGATATGGAGGGAATTGTCATCCACCTGCAGGCTCTTCTCTTCCACCTGGTCCCACCCTTGACACATGGGGATTATTGGGATCACAATTCAAGGTAGATTTGGGTGGGGACACAGAGCCAAACCACATCAATAGCCAAAACCTAACAGGTGTGAGGTCATATCTCATTGTGGTTTTGATTTGCATTGCCCTGGTGATTAGTGATGTTGAGCATCTTTCATCTGTCTATTGGCCATTTGCACGTCTTCTTTGGGAAAATGTCTATCCAAGTCTTTTGCCCATTGTTTAATCAGGTTATGTTTTTTCACCATTGAGTTGTATGAGTTTCTTTCATATTTTGGATATTAGCCCCTTATTACGGTTAATGATATGATTTGCAAATATTTTCTTTCACTTTTTAGGTTGCCTCTTCATTTTGTTGATTTTTTTCCTTTGCTTTGCAGAAGTTGTTCAGTTTGATGTAGTTCCATTTGTCTGTTTTTATTTTTGTGGCTTGTGCTTCTGATTTTATTGCCAAGATCAATATCAAGGAGCTTTTTCTCTATGTTTTCTTTAGGAGTTTTGTGGTTTCAGGTCCTAGGTTTAAGACTTTAATCCATTTTTAGTTGATTTTTAGCTGCTACGGGGAACTTAATTAGTTGATTATGACAAAAGCAGCCATTTCTCATGAGAGGTGTTGTTTCATCTGCCTTTTTTGTCAGACCTTGCATCACCTCTCCTGCCAGGAAGGTTTCCTTACCAGGAAGCAGTTGAGCAAATGTAAAACTAAATCCCTTTACAGCAAACCAAGCATAAGATGGGTGAATAAAGAAGTGACACAGGAAATTATTTTGGCCTCCTATAGAAAATTGTGATAATTAAAAGAGGAATGAAATGTAATGCACATATATTCTTATTGATGATGGTTAGGATCCTTGTTTTCACTGAGCATGCATTATATGATTGGCACTCTGCTTGATGATGTAAACATAATAGATAGCAAATAGGAACCTGTACTAATAATTTTATTAATACATATTTGAATAGCATTTCACAGCTTTATAAACAGTTTGACATAAATTATTTCATTTCACCCTCAAAAACCCCTTTGGGTAAGTAGACTAATCGTTTTTCTCTTCATTCTAGCACATAATTGTTATTTGCTGAATAAATTTTGAATTTATTCAGAAATGACTCAACATAATTCAATGTTAAGGATTCTTATCCTTAGGTCACACAGCCTTTAAATTATCCAAATAAGTCTTATGTCCATATCACTGGGTTTCATGTTTTTTACATTCTTCAAATTTGTCTACACTTGTTCTAGTTCTTCAGAATATTGTTCCATTAGACCTATTCCTGACAATACTTTATATCTTTAGCTTCTAACATAATGCCAATGAAGGAATGAAAATAGTATATTTATGTGCGTAGAAGCCTCTTATCTTTTATTGGAAAAATGTCTCCATAAAAGAAATACATCAGAATACAGGGCAATGTGTAAGCCAGTCATATAAATAAATTCATTAAGTATTCTAATATGTTAAAAAGAATGCAATTAAATAAATGTGATAGTCAGACTCTTTTAAATGTCCCCCAAATATTTCCCACTTGATCCCCAGAACCTGTGAATGTGGTGAAGTATCACACCCATGCTTATGTCATGTGACCCTAAGATACAGATATTATCCAGGTGGGTCTGATATAATCACAGGAAGCCATAAAGACAGAGCTCTTTCTTCAGCTGATGGCAGAAGAGGAAGTCAAAGAGATTTCATGCAGGAGAAGGATTCACTGCACTATAGCTGGCTGAAAGCAGGCCACATGAGAAGGAATGCAAGCAGCTATAGGACCTGAGAGAGGCCCCCATTTGGTGACCAACAAAGAAATGGAGATCTCAGCCTACAGCTGCAAGGGATTGAATCTACTCACAAGCAGAATTGCCCTGGAAGAAGAGTTCCAGAGCCTCCAGATAAAAGCCCAGGCTGGCCAATACCTTGATTTTAGCCATGTAAGAGCCTAATAATAGAACCTAGTGAAGTGTGTCTGTATTTCTGACTTACAGGACTGTGAGATAAATAGACATTCTTTTATGCCACTGTATTTGTGATAAATTGCAGTAATGTAAAGCATAATAGCCGTGGCCAGAGTTTTCTATAATAGTGGCCAGAGTTTTCTATAAAAATAGAATAGCAGTGGCCAGAGTTTTCCATAAAATGTTCATGGGACTTGTTTTCCTAATGAAATCAGTGTTAACTCTAGTACTTATCTATTGCTATTGTAGCAAATTACCACAAACTTAGTGGCTTAAAACAATATGAATTTAGTAGCTTTACAGTACTGAAGGCCAAAAGTCACGAATGGGTCTCACTGAGCTAAAATCAGGCAGAGCTGTTTTCCTTTTTTGAAAGCTCTAAAGGAGTATCCACTTTTTTGCCTTTCCAGCTTCTAGAGACCAGCTGTCTGGCCTCTGGCCCCTTCCTCTATTTTCAAAGCCAGCAATGGCTTTTCAAGTCTTTCTCACATTGCATGATTCTGATACTGACATTTCTGCTTCCCTCTTCCACATAAGGAGCCCAGGTGATTACACTGAACCCATCCAGATAATACAAAGTAATGTCTCCATCTCAAAATCAGTGAAATAGCAATCTTAACTTTATCTGCTTAATTATTCTTTGCCATTTAAATCACATATTCACAGGTTCAGGGAATTAGAATGTAGACATCATTGTAAAACTATTATTTTGCCTATCAGATAATATGTTTTAAAAAAGATTTGTTGGTCAGGCAATGAATTGTGCAGAAACTAGCATTGATAAAATATTAACTGCATTTTTTTTTCACTTATGGGTGAGATATTTACTTTTGAGTAAATTTTTTTCCTCAAAAAGAAAAGTTTAAAAAGATGATGAGCCTTGGCAGTCCATGAAATATTTTGAATACTTACATGTACAAAGTTACATGCCAAAAATGTCCAAATTATTGAGAACTGTGATGGAGGAATTTATAGTAACAAGTATAATTTCTTACATGGTATAAATCTTTATTGTTTGAAAAATACTTTCCCAGATATTATCCCATTTATTTATTACATCTGTGAAGCTTTTGCCTATTCTCCTGGCCTGTGTTTCTCTCCTTTCTCAGAAGCGTTTTAAAGATATTCTTGTTAGAGCATTCATAAGAGTGTATTTTGATAATTCATTTAATATTTGTCATTAGTGCAGGGGTGTCTCCATCTCATGAATGCTTGGGTAGTATCTGGCGCCTTTGTCTGCTAATACATGTTACTGATAATGAATGTGTCTTGAGTAAGTCTTTCCTAATAATTTATCCATAGAGAAAGAATAAACAGACTAGTGATGGTTGAGGTCAGCATTGCAGAACATGTTCCTCTGATTCTGATCTTAATATCTGAGCTAAACATATTAGTTAATCAAAATTTTAGCTAAAGTTTAAAAACAAACTTTATCAAGTAATATGACCACTTCTGTGATAGAATTTGTGTCAAAATCCACATTTATTCAACCTAAGTAATATTTAGCTAAATGATATACCTTTTTATATGGTATAGTTTTTTATTTATGTTAATTAATTTTATGTACCTACAAATATATATGCATATGTATGAATAAATATCTCCATTTCTGCTGAGATATAGCTTATAAGGCCACATATAAGTCCATTGTAGCTTAATCACTGTATTAAGGTATGATTGACATATAAGAAACATACATATGTAATGTCTACATCTTTATGAACTTAGAGATAAGTATACACCTGTGAGACCATCACCAAAACGATACGTTTTTAACAAGAATTTTCTGTTACAGTTTCTTTAAAAAAAAAAAAAGAAATCCCAACAGTCTTCATAATGACATATTGTCTCCTTTGCTTAATTATGTCTTTTCTCATTTTTAAAAATATGAAACATCTTTATTATTATTATCTATGTGTCTCAATATTCCTTCTTCTTGTTCCCACAGTATCTTGGCAGCTTAGATTTCCATAGGTTTAATTGTTTCCTTATTCTTTTTTCTTTTTTTTTTTTTTTTGTGAGACGGAGTCTTGCTCTGTTGCCCAGGCTGGAGTGCCGTGGTGCGATCTCTGCTCACTGCAAGCTCCGCCTCCCAGGTTCACGCCATTCTCCTTTCTCAGCCTCCCGAGTAGCTGGGACTACAGGCGCCCGCCACCACGCCCAGCTAATTTTTATTTTTTATTTTTTAGTAGAGATGGGGTTTCACCGTGTTAGCCAGGATGGTCTCCATCTCCTGACCTCATGATCCTCCCGCCTCGGCCTCCCAAAGTGCTGGGATTACAGGCGTGAGCCACTGTGCCCAGCCTGTTTCCTTATTCTTACAATATGAAGGCACAGAGAATGCTTCTGGGTGCTCTTTCGTCTTTTCCACATATTGTTTCCTGAGGAGATATTTCAGTGCCTTATGATACAAGAAAATTTAAACCACTATCTTTTTGTGATCCAAGAAATGTTTAAGGTTTTCTCTTCTTCAATCTTAAGATAGAAATGATAGGGTAAGTGTGGTGTTTAGTTTTTTGTCCTTGGCGATAGTTTGCTGAGAATGATGGTAGGTGGGAATTGAACAATGAGAACACATGGACACAGGAAGGGGAACATCACACACCGGGGCCCGTTGTGGGGTGGGGGGAGGGGGGAGGGATAGCTTTAGGAGATATACCTAATGTTAAATGACGAGTTAATGGGTGCAGCACACCAACATGGCACATGTATACATAATGTAACTAACCTGCACGTTGTGCACGTGTACCCTAAAACTTAAAGTATAATTAAAAAAAGAAAAAAAGAAATGATAGGGTAAGTGAACAATCACTGGATCAGGAGAAGGAAGGCTTACATCTTAGACTGAACTTCCTATTCACTAGTTATAGCGTCTTGGGCAAATATTATAGCCTTTCTGATCCTAAAATTCCATATCTGTAAGTTATAGACAATAGCTACAATATGTGTTAGAAATAATTTAAAAATACCCAAGTATAGAAGATGATATAATAGGTACCAACTTATTGACTACCTACTTAAAAAAATAAGAACTAACAAATATTGAAACATATAATTCTCCCTAATAATATTCCCTTCCATTTATTCATCGGGATAATCTTTAAAACTTCATTTTGGGCAGATGATTTTCATATGCGGGTTTTAATTTTACTACATATATATAAATTCTTAGACAAAATGTTGGTTTTTCATGTTACAGTTTATTTCAGTTTGTTTTGATAAATATTTAGAATTTTTCCGAAATTTTATTATTACAACATAAAAGTAAGCATTTTTGCACATCATGTCTTCCTGTGAATATGTGCAAGAGTTTTGAGAGGGTATATTGTAGGAGTAGAATTGATGGGTCATGGAGTATGCATGACTCACAATTTTAGTTAAATTTGCCAGATAGCATTCTACATTTGTTGTAACAATTTATACTCATACTACAATAAATAAAAATTCTCATTGTTTTACATGCTCACCAATATTTGGTTTGGGATATAAATATACCTCAATAGTTTATTTTTTTAAAAAAATTTAACATGTTTATAGAAGTATAATTGACTTAAATTATATATATTTAAAACATAGAACTTGGTAAGTTTTGACATATGTATGTGTGTGGACAGATAGATGGATATATAGATAGATATACAGAGACCTGTGAAAAAAATCACCATAGTCAACATAATGAATATATTTATCATTCCCAAGCATATCCTTATGCTCCTTGGGAAGCCCTTCCTCCTCATTTCCCTGACCCACACCAGTGTCCCAGATACCCACTGATCTGTTTTTTGCCATTATAGATTAGTTAGCATTTTCAAATATTTTATATAAATAAAATGACACTGTGTGCATTTCTTCCTGGTCTGGCTTTTTAAATCTAGTCTGATTATTTTAAGATTTATTCATGTTGTAGTCTGTTTGAATAGTTCACTCAGTTTTATCACTGAAAGGTATCCCTTGTATGAATAGATCACAGTTAGTTTATCCATTCATTATTGAGAGACATTTGAGTTATTTCCAGTTTGGGGCTATTATAAATAAATTTTCTATAAACATTCATGTGCAAATCACTGTATGGACATACACTTTCATTATTTTTGTAAGCTCTCAGGAGTGAAATTATTGGATTATATGGTATGTTAAATTTAACTTTGTTTTCCAGAAGGGTTTCACCACTTTACAACATAACCAGGAGAGAATGAGCATGTTGAAAGTTCTTTATGTATTCTGAATACAAGTTCTTTACAAAATATAAATGCAGATATTTTCTCCTAGCTTTTGGTTTGCCTTTTCTCAGTTAACAGTGCCTTTCTGATAGCAGAAGATTTTCATTTGGATGAAATCAAATTCCTTCCTTTTTCCCCCTTACTTTTGGGAGTCATGCTTTTTATGTCATAACAACAACAACAAGATTTCTTAACACAAAATTATATAAATTTTCTTATATATAGTCTTCCAGAAATAGTATAGCTTTTACATTTAGTTCTCTGGTTCATTTTAGATTAATTTTCTATATGGTGTGAGGAATAGATCAAGGCTTTTGTTTTTTCAATATGGATATCCAGTAGCAACAGCACTATGTTGAACTGTGGGATAGATTTTTTTTCTATTGAGTTACCTTTGTATTTTATTCAAAATTCAAGTGTGTGAATGTCTGGCTATATTTTTGGATTCTCTCTTTATTTCAGTAGTTTTACTTGTCTACCTGTAGACCTATATTAAACTGGATTACTATAACTCAGTAATAAGCATTAAAATTATAAAGTTACAGTGCAACTTTATTTTTCAAAGGTTTTGTTTGTTCTTTTGCTATACTAGGTCCTTTGCATTTTAAAATAAATTTTAGAATGAGTATCAATTTCTACTAAAATAAATAGAAGTTTTGTGGTATTTAAATATAGAATTGTGATGTTATAAAATATATTTTTCTTCTCCTCCCTGTTTCCTGGTATACAACCTTTAAAATCCCTGGAATCTCTGGAGTGATGAATGTCTTTTGTTTGCTAACAAAATGACTGGTTGCTTTGGCCCCTAGATAGTTTTAAAATGGAAACTGGTCACCTAAAAGCCCAAAGCATGATTAGAGTTAAGACTTTCAGCCCCATCAATCATGTCTACTTAAGCCTCCATAAGAACCCAAAAGGACTGGGTTTGGGATCCAGATTACTGAACACGTGGAGGTTCCTGCGGGATGGGGTGCCCAGACAGCGCACAGCTTGTGTTCCCTCCTCCATACCTTGCCCTATGCATCTCTTCCATCTAGCTGTACCCTTTGCAATATCCTTTATAATAAATGGTTGAATATAAGTAAAGTGTTTTCTGGAGTTATTTGAGCCACTCTAGCAAATTAATGAAACCCAAGAAGGGAGTCATAGAAACCCCAATTTATAGCCAGTCAGTCGGATGTATAGGTCACAACCTGGGAAGTGTGGTTGGCATCTGAATTGGGGAGAAGTCATCTGGGACAGAGCCCTCAACCTGTGGGATGTTATACCATCTCTAAGTAGTGCCAACCAAAAATAACAACAGAAAGAGATTCTCCAAAGATGCGTTTATTTTGGAATAAGCAGAAGAATTGCAATCCAGGAATACTTGTGCCATGGCACCCAATAAATGGCCATTGACGTACCCAGAAAGGCAAAGAAAGGAAAGGGTTTTTAGGAGCACTATGAGGGAAGTTACATAAGTTGTTTTGAAATAATTATCCTTGGCTTCAAGGATCTATAACAATAGTGGCATCAGTCCAAGGTCGAATAGGTAGTTGCTGGGCAGATGTCTTTATAAAGTACTATTTATAAAAGGTTGAGGGCCCTTTGTGGAAGGTTGTGGTTTCCAGAGAGTCTTTCTAATAATTTTAAACATAGATATGTGTGTGACAGCCCTTTCTTTATGGCCTCCTGACTATTTTGTTAGGGTTTGGCACGACTATTTTGATTCTGACAACTTTCATTGTAGTGTCAGAATTGAATTATAGGATATCCTGCTGGTGTCGACTAGAGAATCTGGTGTCAAAAGTGTTGTGTTTAGTGATGTGTGAGAGTAAGAAAAACACATTGGGTTTTATTTATCTTATCTATTAGGAATGCTTCGATTCTATAAATAAATTTTCAGAGAATTGGCATAAGCTTCCTAGAGCCCTTTACCATTAGAATAATTAGAGTAACAGAGAATATGTTTAATTCCTTCGGCAATAAGTTATGACAACACATACAAAGTGATATCCACCAGGAAAGCTGCCTGTGCCTAGGACTGCAGCATTTTACAGAGTTTTTAATGGGGATGCATGTAGGTGCATAATACCTGTATGACTCACCACAGTTACTAAAGCTCCAGAGCCCCAGAAGGAACACTGGGATTCACATAAAGCACATGGTTTACTCAGACTATCTAGAAAACCTGGCACAGTTTGGTTCAAGGACACAAGCATGCAAAACACTCTTATCACAACATTCGAAGAGCCCAGTTCCCAGGAATCAGCCAAGGGCCATTCATGAAAACAGACAATTCATGAAAACTGAGAACACTTAAGGCTGGAGTCACTCATGCCTGCTGAGTAAACTCTTTCCTACACACATTCAATTCCAAGTTTGAGAAAAGTTTTCGTCAAGGCTGAACATTGAATTTTGTCTGTATCTTTTTTGAGATTGTCATTTTTTTTTCTGAGACTGTAAACATGATTAAATGCATCGATTTTCAAATATTAAATGAACCTTACATTATTGGCATTAATCCACTTGGTAATGAAGTAGTATAGTTTATATATGTTGTTGAATTTTATTTGCTAAGTTTGTTTAGAATTTTTGGTAAAGCTGGGTGATGTATTTCTTCCAATTTTCTATATTGTTACTTATTTTTTGTCTATTTCTTTTATGAATTACTGAGAGAGAGGTATTGAAATCTCCAACTATGGTTGTGGATTTCTTTTTTTCTTGCAGTTCTGTCATTAGTTGCTTCATTTTTTTTGGAAGATTTGTTAATTATAAATATTTAGACTTATTTTAGTTTGACAATTTATTCATTTATTATTTAATAATTTTTTGTATATTTGGAAATAGTATTTTCTGTGTAACCTAGTTTATCTGATATTAATATGGCTCCTCAACTTGCTCTTGATTAGTGCTGGCAAGTTACATGTTTTTCTATCCTTTCCCTTTTAACCTGCTTACATCTTTACATATGAAGTTTGTTTGTTACACTTGGGTTTTAATTTTTTTTTCCTAATCTGACAGTCTTTGCTTTTTAGTTAGACAGTTTGCATTTAATGTAATTATTGTTGTGATAACACTTAAATAGTTGCTATTTGTTTTCTTTTTGTGCCACATGTTATTTTTTCCCTTTCCTCTTTTTCACCTTCTTTTCAATCAGTTGAATTTTTTTATATTTTCATTTTTCTTCTCCATTTTATTTACTTTTTTTCTTTTACATTAGTGGATGTTGTAAGGATTATTTACCTTTAGCTTATCTTTATGTCTTTAACATCTGTAGCTCATCACCCTCTAACTTCTAGTGATATTATACCACTTGCAAATAGTGCTCAGTCTAGTGTTATTAATTCCCCATTAGTAAAGTAAGACCCTTATGTGTACTTCCACGAAGCATAGATTTTCCATTCTTGCTGGTTAGAGCAGGATCTATTCACAGCTATGTTGAGTGCTGGATATTGCTACCTCTAATCCTTTGTGGGTTTTCTTTTCTTAGCCTCAAGTATTTTCCTTACATACATGTACTAATCAGTTCTCAGATGAATGAATATGTAAGGGGGCCTTCTGCAGATCTCTGAAAATGTATTTATCTGTGTATTTATGTATGTGCAACTTTCTCCTTTCCAGGAAGTCCAGTCACATTGGTCTTCCAAGAACATCAGTAAGCCCATCTCCTGATGGTAGATTAGTTACTTATTGCTAATGTAGCAAATCACCTCAAACATAGTGGCTTGAACCACCACAAATTTATGATCTTACAGTTCCATTGGTGAGAACTGCAGAATGGATCTTGCTCTGCTAAAACCACGGAGTCAGCAGGGCTGAGTTCCTCTCTGCATGCTCTAGGGGAGAGTTCATTTCCTTGACTTATCCAGCACTGGGAGGATGCCTAAATTCCATGGCTTGTGTCCCCTTCTTCCATCTTCCAAGTCAACAATGTTGCATCTCTCTAATCATTTTTCAACAGCCACATGTCCTTCTAACTCTAAACTGAGCTGGGAAAGTTTCTTTTATTTTAAAGACTCATGCGATTAGATCTAGATATCCAGGATTATCTCTCCATTTCAAGATTCTTAATCAGCATCTGTGAAGTTCCTTTCCCATGTAAGGTAGCATATCCACAGGTAAAGGGGATTAGGACATGTACATCTTTGGAGGGCCATTATTATGCTGCTATATCTAGGTTCTACCTCACTACAACATGCCCTAGAAACTTTCTTAAGTCAATAAGCTGGTCTATTGGAGAGTTTATCTCCTGTGTTTCTCATCTCTTGAAATTCTGGGTCTTTCACTGATTTCTATTTAGTGTCTTGAACACTGTGATTTCGTATATTTTGTCTTCTTTTTTTAAAAGTTGTTTCACGGGAAAGAGTAAATCCAATATTTGTTACTCCAACCTAGCTAGAAGCACTTCTGTCCTTGGTACTCTACTGTTTTAAAATAAATTTTCTTGATTCTTCATAGGATTGGGCATCTTTTAGTTTCTTTTTCCTTGTTTACTTTTGCTATTCAGGTTTACTATTTAAGTTTCTTTTTGGGAAGTTTGTATTTTTTTCCTCTTGTTTTATAGAAATAATTTATATAATATATTCTAGAAAATAATCTTTTACCAGTTGTCTGGAATATATTTTCTTTCAGTATGTGTTTTACTGTAGACTCTCTTGTTCATGAGGAATTTTTATTTAAAGAAAGTTTTAATATTATTATAAACAGACATCTTTTCTTTTAGGCTTTGTGCTTAAGACATCTTTCCCTGTCATGCAGTCATAAAGATATTCTAACATATATTTCTGCTAAAATTAGTTTTGCTTTTCACATCAGGTCTTTAATCATCTGAAATTTACTTCTTTGTATGATATGAAGTAGAGAGCACAATTTTTATATGGATAACAAATTATACTATTTATTGACTAATCCATTCTTTTCATAATGAATTATGAAATGCATTACTATTTTCTTTAGTGCAGTCTTTTTATGATAAATTCTTTTTTGAGAAATATCTTCAATATCACCTTCATTTTTAAAAAACTATTTTCATCAGGCAAAGAATTATAGTTTGCTGGGTATTTTCTTTTAACCATTAATTATACCATTTCATTGTCTTATGTTTTCATTATATTTATTTTAAAATCATTGCTCAATTTTTGCTGTTACTTTGATGGTGTCTTTTTGTATTTCGTTTTCAAAAGTTTTACTAAAATATACTTAGGTATGGATTTTTAAAAGTTTATTTATCTCTAGTTACATATTTGGCTTGACATATTTTGTCAGTTTTGAAAAATTACCGTCTTCTGACCTATTCTGTCTCGCCACTTTCTCTTATTCTTCTTCCTCCTCTTCAACTCCAATTTCATAGACATTCAGTTTCTTCCCCACTTCCAATTTATCTTTTGACCTGTTCTGTATTTTCCATTATTTTTTATTGCCTCCCCATATTTCAGGTCAGATGTTTTCTACTGACCTAGTTTCTAATTAATAAATTATTTCTTCACCAGGGCCTATAATGTTATTAAAACTATGTGTTGAAATTGAAATCATTATATTTTAATTAAGGCATTATTCAGACTTTCTGAATAATTATTTTTATACTTTCTCTTACCTCCCATGATTCATCATATTAAGTTATTAAACATTAATCACATATTAAGCACTTTAAAGTATAATTCTGATTTTTTAAAATTGATTTTTAATGTATCTCTTTTTATCACCTATTTTTTCTTTTGATTTTTGTCCATTCTTGTCTGTATAGCTGTTTATTCTTGATAGGATGGCAGAAACTGTGGAAGAAAATTAAAGAACTTCTTTGAGGCTTTGGATGATGTCTTCCTCTATGTATAATTTACTTTTATTTCTGGAAGACAGTTTAAAACATTAAGGAATTGAATTGACTTGTACCTGGACTTCAAGTGCAATTATTCATTATACAAGATAGCTGGTAAAATGTGTCCCCCAAAAGCGAGAACTAAAAGGCCACAAGCATTCATTAAAGTATATATGTAGAAGAATCAAGGATGTTTTCATGAAACATAGCATTTGAGCAGGATCTGTGTAATACTTAGGAGTTTGACTACATAGTTTAGAGCAAGAGACTGAACAAGGAAAGCAGACAGTTGAGTCAGAAAAGTGACTTCAAAAAATAACATTGTTCAAGTTGATCTAATATATTCAAACACATACATACACAAGCTTTTTATCATCACTCTCATTTTTTTTTCTGCAGATAAGCTGAGACCATCCTTGAAATAGACTCACTTTGGTGTAATCAAGTAAGAAATAAGAAATAGTGGTTTTCTGATTGCTCTTTCTCTATACAGAATATTTTATAAAATTGCCACTCAATTTGAATGTCATTGCTATCATGGTACAAAAGATTAACTCATAAAGTGAAAGTTTACTTTCTTTTCATCAATGTACATTTGAATTTAAATATTAACTATCTTGATGATACAAGAGTTTTATTCAAAAACTGACTTTTTAATGAAACCTAAGTCCTGAGAGCCCACTGAGTAAAATAACATTAAACAACGTTTCCTTTGCAGCTCAGAATCTCATCTGTAAAATGAGACTTTAGTGATTTGTGTAATTCATTCAACAAATAAGAGACCACCTTTATGGACCAAATATTTTCCTAGTAACACAATAGTACTTTCATTGTAGGATTGATATGTGTTTTCTGTCTTTTATCTTCACTCCCAGAACCAACCTCATTGTACTCCCTGAGAAATGCCAGCACCAAACAGTGCTTGCTCCTCAAAGTTTGCGTCCTAGCTCCACACGTTTCTTTTCTAACAGCATAAGCTGTTCAGCCTTCCTTCTGAAGAGGTCTGGCTCCTGCTCTGAGGGAACTACTTTCAAATACTAATTGTTAAAAACACCTACCTCTTCCCTTTTTTTAGCCTCATGTCCAGAAATGATAGCTGTTTCCTGCAGAAAATATTTCTTTGGCATCTCAATGTTTCCTAATTTGTATTTCAGTCTTCTAATATTTATATATCCAATAACTTATATTTTTTTCTGTTAAATTAATTGGCATATTTTATGTGGTCTTGATGGGACCTTGACTGATAAAGAGCCATAGACAGTCATATATGTAATTCTAATATAAATAATAGGTGTTATATAATGTTGATTTTAAGATATAATGGAAATATATGAAATTGAGATGATTTCATAGTTACCTAGTAGTCTAGGAAAGGCTTATAAGAAGACTTTACATTTGAATTGCACTTGATGCCTAGAAAAGAAATTTGTTAAGAAGATATGAAATTTGTAGCAGGTGGTCAAAGTGTCTTTCGGAAACAAGAAAGCATATGACTCTTTAAAACTGGTATGAAGTGTACCCTAATATGACTAGATTACGAAGGTATAAGAATATATGTGAGAAGTTACTGGATAATGAGATTTTTTAAAGTCTTTTTGTGTCAACTTGCTGACCTTAATATTGGACTAAGGAATTTGGACCTACCTTGTATTCAGTGGAAGTTATCTCTTGGACAAAGAGTTACATAACATAGTCTAAAATTTAGAATGTTTATCCAAGTAGCATTAATGGATTGAACATTAAACAGATGGACTTCAGGAGTTTCTTTAACAGAGTGTTGCAATAGTCCATGGAATAGATTAGGGCCTAAATTAAGTTAGTAGCAAC
Organism: Homo sapiens; assembly: GCF_000001405.40. Classification (NCBI taxonomy): domain Eukaryota; kingdom Metazoa; phylum Chordata; class Mammalia; order Primates; family Hominidae; genus Homo; species Homo sapiens. Next base: position 191,727,650 of record NC_000003.12, read on the forward strand.
TGAAGTTGAAAATTTAATGTAAGCAGATGTGGTAGCATAAAAATAAAAACACTAACCAAGATCTCTGGATTTTTGAAATAAATGTGAATAAGAACTTTATTTAAAAATTTTTTTAGTACTACGGAATGATATGAGCAAGCATAGTGTCTTTAACTCATATGATATATAAATTAAGGATTTTTTTGGCAAGTCTTGATCTTTTTTTCTTTCTTTAATAATCTTTTCTCTCTGAACAGTGAAAAGTGACTTTATTTTTGCTTGTTTGTTTTTTATTATCTTGAAGCTTCAGGCTAGTAATTTTGAACTCTTAGTAACAAGTGTACAATAATAGTAATCAATATGAAAGACACATACTTAGGAGACAGCTGCAGTGAGGGCCCAGAATACTGAAGTAGAAGTCAAAAGAGAGGTAATTCTCTCCTTCTTCCTCTGCCTTGCTGTCTAGCCTTAAGCAATAGTTTTCCACCTTATGTCCTCCATCAATAAAAGTAGGTATATTAATAAATATATCCTTATCTTGATTTCTTAGCAGTTTTAGGAACTAAGAAATGCATATAGGAATATCTATACTCTATAGATATTTTTCTTTTTAGGAAGTAAGAATGAGCAATAAATTTATTGTGTCTAATGCAAAGTAGGTTTGTTTGAGTTTTATCACTTTTCTACAAACTTCCCAAAAACATGGAAAAAATCAAGCAAAACAAAAACACTTGTTGTACACAAAGAAATATGACTCAGCACATTTGCATTATTTTAAAGGTCTGGATGGATTTTGTCTTGTTGCATTTCTGTCATAAAGTGACAATTTTAACATTGGCAGGAAACTAAAAGCCATTGTAGGGGTCAAGGAAAAACTTCTTTGCCCTCTATCGTATCACTGAAAAACTCAACTGACAAAAGGCAAATTAACAGGGGAAACAGTGTACAAATTTATTAGCATGCACAGGGAAAAAATCAGAGTGATTACCCAAAATCCCAATGGGATAGAGATGCTTATATATTCTACTTTATAGTGGAATATAGTGGAATCTTATAGGAAGATGGGAAAGTGTGGATGATTTTAGGGGGAGTATTAAATGATTTTCAGGGAAATTCAATGGGCTTAAAAAAAGATACAATGGCCTAGGATAGTGTCTCTTGGGCCTGAAGAGCAGATGATGGTTTGTGACAAAAGTCTGTCCATGAGTGTGGATAGGCTTCTGTCTTTCTTCGTGTGATATTAGTTCAGTTAATGAAAACTGAAGTCCCAGCAGACATAATTGTTCTGAGTCCAGGCTTTAGGCAGATAAGAGAACTTCAGAAAACAACTTCTTCTTGTGCTTCAGGAAAGACAAAGGATTGAGAGACAGGAGCGAGGGGCTGGGTGGAGGGAAGTAAGGTAGTTCAGGAAGACTTTGAGGCTTCTTTTTCAGTTCAGAGTATCAAAGCGCCGTATTTTGAGGTATTGGCTTCTAAGCCTCAGCACAATGTAAAACTATCACCTAGCATCCACCTCTCCTAGCTGCAGCATTTCTTCCAACTGATCTACTGGACCTTTCCTGCAATCTTCTAGTTGAGAAGAGTTCAAGTTTTCTCCCAGGGCTTCCCATTCTACCTTTGAAGTATAAACAGAAAGTTGTTTTAAAACAAAATATTTAGCTTTCCAAAGTTTCTAATTTTCCTTTCTGACTTTATCCCTGACAGTCAAAATAATACATTTTATTTCTCCTCTATATGATGACATTCTTTAAAAACACAATTTGCATGTTCCCTTCCATTTTACTCACCATTAACTTATTATATACCTGATATTGTTTATTAACTCTTTGGTAACTTTTTCATCGATTTCAATGAATCTCTTACTGTTTGGTGTAAGACACAGGTTTCCTAGACCTGGGTTGTATCGTTTATTCTGGCATGGGGCCTATAATGAAACCTATAATGAAAACACTCTTGGCATAGACTTATACGTACAAGTTGATTGCAAAGTAAGAATACATTAAAAATAATTCACTCAGCTATATATGAACTTAATAAGACTCTTTGCTCCTTGATATCAAGTTCCCTATCTTTCAATGTCTTGTACCTCCTTCATAATGCAGCAAATTTGACAGGTCTTACTGTTTGGGCCCTATTGCCTTTGCAGTATATATACACTGCCTGCTGCTCATACTGATATTCTCTCCTGTTTTATAGAGCCTCATTTCGGTATAGTGTTTCCTATTCTTTTGAGGTCTATACCTGTCTGTGCTCCTGAAGGTTACATAGGGTAGTTGGGTACTTGTGTACTTCTGTTATTGTAAAATATCACACAGTCTGATTACAAACAGAATACACTTAGATTTCATAAAATATGAGGAAAAATCGGACTCCTTTTCTCTTGTAATTTTCTTTTCTTCTTCTTTGTACCAACAATATACCCTGTCTCCTCCCTCCACCTCTACACAGGCTTTCCCCAAAAGCTCCATAGATAACAGCTCCATTATACTTCCACTAGAAAATGCTTGCTTTTAATTACCTCTAATTTGGCTATAAAAAAAGAAAAGTACTTCTTGCTTGTCTTGGAGGTTTTCATATGCACATTACCCTGAGGCAGAGACAGTTAACATTTCTCAAAATCTTCACCCTCACCTATTCTTTCATAAAGGCCAGTTATTTAGCAACTGTTTTTACTACATTTATCAGCCTTGTATATCAGTACTTTCTAATGAAATTAGAGTAGATATCATATGTACCACTTTCTGTCATGGATCATAAAAGCTCCCACAAGTGTACTTTCACGCCCTTTTTATTTGGGTAGGATGACAATAATGATGACTTGAGAGTACTTAGTAGTCACATATGATGATGGGAAACTTCAGATAATCTCACTTTTGAATGAATATAGAGAACAATTTCCTCTTCTCTTTGACCTTGAACAGCTATCCTGAACTGTGTTACAAAAGAGGAGCGGGATGTTCCATCGTGTTGAAATCCTTATATTTCTGCTAAAGCATGCTTACCTCTAAAGACAATGCCAATACTGATTGGTAGTCCTTCTTATTTCATACTTATTTCATGGTCATACTTATTACAATGCACATCACCACAGGAAAACTACCAATAATTTGAAAATACAACATTTCACAATTATCTGATTTGATGCTCATAACATGCTTGAGAAATAATAATAGATTGCTGTTCTGGAAGGAAACACCAAGTTTAGTTTTTTTGTTTGTTTGTTTGAGACGGAGTCTTGCTCTTTCGCCCACGCTGGAGTGCAGTGGTACGATATCTGCTCACTGCAACCTCCGACTTCCGGGTCCCAGTGATTCTCCTGCCTCAGCCTCCTGAGTAGCTGGGATTACAAGTGCACACCACCATGCTTGGCTAATTTTTGTATTTTTAGTAGAGACAGGGTTTCACCATGTTGGTCAGGCTGGTTTCGAACTCCTGACCTTGTGATCCACTTGCCTCGGCCTCCCAAAGTGCTGGGATTATAGGCGTGAGCCACCGCACCCAGCCAAGTTTAGGTATTTTTAAATGTTTGAAGCAGCAGAACTTTTTTTTTCAAATGGCATAATACCTTTACCTTCATTCCTTAATTGTTAAAGCAGTGTAAGAGTGAGGATGTTAGGAGGGGAGTGGTCCATGATAAGTCAACATGTTCTTTCTGCTAATAGTCTACCCACAGTTTCCCTTCAGGCACTTTCATAGACTCACTAGGCCTCTAAATAATACAGCTTACAACATGCTTCCAGATGAGCTAACTGAGGCTCAGACTCAGTCTTATGAGGCAAATTGAATTGATTTTGCATCACACTTGAATTATTCTGCTTTTGCACTATGACCTATACTCAACCCTCTGCCAGGGATGCCCTCCTCTTAGCCAGCTCCTTTTATAATCCTAATCATATGTCAATGTCTATATCCATGAGGCCTGTATTAGTTTTTGTTCTGCCATAACAAATCTTACAAAAAAAATCTTAATTGGGAATATATTAATTAGACTGGGGTGGCTCTAGCACTTTAAATTCTTAAATGTACAAACCAAAGCCCAGAGTAATAGTACATGGGAATTAGAAACCACATCAATCAGAAACCACCAACAAATCTCTATCTAGAAGTTTTTCACTCTAACCAATTATGATTATTTGTTCTTGCTGCTGTGAATACTTTATAAAAGTTTCCCCTGTTGCCCCTCCTGGTGGAGCGCTATACCCTGAGTAGTCTGGTGCTACTCAGATTTTCTGAATGCTCAAATAAACTCCTTAAAATTTAAATGTGCATAAGTTTTTCTTTAACAAGAGTTGCTACAGACTTAGATGCTTCAATAAATGCAATTTTTTTATCCCGTTCTGGAGGTTAGGAATCTAGGTGGGGTCAGCTGAGTCTTCATCTCCAGGTTTAACAAGACTGAAATCAAAGTGGCAGTAGGGCTGTGGTCCTCACTAGTCTCTGTGGAAGAATTCATTTCCAAGCTTCTGTTGGTAGAATGCATTTTTTTTGTAGTTGTAAGGACTGAGGTTCCATTTTCCTGATGCCTGTCAGCTGGGTGTTGTTCTTTTCTCCTAGAGTCCACCTATATATATGATTTTCAGCAGCCCCCTCAAGCAATGGTGAGTTGAGTCTCCTTCACACTTAAAATCTCTTTGACTTCCCTCTCTGTTGCATCTCTCTGACTTCTCCTTCTACTCTCAGCTAAGAAAACTCTGCTTTTAGAAGCTCATGTGTTTATATGAGGTTTACCTGAATAATCCAATATAATATTCCTAATTTAATTAGAAACCATAATTATATCTGTAAAATTCCTTGTAATGTGACGTATTCGTAGGTAAAACATTGGAGCTGAAGGTTATGGGGTTAAATTTCTGCCTAATACAATCTTCCTTGAAAAAGAAAAAAAAGAAAAAGTTGTGGGTACAGTGGTGAAAGTGCTACATCCTAGCCACTAAACCACCAGGGAAGCCATAGAGACCTACAAAGAGACTTAGACTCCCGCAAAATAATAATGGGAGACTTTAACACCCCACTGCCAATATTAGACAGATCAACGAGACAGGTTAACAAGGATATTCAGGCCTTGAACTCAGCTCTGAACCAGGCAAACCTAATAGATGTCTACAGAACTCTTCACCCCAAATCAACAGAATATACATTCTTCTCAGCACCACGTCACACTTATTCCAAAATTCACTACATATTTGGAAGTAAAGACTCCTCAGCAAATGTAAAACAACAGAAATCAAAACAAACTGTCTCTCAGACCACAGTGCAATCAAGTTAGAACTCAGGATTAAGAAACTCACTCAAAACTGCACAACTACATGGAAATTGAACAACCTTCTCCTGAATAACTACTGGGTAAATAACAAAATGAAGGCAGAAATAAAGATGTTCTTAAAACCAATGAGAACGAATACACAATGTATCAGAATCTCTGGGACACACTTAAAGCAGTGTGTAGAGGGAAATTTATAGCACTAAATGCCTACAAAAGAAAAGAGGAAAGCTCTAAAATTGACACCCTAACATGACAATTAAAAGAACTAGAGAAGAAAGAACAAACAAGTTCAAAAGCTAGCAGAAGGCAAGAAATAACTAAGATCAGAGCAGAACTGAAGTAGATAGAGACACAAAAAACCCTTCAAAAAATCAACGAATCCAGGTGCTGGTTTTTTGAAAAGATCAACAAAATAAATAGACCACTAGCAAGACTAATAAAGAAGAAAAGAGAGAAGAATCAAATAGACACAATAAAAAATGATAAAGGGGATATCACCACCGATCCCACAGAAATACAAACTACCATCAGAGAATACTATAAACACCTCTATACAAATAAACTAGAAAATCTAGAAGAAATGGATAAATTCCTGGACCCATACACCCTCCCAAGACTAAACCAGGAAGAAGTTGAATCTCTGAATAGACCAATAACAGGCTCTGAAATTCAGGCAATAATCATTAGCCTACCAACCAAAAAAAGTCCAGGACAAGACGGAATCACAGCTGAATTCTACGAGAGTTACAAAGAGGAGCTGGTACCATTCCTTCTGAAACTATTCCAATCACTAGAAAAAGAGGGAATCCTCCCTAACTCATTTTATGAGGCCGGCAGCATCCTGATACCAAAGCCTGGCAGAGATACCAGAAAAAAAGAGAATTGTAGGCCAATATCCCTGATGAACATCGATGTGACAATCCTCAATAAAATACTGGCAAACTGAATCCAGCAGCACATCCAAAAGCTTATCCACCACAATCAAATTGGCTTCATCCCCGGGATGCAAGGCTGGTTCAACATACACAAATCAATCAACGTAATCCATCACATAAAAAAAACCAATGACAAAAACCACATGATTTTCTCAATAGATGCAGAAAAGGCCTTTGACAAAACTCAACAGCCCTTTATGCTAAAAACTCTCAATAAACTAAGTATTGATGAGACATATCTCAAAATAATAAGAGCTATTTATGACAAACCCGCAGCCAATATCATACTGAATGGGCAAAAACTGAAAGCATTCCCGTTGAAAACTGGCACAAGACAGGGATGCCCTCTCTCCCCACTCCTGTTCAACATAGTGTTGAAAGTTCTGGCCAGGTCAATCAGGCAAGATAAAAAAAAAAAAGGGTGTTCAATTAGGAAAAGAGGAAGTCAAATTGTCCCTGTTTGCAGATCACATGATTGTATATTTAGAAAACCCCATCGTCTCAGCCCCAAATCTCCTTAAGCTGATAAGCAACTTCAGCAAAGTCTCAGGATACAAAATCAATGTGCAAAAATTACAAACATTCCTATACACCAATAACAGACAAACAGAGAGCTAAATCATGAGTGAACTCCCATTCACAATTACTACAAAGAGAATAAAAACCCTAGGAATACAACTTACAAGGAATGTGAAGGAACTCTTCAAGAAGAACTACATACCACTGCTCAACAAAATAAAAGAGGACACAAACAAATGGAAGAATATTCCATGCTCATGGATAGGAAGAATCAATATCGTGAAAATGGCCATACTGTCCAAAGTAATTTATAGATTCCATGCTATCTCCATCAAGCTACCACTGACTTTCTTCACAGAATTGGAAAAAAACTACTTTAAATTTCATATGGAGCCAAAAAAGAGCCCACATTGCCAAGACAATCCTAAGCAAAAAGAACAGAGCTGGAGGCATCATGCTACTTGACTTCAAACTATACTACAAGGCTCCAGTAACCAAAGCAGCATGGTACTGGTACCAAAACAGAGATAAAGACCAATGGAACAGAGCATAGGCCTCAGAAATAACACCACACATCTACAACCATCTGATCTTTGACAAACCTGACAAAAACGAGAAATGGGAAAGGGATTCCCTATTTAATAAATGGTGCTGGGAAAACTGGCTAGCCATATGTAGAAAGTTGAAACTGGATCCCTTCCTTACACCTTATACAAAAATTAATTCAAGATGGATTTAAGAGTTAAATGTAGACCTAAAACCATAAAAACCCTAGAAGAAAACCTAGGCAATACCATTCAGGACATAGGCATGGGCAAGGACTTCATGACTAAAACACCAAAAGCAATGGCAACAAAAGCCAAAATAGACAAATGGGATCTAACTAAACTAAAGAGCTCCTGCACAGCAAAAGAAACTATCATCAGAGTAAACAGGCAATGTACAGAATGGGAGAAAATTTTTGCAATCTACCCATCTGACAAAGGGCTAATATCCATAATCTACAAAAAACTTAAACAGATTTACAAGAAATAAACAACTCCATCAAAAAGTGGGCAAATTATATGAACAGACACTTCTCAAAAGAAGACATTTATGCAGCCAACAGACACATGAAAAAATGCTCATCATCACTGGTCATCAGAGAAATGCAAATCAAAACCACAGTGAGATACCACCTCACACCAGTTAGAATGGCGTTCATTAAAAAGTCAGGAAACAACACATGCTGGAGTGGATGTGGAGAAATAGGAAGGTTTTTACACCGTTGGTGGGAGTGTAAACTAGTTCAACCATTGTGGAAGACAGTGTGGCGATTCCTCGAGGATCTAGAACTAGAAATACCATTTGACCCAGAAATCCCATTACTGGGTATATACCCAAAGGAGTATAAATCATGCTACTATAAAGACACATGCACACGTATGTTTATTGCAGCACTATTCACAATAGCAAAGACTTGGAACCAACCCAAATGTCGATCAATGATAGACTGGTTAAAGAAAATGTGGCACATATACACCATGGAATACTATGCAGCCATAAAAAAGGATGAATTAGTGTCTTTTGTAGGGACATGGATGAAGCTGGAAACCATAATTCTGAGCAAACTATCACAAGGACAGAAAACCAAATACCGCATATTCGCACTCATAGGTAGGAATTGAACAGTGAGAACACTTGGACACAGGGCAGGGAACATCACACACCAGGGCCTGTCATGGGGTGGGGGGCTAGGGGAGGGATAGCATTAGGAGAAATACCTAATGTAAATAACGAGTTAATGGGTGCAGCAAACAAACATGGCACATGTATACCTATGTAACAAACCTGCATGTTGTGCACATGTACCCTAGAACTTAAAGTATAATAAAAAAAAAAAAAAGAAAAAGTTGTGGGTACAAAGTAGGTGTCTATATTTACGGAGTATATGAAATGTTTTGATACAGGCATACAATGTGAAATAAGCACATCATCGAGAATGGAGTATCCATTGCCTCCAGCATTTATCCTTTGAATTTCAAATAATCTAATTACACTCTGTAAATTATTTTATACTGTCCAATTAAATTATTATTGACTGTAGTCAGCCTACTGTGCTATCAAATAGTAGGTCTTATTCATTCTTTCTAAATATTTTTTTTTTGTCCTCATTATCCATCACCACCTTGCTCCCCCATCCTCCCCTTCCCCATTACTGTTCCCAGCCTCTGGTAACCATCCTTCTACTCTTTATGAGTTCAATTGATTTGATTTTTGGATTCCACAAATAAGTGAGAATATGTGATGTTTGTCTTTTGTGGTTGGCTTATTACACTTCACATAATGATCTTCAGTTCCATCAATGTTGTTGCAAATGACAGGATCTCATTGTTTTTTATGGCTGAATAGTACTCCATTGTATGTATGTACCACATTTTCTTTATCCATTCATCTGTTGATGGACAATTAGGTTGCTTCCAAATCTTATTGTAAACAGTGCTGCAACAAACATAGGTGTGCAGAAAACTCGTTGATATGCCGATTTCTTTCCTTTTGGGCATATGTTCAGCAATGGGATTGCTGGATCATGTAGTAGCTCAATTTTAAGTTTTTTGAGGAACCTCCAAACTGTTCTCCATAGTGCGTGTACTAATTTACATTCCCATTAACAGTATACAAGAGTTCCCTTTTCCTCATATCCTCGCCAGCATTTCTTATTGCCTGTCTTTTGGATATAAGCCATTTTAAGTGGGGTGTGGTGATAGCCACCCCACCATAGGAGTATTGCCAGACTACCACCAGTGTTGCCTGTAGGCCCAAGGTTTCTTAAGTCAGCTTGTCATTAATGTTGCCTGGCTTGGGACTCATCCTTCAGGACAGTAGGCTTCCCTCTGGTCCAGGGCAGGTCAAGAAATGCCACTGAAGAGTCAAGTCCTAGAATTGGAGACCCCAAGAGCCCACTTGGTGCTCTGCCCCACTGTGGCTGTGTTGGTAAGGTGCAAGACAAAGTTTCCTTTACTTTTCCCTCTGCTTTTCTCAAGCAGAAGTTTTGTCCCATAGCTGTTGCAGAACTTTTCCTTAGTTCAGGTAAAGACGAGGTTCTTTGTCCCATGGCCATGAAAATCCAGGCTCACAGACAATTTGAATGGTGAGTAGGACTAGGTTTTATTGGGTGAAAAGGAAAAAAGGTGGCACAGGGACTCTCGCAAGACCAGCGTCCCTGCTAGAGCGCTTCCCACCCGCAGCTTGAATCCCCAGGTTCCACACAGTAAGAGGAGAGGCCAGGCTCCTCACCATGGCAAATGGTGCAAAATTCTGTGGCTCAACCACAGTGCACAGGCTGGTTGAAGATTTTCCAGGGACCCCCTCCAACCTGGCTGTCTCATAGCCACCACAGTTATGAGTTTAATTTGGTTTCAAATGTGTTGAGTCTCACCTGAAGCCAACAAGTCTCTGAGGCTCACCAAGGCCCTTAATGCAGTACTTGGGTATCACTACTGGTTATTCAGGGCCCAAGGGCTCTTCAGTTTGCAGACAATAAATGCTGGCAGGACTAGGTCCTTTTTTTCAAGGTGGCAAGTTCTCTTCTGGTCCAGGGTGTGTCTAGAAACGTCATCTGGGAGCTAGCACCTGAAACAGAGGCTGCATGACTCTGACCAGTGCCCTATCTGGCTGTGGCTGAGCTGGTATCCTAGATGCCAGACAAATCCTCTCCACTCTTCCCTCTCTTCTCCTTAAGTGGAAGGAAGGGGTCTCTTTTGGAGCTGTGAGCTATGCAGCCTGGGGTTAGGGGAAGGGTGATGCCAGCACTCCCTTGGCTGGTGTCTCAGTGTGTTGCATGTCTCCCAAATCCAGTATCTCTGGGCCTAGTTCAGCATGAGGACTGTGAGAAACATGCTCTATCCAAACTCAGAGAATGGACTCAGAGGCAGGAAGAACAGCAAAAGTGAGACTTTTAGTAGTGGTCTTGCAAGATCAGCTGTCCAGTAGGCGGGCACACCCAGGGCAGCTATGGCAGGCAATTTATCTTCTAGTATGCAAGTGTCAAGTACTGTGGGGTTACAATCTTCCCAGATGAAACCTAAGTTTCATTATCTCCCTTATAAGGTTTTGTCCTGGTCCCCTTCTCCACTTAAGTTTTGATTTCTGAATAATGAAACTTTCTTCCCTTTTATGGGCTGACCCCTCTTCTACATGCTGTTTACTTATCATGACTTTCTAGGAGTGTGGGCTGTGCAGTTTGTTACATTCACAGTCTGGCTGCCAGTGCTTAGATTTATCATGCCTTGAAAATGGATCATTTAAAATATTTTCTCACAAATTACCTCCTCTTTTCTATTTACTTCCTTTGGTCTCATTTTCATTTAAATCGTTTTGGTCCTCGAATTGCTCTAGAAGTCATTTACTTTCTTCCTCATAGGAGAATGAGTTTAATTTGGTTTCTAATAGTAGCAGGTTACTTTACTGGTAAGTCATGACATTTGTTTATTACTAGCTGTTTCAATTAATCTCTGTGCTAGTTCCTTTACACAAGGCATAATACAACACTCCACTGCTGTTAAGACTCTGGCCTCAATTATGAGAGATGTAAGAATTGAAGATACCATGCCTTTCCATTTTCCAAACCAACCTTCTAGCCAACCCATAAATGGTATATTACTTTCAGCATTTTCTGCCAGTTTGTTGGCTAGAGTCATCAGTCCTTGTAAAGCTTTTGTGATGGTCCCATCTGGGGCAGTATTCTTGGGAATAGAAGTACAAAATTTCCCACCCAGCATAACATATATGCCCCCTTTACTGCTAGTTAATTACATCTAACACAAACCTGTTTTCCCAGGCCATTCAGCTGGTGGCATCTAATTGGCTAGCCACGCCTTTGAGGGTGTCATGAGTATAACTGATAAATCTCTGTTGATTATGATAGATGTAGTTAATCCAATCAACATTCTTATTAATAGTTGACCACCAGAAAAGTGCTGACTCAAACCCGCAACTATTTGGTATCTGGCCTTAAATTCTTTAGGCACCCCCCTAGGGACTCCTATAGACTCCACATATATACTGGGATCAAAAGAATTTGTTATATCTCTCTGTTTCGGTGGCCATGTATATTTTCGGGTATCTTATGGAATACCAGGGTGAAGAGAATGGCCAGGTGGACCTAAGCCCAAGTCCTGGTCCAATTGGGATGGTAACAAGTTATGGAGGTTCCTTTTCCCACAATACCACCAGTCATCATCCTGGGGTATATGGATCACTGATTAATTGCCATTGCCTCACCGGTGATGTTTAGGATGTGGGTACAAGTCGACATTCTCCCACAGGCTTATTGAACTCTGCCCACTGCCTAGAGAGGGAAGAGGAGTGGTTCATATTCCCTATAGAGAATGAGGGGATTGCTCTAAGATCTGACCTCTGCAATGCAGGAAAGAGCAATGACAGACTCCTACAAGTCTCATTTCCCCATGCATCTTTGTCCTGGTATAGAGCCAACATGCAACACATTCCTTCAGGATCAGTATCCTAGATCAGTATCTAGGGGAAACATAGCCACCTGTGCCTGAGATCATCTCACAGTACATGCACAGCAGCTACTCTTGTTGAGGGCTTGTACCAAAAATTTGACCCATTCAACACAGGCATTCACATCCCCATACCCTGTCTCAATTTCTAAGTTTGCTTTAAATCCTTTACCTCAATTATTTTTACCCTTTTAGGGTCATTATTTGGAAGACTAAAATGTTTATTAGGGTGTGGGTTTGGAGTCATCCCAGGCAAATGGGAGTTGAGTTCTTGATTAGTTTGAGAGCAAATCACCCTAGGGGGTCTTTCCCTGTGATGTCTACCCCAACCCATATACACGAGATGCTACTTTTGGTTCTTAGTCTAGAACAGCTGGATTGTCAATGGTGATCAGTATAGGATTGCATTCTAAATTCTGGCAATTATTTGGAGGGGTGGGGGAGCCCTTAGACAGATGTAGTTTATCCTTCAAGGGTCTCCAGCTCAGAGTTACCCACCCCATGTTTATTATCCAACGCTGAAAGGTATTCATCCATCATACATTATCACAGCTGGGGCATGGTGATGCCCTACTGTAACCTGTATCTGGTTCAGGGCAAATATATTTATCTGCCTGCAAGAGCTGTCTCTGATTTTTTAAATTCCCACAAGGTAAGGCATGGCAGGCATCAAATCTTATAGTTTTGGGTGCTGCTATCTTGGTCACATTAATCATCAACCTGATTGGGTAGGGAGGAGTCCCCTGACAGTTTCCATTTTGACCTTCTGCTCTTTGTATAGTAGCCCATCCCAGACATATTAACTTCCAGAAATGGGGCCAGCCCATGTTTCTTATTAGACTTTTCTCAGAGTTAACTTTAAGAGTCCTCAGGTGACCCGTGCACTTTTCACTGGTCTTTTCCCCTCCCTTATGGGGTCTCTTTTACCAGTCCCTTGGCTCGAGTATAGTGAGTCCACCCCCATTCAGCTGTTTGCATGGCTGTCTCAATGGTCAGGAGCACTTGATAGAGACCTTTCCAGCTTGGGTGGAGCTTGTCTTCTTTCCAAGTCTTAATCAGGACTAAGTCACCAGGCTGGAAGTGGTGAACTGCAAACTCAAGAGGCTGAGTTTGAGTCAGTAGTCCTTTTAACCTAAGAGATGACAGGATGTGGAATATGGCCACTATATAAGAATTGACCCTTGGTTTATAGTAGGGAGATCTGTAGCTCTGCCCAAATACAGGAGCCCATATAATAACTCATATGGGGACAATCCCAAGTCTTCTCGTGGGGCTGTCTTAATCCTAAGGAGTGCTATTGGGAGGCATTCAGTCCAAGGCATTTTAGTTTCTAAGATTAGTTTGGAGATATGTTTTTTAGAGTTTGATTCACTCTTTCTACCTTTCCAGAGAAAGGGGGATGCCAAGGGGTGGGATATTTCCATCTAATTTGTAAACCTTCCATAATTCCCCTTAACACCCTTGAGGTAAAGTGGCTCCTATTGTCTGAATCAACATTTTCTGGGCTGAGCATGGTGGCTCACGCCTGTAATCCCAGTGAGGCAGACAGATCACCTGAGGTTGGGAGTTCGAGACCAGCCTGACCAATATGGAGAAACCCTGTCTCTACTAAAAAAAAAAAAAAAAAAAATAGAAAATTTGCCAGGTGTGCTGGTGCATGCCTGTAATCTCAGCTACTCAGGAGGCTGAGGCAGGATAATTGCTTGAACCTGGGAGGCAGAGGTTGCAGTGAGCTGAGATCACACCATTGCACTCCAGCCCGGCCAACAAGAGTAAAACTCCATCTCAAAAAAAAAAGTTCATCTGGCCAAATCCAGGTACAATCTGTTTTAATATTTTTTGACCACATTTCTGGTGGTGGCTATTGGAAGGAGAAAGGCTCTTCTACTTTGGGCATTTCTGTGAAATCTACTTGAATGGTTTGAAATGGTCTTAGTCCAGGAGGTCTTCCTCCTGTGGTCTGTTTTCTAATCACCTTTTTGTTTATCCTTTGACAAGTTAAAACAACTTTCACATACTTTTTTAGTGAGGGTATAAATTCCTAAGTATTGCATTACACAGAGCCTGGGGTCCCCAGTGACTCCCTTTGTGTAATAGAGACATTAGGTCTCCTATTAGGGGTTTACTCATACTAGCTCTCTCACACTGTCCACCTTTATCTCAGCTGTCTGTTCTGGCTCTGTGGCTCCAGCCACCCCCATGCCTGCAGCTGCACTCCCTGGCCTGCAAGACCAGCTCTTGGTTAAAAGTTAACCTTCAAAAGGCCTTGCCCTACTGGGTCCTTCAGATCTAATCCAGAGTATTTTCTCATCTGATCTCTGAGCCTCTGCAGGAATGCAGAGGGAGTTTCCTCTTTTTCTTGTTGAATCTAGAATGCCTCTGAGACATTTTGTGTCCTAGGAGTGGACTCTTTGATCCCTTTAATTATTAGTTCCCTGAGGTCCTGCATTTGGGCCCAGTCCCTGGGATCATTATTATCCCATTCAGGATCGACATTTGGAAATTTTTATTCAGCTGGAAAGACTCCTTTCCTTGGAGGGTGTTGCCTCTCCCATATGGTCATGGCCACTCTCCTAATCACTCCCCTTTCTTCTCCTATGAACAGGATATTTATGATAGACATTATCTTAGCCCAGGTGTAAAAATTTGGTCCTAGGAATTGGTCCAGCTGGTTTACTAAACTGAGGGGATCTTCTAAGAGTGGTCTCATTTCCTCTTTGAAATTCCTAACTTCGGTACTTGTAAGAGGACTGTTTACAAAGCCAATTTCTCCTTGTTCCATGGGAACTGCCCTAAGTAGGAGCATGCTAGATGCCTGCTGTGTAGAAGGGATAGAGAAGTTCTCAATATCCCTCTTATACTGTTCTAATTATTTTCTTAAATTTGGATGAGGATCTGAAGGAGTTTTTGTTCTCCAGGTCTTTCTTCCTCTAACCCTCCTGTTGCTCCTTTATCTTCTTGTCTCCTATTTTGTGAGATGTAGGTAGGGGGTGAGCATGATGGAGGGATCCCAAGGCTTTTCACTGGGTGAGTGCTCTTTGCTAGGCTTTTTTTCTCCTTCTTTGAGGGGGAACAGGGGGTCTACTTCCTTGATCCAGCAGAGAGCATAACCTGTATCTTCTGGTGAGGATGGGATTTTATCATTCACATAGATAATTAAAGCTTGGTACACCCAATCCTCATCTAAGCCAAACTTAGGCCAAAAGACTGAAGGCTGACGAATGGGTTTTTGGGCCAGATAAAACAGCAATACATCATCATCTTTTGCTTTTCCTTGTCCCTGGTTTGAGGGTTGTCCCTCCAAACCTGCAACATTCTCCCGAAAGGACTATCCAGGGGAATGTCTGAAGGATTCTCTTTAGCTCCCTCTTCCCTTTGTCCCCTAGGCCTAGAATTCCTGTTTCCCATTGTCAGTCAGTCTCTGTGTCTGAGCTTTTCCCTGTGTACTCCCCCACCCCCCACTGGAGGTTTCTTGCACACCCCGATAATCACTTCATACATCTCCAGCTGTTTCCCCCACGGGAGAACAGAACTGCGAATTGGGACTCCGCATTCACTTTGTATCTTGGATACGTCTCAGTCACACACACTCAACCTGCAAAAATGCCCAACTATTAAGGAAGTACTTATAGTCCACTTTTCCTTCCTCAGCTCATGCACGAGGTTGCCTTGTTCCCACAGGGCCTGCTTTTTTCCCTTTGTTGCCTCTATTGCCTCCTGAATAACAGTCTCCGGTTTGTCTATGGCCTCCGCGGGGAGCCGGGATGCCCAGACAGAGCAGGCCACCTAAATCGGGTGGAATGTGTCTCCCCTCTCAGCCAGAGTCCCACTCCATGCAGGCACAGAGATCCTGAACGGGACCTCAGATTTGTGAGAAACATGTTCACTCATCCAAACCCAAAGAATGGACTCAGAGATACAAAGAACAGCAAAAGTGAGACTTTTAATAGCGGTCTTGCAAGATCTGGTGTCTGACAGGCACACCTGTAACAGCTACAGCAGGTAATTTATCTCCTAACATGCAAATCCTTCCCCCAGTTCCTCATTGGTCGAGTATTATGGGGTTACAATCTTCCCAGACGTTGCCTAAGCTTAATTATTCCCCTTATAAGGTCATACCCCAGTCCCTTTTCCCACTTAAGTTTCGACTTCCCAATAACTAAACTTTCTTCCCTTTTATGGGCTGACCCCTCCTCTAAATTACGTTCATTTATCATGGCTTTCTAGAAGAATGAGCTGTGTGGCTTGTTACATCTGCAGGCTGGCTCCCAGTGCTTAGATTTATCATGCCTGAAAATGGACCATTTAAAATGCCTTCTCACAGGACTCACCTAAGAGTTGCAGTCCCTATGACAGATTGCCTTTCAAGTTTACTTGGAGACACAGAGTGCTTGCAGCAATGGAGGTGAGGTTTGAAGGCTCTCAAGTTTGGACCACTAGGATTGGTAATTCCCCTCTGGCTAGGGCTAGTTTAAATGCTCCCTTTGTGGGCATGGGTGGGTGACAGCTAAATTTGGGCCAGTTTTCCTCTCTGTTCTAACAGGACAGCACTGAGTTCAATGCCTCACAATTGCTGCATTCTCCCTCCCTCAGTGCCCAGAGGCACTCCCCACAGCTGCTAATGCCTTGGATGGAGGACGGGTGGCATCCGTGATCCAGGATTTTTTTTCTATCTCTTCGGCGCTTCTTTCAGTGATATGAAGTTAAAACCAGGTACTATGATTCCTCACCTTATTTTTGATTCTTATGATGGTCTTTATTCTGTGTAGATGTTGATTTGGTGTCCTTGGGGTCGGAGTGAGTGGGAGGATTGGGGGAGCTTTCTATTCTGCCATCTTGCCCCACCACCTGTTAGTACTTCTCATAGTGCGCTTACCTTATCCTGTGATAAACTCATTTGTATACGTGCCTTAATTTTCTTATTAAATTATAACATCTTTCTGATGATGATTATTCATAGTGTTTAATCCCTTTAGTGTCTAATACACCTAAACTACTAAGCAAGTTTTATTATTCACATTGAATAATTCAAAGTCACACAGTTAGTAAAGAAAGAATTCCTAGAACCAGTGCTAGAATAGGAATCTTAGTTCAACATTTTCTCTTCAGTAATCATTGTCTCTCAAACTTTCATGTGCCTTGTCCTTTATCTTATCTGCATAAACAGAATGTTTTGTCTGTATATACAAATGCTGAACACAGCACCCTGGAGTTTTCTTGGCTAGATAAGGAGAGACAGAATAGAATAGGAGAAATGGTTATGTTAACATTTTTCTTTTTGCAAACTGCCAACCTTTATCCCTTACCTAGAAACTGGGCATTCTTTATAGACTAGGATTTTATACATTTTAAGGAGACTTTTCTTTTCTTTTCTTCTCTCTTTTTTTTTTTTTTTTTTTTGGTGAATGAAGATTTAGGCTTATGTAATGGTCTTTTCAAATCTTTTTTATCTGTAATCTGGGCTAAGCAATCTAGCACTCTGTTCTATTAAATGCTTCAGTAAGCAGTCCCACTCAAGTCCCAGGAAATCCCAATGTGTTTGTTAGATGCCACCTTAACTTACCAACCTGCCTTTAGCCTAAAGGCTATTTTTTCTTTATCTTTGTAGTTGCCCTGCTGCTGGGATTCTATTTTTACCTTCTAGAGAAGAATTTCTCATTTTATTGGAGTGATTTTCCTTGCACGTGTGGCTGACACAGTAAAACTTTCAAATTCCTAACAAGTTGGTCTTCTGGGACTGAACAAAAATGGGTTGAAGGGGGCAGTGGTGGAAGTAAAAATCATCCTTTGCTCTCACCGAAGTAGAGACAGCAGTGGCGTGTTATCCTAAACCTGGAACTGGGATCAGAAGATATGAATTCAAGGCACTGGCTCTGCAACCATTGTGCTTGTTGACATTGTGAAAATTATATAATCTCTCAGCCTCAGTTACCTTAGACACAAAGGGGAATAAGTATGACTTATTCTGTGCTATTTCTGAAGATAAAATAAATATATTTTGTGATTTGTAAAGAATAATACCAATTATTACCAAGAGTACTCACACAATTCATTTTTGTGTGTATGTAAATATAAAATCATCATCATTCTTTTTCCAGAGAAGACTGAAGAACAGGTAGGCTCCATCCCTGACTTGAGATCAAGCAGCAGGTTAGCCAAACCCAAAGATTAGAATTCAATAGTCTATGATTCCCACTAGGTTCATTAATTCTTAACTGCGGCATGAGCCAGTTTCTCTACAGAATTACTGCCAATAGAACATGATTCACTTCTTAATTGTAATTTCCCTGCATTTTCTTATAATTAAGTGGGGAGGTTTTAGGGACTTTTAGTCACTTTTCTAAGAATATCTTAAACTTTAAACTTGCACTATTTTGACTCTCATTATACCTAGCATTCAAGTCTCCTGATTAATTTGTTGATGAATTTGGCTTCCAAGTTTGAGGATGATGTCTAGCATCCACCATATGTTTATTAACTTCTTCACTGAGCAGGAGGCTATTTTGAAGACTACTTTTTATTTTATTAAGTTCCAGGATACATGTGCAGGATGTGCAGGTTTGTTACATAGATAAATGTGTGCCATGGTGGTTTGCTGCACCTATTAACCCATCACCTAGGGATTAAGCCCCACATGCATTAGATATTCATCCTGATTTTCTCCCTCCCCTCCCCTTCAGGCCCAGTGTGTGTTGCTCCCCTCCCTGTGTCCATGTGTTCTCATTGTTCAGCATCCACTCAGGAGTGAGAACATACAGTGTTTGATTTTTTGTTCCTGCATTAGTTTGCTGAAAATAATGGCTTTCATCTCCATTCATGTAAAGGACATGATATTCCTTTATATGGCTGCACAGTATTTAATGGTGTATATATACAACATTTTCTTTATCTGGTCTGTCATTGATGGGCATTTGAGTTGATTCCATATCTTTGCTATCGTGAACAGTGCTGCAATGAATATACGCATGCATCTATCTTTATAATAGAATAATATATGTTCCTTTGGGCATATATCCAGTAATGGAATTGCTGGGTCAAATGGTATTTCTGGTTCCAGGTCTAAGGAATCACCACACTGTCTTTCACAATGGTGTAACTAATTTACATTCCCACCAACAGTGAAAAAGCATTCCTACCTCTCTATAGCCTCAACGGCATCTGTTGTTTCTTGACTTTTTTAATAATGGCCATCCTGACTGGCATGAGATGGCATCTCATTGTAGATTTGATTTGCATTTCTCTAATGACCTGTGATGTTGAGGTTTTTTTTCATGTTTTTTGGCTGTATATATGTCTTCTTTTCTGTTCAGGTCCTTTGCCCACTTTTTTATGTCATTTATTTCCTTGTAAATTTGTTTACATTTTTGTAGATTCTGGATATTAAACTTTTGTCAGATGGATAGATTGCAAAGATTTTCTCCCATTCCTTAAGTTGTCTGCTCACTCTGATGATAGTTGCTTTTGCGTACGAAGCTCTTTAGTTTAAATCGGTCTCATTCATTAATTTTTGCTTTTGTTGCAATTGCTTTTGATGTTTTTGTCATTAAGTCTTTGCCTGTGCCTATGTCCCGAATGGTATTGCCTAGATTTTCTTATAGGGTTTTTATAGTTTTGGGTTTTACATTTAAGTCTTTAATCCATCTTGGGGTAGTTTTTGTATAAGGTGTAAGGAAGGGGTCCAGTTTCAATTTTATGCATATGGATAGCCAGCTTTCCCAGCACCACTTATTAAATAGGGAATCCTTTCCCCATTGCTTGTTTTTGTCAGGTTTGTTGAAGATCAAATGGTTGTAGATTTGTGGTCTATGCCTTAATCCAGGACGGGTGCTAAACTATTGTGGGACAACTGTAAGGCTGTTCTTTTCTTCATTTCCACACCTAAGAACTATGGATTTTAACAATCCATAGTGATCAGACTTATTTATGTGATGCCCTTTGTTAAAGGATAGCAACATGTCCTTTACCAAAAAATCAAAAGCAAAAACATATAAAACCACCACCACCAAGGATTCAAAAGTAAAAGACCACCTGAAGGGACTTACTTCAAAATAATCAAATTGGCAGAGTGAGAGGCCATTGTGAATGGAGCAGTTGAAAAATGGGCTAGTGATAAAGCAAGATTGGCCAGGAGGTGATAATTTATGATCTGGCTTATGAATATATGGAATTCTCATATAATTCTGCCTAACTTTTACTAATAACAAATGCTAAAGAATCAATTTGATAATAAAAGTTACAAAACATTTTTTATAAAACCTATAAAAAGAACATTGATATTATTATGAATGATACATTTTTGATCTTAAGAATGCCTGTGCTTATTTGTCAAAATGGAAAGACTTTCAGCAGTTTTAAATTGCATTTCAGATGGGAGAGCCACTTAATCTTTGATAGATTTGATAAATCATAAAGAAGATCTTACATACAATTAAAAACTTAAAAGTTGACAGGTATTCCTATACCTACATCTTTTTGCTCAGGAATATTCTTGAATAGTGACCTACCTTGGTCCTGGTATTTGGATGTAAATATATCATTTTACTTCTGAGACCCATCTTCCTGAGGGATATTAAGTGTCCACTATTTGTAGCATTTGCAGCTAAAAAGAGTATTACATAATTTAAGCTACTAATGGATCAACATGCCTTAGGATTGGATTCTGGGCTTAGAATTTTAATAATATCTTGTCTTTATTTTAAGACTATTTCTTTTTGCAAGAGTGGTAAAATGAGCTCTAAAAACATATTTAACTAGCTGCAATTTTTTTATTAAAGAGAATCTTGGGAATTTTGACAGGTGTTATTTTCATAGTCCCTCTTTATCAGTCACATTGATCCATCTTTTTCTGTGTCCTTTTCTGTAACTTTCACATCAATTATTTTGCAAGATGTTTGATGACAATCAAAAGTTCCATGTGTGCTATAATAAATTCTCAAGTAGAAGAATGAACAGAATTGGAAGTATCACTCTTCAGGATAAATATGAAATGTCCGTGCCTTACCTTGTTGACATGGTGCATAAAACGTCTTGAGAGATAGTGTCCCCAGAAGGAAGGTTCAAATATGATTATCATGTAATGTACTATACAAGGTTATAGCAGATACTTTATATAAATACATCAGTGAAATACTGTCAAAAAAGACACAGATTAAACATTATCGAATTGGCACCAACGTCAACATTTTTGCCTGGAGTTTTATATATAAAATACTTTAAAAAAATAAAAGTCAACAAGTTTATAATAAGAGATTTTTGTTTTCTATAAGAAATCTTACATATTTAGTCATTTCCCTTTCATCCAAAAAGATGTAATATTCATATTGCAGGAGATACATGATGGTTAGTCGTTAACTTTTGAAATTTACTAAGAATTACAAATATTCAAATGATTTGAGATGAATTGAGTCGCCACATATTTCAAATAGCTTTATAAACTATAAATTCATGATTTACATCACAAAGGTCAAACACAACATTTAGTACCTCAAAAAATTAGTACTTATTTGAGTTAGGTGGTCAAGCAATAATCTAACCCGGTTATAAAAGTTAATTCTGAACTGAAAGTGAGAAGTGCCCAGTGTCCAAGAAACATAAGTCTTAACATTCTGGGAATGTTCAGCTCGAAAGGCCTCCTAGCAAGTGACTTTCCATTAGGGATGTGTAGAGTAATTGGGGATCTGCTCTTACTGGGAATTCAGAATAAGTTGGTGATCTTCAAATAAAAGCTTTGTATATGAGTTGCTAAACTACCATATTTGGGTAAAAAGAGAAACTATCTTGGGACAAAAGTGAAAAGAACAAAAATGAAAAGGACTCTAGCTATAAAGCTGATGTTCAGAACTTTCATGAAATTCGTGTAATTGATCCACACATTTATTGATTCAGAATGTAGAGTAAATCAGAGGCAAAATTTCTGGTTCTTATTAGTTCAGTCAAACATAGAAAAAAGAAAAGAAAGAAAAAGGAAGAAGGAAGAATGGAAAGAAGAAAGGAAAGAAGTAGGATGAAAGAGAGAGACAGAGAAAGAACATTAAATTTGTAAAGTAATAAAGAAGATGTATTCAAAAATAAAAGAAAAATAAACCATCTTACATAGAGAGTCATACCTAGATTTTGCTATTTAATTCCTCAGCATAAATATAGCAGAGTCACATCACTCGTGCATTTAATTTATAAACTGCCTTTAGAGTTTACAGAAGGTCCAACCCCAACATCTAGGCTGTAAATATGTTTTCAAGTTCAATTTCTGCAAAAAAATTAAATAGGGTAGTCATAATTCATAATATAGTAACCATTTCAAATAAAATGTTATATTCTACATTGATTACAACCTTCTAATTCCTAAGAAATCTATTAGGTTGTATACAAAATTATAAGTAGGATTTGGTTTAATATACAGAATAATCTTCTATAATATTAGTTGTGTTGCATGGCAATGAAGATAATGAACTACCTTGGAAGTTGTGAGATTGCTGCTTTTAGAGTTACGAATATAGACTGAAAAATTACTTCATAGAGTGTGTGGTTGGAGGACTTTCTACAATAGGTACATGGAACTTTCCTCCAAGGTCACTTCACATCAATACTTTCGTGGTTATATAAAATTCAGAAAAATATCACAACTCAACCACAATTACAATGTAAAATTCAGCAATTTTTCCTCCTTGTGCCTTACAAGCTTATAACACAGCATTCTGCTCATTAATGCAAAAAGTAGTACTAAGATTTAATCTTAAACTATCCCCAGGACAGTCCAGTTTGTTCTGATTTTGAGGACTTTAAGTTCTTAAAGAGGACTAAAGATATTTAATTGTAATTAGAAAACCAGTCATAGTCTAAAAATTTCTAATGATTGAGTAAAAGTTTAAAAGTCCAACTCATCACAATTTGCGGGCTGAGAAGCCATTTGGTTCACAGAAGTTTGCTTGCAAATGGCACATATGGCAACACAATCTCAATATTTTATTGCAGAAAAGTTATGTTAATTGCAAAAGCTAAGTCTACTGAGAGAGTTAATTAAGAAAACGTGGGATTATGTGCTGTGTCTTCAGACTAGGTCTGAGGGCTCAGAATTGTCACTGAGTGCAAAACTAAGCGAAATGGATCAATATTCAATTTCACAAAGATAATGCAATACCTTGGAAGAAAAAAAAACCATGTTTCTCAGATACTTTCCAAAATATAAAATTTTGGGATACAGAATCAAACCTTGAAAAGTAAAACCACTAAAAAGATTTTTAGAGACAGCTACTGGATTAAGGAGAACTTCACTGAAACAGCTGATCACCCCCAACATTGCCAGGTCATTCTGGGTTCCTCAGCCTCTCCCATAATACTGTAGACACTAAATATAAAGCTGCAGACTACTGACCACCAGCCCACTGATAAATTTCCTCTCAAAATGAAACAGAGAAAGATTATTATAGGAAGCCAAATTCTTTCTTCTTTTATTCCAGATACAAAATTAAAGAAAGGTCAATAATTTGGCTGACATTTAAAAATTAAATCATTTCAAATAAAATTGGAACTTTTTATGGTGAGGTTAAATAAATGGCATAAGATAGGGGATCATATGCATTTAAATATTTTTCAGATTTAAGAGGGAACAGAAGATAGTCGCAGCAAGGTTCTTAGGTTAACATTCACAGTGAGCAAGCACAGTTTAAAACTTAGCCACATAATCTAGAATTTCAGGACTATAAAAAACTTGAGAGATTGGCTGCTCTAATTTTCCATCTAATGCCTGATCTTTCCCACAGAACCCTGATAAACTGATGGCCAATTTCAACATGTAATGATCTAGAGCTCTATATGCTCCAAAGTAGTAGTTTAACCTTAGTGAATCTTTTTTTTTTTTATTTTTTCCGATTTAATCAGATCTATTTTTCTGGAATTTTTATCCATTATTTATAATTTCATATTTAAAATCTAGTACATTGAATCCAATTCTTTTTCTACCTCCTAGCCTTTCCAGTCTTTTTTTTTTTCCAATGATAAGACCCGTCAGTTTATTCAACTTTTCATCGTGTATGTTGTGCTTTTGCATGTTTGTCTCCACTCTGGTAGATTTTCTCAGGAGACAATCTGAATTTATCTTTCTGGGTTTTCAGCATCCCACTTAAAGAAGGCTAGCCATAACTTAACACAACTCTCTGACCAGTATAAATTGTGTCTTAGTCCCAATATTCTAGATCTCAGAATTCTATGACAGTGGCCATGTCTCATTTAAAACAAAGATGATACAACGGGTTCACCAAATCCCATTACCTTTTTCTCTCCTTTGCACATAGCTAGACTACATTTCTGATTCCTCTGCAGTTAGTTGGGACCATGCAATGGAGTTCTGGCCAATGGAACATATGTGGAAGTCATATATCCACTTCTAGGTCTGGCCTAAAGTTCCTGAAACTATTCTCATGAGATTCTTTGTGTACTCTTTCTCATCCCTCATCTCCTGGCTTATTGGAAAGCATTCAGTGGAGAACTCAAAGACCTAAGGGATGGAAAAAATTAATAAATGAAATGAGTCTAAGTCCCTAAATAAAGATAGAGAAGAGATTTCCCAACGCTCTCCCTGCCAGCATTAGAATATTATTGGAGTAAGAAATGCACTGTTATTGTGTTAAGCCACTGAAAATTTGGATATGCTTGTGAAATTTGAAATCAGATCATCTCGGCAAAGTGCCCACACCTTCACATATTTGGTAGGGAAAAACAACTGGAAAATAATTATGACAGTATTACATGTGATATACTAGTTGATGAACCATTTTTTCTTCACTTCTTAACCTTTGTTGATGTCTCAAGTGATAAGAGTAAATTATGCTTTAGTCCTTGATGTTAACTAGAGTGATGTCAACATGTTGAGTGTCATGACATACTTTCTAATATTAGAATTTGGGGCAGGACCCACTTGAAGACCCTAGTTAGCACCAAACAAGTACCTGCTGAGAACTAACTGAACTGTTGGATATCTTTTTCTTGATTTTGTTTTCTAAAAATTGAAAATTAAAAAATGATATTTCCTATCTCTTTATTGAATAAATCACTTTACATCACTTTTATGGTAAGATGAAGTAGACCCAATCTAAATGTAACGAATAGTATAAATTTTGGCAATATTATATATATATGTGTGTGTGTGTATATATACATGTTTGTCTCTGTGCATACGTGTACACACACACACACACACACACACACACACATATATGTTTCTCAAAGGTTGCTCAAAGGAGGCAAACAGAACAACTAGAACGTTGTAATTATTTTGTAACAAGTGATTTTACCTAACTTCTATGACGTTGGATAAATCTATGACCTGCCATATTCTCTCCAAAAAATAGAAGGGTTAATTTCAGCTAGCAAACAAGCTCAGCCAGGTCCTGTATCTCATCCACCCCATCAGTAATATCTCACATCATTCCAGCAATCTCAAGAATTACTCCAACTGAGTCACATTCTGGAAATGTGTTTGGACTATTCAGTAAGTAGTCTGACTTTGATGGATTGATACTAAAATTAAAGTCCTCTGAGATCTCCAATGTTATATCACACTACACTTGGCCACATCTCGTCGTGCATTTCTTCTCTCCGTTTAAATAACCATGCCCAAACCACAACAAATTACTCACTCCACTTTTGGCTGTCTCCTCTCACCTCCCTGTTTTGGCTTCTGCTTTTATCTCCTTAGAATACCCCTCATCTTGCCCAATCTACTTTATAAAATTCTGTAGATTTTCCAGTGCTATCACAAGTGCCTGTTCTTTTGTGAATTCTTATGTCTTCCCCAGTTAGAAATATTTTTTACTTTTTTGGCATATTCAGGTTCTTTTGTTTGTACACAGCAGTACTTAGAGTAGCTTTTCATGTGCCAGTTTATCATTACTGGATCATAACGTATGCAGGAGCAGGAATCACATTTCATTCTTCTTCTTTATATGGCCAAAGAGAGTTGTATATAAATGTGCTCAATATATGTATAATGAAACTAGTGAATGCATGGATAGTTATGGACGTGTCAGAGCATGTGTTTCAAGGAATCTCCCAATTGCATTTTAGAACTATTTCAAAACTTCAAGGAAAAAATAAAAAATAAAAATGAGTTGATCTGTAGAAATGATTTAGAATGACTGAAAAGAACTGAATGCATATTTTGACAGCAAGTTTTTTTCCTATATATATATATATATATATATATATATATATATATATATAAAAGTAAATGCTTTATGTCAATGCTCAGTGTGTTCTTAATCTGGAATTCTAAAATTACCAGAAAAAAAGTTTAAACTGAAATAGAAGAAACTGAAAAACAATCTATTTAGTTTTTTTAATTAGAAATTGCTTTTATTGAATAGTCAATTCTGACATTCAAACATTTAAGATGCAAACCACTTCTTCATATTCCTCCACATTTTTCTCTCTTTGCATAATTACAAATTTTGTATAAATAGATTTAGGGAAAGGTTAACCATTAGAATTAGAGGATAATTCAATAATAATAGTTATATTTGGATAAAATGATGTCACATACCTGATTCAGTGAGGATATTGTACTGCATATCAAAAGAGCATAGAGAAAATACAGTTTGAGTTTAATGAAATTGAACAACAAGAAGCCAAAAAATTATAAGACATTTTCTACTTAAATATGCTGTTCAAGCTACAAATGATAACTAAAATAGCAAATTGCAAGAAACGTGATTATAAGGAGAGTTTTGATGTTTTCATCCAAAAGAAAGAAACAGAAAATGATAAAATATATAAAAAAGTTGTCTCTATGAGCTTGAAGGTGAAAAGAAAGATAAATACCAACAAAACAAGTTACTAATTTAATTCAAAGTTAAATTCAAGTACATAATGTATACTTGAGTATGTGGGTATGTTTGTGTGTGTGTGTGTGTGTGTGTGTGTGTGTGTGTGTGTCTGTAGCTCAGTTTGACAAAATATAATAGTTTATATACACACTGAAATTTACTTAATGAGTAAAATAGTCACTCTTCAAAAATAAATGACATGTACGGAAAACACGTTTGAGACCAAAAAGTAAACCCAAAAATATGTTTCCCACATTAGAAAATGCATTATTTTATAGAAACTTGTCTAAGTATTGATTCCCTAAAAAGCTGACTTTGGGCTGGGTGTGGTGGCTCACGCCTGCAATCCCAGCACTTTGGGAGGCTGAGGTGGGTGGATCACAAGGTCAAGAGATCGAGACCAGCCTGGCCAACATGGTGAAACCCCATCTCTACTAAAAATACAAAAATTAGCTGGGCATGGTGGCGTGCACCTGTAGTCCCAGCTACCCAGGAGGCTGAGGCAGGAGAATCACTTGAACCCAGGAGGCAGAGGTTGAAGTCAGCCAAGATCTCACCATGCACTGCACTCCAGCCTGGCGACAGAGTGAGACTCCATTAAAAAAAAAATTTAAAAATTTAAAAAAAAACTGACTTTGAGACAAGAATTTGGGTACAAGTAGCTTATGTGCAAGGTGATCCCAGGAAGCACTAAAAGAAAGTGGAGGTTAGTCAGGAAAGGCAGGAAAGCAAAGGAAAGACAACAAAGAATGCAGTCATGCGTCAGTTACCATGGTGGTTGACCGAGGCTTATTTTCTCAGCGACCCACGAGAAATTGAATGTAAAAACATATCTCAGAACTCTACCAATGAAGGGCAAATATTCTAGGGCATTTGCCCACTCTATTAGGCCATTCTTGCATTGCTATGAAGAACCTGACACTGGATAATTTATAAAGAAAAGAGGTTTAATTGGCTAACAGTTCTTCAGGCTTTACAGGAAGCATGGTGCTGGCATCTGCTCAGCTTTGGTTGAAGGCTCAGGGAGGCTTCAATCCTGGCAGGCAAAGCAGGAGCAGAAACATCACATGGCCAGAGTGGGAGCAAGAGAGAGGGGAGGGGAGGTGCCACACACGTTTAAACGACCAGATCTTGTAAGAACTCACTCGCTATCATGAAGACAGCACCAAGTCATTAGGGATCCACCCCCATGACCAAAACATTTCCCACCAGGCCCCACCTCCAGCACTGGGGATTACAATTCAACAGGAGATTTTGGCAGGGACAAATATTCAAACTTTGTTACCCACCAACTTCTAGCCCTCAATGACTGTAGGCTAGTCTGTGGGCATTAAATCTCTAGCAGACTTCTATCTGAGCATATTCTCATGTCTTTAGACAAAAAGCCATCAGCTTGTGGAGTACTGTCTGTAGAAGGACTTTGTGAAGGGAGATGTCTAAGGGAATACAGCTTAGACGTTTGCTACAGAGCATGTGGAATTTTCTGTTTTCCTAAATTCAATCTAAATAGACATTCTAAGACATTAAAATCCTACCATTCATGGTATCCATAAGGAATTTTACCTACGTATCAATGTGTTTATGTATCTGCCTACTTACATTAATTGGTGAATATATACTTAATACGTTGTTTCCACAGTTTTAAACAATGAGCATTAAATATAAGCTAAAACATCTTCCCATTTAACAGTCGTGTATAGCTCACAAATGGAATTGATTCTTTTTCCATTTCTGATTGCTTAATACATATTTTTCCTGGAATAAGCTTTACTCACATGAGTAAAATAACCCAAGATGAGAACTTTACCAACAAAAAACCGAAATGAAAGAATGATTTTTCAGGACATTTGCCAACCAAAAAAAGAAATAGAAAACTGCTTCTGTGAAAACATCTGATTCAACATATGACAATCTATATTATAATGTTAGGGTTAGGAGCACATGCATATGAAATAATCATAAATCATGCATTCATTTATCTTAACCAAAGGAAGTAATGCCTATATACATACATAATTTAAATATATACTCTTTTTCTGTACTTGATATGTTTCCTACATTTATTTTTCCCTTACTATCATTTATTTCAAGTGAATATATTATCCATATATACAAACTATTGGAAGCATATTTAATTTATTTAATTCTGCAATTATTTATTAGAGTTCACTATGTGTCAGGCAATGCTTTGTAGGAGCTAGGGATTTATGGCAAATAAGTCATAATACCTGTCTTAAAGAATTCACAGTTTTTGAATAGATTTACATGTAGCATTGCTCTAAATTAAAGAAGAATATATCATTAGAGGTGTAGACGTAATGTACCGTCGGAACACAAACAATGGGGAGAGAAGTAGTTAGTCATGACTGGAGATTCACCAGAGGATCACAGAGGAGGTAGTATTCCATTTGAACCATGAAAAATAGGTGAAACTTCAATGCACAGAGATGAAGGTAGAAGTGGGGATGTACCAAAGAGACCAAATAGAATGAATGAAGGCTTGGAGATAGTAATAGTTCATAGGCTTCTTCAGAGAATGAAGAGTGTTGGGAATGCTTTACATATAGGCGCCTCAGTTGGTACGGTGAAATACTGCACCAGAAAGGTAAGTTGAGTCTAGATTTTGGAAAACATTGCATGGACTCACAAGGCAGTTGGGCTTCATTCTATCAGCTATGGTGAGAAATAAAAAAGTTTTGATGAAATAAATCCCACAATCAAAACTATGTTTTATAGAGAGAAGTAACTGTGTAACTAGTCTTTACGGAAATTACTCATCTATGTTTACGCAAAATAGATCAGTGATTAGGGAGAGAAAAAAATTTGGAAACAGGTAGACCTACTTCTAAAAATGATAGACTGCTGTAGTTATCCATGTTAGAGGAAAAAAGATCCCCAACCATAGCAGTGGCAGTGGGAATTTAAAAAGGAAAGGCATTTCAGAGGTAAAACTGACAGCATCTTATGAACAATAAGATTTCGGAGCAGTGAGAGTGACAGCAGCTAAAGATAGATCTGTGGTTTACATTAGTGGACATCATTGGTGCTCTGCCGCATCCCCCTCTGATCCCTTTACCGGGTTAGTATATGCTTGCCCCAGCACCTGCATGCCTTTGTACTTTCTTTCCTCTTTGCGGGACACCAGAAAGCTCTAAATGCTGGAAACAAATGTCTCTATCACACAACCTACAGAATAACTGGTGTGAGAGTAGAGAAGTTTAGCTTCCTTGTGTTTAACTGGGAAAAACATTGGAGGATAATTTATTTTCCTGATATCCTGGGTGGGAAGAAGTTGAGGTCGGTACTAAAATTGCATTCTTGCTGGATCCTACCATTTCTTTGTATTGCATGCCCCACTCCCTTACTCATTTGTTTCTGGAATTGCTTCTTTAACAAATTACTTGCACATGGAATCCTCATTGGAGTGACTATTTCCAGGATACTCATCTTGAGAGGGGTATGGAGATTGAAGGTTTTGAAAAAATTAACTAAAAAAGGGAAAAATAGGTTATATCCCTTTGACTCACTTTATTCTAAACTCCAAGAAATGCCTCCTACTGATATATTTTACTTCAGTAAAAACAAATTACCTCTTGTTGGAATTTAAAGTAAAAGATAAGCAAAAGCAAAGGTGAATATCTGTATTATGTGAGTGTCATGTGTGGTGGGAGGACATGACAAAGAATTCTTTTTAAAATCATAAATGGTAATAATATCTTTAAGAGCAATGTACTAATTCTTCAAGTATTCAAGGCAGTTGGAATATGAGTTTCGAACATTTTGTAGGTATTTTAAATTATCTAAGTGACATTAAAATTTTAAATTATCTAAGTGACATTAAAAAAAATTAAATTATCTAAGTGACATTAAAAAGGAATGCAAGAAGAAGGAAGAAAAAAATGCCGGCCAATACATTTGAACATAAAATATTTAACATGGAAAATACCATTTTATCTCTGATTCCTTGAGAGTTGGCATAGTAACTGATGACTTTGGCAGTATTAATTTCATGCCACTCTAAGGAATATAGATTAGTTTTTCTCTCCTCCAAATGGGCCTAATTGTCCTACTCTTTGATTCGTTACATCTACCACTAAATTTTTCAAATATTTTGCCACTTTTACAATCAAATTATCATATTTTATGTATTTTATTGTTAGAAACTTCAGTTTAATATTCTGTTTCTAATCCTTTATGAGCTGGAAAACCAAATATTCAAGACTTTTAACATTACATATCAAGTAAAACAAAATATTTCTACTCTAGAGTCCAGGATGGTATCTTGGTAAACTCTTGAGGTAAACCATGTTAAAAAGTTTCTAGCCGGCTTTAATTTTTAAATATCTATTTTCTTTTCAGTTATTTGATTTGTTCGATTTATATCTGTAAGTCCAGAATGTGTCACAATGGCTTACAGTGAACAGACGACCTTTAATTTTAAGTTGAATGAGTTCCAAATCAAGGTGGGGGGCATTACAATGAGTTCTATTTTAAGTCATAGATGGCAACAATATCTAACTAGTTTCTCTTCATACAGCAAAGTAGTAAAATCTTAGTCGTTCACTCTATCATATCTTAATGTGCTTTCTGGTCACTTAGCACTATAGTAGCCTGAAGGTCAAAAATTGCTATGTAATAAAGTCACTATCTCCACTCTCTCTCCTCTTTTTCTCTCTTGAACCCATTTATGTAAGCCTTTCATTTTCCTTACAGTAAAACTGCTCTTGTCATGGTCACTACTAATACCTCTGTTAGTAATGCACTGATCTTCATAAAATTTGATATATCCAAACATTTGAGACAATTGGTCACCCTTTTCTTGAAACAATTTCTTTCATTGGCCAGGCGTGGCTCTCATGATGACCTTAGTGTTCTCATAATTAGAGATACTGAAGACCTTACCTTCTCTGCCATGTGAGGATACAGGATGAAGGTGTCACCTGCAAGCCAGGAAGAAAGTCCTCATGAAGACCTGACCATATGGCATCCTGATGTTGGGCTTCTGGCCTCCAAAATCATGATAAATAAATTTCTGCTGTCTACAAAACAGGCTCAGTTTAATGTTTGTATATTGCACCTTGTTATATTATCTCATTAACAATGAGGAAAACCTGTGACTTCTGAAATTGATTACCACAATGTAATCTTACATTTGATTCAGGATAAAAGCAGAATATTAAATTTCAGGTTATGAAAAAGCAAAAACAAACAACATGAAAAATAGAGCCCTCAAAATGGTCTGTAAGGTTCTCCGGCGTTTTTGTCCCTATCATTGGTCCATATCATCTGTTATTTTTCCTTCTGTTCTAGCAACTTTGGGCTCTTTGCAATTCAGAGTGTGAGCATGTGTTCCCTCTTCCTGGAACACTTTTCTTTGTATGAACATATGGGTTATTTTCTTCACTTTTGGTTTCACTCAAATTTCATCTGATGATGAATGTTTAATGATAACTTCTCCCCTCCACACTTTCTAAGTTTCATATCCCATTTCCCCTATATGCATTGTATTTATTGTCACCATGTGGCACACATATTTACTTATAGATTTGCTTATTATTTGCTCTCTTAATTAGAATGGAAACACTTTAAGGGCAAGAACTATGTCATTTTACTCATTGCTGTATCCACATTTCCTTGAACAGTGCCCAGCACACAGTAGTTTTCAGTATACATTTGTTGAATGACTTGTTGGATTAATTTAATCCTAATTCTGTATTATTCCTTAGCTAATATTTGCGTTATTCCTCAAAACGAGAAATCAACCTGGATAATCATTGAAATCATAGAAAAGGTCCACCAGGTGATTTTAAGCTGGAATGTATTACCTAACACAGCCGTTTATAAATGTTGTGCCTTTAATGATATTGACTTAGCTTTTTCAGTGTTAGGTCCCCCATCTACAATGAAAATCAAAATCTCTACTTTTCAAGTGATTGGAATGAAATTAGATAACAGACATAAATTGCCTAGTTTAGTGCCTACCACATTACAGGAGCTTCATAAAATTAGTTCATGCCATTTTCCCAACTAGGGATTAGTCAAGTACTTAGGGACAAATACAATATGGAACCTCAACAAAAATATTACTAAGCATCAACCATATATGTGGTAGCTTTTTTGGTGGGAATTGATAAAAAGAAAGAGACAGATAATATAAAATTTTTAAAAAGGTGGTATCCTAACCTAAGGAACTTACAATGTAGTAGGAAGAGGGACACATGATTAAGGCAAATTAAACCAGCCTAGAAAAATAGCATACTATGGGAGAAATATTGGTTTTGGTTTAGAAGATATTGCCTTGAATCCCAGGTCCATTAATGGTGAATTTATCCACTGTCAAATGTAATTGTTATTAATAACACAACTGGCAACATTGTGAATATTAAATGAGGATGAGTTGTTGGAGAGTTTTTGGTACATTGCAAAATTGTCTATAAATCAGGTTCATTATATTTACGAGACATGTTGAATATCCTTTTCATTGTACTCCCATTGCATTTCCTTTACTATATATTAGTACTTATCTCACATGATCACATCAAACACATAGTTTGATGAACCATGAGTTTCTTCAGTGAGGCGAGAGTTTTTGAGGGCTGGAATTGTTCTATTCATTTTAGTTTTATGATGCCTATTTAATAAATGTTGAATGAAGGGAGGTAAGGAAAATGAATAAATGGTTCTAATCGAGGTATAAGCATATTAGAGGGAATAATAAATGTCAACTTGCATAGAGGGATAGAAATAGAAAAGACTACTTAGGGAGTGGCATATTCAACTTAAATCTTGAAAGTTGAATTGGAATTTAACAGGCAAAGGATAAAAAGAACATTACAGGTGCAGTAAAGGTTCTTCAGCTGAATTCTAAAGATAGGATTCCAGGGACTCATAAAGTGATTATATAATTTTATGTGTTTATCTATTTGTCCCAAGGTTAGGGATTATAGTTTTGATAACAGGTTCAAAGTCATCAGTGTCACAATAAAAAGTTAAGTAAGAACACTGAGGTTGAGAGAAGAAAATGAGTAAAAATAAAATGTGAGACAGCAAAAGCATAATTCGGAAGTAAAAAATGTGTTTGCTATAACTGGATTGTGTTCATTCCATACTTTAAAACCTGAAAAATCAGGAATTTAATTTTTCTTTTAAAAAATAAGTAACAAAATTTTCATATGTGTTTAAACTCAATACTCTCATAAATGTAGATGACTAATTTGTTATGAAATATCATCTAAATAGAGCCTTAAAAAAGGAAGATCAAAACCCAGTTACCCATTCAAAATTGTCTATTTAATTGATTCACAGCAACTCTTTTAAGTCTTCTTAATTCTTTGATTCTCACTTATTCTTAAATGGCAGGATTTTAGCCTTAGATTGTTTCCAACTGAGTCCTGGCTTCGTTCCCTTTGGTAGAGAACAGCTGGTTGCCTACGGTAATCCCAGCAGTAAATGCCAAGCTAAAGATGGGATATAGAACACAGTGTTTGGAAAACAGGTTAGATCAGAGTCAAAATTGTTCCCTCAATTGAAGATGGCAATGATTACCATGCTGATTGCAGTTCAGCATGGCTTTGCTTTTCATTTACTTGTTTTTTAACATATATATATGCATATATATATATACATAAATAGTCAAAAGCCTGTTATATTTCTCCTTTATGCAGTCCATTAAATTACTCAGACATTATGTAATCCACCACAAATCTTATAAAGAGGAATATGCTGTCCAGTGAAAACAGCCTTGTTTCATAAGGGTCCTTCCAGAGAGCATTCTGCTGAGTCATCTGCTGAACACATTGACTTCCTGTAGAAAACTGGGAAAGGCATCAGACTTTGCATTTTCTGTAATGCTTTTACAGACTGGAATGTCCAATTCATTTGCTTAACAATTAGAAGAGAAGCTTCCGTTTTAACCTTGCACAGCCTTCACCAATGCAAATATGTCTTACCTAAATCCTTTCTGCTGGATGAATGAAGGTACTATAGTACAGAGGCAGAATAAAGGGACGGAAATAATAAACAGAGTAATGATAACCTTGCACGTTTGTATAGCAGTTTTCAGTTCACAAAGTACTGTCATAAAATGACACACTGCAAAAAAATGGAATTTGGGTTCAGAGAAATCCGAGTTTAATTAGTGGATCTAGAGTGTATTAGTAAGGTAATAAAATCACTTGCTATGTTACCCCCAGTGTTACTGCCTTATAAAGAAGATCACCTCTCTGCGTAGTCTACCCATAAGCATTTTTGGCAGGGCTAATTTGAATTAAATGAGATAGGGAAAGTAAAAGCATCAGTAAACTTTGAGTGCTCTACTGAGGTTAATCATCATCACTGTCATCAGCATCATCATTATCATAATCATTTATTTAAAGTTGCATAAAGGAATATAATTTTTTATTTAATAATAATGGACATCAAAAAGCATTGCATTTGCAACTTATCATAAGTCAATATTAAATATGAAAATAAAATTTTTGTGCATTTTATTTTAAAGAGGCAATATTAGGGAAAATAAGATAAAACATTATTTTTAGTAAGATACTTGAGAAGATAAATTGGCTAAATATCAGAAAAATAAAAACTTAAGAGTACAAAAATTATACAAAGTTTATGGCCCTGAGTTTCAGGAAAAGTAAGAGAGGGAACTAGAGTGAGAGTGAAAAAAATGTTTAGTCTGCAAATATCTATTTTCTTAATTTTTAAAACAAAATTAAAAAAATTTGTGGGTACACAGTAGGTATGTACTCACAAATACTATGTGGGCACATAGTAGCTATGTACCCACATAGAAGGTATGAAATGTTTTGTTATAGCCATGCCATGTGAAAAAAGCACATCATGGAGAATGGGGTATCCATCCCCTAAAGAATTTTCCCTTTGAGTTACAAAAAATCCAATTATACTCTTTAAGTTATCTTAAAATGTACAATTATTACTGACTCTAGTCATCCTATTGTCCTATCAAATAGTATGTCTTATTTATTCTTTCTAACTATTATTTTGTACACATTAACCATTCCCACCTCCCCCATATCCCTCCACTACCCTTCCCAGCCTCAGGTAACCATCTTCTACTATGTCCATGAGTTCAAATGATTTAACGATTAGATCCCACAAATAAGTGAGAACATGTAATGTTTGTCTTTCTGTGCCTGGCTTATTTCACTTAACATAATGACCTCCAGTTCCATCCATTTTGTTGCAAGTGACTGGATCTCATGTTTTCTCATGGTTGAATAGTATTCTATTCTGTATATGTACTACATTTTCTTTTATGCATTCATCTGTTGATGGACGCTTAGGTTGCTTCCAAATTTTGGCTATTGTAAACAGTGCTTTAACAAACACAGGGGTGCAGATATCTCTTTGATATACTGATTTTTTTTTTCTTTTGGGCATATACCCAGAAGTGGGATTGCTGGATAATATGGTAGTTCAATTTTTAGTTTTTTGAGGAAACTTCAAAAAATTCTCCACAGTGGCTGTAGTAGTTTGCATTCCCACCAACAGTGAAAAAGGGTTCCCTTTTCTCCACATCCTAGCTACATTTGTTACTGCCTGTCTTTTGGATATAAACCATTTCAACTGGGGTGAGATGATATCTCCTTGTAGTTTTGATTTGCATTTCTCTGATGATCAATGACGTTGAGCACCTTTTCATATTCCTGTTTTCCATTTGTATGTTTTCTTTTGAGAACTGTTTATTCAAATCCTTTGCCCAACTTTTGATAAGATTAGATTTTTTTTCCTATAGAATTGTTTGAGCTCCTTATATATTCTGATTATTAATCCTTTGTCAGATGGGTAGTTTGCAAATATTTTCTCCCATTCTTTGCTTTGTGGATTGTTTCATTTTATCTGTGCACAATCTTTTTAACTTGTAATCCTATTTGTTCACTTGTGCTTTAGTTGCCTGTGCTTGAGGAATATTGCTCAAGTAGTCTTTGCCAAAACCAATGTCCTGGAGAGTTTCCTTGATGTTTTCTTGTCACAGTTTCATAGTTTGAGGTCTTAAATTGAAGTATTTAATCCATTTTGATTTGATTTCTGCATATGGTGAGAGATAGGAATCTAGTTTCATTCTTCTGCATAAGGATATCCAGGTTTCCCAACACCACTTATTGAAGAGACTGTCTCTTCCCCAGTGTATGTTCTTGGCAGCTTTGTAAAAATGAGTTCGCTGTAGGTGTGTGGATTTGTTTCTGGGTTATCCTGCTGCTCCATTGGTCTATGTGTCTGTTTTTATGCCAGTACCACGCTGCTTTGGTTACTACCGTGCTGTAGTACAATTTGAAGTCAGGTAATGAGATTCCTCCAGTTTTGTTCTTTTGCTTAGAATAGCTTTGCTATAGTGGGTCTTTTGTGGTTCCACATAAATTTTCGGATTGTTTCGTCTATTTCTGTGAAGAATGTCATTAGTGTTTTGATAGGAATTGCACTGAATTTGTAGATTGCTTTGGATAGTAAGGACATTTTAACAATACTGATTCTTCCAATTCATGAACATGGAATATGTTTCTATTTTTTGGTGTCCTCTTCAATTTATTTCATGAATGTTGTATAATTTTCAATATAGAGATCTTTCATCTTTTGGGTTAAATTTAATTAATTCCTAGGTATTTAATTTTATGTGTGGGTATTGTAAATGAGATTACCTTCTTTGTTTCTCTTTCACATTGTTCACTGTTGGTTTATAGAAATGCTACTGATTTTTGTACGTTGATTTTCTATCCTCCACCTTTGCTGAATTTATCAGTTCTAATAGTTTTCTTGTGGAGTCTTTAGGTTTTTCTAAATATATGATTAAATCATTAGCAAACATGGATAATTTGACTTCTTCCTTTCTAATTTGGATGCCCTTTATACATTTCTTTTGTCTGATTGCTCTAGCTAGGACTTCCAGTACTATGTTAAGTGACAGTGGTAACGGTGGGCATCCTAGTCATGTTCCAGATCTTAGAGGAAAAGCTTTCAGTTTTTCCCCATTCAGTATAATACTAGCTGTTGATCTGTCCTATAAAGCTTTTGTTATATTGAGGTATGTTTCTTCCATCCCCTGGTTTTTGAGGATTTTTATCATAGAGAGATGTTAATTTTCTCAAATGCTTTTTCAGCATTTATTGAAATAATCATATGATTTTAATCCTTAATTCTGTTGATATAAGTATCATGTTGATTGATTTGTGTATGTTGAACAATCCTTGCATCACATAGATAAATTCTGTTTGGTCATGATAAATGAACTTTCTAATGTATTGTTGAATTTGGTTTGCTAGTATTTTGTTGAGGATTTTTGCATCCATATTCAACAGAGATATTGGCCTCTAGTTTTCTAATTTTGATATGTCTTTGATTTTGGTATTAGGGTAATGCTGGTCTCATAGCATGAGTTTGGAAATATTTCCTCCTACTGTATTTTTTGGAGTAGTTTGAGTAGGATTGGTGTTACTTCTTTAAATGTTTGGTAGAATTCAGCAGTGAAGCCATCTCCTGTCCTGGGCATTTCTTTATTGGGAGGCTTTTTATTACAGCTTCTATCTCATTACTTGTTATTGGTCTGTTCAGGTTTTGCGTATTTTCCAGATTCAATCTTGGTAGGATGTATATATCTAGGAATTTGTCCATTTCTTCTACATTTTTAATTGATTGGGCATATAGTTGTTCATAGTAGCCTAATCCACAAATATCTCTTAATGTGATCAGAATATACGGTTTAGAAAAAGCCTTCTGTCTAGCTGCTAAGATTTGTGAGGTACCAACTAGTAGCCTTATTTACTGTTTTGAGATTCATACTGTCTGTGCTTGAATTAAACACTTAAAAATGTCAAAAAATGGGAAATGATAAGGAGAAGGAGAATGTGACTGATTTATAAAACTATACAAAATTTTATATTGTTGAAAAACATTAGCCAAAATTTGGAAACAAGGCAAAGGATTATTGCATGTCATTTTATTTTAATACGGGAGTATTGTCTGATAAGCCTTTCTAGGAATTATTTATCTATCTAGAGGCCTATCCCTTTTATTAGAACCAAGATTTGGATAAATTACCTGCTAACTTGTATTTTTGTTTTTTTTTTAAAGGTAGAGATGCAGATGATTTCTGTTCTATAGAAAAGATAACTATAAAAAATATGGTTTTACTGCCCTATAGGAGTCTAACTTAGCAAAATAATTTCAGTATAATTTTTTCAACTGACTATATAAAATCTCTGTTCCTCACATACTCTTTAAACCACACTATTGTTTCTTCTATTTATGAATTAAACAATCTATCTCAAGTTACTCTATATTTGCATGTCATAAAATAATTTTTAATTTGACACTTTGACATTTTGTTTTACTTTATACTTAACATTATTTTTTGTATTTTTTCCAAAATTTGAGAAAACAACAAGAAATTTGGCAGTTATAGATGGCTTTCATATAATTTGACTTGTGTTTTACCTTTATAAAGCATTATTTATCATTTTTGTCATTGGTAATCTCATTGAAGCAATTGTTGATAGGTAGTAGTATTATTTACACATTTGAGTGAAATGAGGCAGAAAAGCTTTTAAATTGTTGATGATATCAAATTTTAAACATTATAGAGGATATATGCATCAATAAAGAAATTAAAGTCTATGACAAGATGGTGAACTAATAAAATCGAAAAGATTGCTTCCCAAATTCCCACTCAGGAAATACTAAATATTTAAAAAGAGGTTGCATGGAAATTGCTCTAATAAACTAATTTTTTTTTAAAAAAAAGTAGAGAAACTCTTGAATTGAAAGAAGGTTGGTTATTAGTGCTAGGAGTATGGTTGGCAGATGGTCTGGGGTGGTTACAAAGGAGTCAAGCAGAAGAGGTCAAAGACAGGTAATAGCAGGCTAGGGTATTTGTTGGAGGGAATAGAGAAGATTAAACAGATAAAATAGGTATTGCTTACTTTATTAGTAACAATTCTCTCAAGAAAAAGAACTCTGTGGTGTGTGTGTGTATGTGTGTGTGTGTGTGGTGTGTGTCTATGGGAAGAAGAGAGAGAGGTTTTTTTTTTTGTTTTTTGTTTTTTTTTTTACTTTAGGTTCTGGGGTACATGTTCAGAATGTGCAGGTTTCTTACATAGGTATGTACGTGCCATGGTAGTTTGCTGCACCTATCAACCCATCATCTAGATTTTAAGCCCCACATGCATTAAGTATTTGTCCTAATGCTCTCCTTCCATTTGCCCCCCAGCCCCCGACAGACAGCAGTGTGTGATGTTCCTCTCTCTGTGTCCATGTGTTCTCATTTTCAACTCTCACTTATGACTGAGAACATGAGTTGCTTGGTTTCTGTTCCTGTGTCAGTTTGCTGAGAATGATGGCTTCCAGCTTCATCCATGTCCCTGCAAAGGACATGGACTTATTCTTTGTTATGGCTGCATAGTATTCCATGGTTTATATGTGCCACATTTTCTTTATCCAGTCTATCATTGATGGGCATTTGGGTTGGTTCCAAATCTTTGCTATTTTAAATAGTGCTGCAATAAACATATGTGTACATGTGTCTTTATAATAGAATGATTTATATTAAGAAATGAACTCATGCAATTATAAGGGCTACCAAGTCTAAAACATACAGCGCAGGACAGTGGACTGGAGACCCAGGGAAGAGTTGCTGTTGCAGCTGCAGTCTGAAGGCAGTCTGGAGGCAGAATTCCTTCTTCCTTAGAGACTTTAGCCTTTTCTCTTAAAGGGAGATTTGTCTTGCACCTTAGGTGCCAGCAGGGCCACAGAAGGACAAAGCACCAAGTGGGTTCTTGGGGTCCCTGATTCCACGACTTGACTCTTGGACAGCATTTCTGGATCTGCTCCTGGCCAGACAGAAGCCCACTGCCCTGAAGTGTGAATCCTAGTCCAGGGAACATTCACCACAAGCTGATTTATGAGTCCTGGTGCCTTAAGGGAACATTGGTGGTAGTCTGGCAGTACTCCTAGTGGCCAGGGGTGGCGGTGGCTATGGGTTGAGGCTCCTCAAGCTCTGGTCTTGATGAAATTCCTCAAGTTTTGTTTGTCTTGGAAAGTCTTTATTTATCCTCCTTGTGTGAAGGATATTTTCCTGGATTTACCATTTAGGGTAAAAGATTTTTCCTCCTGCTTTTTAAATATGTCATGCCACTTTCTCCTGGCCTGTAAGGTTTCTACTTAAAAACCAGCTGCCCAACATATTGGAGCTCCAGTGTAAGTTATTTGTTTCTTTTCTCTTGCTGCTTTTAGGATTCTTTCTTTATCCTTTATCTTTGAAAGTTTGACTATTAAATGCCTTGAGATAGTTTTCTTTGGATATAATCTGTTTAGTGTTCTATAACCTTCTTGTAGGTTGTAGAACAACTTGTATATTGATACCTTTCTCTAGACTTGGAAAGTTCTCTGATATTCCTTTGAAAAAACTTTCTACACCTATCTCTTTTTCTACCTTCTTTTTAAGGCCAATAACTCATAGATTTGTTCTTTTGAGGCTATTTTCTAATTCCCGTAGGCATGCTTTATTGTTTTTTATTCTTTTTCTTTTGAGACCTCTGTGTATTTTCAAATAGTCTGTCTTCAGGCTCACTAGATTTTTCTGCTGCTTGATCTGTTCTTCTATTTAAAAACTCTGATGCATTCTTCAGTATGCCAATTGCATTTTTCAGCTCCAGAATTTCTGCTTGATTCCTTTTAATTATTTCAATCTCTTTCTTAAATTTATCTGACAAAATTCTGAATTCCATCTCTGTGTTATCTTTAATTTCATTGAGTTTCCTCAACACAGTTATTCTGAGTTCTGTATCTGAAAGGTCACATATCTCTGTTTCTCCAAGATTGGTCCCTGGTGCCTTATTTACTTCATTTCCTGAGGTCATGTGTTTTTCAATGGTGTTCATGCTAGTAGATGTTCTTCAGGGTCTGGGCATTGAAGGGTTAGGTATTCACTGTAGTCTTTATTCTCTGGGCTTATTAGAAGATTCCCTTCTTGGGAAGACATGCCAGATATTTGAAAGGACTTGGGTATTGTGATCTAAGCTGTTTCTGCATACACAAATCAATCAATGTGATACATTATATTAACAGAATGAAGGATAAAAATCATATGATCATTTCAATTAATGCAGAAAAAGCACTTGATAAAATTCAATGTCCCTTCATGATAAACACCCTAAAAAAACTGGGAATAGAAGAAACATACCTCAACATTTAAGATGGGAGATAAAAAAGCTTTAAAATCTCAAAAGTACTAACCAAAGGGTAAAAAACACATTTGAATTAAGAACACTTTGTCATTATAGGACATCAGGACCAAAGCTAAAAAACAAGGAGAAGTGATTTCAACATGTAAAGCATATGAAATACAAATCTAAAATATTTATGAAACTTCTTTATACAAAGAACAAAAAGGCAGGAATTTCTATAAGAATAAGTAAACTTTAAAAGGGGATTTCAGTGATGTGTAGTCCACTGATAACCCAAGAAATGAAAATTGAAGCATCAATAAATCATCATTTAAACCATCACATGAAATAGGGAGAGGGACAGAGAGAGAGAGTGAGAGACAGAGCAGTAGGAGATATTTACAAAGATAGGTGTATAACTTAGGATTCAATCAAAGAAACAACTGCTAAGAGTGACATCAAATGATATACTTATTATATATAAGAAATTAACCTCACACAATTGCAAGAATTGGTTAGTCAGTCTGTATAAATTGGCAGTTTCTACATCTGTGCTGGGGCTGAAGGGCAAGCAGTCAGGAAGGAAAGATAGATTTTTAAGGAGACATGTGCAAGGGCAAATTGAAACCCAGAGAAAGGAGCAAATAGAACATGTGTCAGTCTCACATTGCCTCTAAACCCCCAACTTTGATGCTGCTGAATATGCACCTGACCCAGGAGGTGGGGAGTGCTGCAGAAGGGCAATCAACTTCCAGGAGCTAGAGGAGCTGTGAACCGGCTGCTGACCCCACCCCACAGAGTGAGCCTGCAGACCCATGACAATGTGTGAGAGCTGCAGCAGTGTCTGCTTTTATTGTCTTGACCATTGGAGCATAAAATAATATGGCTTCCATGGCTCTTTTGCTTTCCAAAACTCAGGCAAATAGTCTCTTGTGACCCACATTGAGCCAGAACAATACAGAATGAGAAATTCTGGGAAATATAACTCCAGCTTAG
This sequence comes from Homo sapiens, assembly GCF_000001405.40. Lineage (NCBI taxonomy): Eukaryota > Metazoa > Chordata > Mammalia > Primates > Hominidae > Homo > Homo sapiens. The sequence continues at coordinate 191,770,841 of NC_000003.12, forward strand.
TAAAGATGACCCAATACAAATCCTCCATAGGCTACTCCTTGCCTATTTGGCATCCACATGCATATTTTTTTCAAATATTGTTAAATTAATTTCCAAATAAAGGCAACAGAAAAATTAGGCCTTTGCCAAACATAATGCAATTATTCTTCTTGAATACTGAAATAGACAACCTTCTCCTCAACAGAGGATGCAAAGTCCTTTTATCTATTTTTGAGTGATATTTATTCTTCTTCTGAGTCATATTCTCCCTTTGATATTTTATAATTTAAATACTGAGATACAAAGTTAAAATCTATTAACATATTTTATGTCAGATGATAGAGAAGTGGGAGAGGAGAAAATGAAAAACTAGTTGATATATGCATAAATGTATTCATATTAATAGAAATAGATGCATATAACTATTATAGTCTCTGTGCCTACAGCTCATCACATGGCCAGTTATAAGCTGATACCTTTTTCTACTATCTGTGTTATATACCATTTGCTTCTAGCAAGCATATTGGCTAGTCTTAGTTCCTTGCCTATGGAGTGACAAAACCTTCATTCCTAGAAACTCTGGAATATTCCATTAATATTTCCTCCTATATTGGGTTGTTGCAGTTTTCCACTGACTTTAGTCACAAGGTCATATGAGTAATAAGAAGAAATGTAGGGGATTACTTGCATGCCAGTTATGTTCCTCCTTACCCTCACTGTGTAGCAGCAACCCAATCTCCCTTTGGTAGTCAGGATCAATTGCCCCAAAAGATACAGCAATCCCCTTCTGCCTTCCAGATTCCCTAGGATGAGGAGCATAAACCAGTCAGATGGCTTTCTTTCTTTCCACTTTGTGGAAACCACTGCCATGTGTCTTGGTCAAAGCATTACTATGTCCTTTGATGAAGCTTCTTTCCTTCGGAGACTATGCTTTCTAGACAAGTGGAGTCCAAAGTTGCACTGACAGGAGGGCCAAATCTTGCTAGTGCCTCACAAAGGCATTGGTGAGCATAGCCGCTCACATTTCTACCCTTTGATTACTAGACTCATCAATCCAGGATATGGGAGAACAACATCTATATTTGTTTCCAACTTAAGCCATATACTACAACTTGGAGGACATTGCTTCAAGCCTTTAAACTAGTGTCCCGTACCTGGCACACATAAGTGAGTCTTCAAAAGGCCGTTCCAATGTTCTATTAGGCCAGTCACTTCAGGATAAAGGAAAATATAATAGGACTAGGAAATTTTATGACCACAAGTTCATTGTCTCACTTTACTTGCTATTGGGTGAATTTTTTGGTTAGAATCAATGCTATATGAAAAAATATGATAGTAAATAAGGGATTCCCTGAGTCTACAGATAACTGCTTTGGCAGAAACATTGTGGGCTGTGGGCAGGGAAGACACATTCCAGAGTAAGCATGTATTCCAGTGAGGACAAAAGTTTGCACATTTCTTGATGGAAGCAGTCCTATGTAATTAATCTGACACCAGGTGAGTGGCTGATTTCCTGGGGACTGGTGCCACATCAGGGGGTAAGATTGGTTTCTGCTGTTGTCATATGGTACGCATAGTTGTGCCTGAAGCTATATCAGCCTTGATGAGTGGAAGTCTGTACTGCTAAGTCCGTGCAAAACCTTCATCTTTGTCAAGACAACCATTTTATCATGAGTCCTCGGGCTCATAATAAACAGCTTAGCCAAGAAAACAGGTTGACAGATGTTATCAGAGTGAGTAATTCTATCCATCTTATTACCTTCTACTGCAGAAGTTGTTTTTTTGATGAGAATTCACAAGGGCACAAATACCTTCAAAATCTGTGACTATTTGAAAGGCCCATTTACATACTTCTTTCTCAGATCTTTTCACTAGTTTTCCCACTGTACTTCTTCCAAGTTTCTGACCATCAGCCCTAAACTATTAGCCACCACCTATTTATTCAGTGTAAATCTGTATCCTAGCTTCTAGGCAAAGTGAAAAATCATGTCTATTGCTCAATATCGTGTCTACTATTCCGAATTTGATCTATGAATTCAAATAATGACATTCAAAATATCAGCATATCATTTTGCGCATGTTGAAAAGCTGATTCTAAAGGCGAAAGACCCAGATAGAATACACAAGGCTAAAGAAGGGGATCAAAGTCAGAGGATTGCTACTACCTGACTTAAAGACTTAAATACAAAGCTATATTAATCAAGACAATGTGGTGTTGGTGAAAGAATAGACAAATGTATCAATGGAAGAAAAAACAGAGTCCAGAAATAGATCACATGAATATAGTCAACTGATCTTTGACAAAGTAACAAAGGCAATTCAATGAAGAAAGAACAGTCTTTCCAATAAGTAGTGCTGAAACAAGTGGACATCCACATAAAAGAAAAAGAATCTTGACCCTGACCTTACACCTTTTACAAAAATTAATTCAAAGTGGATCTCAGAACCAAATGTAAGCTATAACATTATAATACTTCTGGAAGATTACACAAATGAAAATCTAGGTTACTTTGAATTTTGTGATATATTTTAGATACAACATCAAAAGCACAATCCATAAAACAAATTGATATGTTGGATTTCGACTTCTCAAAAAACACTGTTAGAAGAAAAGACAAGTCACAACCCAAAAGAAAATCTTTGCAAAATATATATCTGATAAAGTCTGGTACCCAAAATATGCAAAAAATTCTTAAAACACTGATAAATAATGGGCCAAAAGTCTGAAAAGACATCTCACTAAAGAGGTTATGTATATGGCAAATAAATATATTAAAAAGGTGTTAAATAGTATGTGGCATTAGAGAATTGCAAATTAAGTCAATGACTGCTGCATACCTTTTTAAATGGCTAAAATTTAAAACATGACCACCACCTTTGCAAAGATGTGGAGCAACAGGAACTGATTCATTGCTGGTGGGAATGCAGAATGGTACAGCCACTTTGAAAGACAGTTTGGAAGGTTTTTTAATTTTTATTTTTATGAGACAGGGTCTCCCTCTGTTAGACATGACCTCCAGCTCAGGTTGGAGCACAGTGGCGTGATCATAGATCACTGTTAACTTCAAACTCCTGGGCTCCAGCAATCCTCTCACCTTGGTCCCTTGAATAGCTAGGGCTGCAGGTGCTCGCCACCACATCCAGCTAATTTTTTATTTTTATTTTTTGTAGAGATGGGATCACAATATGTTGCCCATGTTGGTCTTAAACTAGTGATCTCAAGTGATCCTCCTGCCTTGGCCTCCCAAAGTACTGGGATTATAGGTGTGAGCCACTGCACCCAGTCAGTTTGGCAGTTTTATAGGCCAAATGTAGTCTTAACATGATCCAGCAATTGTCTTCATGGGTATTTATCCAAATAAGTGAAAAAATTTTGTGTATGCAAAAACCTGCACATGAATATTTAAAACAGCTGCATTCATAATTTCTAAAAACTGAAAGCAACCAAGATGTTCTTTAAAAGGTGAATGAATAATAATTTTTAAAAACCTGGTATATCCATTCAGTGGAATATTACTTAATGATCGAAGAGAAATAAAGTATAAAGCCAAGAAAAGACATGGAGGAACTTTAAATGAACATCGAGGAGTACAGCTCCAGGCCAAAGTACTGTGTTATCTTTCAGTCCTAACACCTGTAAATAATTACAAAGACTTTATCTGGCAGGCCTCATTTGGGAAAGTACCTCTCCATGCCAGACTTGATGCCCAGTTTGAAAGAAGAAGTTATAATCAAGAACTCAGCACCGCCCCTTCCCCATGCAGTTGGCCACACACTTATGCAAGCCCTCAGCTGAGGCCTTTCTCAGATGCCTATGCCATGACCACCTCACTGGAGGGCCTTGAAGATGCTTCTCCACCCTGACTCAGGATTCAGTACTTTTCCACTCCTAGCCCTTTTGCTTCTCTCTACCCTCCCCACCAGGATCATAAAACAGCAGGAGCTTTTTGTTCAGGGATTCCTTGGCAGTGATATTATTCTCGCGTCAGCACTGATGTATTTCATCTTCATCAGTCACAATTCCACAGGGACAAAATGGACGTTGAAGAAACTAGTGCTTTTTCCTGTTTAACCCTTTGTTTTTATTATACATTGTAGTAAGTGACTATTAATTTAATTTTGGATTGTTGTTTTAATGGAACACCTCAACATCTGGTAGCTAGCTTTTGCCAACATCTGGTAGCTAGCTTTTACACATATTGTTTAGAAAATAAGCCAGTCTGAAAAGGCTATATGCATACTGTATGATTCCAACTATGTGATATCGGGAAAAGGCAAAACTATAGAAACAGTAAAACATCAATTGTTGCCAGGGGTTCAAGATGAATCTTGGGGAATTTTTAGGACACTGAAACTCTTCCGTAAAATACTATAATGATGGATACATAATATTATACATTTGCCAAAACCATAGAAATATATAACACAAATGGTGAACCCTCATGTAAACTATAGACTTTAGTTAGTAATAATGTATCAATATTGGTTTATCAACTGTAACAAATGTACTACACTAATCCAAGGTGTTAATAATAGGGTAAACCATAGTGGGAAATGAGAAGTTGGGAGAGAGAAGTCTATGGGAACTCTCTGAACTATTGTCTCAATTTTCTGTAAACCTAAAACTGCTACAATAATGAAAATTGATTAATTAAAAAAATTAGGCCTACTGGAAAAATTTTCCACTAGAACTGTCCTTCAGAGACACTCTGGTAGGAATGTAATGCTGGATAAGCTGCCAGACCCACATTTCTTTTTCTTTAGTCATTGGTCATAAGAAATTCTCCTTGAGGCTATAGATGTCAGTTAAGAGGCAAGAGGGAAAGTGGCATGAGTATGACCAATGGCAATCTCTGCCATTTATCCGTAAGGCTTATTTAACCCCATCTTACATATCATTTCTATTTGGTGATGGAATGCTACTATGCATACTCAACTTTATGACTTGTTAGGTCAGAAAATACCCGTATGATGGGCATCCCAGATTATATGGTAAAAAATTGACCCATAGTAAGTATCTGTCTCTGGTAAGCCCACTAGTAAGACAAAAACTATTTAAAGCTATATTTGAAAGGAGAATAGTTATCCATAGAAGATAGTGTGGCTTGTAGTCAAAAACCTGAATCTGTACTGTGGCTGACTCAGGCTTGATTAGCCTGGGCCTGCTACAGGTCTTTCTCCTGTTCTGCGCCTTACTCAAAATAGGCAGCTTTTTGGATTAGTCATTTTATCATAGTATGAAGAGCATGCCCAAACAAGATACACTGTGATTCCAAAATCCAAAGGTCATTAGTTGTTGCATCTTTGTCTTAGTGGCCACATGTAGGAATTTGTCCTTTACCTCGGAAGGAATATTGTGACATGCTTCAGATCACTGGGTCCCGAAAAATTTCACCAACATGGAAAACTCCTGAATTTTTTTGAGCTTTATTTTCAAATAGCCAATTGAACTCCTAGAGGAATTTTGTTATATCAGGGGTTCACTGTTGGTCTCTGTTGCAGACATGCTGAATTCTTAGAGGCAGATGTAGCTAGTAGGCCTTATGAGTCCATGCTCTTAGACTACTGTGTAGCCTCTGTCACTGCCACTATGACTCCTATATCCATGTGACCATCATACCAGTTCTAGGGTGGCTAATGACCAATTTTGATTAATGTCAACTAGCCAAGTGATTTTGTCTACTTGATTGTTTGGTGATTCTTTCATGGTGTGTGTTAGCAGGTGTCTAAACATTTTACTCACTTTGTTTACTCCGTTAAGTCTACTTACATGATTTTACCTCTGAATTCCTTGTCAATGATCCAGTCCTTTTCCTTCTGGGTTTCTAACCAGATGACCAGACCATTGACCAATACGCCCATGAACATATATACATATATGTATGTATTCTCACTATAAGGTAATTTTTATTTTATACAAAGTAAATAACCAGGTATACTGCTTGCTGCCCTTTGGAAGTTGCTATTCATTTTTTTGCTAGCACCCATGTACTGAGTTAAACCAGCTAGAAACCAAGTTTGAGGATTTTCCTCCTGTTTCAACTGCTCCCACTACACAGCTACTGCTTTTTGCAAGTCCTGCTTCTGTTTATGGGTTAGCCATAGTTATTTTTACTCTTACTCTGTTTTTTTTTGTGAGATATTCTGAATTCTAGATTATTGAAGGTGGTGTTCATAAAATAATTTTTTACTTTTAGTAGACTGATATGGTTTGGCTGTATTCCCACTCAAATCTCATCTTGAATTGTATTTCCCATAATCCCCACATAATCCTCCCATAATCCTCCCGTAATGTCATGGGGGGGACCTGGTGGGAGGTTAATTGATTCATGGGGGCAGTTACCCCCATGCTACTCTCATGATAGTGAGTGGGTTCTCATGAAATCTGATGGTTTTACAAGGGGCTTTTCCCTCCTTGCTTAGCACTTCTCTTTCCTGCCATCTTGTGAAGAAGGACCTGTTTGCTTCCTCTTCTGCCATGATTGTAAACTTCCTGAGGCCTTCCCAGACATATGAAACTGTGAGTCAATTAAGCCTCTTTCCTTTATAAATTACCCAGTCTTGGGTATTTCTTCATACCAGTGTGAGAAGGAACTAATACAGTACATTCGTACTGAGATAGTAGGGTGCTGCTATAAGGATGCCTGAAAATGTGGAAGTGACTTTGGAACTGGGTAACAGGCAGAAGTTGGAACCGTTTTGAAGGATAGAAGGAAGACAGGAAAATGTGGGAAAGTTTGAAACTTCCTAGAGATTTGGAGGGCTCAGAAGACAGGAAGGTGTAGGAAAGTTTGAAACATCCCAGAGACTTGTTGAATGGCTTTGACAAAAATGCTGATAGTGATATGAACAATAAGGTCCAGGCTGAGGTGGTCTCAGATGGGGATGAGGAACTTGTTGGGAACTAGAATAGAGATAATCCATGCTATGCTTTAGCAAAGAGACTGGCAGCATTTTGCCCCTGCCCTAGAGATCTGTGAAACTTCAAACTTAAGAGAGATGATTTAGGGTATCTGGTGGAAGAAATTTCTAAGTGGTAAAGCATTCAAGAGGAAGCAGAGCATAAATTTTGGAAGATTTGTGGCCTGCAATGCAGTAGCAAATAGAAACCATTTTCTGGGGAAAAATTCAAGCCCAAGCCTGCTGCAGAAATTTGCATAAGTAATGAGGAGCTGAATGTTAATCACCAAGACAATGGGAAAATGTCTCTAGGGCATGTCAGAGACTTTTGTGACAGCTCCTCCCATCATGAGCCCAGAAGCCTAGGAGGAAAAAATGGTTTTGAGGGCTGGGCCCATGGCCCCTCTGCTGTGTGCAGCCTAGGGACTTGGTGCCTTGCATCCCAACTGCTCTCACTGTGGCTAAAAGGGGTCAAGGTACAGCTTGGGCCATGGCTTCAGAGGTTGCAAGCCCCACGTCTTGGCAGTTTCTACATGGTGTTTAGCCTGCAGGTGCACAGAACTTAAGAACTGAGATGTGGGGTGGGGGTTGGGGGAAGGATAGCATTAGGAGAAATACCTAATGTAAATGATGAGTCAATGGGTGCAGCAAACCAATACAGCACATGTATACATATGTAACAAACCTGCACATTGTGCACATGTACCCTAGAACATAAAGTATAATAAAAGCAAAACAAAAAAATAGAATTGAGGTTTGGGAGCCTCCACCTAGATATCAGAGAATGTATGTAAACACCTGGATGCCCAGGCAGAAGTCTGCTGCAGGGGAGAAGCACTAATGGATAACCTCTGCTAGGGCAGTGCAGAAGGGAAGTGTGGGGTCAGGTCACCCACACTGGGGCACTACCTGGTGGAGCTGTGAGAAGACGGCCATCATCCACCAGACCCCAGAATGGTAGGTCCACCAACAGCTTGCACCCGTGCACCTGGAAAAGCCACAGGCACTCAATACCAGCCCATGAAAGCAGCTGGGAGGGTGTCTATACCCTGCAAAGCCACAGGGGTGGAGCTGCCCAGTGCCATGGGAACCCACCTCTTGCATGAGTGTGACCTGGATGTGAGACATGGAGTCAAAGGAGATTATTTCAGAGCTTTAAGATTTAATTACTGCCTTGTTGACTTTGAGACTTGTGTGGGCCCTGTAGCCCCTTTGATTTGGCCAATTTTTCCCATTTGGAATGGATGTATTTGCCCAGTGCCAGTACCCCCATTGCATCTAGGAAATAACTAGCTTGCTTTTGATTTTACTGGCTCATAGGTGGAAGGGACTTGCCTCATTTCAGATGAAACTTTGGGCTTGGATTTTTGAGTTAATGCTTGGACTTTTGAGTTAAGACTTTGGGGGATGGTTGGAAGAGGATGATTGTGTTTTGAAATGTGAGGACATGAGATTTTGGAGGGGCCAGGGGCAGAATTATATGGTTTGGCTCTGTGTCCCAATCCAAATCTCGTCTTGAATTGTAGTTCCCATAATCCCATGGGAGGGACCTTGTGGGAGTTAATTGAATCATGAGGGCAGTTACCCCCATGCTATTTTCATGACAGTGAGAGTTCTTATGAGATCTGATGGTTTTATAAGGGGCTTTTCCCCCTTTGCTTAGCACTTCTGTCTTTCCAGCTGCCTTGTGAAGAAGGACTTGCCTGCTTCCCTTTCCACCATGGTTGTAAGTTTCCCGAGGCCTTCCCAGCCATGCAGAACTGTGAGTCAATTAAACCTTTTTCCTTTATAAATTACCCAATTTCAGGTATGTCTTCATAGATGCCTGAGCAGGAACTATTAGGTTGATGCAAAGGTAATTGCACATTTTGACATTTTTTAAAGTAATGGCAAAACCCTCAATTACTTCTGCACTAACTAAATAATATGTATACTATCCGGACTTCTTGGTTTTTCAGAACTTTCTCTGTTGTAAACACTCCAGTGATAGTATAATCTCATTGCTATTTTACTTTTAGAAGTTTATTTGCCAAAATCCATACACAAAAGAAGAAGATAGAAATGATTAGTGCTGAATTGGTTTACAGTTATATCAGAGGAAATCATAATATAAGTGAAGATCTCATAAGGATAGAATCATATCAATAATGTTTATATCTTCCGTGAATTATTATGGAGTTTTAGTGTCTCTATTTCTCTATTGAAAATGTATAACATGTACAGTACCTAGTGTTTCCTCCTAACCACTTAAGTTAAGCTTCTCCAACATGCGGCCTGCAGGTCACATGCAGCCCAGGCAGCTTTGAATGTGGCCCAACACGAATTTATAAATTTTCCTAAAACATTATGAGATTTTTTTAGCTCATCAGCTATTGTCAGTGTTAGTGCATTTCATGTGTGGCCAGACAATTCTTTTTCCAATGTGGCCCAGGGAAGCCAAAAGATTGAATGCTCCTGACTTAAGTAATCGAATATAAAAGACTATTAAATAAGGTTCTTCATTTAGCACTCAAAGTGCTAAATGCACACAAAAGAGAAGAAATATCCTTTGTGTTCTGTGTTCTTATGAGATGAAAGTCACAGAATGACCAGGAGTCATTTGCTTTTGAATCACATCCACAAAGACAAAGTTTTATAAAAAGCCATCTGTTTATTCATATATTCATTCATATACTTATTCAATAAAATGCGTACAAATGAAAAAGATACAGGGATGGCAGAAGCAAGGAAATCATAATTTCTGACTTTAAGGAGTTCAATCTAAGTGTGAAGTCATATAAACATAAACAACTGAAAGAAATGTGTTAACTACTCTGCTGCAAATACTCTATTGATAAATACTATACCAACTAATTCTAATTTCTCTTACCTCTCTTCTACACATTCATTAGTACTAACACACTATGCTCCATCCTGGTCCTTAAATAAATTCAGTATGCTCCCACCTCAGGAACTGTATCATAAAACTCATGTGCAAATTACAAAAAGGTAAGGCCCTACACGGCTTGAGGATTTTTGAGAAAATTGAGACATATCACTACTGAGAAAATAATCAGGTTAAAATGAAAATTCTGTTCTATAGAGTTCAAAAAGCTTGGGACTTAGAATCTGAAAACCTAGATTTCAGTTTGGGGCAGGCCAGATCTCAAGCTTTAGTTTTCTAGTATACAAATTAGGCTGGGCTTTCTTTCCTCATCTGTAAATTTTGAAAGGGATACACCAAAGAATTTCTAAAACCTTTTATGAAATATGGCAAGTTTCATACAAGTTCATTTCAGGAGATCAACTGAGCTAAAGAGAGAGCTGAGCTGCTGTGTATTGGAGTAGCTAATTAAAGAAACGAGCCAAAATTAAAGTAATAATTAAGCTTTAATCAGTAATTGCGATTTTATAAGTAAGAGTTCAAAACCCAGAGAAAGCACCAACTCACTCTGGTTTCATTATCCTCCAGGGACAGGCACACTGATTGAAGGTCAGGTAAATCAGCACAGATGTGGAAGCAGTCTCACTGTTGAAGGAACCCCAAACAAAAGATCTAGCAGATTTATGGGCACTCGTGTCTAGGAAGGACAAGGGGGAAGGGCTAGCGTGAAAAGTACTGAGTACTCAGTCAGAGTGGGGAAAGGTGTCCTCAAGGTTTCTCTTTCCTCCTTTCCTCCTCTCATAAGGAATCCTCAGCAGAGGCACTTAAAAAAGACCTCTGCTAAAGTCTTCAGGTAAAGAGATGCAGGAATGAAGGTGCCAGGGCTAGAAATGTAAACATGTGATGAAAATGACTAACTGGGGGGCCTAAGTCCTTGACTGCAACTCCCTTCAGAGACTGCCAAGGATTGTCTGTACACCGTTTGGTGTGCAGAGGACAGGTTTTGCCCCCTGAGGTGGCTGAAGTAAAGCATTTGTAACTGTGTACAGTTGGGACTGAAAAATCACAAGATTTGTAGCTGGGAGCCAGACTTCACAGTTAATGTGACATTATGTAGACATTCCATCCGAGGATTGAGAACCATGTACAGTTGATCTTCATTATTTACAGATTCTGTATTTGTGAATCCATCTACTTGCTAAAATTTATTTGTAACTCCCAAATAAATACTTATGATATTTTCATGGTCTTTCATGGACATCTACACAGCAGCCAAAATTTTGAGTTATTTAATGTGCACGTACCCAACTTTGATCTAACAATCCAATATTCCGCATTCTTGTTTTGACACTCCGACTATAGACAAGTGTCCTTCTCATGTTCTACTTAGTGACATGTTTTTTGAGATTTTGTGTTTTTGGTTATTTTGCTGTTTAAAATGACCCTCAAGTGTACTTACTGACTAGTGTTTCTAAACACAAGAGGGATGTGTTGTACCTGATGGAGAAAATACATGTTAAATAATCTTCATTCAAGCATGAGTTACAGTGCTGTTGCACATGAGAAAAATGTTACTAAATCAACAATATATATTAAATGAGATGTCTTTAAACAGTTACACACATAAAAGAAGGTTATTTATTGATCAATTAACAAAAATATTGTGCACAAGAACCTAACCCTGTACTTCTCCTAGGAGCAGTGGTTCAATAAATGCTAATTCAATGACCAGGGTAACTTTATAGATTGTAACTACTATGAATAATGAGAATTAACTGTGTATGCACAGTCAAGGTATTTCATTATAATAGCAGGTACTGTGAAACCTTAAAAAAATACTAGAACTGAAAAGACATATATTTTTATTATTTTTGTTTTTCCCTATTGCACTTTTTCCTTTAGAAAGAGCAGTCTAACTTATTGGTGATGTATTTCTCCTTAGAAGTGTGGGTGTTGAATAGAGGAATGCAAGGTAACAAGTTGTTATTCACGAAAACAGGAAACTGAATACTGCATGTTCTCACTTATAAATGGGATCTAAACATTGGGTACACATAGACATCAAGATGGGAACAATGGATGCTGGGGACAACTTGAGTGGCGAGGGAGGGAGTGGGATAAGGGCTGAAAAGTACCTGTTGAGTACTATGCTCACTACCTTGGTGACAGGATCGGTTGTACCCGAAACCTCAGCATCTCTCAATATACCCATATAACAAGGCTTCACATGTAAACCTGAATCTATAATAAAATTTGAAATTTAAAGAAAAAGAAAAGTGATTAAGTCTATAAACTTTTAAGTGTCAACAAGAAAAAGATGTTAGAGATTATTCTGGTTATGGGATCATATAAGACTGTTTTTGCTATTTAGACTCTTGGATGAGCTGTGATTCTGTCTCTTTCTGAGGCTTAAGTTTGTGTTTAAGCCTCATTGACTATGGTGTTTAAGTTAGTCAGAATTTATGTTGCTGAGAAGAAAAGATATAATAATAAAGAAAATGTCAATAAAGGGTGAGGTGCAAGTAGTAGACTCTGGGAAATGTAAAGTGCTTGGAAATGGTATTCCAGATCAAATATTGTATGAGGCAATATCTCTTTTTCCTATTTCACAGTAGAAATCTACCACTCTATAGTATGTAATGGCAAAATAGCTATTATGTAAGTAATCATTTGTGGACTCTGAGTCATAAGCTCACTAATACTCAGGTTCAGTATCTGAAACCCTGAAGATCATATCATGAAATAAATGAAGGAAAGTATAAATTTTATGGTATAATTTGTTAATTATTACAAGTAGATCCATTCCCACAATGAGTTCATAGAAATATTTATCATCTATAAATTTTATTCTTTTGCTATTCACATTTAAGTTTGTAATTTATCAGGTATTGACTTTTACATATTGTGTAATACTAGGGTTCCAATTTTATTTTTCGTTTCCAAATATATATATAAATAAGCATGTCAGCATCATTTACTGAAATATCCATCTTGTTTCTACTGACCAGGAATGTTGTCTCTGACATAAATTAAGGTTATACATGTGTTTGGGATCTTTTTGTGGTCTATAGTCTATCTTATTGGCTTTATTTTCTATCCCTGCAATTCACATAATCCTTTTCTCTCTTCATTTCTCTTTTTGTGTAAATTAAATAATTTTACTATTCCACTTTTGTCTAATACTGATAAATTTCACACTGTATTCCAATTTCTTTAGAAAATTATGTCACATGTTTTAATCTGTATACTTAAATTATACAATTAACTATTGTCTTTACCTTTTTCTCCCAAAATACAAAGATATTAGAGGAGTTTAACTTGAACTGTAGCTTTACTGACTTAAGTGCTATTATTATCATCTGTTTTAGTTTTATCTTTTCTAAAACCCCAAGAGGTTGTTGTTGTTGTTGTTGTTGTTGTTGTTAGTATCATTAGTATTAGTGTTATTACTTTACACATTCATTCCTGGTTTTTATGTTCACACATGCTTACCATTTTCCTTGCATTTTATTTCCTTTGCAGATCAAACTTTCTATCCGTGAACTCTTTCTTCTATGCAAAATTGAAGCTCTGACCCCACATTTTTCTTCTGCACTGCCCTAGCAGAGGTTCTCCACAAGGGCCCCCACTGCTGCAGCAAACTTCTGCCTGGGCATTCAGGCATTTCCATACATCCTCTGAAATCTAGCTGGAGGTTCCCAAAACTCAATTCTTGATTTCTGTGCACCCACAGGCTCAACACCATGTGGAAGCTACCAAGGTTTGCCCCCACTGAAGCAACAGCTTGGGCTTGGCCCCTTTTAGCCATGGCTGGAGTGGCTGGGATGCAGGGCACCAAGTCCCTAGGCTGAATAGAGTAGAGAGGCCCTGGGCCTGGCCCATGAAACCATTTTTTTCCTTCTAGGCCTCTAGGCCTGTGATGGGAAGGGCTGCTCTGAAAGTCTCTGACATGCTCTGGAGACATTTTCCCTATTATCTTGGTGATAACCATTTGGCTCCTTGTTACTTTTGCAAATTTCTGCAGCTGACTTGAATTTCTCCTTAGAAAATGGGTTTGTCTTTTTTATTGCATAATCAGGCTGCAAATTTTTCAACTTTTATGCTCTGTTTCTTTTTTAAAACTGAATGCTTTTAACAGCACCCACGTCACATCTTGAATGCTTTGCTGCTTAGAAATTATTTCCACTACATACCCTAAACCATCTCCCTCAAGTTCAAAGTTTCAGAAATGTCTAGGGCAGGGGCGAAATGCTGCTGGTCTCTTTGCTAAAACATAGCAAGAGCCACCTTTACTCCAGTTCCCAACAAGTTTCTCATCTCCATCTGAGACCACCTTAACCTGGATTTAATTGTCCACATTTTGGTCAAAGCCATTCAACAAGTCTCTAGGAAGTTCCAAACTTTCCCACATCTTCCTGTCTTCTTCTAAGCCCTACAAACTGTTCCAACCTCTGCCTATTACCCAGTTCTAAAGTCACTTCCACATTTTCAGGTATCTTTACTGCAGCATCCCACTCTACTGGTACCAATTTACTGTATTAGTCTGTTATCATGTTGCTAATAAAGACATACCTGAGACTGGGTAATTTATAAAAGAAAGAGGTTTAATGGACTCACAGTTCCATATGGCTGGGGAGCCCTCACAATCATTGCACAAGGCATGGAGGAACAAGTCATGTCTTACATGGATGGCAGCAAGCAAAGAGAAGGAGCTTGTTCAGGGGAACTCCTCTTTATAAAACCATCAGATCTCATGAGACTTACTATCACAAGAACAGCATGAGAGAGACCCACCCCATGATTCAATTATCTCCTACTTGGTCCCTCCCACAACATGTGAGAATTGTGGGAGCTACAATTCAAGATGAGATTTGGGTCAGGACACAGCCAAATCATATCAGACACAGAAAGGGACTATATATTTATTTTGGCTGGAATGATTGACTCTGATGATTATAAAGAGAAAGGTTTGCAGATATGAAATGAGGGCAAAGAAGAGTATGGATGAAACCTATCTAATCTTTAAGACTACTCTTTTTTATACCATTCTAGAGGGTAAAGTTTAATAGAAACTGCTACATATTTATTTGTGTGATCATCAAACAACCAGATTCCTCAGAAAAGAAGATTTGGTGCATCAGAGTGGAGACAAATTACCCTGACTAGGGGAAGGGATCATGGAAGACATTGTGGAAAAGAGGCTGTGGAAAAATAAATACCAGTTCTATCCTTAGGATTAGTTATTGAAAGAACTTTACCGATTTCCTTCTTTACCTATTCAAATGTATTTGCCTAGTTTTAATGATTTCTCAATTTTTTTATCCCTAATATATATATATGAACAAATAAGCAATAGGCTCCCTATAGTTTTAGAGTAAGAGTTGGCATTCTGATGAAACAAGGGGAAGAGTAAACATCTATAGGAGATCCAGAACATTAAGCAAAAATAAGTCATGAAACTGCTTGTTTTCTCTTGAAGAAAGCTTGAAGGAGTTTACAGGTAGACATGGCAGTTGTATTTTGTTAGACAGGGATTATTTGGAGGATCCTATATTCATTGGACAAAAGATCTATGTAGATTTGGTGTAACAGGAATGATTAGACTGATTATTTGTTAAATTTTGTCTGCCCAGTATCCATTTCTCTTTTTTGAATAATAGCACCAAAATTTTTTGGGGATTGGGGAAAGGTCATTATCTCCTATTGGGTGCAAACTTGGAAGGCAGTTAATTAAGTTGGCCTGCTCTTTCCTAGCCAAGAGTTGACCACATTATCCAATTAACCAATTAAGTAAATTAACACATCTCTGGAGTTTGTTATTGTCAGCAGAATGACATAAGAAAATAAAAATGGCTAAACCTCATTTATTCTGCATGTAATATCCTGATGAGATGGTTTATAAGTTCCTGCTACTTCTGTCTTTAAGAACTATAATAATTTCTAAATTAGAATTTCTAGACTTCCCTTTGATTCTGTGAACACTTATGCTTACAATAACTTTTTTACTGCTTAACTTAGCCAGCCAGTTTTTATGGTTTGCAAAAAAAAAACCACATCTAATTTGTTAAGCAACAGATTTTTTTGAACAGTCATGTCTTTTTAGTATACTACCTATGAAGACATTATTGACAGCTTCATGCATATTCCATTTTATTTTTCTAGATATAAATATTTTCTTTCCTGATATTACATTGGCAAAGACATCCTGGAAATCAGAATTCAGCTTTAAATTATATTCAAGATTATTTACTTAAACAATTGTTTCTTGAAATATTTTTCTTAAATGAATAAAGAGGAAAAATAAATAAATAAATCATCACCACCTCCTTGTCCGCCAAAAAAATAGGAAATTGTGAAAACTTTTTACCCACTATACAAAGTTGCCTAATAACTAAAAGCAAGTGTAAAGATGGACAACTTTACCTTGAGAAAGCCTTCTGTCTAGACTTGGTTTGCCATTAAACATATGTGAATGTAGGCAACAAACACACCAATGAAACTGAGACCTCCACTTTGGATTTCCTTTTACTCATCTCTAAAATAAGGAAGTTAATATTAGTTAGTCATTCAAATATTTAAAAAATTCTACAATAAATATTTGATATGTTTCCAATGATAAATAGGAAATATTTTTAAAGGCAACATTAAACTCAGCTTTTTGTAATAGATATTTAATAAAGACATAACTCTTAAAGATATTAACTTGTACAGCAGACAAATATTTGAGCAACAAATAAAAATTTTTAAGTAATATAATAAGATAGGATTTAACAAAATTAATGAGAGTGCCAGTGAGAATCCTCACTAAAATAACTGGAAAATAGTCTTCAAAGGCACACAAAAGACATCTGACAATTAAAAATAATGATGAACAGGCCGGGCGCGGTGGCTCACGCCTGTAATCCCAGCACTTTGGGAGGCCGAGGCGGGCGGATCACGAGGTCAGGAGATCGAGACCATCCCGGCTAAAAAACGGTGAAACCCCGTCTCTACTAAAAATACAAAAAATTAGCCGGGCGTAGTGGCGGGCGCCTGTAGTCCCAGCTACTTGGGAGGCTGAGGCAGGAGAATGGCGTGAACCCGGGAGGTGGAGCTTGCAGTGAGCCGAGATCCCGCCACTGCACTCCAGCCTGGGCGACAGAGCGAGACTCCGTCTCAAAAAAAAAAAAAAAAAAAAAAAAATAATGATGAACAACGTGTTGATCAGATTGGTTTTTGCAAAAGATTAATAAGCTTTGTAGCTTAATTACTTTATTCTCCTCTGAATTAGCAACCACATAGAAGCTTTTATAAATCTGTATTCAAAATTATTTTCTATTAGTTTCAACTCTAATTTTAATCAATTTGCCATATTTTTTCATTTCATTTACTTTTTAAATTTAAGAGTGTTAGTGTGCTTTTATAAAACCAGGATGAACTTATTTGGTGTTTATTAATGGTTAATCTTATTTGTTTAGAGGTGTTTTTTTTTCCTGTACATACCTCCTATAGTATTTGTAAGTTTTTTAAAAGGATAATTAAATACGTTTTCTGTTAACTTGCCTTTAACTGGGGTTTCTTAGACCTTGCATTGGTCTCTTTTGGTTTCAAGCAGGGAAACTACCTGTAGTACCACAAACAGAGCATATAATGTGACAGTATGATGACAATGTGAATAAAAACCCTCAAGGATGCAGGAATATCCATATAACTAGGCCTTTTGAAAACTGAAATGATATTTGGAAAGTGGAAGTATATAATGAGCTTTTATTGAACATTTTTTGTCTGTGTATAACAACTTCAGTATCTCAGGGCCTTACCACCCCAAATATTTACTCTACTTGTTCACAGTTCTGTGGGACTGTTCAGCTGTAACTGATTATGGCTGAGCTTCTTGCATACTGAGTTCCCTTTGGCTTTATGAGTTTTCTAAAACATACTCTTCTCATGGTAGATCTTACTATCACAAGAGGACAAGTGGAGCCACACACATCATGTCTATTCCCATTTCATTAGCTGAAGAAAGTCAGTGGCCAATTTCACAAATTAGGGAAGGGAAGTATATTTCTAAAGGGTTGAGTGACAGGGTGGAATATACACTGAACAATAATTCAGTCTATCACATGGCTCTGGGAACTTACTGCCTATTTAATAGCAAGAGCTCTTTTATTCTTTTTTCTCTTAATATCTCTTAGCAGCATTCTTTGACTCTGTCCATGTATCTCTATAGTATCTTTCTTATAGCTTCTCTTCCTTGTACCTAATTACTTGTTCATTTATTTTCAAGTTCACAGTTTCCCTAATGGAGACTTTAGGAAGAACTCTCAAATCATTATGTTTGGTCTTTCTTTAGCTTTGGCCACAAGGATATCTCACAACCCACAGGCCAGACTAAACATTGGTGTACATTAAGTGAAATGCCTGGCCTTACCCAGTGAATTCTAATCAGTAGAGGCAGTGAGTCATATGATGCAGAATATGGCCAGTCCTTCTCCAGGTACTAAGACCAATGCTCACAGAAGGGATGTATGGGCAGGACAGTTTATCTTAGGACTTTGGGTATATTAGACATTGTAAATGAATTGATCACTGTACACCCAACCAATGTTCAGTAGATTCTGTTCCCTCAGGAGCTAGTTTCCTTATATTATTTTTTTAAGGAAGATATTAATTTAACATTTTGTTCTTTTTTCCTCCTAATCCATAATCGATGTAAAAGTTGTGAAGACCAAATAGTTACAAGGCACAGGTATAATTACGTCTCCCAAATAGACTGTATATTTTGATGAAATAGAACATTTTGATATTACTTAATTTACAATGCCTCTTCCTTAGGCTATTTAAAAGAAGTTAAGTAAAATAAGAAACTATTTCAAAATTATCTTTCTCAATGTGTACAACAGATGTTCTTAACTCTTATCCATCCTTGGAAACTCTCACAGTTTTCATCTTCCCCATCTCTTTTCCAATTCTTGTTATTTGCCACACTCACAGTCCTTACCTTTGGATTGCATTAAGCTCAGGAATGAGGTGGGGTTCTAAGAATAGTTGAAAGAACTATTGTATAGTAAAACAAATGCTGTAAGTTTAATAATTTTGGGGAGAACATGTAAGAACATTTTCTATATCAAAGTGCCACACATCCCAATAGAGTCACTGAATAAAATTATCTTAATAGAAAAAGAAAATAAAGCTACAATATTTTAAAATTAATTTTCTCTTTCTTGTGCTTTAATGAATAATTTCAACAGAAAAAGAGTTATAATGTTCTAACAGGTATAAAATGTATTTAGTTACTGTATTAATCCATTCTCGTGCTGCTAATAAAGACATACCCAAGACTAGGTAGTTTATAAAGGAAAGATGTTTAATGGACTCACAGTTTCACATGGCTGGGGAGGCCTCACAATCGTGGCAGAAGGTGAAGGAGGAGCAAAGGTGCATTTTACATGGCAGCAGGCAAGAGAGCATGTGCAGGGTAACTGCCCTTTATAAAACCATCACATATTGTGAGACTTATTCACTATCATAAGAACAGAATGGGAAAACCCCACCTCATGATTCAGTTGCCTCCAACTGGGTCTTTCCCACAACATGTGGGGATTGCAGGAACTATGTTCAAGATGAGATTTGGATTGGGACACATAGCCAAACCATATCATTCTGCCCCTGGCCCCCCCAAATATCATGTTCTCACATTTCAAAACCATACTTTCACAACAGTCCCCCAAAATTCTTAACTCATTTCAGCATTAACTCAAAAGTCCAGTCCAAACTTTCATCTGAGACAAGACAAGTCCCTTCTACCTATGGGACTGTAAAACCAAAAGCAAGTTAGTTACTTCCTAGATACAATGTGGGTAGAGATATTGGATAAATACACCTATTAAAGATGGAAGAAATTTGCCAAAACAAAATAGTTAATGGCCCTGTGCAAGTCCAAAATCCAGAAGGGCAGTCAAACCTTAAAGCCTCAAAATGATCTCCTGTGACTCCATGTCTCATATCCAGGTCATGCTGATTGAAGAGGTGGGTTCCCATGGTTTTGGGAAGCTCTGCTACTGTGGCTTTGCAGGATACAGCCTCCCTCCTGGCTGCTTTCATGGCCTGGCATTGAGTGTCTGTGGCTTTTCCAGGAGCATGGTGCAAGCTGTCGGTAGATCTACCATTCTGGGGTCTGGAGGACAGTGCCCCTCTTCTCAAAGATCCACTAGGCATTGCCCCCTTGGGGACTCTGTGGGGGCTTCAACCCCACATTTCCCTTCTGCACTGCCCTAGCAGAGGTTCTCCATGAGGGCTCTGCCCCTGCAGCAGACTTCTGCCTGGGCATCTAGGCATTTCCATGCATCCTCTGAAATCTAGGTGGAGGTTCCCAAACATCAATTTTTGACTTCTGTGCACCCACAGGCCCAACACCACATGTATGTTGCCAAGACTTGGGGCTTGCACCCTCTGAAGCAACAGCCTGAGCTATACATTGGCCTCTTTTAGCCATGGCTAGATCTGAAGCAGCTGGGATGCAGGGCACTATGTCCTGATGCTGCATAGAACAGGGAGGTCTGGGCCTGGACCCAGAAACCATTTTTCCCTCCTAAGCCTCCAGGCCTGTGATGGGAGGGGCTGCCATGAAGGTCTCTGACATGCCCTGTAGACATTTTTCTCATTGTCTTGGTGACTAACATTTTGATCTTTGTTATTTATTCATATTTCCGCAGCAGGCTTGAATTTCTCCCCAGAAAATGGGTTTTTCTTTTCTATTGTGTCATCAGGCTGCAAATTTTCCAGAATTTTATTCTCTGTTTCCTCTTGAACACTTTGCTGCTTAGAAATTTCTTCTGCCAGATACCCTAAATTATCTCTTTTAAGTTCAAAGTTCCACAGACCTCTAGGGTAGGGGCAAAAAGCTGCCAGTCTCTTTGCATGGCAAGGGTGACCTTTACTCCAGTTTCCAACAAGTTCTTTATCTTCATCTGAGACCACCTTAGCCTGGACTTCATTGTTCATATCACTATCAGCACTTTGGTTAAAGCCATTCAACAAGTCTCCAGGAAGTTCAAAACTTTCCCACAGCTACCTGTCTTCTGAGCCCCCCAAGTCTCCATGAAGATCCAAACCTTCTCACATTTTTCTGTCTTTTTCTGAGCCCTCCAGACTATTCTAACCACTGTCTATTGCCCAGTTCAAAGTCGCTTCCACATTTTGGGGTATTTTTACAGCAGCACCCAATTCTACCAGTACAATTTACTATATTAATCTGTTCTCACACTGCTAATAAAAACATACCAGAGACAGGGTGATTTATAAAGGAAAATGTTTAATTGACTCACAGTTCCACATGGCTAGGGAGGCCTCACAATCATGGCAGAAGGCAGAGGAGCAAAGGCATGCCTAACATGGTGGCAGACAAGACAATGTGTGCAAGGAAACTGCCCTTTTTAAAACCATCAGATCTCATGAGACTTATTCATTATCAAGAGTACAGCATGGGAAAAACCTACCACCATGATTCAGTTACCTCCCACCAGGTCCTTTCACACCACATGGGGATTATGGGACCTACAATTCAAGATGAGATTTCGGTAGGGACACAGATAAACCATATCAATTACAAACTGCAGAAATGTAAACCCTATTGTGTAAAGAAATTAGGCTTGTTTATATTTCTAAGTAATCAAAATCCAGAAATAGACTCCCCAAGGGTCATGTGATGAGTCCACAATCACAACAGCATCCCGCACTGCTTCTCTCATTCTTCTCTGTCACCTTGTTCATGGGCTTGTTGTTTCATGGCTATTGGATGGCTCTTCTAACTCCAGCATTATGTTATGGTTCCAGTCAGGAATAAGAGGGAAACTGATTACTTCCATGAGGAAGGCTTCCGTCAGCAACATCTACTCATAACTGATTGGCCAAAAGAGTGACTGACCTACAAAAAGACTTGAGAAATATAGTTCCTAATTGAGATTGCTTCCCCATCAAAGTTAGTATTCTCTTTTGCAAATAAAAAGAAATAATGGGTAATTAGTAGGTAACTAATAATGTCTGCCACAGATAATAAAATCAGAGTTGGGGGCAAAGGAAAGGATGCAAAAGTGATGAGATTCTCAGGTAAGAAAAACAAAAACCATCAGGTCAATTTTTAAAATTTGTTGAAGCTATACAGGATGACTCATTAATAAATGAATAAGCTCCTTTCCAACAGCCTTGCTGTGCCACAGTCTATACATGGAAATAATACAGTGTAGTGACTAAGAGCAAGACTTCCCGTGTTTGGTTTTTATCTCCTCTTACAAACAGTGTGACCTTGGTGAAAGTACTGTAACATCTCTGTGTTTCAGATTCCCTATGATTAAAATGGGGAAAATAGTTGCATCTACTCCACAGAATTCTAGTGAGGGATACAAACACGGACAGGCACACACACACACACATAATCTCTTATAACCACACCCACACACAAACATATGCACATATATGGTGTCTAGAAGGGTATCTGGGAAATAGTAGACACTATGATAATATTGCATTATAATTATTATTACTCTTTGCTGTAATACATAAATATGCAATTAATCAGGTCAAAAGACAAATATGATTTATTAAATTTGTCATTTAAAAAAAGTAAATTTAGTGGTTACTCTTGAGATTGTTTACAACCCAAATTGTATAATGTAGGTGTGAAATGTAGGTTTTTTTCTTTACAGTTCTCTTTGTAGGATATGTCACATCCTGAAGCTATAATAACAAGATAGGGCCTTTGGCAATCCAAAACAAGGCAAAGAATATTTTTTTAATGTAATATCATATAATTTCCAGCCTTGGTAGAGGTTGGTCTTTCCAGTAAAAATGCCAATAAAAGCATTGCATATCAGTATTGGAGAAATCAGCTAAATATATATATCTAGAGCATAATTTGTAGTATTTACTATAATTGCTAAGAAAAGAGGATACTTACTTTTATGTAAATAAGTTTAATAATCAACTAAAAATGTTACAACAGTATTTTCACAATAAACATTAAAACCAGAAATAAAAGCACAAGTAAGAGAAAATGACGAAGCCACAGAAGAATTGATATATTCAGTACCTATTTATTTAAAAAGAGCAGAAACAGGCAAATATTTAAGAGGATATAATAAGTAAAGAAAAAAATGCACAGATAAGAAAACATATTACCAATTAAAAAATAGGCTAAGCAACAGAAAGAGAAGTGTTTGTTCCCACTTAAATAAAAAACACCATGAAAAATTATATGATAGTAATTTTGAAAATTTGATTAAATTATGAATTCACATAACATCAGCTCCAATTCATTAGGAAGACAAGCCAAGGAAGGCCCTTTCTTAATATAAGTTAAATGTGTAAAACAATATTCAGCTGGTATGAGTCAGATGGCATAACTTAACTAAGACTATGCAAGGAAATAAAATTATAGATAAATGTCCCTTATGATAGTAATTATAAAAGATTCAACATTACTTAGCAAACAATTTTATCTTTGTGTACAAATATAACCAATATGCTTTTATTCTAGGTATGTAAGAAAAATTCAATATCAGAAAATAGGAAAACAGTTTGTGATCATATCAGTGTACATAGGAAAGCAGTCCATTAAACTTAATACTTCTGTGTAATAAAAATTCTAAAAATGGAAGTCAGACCTCACAATTAATATAGATATTAAAATCTATGGCAAAAACTCTTTTCAAATTAGAAACTAGGTAATAAACTGCTGTTACTAATTCCATTCAGCATTGCACAGGAGATTCTAACCATAATAGTAAAATAGAAAAAAAGAATTAAAAGGTATAAAGTTAGGCAAGAAAGGCAAAACTGGTTATGATACAATTTTCATATTGAACCTTATCAATTATCTACTAGTTATTAGAACTAAAAGGAAAGTTAAGAGAGTTTCTAGAATAATAATCAATGTACCAAAACTAATAACGTTTATATATATATACTAGTAATAATTATTTAGAAATAGAATATATATGCCATTAAAAATAGCAATTAAATTTATAAATATCTTAGAAAATATTTCTAAAGAGCTGCAATCAGATTTGGAGAATATTACAAAACATTATTAAATGACATAAAAAGTCAGAGTATTAAAGAGATAAACAATAAAGATCACATATTTTGCATTTGAAGATTCCATTTCCTAAAGGAGCCATTTTCCCTAAATGAATCTAGACATGCAATCAAATTTCAATACGAATTATGGCAAGATTTTTGTAAAACTTAATAAGCTGATTGTGGAAAAAATTTTAAAATAGCTAAGACAATTTTGAAGAAGAAAAGGTAGGGAGTACTTTCTCTACTCAATATCTAAAGTAATTGACAGGCTATCATACTTGAGACCATGTTGTAATATTACAGAGATAAACAGTGCAATGGTATAGAACAGAAAAACTGAAGTAAAGGCACACACACACACACATATATATATATATATATACATGACATTTTTACATAAAGGTGGTTCCATTAAATATTAGTGAGATAAAATAAACTGATAAAAAATTAAGTCATCAGATTCAAATTTAGTGAATTTATAAATTTTGTTTTATGCGTACTTCAGTTGCATAATTCCTTTTGGTTTCTTTCCAGGATTTTTATTCTCTTATTTAAATTTCCATTTTGTTTACAGTTTTTTTTTAATTTCTCCATATTTTCCTTTAGTATTTGAGCATCTTTAAGAAAGTTGTTTTAAATCTTTGTCTAGTAGATCTGCTGCCAGGTGTTTTGTGGGGACATTTTCTGGATTTTTTT
Organism: Homo sapiens; assembly: GCF_000001405.40. NCBI lineage: Eukaryota > Metazoa > Chordata > Mammalia > Primates > Hominidae > Homo > Homo sapiens. Next base: position 191,795,337 of record NC_000003.12, read on the forward strand.
CCCATTGAATTGGCCATTGTTTACTATTTTGCAATATGCCCTGTGACATTTTTATTGCAAACTAGTCATCTGAAACTATTAGTGTGGCAATTCTGGAAGTCAGATTCTCCTCTTATTCCAGAGCGTTTTTTTTTTTTTTTCAATTGTTGTAGGCTACCTCTGTGCAAGTGATTAGAGTAAGATGTAAACTGAATATAGTCCACAAAAATTTTCCTAATCTCCCTAGAGAGGTTGACATGCAAATCCAGTAAGTATGGAGAAACCCAGACAGATACTATATAAGATGAGCATCCCCAAGGCACACAGTCATCAGATTCACCAAGGTCAATGCAAAAGAAAAAGTGAAGGAGAAATAAAGTCTTACTCAGAAAAGCAAATGCAGAGAGAATACATTTCAAATAGGCACTATCATGCAACTACACAATCAAGTCTACATAACAACCAGCTAACAACATTATGACAGGACCAAAATTCCATATATCAATACTAACCTTGAAAGTAGATGAGCTAAATGCCTCACTTAAAAGATACAGAGTGGCAAACTGGATAAAAAGAAAAGACCCATCAACCTGCTGTCTTCAAGAGACCTAACTCACGTGTAATGACACCCACAGACCAAAACAAAAGAATGGAAAAGATTTACCATGCAAACAGAAAACAAAACAAAAAAAGAGCAGGGGTCACTATTCTTACATGAGATAAAACAGATTTAAAACAAATAAAAATTAAGAAAGACCAGGCATGGTGGCTCACACATGTAATCTCAACACATTGGAAGGCTGATGTTGGAAGACTGCTTGAGCCCAGGAGTTCAAGACCAGCCTGGACAACATAGTGAGACCTCATCTAAAAAAAAAAAAAAACCAGACATGGTCCATGTGCCTGTGGTCCCAGCTACTCAGGAGGCTGAGCTGAAAAGATTGCTTGAGCCTGGGAGGTTGAGGCTGGAGTTATCCTGCCACTGCACTCCAGCCTAGGCACCAGAGTGAGACTCGATTTGAAAAAAAAAAAAAAAACGGAGGACAATGAAGGTCATTACATAATGATAAAGAGTATAATCCACCAAGAAGCCTTAAATATCCTAAATATACACACACTCAGCATTGGAGCATATGGACTCATAAAACAAGTTCTTCTTGGCCTACAAAGGACTTAGACAACTACAGAATAATAATGGGAGTCTTCAATACTGCATTTACAGCATTACAAAGATTATAGGGGCAGAACACTAACAAAGAAACTCTGAACTTAAATGCTACACTTGGCCAGTTGGATCTAATGGACATCTACAAAACACTCCACTCAACAAACATAGAATACACATTCCTCTCACATGCACACAGAATATATTTTAAGATGAACTCACATGCTCAGTCATAAAGCAAGTCTCAATAAATTCAAAAAAATTGAGATCATACCAGCACACTCTTGGCCCACAGTGCAATAAAAATAGAAATCAGTATAAAGAAAATCTTTCAAAACTACACAACACATGAAAATTAAACAAATAGCTCCTGAATAACTTATGGGCAAGCATCAAAATTGAGGCAGATATCAAAACATTCTTTTAAGTTAATAAAAATAAAAACACAACTTACCAAAATCTCTGGGATGCAGGTGAAGCAGTGTTAAAAGTTTATAGCCCTAAATGGCCTTATCAAAAAGTTAGAAAGATCTCAAATTGTCCACTAACCCTATAACCAAAGGAATTGGACAAAAGAAATATAAACCCACCTCAAAGCTACCAGAAGAAAAGAAATAACTAAAATTAGAGAAGAGCTTAATGAAATTGATATGCTAAAATCCATACAAAAGATCAATGAAATCAAAAGTTGGTTTCTTAAAAAATAGATTGATAGACCATTAGCTACATTAACAAAGAAAAAGAAAGAGAAGATTCAAATAAGTATAATCAGAAACAACAAAGATGATATTGCAACTGATCCCACAAAAATACAAATGTTTCTCAGAGTACTACGAACAATTTATGCACAAAAATTAGATAACCTAGAGGAGATGAGTAAATTCCTGGAACCACACCATCTCACAAGATTGAATCTGGAAGAGGCTGAAACCCTGAATAGACCAATGTAAACTTCTGAAATTGAATCAGTAATAAAAAACATACCAACCAAAAAAAGTCATGGACCAGATGGATGCACAGCTGAATTCTACGAGCCATATAACATATAAAGATGAACTGATATAAGTTATACTGAAACTTGAAACTATTCCAAAAAATCAAGGATGAAGGGTTCCAGCCTAATTCATTCTATGAAGCAAGCAACAGCCTGATACCAAAACCTGGCGGAGACATAATGATCAAAGAAAACCAGGTCAATATACGTGGTGAACGTAGATGCAAAAGTCCTCAACAAAATATTAGCAAACCGAATCCAGTAACACATCAAAAAGCTAATACATCATGTTCACTAGGCTTTATCCCTGGGATGCTAGGCTAGTTCATTTGCATTTCTTGATATGCAAATCAATAAATGTGATGCACTACATAATCAGAATTAAAAGCAAAAAACGTATAATCATCTCAATAGATACAGAAAAAGTTTCTGATAAAATCTAAAATCCCTTCATGATAAAAACCTCAACAGACTAGGCATCATAGGGACATATCTCAAAATAACAATAGCCATCTATCATAAACCCACAGCCAACATCATACTGAATTGGCACAAGGTTGAATAATTCCCCCTGAGAACTGGAATAAGACAAGGAAGCCTACTCTCACTACTCCTATTCAGCATAATACTAGAAGTCCTAGCCAGAGAAATCAGGCAAGAGAAAGACATAAAAGACCTCCAGATAGGAAAAGAAGATGTCAAAGTATCTCTGGTCACTGACAATATGATTTTGCACTTAGAAAACCATAAAGACTTTGGCAAAAGGCTCCTACAATTGGTAAATGACTTTCATAAAGTTTCAGGATCAATGTACAAAAATCAGTAGCATTTCCATACACCAACAATATCCAAGCTGAGAGTGAAATCAGCAGCACGATCCCACTTACAATAGCCACAAAGAAAACAAAATACTTTGGAATACAGCTAACAAAGGAGGTGAAATATCTCTACAAGAAGGCCTACAAAAGATTTCTGAAAGAAATCAGAGATAAAAACAAATAATGGAAAAACAGTCCATGCTCATGGATTGAAACAAACAATATTATTAAAATGGCCATACTGCCTAAAGTAATTTATGGATTCAATGATATTTCTATCAAACTACTGATGTCATTTTTTACAGAATTAGAGAAAAACTATTCTAAAATTCATATGGAAGGAAAACGGAGCTTGAATAGCCAAAGCAATTCTAAGCAAAAAGAGCAAAGCCAGAGGTATCACATTAACCAACTTTAAGCTATACAATAAGGCTATAGCAACCAAAACACCATGATACTGGTGCAAAACCGAACAATCAAACAAAGGAACTGAAGGGAAAACTAAGAAATGAAGCCTTATACTTAAAGCCGTCTAAACTTCAACAATGCTGACAAAAACAAGCAATGGGAAAAGGGCTCCAAATTCAACAAATGGTGCTAAGATAACTGGTTAACCATATACTGAAGACTGAAGCTGAACCTCTACCATATGCAAAAATTAACTCAAGATGGATTAAAGATTTAAATGTAAGACCTCAAACTTTAAAAATCCTAGAAGATGATCTAAGAAATATCCTTTTTGACATTGGACTTAGCAAATAATTTTTGGCTAGGTCTCCAAAAGCAATTGCAACAAAAACAAAAATTGACAAGTGGAACCTAATTAAATTTAAGAGCTTCTGCACATCAAGAGAAACTATCAATAAACTAAACAGACAATGTACACAATGGGAGAATCTATTCACAAGCTATGCATCCAGTACAGTCCTAATATCCAGAATCTCTAGGAAACTTAAACAATTCAAGAAAAATAAAATAACCCCATTAAAAATGGGCAAAGGACATGAATAGACACTTCTCAAAAGAAGCCATACAAGTGGCCAATGAATATATAAAAAATGCCCAGCATCACTAATCATCAGAGAAATGCCAATGAAAACTACAATGAGATGCCATCTCACCTTAGTCAGAGTAGCTATTCTTCAAAAGTCAGAAATCATAAGGCGCTGGCAAGGCTGTGGAGAAAAGGGAGAATTTATACACTGTTGGTGGGAATGTAAACTAGTTCAATCACTGTGGAAAGCAGTCAAGAGATTTCCCAAAGAATGTGATAGAACTATAATTCAACCCAGCAATCCTATTACTGGGTATATACCCAAAGGAAAATAATCATTCTACCAAAAAAATGCATGCACTTATATGTTCATCACTGTGCTATTCACAATAGCAATTACATGAAATCAACCAACGTGCCCATTACTGGTAGACTGGCTAATGAAAATGTGGTATATATACACCATGAAATGCTATGCATCCATAAAAAGAATGAAATCACGTCCTTTGCAGCAACATGCATATAGTTGGATGACATGATCCTAAGTGAATTAATGCATAAACAGAAAATAAAATACCACGTGTTCTTACCTATAAGTGGGAGCTAAACAGTGAGTACACATGGACATAAATATGGGGAAAAAATAGACATGAAGATTTACCAGCAGGGAGAAGGGAAAAGGGGAGTGTGGATTTTAAAATTACCTATTGGGTACTATGCTCATGACTTGGGTGACAGGATTTGCACCCCAAACCTTAGCATCACTTAATATTCCCATGTAGCAAACCTGCACATGTACTCTGCTATCTGAAATAAAAGTTGAAATTAAGAAAAAAATAAATACAGCACTTTACAATAAAATTCTGAGTTCCACATATCAAAAAAAGGAAATTAATGGAAAGAAAGGGATACAGGCAGTTTTAAAGGAGCACTGGTTTGCTGTGTTAGTAAAGTTCATGCATTATAAATTTAAATTAGAGTGTTGTTTTAGAATATTAAATGGAATTACTTTGTTAGTCACAAAGAAAAAAAATAAACACCAAAAGAAATAGGAAGAAAATGTAAATATTTCACTAGTTTTTTAAAAATGAACTAATCATAAAAGAAGACAGTAATGCAAGAAATAAGGAACAAAATTATTGTAAAACATATAGAAAGCTAATATCAAAATAACAGAAGTCTTTTTTTTATCAGTAATCACTTTATAAATGGATAAAGTTCTCTGATAAAGAGACTGAGATTAGCAGAATAAATAAAAAAATGTTAATCCAACTATATGCTGTCTACAAGAAACTTACTTTAGATCCAAGGAAACAGAGGTTGAAAGTAAAAGTGTGGAGAAGTATATTCCTTACAAATAGTAACCAAAAGACAGAAGACTCTATTTGACATCAGAAAAATAAATTTTATATCAAAAAAGGAAAAACAAAGAAAGATACTTTATATTCACAAAAGTTTCAATACAATGAGATGTAAGAATTTACATTTACACACCTAATATCAGATCATTTAAATATAGGAAACAAAATTAGAAAAAATTGAAGGAAGAGATAGTTCTACCATAAGGTTTGAGACTTCAATATCTCACTCTCAATAATGAACAGAACAATCAGATAAAAGGTAAGAAGAGAAGTAGAATACTTGAACAACACAATAAACCAACTAGAACCAAGAGACGTTACAAAAAACACTCTATCAAGCAAGAGAATGCACATTTTTTTGAGTGCACATTAGACACAAGGCAAATTTTCCAGATAGACTCTATATTAGGCCACCAATTGTGTCTCAGTGGATTTTAAAAGATAGCTGTCATTCAGAATATCTTCTTTGACTACAACAGGATGAATTTAGAAAATAATAACAGAAGGAAAACTGGAATATTCAATAAAATTGGAATTAAACACAGTCTTACAAGAGAAGCTCAGTTTCTCCAGAGCTTAATTGTGAGCAACCACAGGCTACCACACTAGGGGTAAAGCACAACCAAAGTGTGAGTTACTGTCATCAAAGCTAAGGTGCCAGCTACTGCAGTATGGACTCAAGGGCAAGTGCCACCCGGGCTCAGGAATGAGTGACATAAACATTCCCCACCCAGTAGCTTAGATTGCCCACCACTAAAGGTGACATTACCTTCCGTAGTGGCAAGAAAGCAGCATGGCCACTCCATTTCCCAACCCTATCATTCCTCTAGTGGCTAGGGATCACCATTCACTTGCCTTCCATGGCTGGTTCCTGAATTCACCATTGGGGGACTTGAGGACAAGCCATCCTAGCCTGGGTTCACCCCTACCCCATGCCAGCATACACAGACTAGGGGCCAGGGGACTGCCCATCCCAGTCAACCAATATTGGCACCTGCACACTCATTCCAGGGGCATGAAGTTAGGCCTACCCACCCAACTTCTACTGCCACAGCTGGCACCTACCTGCATGCACTACCTGTGGACTTAGAGAGTGACCTGCCCAGCCTGTCACAGCCACTGCCAATATCAGTGCACACAACTCAGGATCCATGATGTCATCCTGCTACTGCTACTGTCATCACTCCTGCCATGCCAGTGCCCAGAGTCCCAAGAACCTATTCCCCACGCCAAGAACCTACTACTGGTATCTGAGTAAGCCATCTGGAGGCCCAAGGGTCAGCCTGCCTGGACTCACACTAGTGCCAGCATATGCAACCTGGGGCCCAAGGACAGGCACACTTAGCCCACTATTGCCACCACTGAGGCCTGAAAACTGACTTACATGGCATCCTAGTCCCTAGAAAAACTTCACCACCGGTTCCACTAATAACTACAGGCTAAGCCACTAAGGAAAGCACAGACACTACTGATACTGTTTACAGCCAAAGAAATCATGCAGAGGCTACACTACTGCACACACCCAGAATCAGAGCCAAAATTTCCTATTCTATCAATTCTATAGAGAAATCTTCAGGGAAAAGTCCTCTCCTGTGAAAGCAAATTCAAAAACTTTGAAGTGACTGTTAAACCAAATGTGTACATAGAATGCAAGGGCACAGGAAACATGAAAAAGCAAAGGAATATGACAAAAAAGGAAGACAACAATTCTCCAGCAATGGATCCCAATAAAAAAAAAGAATTCATGAAATCCTCCCCAAAAGAATTCAAGTTATTGATTCAAAGGAAGCTCAGTGTGATATAACAGAATTCTGAAAACAATGCAAATAATTTTTTAAATGTCTGGTATGAATGAGAAATGTAACAAGAAGGTAAATATCATTAAAAAGAATCAAACAATTCTGGAACAGAGGAATTAATTGAATGAAGCACAAAATGCATTCAAAAGCTTCAATAATAGACTGCATCAAGCAGAAGAAATAATTGCAGAATGTGAAGATAGGTTTTTTTAAATAACCTAGTTAGACAAAAATAAGGAAAAAAGAATTTAAAAAATGAGCATAGCCTTTCTGACATACGGGACACCATAAAGTGCCAACAAAAACAACAATAAAACTACAGGCCAATATTCCTGATGAATATAGATGCAAAAATCCTCAAAAAAAATACTAGCAAACCAAATTCAGCAGAATATAAAAAGGATTATCAACCATGACCAATTCAAATTTATTCCTGGAATGCAAGGATGGTTCAGCATGTGACAGTCAAGCAATGTAATACACCACATTAACAGAATAAAGAACAACCATATGGTCTCTTCAATTGATGAAGAAAAAAACCCGTATGATAGAATTTAACATGTTTTCATGATAAAAACGCCTAACACTGGGAATAGAAGAAAATTACCTTGACATAATGAAAACCATGTATGAAATGCCCACAATAAACATCATACTCAAGGGCAAAATACTAAAGATACTCTAAGATCAAGAACAAGGCAAGGATTACTGCTTTTACTACTTCTATTCCTAGTAATCAAAGTCCTGGCCAGAGCAATTCTATAAGAAAAAGAAATAAAATGTCTTCAAATTGGGAATGAATAAATAAAGTTATCTCTGTTCACAGATCGTATAGTGTTATATGTAAATAACCTTAGTAGTCCTACCAAAAACACTGTTAGAACTAATAGATGAATTCAACAATGTAACAGGATATACAGTTATTACAAAGAAATTACATACATATTTATACATTAACAATGAATGAATAATTCAAAAAGTAAATTAAGAAAATAATTCCATTTACAGCAGCATCCAAAAAAATAAAATATTTTGGAATTAATTTAATCAAGAAAGTAGAAGACTTACTAATTTCTGAAAGAAATTAAAGATACAGATAAATGGAAAAACACCCAATGTTCATGAATTGCAATACTTAATATTGTTGAGAGGTTAATAAAAATCTATACATTTACTATAATTTCTATCAAAATCCCAGTGATTTTGTTTGTTTATTTTTGCAGAAAGAGAAACATTCATTCTAAAATTCACATGAGATCTGAAGCAACCCCCAATAGCCAAAACAATTCTGTAAAAGAAGATTAAACTGGGAGAACTTACTTGCTGATTTCAAAATATACTACAAAGCTACAGTAATCAAAACTGTGGTATGGACATAACAACAGGCATATAGGCCAATCATATATAATACAGAGTCCAGAAATAAACCCCTGAATGTATGGTCAAATGATTTTTGGCAAGGATGTCTGGATCATTCAATTGAGAAAAGAACAGTCTTTTCAACAAAGGGTGCTGGAAAAATTAGATATCTACATATAGAGAATGAAGCTGTGACATTACCTGACACCATATGTAAAAATTAAACCAGAAAAATTCCCTAATTGTAAGACCTGATAAAACTCTTTAAAAACAGCATAGGCCAAAAGTTTTACAACATTGTATTTGGCAATGATTTGTTGAATATAACACCAAAGAGACAGGCAATGAAAGAAAATCAAATGGACAAAAATACACTAACAAGATCCAAGGAGAGGTTACAGCACCTGAGTGTAACACAGGAGCAAGAACAGAGGCATGGAGCGTATAGGAAGGATAGTTTTACATTATCTACATCATCCTTACCCCAATCCTGGGCAGCATAGCAGAAAGAGAGGTACCCTCTGTATGGGGAAAGAAGAGGGAAGTAAACACTGAATTTTGCCATGGACGAATAACAGGGCAGATCACAGTAAAAACCAGGGCTAAGCAAAACCCATAGCCCCAGACTCCAGACTGAGCCTCCAGGCCTGCCCCAGTAACAAACTGAATTATTCAGCCTATGTTGGTGACTCGTTCTCTGGGCCATCCCACTGCCAGCTTGACTTCATTGGCCCCTTTCTCAGAACAGCCCCCACCATCCAAGAGACCAGAGCAGCCCCAGGCTGTGGACAATCCCTAGAACCAGGATGAAGCCCAGAGCAACAGGTTTAAATTCCAGGAATGCCTGTTGAACTTAGTCTCTGGACGTGACCCCAAATCAGGCTGACACCAGTGCCCTCAGACCCTAGACCAACCCCAGTGTTAGACAGGCCCCAGTTTCCATAAATGCCAGAACCACCACAGCACCATGCCAGCCTCAAGAATCAGGTTCCAGGCCCACTTCAGCACCAGGCCAGCCCCAGTGGCCCTAGTCTTCAGAACTTCCTTAGCACTGGTGCAACTCATACAGCCCTAGCCATCAAGCTGGAACTTATAGATCTTGAAGACACAACATTTAGGATAACCCAGAGACAATCGAGCCCCTGCAGCCCCAGGTTTCAGGTCTATACCAGCTGTAGGTCAGAATTTCTAGTCTCAAACACCAGGTGGGCACCTGTAGACAGATACTCCAGGCCTGCCTAGTGTGCAGCCAGTCTCTGTGGCCCCAACTTCTAGGCCAGCCCCTATTGCATCCCACTCCAGCAGACCCAAGTCCAAGCCTGTTCCAGTAGCCCCAGTACTATACCAGTCCCCACAAACCCAGACTTCAAGATTGGCCCTATTCAGGCCAACCCTCATAGATCTATCCCCTAGGCCAGCAACTGCACACTCAGCATCCAGGATTGCACCAGTGATCACAGGCTACAGGCCAGTTTCCACAGCCTCAAGCTCAAGGGCAGATCTACTAGCTCCAGTTACCAGGCCAGCAGCCATGATTTTATGCTCCAGACAAGTCCCTGGGGACCCAAACTCCATGCTAGCACCACCACTAGGCTGGTGTCAAGCTCTAAAGGACCCAGGTTTCAGAAATGCTGCAGAAGAACTAGGTTCCAGGGCCACACAGTAGACCCTGGCATAGGTCAGACCTGTGGAATGTTGCTCCAAGACCAACTCACAGAATAAGCCTCTGGATCAACTCTTGCGGACCCAGGACCCACCACAACAGACACAGGTTTCAGGTTTCAGGCCCACTGTATTAGTCTGGTCTTAAATTGATATAAACAACTACCTGAGACCAAATAATTTATTTTTTTAAAAAAAGAGGTTTAATTGACTCCTGGTTCCACAGGCTGTACAGGAAGCATGGCTAGGGAGGCCTCAGGAAACTTATAATTATGGTAGAAGGCAAAGGGGAAGCAAGCATGTCTTACATGGCAGGAGAAGGAGAAAGAATAAAGGAGGAGGTGCTACACACTTTTAAACAATGAGAGCTCGTGAGAACTCACTATTACAATAACAGCAAGGGGGAAATCCACCCCGATAATCCAATCACCTCCCACCAGGCCATCCTCCAACACTGGCAATGACAATCTGAGGACTAAGCTCTGATTTTTTATCTTGCCCAAACTCCTACCTAAGGGGTCTAGAGAGTCATGCCCTACAAACCATAAATTCTCATCAGATGGATTTTATTTGACCCTATATATAGTGACTTACTTTTCAATCTAACTCTGGCATAATATTATGAGACAAGGAAAAAGTATTTAACCCTAAAATATATTTCCTTGCCATACCTTGAAATTGCCCTGCAAAGTCTCTTGTGAGAAAAATCTACATCCTACAGAGAAACCCCTTTCTCCTTTGTTCCCAGATACAGGAGATAATCAGCTAAGAGCCAGGCACACTTTTAGGTCCAATAAGAAACATTTTACAGCCTGCTCTTTCTCTGAAGTCTGCTCTCTTAGAAATTCATCTGCACAATAAAACTTGGTCTCTACAGTCCTTTATCTTAACCTGAACATTCCTTTCCATTGAGCCCAGATCTTCAGATAAGCTCAACCAACCGTCAACCAGAAAATGTTTAAATTTACCTATAGCCTGGGAGCCCCCACTTTGAGTTGTCCCACCTTTCTGAATCAAGCCAATGTATTTCTTAAATGTATTTGATTGAAGCCTCATGCCTCCCTAAAATATATAAAACCAAGCTGTACCCTGATCACTTTGGGCACATGTTCCCAGGCCCTCCTGAGGGCTGTGTCACAGGCCATGGTCACTCACATTAGGCTCAGAATAAATCTCTTAAAATATTTTACAGAGTTTGACTCTTTTTGTTGACAATCTGACATGAGATTTACGTAGGGATACAAATCTAAACAATATCACCAACCTTAGTGCTAGATCAGCTTCTGTGGGCCCAGGCTATAGATTGTTCCAGACAGATCCAATCCATCGGTCCACCTCAGTGGATTCAGGATTCAGTCTCAACCTCAAGTGCCTAGGCACCAAACTCAACTACCACTAACCCAGATACTAAGCCAGTCAGGCTGAGGACTCCAGCAGTAAGCTCACCATTAACTATGCCAGATGGCCTCCCCAGAAATTTGGAGTGAACTGACTCATGAATGTCTTTCCCATATGAAGCCAGTTTGCAAAGATAAAAATAAGTTCTTATCTCTCAAATGCACAACAATCAATAAAAGACAACAAGATATATTTAAAAATCAAGGAGACATGACATCACCAAAAAAAAAGAATAATCTTTCAGTACCTGACGCTAAAGAAAGGGGGATATACAAACTGCCTGATAAAGAATTCAAAATGATTGCTTTAAGAAAGCACATCAAACTTTAAGAAAGTACAGAGAGGCCAGGCACGGTGGCTCATGCTTGTAATCCCCGCACTTTGGGAGGCTGAGGCAAGTGGATCACTTGAGGTCAGGAGTTCAAGACCACCCTGGCCAACATGGTGAAATGCCATCTACACTAAAACTACAAAAATTAACTGGGCATGGTGGCACGCCTGCCTGTAATCCCAGCTACTCAGAAGGCTCTGGCACGAGAATTGCTTGAACTGGAGCAGAAGTTGCAGTGAGCCAAGATCGTGCCACTGCACTCCAGCCTGGGTGATAGAGTGAGACTCAGTCTCAAAAAAAAAAAAAAAAAAAAAAAGTACAGAAAAACAATTCATTAAAATCAGGGGTAAAAAAATGACCAAAACAAAAAACTTAAGGGATGAAAATAATTTTAAAAACATACTATCAACAGAGTAAAAAGGCAGCACACAGAATGGAATGAAGTATTTGAAAGCCATATATCTGATAAGTATAGAATATATAAAGAACTAAAACTGTACACAACCGCAACAACAAAAACTTGATTCAAAAGTGGGAAAAAAGACTTGAGTAAACATTTTTCCAAAAAAAGTATACAAATGGCTACTAAGCACATGCAAAGAGTACTAATCCTTAGGGAAATGCAAATTAAAACTTCAATGGGACACCACCTGGCATCCATTAATATGGCTACTATCACAAAAAAAGTAGGAGGGGAAAGCAGAGCAAGATGGCCAAAGAGAAGCCTCCAGCAGTCATCCTTCTTGCAGAAACACCTAACTGAATATCCAGACAGAAAAGGACACCTTTATAAGAACTAAAAATCTGGCAAGCAATCACACTACCTGGGTTTAACATTGTATTAAGAAAGAGGCACTGAAGAGGATAGGAAAGACTGTATTGAATTGCCGACATAGCTCCTCCCTGCTCCCACAGCATCAGCCACATGGCACTGAGAAAGAATCTGATAACTTGAGAAAGGATACTGCAGTAATTGTGGAACTTTGCACTGGAAATTGGTGCTGCCTGTCACAGTAAATAGCAACATGGGACAGAACACAGCTCACCCCATTGGGGAAGCATTTAGACCAGCCCTACCCAGAGGCAATTTATTCATCCCAGTACTCAGAAGTTCAGTTCCAGCAGAGCTCACCACTGTGCGTTAAAGTACTCTGGGTCTTAAATAAACTAGAAAGGTATTCTAGGCCACAAAGAGTGTAATTCCTGGACAAGTCCTGGTGCTATGCTGGGCTTGGGTCAGTGGTCTTCTGCGGCACATTACCTAGTGAGACACCAGCTGGAGTGGCCAAGGGAGTGCTTGCTTCACAGCTACCCGAACCCCAGACAATGCAGCTCGTGACTTCAGGAGAGACTTCTTCCTTAAGTTTGAGGAGAGGAGAGGGGAGATTAAAGAGAACTTTGACTTGCAACTAGGATACCAGCTCAGTCACAATAGAATAGGGAACAAAGCAGAGTTCTGTGACTTCCATTCCAGGTTGTAGCTCCCAGATGACAATTCTAGACACACCCTGGGCCAGAAGGGAACTCACTGCCTTGAAGAGAAGGAACCAATCTTAGCAGGATTCATCACCTGCTTACTAAAGAGTCCATGGACCCTGAACAATCAGCAGCAGTATCCAGGCAATACCTGCCGTGGGCCTTGGGAGAGACTAAAAGCTATGCTGGCTTCAGATATGACCCAGTATATTCCCATCTGTGGTGTCTGTGGAGAAAGTCTCCTTCTGCTTGAGGAAAGGAGAGGGAAGAGTAAATGGGACTGTGCCTTGCAGCTTGGGTACTAGCTTGGCCATAGTGGAAGAGAACAGCATGCAGGCTCCTACATCCCCAATTCTAGGCCTTGGCTCTTGAACGGCATTTCAAGACCCGCCTTGGGCCAGAGGGGAGCCTCTGCCATGAAGGGAGAGACTCAGGCCTGACAGCATTTACCACAAGCTGACTGAAGAGCTCTTGGGCCTTGAGTGAATATTGGTGGTAGTCAGGCTGTACTCATCAAGGGCTTGAGGCCTGTAGCCACAGGGAGAGACTCCTCTGCTTGAGAAAGGGAAGATAAGAATGGGAAATACTTTGTCTTGCAGCTTGACTGCCAGCTCAGCTGCAGTAAAATAAAGCACCAGGTAGAGTCCTAAAGTGCCCAATTACAGGTCCTGACTCCCTGATGGCATCTCTGGACCCACCTGAGGCAGGGGGAACTTGTCACTCTGAAGGGAAAATGCAAGCCTGGCTGGATTTGCTATCTGCTGATTGTAGAGCCCTTGGGCCTTGCATAAACATAGGTAATAGCCAGGCAGTGATCACCATGGACTTTGGGCAAGTCCCAGTGCTGTGCTGGCTTTGGATCTGACCCAGTACAGTTCTAGTGGTGGTGGACATAGGGTGGCTTGTGTGACCTCTCCCCCAGCTCCAGGAAGCTCAGTTCAGAGAGACAGAGAGACTCTGTTTGTTTGAGAGAACATAAGGGAAAAGAAGTATCTGCCTGGTAATCCAGGGAATTCTCCTTCATCTTAACCAAGACCACCAAAGCAATACCTCTATGAGTCTGCCATAGGCACAGTGTTGATGGGCTTGGGGTGCCCCCAAATGGAGATATGGCAGCAGTGACAAAAAACATGGCTTGCAATACCCAAGTCCTTGGAATACTTGGAAAGTCTTCCAAAGAAAGATGGGTACAAACAAGCTAAGACTGAGAAGATTATAATAAATACACAACTTTTCAGTGCCCGCACACTGATGAACATCCACAAGCATCAAGAACATCCAGGAAAACCTGGCCTCACCAAGTGAACTATATAAGGCACCAGTGACCAATTTCGAGAGAGATATATAAGCTTTCAAACATAGAATTCAAAATAGCTGTTTTGAGGAAGCATGATGAAATTCAAGAAAACACAGGGAAGGAATTCAGAATACTATTTATATATTTCACAAAGATATTGAAAAAACTAAGAGTCAAGCAAAACTTCTGGAGATGGAAAATGCAATTAACATACTGAAAAATGCATCAGAGTTTCTTACCAGCAGAATTGATCAAGCAGAAGAAAGAATAAGCTTGAAGACAGGTTATTTGAAAATACACAGTCAGAGAAGACAAAAGAACAAAGAATAAAAAAGAATGAAGCATGTTTACAAGATCTAGAAAATAGCCTCAAAATGGAAAATCTAAGTGTTATTGGCATTAAAGAGGAGGTAGAGTGAGAAATAAGGTTAGAAAGTTTATTCAAAGAGATAATATCAGAAATTCCCAAACCTAGTGAAAGATATCAACATTCAAGTGCAAGAAAGTTATAGAACACCAAGCAGATTTAACTACCTCAAGGTGTTTAATAATCAAACTCCCAAAGGCCAAAGATAAAGATAGGATTCTAAAAGCAGCAAGATAAAAGAAACAACATAAAATGGAGCACCAATATGTCTGGAAGCAGACTTTTCCATGGAAACATTGCAGGCCAGGATAGAGTGACATTATATACTTAAAGTACTGATGAAAAAACAACAACAAAAACAAACAAAAAAAAAAACAAACTTTTCCTAGAATAGTGTATCCTGTGAAAATATCCTTCAAGCATGAAGGAGAAATAAAGACCTTCCTAGACAAATGAAAGCTGAGGGATTTCACTAACAGCAGATCTGCCCTACCAGAAATGCTAAAGGAAGTTCTTCAATCTGAAAAAAAAGACATCAATGAATAATAATGAATCATCTGAAAGTACAAAACTCACTGATAATAGACATAGAAAAACACTGAATATTATGACATTGTAAGTGTAGTGTATAAACTACTCTTTAATAGAAAGGATAAATGAAGAACCAATGAAAAATCATAAATAACTTTTCAACATATAGGTAGTGCAATAAGACATAAAGAGAACAAAAAGATAAAAAGCAGAGGAATAAAGTTAAATGTAGGGTTTTTATTAATTTTCTTTTTACTTGTTTATTTGTTTATGTAATCAGTGTTAAGTTTCATTGCTTAAAATAATGATTTAAAAGATTGTATTTACAAGCCTTATGGTGACCTCAAATAAAAAAAATACAATGAATACACAAAAATTAAAAAGCAAGAAATTAAAGCATAGAACCAGAGAAACTCACCTTTACTAAAAGAAAGACAGGAAGAAAGAAAAAGACCACAAAACAACCAAAAACCATATAATAACATGGCAGGAGTAAGTCCTTACTTATCAATAATAACATTGGATGTAAATGGATGAAACTCTTCAATCAAAAAGCATAGAGTAGCTGAAAGGCTAAAAAAACAAAAACCAATGATCTGTTGCCTACAAGAAATACACTTCACCTATAAAAATACATAGACTGAAAACAAAGGGATGGAAAAAAGATATTCCATGAAAATAGAAACCAAAATAGAGCAGGAGTAGCTATTCTTATATCAGACAAAATAGATTTCAAGTCAAAAACTGTCAGAAGGGACAAAGAAGATTATCATATAATGATAAGATGTCAATTCAGCTTGTGGATTTAATGATTGTAAATATATGTGCACTCAATGTTAAAGCAATGTGATATATTTCACAAATATTATTAAAGCTAAAGAGAGAGATAGGCCCCAATGCAATAGCAGCTGGAAACTTCAACACCCTACTTTCAACATTGGACAGATCTTCAAGACAGAAAACTCAACAAGGAAACATGGGACTTAGTCTGAACTATAGAACAAGTGGACCTAACAGATATTTACTGAACATTTTATTCATCTGCTCCAGAATACACTTTCTTCTCCTCAACACATGGTCAGTCTCAAGGATAGACCATATGTTAGGCCACAAAACAAATCTTAAAACATTAAAAAAAAACCTTAATATGAAGCATCTTCTCTGACCACAATTGATTAAAACTATAAATCAATAACACGAATTTTGAGAACCATAGAAACACATGGTAATTAAACAGTGTGCTTCTGAATGGCAAGTGGATTAATAAAGAAATTTAAAAAATAAATTGACAAATTTTTGAAACAAATAATAGAAACACAACATACCCAATCCTGTGTGATACAGCAAAAGCATTACTAAGAGGAAAATTTATAGCTATTATTAAGTGCCTACATCAGAAAAGAAAAACTTCAAATAAATAACTTTAAATAAATAACCCAGTGATGCACCTTAAAAAATGGAAAAGCAAGAGTAAACCAAATGCAAAATTATGACAAGAGATAATTCAGATCAGAGCAGAAATAAATAAATTTGAAATGAAGAAACCAATACAAATGATCAGTGAACCAAAAAGTTTTTTTGAAAAGATAAAGCTTTAGCCAGATTAACTAAGAAGAGAGAAGATTCAAATAAGTAAAATATTTAGATTAAGAAAAAAAGAGAAGGTCTAAGTAAAATCAGAGATATAAAAAAGACATTAAATTTGATGCAGCAGAAATTCAAAGGATCATTAGTGGTTACTATGCACAACTGTATGCCAACCAATTGGAAAATCTAGAGGAAATGGATGAATTCCTAGACATATACCACCTACCAAGATTGAACCATGAAGGAATTCAAAACATGAACAGACCAATAATAAGTAATGAGATTGAAGATGTATTTAAAAGTTGTGGCCAGGCATGCTGGCTCATGCCTGTAATCCCAGCACTTTGTGAGGTCGAGTCAGGTGGATCATGAGGTCAGGAGTTCAAGACCAGCCTGGCCAACATGGTGAAACCCCATCTTATCCAAATATAAGATAAAAAATTAGCTGGAGTGGTCGTGGGTGCCTGTAATCCCAGCTACTCAGGAGGCTGAGGCAGGAGAATTGCTTGAACCTTGGGGGAGGAGGTTGCAATGAGCCAAGATCGTGCCACTGCACTTCAGCCTGGGTGACATAGCAACACTCCCTAGTAAGAAAAGCCTAGGACCTGATGGCTTCAGTGCTGAATTCTACCAAACATTTAAAGAACTAATACCAATCCTACTCAAACTATTCCAAAAAATAGAAGGGGAAATACTTCCAAAATCATTCTGTGAGGCCAATATTACCCTGATCCCCAAAGCAGACAAAGACACATTACAAAAAGAAAACTACAGGCCGATATCTCTGATGAATATTGATGACAAAATCTTCAAGAAAATACTAGCAAACTGAATTTAACAACACATTAAAAAGATGATTCATCATGACCAAGTGGAATTTATCCCAGGCATGCAAGGATGGTTCAAAATATACAAATCAACAAATGTGTTAAATCATATCAAAAGAATAAAGGATAAAAACAATATGATTGCTCCAGTTTATGCTGAACAAGCATTTGATACAATTCAACATCTTCATGACAAAAATCCTCAGAAAACTGGGAATAGAAGGAGCATATCTCAACATAATGAAGACCACATATAACAGACCCACAGCTAGTATGATACTGAGCAGGGAAATACTGAAAGCCTTTCCTCTAAGATCTGGAACAACTCAAAGATGCCCACTTTCACCACTGTTATTCAGCATATTCCTGGGAGTCCTAGCTAGAGCATTCAGATGACAGAAAGAAATAAAGGGAATCCAAATTGGAAAAGAAGAAGTCAAGTTATCCTTGTTAGCAGATGATGTGATCTTATATTTGGATAAACCTAAAGAGTCAACAAAGTAGCTATTAAAACTGATCAACAGATTTAGTAAAGTGGCATGATACAAAATCAGCCTACACAATCAAAAGCAGTTCTATATGCTAACAGTGAATAATCTGAAAAAGAGATCAAGAAAGTAATTTCATTTATAATAGCTACAGCTGAATGCAATACCTAGGAATTAAGTTAACCAAAGAAATGAAAAATCTCTACAATGAAAACTAGAACACAGATGAAAGAAATTGGAAAAAGACATAAAATAAAGAGATATTCCATGTTCATGGATTGGAAGAATCAATATAGTTAATATGCCCATACTACCAAAACCAATCTACAGATTGAATGCAATTGCTATCAAAATACCAATGACATTTTTCACAGAAATAGAAAAAAATGTTTTTAAAATTTATATGGAAACACAAATGATCCAGGATAGCCAAAGCTATCCTGAAGAAAAAGAAAAAATCTTGAAAAATCACAATATCTGACTTCAAATTAAACTACCATGCTATTGTACTCCAAAACAGCATGATACTGGCATAAAACCAGACACATAGAACAATGGAACAGAATGGAGAACTCATAAACAAATTCATACATCTACATTCACCTCATTTTTGACAGTAGTGCCAAGAATATACACTGGGGAAAGAATAGTCTGTTCAGTAAATGGTGCTAGCAAAACTGGCTATCGATATGTAAAAGACTGAAACTAGACCCCTATCTCTTGCCATTTACAAAAATCATATCAAAATGGAGTAAAGACTTAAATCTAAGACCTCAAACTATGAAATTACTAAAAGAAAACATCACAGAAACTCTGTAGTACATTGATCTGGGTTAAAACTTCTTCAGTAATACCCATAAGTACAGACAACAAAACAAAAATGGACAAATGGGGTCACGTCAAGTTAAAAAGTTCCTGCACAGCAAAGGAAACCCACAAAGTAAAGTGACAGCCCATGGAATGGGAAAAAATATTTGCAAACTATTCTTATGACAAAAGATTAATAACCAGAATATGTATACAAGGAACTCAAACAACTGAATAGGAAAAAAAAAACTAATAATCTGATTTAAAAATGGGCAAATATCTGAATGACCATTTATCAAAAGTACACTCACATATGGCAAACAGGCATATGAAAACATGCTCAGCATCATTGATCATCATATAAATGCAAATGAAACCTACAATGAGATATTATCTCACCCCAGTTCAAATGGCTTTTATCCAAAATCAGGCAATAATGAATGCTGGCTGGGATGTGGAGAAAAGGGAACCCTTGTACACTGTTAGTGGGAATGTAAAGTAGCACAGACACTATGGAGAACAGTTTAAAGGATCCTCAAAAAACTAACAGGACTACCATATGATCTAGCAATCCCACTTGTAGGTATATACTCCAAAGTAAGAAAATCTGTATATTGAAGAGATATATGCACTTCCATATTTATTACCACACTGTTCACAATAGTCAAGATTCAGAAGCAGCCTAAGTGTCCATCAACAGATGAATGGATAAAGAAAATGTGCTACCTATACACAATGGAGTACTATTCAGCCATAAAAATGAATTAGATTCTGTCATTTGTAACAACATGGATGAAACTGGAAATTATTAAGTTAAATAAGCCAGACACAGAAAGACAAATGTTGCATTTTCTCACTTATTTGTGAGAGCTAAAAATTAAACCAATGGAACTCATGGAAATACAGAGTAAAATGATGGTTACCAGAGGTGGAAAGGATAGTGGAGATGGGAAGGAAAATGGGATGGTTAATGGGTACAAAAATGTAGTTGGAATGAATGAGATCCAGTATTTGTTAGCATAACAGGTTAACTACAGTCAGCAATAATTTATTGTACAATTGAAGTATCTAAGAGAGTATATTTGAATTGTTTGTACCATAATGAAAGAATAAATGCTTGAGGTGATGGATACTCCATTGACCCTAATGTGATTGTTACACATTTTATGCCTGTATCAAACTATCCCATGTACCCCATTAATATATACATCTACTATGTACCTATAAAAATAAAAATATCACAAGTGCTGGCAGGGATGCAGAGAAATTTTAAGTCTTATGCACTATTGGTACCAATGTAAAATGGTACAGCCGCTGTGAAAAATAGTATAGTATGGTTCCTCAAAAAATTAAAAGAAAATTACCATATGATTCAGCAGTTCCTCTGCTGGGTATATACTCAAATGAATTGAAAGCAGAATCTCAAAGACAGATTTCGACACCAAAATTCATAGCAGCATTATTCACAATAGCTAAAACATGAAATCAACTCAAGTGTCCACCCACCACCAATGGGTTAGCAAAATGTGGTATACATATATATATATGAACCACATTTTACTGTATATATTTATATAGTGAAATATATACCACATTTTACTGTGTGTGTATACATATATATATATATATATACAGTGAACTATTATTCAGCTTTAGAAAGAAAATTCTGACATATGCTGTAGCATGGATGGATCTTGAGGACATTATGCTAATTGAAATGAGTCGGTCAGCAAAAGACAAATACTGCATGATTCCACTTATATGTGGTATCTAGAGCACTCAAATTCATGGAAGCAAACCTCCAATACTTAAAATGTGTGATCTTGGTTGGAACTAGGGCCACTGTAGGTATAGTTGAGATGAGGTACTAGTGAAGTTAAGGTGGGCCCCATATAAAAGGAGAAGAGACACAGAGATACAGACACAGGGAATCTGCCATGTGACAATGGAAAAGAGGTCAAAGTGCTTCAGCTGCAAGCCAAGGAATGCCCATGACTGTGGGTAAGCCACCAGAAGCTAGAAAGGGGAAAAGCAGATTCCTCCCCTACAGGTTTCAGGGAAATAATAACTCTGATTACATCTTGATTTTGGGCATCCAGCTTCTAGAACTGTGAGACAATACAATTTGTTTTTTGGGGTTTTGTTTTTTGTTTTTTTTTTTTTTTTTTTTTTTTTTTTTGTTTTCTTTAAAAAATAAAACTACAGAGACAGAAAATAGAATGGTGGTTGCCAAGGACTGAGAGGAGGGAAGAATCGGAAGTCATTGTTTAATGAATATAGAGTTTCAGTTTTCCATGATGAAAAATGTCCTGAAGATGGATGGTGGTGATATTTGCACAACAGTATTAATGTACTTAATACCAGTGAACTGTACACTTAAAAATGGTGAATATGGTAATTTTATGTTATGTGCATCTTGCCACAATAAAATAAATGAAAAAATAAAATTAAAAAGCATATTACATAAATTTTTACACCTCTAAAAATGGTAGTTTTGTTATACAGGTATTACAATAAATAGGCTATAGCTACATGAATCAGTATAGACATCAATAACATGAATGTTGAAGATGAAAAGCAAGCTGAAAATTGATATATTTATATCTATTTATACATCTTTTAACACTGTGAATGAAGCTATATATTTTTCAGATACACCACATACATATTGTGTGACAATATAAAAATATCCTTGGAAATCCTGGGCATTCTGAAGTAAATTCAGATTGTGTTTTCTTCTTGGATAGAACATAAGGAACTGAAATTAGAGAGAAACACATCAACAGATGAATGGATAAAGAAAATGTGACAGTCCACGGAATGGGATAAAAATATTTGCAAACTATTCTTACGACAAAAGATTAATAACCAGAATATATATACAAGTAACTCAATAGGAAAAAAAAATCTAATAATCTGATTTAAAAATAGGCAAATATCTGAATGGACTTATCTGTGGGTAAGGCTGCAGCTGTAACCGTAATGTTATTCATATCCGTCTATCTATCTATCATCTATCTATAATCTGAAGCAAATATGACAAAATGGGTGGTGGGTAAAAGTGTTTATTTATTTGTCACTGTAAGTTTTTATAATTTGAATTATTTTATTTGAAATGTTTTAGAAGTTTCATTAATGCAAGTAGTTTATTCAAATTTAAATTGATTCTACCTGTAAGGTGTAATTCATGTTTGTCCCAAACATATGCCTATATTTGTTAACTGTGATATTTATTAACATGCTTTTTTGCCCATCTAACACCTCAAATATAAATTTTGAGGGATGATTTCACATCCTCAGTATTCACTCATGGTGATATTTTTAGTCACAAAATTTGGGAATATCTTTGTTATTTTTACACCAAACCCAAATATTTTTTCTTTTCATTTCCAACAGTGAGAGTGGTAAACAAAATTCTTCCATTTGATAATCTTTCTAATATTTACAGAGAATTAATATTCTCTTATTTCTAACTACCTCCATTTTCTCTCCATGTCCCTATACGAGATATGTTTGAAGGATTCTCTCAAGACCAGTCATTTCTTGGGGGAGAGATTAACTGAGAAGAACTAAACCCAGCAAGCCAGGACCATTGTCAATAACTCATGCCCTGGAGTTACCATCTTTGTAACAAACCAGGAGAAGAAATTATATTTGTTGAAGAAAATACAATAGGTGCCACAAAGAATTCAGGGTGTGTTATTAACAGCAAAGAATAATAAAGGCATTACTGAAAAGTATTTTTGATCCTCGGCAGGATACAGTGAGAGTAAAACAGGATCCACTGCCTAAAGAAGGGGCTTTAAAGATAATTGGTCTAATTATGACACAGCAAAATATTCCATCTTATTTTTATAAAATTATGCTGTGGATAAGATACACGGAAGACTAACTCTAAATTTAAAAACAATCATAAGGAAATAAGAAGTCAGAATGAACTGCAATAACACACTGAGTATTAAAATATCTATTAGTTGTTTTAACAAGCTTTAATATTCTGATAACTTACTTTCAGGGCAGGGGAATCAAGCATTACTGATATCCAATATTTACAATATTAAAGGCCTAGTTCACTGTGTTTGTGGAGACATTTGTTTTTGAGACTTCCCAATTGCCTTGGCTATGTTTTATCTTAAATATCTTCACAATGAAGATTCTTATCAATACCTCATCTCAAATAAATAAATACCCACCATAAAAAGACAAATATGTTCTTATGTGTTTGAAGGTTTTCCTAGCAGGTTTTGAAAGATTGTCTATACTGGCCGGGCGCGGTGGCTCACGCCTGTAATCCCAGCACTTTGGGAGGCTGAGGCGGGAGGATCACGAGGTCAGGAGATTGAGACAATCCTGGCTAACACGTGAAACCCTGTCTCTACTAAAAATACAAAAAAAATTAGCCAGGCGTGGTGGCGGGCGCCTGTAGTCCCAGCTACTCGGGAGGCTGAGGCAGGAGAATGGCATGAACCCGGGAGGCGGAGCTTGCAGTGAGCCGAGATCGTGCCACTGCACTCCAGCCTGGGGGACAGAGCTCAGACTTTGTCTCAAAAAAAAAAAAAAAAAAAAAAAAAAGAAAGATTGTCTATACTGACGTTTGTGAAATAAAGGAAATAAGCTATAAGAAATAAATCAAAGTGTCATATAAAAACCTTGCATGGAGGGATGAGAAATGCTGATGTAAACATTAAACCACCAGAAATCATTGTTGCTTTGGAAAACACTAATGACAAGTAACAAAGGCACCAAACATACGGAACTTCCAAAGCTGCTAATATTTTAGCACACACAGAGTTATGTCATAGGCTATAATGCAAATTAAACGAAAACATTTCTAATGCAATCTTGTGGTGATCAACTAGCCACGACAGCCACTGTACTAAGAATCCTCCCATTAAAAAATATTTAAGATTTTACTTGAGCACAGTAAAAACATTTGTTGGGATTTGCAATGCACAGTATCCAAGCCAACTACCCAGCCAGAACCAAGATTTA
The DNA here is from genome assembly GCF_000001405.40 of Homo sapiens. Classification (NCBI taxonomy): domain Eukaryota; kingdom Metazoa; phylum Chordata; class Mammalia; order Primates; family Hominidae; genus Homo; species Homo sapiens. The sequence goes on from NC_000003.12 coordinate 191,819,569, forward strand.
CCAAAGTTTCTAATAATAGAATCAACCTTGTCTCCTAATATATTACAAACAGTCAGGAAAGCTGCTCTCCTTTCTCATACCTATTCATTTTTTCCTCATATTTCTATCCTGAGGTACTATACTTGCTATTAAATAATCTGTACTCCAAGAAGATATGTATTCTATGATTTCCATGTCCATATTCACATCCTTCAGAAAATAGTTCGTTCTGACAGTGCTCCACAAAAGGTACATGAAACTTCTTTATTTTCTGACCCAGGGCTGTCTCTGGGAGCTTACTTTGGGAGTGCAAATATAGTTCAGAAATGGGGGACTTAAAATCCCCAGGTGCAACCCTTGACCCATTGTGAAAAGGAGCCAACGAATAACATTCCCACCTCCTATTATTCAGACAGATAATTCTGGGAAACATTTCTACATTTCTCAAAAGTTCTAGATAGAAACAAGCTAGCATTGCCTACAATAGTGACCCCAATATTCAATCTTCATACTCTTTTTTCCTTATTTCCTGCCTCATTATCCCAGGAATTCTACTCTATCTGGGACCATCTTGAAAATAAACAACTCATCACAAATCTTTGTCTCAGGCTCTGCTTTGAAGGAACACCAAGATATCAGAGGATCTTTGGAAAATAGAAATTGGATTATGGTTTTTCTTAAAGCCTTCAATGGATCATCATTTCCTGTGAGATATAATCCAGGCTCCTTAGTGTGAGGCATATAAAGGTTTTGATGGAACAATCTTTGCCGAATGTTCTTATCTCCTCTGTCACAGTGAATCCTCAAACACTATTACCTTGTAAGATTGGATTGCTTGCAAATGCCTCATGTCATGATGTTTTAAGTTCCTGCCCCTTGTATTTGTTTTTTTTTTAACACATCTAATTTTCCCCCAATATGCAAAAGGCCTACACAACCTGTTTTGTTCAACTATCCTTTACCCTTCAGACACAATATCTCACGTATTCCTTTGTGTATCCAGATAATTATTTTGCACTTACCATGGTCTATTTGTTTAACCCATTTGTGTCTGTGTTTATTTCCTCTACTTTATGAGGCAAAGGCTGATACATTATTCGCTTTTTAATTCTCATGCCCTTACAGTGTGATTCATAAAAGGTAGTTATAAACATTTATTGAAAGATTGATGAAGTATATGAGCAGATATCTGTTAATACAATTATGATTCACTCATTCTCCTCTTTGGTGAACCAATGTACCACTTCATGTCATTGTGACTAACCCTGTTTTTAGATTCTCCAAATGAACCTCTGGCAGGTATTCCCTTCAGTAACTCCTTAGATTGCAGTCATCCTGATGATGTCAGATTATGACCACATAATTCCTGAATAAGTGGAATTTCACTGCTGTTTATATAATTAAATGGTGAATTGCATATTCTGGTTTATAAGTGTTATTTGAGTCTGCTACACTGCTTATTGAATACAGAAGAACAGAGTGGTCTCTTAAGAGAATTAGCTTCCACATTGAAATAAGCATAATTAAGATTTAATGTATTACAGACATTGATTCAATCTTTATTTCTTATTGGAATTTAATAGAATTACATAAATCCTCTCCATACATTGAAAAATATAAGCATATTAATTTAAAATTCACAGTATTAGTAGTTTTTCTTTTAATAGGAGATAAAATGACAGAAAATGTAGGAGAAAAAGAATTTGTTAGAGGCTCTGAGGGTTATTCTAATCTGAGTTGGTTTTGTTTCTTCTTGTTATTACTAGAAAAATAACTTAAGGACAAAGTGGCATTCACTTTACTGGTTTAAGTAATATGTGACCTACCTCGATGCCAATTAGTGGTAAATGGAAACTGAGACAGTTGGAGTCACATCTAAGAATTCACTAACCTTTGTAAATTACTTTTGTCTTCAGACATGAGCCAAACAGGAGCAGAAAAAATCAATACAAAATCCCATTTTAATTTGAGTTCCAATCACAGAATTACCTCCAATAAGCTGTTAGTACCTTCAAAAATTAGATGCTTTAAAGTTTCTATTTTTCAGATACAAATGGACTTATTTCATTTAGTTGTAAATAATCTGCATAATTTTAAAAATTGTTAGAGCAGGAAAATCCTTGCTATAAACTATAAAACTCTTGTTATAAACTAAAACTGCTAAACTTTTTGTTGATTAAAGGTATAGGTGGGCTGAAAGAAAAAATGTTAAAGGCAGCTAGAGAGAAAGGACTGGTCACCTACAAAGTGAAGCCCATCAGACTAACAGTGAACCTCTCAACGGAAACCCTACAAGCCAGAAGAGATGTGGGGGCATGTATTAAATATTTTTAAAGAAAAGGATCTTTGGAAAATAGAAATTGGATTATGGTTTTTCTTAAAGCATTCAATGGATCATCATTTCCTGTGAGATATAATCCAGGCTCCTTAGTGTGAGGCATATAAAGGTTTGATGGAACAATCTTTGCCTAATGTTCTTATCAACCCAAAATTTCATATCTGGCCAAACTAAGCTTTATAAATGGAGGAGAAATTAGATTCATTTTACACAAGCAAATGCTGAAGGAATTCATTTCCACCAGACCTGTCTCATAAGAGCTCCTGAAAGAAGCACTAAACTTGGAAAGGAAAGACTGTTACCAGCCATTAAAAAAACATACTTAAGTATACAGACCAGTGACGCTATAAAGAAACCACGCAAGCAAGTCTGCATAGTAACCAACTAACAACAAGATAACAGGATCAAATCCACACATATCAACACTAACCAAATGTAGATGAGCTAAATGCCCCAGTTAAAAGGCACAGGGTGGCAAGCTGGATAAAGAAGAAAGGCCCACACACGCTGGATAAAGAAGACTCAATGGTACGCCACCTTTAAGAGACCCATTTCACATGCAATGATACCCATAGGCTCAAAATAAAGGGATGGAGAAAAACCTGCGAAGCAAATGGTAGAAAGCAGGGATTGCGATCCTAATTTCAGACAAAACAGACTTTAAACCCACAAAGATACAAAAAGACAAAGAAGGGCATTACATATGGTAACGGGTTCAGTTAAACCTGAAGACCTAACTATTCTAAATATGTATGCTCTCAACACAGGAGCATCCAAATTCATAAAACAAGTTCTTAGAGACCTTCAATGAGACTTAGACTCCCACACAATAATAGTGGGAGACTTCAACAACACACTGACAGTATTAGACAGATCATCAAGGCAGAAAATTAACAGATATACAGGACCTGAACTCAGCACTGGATCAAACTGACCTGATAGACAGAAATACATACACTCACCACCCCAAAACAACAGAACATACATTCTTCTCATAGCCACATGTCATATACTCTAAAATAGACCACATAATTGGACATAAAATAATCTTTAGCAAACGCAAAGTCATACAAACCACACTCTTGGACCACATTGCAATAAAAATAGAAGTCAAGACTGAAAAAATCACTCAAATCCATGCAATTACAGCAAAATTAAACAGGTTGTTTACTCCTGTAGGTTTACTGACTTTTGAGTAAATAAAGACATCAAGGCAGAAATCAAGAAGTTCTTTGAAACTGATGAGAACAAAGATACAACATACCAGAATCTCAGGGACACAGATAAGTCAATGTTAGCAGGACAATTTATAGCACTAACACCCACATCAAAAAGTTAGAATGATCTGAAATTAACTACCTAACATCACAACTAAAATAACTATAGAACCAAGAAGATAACCTCAAAGATAGCAGAAGACAAAAAATAACCAGAGTTGAACTGGGGGAAATTGAGACATTAAAAATCATTCAAAAGATCAATGAATTCAGAAGTTGGTTTATCGAAAAAATTAATAAAATATATAGGCCACTAGCTAGACTAATAAAGAAGAAAAGAGAGGAGATCCAAAAAAACACAATGAGAAATGACAAAAGAGATATTACCACTGACCCCACAGAAATACAAATAACCATCAGAAACTACTATGAACACCTCTATACACAAAATTAGAAAACCTAGAAGATATGGATAAATTCTTGCACACATATACCCTCCCAAGTCTGAAGCAGGAAAAAATTTAATTTCTGAACAGACCAATAATGGGCTCTGAAATTGAATCGGTAATAAACAGCCTACCAACCAAAAGAAGCCCAGTATCATATGAATTTACAGGTAAATTCTACAAGATGTACAAAGAAAAGCTAGTTCCATTCTTAATGAAACTACTCCAAAAAATTAATAAGGAGGTACCCATCCCTAACTCATTCTATGAAGCCAGCATCATCCTGATAATAAAAGCTGGCAGAGACACAATAAAAAAGAGAAAACTTCAGGCCAATATCCTTGATGAACATCAGTGCAAAATTCCTTAACAAGATACTGGCAAACCAAATCCAGTGGCATGTCAAAGAGCTAATCCACCATGATCAATAGGGTTTATACCTAGGATGCAAGGTTGTTTCAACAAATGCAAATCAATAAATGGGATTAATCACAAAAACAGAACTAAAGACCAAAACCACATGATGATCTCAATAGATGCATGAAAAGCTTTCTATAAAATTCAACACCTCTTCATGTTAAAAACTCTCAATACAACAGATATTGAAGGAACATACCTCAAAACAGTGAGTCGTCTATGGCAAACACACAGCCAGCATCATAATAAATGGGCAAAAGCTGGAAGCATTCCCCTTGAAAACTGGCACAAGACAAGGATGCCCTCTATGACCACTCCTATTCAACATAGTATTGGGAGTCCTGGCCCGAACAATCAAGCCAGAGAAAGAAATAAAGGGCATCCAAATAGGAAGACAGGAGGTCAAACTATACCTGTTTGTGGAAGACATGATTCCATATCCTGACAACACTATAGTCTCAGCCCCAAAGCTCCTTCAGCTAATAACTTCAGTAAAATTTCAGGATACAAAATGAATGTACAAAAAGTCACCAATGTTCCTATGCACCAACAACAGCCAACCTGAGAGCCAAATCAGGAACACAATCCCATTCATAATTGCCAAAAAAGAAAAAAATTCTTTGGAATACAGCTAACCAGGGAGGTGAAAGATGTCTACAATAAGAATTACAAAACACTGCTCAAAGAAATCATAGATGACACAAAGAAATGGGAAAACATTTCATGCTTATGGATAGGAAGAATCAATGTCATTAAATGGCCATACTGTCCAAGGATATTTATATATTCAATGCTATACCAATGACATTCTTTACAAAACTAGAAAAAACTATTTCAAAAGTCATAGGGAACCAAAAATGACCTTGAATAGCCAAGGAAATTGTAAGAAAAAAAAACACAGCTGGAGGCATCACATTACTTGATTTCCAACTATACTACAGGGCTACAGTCACTTAAACAGCAAGGTACAAAACCATACACATAGACCAATGGAACAGAATAGAGAGCCCAGCAACAAGGTCACACACCTACAACCATCTGACCTTTGACAAAGTCGAGAAAAACAGGCAATGGGGAAAGGACTTCCTACTCAATAAATGGTGGTGGGATAACTGGCTAGCCATATGCAGAAGATTGAAACTGGATCCCTTCATTACACCATATACAAAAATCAACTCAAGATGGATTAAAAACTTAAATGTAAAACCTAAAGCTGTAAAAACTCTGGAAGACAACTTGGGCAATACCATACTGAACATAGGAACTTGCAAAGATTTCATGACAAATATTCCAAAAGCGATTGCAACAAAAACAAAAATCGACAAATTGGATCTAATTAAACTAAAGAGCTTCTGTACAGCAAGTGAAACTATCAACAGAGTAAACAGATACCCTACAGAATGGGAGAAAATATTTGCAAATTATGCATCTGACAAAGGTCTAATATCCAGCATCTATAAGGAAACAAATTCACAAGAAAAAAACATTAAAAAGTGGACAAAGGACATGAACACTTTTCAAAAGAAGACATACATGGATCCAACAAGTATAAGAAAAAAAACTAATATTTCTGATCATTAGATAAATGCAAATCAAAACCACAATAAGATACCATCTCACAGCAGTCAGAATGGCTATTATTAAAAAGTCAAAAAATAACAGATGCTGGTGAAGTTGCAGCAGAAAAGGAACACTTATATACTGTTGGTGGGAGTGTAAATTAGTTTCACCTTTGTGGAAACCAGTGTAGGGATTCCTCATAGAGGTAAAAACAGAACTGCCATTTGCCCCAGCAATCCCATTACCTCACAAATAAAACAGAATGCATTTTTTTCCAGTGTGTATGGAACAATACGCAGCATCCCTTCTTGAGGGTGGAGGGTGGAAGATGGGAGGAGGGAGAAGATCAGAAAAAATAACTAATGGGTACTAGGCTTAGTATCTGGTTGACGAAATAATCTGTATAACAAACTCCCGTGACAAGAGTTTACCTATGTTACAAACCTGCACACATGTCCCTAACCTAAAATAAAAGTTTAAAAAAAAATCAAGGAAAGCAAACCTAACTAGACACTCTCTACAAAAACATGCTTTAAATATAAGTGGTTTAGGTTGTTTGAAAGGAAAAGGATGGAGAAAGATATCCTACAGAAACGAATGAAAAGAAACCTGGAATAGCTATATTAATTTTAGACAAAGTAGACAGTGAAATAAGAAACATTATCAGGGAAAGGTACAGACATTACATAATGATAAAGGGGCCAATTGTTTAAGAGAATATAACAATACAAATGAATATTTACCTAAAAACAAAGCTTCAGTGTGCATGCAAGAGTGAGTGATCGATCTGAAAAGGGAAATAGGCAAACCACAATTATGGTTGAGTATTTCGACACACTTCTCTGAATAATTGATAAAACAAGTAGGCAGAAATTCAATACGGTTCTAGATGATCTGAAGAACATAATCAACCAACAAAATCTGTTTGACATATACTGAACACTCCACCAGCAATAGCAGAAGATGCATTCTTTTCAACTGTGCATAGGACATTCACAATGATAGACTGCATAAATATATCTTAACAAATTTAAAAGGTTAGAAATCATGTAAAGTAGGTTTTTAGATGATAATAGAATTAAAGTACAAATTGATATAGAAAAATACCTGAGAAATCTCTAAATATTTGGAAATTAAGCAATACATTTTTAAATACCCCATTCATCAAAGAAAATATTCTAAAGAAATTAAACATATTTGTACTAAATTAAAATTGCAATGTAAAACATAAAAATTTGTTGAACGCAGCCAAAGTGGGGCAGCTAAAGTGAAACGGATATTTATGACATTCAATGTTTCTATTAGAAAATAAGAAATATAAAAAAATTAGTAATCTAAGATTCAACCTTAAGTAACTAGAAACATAAAAGTAAATTAAACTTGACATAAGCAGATGGAAGAAAATTGTAAATATTACAGTAAAAATCAATAAAATTAAAAAAGAGAAAACAATAGGTAATATCAATGAAACCAAAAGGCTAGTTCTTTGAAAAGATTAAGAAAACTGATAAAACTTTAACTAGTTTGACTGAGAGAAAAAAAAAAACAGGCACAAATATATCAGGAATGAATAAGAAAATATCACTACTGTTTTCACAGATATTAAAAGAAAAATATGGAAATAATATAAACAACCTATTTTCATAAATTGTAAAGCTTATATGAAAATCGATCAATTCCTTGGAATTCACGAGCTATCAATATTCACACAAGAATAAATATGAATTATTCCATTCTTATTAGAGGAACTGAACATATAGTTTTAAATATTCCATACAAGAAAACACGAAGTTAAGATAGTTTCACTGGAAAATATTTAATGAAGAAATAATACTCATTCTACACAATATTTCAAGACTATAGAAGAAGAAGGAGGAGGAAAAGGAAGATTTTAAAATAATTATGACTGATGTGCTATGAAAGATGGATGAAAGATCAATAAAATAGATGAAGTGGTAGAAAATATTAACTGAGTTGGAATTCATAAAAAGGAACCAATGCATGTTCTAGAAGAGGAAAATACAAAATTTGAAGTTGATAACTCAGTAATTTTATAGCAATTTAGATATAACAGGAAGATTACTGAGGTCAAAGATAAATAAAATATCCCGATGACTTTCACAAGAGAATAAATGGTATCACGCTTAACCTGCAGCAATGATGATTTGCAGGCATTGGATAGAAACAAATGTATAACTGGAATTATTAAGAGAAGGGAGGTAAGCAAAGGGATCCCCAATTTTACCCTGGCTTTCTCCCTGGTGGCATTTTAAAAATGTAATACAGAAATACAGAGTCTAAGTGTACTGGTCTAAATGAGTTGAGAAAGTATAAATCACAGTGTGGGGCTACCCAGGTAAGTGTGATTTAGGAGGCAAGATAGCTTAGAGGAGGATTACATGGAAAAACCTCTAAAATAGTTGCTGAGATTTCTCCCTGGATCTTTGGATGACTACTAAACTGCACGTGAGCTACGCAAAATTCTGAGAAGGCTTTGACATAACATCTGTGGAGAGACCAAAAAGCTAATCAAATATCTGAAAGGCCATACTTAGCCAGAGTGGAGAGACCCAGGATCTCAATTAAGATACCTGGAATAGCTATCTTAATTGAGATAGCTAAAATAAGCTATGTTCTAAGGATGTTGCCCTAAAAATAAAGGATAAGACATAAAAGTAAAGGAAAGACTAAAAGAAACGTAGTCTAACAAACCTAAAATCAAGCTCTGACAAGATTAAAGTAAACGCTGATGATCTGACAGTTTTCTAGAACAAAATTTCACATATTTTAGAGATAGACCGCATAACTTAGATGTTCACTATGTCCAGAATTAACTGTAAAAACTGCCAGATATGTGAACTATACACTGAATGAAAGAATTCACAGCTGCCTGGAAACAACAGATGATAGAATTAGAAACTTGAAGACAGGTAAATCACAGCTCCAAGGAAAAGTGAATAAAAGAGTGCAAGACATATGCATGACACTTCACAATATTCACATCTGTGTAATTGGGATCTCAGAAGGAAGAGAGAGAACAGCAGAGATATAGAACATAAGAATATTTGAAGAAATCATTGTAGAGTATTTAACAAATCTGATGAAATGTATTAACCTACACATTCAAGAACATGAGAAACCCCAAGCAGAATGAATGCAATAAAACCACATCTAAGTAGGGAAGGGTTGAAATACTACCTATTGGGTACTATGTTTACTATTTCGGTAATGGGTTCACTAGAAGTCCAAACCTCAGTATTATGCAATATACCTGCGTAACAAATATCACCTGAATCTAAAATAAAACAATAAATGTAAAATAATAAAAATAAAGCCACACTTAAGTACATCAGAATATTGTAAGTAAAATACAGTATTAACACATCAAGAAAAAAATGACTATTAAAAGTACCAAATGAAAAAAATGCCACCTAGGATTCTATATCTAACAAAATACTATTCAAAATTCAAAGTAAAATAAAAATGTATTGTACACAAATAGACACCCACATGCAATTTATCACCAAACGATCTTCTCTAAAAGAAATATTATTCTTAAAACTGAGACCTATAACTATAAAACTACTACAAGAAAACACTGGGGAAACTCTCCAGGACATTGATCTGTGCAAAGGATTCTTGAGTAATACTCCACAAGCACAGGAGACTAAAGCAAAAATGGACAAATGAGGTCACATCAAGTTAAAAAGCTTCTGCACAGCAAAGGAAACAGTCAACAAAGTGACGAGGCAACCCACAGAATGGAAGAAAGTATTTGCAAGCTACTTGTCTGACAAGGTATTTATAACTAGAATATATAAGGAGCTCAAACAACTCTATATGGAAAAAAAATCTAACAATTCAATTAAAAATGGCCAAATGATCTGAATAGACATTTCTCAAAAGAAGACGCACAAATGGCCGACCAGCATATGCCAAGGTGCTCAACATCATTGATCATCAGAGAAAAGAAAATCAAAACTACAATGAGATATCATCTCACTCCAGTTAAAATGACTTTTATCCAAAAGATGGGCAGTAAAAAATGCTGGAGAAGATGTAGAGAAAGGGGAACCCTTGTACATTGTTGTGGGAAAGGAAATTAGCACAGCCACTGTGGAGAACAGTATGAAAGTTCTTCAAAAAACTGCACATGGAACTTCCATGAGATCCAGCAATTCCACTGCTAGGTATAATCACAAAAGAAAATAAATCACTATATCAAAGAGATATCTTCACTCCCATGTTTACTGTAGTACTATTCACAACAGGCAAGATTCAGAGCCAACTTAAGTGTCCATCAACAGATGAATGAATAAAGCAAATCTGGTACCTATATACAATGGAGTACTATTCAGCCATAAAAACAAATGAGATCCTGTCATTTGCAACAACATGGACGGAACTAGAGGACATTATGTTAAGTGAAATAAGCCAGGTACAGAGAGACTAACTGCACATATTCTCACTTGCTTGTGGGAGCAAAAAATTAAAACAATTGAACTCATGGAGAAAGAGAGTAGAATGATGGTTACCAGAAGCTGGGAAGGGTAGTGGAGAGGGTGGGAAGCAGGAATGGTTAATAGGTACAATGACATGGTTAGGTAGAATGGAAAAGATTTAGTATTTGACAGCACAACAGGGTGAGTTTAGTCAACAATAACTTATTGTACATTTAAAAATAACGAAAAAAGTATAATTGGAATGTTCATACCACAAAGAAATGATAAATGCTTGAGGTGATGGCTACCCCATTTACCCTGATGTGATCATTACACATTATATACCTGTATCGAAATATCTCCTGTACTCCATAATTCTATATACATACTATATACACATAAAAATTAAAAATTAAAAAATACATAGGGAAAATTTTTTTTTCAAGTGCTCTAAATTTAAACTGACAGATACAAATTTTGAGGGGAATACAAAAACACAATAAAAAATTAAATATTAAAGGAAGCTAGGGGCTAGGCGCAGTGGCTCATGTTTGTAATCCCAGCACTTTGGGAGGCCAAGGCGGGTGGAGCACGAGGCCGAGGTCAGGAGATCGAGACCATCCTGGCTAAAATGGTGAAAACCCGTCTCTACTACAAATCCAAAAAATTAGCCGGGCGCGGTGGCGGGTGCCTGTAGTCCCAGCTACTCGAGAGGCTGAGGCAGGAGAATGGCGTGAACCCGGGAGGCGGAGCTTGCAGTGAGCCAAGATCGTGCCCCTGCACTCCAGCCTGGGAGACAGAGTGAGACTCCATCTTGGAAAAAAATAAAATAATAATAATAATAATAATAATAATAATAATAATAATAGCCTTTTTACCTCCAAAATATCTTGTGGCACCAACCGCACAGCACAGATTATCCAGACAGGTAATATCTGTTAAATCTAGTTTCGTTTTCAACAACTACTTAGTGGAGGTTTATGTGGACTAACTGAACCTGTTATGCATGGCACGTTCTAATATCAAGAACCTGAAATTAGAAATTAACAGCAACACAGAACAATTTGGTCTGGCCATAAATTAGCCGGGCGCCTGTAGTCCCAGCTACTTGGGAGGCTGAGGCAGGAGAATGGCGTGAACCCGGGAGGCGGAGCTTGCAGTGAGCCGAGATCGCGCCACTGCACTCCAGCCTCGGCGACAGAGCCAGACTCTGTCTCAAAAAAAAAAAAAAAAAAAAAAAAAAGAAGCAGCAGCAGCTAGGGACTAGGGACATGCGTGGTGGCTTGCGCCTGTAATCCCAACACTTTGGGAGGCCGAGGCAGGTGGATCACCTGAGGTCAGGAGTTCAAGACCACCCTGACGAACATGGAGAAACCCCTTCTCTACTAAAAATACAAAAATTAGCCGGGCATGGTGGTGCATGCCTATAATCCCAGCTACCTGGGAGGCTGAGGCAGAATTGCTTGAACTTGGGAGGCAGAGGTTGCAGTGAGCCGAGATCACGCCATTGCACTCCAGCCTGGGCAACAAGAGCGAAACTCCATCTCAAAAAACAAACAAACAAACAGCTCAAAGAGAAATATTCTAGACTGAACCCTGGAACTGAGTAAAAGATTGACTGGTAACAGAAATGTTAAACATATGGGCATATGGAAATAAATATTACCTGTTTAAAACAATAGAGTAATGATATTAAAAATTATGATATGTGAGATTTTGAGCATACATATGGGTAAAATATTTGAAAACAGAAACACAAAATGCATAAAGTCAATACAAAGAGTAAAAATGTAGTAATCTTATTATGATTAGGAAGTGACAATGTACAAATTTAAAGTAGACAGTATTAATAGAAATGCATATTTTAATTTCTAAGGTTACCACTAAAACAATAGTAAAAGACAGTGTAATTTAAAAGGTAATGCAGGACAGAAACGGAATAATAAAGATGAGCTATACAAAGAAAAGATGAAAAAGAAAGAATGAAAGAACAAAGGACAAATAGATGACAAATTTTAACCCAATTATAACAGTTATTACATTAATTGAAAATGATTTGTTCACTTCAATAAAAATAATGTCAAAATCTATAAGTCAAACTCTATATAACTACAGTATATGCGGTTTCTAAGAGATATATTTCAGATATAAGAACAGATAAAAGTTGTAAGAAATAGAGACATAACCACAAAAAAGTTGGTGTTATTTTAAAATCAGAAAAATGTAAGGAAATAGATATTAGAAGAAATAAAAAGAGATATTTTATAAAATTAAAGAGTCAGTTGGTCAATTCAAAAGGAAGATCTCTTAATCCTAATTTGTATGTGTCAAGTAACAGCTTTAAAATATATAAAGCAAATTTTGACAGAACTAAAATGAAGGATGGACAAATTAACAATCTTACGAATTTTCACATATTTCCTGGAATAGTTGAATAGTTTAACACAACTCTGTATAACTTTCAGATCATGCAGACAATATTTAGTGAGAATACCTGACCAATACAATTAACTGATTTGACCTACCGGACATACATAGAAAAATTCCAACAACTGCAGAATACAATTGTTAGCAAGCATGCATAGGCCATCTGTCAAAAGGAACTATATCCTGGCTATAAAGTAGGTATAAAAAGAAAACAAGGCCGGGCGCAGTGGCGCACGCCTGTAATCCCAGCACTTTGGGAGGCTGAGGCAGGTAGATCACGAGGTCAGGAGATCAAGACCATGCTGGCCAAAATGGTGAAACCCCCTCTCTAGTAAAATACAAAAAAATTAGCCAGGTGTGGTGGCATGTGCCTGTACTCACAGCTACTTGGGAGGCTGAGGCAGGGGAATCCCTTGAACCCAGGAGGCGGAGGTTGCAGTAAGCCAAGATCATGCCACTGCACTCCAGCCTGGCGATGGAGCAAGACTCTGTCTCAAAAAAAAAAAAAAAAAGTATCTGCATAATTTTAGGATGGCCAAAATTTTTCTAAATAAGATCTGTAAAGAACTAAATATATAGGAAAAGATTGGTAAATTAAATTTCATAAATTTAAAATAATAAAGGCCAACACAGAGACTCAGAGAATATAATTTTAATATGCATATCCGACAAAGAACTCATACATCAAATGTACGAAGAATTCTGACCAATCAGTAAAGAAAGGATAAAAGGATAACAGCCCATAAAAATAGGCAAAACAAAGACAGGAAAAAAAAAAGAAACAAAATGGGGAAAGAGTTTTGAACATATACTTCACAAAAAAAGGATATCTACATAGATCAACCTTCATAGTCATCAGAAAAATGAAAATTAAAACTACAGTAAGACACCATGAAAATGGCTCTGATGAAAAAGACAGAAAATATATGAAGTGTAAGCACAAATAGAATTGTGTGTCAATGTGTAAAACTACTCAAGAAAGCTGTTTCCAGTATTTAATAAAATTAAAAATATTTATATTCTTTAGGACACGTCAATTTCATTCCTGGGTGTATACTGAAGGGAAACTGGTGCTTATGTTCATTTAAGATGTGTATACGTGTGTGATGTGTATACATGTGTGAGTCATGGCAACATTACTCACAATAGCCCAAATTAAGCTTTACATAGTAGTTAGACAGGAGGTGCCTAATTAACACACCACTGAATTAGGTGACTCTGGTGGCACCTCAAAGCAGGTCCCCTCCTCAAGTAGGTTGTCACTGCAGATGGACCTGAGGACATTTTTATAAGATGGTTTCGGGCTATCAGCAAGACTCCTTTCCTAGCACTTTTTTTCATCACAACTGCCACACTGTTGATGTAGATTTCATGTACTCTGTTCTTGTACAATGTACATGTAATATTTTGATACTTTTTCATTAATATGTATTCCAATTCAGGGACCACTTACTTGTCAGCTGCTTTTATGCACTAGTAACGTTATAGTTTTTTTATTTGATTTATTTCAGTTCTGATCAAATTTATTTCCAGTTATGGGTTAGCTGCCTTCTAGTTGTAAGTCTGTTTATATAGCTCTCTTGGTCTCAAGGTCAAATTTGGAAGTAAAAAGCTGCTGAAATCAAATTATTGAACTCTTAAGTTTATATTCACTACTGTTTTGTATCATGCTGTGCTGTTTAAATAAGAGTTATTATTGGATGTTGAGTGCTTTCATTGAAATTTTTCTATAAAAATTCTCTCTAGTAGAGATTCCTTTAAATAAGTGGTCAGTGCGGATAGGCTGGCAAGATGGCCTAATAGGAACAGGTCCAGTCTGCAGCTCCCAGAGAGACTGACGCAGAAGGCGGGTGATTTCTGCATTTCCAACTGAGGTAACTGGTTCATCTCAATGGGACTGGTTGGACAGTGGGTGCAGCCCAAGGAGGGCAAGCCTAAGCAGGGTGGGGCATTGCCTCACCTGGGAAGTACAAGAGGTTGGGGAACTCCCTCTCCCAGCCAAGGGAAGCCATTAGGGACTGTACCGTGCACTCCAGCCTAGATACTGTGCTTTCCCCATGGTCTTCACAACCTGCAAACCAGGAGATTCCTACACCACCAGGGCCCTGAGTTTTCAGCACAAAACTAGGCGGCCATTTGGGCAGACACTGAGCTAGCTGCAGGAATATTTTTTTATACCCCAGTGGCACCTGGAATGCCTGTGAGACAGAACCGTTCACTCCTCTGCAAAGGGGGCTGAAGCCAGGGAGCTTCAGCCTAGTCTGGCTAGGCGGGTCCTACCCCCATGGAGCCCAGCAAGCTAAGATCCACTGGCTTGAAATTCTCGCTGCCAGCACAGCAGCAGTCTCAGCTCAACCTGTGATGCTCAAGCTTGGTGGGGGTAGGGGCATCCACCATTGCTGAGGCTTGAGTAGGTGGTTTCACCCTCACAGTGTAAACAAAGCCCCTGGAAGTTTGAACTGGTCGGAGTCCACCCCAGCTCAGCAAGGCTTCTGTGGCCAGACTGTCTCCTTTCTGAGCAGAGCATCCCTGAAAAAAAGGCAACAGCCCCACTCAGGGACTTATAGATAAAACCCCCACCTCCCTGGGACAGAGCACCTGGGGGAAGGGGCAGTTGTGGGTGCAGCTTCAGCAGACTTAAACATCCCTACCTGGCAGCTCTGAAGAGAGCAGTGGACCTACGAGCACGGCATTCCAGCTCTGATAAGGGACAGACTGCCTCCTCAAGTTGGTCCCTGACCCTCGTGTATCCTGACTAGGGGACACCTCCCAGTAGGAGCCGACAGACATCTCATACAGGAGAGCTCTGGCTGGCATCTAGCAGGTGCCCCTTTGGGACAAAGCTACTAGAGGAAGGAAGAGGCAGTAATCTTTACTGGTCTGCAGCCTCTGCCAGTGACACCCAGGAAAACAGGCTCTGCAGAGGACCTCTAGCAAACTCCAGCAGACCTGCAGCAAAAGGGCCTGACTGTTAGAAGGAAAATTAACAAACAGAAAGGAATAGAATCAACATCAACACAAAGGACGTCCACTCAGAGAACACATCCGAAGGTCACAGACTTCAAAGACCAAACGTAGATACATCCACAAAGATGGGGAGAAACAAGCGCAAAAGGGCTGAAAATTCCAAAAACCACAATGCCTCTTCTCCTCCAAAGGATCACAACTCCTCACCAGTAAGGGAGCAAAACTGGGTGGAGAATGAGTTTGAGGAATTGATAGAAGTAGACTTCAGAAGGTGGGTAATAACAAACTCCTCCGAGCTAAAGGAGCATGTTCTAACCCAATGCAAGGGAGCTAAGAACCTTGAAAAAACATTAGACGAATTGCTAACTAGAATAACCAGTTTAGAGAAGAACATAAATGACCTGATGAAGCTGAAAAACACAGCACAAGAACTTCGTGAAGCATACACAAGTATCAGCAGCCGAATAGATCAGACAGAAGAAAGGATATCAGAGATTGAAGATCAACTCAATGAAATAAAGTGAGAAAACAAGATTAGAGTAAAAAGAGTGAAAAGAAGTGAACAAAGCCTCCAAGAAGTATGGGACTATGTGAAAAGACCAAATCTATATTCGATTGGTGTACCTGAAAGTGATGGGGAGAATGGAACCAAGTTGGAAAACACCCTTCAGGATATTATCCAGGAGAACTTCCCCAACCTAGCAAGGCAGGGCAGCATTCATATTCAGGAAATACACAGAACGCCACAAAGATACTCCTTGAGAAGAGCAACCCCAAGACACATAACCGTCAGATTCACCAAGGTTGAAATTAAGGAAAAAATATTAAGGGCAGCCAGAGAGAAAGATTAGGTTACCCACAACGGGAAGCCCATCATACTAACAGCGGATCTCTCAGCAGAAACCCTATGAGCCAGAAGATAGTGGGGGCCAATATTCAACATTCTTAAAGAAAGGAATTTTCAACCCAGGATCTCATATCCAGCCAAACTAAGCTTTATAAGCAAAGAAGAAACAAAATCCTTTACAGAAAAGGAAATGCTGAGAGATTTCATCACCAACAGGCCTGCCCTACAAGAGCTCTTGAAGGAAGCACTAAACATGGAAAGGAACAACCAGTACCAGCCACTGCAAAAGCATACCAAATTGTAAAGACCATTGACGCTATGAAGAAACTGCATCAACTAAGGGGAAAAATAACCAGATAGCATCATAATGGCAGGATCAAATTCACACATAACAATATTAACCTTAAATGTACACAGGCAAAATGCCCCAATTAAAAGACACAGACTGGCAAATTGGATAAAGAGTCAAGACCTATTGGTGTAGTGTATTCAGGAGACCCATCTCACATGCAAAGACAAACATAGGCTCAAAATAAAGGGATGGAGGGATATTTACCAAGCAAATGGAAAGCAAAAAAAAGCAGGGATTGCAATCCTAGTCTCTGATAAAACAGACTTTAAACCAACAAAGATCAAAAGAGAAAAAGAAGGCCACTACATAATGGTAAAGGCATCAAAGCAACAAGAAGAGCTAACTATCATAAATATATATGCACCCAATACAGGAGCACCCAGATTCATAAAGCAAGTCCTTAGAGACCTACAAAGAGACTTAGACTCCCACACAATAATTGTGGGAGACTTAAACACCCCACTGTCAATATTAGACAGATCGATGAGACAGAAAATTAACAAGGATATCCAGGACTTGAACTCAGCTCTGGAACAAGCAGACCTAATAGACATCTACAGAACTCTACACTCCAAATCAACAGAATATACATTCTTCTCAGCACCACATCACACTTATTTTAAAATTGACCACATAATTGGAAGTAAAACTCTCCTTAGCAAATGCAAAAGAATGGAAATCATAACAAACAGTCTCTCAGACCACAGTGCAATCAAATTAGAACTCAGGATTAAGAAACTCCCTCAAAATCGCAAAACTACATGGAAACTGAACAACTTGCTCCAGAATGACTACTGGTAAATAACAAAATGAAGGCCAAAATAAAGATGTTCTTTGAAACCAATGAGAAAAAACACACAACATACCAGAATATCTGGGACACATTTAAAGCAGCGTGTAGAGGGAAATTTATAGCACTAAATGTACACAAGAGAAAGCAGGAAAGATCTAAAATTGACACCATAACATCACAATTAAAAGAACTAGAGAACAAGAGCAAACAAATTCAAACGCTAGCAGAAGACAAAAAATAACTAAGATCAGAGCAGAACCGAAGGAGATAGAGACATGAAAAACCCTGCAAAAAATCAATGAATCCAGGAGCTGTTTTTTTTTTTTTGAAAAGATCAACAAAATAGATAGACCACTAGCAAGACAAATAAAGAAGAAAAGAGAGAAGAATCAAACAGAAGCAATAAAGAATGATAAAGGGGATATCACCACTGATCCCACAGAAATACAAACTACCATAAGAGTACTATAAACACCTACCTCTAAGCAAACAAACTAGAAAATCTAGAAGAAATGGATAAATTCCTGGACACATACACCCTCCCAAGAGTAAACCAGAAAGAAGTCAAATCCCTGAATAGACCAATAAAAAGTTCTGATATTGAGGCAGCAATTAATAGTCTACCAACCAAAAAAAGTCCTGATATTGAGGCAGCAATTAATAGTCTACCAACCAAAAAAAGTCCAGAACCAGATGGATTCACAGCTGAATTCTACCAGAGGTACAAACAGGAGCTGGTACCATTCCTTCTGAAATGATTCCAAACAATAGAAAAAGAGGGAATCCTCCCTAACTCATTTTATGAGGCCAGCATCGTCCTGATACCAAAACCTGCCAGAGACACAATAAAAAAAGAAAATTTCAGGCCAATACATCTGATGAACATTGATGCAAAAATCCTCAATAAAAAACTGGCAAACCGAATCCAGCAGCACATCCAGAAGCTTACCCACCACAGTCAAGTTGGCTTTACCCCTGGGATGTAAGGCTGGTTCAACATACACAAATCAATAAACATAATCCATCACAAAAACAGAATCAATGACAAAAACCACATGATTATCTCAATAGATGCAGAAAAGACCTTCGACAAAATTCAACAGCCATTCATGCTAAAAACTCTCAATAAACTAGGCATCGATGGAACGTATCTCAAAATAATAACAGCTATTTATGACAAACCCGCTGCCAATATCATACTGAATGGGCAAAAACTGGAAGCATTCCCTTTGAAAACCAGCACAAGACAAGGATGCCCTCTCTTACCTCTCCTATTCAACATAGTGTTGGAAGTTCTGGCCAGGGCAATCAGGCAAGAGAAAAAAATAAAGGGTATTCAAGTAGTAAACGAGGAAGTCAAACTGTCTCTGTTTGCAGATGACGTGATTGCATATTTAGAAAACCCCATCGTCTCAGCCCCAAATCTCCTTAAGCTGATAAGCAACTTCAGCAAAGTCTCAGGATACAAAAACAATGTGCAAAAGTCACAAGCATTCCTATACACCAATTGCAGACAAACAGCCAAATCATGAGTGAACTCCCATCCACAATTGCTACAAAAAGAATAAAATACCTAGGAATCCAACTTACAAGGGATGTGAAGGACCTCTTCAAGGAGAACTACAAACCACTGCTCAAGGAAATAAGAGAGGACACAAACAAATGGAAAAACATTCCATGCTCATGTATAGGAAGAATCAATATCGTCAAAATGGCCATACTGCCCAAAGTAATTTATAGATTCAATGCTATCCCGATCAAGCTACCATTGACTTTCTTCACAGAATTGGAAAAAACGACTTTAAATTTTATATGGAACCAAAAAATAGCCCACATAGCCAAAACAATCCTAAGTAAAAAGAACAGAGCTGGAGACATCACACTACCTGACTTCAAACTATACTACAAGGCTACAGTAACCAAAACAGCATAGTACTGGTACCAAAACAGATATGTAGACCAATGGAACAGAACAGAGGCCGCAGAAATCACACCACACATCTACAACCATCTCATCTTTGACAAACCTGACAAAAACAATGGGGAAAGGATTCCCTATTTAATAAATGGTGTTGGGAAAACTGGCTAGCCATATGCAGAAAGCCGAAACTGGATCCCTTCCTTACACCTTAAAAAAATTAACTCAAGACGGATTAAAGACTTAAATGTTAGACCTAAAACCATAAAAACCCTAGAAGAAAGCCTAGGCAATATCATTCAGGACAGGCATGGGCAAAGACTTGATGACTACAACACCAAAAGCAATGGTGACAAAAGCCAAAATAGACAAATGGGATCTGATTAAACAGTTTCTGCACAGCAAAAGAAACTACCATCAGAGTGAACAGGCAACCTAAAGAATGGGAGAAAATTTTTTAATCTATCCGTCTGACAAAGGGCTAATATCCAGAATCTACAAAGAACTTCATCAGATTTACAAGATAAAAACAAACAACCCCATCAAAAAGTGGGCAAAGGATATGAACAGACACTTCTCAAAAGAAGACATTTATGCAGCCAACAAACATATGAAAAAAATCTCATCATCACTGGTCATTAGAGAAATGGAAATCAAAACCACAATGAGATACCATCTCACCCCACTTAGAATGGCGATCATTAAAAAGTCAGGAAACAACAGATGCTGGAGAGGATGTGGAGAAATAGGAACAGTTTTACACTGTTGGTGGGAGTGTAAATTAGTTCAACCATTGTGGAAGACAGTGTGGCAATTCCTCAAGGACCTAGAACTAGAAATACCATCTGACCCAGCAATCCCATTACTGGGTATATACCCAAAGGTTTATAAATCATTCTGCTATAAAGACACATGCACACGTATGTTTATTGTGGCACTGTTCACAATAGCAAAGACTTGGAACCAACCCAAATGCCCATCAATGATAGACTGGATAAAGAAAATGTGGCACATATACACCATGGAATACTATGCAGCCATAAAAAGGATGAATTCATGTCCTTTGCAGGGACGTGGATGAAGCTGGAAACCATCATTCTGAGCAAACTAACACAAGAACAGAAAACCAAACACCACATGCTCTCACTCATAAGTGGGAGTTGAACAATGAGAACACATGGACACAGAGAGGGGAACATTACACATGGGGGCCTGTCAGGGGGTGGGGGGCTAGGGGAGGGATAGCATTAGGAGAAATACCTAATGTAGATGACAGGTTGATGGGTGCAGCAAACCACCATGGCACGTGTATACCTATGTAACAAACCTGCACGTTCTGCACATGTACCCCAGAACTTAAAGTATAATAAAAAATAAAATAAAATAAAATAAGTGGTGAGTGCTTGTCAATGCCTTTGGAAGGACAGAAAATAATATTCCATCTGAATACACTTGTAGCCTGCCTCCTTAAAAAGGGATATAATTTTGTCTTTGCCTACACAAGGTTTTAGCAGATAGAATCAGAATTTATTCACGCACTATAGTTGATCTTCAGATAAAAGTCGGTTAACATGCATGTCAATTAATCTTCACGTTATTTGAAGCACAATCAAAAACTGAATTTCATATAGGGGTCAGATCGGGAAATGAAATTAATTACAGGCCAGATAAAATATCAGATAAGAAGAAAAGATTAGTGGGGACTATGGAAAACTGTTGCATCTATGATCTCTTATTGGGATCAGCAGCTTACTATCTTCAGCAAATTGTGTCTGTCTAGAAATGCAGATCTGGTAGTATAAGATCTTTATATTTTTATAGAAAGCTTTATTTGTGTGTGATATCCCCTTACTGTTTTTAAGAAATTGGCTCAATTTTTTAAAAATAACACATAAATACATCTGCTCATTTGATACAACCCATGAGGCACCAGCTGTATACTTCTGGTTTAAAACAGTTAGCTTCACTGACTTTCCCTTTATATAATCAGACAAGCAAATCTGGTACAATTGAAAATTCTTCCTGCTATGTTTGCATTTATAATTAATCAGAATTTTGCTTTCTGTAGTCAAAATATCTTGCAATAATTCTGAATGTTTTTTCTGTTGATCACAAATTTTTGTCATATTGAGGAACAAATGCAACTTCTCTAGACCCTTGTATTTTCAACCTAATCCTATTCACTTAATCAGTAGATATTTACTGAATGAAAACCATGTGAAAGAACTGGTCTACATGAACAGGATACTTTACGAACAAAAGAGACAGGTCCTACTTTTTTTTTTTTTTTTTTTTTTTTGAGATGGAGTCTCCCTGTGTCGCCCAGGCTGGAGTGCAGAGGTGTGATCTCCTGGGTTCAAGTGATTCTCCTGCCTCAGCCTCCTGAGTAGCTGGGATGACATGTGCGCACCACACCCGGCTAATTTTTGTATTTTTAGTAGAGAGGGGGTTTCACCACATTGGTCAGGCTGGCCTCTAACTCCTGACCTCGTGATCTGCCCGCCTCGGCCTCCCAAAGCACTTGGATTACAGGCGTGAGCCACCGTGCCTGGCCAGGTCCTACCTTTAATAGTACTTATATGTGAACTGAATCATTAAGGTCCACTTTTAAAAGTACTTTTAAGTGCAAAACAATTAAAGTAGTTTCTTTCCCTCAAGGTATTTTTACAACATAAAAGGATTTAAAAACTCACTGATGTCACCCATACAGGCCTACCTTGAAGATACTGTGTGTTTAGTTCCAGACCACTGCAACAAAGCAAATACTTCAATAAAGCAAATCATATTTTTTATTTGTTTTCTCGTATAAAAGGTATGTTTACACTATTCTGTAGTCTATTAAGTGTGCAATAGGCTCACGCCTGTAATCCCAGCACTTTAGGAGGCCAAAGCGGGCAGATCATGAGGTCAGGAGATCGAGGCCTTCCTGGCTGACACGGTGAAACCCTGTCTCTACTAAAAATACAAAAACAAAATTAGCCAGGCGTGGTGGCGGGTACCTGTAGTCCCAGCTACTCGGGAGGCTGAGACGGGAGAATGGCATGAACCTGGGAGGCAGAGCTTGCAGTGAGCCGAGATCGCACCACTGCACTACAGCTTGGGCGACAGAGCAAGACTCTGTCTCAAAAAAAAAAAAAAAAAAAGAAAAGGAAACTATATACATACCTTAATCAAAAATAATTTATTGCTAAAAAAATGCTAGGGATGATCTGTGCTTCAGAAAATTATAATTATTTGCTGGTGAATGGTATGGGCTTGATGTTGATGGCTGCTGACTATACAAAGTGGTGATTGCTGAAGGTTGAGGTGGCTGTGGCAATTCTTAAAAGATGATAACAAAAAAGTTTGTTGCATCAATTGACTCTTTCACAGAAGATTTCTCTGTAGCATGTGATGTTGTTTAATAGCATTTTACTCACAGTAAGAATTCTTTCAAAATGGAGTTAGTCCTCTCAAACCTTATGCTGCTTTACCAAGTTTGTGTAATGTTCCAAATATTTTGTTGTCATTTCAACAATGTTCATAGCATCTTCACCAGAACTAGATTCCATCTGAAAAACCACTTCTCCTTATTCATAAGAAGCCACTCGTCATTTGTACACGTTTGATCATGAGATTGCAGCAATTCAGTTGCATATTCGGGCTCCACTTCAAATTCTAGTTCTCTTGCCATTTCCAAAACATCTGCAGTGACTTCCTCCACTGAAGTTTTGAATCTTTCCAAGTCCTCCATAAGGGTTGGAATCAACTTCTTCCAAACTCCGGTTAGTGTCGATATTTTGACCTCTTCCCATGAATAACGTTCTTAATGGCCTCTAGAATGGTGAATTCTTTGCAGAATGTTTTCAATTTGCTTTGCACAGATCAATCAGAAAATTACTGTCAATGGCAGCTTTAGACTTATAAAACATATTTCTGAAATATTAAAACTTGAAGGTTGAAATTAATCTTTGGTCCATAGGCTGCAGAATGTACATTGTGTTAGCAGACATCATAACCACATTAATCTCCTTATATATCTTTATTACAGAGCTCTTGGGTGACCAAGGGCATTGTCAATGAGCAGTAATATTTTGAAAGGAATCTATTTTTCTAAGCAATAAGTCTCAGGAGTGGGCTTTAGATATTCAATAAACCGTACTGTAAATACATATGCTATCATCCAGTCTTTGTTGTTCCATTTGCAGAGCACGAGCACAGTAGATTTAACATAATTCTTAGGGGCCCTAGGATTTTCAGACTAGTAAATGAGCATTGGCTTCACCTTAAAGTCACCAGCTGCATTAATCCCTAACAAGAAAGGCAGTCTATCCTTTGAAGCTTTGAAGCCAGATACTGACTTCTACTCTCTAGCTATGAAAGTCCTACATGGCATTTTCTTCCAATAGAAGGCTGTTTTTTCCAGACTGAAAATCTCTTATTTAGTGTAGCTATCTCCATCAATTATCTTAGCTAGATCTTCCACATAACTTTCTGCATCAGCAACTCACTTGCTGGTTCACCTTGTACTTTTATGCTATGGAGACCACTTCTACTTTTAAGTCTCCTGAAACAATCTCTATTAGTTTTAAATTTTCCTCTGCAGCTTCCTTCCCTCTCTGAGCTTTCATAGAATTGAAGAGAGTAGTTGCTCTGGATTAGGCTTTGGCTTAGGGGCATGTTTTTGGCTGGTTTGGTATTCTATCTAAATCACTCAGACTTTCTCTGTATCAGCAACAAGGCTGTTTCATTTCCATATCATTTGTGTGTTCACTAGAGTAGCACCTTTAATTTCTTTCAAGAACTTTTCCTTTGCACTCACAAGCTGTTTGGCACAAGTGTCATAGAGTTTGGCCTATCTTGGCTTTTGATGTGCCTTTCTCACTAAGCTTTGTCATCCTAGCTTTTGATTTAAAGTGACAGAAGGGCCACTCTTCTTTTCACTTGAACACTTGGGACCATTGTAGGGGTGTTCACTGGCCTAACTTCAATATTGTTTAGTCTCAGGGTATAGGGAGACCCAGGGAAAAGGAAAGAAATGAGGGAATGGTCAGTCAGTGGAGCAGTCAGAACACAAAAAACATTTATCTTTTGAGTTTATCATCTCTGTGGGTAAGTTGGTGGTGGGCGTCCCTCTTCCTTAAATTGCAATAGTGCCATCAAATATCCCTGATCACAGATCACTATATCAGAAATTATAATAATAATTAAAAATTGAAATATTGTGAGAAATATCAAAACGTGACAACTAGACACAAAGTGAGCACATGCTAGTTGAAAGACGGCGCCAACACTCGCTGAACACAGGGTGGCCACAAACCTTCAATTCCTTAAAAAAGATAAATCTGCAAAATGTAATAAAGTGAAGCACAAAAAATGAGGTATGCCTGTATCAAAAAAAAAAAAGAGAAGAGTTTTTGATAAGGCCCTAAGTGGAAAACTGGAAAACACTTTGTGTCTTTCATTTTGCCCTATTTTGGTTAATTCATACCTGCATTCTAAAAGCCAAAATGTTCATTGCCTGCACCTTATATGTCCCCGTATTGTTGAAAAGTGCACAGATCTTCTCAAAATATTTTCATACATATTGCCTGAAGAGAATTTCTTTCACTGTAGTAAAATGATGCATCTCTGGAAGATTTAGGCATGTTATTTGCTGAAATGGATATTTGAAAAGTTAAAGGCAAACTATCTTTTCTTTCATATCTTCCCAATATACAAGTTTTCAGTTAATCCCTGGTAGAGTTAGAGGGGCACAGTATCAGTGTGTGGGCGATTAATGGCCTTTATAATTTTCATTTATACAAATAAGACACTTATTGTTCTACATGTTCATATGCATTCTGTTTATTCCTAATGGCCTTGTTGCTTCAAACTGAAGCTGTCAGGCTCAGGAATTCCATCTGTTTTAATAACACACAACCATCTTCCCTATGAATGAGTGTGTCTTAGGATTCGTTTTCCTGCTAGCTATTCATTCTCAGTCAAAAACACTTGGCCTGAGATCTGATATTATTTTCAATACAGAGAAAAATAAATGTTGAGTCTCACTGCTTCTTCTATATTGGATATAGTGTTGATAGGCTTGTAGTTTAAGTGCCTTTGCAAGCTACAAAACTTGGAAAAGGTAGCTCAGAAGATACAGATCCACTATCTGATCTTAGGCAGCACCAAGTTATGAAAACATCATTGGATTGCAAGTAAGGTATCTTGATGTTCTTTTCTTTGAATCTGCCAATTATGTTTTTGTGTATCCTTGCATGATTCTCATTTCTTAAATTCAGTATTATCTACGTAATTTACAGTCCCAGTAAGACTCCATGTTCAAAAACTTTCTGTTGGCAATAGCACAGAGGGTTGAATCAAGCACAGACTTTTCTAGGGCTCTGTGCAACTGCACACGTCACATGCACATGAAGCTGACCCTGCCACATATTGGCATGTTGCTCTTTTATTTTCCTTTAATAGATACAGGGTCTCCCTCTGTAGACTAGGCTGGAATGTAGTAGAGTTATCATAGCTCACTGCAGCCTTGAACTCCTGGGTTCAAGGAATCCTCCCACCTCAGCCTGCTGACTAGCTAGGACTATGAGCACATGCTACAACACCTGGCTAATTTAATTTTTTTTTTTTTTAGAGACTGGGGTTTTGTTATGTTGCCCAGGCTAGTCTTGAACTCCTGGCCTCAAGCAATCCTCCTTCCTAAGCCTCCTGAAGTGCTGGGATTACAGGTTTGAGCCACCACTCCTGGACCATGTATGGTTTTTATAAAATCAGCATGATCTATGTACCCAGACTAAGCTATAGAATTCTTTTTTTATTCAAACACTCTCCACGAACGTAAACTATAGAATTCTTTTGAGGCTCAAATTGTATGTTGATATGTGTTTAAATTATGAGAAACAATAACTACCATAAAGAGTTGCCAAGGTTTACTGTTCAGTTTACTTGAGTGATCTAATAGTAACGTTTTGTCTCGTTTTTGTGTGTCAGATTACTTCCCATACTTTCTTCTCTATCTCAGTTTCAAGAAAGTCAGTTTAAAAATAATCACCATACATTCTGTGAGCCAACTGCATTAGGAAGTGTCTAAGGATAGGGGTGTGTGTGTGTGTGTGTGTTTAGAACCAAAGGTCAAAAGAGAAGTGTAAGTTCGAGATATAGATTTGAGAAAGTGAATGAAAAGCTCATGTTATGGGAACTATAAAGTAACAGCATTAAGGGGTGAATGAATGAGATTGTGACTGACAGCCTGGTTGATGACAGCTTGTTCAAAAATAATTCAAGGTGGCACAAAGTAAATAGGCAGAAGACAGAGAAACAGAGATTGTGTTGTAATTACTTTTGATTTTCTGTGATACCTTTTACCATTTGAAACAATGCCACACTCAGAAAAGTGATGTTTAAATAAAAGATAGAGGGGCATGGGCAGGTAATCAGATCATGTGTAAAGGAAAAGTAGTGACATTTGGCCTTTCCTTTTTGCCACCTTGATAGCATATTATTTTTTCTCCTGTTTAGATGTAAGTAATTAATGTATTAATTGCCTAAGACATAGGAAAATATAAGAGCCTTTGAGTCACTAAGACTAAAACAAAAAGAAGAAAAGTGAAAAAAATGTTATCTAGTCTCACAGATTCCTCCTCTAGAAATAATCAAATGTCTGATTATCTTATTCCAAACCTTCAAAATAGCTTACCAATATTATTTATGTAAATTTCCTTGTTATCTTTTCACTGTTCCCTGGGTACTTCAAATTCCCTCCCGAGTAAACTTTCTAATACCCAGTTCTGCTCAAAGCAGCCCTAATTTAAAGCTTACATCGTTGGACTATAGATAGGACTCAGGTTAAGTTTCAGGCCCTCCACAGTCTGGCCCAGCTTATTGTTTCCTCGTGTTTCACAGTTTTCCCTCAATCACTTCACATTTCAGTTCACTAAACAACTTAGAATGTTGTCAACATTTCACATACCTTCTGTTCCCCAGGCCATTGCATATATCACTTTGCTTAGAATAGGACATCCCACTTGTCCATCCAGCAAGCTGCCTTTTCTTTAAAGCTCACACAATTATTCTCTCCACTGTAGCTGAGTCCTTGCTGAGTTTCAGAGGGTAACTAGTTCGTGTGGTTTTCAAGATAGTTATACTAATACAAGCTGTTAATGGTCAGCTTTGCTGTGAAAACAAACCACCCAATAACTTGCTGTTATAAAAATGAGAGATTTATTTCTTGCTCATATTTTGTGAGAACTATGAATTCAGCAACCCTGTAGCAGGTAGCAGTCTGCTGTGGATTAACTTCCCTTGTCTTCTTCCTCTAGATATCAGATAGTGGTATTTCCATTAAGACATGTGAATCAGTTTAGTGATAGAAATTAAAGTTGGATTACTGTATAATGAAGGTAGTCATTTCTGAAAAGATGATTTTTAAAGCCAACATCTGAAGGACAGAGAGGAGCCGTCCTTATGAATATGGATGAGATGAGCATTCTAGGCAGAAGTAATAACAAATATAAGGGCTCTAAAACAGGAATCAGCCTGGAGTCCATGGCTGGAGAAAAGGGGAATGAAGACAACAGAAGATGAGGCAGAAATAGTAACCAAGAACTATGTATTTTTTTAAAACAACATGAAAATTTTAAATCTTATACTAATTGGAGAGCTATTGGATGATTTTAAGCTTTTGAGCAGGTGTGATAAAATATGATACATCTTTATAAAAGAACACTGGCTTCTAGGTAGTGAATGTATTGTAGTGGGGCAAGAGGAAGGAAAACATGGAAAAGCAGAGAGAAAAGTTATTAGGAACTTGTCGCAGCAATGTAGGCAAGAGGTAATTATGGCTTATACTTAGGTGGTGGCAGTGGATCTAGTGCATGTGAGGATGAAGGCCTCCCTTGAAAAGGGCAGAGACATTCCATCTTAGTAACAGAGGGAAAGCAGAATATATTGGTTGTGGTAAAATGAGAGACTTCCCTTGCCAATGGCTTCTACTTCCTTAATACAGTATGTGACAAAGTCAACAGCTGAGTCTTAGTTAGGGGGAGGTTGGGTCATATTGGAATTTTGAAGAAAGAATAGAGGGAATAAAATAATTATTTGAAGGAGTAGGAAAAAAGTTTAGGGAAGTGTAGCAGAATTGCCAGGCAGCATTGAAGACTCATATTTGTCATCAAGAATTTATAGTGAGACAAGTCAATTTGGTTTTGTGTTTTCATTCATCAGTGTCCAATTCTCCAGGCAGTGATGGATGGTTAAATTTAACTACAATTCAAGACTACTACAACAAAGGAAGGGAAAGATGAGAAAGTCAGAAGTCTTGGCAAAGCAGTGTGTGTGATTCTGTATTACATAGTCTAAAGAAGGAAGGGAGGGATTAAGGAGAGTGAAGATATGATAGGGTCAATTGATTGAGGTCTCAAAGGAACTTTAAAAAAGTTGTAAAAATGCTAGACAACAGGTGAGCATGAAGCCTAGGAGGTGTGGGTGATAGGATAGAGGGTAGGAAGTTGAGCATTTTTTTTTTAGGTAGTGAAATTATAAGTGATTCCAAGGTGATAGGTGTTACCAAAGGACAAGATGGCAGAAGTAGGTATAAAACACTGTAATTGGTAATGAGGAAGTTTAAGACTGGAGTGACAAAATACTGAAATTTGGAAATGATATGTATGGAAGAAAAGAAGATAATAACTCAGGAACTAAAGTCTTCAGTCAATGAGGGGAAGTAACTTGAGAGTCAGAAAGTGAAAATGACCATGAAGAGTAACAGGTGGTAAAACCTGATGGCATGGACTGAAAATCTGGAGAAAAGAGTTTGTAAACAGTTTAGAAGTAGGAGAGAGAAAGGAAGAGAACACTCACTCTCTTTTAGAGCCTGAGACATGTGATATTTAAGAAAAGAAACAATCCCTTCTCCAAAGAACTGCATGGAACATAGTGATACTAGGTGAATGTTTAAATAAATTCAGATCTGTTGCTGATTAGAAATCATGGGTTCAAAATATATAGTAGAATGGTTTGGGAGGAGAAAAATTTGTTGAAAATCATGTCAGACAAGTCAAGGCATAGTTAATCTTGAGGATAGAGTTGAGATGATGATAATTTTGAAGAATAAATAATTTTGAGGATTTTATTCTGGATGTACTTGGGTTTTTGAGAGGAAATGAGGTGACCAGGGATTTGTGGAATGATAGGAGGCAAAACTATCTGTCTATCATTTTTAGCCTGTAGGTTTCTAGAACTAGAAACATTTGATTTTTTTGGATAGCTTATATGGTTTTACAGCATCCAATTACATGTTTAATTGCGTCCTCATGTGAAATGCAGGATGCCCCTTGTGATGTTTTATAGGCCCTTCTGCAGATTTTTGAAGAACTGTTTCTATTAATTGAGGTTTTTTTTGACTTTATAGTTAATAAACCTACATTTCATAAATTCCCCAAAAGAATATTTTTACACTGCCTGAATATATAATCTTCTATATCATCAGTCTGGACTCTGATGAATCTTTTATGATGTCTGGACATAGAGATTCATCTCAAAGAGTCGAGCAACTGAATTTAGTCTATTAAACATGAGCAGTTGCGTTTCAGTAACCATCAACTTCTGAAACATATTGTTTCAATAAATTTCAGATGTTTTTCAATTTGCTTTCTTTGTAATTTTTTTAACTCTGGAATGTTTTAAACTATAGAAAAGTGTAAAACATAATGTGTAAGAGACACATATATGGGTTCCTCTCTCAGATTTAACAATTTTTAACATTTTGCTTTTTTTGATTCAAAGTTCTCTTTTAAATAAAATATTATTATATGGCTAAATCTTCCCCATTCCTAATCTCTTCTACCGTAAGTTGTGATAACTTTCTAACACTCTTTTTCCCATAACATAGTTTTAAACAATAGAATTTATACATTTAATAATTTTTAATAATTTAGATAATTTCATACCATAATGTGTAGTAGGCAATTTGATGTTTCTACTCCAGATTACATCTGAGATTTCACAACCTCTCTTTAAGACCTAACCATATAATCTAGTCAAACTTATTTGTCAATGACCCTTCACAGCAACCTCAAATATCTCAGAAGTGGAGACATTTAGCGTCCTCCAAGGTAAATCGCTTTTTTTCTTCTTTTTTTTTAATTTTATTATATTATTTCTAATGCCTGGAAAACTTTTCTCTATGTTAAAGCAAATTATATATATAATAATTTACTACTATATAATAGTAGTAATAATTTATCTACTATAAATTTTTTAAAAATATATGTGTATATATATATCAAGGAAACTTAGCAGTTTACCTTTGGGATATAATGACTGAGAAAGACTTCTTAAAATTTTATTAAGTAGTAACCCATAGAGAAAAACTACAATGAAATTAATTGTATAAAAAATAAGCTTATGATATCAACCTAAATGTCCATGAATGGTAGACTGGATAAACAAAACATGGTACATACATACCATAGAATACTATGCAGCCATTAAAAAAATGAGGTCATGTGCTTTGTAGAAACATGGATGGAGCTCGAGGCCATTATTCTTAGCAAACTAACGCAGGAACAGAAAACCAAATACCGCGTGTTCTCACTTGTAAGTGGGAGCTAAATGATGAGAACACATGGACACATAGAGGGGAGCAACACGCACTGAGGCCTACCACAGGGTAGAGGTTTGGAGGAGGAAGAGGATCAGAAAAAATAACCAATGGGCGCTAGGCTTAACATCTGTGTGATGAAATAATCTGTACAAAAACAAACAAACAAACAAACAAAAACTACTCATGACAGCCTGTAATCCCAGAGCTTTGAGAGGCCAAGGTGGGTGGATTGCCTGAGCTCGGGAGTTAGTGACAAGCCTGGGCAACGCGGTTTGAAATCCTGTCTCTACTAAAATAGAAAACGCCGGGCGTGGCGGCATGCGCCTGTAGTCCCAGCTACGGGGGAGTCCGAGGCAGGAGAATCACTTGAACCCCAGAGGCGGTGGTTGCAGTGAGCTGAGATCATGCCATCACTGCACTCCAGCCTGGGCGACAGAGCACGACTCCGTTTCAAAAAAAAAAAAAAAATTAAATTAGCCAGGTGTTGTAGCATGTGCTCATAGTCCTAGCTAGTCAGCAGGCTGAGGTGGGAGGATTCCTTGAACCCAGGAGTTCAAGGCTGCAGTGAGCTATGATAACTCCACTACATTCCAGCCTAGTCTGCAGAGGGAGACCCTGCATCTATTAAAGGAAAATAAAAGAGCAACATGCCAATATGTGGCAGGGTCAGCTTCATGAGCATGTGACGTGTGCAGTTGCACAGAGCCCTAGAAAAGTCTGTGCTTGATTCAACCCTCTGTGCTATTGCCAACAGAAAGTTTTTGAACATGGAGTCTTACTGGGACTGTAAATTACGTAGATAATACTGAATTTAAGAAATGAGAATCATGCAAGGATACACAAAAACATAATTGGCAGATTCAAAGAAAAGAACATCAAGATACCTTACTTGCAATCCAATGATGTTTTCATAACTTCATGCTGCCTAAGATCAGATAGTGGATCTGTATCTTCTGAGCAAACTTTTCCAAGTTTTGTAGCTTGTAAAGGCACTTTAACTACAAGCCTATCAAAACTATATCCAATATAGAAGAAGCAGTGAGACTCAATGTTTAAAAAAAAAAAAAAAACACTCACAATAGAAGTTTACCTATATACCAAATCTGCACATGTAGCCTTGAACTTAAAATAAAACTTAAAAAAAAATTAAATAAATAAAGATTTGTGGTTCAACTAAGGACACCTTAGGCCCAATTAGTATGGCAAAAACTATTTTTGATGTTCAAATTTGACTAGAAATTCCCATATATTATAGTTACAAGTAATGTGACTATAACAGATAAATTTAAAAGGATATAAATTGACTGTTTACAGAAAAACAAAAACCAGCAAGCATGAGAAGAGATACCCAAAATCAATAGTGACCACATAAATACAAATTAAAGCTATAATAAGATGCCATTTTACCACTATTAGACTGATAAAAATTAGAATGCTGGATAATATCAGTATTGCTAGAAGGAGAGGACCCTTCATCCACTGCTGGCAAGATTAGAGAACAGGGCAGGTATTCTGGTGAGTAATCCTGTACCACTTAGGCAAATTAGGCATGGGAATAACTTTTGACAAAGCAATTCTTTTTTTGCGTACATATCCTGTGAGAGTTAATTTAAAATGTCAACCTAAGGAATATCCACATAGCTGGTAAAGTATCATTTCTGTTTATGTCTGTGATGGTGTTTCTGGAAGAGACTGGCATTTGAATTAGTAGACTGAGTAAGGAAGATCTGTCCTCACCCAAGGTAGATCAGGAGCCATTTAATTGGCTGAAAGCCTGGCTAGAATAAAGAGGCAGAAGAAAAGTGAATTTGCTTTCATCCTCTCTTTCTTGGAGCTGGAACACTCTTTTTCTCCTTTCCTTGAGCATCAGAACTTCTGGTTCTCCAGCCGTTGGACTCAAGGACTTGCACCAGCAACTTCCTGAGTTCTCATGCCTTATGCCTCAGCCTGAGAATTATATAATCAGCTTCACTGATTCTGAGGCTTTCAGCCTTAGACTAGGCCAGGTTACTTTCCTGGTTCTCTAGCTTGCAAAGCCTATTGTGAGACTTCTCAGCCTCCATAACTGTGTGAGGCAATTTCCCTAATAAGCCCTTTCTCATCTATCTATCTATCTATCTGTCTGTCTGTCTGTCCGTCTATCTATCTATCTATCTATCTATCTACCTACCTATCATATCTGTCTATCTTTCTCCATATCTACAGATACACCCTGTTGGTTCTCTCTCTAAAGTACCCTGGCCAATACACATCTAAATAAATTCTCACATAGGTACAAAAAGGGACACATACAAAAATGTTTTTCATGGCTTGTTTGTAGTGGTGGTATGAGGAAGCAGGAAGGGTGGATGTTTGAGGCAATCCTGTTGCCCATCATTTAGGGACCAGATAGGTAAAGCGTGGTAGATATCCACCATGGAGTATTATGCAGCAGTTAAGAGCAAAGGATTAGGTACATACATAATATAACAAATGGATATTAGAATCATTAAGCTTGAAAAAAATTAAGAACTATAATATACAATATTATAACACTTAACATATGCTTTTCAAGAATAAAAAGAAAAAAATTCATATGAAACATGGTTGCCTATGGGGTAGAGTAAGAGTAGATCAATTATGAGGATAGAGGGAATAATTAAATGGATGAATCATGGTAAAAATCAGTGATGGAAAGGTGCTACAAACTGAATAGGGTAATTGACCCAACCCTTGGTAGTTACAGTTTCCAAAAAAGAAACCAAAACCCCTATTCTGTTCATTCCTTTGAAATCACAACAATTAGTTCCATCTTCCATACAATTATTCTATAAGTATTTGCTCTTCTCTTCTTCTGATTACACAACTATAATTGTTTCAACTCCCATGACATGGTTTCTAGACTATTTACTATTCTGTGAGGTCCTCTTTGGCACCCAGAACTGTATATAACTTCCAGATGTGGTCTGACCGTCAGAAACCGTCATATCTGGACCCTTTATATCTGATTAGGCAAGAGTTCTGGCTCTTTGGGGGACATATACCACGGTTTATTCAACTCTTCTATGTTTTCTTTCTTTCTTTCATTATTACTTATTTTCTCTATTTTATCTTCAATGCAAATTATGTATTTACTTCTACATGTTTTTCCACACTTTCTGTCTCTACTCTTATGCTAGATGTTGTGCCAGGTCCTGGAGCTTTAGAAATGATCAAGGTGCAATCTTTGTCCTGAATGTATGGCAGAAGGTGTTTCTTCTGAAGGCATGCAAGAATCAGATGTATTTGGCCTTAATTGAGTAATCTGATTTCTTATGTTTACTAAGAAATTACAGCAGTATCATTTCTCACCCCTACTGTTATTTTTAGTCGGCCATTATTCTTTTTGAAATCAATAGTCCTCTCTGAAGGGACATTCTTCTTGATATGAAAACAAATGCATCTCTACTCCTTTTGAAAATGTTAAGATTTATCTCTAGAAAGTTATCTGCTGATAGCATTTTAATGTGCTAGAGAGGTCTTCTAACCCAGAAACTATTGGATTTTCAATTCCCAGTATTTTATGTGTTAAGGAAAACAATTCCATAAAGATTTAGAAGAAAAGAAGATAATTTATAATTTTGTGAATTGCTTAATTCAGGCCGTGAGTCTTAGATTCTGGGACAGGAAAATGCTTTAGATGTAGTTCACAGATAACATTAAAAAATATGACGACTAAGACAATTCTTTTTTAATTTGATAAACCATAGTTTGTACATATTTCCCTCCCAAAGCCAATTTTGTGTATATAAAAGGCAAGCATATAAAAGCTTCTATAGACACGAACAGACACATTGAGACTGCCTTGATTTCCCATCCAACTGTCTGAACTTAGGTAGAATGAAACTTTACCTTCTTCACTCCCTTCTCTAAGAAGAAGGAGGTGCCTCTCTTTATTTTAAAGGTGAATTTAAGCCAGGAGCAGTGGCTCACACCTATAATCCTGGAAATTTGAGACCAGCCTGTGCAACATAGTGAGACCATGTCTCTATAATTAAAAAAAAAAAAAGAATAAAAAATTAGCAATATTCACAATAACAAAGACATGGGATCAACCTAAATGTGTAGACTGGATAAAGAAAATGTGGTACACACACACCATGAAATACTACGCAGCCATACAAAAAAGTCATATCCTTTTCATCAAGGACACGGATGCAGCTGGAGGCCATTATCCTTAGCAAACTAATGCAGGAATAGAAACCAAATACCTCATGTTCTCACATATAAGTGGGAGCTAAATGATGAAAATACATGGACACAAAGTGGGGAAAAACAGACACTAGGGACTCCTTGAGTGTGGAGGATGGAAGGAGACAGAGGATTGAAAACCTACCAGTCAGGTACTTATTACCTGGATGATGAAATAATTCACACACCAAATCCACATGGCACATAATTTACTTATATAAAAAAACCTGCAAGTGTTCCCCTAAACCTAAAACAAAAGGTAAAAAACATAATAAATGTGAATTTTAAACACCTGAATGTCAACCTTTCTTGACATTGTACAATTCTTGTTCCACTTATTATTTCCTCCCTCCTCTTTACCTCCCAATTCTTTCTCCATTATTTTCTTTGACTATATCACTCCTCAAGTTTTTTTCTTCTTCACCCAGAAAACCGATAAGCTCTTTGAACCTACATCCTTCTCTGCATATAATGAGCACATTTTTCTCTTTCTCTTGCCATCCGTGCTTGCAGATTGCATTTCTAAAAATCTTTTCTCCCAATCATTCCATAGCCCACTGGTAGTTGTGCCAGAACCACTCCATTGAAACAAATAGTTTCCATTGCATCAACAAAGGCATCCCAAGTACTAATTTCAATGAATACTCTATAACATTTGTCTAAATTGGCAGTAGTATTGACCAATCTTTCCTTCCTAAAACTTATTTCTTCCATTGAGATCATTAACACCCAGTTTCTTTCTTAACCGTTCCCTCTAAAACTCCGTCAATAATTTTTCTTACTCTGCCCACCCTTGGTATCCTTCAGAGGTATTTTCCATTTTCTGTGCTCTTCTCACTTCTCCCCACTTCATAGTTTTAATTAGAATCTATAAATAAATGAATCCCAAATCTGTAAATTCAGACTGAATAGTTCTCCAAGCTCCATACAATTATACCTTAACTGCCTATCTGGATTGCCTACTGGGTATTTCTTTATTTAATTTTTAATTTTTTTTAATTTACTTATTTTAAATTGACAGATAAAATTGTATTTATCATGTAAAAACATGATGTTTTTAAGTACATATACATTGTGAAATGGTTAAATCTAGCTAATTAATATATGCATTATCTCATATGGTTATCTTTTTTTCCAATATTTATTTTAGGTTCAGTGGGTACATGTGCAGGTTTGTTACCTGGGTAAATTGCATGTTGCTGCCATTTTGTGTACAGATTGTTTCATCACCCAGGTAATGAGCATAGCACTTGATAGGCAGTTTTTCAATCCTCACCCTCCTCCCACAGTCCACTCTCAAGTAGTCCTTGGTATCTATTGTTCCCTTCTTTGTGTCCATGTGTACTCAATTTCTAGTTCCCACTTGTAAGAGAAAACATGTGGTATTTGGTTTTCTGTTCCTCTGTTAATTTGCTTAGGATAATGGCCTCTTGCTTCATCCATGTTGCTGCAAAGGACATAATTGTGTTCTTTTTTATGGCTGCACAGTATTCTTGAACTTATTCCTTCTAGCTAACTGCAATTTTGTATCCTTTGATCAACTTCTCCACATCCCCCTCCTCCTGTACCACCCCAGACTCTGATAACCACCATTCTACTACTCTCTATTTCTATGAGATCAACTATTTTTAGATTTCCCATGTGAGTGAGATCATATGGCATTTGTCTTCCTGTGCCTGGCTTGTTTCATTTAACATGCCCTCCAGGTTCATCCATGTTGTTGCAAAGGACAGGATTTTCTTCTTTTTCTCTGGCCTAATGGTATTCCATTGTGTAAATATACCACATTTTCTCTATCCATTCATCCATTATGGACACTTAGGGTGATTATATATCTTGCCTATTGTGAAGAGTGCTGCAATAAATATGAGAGGGCAGATATCTCTTCAACATACTGATTTCTTTATAAAATAAGTAAATAAATGTATGTATGTACACACACACACACACACACACAAAACTATAACATAGCAACTGCACCCAGTTGCTGGATCATATGGTAGTTCTACTTTTAATTTTTTGAGACACATCCATACTGTTTTCCATAATGGCTGTACTAATTTATATTCCCACAGTGTCCAAAATATATAGGGAGTTCAAACAACTCGATTACCTACTGGATATTTCTACCTGAACTCCAAAGGCATATCCCTGTTGAATGTTCAAATTATCAATAGACCTTTTGTCCTATTTTAAAATTAATTTTCCACCATAATCTCCATATGAATTATTAGTACCACCTACTACTTCAAACATGAAACCTGGAAATTATCCTTTACTATTTAATCTTTCCTCCCTCAACCCCCATATCCAAACATTTCTCACATTTGTCAATTTTATTTTCCCAATTTCTCTTTGATATATTTCTCTCCATTTCTACCACCTCCACCTTAGCTCACAATTTCTTATTTCTCTAGAAATTTATCCGTAACAGACTGTTTAACACATTGCAGTTTTGTGTTTAAGTACCTTTATTGGTGCACCTTGGCCTCGAGCTGCCGTTAGAGATGAGTTTCTCAATATCCTTGGAAAAATAACTCCCAGATCTTCTTTCTCATTCCAAATATTGCCAAAGTCTTAGCATGCTTGTTGCCAGAATCAACTCCTTTTCATCAAGAAAACTGAGTGTTACATAAAGATATATAGCATATAAATACTATATGTGATTACCAGATTTTAAAAAGTTACATTCAGACTTTGGGAGGCCGAGGCGGGTGGATCACGAAGTCAGGAGATCGAGACCATCCTGGCTAACATGGTGAAACCCCGTCTCTACTAAAAAATACAAAAAAAAATTAGCCGGGCGTGGTGGCGGGCGCCTGTAGTCCCAGCTACTCGGGAGGCTGAGGCAAGAGAATGGCGGGAACCCGGGAGGTGGAGCTTGCAGTGAGCTGAGATTGCACCACTGCACTCCAGCCTGGGAGACAGAGCAAGACTCCGTCTCAAAAAAAAAAAAAAAGTTACATTCAGACATGCTAAATTCACAGTTCTGATTATGTCTGCATTAATATTTCAATGATGTATTTATATTCAGCTTGTGTCTTTTGGGGGTACAATGAAAGAATGTTTTGGTACGTTAATTGCTTTCTACCTCAGAAGCTGATCTCCCTAATCTTATCTAAGGGTACAATTTGAGATCACTTCCACAGAGAGTGTAGCAATAGAGTGACAAGGACAGTGGCAGCCCTTGACAGAAGGCTAATCTTCTCTTGGCTTCTGAGATGCATGTTCTAGAAAACAACGGGCTGTTGCTCTGACACAGACAATCCCACATTATCATTTATTCACAAAAATACTATCCATGAGGGGAAGAAACTGTAAAAAGAACTAATTACAATTGTGAGGCCACATTCTTCAGACAATTAGCACATCACGGGGGTGTATATTTTACTCCAAATACCAGATGGGCTAATGTGAGAAGCTTTGCATTTTGAGGAAATGGCAAAAGGCCTAAGAGTGAGAAACTGTCACTTTAAATTGCTTTTCTTTAGAAGAAAGTGTGAGAGGAAAAAGAAAACGTGAATATAAACAAGCAAAGTCTAATGGGGTCTCTGGGCAGATAATTCTAACAGGTAATAGGAAAGGAAAAATGAGAAAATCCTCAGTTTATTTCACCCTAGTTATAGCAACACTTCTTTACTGAGATTCCAACTCTAAAAGTAATAATACGAATTTGGGAAATTATAAATATATAAAACACTGATTTTTTACACCTTGTCATTCTCACAGCAAATGCATAGACAATGCATATATTAGTTATTTTTGTATTCAAAGGGAGAAATGGAATCTCAGAGAGATTGAGTGCCTTGATGAAAGTCAGCTTGTAAGTGGTAGGACTTCAACTCAATTTCAGAGCTTCTGACTCCAAATTCCAGGCCCTCATTCTTTCTATTGAGTGACAGAATCTGAGTAACAATTCTGCTCTAGGCTTTGAACTCTAAGAGAAAATTTAGCTTCATAAATATTCTTCACTCCAAAGAACAGCAAAGGTCAGCTTACTCAGTGTGTTCTGTTGATCCGACCTGGCAGGACATTGCCTCAGTGCTTCCAAGTCTAAGGAAGCTTAACCATAACTAAATAACGCCTTAAACAAGGCTTACCCAAGGATGGCTTCTCCAGAACTCTAATGATGCTGATGCAGACAGTTATGGAAGAAGCTCCTGCTTTGTTGCAATGATGTTCTCATTTAGTCTTATTAAAATAAATCTCCATAATTTATTTTAAATAATTTATGTCTCAAAGGCACCAACAGAGGAGAACAATTTATGTGCGGCTCTGAAAAAGTTCGCAGCAACTGTTTCTTTTTCTTTCTTTTTAAAGAAGCTGCTTATTTAATCTGTTTTGGTTGAATGACATTATTGAATTTGAACTTTTAGGTGCTCTTCATTTCATCAGTCTCCAGACCCTGTAAAATTAATTAGTGAAAAAAAGTTCCTATTTTTTTTTTTTTTTTTTTTTTACTAGTGCATTAGCCCTGAGAGGCTAGGCAAGAAGCTCCCAAATCAAAATGGGCTATCTGGATTGCTAAACTTATTATACTCATTTACAACTCACTGACTGTTTTTGTTCCAGTTTCTCTGGCTAACATTCCTTTCCCCCATTTCAAATGCTACCCTTAGTGGAAAATTCGCCAAAGTTGCTACCTTCCTTTTGAAGCACTCCCATATTCCTCTTGCTGTGAGTCATAATTCTCAACTCTACACTCCCACACTAAGCATATTCTCTGTATAAGAATATGCTTAAAATATTCTATTGTACAATATTGTACAATGTTGTATAATACGTATTGTATAATATTGTTACTTGTGTCTGTCTTTTCCTCTATTACGTTGATTGAATTGTGTTTGTACCTAGTAATCAATCCAGCGTCATGTAAATGGTTGATTCTCAATAAATGCCAATTGTATGAATAAAGTGGAGAAATGATGCCATATTTCTGAAAGATAGGTCTACTGCCTTGAATCTCAACTAGCCTAATTGATTTTTCTGTTTTTAGAGATGGAATTCATGAGCACCTTCTTGAGTGGTAGAGGTGTGGTTTTACATTCATTAACTCCCTTGCCTTCCATTATAGAGGACTACACATTTAGAAAGACATAAATAGGAGGCAAACGTATTTGGCTAATGCTGGAAGCACAAATTCACTTCCTGAAACTTTCTTTGTTGCATGAAACCCTCCAGGAAATAAACGACTTATGCTTTCCCCAACCTACCATGTCTATTCACAGCTTTGTCATTTGTATATGCCATTCACTCTGGGTGATGTTTTCTTTCCTCTGCTATCCAGTGATTTTTGTATTTTAAGACTCAGCTCATATGTCACCCCCTATGCAAATTCCTCCCCAATTACCTAGAATTAAAGATTTGGATCTTTTTTAATGCTGTCAGAGCACTCTGGAGTTACCTCTATTAGAAAACTGTTACCCTGTTTTGTACTTTGTGGTTTGCATACCTGTGTCTTTCCATAGACTACGAGTTTCCCTGAGAGAGCAACCATGTTTTCTTTCTCTTTCAGTCTACAAAGATATCTCCACCTTTATCTTCAAATATAAGGTGTAAACTGTCACAGTTTTTGGATAGTCATAAACTGAGAAAGCATAGGACCAGAGACATAATTAATACTTAGTAACTACTTAATGAATCAGTGGTTTTTATTAAGATAAATTATTAATCAGCTCTATATGGGAAGCACCTTACTAAGTACTGATAGAGAATAAAAAATGACTCAAACAAGGCCAAGTGATGTAAAATCACCCAGTAGGGGACCAGACCAAGGGACATGAGGATGGAAAGAATAATTGGAGCAGGAATCTGAGCTGTGCCTCAGAAGATGAGACTTTCCACGGATGGAGAAGGAGTGGGGTTGCGGCGGGAGAGACAAGGCTATTCCAGGATGCAAAAACAGCAGGATATCATAGGATGCTTTCCTGAATTGAGTTAAAGATAAACTCTATTAAATGTAAACAAAGCTGCATGAATTTAAAGGAAACAATGCATACTGCATTAAAGTAGATTAAAACTAGAGACAACCCTCTGAGAGCCAAAATGTGTTCAGTGCAGTTTGAAATTAACTTAGTACATAAAAATTCAGACAAATTGTCAGAGAAGACAGAATAACATTGCCCTGGCATGCTTTAACCTTTCTTACTTAAAACAACAAGTAGCTGGGCATACAATCACCTTTTTGCATTAACTTACGTTATTAATTGAGAATCATTATTAGAGCTTAAACTGAATACCAGCGTTGGAAAATGTGATTCAAGCTTGACT
Organism: Homo sapiens; assembly: GCF_000001405.40. NCBI lineage: Eukaryota > Metazoa > Chordata > Mammalia > Primates > Hominidae > Homo > Homo sapiens. The sequence goes on from NC_000003.12 coordinate 191,861,335, forward strand.
TGACATTTTTTTAAGTCATCCTGCCTGTGAGGGGCAGGATGGAGCTTTCCCTTTGCTCTGCTCTTTAAGGTGAGGTGAGATCCTTCAACAGGGTGATGAACACCTCTCTGGTTTCCTAGAGAAGCCTAAGACCACGCCATGGCCAGGGCGCATCAGAAAATGTAGGTCAAGCTGTGCTGAGTAAAAGAGTGTTTTCACTGGGCTACACAAGAAAGACTGGCCTGCTTTCTGTGTCATCTTCAGAAGGCCCTGCCCAAGTGTTTTCATGAAAATGGCATTAAAAGACTCATAAAGATACTGTGGTGAAGTGATCTCTAGCACTTTCACTGAAATTCTGTTACTTGAAGATTTCCAGGTAATCAAAAGACACAGAAGCTGTGTGAAAAGAAAAAACAGGGTAGGGAGGGGTTATGGGGATGGGGTTGGGTGTTTAATAATTGAAACATGAATGTATCAAAAATGACTGGCCTACTGTTTGGCAGTGATCACTGGAGAGACTGCAGAGAAGGTTCTGGAGCATGCAGATAGACACTGTAGAACTTCAGAACATTCACCAGGGAGAATATGTGAGGACAAGGGCAGGGGTCAGAAGAATAACTGAGATTGGGGCATCAGAGGAAGACAGCAGCAAAAGCTGGGTGGAGAGGCAACCAGAAGCTGTTCCCCTGGAGAGCCAGTCTCAACTGCCGTGCTCAAGCACACTTGTGATGTGGCAAAATTTGTTACCAATAAAATACAATACATAGTAAATGACTCATTTTGTGAATGGATTAGTCCATTCTCATGCTGCTAATAAAGACATACCCAAGATTGGGTAATTTATAAAGGAAGGAGGTTTAATAGACTCACATTTCCACATGGCTGGGGAGGCCTCACAATCATTGCAGAAGGCAAAGGAGAAGCAAAGTCATGTCTTCCATGGCAGCGGGCAAGAGAGAGTGTGCAGGGGAACTCACATTTATAAAACCAACGGATCTCATGAGATTTATTCACTACCATGAGAACAGTATGGTGGAAATTGCCCCCATGATTCAATTAGCTCTACCCGGCCCCACCCTTGACACCTGGTGATTATTACAATTCCAGGTGAGATTTGGGTGGGGACACAGTAAAACCATATCAGTAAATAAAATAGAAATAATATTATTCTTAAAATAACACGACCCTCAAAAAGATACATTCCGGTAGAGTTTCTAGAATGGAAGTGAGTCTATGAAGTTATCTGAACTACAGGGAAACAGTTTCTAGTTGCCTCTCCACCTAGCCATTGAACTATAGCTTTTATCTACATCAGTGGTTGCCGAAGTGAAATCTCCTGACCAGAGGCATCAGCATCCCCTGGGACCTTGTTACTAATGCAAACCAAATGAATAAAAACTTTAGGGGTGGGGCCAAAAATCTTTGTTGTAATAAATCCTACAGGTGATCTTGATCACACTAAAAATTTTAAGGACCACTAATCTATAAGTCTGTAATGACTGCCCAGTGTGGATGAACTTTTAATATTTACACATTTACAAAGTGTTTTTATGAACTCATTCCCAAAACTGAAATATAAAACACTATTAGTTTAATTTCTCTGAAAAATTGGCTTGTGTTTCTTAAAACTGAATATCAAGAGGAGGGACGTAGCAATCACGATTTTCTTGGTCAATTATCAACTCTCACACTGAAAACTAGAAAGACAATTTGCCATTAATACTTCTGACAGCATGAGAGGCCCCAGTTTTATAGTCCGCTCCTCAATCAACTCCAGAGACCCAGCAATTAGACGGCCAGTGAAAGATCTAGACCCAGCAATTAGACGGCCAGCGAAAGATCTAGACCCAGCAATTAGACGGCCAGCGAAAGATCTAGACCCAGCAATTAGACGGCCAGCGAAAGATCTAGACCCAGCAATTAGACGGCCAGCGAAAGATCTAGACCCAGCAATTAGACGGCCAGCGAAAGATCTAGACCCAGCAATTAGACGGCCAGCGAAAGATCTAGACCCAGCAATTAGACGGCCAGCGAAAGATCTAGACCCAGCAATTAGACGGCCAGCGAAAGATCTAGACCCAGCAATTAGACGGCCAGCGAAAGATCTAGACCCAGCAATTAGACGGCCAGCGAAAGATCTAGACCCAGCAATTAGACGGCCAGCGAAAGATCTAGACCCAGCAGTTAGACGGCCAGCGAAAGACCTGATGAAGAAAAGAAAGTTATGCTTTTTGAATGTGAAACTTCCATTTAATTTTTTTAAACCATCTGCTTAAAAATTATTTATGGCAAACCTGAGATGTATTTCAATTGTAAAAACAATTTTTCCCCTATTCAAGTAAGTGCCTAAGAACAAAGTCCAATGACAAAAACTGAAAAATACTATCGCCTAAAAAAAAAAAAATAGAGCTGGCAAACATAACTCTGGTTGTGTAAGCAATAATACAAGATAGCGAACACACTTAAAACGCCATAAAGATTTGCTGTGGGTATACTGTGCTAAATGAAGTCAAAGGCTAAATGAATCAGGTCCCCAAGAGTTCCACATTACTGAGAAACCTGCAGTGTATCACTCCAGTTCAAAAATGATTATTTTAAAATTTGCCTATTGAACCTCTCCTGACTGTATCCACGTTAAACCCATTACAGTTCATAGATGTTACACATACAATCAGTGAGAGACATGAAGCCCCCTAACGTTTCTCTAATGAGCTCTGACTCAGCAGATAGAGACTAATAATTACACAGCACAGAATCTATTAGATTGCTTTCTTAGTTTACGATTATCTGAAAACTGTGTTACATTACTCCTTCTGTTTGAAGTTGAGGGCAGGAATATCTTTGCAGACTGACATTTAAACATGGAGCTAAATTCTTGGCCTACTTATGGTGAAAGGATATGTATAGATAATTCCTCCAAAAGAAAAAACAAAAAGTAAGTCAATATTTGAAGTATAATTAAATGAAATTTTAAAAATAATAGGCTCCTTTGAATAACAAAAAAAGTGTTAAGATCAAATACAGTTAAGGCTACAAAGATACGATTGCCTTTTGTGTATGTAAATTTGATAGAAATCCGGCTTTATTTATGGAGAATATTCTGGTAATATTACAGTGAAAGCTGCTACATATTTTACATTTTCTATCTAGAAATTCTTTATCAGTCATTTATCCTAAAGAAATAATTCAAAAAGTAAAAATTATGCAGATAAATATATAGCTTTTCTGCTACAAATTCTTCATGCAGCTAGATAATTTTCTATTCTACACTTCTGTTGAAGTACAATTGAGAAAAGCAGAAAAGTTGTGAGTATAAACTGCAATTAATTTTTTATAAGCTGAAAACAGGTACATAATCATAATGAACACCCATATTAAGACACACAGTATTACAAGCACCAGAGAAGCCTCTTTCATTCCCCCTTCCAGTGACTTCACCACACACAATTAACAACTATCCTGACTTCCAACAAGGATAAGTTATGCCTGTTTTCAATTTTGTGTAAAGGGAAGTCTTAAGTACGTACTATTTTAAATTTGGCTTCTTCTGCTTCACATTTTATTTGTGAGAACCATGTGTGTTATATGTAATTAAGATTTGTCATTTTCATCACTGTATAGTATTCCATCTATACAACAATGTAGATGGCTAGTTCAATAAGGAGCACTTCAATAACTATTCATGAACATTTTAAAAGTTAACATAAACATGCATTTACATTGGATACAGGCCTAGACATGGAATTCTTGGATTATATGCTGTCAGTTTTCCAAAGTGCTTACATTTATACTTCTACTCAGTAGTGGATAGGATTTCCCATTGTTCCTAACTTAACTAAATCTCAGTACTTTTTTCTTCGTATTAATCCATTTTGGCAGCTGTGATTGGCATAGCATTTTAGTTTTAACTTGTATTTCTCTTATGACTAAATGTTGAGCAACTTTTTGTTTGTCTTCTATTATAATGTGCCTTCTCAGGTCTTTCCTCATTTTTCTATTAGCTTCTATGCATTTTATCATTGTTTTGTTTTATATAGTCTAGATATAAGACTTTTGTCACATATACGTATATTGCAAATGTTTTCCACACCTTGTGTCTTTCTTTCTCATTCTCTTAAAGCTGTATTTGAATGAATGTATGCTCTTAATCTTAATTTGTCCTATTCATCTAATTTTTTGGCTACCAAGTTTTGTATGTCCTATTGACGAAAGCCTATCTCAAATCATCAAAAAATTCAAAGTTTTTTTTTTTGCTTCTTTCTAAAAGTGTTGTTGTTTATATTTTATATTTAAATTGTCTATGTTTTATAGTTAGCTCTATCACAACTTAATATTTGTGTATGGGATGGGGTATCTAATTTGTCAATACTGTTTGCTGAGAAGAATCTCCCTGCCCCCACTGTGTTGTAGTGTCACCTTCATCATAAATCAGGTGACCATATATATGTAAAATATATTAATTACACTATAATACATATATAATATATACTATACAATATTATATACAATATATAATTAATATCTTATATCAATATAATTAATATATTTTAATATAAATCTATATATTATTAAAATATAAAATATATATGTATTCATATATACAATATAATTAATTTATAATATATAATAATATAATATATAAATATACATTAATATTCATATATAAGATTCTGGACTCTATTCTATTACTATAATTTTATAATTAGTATTGATATCCATTAGTGCTAATTCTCCAAATCTGTTTTTCTTAAAAATTGCCTTACAAATCTTTGTCATTTATGATTCCTTATAAATTTTAAAACCAGCTTTTAATCACCCTCCCCCAACTAAAAATTAATTTCTAAGATTCTATGTTTCTGATTGATATTTCATTTTTCATACATAGATCAATTTGTGGGGATTTGATATTTTTATAAATTATGTCTTCCAATCTTTGAACATGATATTTCACTATATTTCTTTAGGAATCCTTTAATTTTTGTCTCCACTATTTTGTAGTTTTCTGGTAAAAATCTTATATTTATCCTTTTATAAATAGTATCAATTTCTTAATTTTTAAAAATATTTGCCACTGTATTTAAATGCAATTAACTTCACTTGACTTTCTGTCCAGGAACCTTACTGAATTTATTCATTAATTTAAATACTTAGTTTGTAGACTGTTTAGAGTTTATACATACAAAATACGTCATGTGTAAATAATGACAATATTTTCCTCTTTTTTAATGTTTATGCCTTTTATTTCCTTTTCTGGTTGTAGTCATTAGAACATCCAGCCAAGTGTTAAAAAGTGGTGTTTATCACAGACATTATTATTTTAGAAGAAAAGCTTTCAAAAATTCACCGTTAATATGACACCTGTCACATATTTTAAAGATTTCCGGCCAGGTGGGGTGGCTCATGCCTGTAATCCCAGTACTCTGGGAACCCAAGGCGGGTGGATCACCTGAGGTCAGGAGTTTGAGACCAGCCTGGCCAACATGGTGAAACCCCGTCTCTACTAAAAATAAAAAAAAAATTAGCTGGGAGGCCGAAGCAGGAGAATTGCTTAAACCCAGGAGGTGGAGGTTGCAGTGAGCAGAGATCGTGCCACTGCACTCCAGCCTGGGTGACAGAGTGAGACGCTGTCTAAAACAACAGATAATGTATAATGTATAATCAGCAGATCAAACATTAATAAGTAATTAAATATTATATTACACATTAAATGGAATATTTTGATAGAAATTCTTTTGCTGTTTCTCTGTATTAAAGAGTACTACTTTGTTGATTTAACACTAAAAGCATTTTCCTACTGAAGTAGTGTCCAACATTATGAAACAAGGAATTGAATTATATAACACTGATTATCATTACAGAAACATTCCAAAACAAATTTCACATAACCAAACTATTCATACAACTTTCCTCTACCATGTCCATTCTCCATTATTTGAGTTATTCTTATTCTTATTTGAGCACTAGTTGTACTATCGTCTAAGAGAAGTAATATGTATAGGTAGGTATATAGTCAAGTACCAGAGGAAGATGGAAATTTGTCAGTAGAACCAACCACCTAGTTATATGAAGCCCAAATTTACAACTATACACTAAGATGATCAACTCAAGATTCTCTGCGTAGGTTATTCTTCAATCAATGTATTGAACTTTGAATTAAATAACATGGCCAAGTATGGTGGCTCATGCTTGTAAACTCAGTGTTTTGGCAGGCCACAGCAGGAGGATCACTTGAGGCCAGCATTTTCATACCACTCTGGGAAACAGCGAGACCCTGTCTCTAAAAATATAAAATAAAATAAAAATTAGCTGCGAATGGTGGTTTGCACCTATAATCTTAGCTACTCAGCAAGCTAAGGCTGGGGGATTGCTTGAGCCCAGGAGCTCAAGGCTGTAGTAAGCTATGATGCAGCCACTGTACTCCAGCCTGAGCGACAGAGTGAGACCCTGTCTCTAAAATAAATAGACACATAATATATGTAAGATTTGTTATTTTTAACTTATTTTCCAAGGGTATAAACATAATCAAAAGCGATTCCAATGAATCACTGTGGTTTGTGTTTTCTTACCCACAAGATTTGACAATCCATATTTATGGACCATCACCTTTTAGACCATTCAAAGAACAAGGTAGTCACCAAAAGTTTTATTTTAGGAGGCAGGCATAAATGTTCCTTTGTAATACAGTCAATTAATAAACTGGAACATTTCTAGAAAAATTAACTATTTAATATTTGATGTGGGCATTTGAATACTTGCTAAAAGTCTTTACATTTAGGTTGGATAACTTTTAAAATTTGTTTATTTTTCAATTTAAAAAATGATGATTAGCACTTGACTCTCTCCTGTACTTATCTTGTAATTGACTTTATATAAAGACAAAATTCTGACTGACAAAATGTTAATGGGTAAGTGTAATCAAGATGCAAATTCCTCAACGGTACAATGCAAATTCTGTTCATTGATTACCCCTAGATCACGTTGCTTAACAATTTAACAATATTTACACATACACACATAATAACTATGATGGCAGCTACTATTTTAGAATGGTAATATTGTCATGGGTATTTTAAAGCCTGAGAGTCATTAATTCTGCCAAGAAATATTAGAAGCTGAAAGGTACCATTAAATTTATAAATAAATTTGACAACAAATCTGGCCATAAAATAGAAATCGGAGGATAAACGTTTTAAAACTATGTATTTAATAAGGACCTAGTACATGGAATATATAAAGAACTCAATACTAAAAGACAAATAATCCGATTAAAAACTGGTCAAAGATTTGAGTAGACATTTTGCCAAAGACGGTAAGACAAAAATGACTAATAAGCACATGAAAAGATGCTCAACATTAGTCCCCATTAGGGAAAAACCATGATGAGATGCTACTTCACACTTACTAGGATAGTTATAATAAAAAAGACAGACAATAACAGGTGTTGGTGAGAATGTGGAAAAATTGGAACCTTATACATTGCTGGTAGGATTGTAAACTAGTACAGCCACCTTCGGGGCTGGGGAGAGGGACAAACGAATAATGACTGCTAATGGGAACAGGTTTCTTTTCAGGATGATGAAAATGCTCCGAAATTAGATAATGGTTATTACACAACTTTTGGAGTACTAGACATAACTGAATTGTGCACTACTAAAAGGTCAATATTATATCTCAGTTAAAAAAAGAAATCGTTAAGAGTAGATAGATGTTAAGGTATTTGACAAACATCCCAAATACTTCAAATTAGAGCTAAAACCATTCTGTACAATCTAAGAAATAATGAAAATATCTAAATAAAATTTCCATGCAAACAATAAATCTAACCTGGGAATTCACAGTGCTGAAGCAGAGTTGATAAACAAATCTTATAATTTAGGACTCCTGTCAAATGCTTCCCTTGAAAAGGAAATAAATCCACAATTCTTCAGCTTGGCAGGAAGTCTCAATTAACTGACTAAAATTGGCATAGGAGTGGACTCTATTGATCTCATATTAAATGTTTATTATTTAATAATGGATCTTTGGCAAACAAATAATGGACTTAATTTTTTACTAAAGCCAAATAAGAAGTAAATGTTTATTCTAATTTTCAAACGTACTCAAATTGAGAACATTCAGCTAAGTAATAAAAACAAATCAGATCATGACCAATTGAATTTTTAAGGCTCTCTACAAAGATATATTTACAGTAAATGTTGATGTGTTTTGCAGAAATTTAATATTTGTAATGCACTAAATTAGCTGTGGCATGATGGTCTCATAGCAATTTGTGCTGGATTTTTCAATATGCTCATGGGGTTATATAGGGCTAACAATACCCAGAGACACAAACCAGACTCTGGCATTATAAAAAGCTTGAAATGTTTCTTACAGAGGTCCCTGTGACTTAGCTATACTTTTATAACTATTCAACTTCCACATTAGCACCTGAGTTTTCTTTCTCAAATACAAATATGATCATTTCAGAATAAGTATAGAACAGGTCAATTCCAACAATTATCAACTCTAATGTTTTTTAGTTCCTATATGGTATGTAGCTACACCAGGAGACCTGGGCTCCTAGTAAACAGGCCTCCCCTCTCTCTAATGGGTTTCTCTCCCCACCCTGTGTCCATCCAGGCTGAGGCTCACTCACCTGTCTGCAAAGCCCAGAGGGAACTGTATCAGCCCGCTCAATGCTGAGCTGTGGGCAGAAGGCCTAACTTTAGGCTTTCTATAGCTCTCTCTTCCATTCCTCTAGTGAAAGCAGAAATGATATTTTATCTCAAGGAGTTGGTAAATTCTAACACTGTGGTTTGAATTTATTGGGAAGAAAAGAGGTTTGTCCTCTAGGTCAGATAAAGGAACTACTCAGGATGTGTGATACAGAACAAAAACAGAGTCCTGGAGTGTGGAGTCAAAGGCCCCGTTAATCAGAAAGTGTGTGTGTAGCATTCTTTGTTTCCTTGCGCATTTCTTTCCTTCAGAGACCTTTAGAGGAAAAAGAATCCTATGGATAAGAGCAGTATTCCTAGCACGTCTTCCCTAATAGTATTTAAATAGTTGTGATCGTTACAATTGCCTGTCCTAATTTCACTCAGCCTTTGCCTCTTGCCCTTTATAAATGCTGTGTTGGAATATTCTTCCTCCTCTTTATCCAACTGGAAAACTCCTTCTTCTTTAAGCATTAGATTAGATGTAACTTTCTCTGGGAAGTCTTTCAGGAAAAATGGTTTCCCAGCTGCCTTATGCAAAGCTACATTTCAGCTTTTATTAATTTGTATTTGAACTATTTGCTTACACAGCTCTCCGTCCCACTTAACTGCAGTTTCTTCAAAGAAAGGAGCCATATTGTATACATCTCTGTGTTCTCATAACCTGACTTAGAGCTCTTCACAGAATTCTTATCAAATGGCTAGATTTTAAATAATTTTGAACATTACCATGAAAATCTAAAGAAAGAACAAATGAGTTGATTGAATGCTTAAGTGAAATTTATTATGCCCAATTTAAGAATGGCATTACAATCAGTGAGATGGAGAGATGCAAGAGAGAGACTTTATAAACTCCAAACTCTTTGGTCTGCTTGTCAAGATCCTGTTTAATTTTAAAGACTGTCTCTCACTACTCCTTTATATAAAATCCGTATGAAAGTATCTTCTTTTTGTGTACATGCCCCAAAGTTTTGCATCTGTAGTTTTGCTGACACTTTCCTTTAAAATGTTTTCCCCAAATCTGATACACATATAGGGAATCTCCAAAGCCCTTTCCCCAGTATTTCTAAGATCCCCTCAACTCCATACCCAGCAAATGAATATCATTTACATCACAGCCAAATAACATATTGTTTGTAACTTTTCGAAAATGTTTTCTTGACTATATTCTGTACTATGGTCATTTGTTGTATTCACTGTGAAAGGGCACACAAACATCATTTTTATGTTTTAATTTGCCTACTAGAGAGAAGGTTCCAGGGTTAACGCTGTTCTCATTTCATATTTACATCCCTTACTGGCCTGGAGATATAGAAAATATTAAGGGGTTTTCTGTTACATTTAGTTCATGCAGCAGCCTGTGAGGTAAGTTTCAAATAAAGAACAAATCGACTATGTGATCATTTTTTTCCTTTGTAAGCTTTGATTATTCTCATTTATAAATTAATATCACTGAGTTAAAATAGCTTTAATGACTTTTCAGTCACTAATCTTTTAGGTCTTAAATGTTTTCTTTCAACTGTAAAACAAATTGTACATTTTTTCTTCTTGATTCTGAAATTGGAGCATTAGTAAGTTCCCTGTCTCTGTATTATCTGAAAGAGTCATTGTGGTTTTTTACACTTTATTTTCAAGTGGCAAATAATAATTGTGTATATTAACAAATGAGTGGATAATGAAAATATGGTGTATATATACATAACATATATATAACATATATATATACACACACACAGACTATAAATTATATATATAAAATACCATATATATATATATATATATATATATATATATATATAGCCATAGTCCGAATGTGTCCCCGCAAATTCACATATTGAAACAATTGCCAATCTGGTGGTCTTAAGAGGTGGAGCATTTGGGAAGTGATTAAGTGATAAGGATTCTGCTCTCATGAGTGAGATTAATTCAGTTACATTATAAAAGAGAGCTCAAAGAGCTCCCTCTCTATCTGCCCTTCCCCTCTTCTGTCATGTGAAGATGCCACCATGAGAAGACAGCATTGATGGAACGAACAGCCCTCACCAAACACTGAGCTTACCGGAGCCTTGATGTTGGACGTCCTGACTTCCAAAATTGCGATAAATAAATTTCTAATTATTATAGATTACCCAGTCCAATAAATAAATTTCTAATATTTATAATTCCCAGTCCAATAGTATTTTGTTATAGCAGCAAGAACAGACTAAGACATATATACAAGGAATACTATTCAGCCTTTAAAAAGCAGAAATCTTGTCATTTGCAACAACATGGATGAACCTGGAGAACATTATGTTAAGTGGAATAAGCCAGGCACAGAAAGACAAACACCTCATAATATCATTTATATGTGGAATCTAAAAAAGTTGAACTCATGGAAATAAAAAATGAAATGATGGCTACCAGAGGCTGAAGGAAGGGAGCAGCTGGGAAAAGGGAGGATGTTCATCAAAGGAGAGAAATAATCATTGTTTTTTTCTTTTTCCTTGGGTGGATTTGCCTTACAAATGTAGATTGTTATTTTTAACACTCAGTTATAACTACCTTGAAAATGTGTGCAGCAGTAATTAATAAGAATATAGAGGCAAAACTAAAATAAATAGGCAAAATCAGACTACTTTCATGGATAGCTATGCTAATAATGCTTGCAGCAAGAAGAAAAAAGAACTGGACTTTTTTAAATGTTCCCTATGTTTTCATTTGCACTATTGGTTAATGACGTCCTGCTTTAGTATTTTAAAAAATCTTCGTTTTTCACTGAAGGAGAGAAATGGAAAATTTTGCTCAGCATATGAGTCCTGGAATGACAGAAGGAATCACAAATCAATTATTTTAGTCCTATCTTTGTTACTGAGTTTGCAATATTGAAAACATGTTTCCAATATCCTGATAAGTTCATTTGTACAATGGATTACATTTGCTATTCTTACAGTCCCTGAATATTAGATTTAGTTACGTTATGCAAAGAGGATCAAAACATCAAGATGGAAAATACTCTTTTTAAAAAGCCCTGTTAATTTAGAAGAGTATTCAGCTCCTAAATAAACTTGCTTTTTGTTTTTTGTTTTGTTATCTGAGCAGCAGTAGCAAGATGTGAACGGATTCCTATCACTGCCATTTCCATGCTCTTCAATTTGCATTTTCACACTTCTTTTAAAAAATTATCATGTTTACCAGCTCTGGCCTTTGCCATCTCCTAAATGCATCTGAGGAAATGAATGGTTTTTACTTTTATTATATCTTCGATAGTCTCTGGTAATAGATGTCTGCTGCTGTAGGGAATTCACTAAAAAAATACAAAGATTAGTAGAGACCTTTTCTTAATTCTACTGTTTTCTCATTTACCTGAGGGTGTTAGAGTAGGGACTGAATACCTGTTTGCTGAAATGAATCACATTTATATTGATGCATTTAAATACTGGAAGCTTTTAATTAATAGGAAGGCAGATTCCTCTCTTAGTGCTCAATTAGGTGATGAGGCAAACAAGCTCATCTGATATTCATAAAAGCTTGAGAACCACCACTTGTAAAAAACCCAAGTCAGCTGAAGTAAAAAATCCCCTCAGATTTATTGGTGTCTATGAATAAAAGATGGAGCAAGTAGGACAGGGTCAGGAAAACCATTTATCTTCAAAATTGAAAGAAGTAAAGAGAAAGAAATCCTGGGGACTCCTAAAACAGAAACCAATTATCAGATGATTATTAGTGATTCATTTTTGGGATGCATTAAATAAATATTTCTCAAAAGGTGGCAGCTGATCTAGCAGCATAAGCTCCACCAAACCTCTTGAATCCGCTGTTGGAACTGGGGCCCAGTAATCTTGTTTTAACAAGCCGATCAGGTGACTCTGATGCATGTTAACATTTGAGAATCATTGTCCTAAATCATAGAGGTAACTAGTGACAGGATTAGAAGTTGAATCTAGACATGCAAGGTCAGCAAATTTAAATAGGGGAACAATATTCTATGTAATATGCCATTTGAGCTTGTGCTTTTTAAGTGGTTCCTATCCATAAGGCATTCCTGGAACCAAGTATTTTAAACATACCAGAGAGAAAGACTAATACTTTAGTATCTGTGATCAGTGTGCTATTGGGAAAATGACTTTAATTTTTATCAGATTAAATTATTGGCTGCATTTTCTGTGCCTTCCTCATCTACACCTGGAGGTTGGCCCCATTGTGAACAAAGTATTTTTCTGCCCGTTTGAAGGTTGCTTTGACTACATGATTTGTTGATTTTCATTAGGTTCTTCTGCCTCTGCCATTGCTGTGAGAAGAACATATTCAGTTAGCTGGCTAGTTAAACAAGATGCATGAAACAGAGCTGCTGAGCTAACCTACTGAAAGTAATAAGCAGACCCATGCTACCTGACAGTGTGAAGTTAAACTTGGTCAGCCCAACTTCAGCCAGTCTAGAGATCTGAGTGTTATATGCCACTGGGATTGCATGTTTATTATAGAGAAAAGCCTAGTCAATGAGTCCAGTTAGAAAAATTTGATGGACAGCCAAAACGATAATTTTTAATACCGCTCAGTGCTAACTTTTGTTGACTGTGAAATGGTTTTTTTGTTTGTTTGTTTGTTTGTTTTTCTGAAACAGTCTTGCTCTGTCACCCAGGCTGGAATGCAGTGGCCCAATCTCAGCTCACTGCAGGCTCCGCCTCTCAGGTTCAAGCAATTCTCCTGTCTTGGCCTCCTGAGTAGCTGAGACTACAGGTGCGCAACACCACGCCAGGCTAATTTTTGAATTTTTAGTAGAGACAGGATTTCGCCACGTTGGGCAGGCTGGTTTTGAACTCCTGACCTCAGGTGATCCACCCGCCTGGGTCTCCCAAAGTGCTGGGATTACAGGCATGAGCCACTGCGCCCAGCCTTGAAATGGTCTTCATGTTGTAAATTCAGACCTTCCAGTAGAATAAAAATACAATGCCCAGCCTCTAAGAAAGGTATTTCAAGGGATATCAAACCCCATTGTTACTGTTAAAGTATGCTATAAAGTTGGATTTCCATGTTTCTTGGAGTGAAAAATAAAATCTAATTTCAAAACTATTAATATGGATTCCACTTTTTTTTTTTTTTTTGAAACAGAGCGAGACTGTGTCACCCACGAGACTGTGCAGTGACGTGATCTCGGCTCACTGCAACCTCCGCCTCCCAGGTTCAAGCCATTCTCCTGCCTCAGCCTCCTGAGTAGCTAGGATAACAGGCATCTGCCATCACGCCCAGCTAATTTTTTGTGTTTTTAGTAGAGACAGGGTTTTGCCGTGTTGGGCAGGCTGGTCTCAAACTCCTGACCTCAGGTGATCTGCCTGCCTTGGCCTCCCAAAGTGCTGGGATAACAGGCGTGAGCCACCGTGCCCGGCCTTTTTTTTTTTTTTTTTTTTTTGAGATGGAGTTCTGCTCCTGTTGCCCAGGTGGGAGTGTAATGGTGCAATCTTGGCTCACTGCAACCTCCACCTCTGGGATTCAAGAGATTCTCCTGTCTCAGCCTCCCCAGTAGCTGAGATTACAGGCACATGCCACCACACCTGGCTAATTTTTGTAGTTTTAGTAGAGACGGGGTTTCATCATATTGGTCAGGCTGGTCTCGAACTCCTGACCTCAGGTGACTGCCCGCCTCGGCCTCACAAAGTGCCCAGATTACGGGCATGAGCCACCGCACCCGGCCTCGATTCCACTTTCTAATTCGGGTACATCAGTGTACCTGAAAAGGCATAGTAGGATCTTTTAAGATGAAAAAAAAAATGTTATCTACTAAGCACAGTAAGAGGAAATGTTAGCATTGACCTCCACAATCATTTAATTCTTCATTATAATAATAGCTCTAGAATTTTATGGTGTATGCCCAAGGCAATCAACAGATGACTATATCAGGGAAAAACATTAATATGCTAACAACTTCTGCAGTTTAGCTTCTGTCTGTATTCCCTGAACATGCTAATTGTTATTTGCTGCTTGTATTTAAATGAAATAAATTTCTTGAACTTTCATGACAGAAGGGTGGGTAAGAATCGTTTTTCCAGCTTTGTGGCTTTAGAGCTCTTAGACTATCAGAAATGATTAAAAAAAAAAAATAGGGTAAATCCGCCGGGTGCATGGCTCACACCTGTAATGCCAGCACTTTGGGAGGCCGAGGCGGGCGGATCACGAGGTCAGGAGATTGAGACCATCCTGGCTAACACGGTGAAACCCTGTCTCTACTAAAAATACAAAAAAATTAGGCGGGCGTGGTGGTAGCTGCCTGTAGTCCCAGCTACTTGGGAGGCTGAGGCAGGAGAATGGCGTGAACCCAGGAGGCGGAGCTTGCAGTGAGCAGAGATCGCACCACTGCACTCCAGCCTGGGCGACAGAGCGAGACTCCATCTCAAAAAAAAACAAAAAAGGGTAAATCCTGTTATTTTCTGAGATACAAAGACTCAGCTTCCCTTCCCTACTTGTGTCTTCACCCATTGAAATTATCATATAATTTTTCTTTTTGATTGATTTCTGTACTGTATTGATTGATTACATTGTTTCATTACCTGTTATATCAATTTTTCTTCCTAGGATAAATTACATGTGGTGGACTAATTTTTAAATATTTTATTGAGAATTTTAATGTATACATTCCTGAGTTGCATTGGTCAGGAATTTATTTTTCTTGAAATGTTTGACCCATATCAGATTGCACCAAAATGCTGAGATTTTTTAGTTTTTGTTTTTAGAGACAGGGTTTCACTCTGTCACCCAGGCTGGAGTGCAGTGGTGCCATATAGCTCACTACAATCTCAAACTGGGCTCAGGCTATCCTCTTGTCTTGGCCTCCCAAAACACTGAACTTACAGGTGTGAGCAATTGTACCTGGCCTTTTTAGTTTATTTTTTACTTAAGCATCCCTATTTAATATGGAAACAAGATATACTGGCATATTTTTATATAAAATAGCTTTTCTGTGAATAAAATTATGGTATTATTTTAAAATCAGAATTTTCAAAATGAATTCTGAATACAACATCTTTATTTTTCATCTTTGCAACTAAATCATTAGTGTGCAAAGTTAGGCAGAATTTCCATTACATCCTACTCATTTCAAAACTTTGCATTACCACTTTGATTTTTATATCCCCAGCAGATTCTGTTGGTTTGTTAGTTGGCTGCCTAATTGGTTGGTTTGTTAATTAGTTGGCTGGTTGGCATATCTTGGCAGAAAAAATAATATTATTTCAAGCATCATTCTACAGGGATTCTAACTAGTTGGCCTTATTTAAACTAAGCAGTTAGTAATGCTTGTAATTTACCTCACTACAGTTAAAAGTTTTTTGATTACTGAGAAAAGAGACATCTAAGATATATAGATAGATAGATAGATAGATAGATAGATAGATAGATAGATAGATAGAGATATATAGATATCTCCAATGTTTGGATTGCATTTGGATCCTGTTTTAAAAGCCAACTATAAGAAGTCATTGTATGACAACTAGGAAATTTGATCGGAAAGAATTAGTGTTAATCATAATATATAAGAGTTAGTGTTGTGATTATGTGTAAAATGCTACTTGTCTTTTTTTCAGAGATTCAACTAGAGCATTTAGGGGTAAAATGCCATTTGGCTTGGATTTGATTAAAATACATACACACAATAGACAAATCAAAAAGGCAAAATAATCATAATTCTTCAGTCTAAATGTTAGGTATGTATACTGCTCCATTACCCTTTTCTCTATTTTTGAAACATTACTTTTTTTAAATTTTTGAAACATTTATTTTGTTTGTTTGTTTTTTGGGTGTTGTTTTGTTTTGCTTGAGATGGAGTCTCACTCTGTCGTGGAGTGATCTCAGCTCACTGCAGCCTCCGCCTCCCAGGTTCAAGTGATTCTCCTGCCTCAGCCTCCCAACTAGCTGGGACTACAGGCACGTGACACCATACCCAGCTAATTTTTTTTTTGTATTTTTTAGTAGAGACAGGGTTTCACCATATTAGCCAGGATGGTCTCTATCTTCTGACCTCATGATCCGCCTGCCTCGGCCTCCCAAGTAGCTGGGATTACAGGCGTGAGCCACCTTTCCTGGCCTATAAAATGTTTTTAAAATATTGTTGATATAATTTTTTTTCAAATTTTCTTTTAGATTTAAGGGTACAAGGACATGTGCAGGTTTGTTACAAAGGTATATTGCATGATGCTGAGGTTTGGAGTACAATTGAACCCCTCACCCAGGAAATGAGCATAGTATTCAACAGGTAAATTTTCAACCCTTGACACTCTCCCACCTCCCCAATCATGTGGTCCCCAGTGTCTATTGCTTCTATCTTTATGTCAATGTGTACCCAGTGTTTAGCTTCCACTTATAAGTGAGGACATGTGGTATTTGGATTTTTGCTTGTGTTAGTTTGCTTAAGATAATGGCCTGCAGCTGCATCCATGTTGCTGCAAAGAATAGAATATAATTTTGTTCTTTTTTGATATAATGTTTTTTTAAAAGGAAAAATAATTCCATGGTATTGTAACTTTTAATTAACATTCTACAAAAGATCTTATTTTATATGTGGGGCAATGAAAACATTATGGAAGATACTAGTTATAGCTATTTTTAAGGAACCAGTGTTTTAAGTTTCTTTAAGTGAAAATATCATAAATAGTAGTGAAATATTAGAGACAATTACATTTTAATGAGAATTTTTTTTCAATTCCTAGTTTAACCATTACTGTTTTTTTATTATTTTGGTCTGCATAATACTTGAGAAGTTCTGACTTATGCAATAACACATAAACTACTACTGTCAAAAAGGAATACACAGGCCGGACATAGTTGCTCACGTTTGTTATCCCAGCACTTTGGGAGGCCAAGGTGGGAGGATCATCTGAGGTCAGGAGTTCGAGACCAGCCTGGCCAACATGGTGAAACCCTGTCTCTACTAAAAAAAAAAGAAAAAAAAAACAAAAAGAAAAGGAAAATCACTCGGACATGGTGGTGCACGCGTGTAATCCCAGCTACTAGGGAGGCTGAGGCAGGAGAAACGTTTGAACCTGGGAGGCTGATGATGTTGCAGTGAGCTGAGATTACACCACTGCACTCCAGCCTGGGTGACAAAAGCAAAACTCCATAGATAAAATTGCATCTATTTGCATGTGAATACCTTGAAGAATCCACTAAAAACATTTTAGGATTAGTAAGATAAACTTCTATGGATGCCAAATAAATTCCCAGATACTTCACTTAATCCTCTGACAAGATTATTTTGGTAAAACTTTTTTTTTGGAATAACATTCATAGAATGTGAATAAAGTTTACATGTGCACTTATTAATATTTATTTTGTTTTTAAGAATGGCTCATTGCTAGCTGCACACAACACTAGAAATATACATTTATAACACAGCAACAGCTACAGGCAAGACAGATTAGGTTGATGGTGACCACTTCTGGCCTTGATACTACTGTCTCAGATCCCCAAAACGTTTGCCTTAACTTTGATGCCACATGTCAGCATTTTCTTCTCTTGCTTTTGATTTACCTTCAGCAGATTTCTTCTCACCAGTAACATCTCAATGTTGGCATTAGTTTTAATCCTTGCATGAAAATTGTAATTTTTTTCTTTTCTTCCATTTCCCCAATTTCTCTACTGATATTTCCTGGGTCACAGGATTTTAAAAACATGTAAGTTTCCTTAGGAATGGTGATAGGAAATTTCTGCATGGATATATTACTCTGACACAATTGAAGAGCTTTTGTCTTTGCAAAGAAGAGAGGACATAAGAAACTTTCTCGTAACTATGTCCTTGTTGATGACATACCAGAAACAGCTGATACTTAGTAAGAAAACTAACACAGAAAATGGATGAGGAAAAAAAGATATAAAGAATCTGACTCCTTGATGATCTTTTCAAACTGTATCAACTGTATCAATCCACTCTGAAGCTTACTCGGCTTCTTGATTTCCAGGTGTATGAACTTGTCCGTTAGCTAAAGCTGCATAACAAACCTCCCCCAAACTCAGTGATTTAAAATTGAAACTATTTATTCAGCATGAAGTTACATTGTGAGCCATTTTTGCTAGGCTCAGTTTGGTGGTTCTAGTTTCAGTCAGCAATTACCTGTAGTCAGTAGTGAGTCAGGTGTTGCTGGTCTTCACTAAACTCTCTCTCATTCTCGAAACCTTGCCTAGAACAAATGCAGTGATTTGGCTCTTGTCAACACCACCTCTCGTCCTCCCAGGGTCTTATCCAAGCTTGTTCACATGGCAGAGGCAAAATTCCCAAAAAGCAAGCAGAAGTTTTCAAGACCTCTTGAGGCCTGTGCTTCAAACTGGCACAATTTCATTTATGCTACGTTATTTTGGCCAAAGCAGGTTTGACTCAAGAGGTCAGGAAATATATTTCACTTTCTTATGGGAGCAACTACCAAGTCAAATTGCAAGGGGCATGGATAAAGACTGTGGAACAGTAGTGTCTGTTTTTGCAACCTAGGTAGACCACAGTGAAATTATAAATTCCCTTACAGTTTAAGCAACTTTGAACCAGGAGTTTTATTATTTACTGCACACAAAATCCTAATTGATCTGGTTACTGTCAGTTTTGGTGCATATCTATCTTCGATAATGTTAAAGCAATGTTAAAATCGAGATTAAAACAGAATTCCTCCCCCAAATCAATTCAAATATTAATTTCCCAAAAAGGTTAGAATCATTAAATTGATCATTCAAAAGCTAGATATTGATATTTTTCTACTTTCTTTCTGAATTAATCATGATGAATTCACTTAAAGTTTCCATTGAAAACAAAACATTATTTTAAGGCATTATTTTTACATTTGAGCAGGTTTTAGGATGAACACTTTACCATAAAGACACATTTTACAAATGGTTCAGAAGATAAACTAGAGTAGCTCATTATCTTTGTGAAATTATAGTTGTTTGCTATAAGACCTATCAGACTTCCAGAATGTAATAAATCAGAAAGAATTCCCAGTCCTCTTCAAAAAATAAAATACATTACTATCAGAAAGTAACAATCTTCTAATGTACTCTTATAATCAAAATACCACCAATTAAAAGGTAAATCACTTACAAAGGACATTCAAAAGTAAAACAAAATGGCATTCTGCTATTTCAAAGATCTGCAACACACGCAGTATTACTGAGAGTTTGCTGATCTTACCATTAATTTGTTGGTCATTTTTCTGACCACCTATTTTCAGACAAAATGGAATAGCATAATGCTTTAGAATCTATGCTGTAATAGGAAAATAATAAAGATAACCTGTTTTATAATCCTGTCAGATGCTTAAGTGAAGTATCTGTGAAAATACTTTGTAAAGGGTGGCAATTTTACATTCCTTTTCAAAGTTCATTCTATCCAGTTACAGAGAGCAAAAATAATAAATCTGTGTTCTCAAATCTCCTTCCTTCACTCACAATGCTCTCTTCCCATTTCTATTCCTCTGTCAAAAAATGACCTATTCTGACACTTTTCCTGTGTTAGATAATAGGGTCATTGAGGCTGGAGAATCTATCTGTAGTTTCGTTGAGACAAAAAGGACATGCTTAAATTCCCATCACTTGAAAGGTCACCTAACTCATACCTATCATCTTTGAACTAAGAACACAGCTTGATTATTTTGATAGGCTAAAATGAAAAGCTCCTTAAGAGTGCTCCATTCTTAAGAATTAAAAACTGGACCAGCAAGACCTCAGAGAACTTAGATTCCGGTTCTATAGTGAACTCTATAATTATTTATGGAGAATAGGAAAAAAAATCAGTGAAAAATGATGATACTCTTGGGAGATTTTCTAAAATTCTATAATTTCTCCATTCACCCAGGAGGGCACTCATTATAAAAATGACTGTTAAAAAAAAAAAAAAAAAAAAAAAATGACTGTTAAAGTTCTACTATGCCCTAGTCATGAAGGTGTATACAAAGACACATTTAGCCTAGTCCACGCCACTAGGGAGCTTTCAGTTACGTGAGGATGGGAGTGAGGCAAACTATATTTACATAATTAACTACAACCACACTTTTGAAGTAACTTCACTACAAGGAAGAATTAAATATATGGTGTAATTGGGTATAGGAATCATCAGGTGTTATTAATGAGAAAGCTCTCTGGATTCCTGGAGCTACAAATAGAATAGAGCTAACTTGATGCCTAAATGTCTTAAGCATCAGACCATTGGGGTTTGGGATGCTCCTGGGATTCCTCACCTAACTAAAGTCGCCCCACATTTGAGTTTTCTAAGGCAACACTAAACTTAGTAGAGTTCTATTATTCATTGTACAATAAATAGGTTGTAATAATAATGATGATACCAGAGTTTTAAATCTAATGATGATTAATAGGTATTAATCTCTGAGAAAGTTACAGGCATTGTGCTGAGCATTTTATGCTTCTTATTTAATTCTCAAAATAGCTCTTGGAGATAGTTATTAATATCATCACTTCAAATTTATAGTTGATAAAATGAGGTCTAGGGAGGTTAAACCACTTACCAAAGATTACACAAGAGCAAAAGGTATGTCAGGAATGTACCCGAGGCAGTCAGCTTCTAGAATCCCCATCGTATCCATGGCCAGTCCTTTCTGTAATTATACCCCAGCATATGGCTCTCACATTCATGAAGGAAACCCTCTTCCACATTCCCACTTTTCCCCACACGTCCCCCTTTATTCTGTTAAGGCTGCTCATAGTACTGATAATAGTATGCACATTAAAGATGAATACCTTTGGCCCTAAGTTATCTACTATGTCATGCAGCCTTGTCATTTTCTTTTTTTTAATTTGAGTGATGGAGATAAATTATTTTTATTTCACATATTGTTGTGGGGCTTAGTGTGTGGATCAATACATAAAATTGACCTGTAATCAAAAAGACTGCATTAGCTCTGTTTCCTGAATATGGTACTTGGCCTTCTCCAGTTTTAGGTCTTTTCTTACCTTTTTTGGCCTGAATGATCTTTCCAATTAAATAATTTCTCAAAGTATTCTCAATGCAGAAAACATTTTAAACTATACAATTCCTAATCATTCTTCGAATTCCAACTTACATTTCACTGCCTCTGTGACTCCAAGTTTTTTTTTTTTTTTTTGCCTTGACACTGAGGAATTAACCTCCATCCTGAATCCAGTGAAACCTATTATAGATGCCCCCTGACTTCGGTTGGGATTACATTCTGATAAGTTCATCATTAACTTGAAAATATCACAAGTCAAAAATGCATTTACTACATCTAACCCACCAAATATCATAGCTTAGCCTAGCTTTCCTTAAATGTCCTCAGAACACTTACATTAAGCCTACAGTTGGGCAAAGTCATCTGGCAACACAGTACACTGTAGGGTATTGGTTGTTTACCCTTGTGATCATGTGGATAACTGGGAGCTGCAACTTGCTGCCACTGCTCAGCATCCTGTGAGTATTGGACACTTTCCACTGAATGCTATTGCTTTTGCACCAGCATAAAGTCAAATATTGTCAATCAAACCATTTTAAGTCTGGAACTGACCGTATTAGCACTTACACATGGTTTGCCTTGTATGAAATGTATGACTTTCTCAACGGTGTGCCCCTTGCCCTCTCCATCAGAGCCTAGAATGGCAATTGGCTTAGAATTGATGCTCCATAAAGGCTTATTGAAGCTAGTTTTTTAGTCTCAAAACGGTGGAAGATTAATATTCAAAGCAGGTACATACAAATCAGGATGTTCTTATCCCCTGCAGAGACTCACTGACAGAATCAATTGTTAGAAGACAGCTTTTACTCTGCTGTCTTTCTCACTTTGTGGACTTTAATAGTGCTGAGGAATATTGTCTACGTTATATTATTATTCATCTCTACTGCTGTTTGTAGTTTGTGTAGAGAGAAGAGGGCAAATCAACAATAAGATTATTTTTACAGAATAAGGCGAAAGTTACTCCTGGCCTACTGGCTCAATCATTATTCTGAGTTCTTAACTGTCATCTTACTTCTTCACAAAATGTGGTCATACAGCTTATCATCTTCATAATATTATTTACATTAGCAATATTTGTTAAACCATGCTACTACAGGTTTACCTTGAAATCTCTCTCTCTCTCTGTGTGTGTGTGTGTGTATGTGTGTGTGTGTGTGTGTGTGTGTGTGTTTATACATGCCTGTGGGGTAATGTGATAATTTCTGAGTGTTTATAAGACTTATAATATTTAGTAGGAATTAAAGTCTACTTAATATTGTGAAGGTTATGTAACTGGGAATCACATAACAACCTGCTTAAAAATCTGTAGAGAAAACAATCTGATACTTAAGAGATAGCCACAATTAAGCAATCTTTGAGACAGATTGACAGATAAGGTCTTCCACACTCTGACCTTTATCTATATTTTCAGCCCCATTTCTCAGTGTTTCCTCACATTAACTTCATATTCCAAGTCAGTCTTAACTGCCAGTTTTTCTGCCTCCAGCATTTGAACATAAATCCTAGAATGACTGCACCTGTCAAAAATAAAAATCCTATGGCCCAGTCCAGTTGCTGCCTTTTAAATCACTCAGTAGTAATTACTATATATTGCTTTGCTCCTCTCCTCATAGTACTTTCAATCTCCCATGTTATGTCTCTCATAATAATAACTGTAAAGTTCTAAGCAATGTCAATCAATTTTCTCATTTAATACTTGCATTGACCCTAAAAGGAATGTACTAGTATCTTGTCTATTTACAATGAGGACACTAAGGAACTTGCCCAGTAACACCAACTTGTAATTGGTAGGTTTGGCAAACCTGCACCTCTAGAGGCCAAATGGTTAACACTACGTTGTACTAATATCCTTACAGTGAGTGTTATTGTTGTTATTGGTATATTTTATCCATGGTACTAGGCTTTGTGTTGTTCTGAAGCAGAACTTGTATTTTATTTATTCTTTTTGATATTTAAGTAATTTGTATTCTTAATTTATAGTTAATATGTGCTCTCCAAACTGAATTGTGACTCTATTCAAATGTCCTCCTGCCTCTGAAAGCCTTCAAGGGGGAATAGGGACAAACTAAAGAAAATGTTCATGAATGAAACCATTAGCTCACAGACAGAACATGAACTCTCCTACAATTGTTAAAGGGAAGGCTAGTTATTGCTATTGATTTGTATAATAAATTTATATTAGCATAATTAAAAATTGAACGTCCAAAATGATTAAAAAGAGCAGAAAATAAGAGATTCAGAATATACTAGCTAAACCTTCTTGAAACAAAACATTACTCAAATGGGTACTGATATTAAACACATTCAAATATCTATATTTACTATATTCTACAAATAATAATATATTAATATAGTAATACTCTATTCTACATTTTATATCACTACACTATACTATACATTCTAATTACCAAATTCTACAAATATTCAGTAATATAGTAATCAATATAGTAATACTCAAATAATATAGTAATTTTTTTTTTTTCGAGATGGAGTCTCACTCTGTTACCCAGGCTGGAATCCAATGGCATGATCTCAGCTCACTGCAACCTCTGCCTCCTGGTTTTAAGCGATTCTCCTGCCACAGCCTCCTAAGTAGCTAGGATTACAGGCACGTGCCACCACGCCCAGCTAATTTTTTTGTTTGTTTGTTTGTTTGTTTGTTTTTTTGAGACGGAGTCTCACTCTCGCCCAGGCTGGACTGCAGTGGCGCAATCTTGGCTCACTGCAAGGTCCGACTCCCGGGTTCATACCATTCTCCTGCCTCAGCCTCCCGAGTAGCTGGGACTGCAGGCGCCCGCCACCACGCCCGGCTAATTTTTTGTATTTTTAGTAGAGACAGGGTTTCACCATGTTAGCCAGGATGGTCTCCATCTCCTGACTTCGTGATCCGCCCGCCCCGCCTTGGCCTCCCAAAGTGCTGGGGTGAGCCACTGCACCCGGCCTAATTTTTGCATTTTAAGTAGAGATGGGATTTCACCATGTTGGTCAAGCTGGTCTTGAACTCCTGACCTCGTTATCTGCCCTCCTCAGCCTCCCAAAGCGTTGGGATTACAGGCGTGAGCCACCACTCCCGGCTATAATATAGTAATATTTTATACACCATTTTAATTTGAAAATGATGAAAAATAAACACTTTAAATTGGCAAAAGATGGTTATAATAATAACAGAAACATATCACTATTGGCTAAGATGTTGATTTTTCAAATCATATATGTTGGCATAAATAACGAAGAGTTTTATCAAGGGACATAAGTAACAAAATATTAAATGAGAAAAAGAAAACAAGAATCGATGCTAACAGAAACCAATCAATGTCCTAAGCTACAACGCAGCAACTGAATATCCTGGTATACTGTGCAAAAATAAGAACATGGAAAGTTAGACTGATTTTTATCACAAAAGAGGTAGCTTACCATTGCCTCAAGAAAGATTAAAAATTTACTGGAACTAAATGCTAATGTACATTTTTCATTTGGCGTGTTATATAATTGATTTTTTGAGAGTAAAAATGCTCAACTACAAATTCACAACAAAAGCAAAATCTAATTTATACTAAAGTTTTTGATAATGAAGAATGTGTTCAAACTATCTCAGTGGGAATACTTCTACAAGAAATATGAGCTGAAGAGAAGAAACTCATGTGTTCCAAATATGTAAATATATAGGGTTTTATCATATAATTTGAATCAAGTTAAAAAATTTGAATGTATAGAAAGGAAAAGACCTCTTAGAAAATTTTCTCTAAATATCTTAGCTCATTTCAACTTTCACTAGAAGTTTCCCAATTTATGCTCAAATCTTTTAAATCATCATTTTATGCTCGAACCACATAAAAATACTTGCAGTTCTCTAATACAGTTATTATTTCATGGCCTTATGTCCTTTCACATGCTTTTTTAATGGAAGAAATACCCATTCCCCACTATTGTCATCCTGTGGAAAGATGATCACAGGCTCTTTGAAAATACCTCTGATCCACAGGTAAAAATCTGTTTGTTTCTCCTCTCCTATTTGGTTATATGTTTTAATGATCATTATTTTGGTAATTACATTAATGTCAGTTTCCCTAAAATCATCTGTAAACTCAGGGACATGCAATACATTTTGCTCACTTTCAAAGAGTCTTTTATATACAGAATATATGCATAAATGCATATCGAATAAATGAATCTATTTCAACCTATTAATACTTAAACAAAACACATTGTTGAAGAAGACCGGACATAATGTTAATCTGTGAAAGTAAATTTTAGGTGAAACCAAATGGTTCAGAAAAATGGATACAGTATAGGCATTTGCTAATAAACTGAGAAGACCAACTCATTTCTTGTAATATTTCATTCAATATTGTCTATTAAATTCCTGTTATTTACCAAGCAGTATACTTGGAGGAATCCCCAGGCCACACCAGAATGCAGCATGGGTGAAGAATAATTTTATAATCTACCAGATATAGGAAAAATGGTCAATACATTTTGCTGATCATCTACTCTAATCATCAAGCTGATAAATCTTTTTTTAAAACTTTTTCTCAACAATCAAAAATATTATAATATCAGTACTATACTCTGAATTTTGTTAAAGGGTGATCTCTACGGAATGACTATATGCACTCCAAAATGAAAACACAGTTGAGAATCCAAAGGTTTATATAGACAGACATTTGGAAGCAAATGAATCTCCAGTCACCCCAAGTTCTTGACTGTAAGCCCTACAGGGAAGGCAAAACAAAGAGAATGAAATTAGGGCACATGTAGGGAGAAGAATTTCTTCATGTTGCTTGAAAACGCTTGTTTATCTGTCTAGTTCTTCCCTTTGCTTTGCTAACCTTAACTTTTAGAACCAATTCTCCTCTGAGTCAATCTCTGAAATTGCCATTTTTTTGTAGCTTGTCGTTCTCTTTCCCAAGGGTTCGCATTTATGCAAGATGGGAGTAAACTCTAGTCCATACAGAGAGTAATAAGTTTTACCTCGCACCGTCTCCATGAACTGTCTTGATGATTAGGGGTTAGTTAACTGCTTTGAAGGGGACAAAGCACTATTTAGAAATGAGTGCTATTCACTCATAGCACATGCTCCAAGTATGTTTTAATGTATGGGAGCTTGGGGGACAAGATTCAGAAATGTATTATTTCTTTAGATTATTCTGAAGTTCATATATAAAAAGATACTACTTAGACTACTTAGAGGACCTCTTAAATAAAATGGTTGGATCTGACATTTTAATATTTATGTTCAAAGATTAATTTTGGAAATAGAACTTAATAACAAAGTGAGTTATGTTAATATAATTGTTTTTACAAGCACTGCAGATAATTGGCTAAAATTTATAGAGAAATTTTTAAATTTTCTTTATTCTTTAATTAGATTTAGAATATATTTAGAATATAACCATTATAGCTAAGAAACTGCTAAGAAGCCATGTGAGATGTCAACATATTCCCAGATTCCAGGTCAACATAAAATCTTGTATATATGCGTACATTGTGACTACTTCTACGTGTACTTCAGATAACAGTGTATGTATATATATGTATATACTAATATAAATAAATAGTCCTTACAGATAAAGAAGCCAGAAAAGCAATGTCTGTAATAGAGAAGTCAGTATAAACAAATTTTTAAATTTATGCTTTCATACAATCCTAGAATGTTATGGTGGAAGGGAACTTTTGGCTCTCTTTTCCAAGCATTTACTAGTCAAAATGGATAATGTAAGGCCTGGAATGGCAAAGGCTGAATGTCACTCAATTTTCACGTCCAGCTTTAATAAAATCAGGGCTTCATGCAATCTTGCCACTATTGGCTTTCCCAAACTCTTCTCACCATATAAATTATTTAGTACTTAATTTATTTGTATAACTTCTTTCATTTATTCCCCAAAACACTTTTGAGTGAAAAAACACCCAAAACTTCTAATTTATATAAAGGTATTTTAATTTATGAATGTGTTCTAATTACCAGATGCTTATGCCTATAATTAAAGGTAATAAATAGTTCCATTAGTCTTAATCTTATTGTGAAAATGCCTATGGAAGAGTCGCCATTCTTTTGTCTTATCCACATGTGATCTGAATGCACTTGCTAGACTAAACTTTCCTCTTTTCCTCACACCTTCCCAAACTTCCAAATCCTATCAAATGTCAAAGGAAATCGTGAAAGCAAGTGTTTCGTCTGTTACCTTGAAGTCAAGCTGTTAACAGTTCTGTGTTCCTTTTCCCTCAGCTGTGTACTATCCTGAGGCAGTCTGAGAAACAGAAGTAATAAATAAACAGGGAAGAGAGTTATGTACGATCATTAGAATTTTCACATATGTTTCAGTCCTACAGTGACAATGCTCTGAAAAGCAAGACAGTTCCAAAAGTAGCAGCGGGCTATAGCACCTTCCTTTGCTTCCCAAAAATGTACTGACTGAAATTTTACGGGATCTTGTTTGGTATTTGTAGAAGGCTTTTCAGTCAATAACGAATGCCTGTAACTGAAGATCAAATCTGGAGCTAGAGGATCCACACTACATGTTTTACTACAAATAGAAATCCATGTTGCTGTAATGAATAAGCTGTATTTATTTATACCTTGGCCATGAACATTTTGAAAGCTGTATATTCAGCAGTGACATATGGTTCATTGAAGGCCTAAAAATCTATTTGTTTTTAACAGAGATGTTCCTTAGCTTTTTCTCACTGTTCATGTTACTAGAGGCTGCTGTGATAAGACTATTTTTATAGAACCTCAAAATAAAATTCTGATAAAATACTACACTCTTTAGGAGTTCCTTTAATAACATAATCAGTCTACTGCTTTTAGAAATGTTATTCAAATAAAAACACACATGGTTTCATATATACTGCTCTCCCTCGATATTAAATAAATTTAAATTCCAGAATTATTTGCTAGAGTTGGAAACTTCCACTCATTGTCCTAGTTCCTCTCCATAAATACACCATAGAAACAGTAATTCTGAGACAACTATTTCATAGAGGTCTCAGATTATCAGAGGGTCAAATCTGGACTGCTAATATTGCTATTAATCTTCCCCTGTCAGTAACAGCATTCCTTCTGGCAGCCTCTGAATCTTACAGATGCTTTGTAGCTCAGTCACCCAAAGGGAGTTCCAAATTTAAAGGTATGTTTTTTAAAAAAATGCAATGGGAAAATGTACTGTAATTTAGAGTGAAGGAGTGTAAGCCATTTTCCATAAAGTCATTTCAAATAGAAATCACTGTTGAAGTGTGAAGTCTTTTTTTCAGCTTAAAGAAACATTTTTATTTTCGTGGATAGAGTATCACAACATATTATCCGTTTTTGTCAATTTAGCAAGCTTTACGATAATTATGAAAAGCAGCAGCAAGTCATCCTGAAATTACAGAAAACATACTTTTTTAGATAAGGATACTACTCTGTCTCAAAGTCTTTAGTAATCACCCTCCTCTAATATTTTCCACTTAGCTGTTTATTTTATTTTAAAGGGATGTTCATAGTGCTGTAGCATATTAGACTGGAAAGGAACATTGAGTGCAAGCTGCAGATGAGGAAAGTGAAACATACAGACTTGGAGTGATTCAGGCAAGGGCAGACAGAGAAACAGTGGCAGAGATTAATTTTCTTCTGGGTGTCTTATCATTAAACTATCTAAAATATATGCCTCTATTGTTAGTGAGGTCCTTAAATGATACAAGATTTACCTCTCTCGTTAAATTATATAACATATGTGACTCTCACAAAATAACTTTTGGGTCTTAAACAACAGTAAAATTGATATTGTGACTAACAAAAGTGCCTAAACATCTTAAATCCATTTTGTTTTCTAGATGTTATGCCTTATATTATAGACCTGATCCTATATGTTTAATACTTTATAAACATTTTGTCAGTCTATGCTCAATGTCTTTCTTGAATTTCAAAAACAATTCTTTTGGATTTTATTATCAAGAACAAATGAAACAATGTTTCTCTCATTTTCCAGCGAAAAAAGCCAGAAATGTTTAGTTATAAAATACTGCTGGGAATTTTGATATCTGTGTTTCGGTCCTAGTTAAACCACTTTCTAACAATTTCCAAAATGGGACATGGCACAGTGCAAAAGCCATAATTATTTAAATTATCACCTACTCATGATTCAAATTCTAGATCACTAAATATGTGGAAACTTCATGGTCCCTTGTTGACATTCAATCTTTTTTAAATGAGAATAATGATAACAGTTTTACCAAATTTGTAAAGAGTAAAGGAATTAGCTAATTGGAAAACATCTGGAAATTATAAATACCTCCATATTCCTATTTAAAAGCCAATATTCTGAAGTTTGTGTTAAGAATTCCACATAATTTCTAGAGTTTTTCTATCATTTTATTTTTAAGAAAATTTATTTTAATTCCCATATGTCAGGCACCATACTAATGAGTTAGGATAAAAATTAAATATAATATAGTTTCTACTCTTAAAAAAGTATAACCTACACCTCTAAATGAGAAACATTTAAAATAAGTAAAAGTGAAGTGTTAAGTAAATGATGATGCTAGCAAAATGCTACAAAAGGAAGGTTTTATAATCAAATTCTAGTGAGTAAAACAATGAGATGGCAATGTGGGCTACATGAAGAAAGTTTTGTAGATAGAAAACTCCAGAAATATTGATAATACTAAGATTTATTCCATACTTTCTAGATGCTAGATACTATGCTAAGCATTTGGTAGGTATTTCCTGATAAAAATAATGATTCCAATTTCATAAAAGAGGTAACCAAAAACTCACTTTGTGTAATTTAGCTCACACTGAGACATGATAGTACTTATCCAAGATCATACAACTTGTGTACAGCAGAGGCATGACTGAAATGAACATAGCCTTATTCAAAAGCCTGCATAAACTACTAAGTTTAGTGAAAAATACCCGAGTAGCAAGTTGGTAGAAGGTGTTCATTGAATCAGATGTTAGGAAACTTGAAATTTATTCTGTAGGCAAAGGAACAGAATGTAATCTAGCATATCATTTATTTGTTATATGATCAACTTTAGGTTCAAATTTTGGAAATCTGGAATTGTTGTATAAAGCATTTTCTGTTTCAACACAGATTTTAAAGCAAGAAATATTGCCAAAAGTAATGAAGCTATTAAAAAAATACACTCAACTAATTTTTCATACTAATTATGGATTCATTTTGTAATATTGTTTTCCTACAATTTTTAACAAAATAAGGTGGCATTACTCCAATATTTAATTTTTACAAATTCTAATCAAAGTAACTGAATAATTTTTAAAGTCAGGTATTAAAAAGGATTCATAACAGCTATAATCCAGTGACCGACTGTATATTTCTGCCAGTTCTGCTCCTCTGAGGCAATCAATAAGCCTAAATAATACACAGTCTCATTCTACTACTTACTGACTTGACACTTTAGGCCTTGTCTCTTTATATTGTGCTAAGAGGTAAGAATTTGGCTTAGGAATACTACCACTCTATTTATTTAAATCCAGTAATTATGTCACTATTCTAATTTCTTTTCACTTCAACCCTATGTTTTTCATGTCATAATCCATAAACTCCCTATTTGTCTCCTCATTCATAGGCTACTAAATGGCTCTCCATTTGGTAAGCAACCCAAGTTCCACTTCCAATGCCGTTTTTTATACATTACTTTTACATTTTTTAAGTGACTAATATTTACATTCTCAAGACTTTGAGACCACAGTTCCACTCAAAACATTCACAAACATATCATATCATTTACATTTTATGGTAATGTAAATGTTCTTCACTAAAAAGTCAAGAAGACTGCTAAAATTATCTATAATTTCTTTGCATCCAAATTCATAATTCTTCTGCTTCTCACGAGTGAATGTTTTAACCATCAAATTTCATAAGACTCTTCTGATTCACACCTCCCCAGTTGCCTTGAACTCATTCCCAAGTTTTCCCAAGCCAGCTCAAAGTTGTTCTAAGTGGGTATGAGAAAGAGAGAAGGAAAATAGCTTGCTGTTTTAAGACCTTCTATTAAACCACGTAATTTTATTACCACTTCTTACCACAATTATCTGATTCCTTGGCCGTCTCTGAATGCAGAGCCTCACTAATGTTCAATGAACCAGATGGATTCTCTCTCAGCCTTCAGTTCTCTCTGGGTATCGTCTGTCTTTCAGCGTTCTCTGCTACTCATCCATCAACATTCTTCCACTTTCATTTTGTCTAATAAAATATATATTAAAATTTTTTGTTTATCTTTTGAAAATTATTTTTCTATTATTTTAAGGCAAGAGGAATAATATGTGCACACAATTCACCATAATGAATTGAAATTCATGTTAATATTTTGGTTAATTGATGATACCCTCCTAATGCCAGCTCTTTTCATCTAATCTTCCCCGTCTTTTGCTAATTCTGTAGTTGAAATTTCTTGCAATAATTAATATAGAGGGTCAGGATTAATGCAAACATTGGTACCATAAGTAAATAAAGAAAACACAAAATGCTTGCAGTTTTCCAAAGCTGCTCACTGAGAAATAGTACTCTTGTTTCCTCCCATCCTTCTTCTCTTTTCCTCCACTATCAGAGGAAGAGTTACATGGGTCATAAAGATTAATTTTATTTTCTTTGAAATAGAGTCATTTAACATACACTGGGGAAAATACAATGTCTTCAATAAATGGTGATAAACTGGATATTCATATGCAAAAGAATGAAACTAGACCCCTATCTTTCACTATATACAAAAATCATATCAAAATGGATTAAAGATGTAAATCTAAGACCTCACACTATGAAACTACTACAAGAAAAATTTGGAGAAAATTTCCAGGGTATTGAGCTGGGCGAAAATTTCTTGAGCAATACCCCATAAGCACAAGCAACTAAAGCGAAAAGGGACAAATGGGATCACATCAAGTTAAGAAGCTTCTTCACAGCAAAGGAAATAATCAACAAAGTGAAGAGACAACACACAGAGTGGGAGAAAATATTTGCACACTAACTCTCTTACAAGGGATTAATAACCAGAGATATATCTGCCTAAAAAGTCCTTCCTAAGCAATGTAGATATTTTCAACCTCTAGATATTCTCAAGTCGTTCTTTAACCATGAAGTGAAGTTCTGACAATTTTCTCAAGGAGTATCTGGCAAGAAAGTTCAAAGTGGTATGTACAAACCACTGGAAAACAATCACAGTAGTTGTATTCTGTGGCGAAAAAAAAGCCAGAGTCATCTCAACTGGACAAAAAGTTTAAAAATTTAATTTGTAGATTATAATCATTGTATGGAGAAACTCAATGCTATGTAATCTCTCTTTCAAGGTCTTCCTGAGTGAAATGTTAGCTACTCAGCCATTTGATCAATGCTTCAGCTACAGACTGACAATTCTATTTCACTCTTTCATCCATCATCCTTGGTATATTTCCTATGGGATTGGAGACCCTCAGAAAAAGTCATGTAACTAAGTGGGGCATTCCATCTGCAGGTTGCTGGTCTGAACAAGAGATTTGCTTCCATTATGCTGCCACTGTGAATACAGAATTTGTATTAATTTCATATTTGCTTTTGTAGAATAGGCTTAAAAGATACTTGAATCTAAAATTTAGCATCTAACTATTATGCTTAAATTCCTCAAGGTAGTGGCACAATAGTCCCCCTTTGTCTTACGGGAATGTTTGCAACTCTAATGGGTTATGTCAGTTTACCTCACTCCCTGTAGCTCTTCCAGGATAATTTGTTACTGAAAACACTGTTAGTCTCCATAGCTCTTTGAAATGTGGAAGCCCTAGGTCTGTAATCTGATACCTAATCCTGACTTTTTGTTGGCCAATAATTACACAGTGTTAGAGTTCTTTTCATAAAATCTAGCTTCTCTGCACAAACTAAGCTAAAAGAGATGTTTTGGTATTTGATAGGAAAAGAGAATGATAACCTCTGTCCTCAGTTTCTTTTGATTACACTTAGCCTCTGTCAAAAAGTTATTGAGCCAGGCTGGAAGACCTGGTGATCACAGAGGTTCCTTTCTGCTCAAGAAAAATGTGCATTCTAATTGAGACAGCAAGTTTGTAGACAAGGTCAAACCATGTTTCCCTGAATGGAATTCTATTCCTCATTTGTACTTCTGAGAAGTCTTCTGAATCTCTCACAGATGAGCATATATAATTCCGTAATACCAAAAGATTAAGCTATTAATATCTGTTCAAGCCAAAAAAAATACAGAAAATCCTCTAAATGGGACTATTCTACCAGGAACAATGGAGAAACTAAGCTAATTTATAAGGCTAAATGAAACATTTTTATATGCATAAATATGATTTTTAAGAGTAGGGTATATTTTTGCTCCAGTTTTCATATCTTTCCACTCCGTGACAAGTTTTTCTTTCTTCCAGACTATTGGGATAAAACACTCTTGTGTATGAAAGTTACTGCCATCCAAAGAGGCAATTCTTACATTCAATGTTTTCATATTATTCTTGTTTTCATGTGCGTCCGTGTGAAGAGACCACTAAACATGCTTTGTGTGAGCAATAAAGCTTTTAATCACCTGCGTGCAGGCGGGCTGAGTCTGAAAAGAGATAAGGGTGGGGCCATTTTTAT
Source organism: Homo sapiens (assembly GCF_000001405.40). Taxonomy (NCBI): domain Eukaryota; kingdom Metazoa; phylum Chordata; class Mammalia; order Primates; family Hominidae; genus Homo; species Homo sapiens. Next base: position 191,895,502 of record NC_000003.12, read on the forward strand.
AGGATTTGGGTAGGTAAAGGAAAATTACAGTCAAAGGGGGGCTGTTCTCTGGCGGGCAGAGTGGGGGTCACAAGGTGCTCAGTGGGGGAGCTTTTGAGCCAGGATGAGCCAGGAGAAGGAATTTCACAAGACAATGTCATCAGTTAAGGCAAGAACAGGCAATTTTCACTTCTTTTGCGGCGGAATGTCATCAGTTAAGGCAGGAACCAGCCATCTGGATGTGTACGTGCCGGTCACAAGGGATATGATGGCTTAGCTTGGGCTCAGAGGCCTGACATTCCTGTCTTCTTATATTAATAAGAAAAATAAAATGAAATAGTGGTACAGTGTTGGGACAGCGAAAATTTTGGGGGTGGTGTGGAGAGATAATGGGCGATGTTTCTCAGGGCTGCTTCGAGCGGGATTAGGGGCGGCGTGGGAACCTAGAGTGGGAGAGATTAAGCTGAAGGAAGATTTTGTGGTAAGGGGTGATATTGTGGGGTTGTTAGAAGAAACATTTGTCATTTAGAATTATTGGTGATGGCCTGGATACGGTTTTGTATGAATTGAAAAACTAAACAGAATAAGAGAAGGAGAAAAACAGGTATTAAAGGTCTAAGAATTGGGAGGACCTAGGACATCTAATTAGAGTGCCTAAGGAGATTCAGCATAGTCCTGCCAGCAAAGATTATTTATTTACTTCAAGAGTTTAGAGTGGCAATTTGGGGATAGCACCAGGAGATATCAGCTGTGATGGCTTAGAGAAACAGTGTAAACAGGCAGTGTAAACAAGAGCAGGGCATGTATGAGTAGTTGAGAACGGTGAATAGGAGTATGACTAGACAGAAGATAGTAGGGATGACAAGTTTTTTTGGGGCACAGTCTAAGTTGGTCTGGTGTCTGGAATGAGACTGGGGCCTAATAAAAAGGAGCGTCTATACAGGAGCTTAAATGGGCTGTACCCTGTAGCATTCTGAGGACAGGTCTGACTTCTGAGAAGGGAAAGTGGTAAAAGTATTGTCCAGTCCTTTTCAAGTTGGTGGCTGAGCTTGGTGAGGTGTGTTTTTAAAAGACCTTTAGTCCATTCTACTTTTCCTGAAGACAGAGGACCATAAGGGATATTAAGGTTTCACTGAATACTAAGAGCCTGAAAAACTGCTTGGCTGATTTGACTAATAAAGGCTGGTCTGTTATCAGACTGTATAGAGGTAGGAAGGCTAAACTGAGGAATTACGCCTGATGGAAGGGAAGAAATGACTGTGGTGGCCTTCTCAGACCCTGTAGGAAAGGCCTCTACCTATCCAGTGAAAGTGTCTACCTAGACTAAGAGGTATTTTAGTCATCTGACTCAGGGCATGTTGAGTAAAGCCAATTTGCCAGTCCTGGGTGGGGGCAAATCTTGGAGCTTGATGTGTAGGGAAGGGAGGGGGCCTGATTAATCCCTGAGGAGTAGTAGAATAGCAGATGGAACACTAAGAAGTTATTTCCTTGAGGATAGGTTTCCATGATGGAAAGGAAATGAGAGGTTCTAAGAGGCGGGCTAGTGGCTTGTACTATAGCATAGCCTGCCTTTGCTGGTGTGTGGTGATTAGGCCTGGTGGAACCACCATCAATAAATCAAGTGTGATCAGGGTGAGGAACAGGAAAGAAGGAAATATGGGGAAATGGGGCGAATGTCAGGTGGATCAGAGAGATACAGTCATGAGGGTCAGGTGTGGTATCCAGAATAATGTGTGAGGCTGGATTGAAGTCCAGGCCAGGAACAATGGTAATTGTGGGACTTAACAAAGAGTGAGTACAGCTGAAGGAGCCGGGGAGCAGAAAGCATATGTGTCAGGTATGAGGAAGAAAATAGATTTTGGAAGTTATGAGAAATGTAGAGAGTGAGTTGAGCATACTTTGTGATTTTGAGGGCCTCTAAAAGTATTAAAGCAGCGGCAGCCGCTGCACGCAGACATGAGGCTAGGCTAAAACAGTAAGGTCAAGTTGTTTGCACAGAAAGGCTACAGGGTGCGGTCCTGGCTCTTGTGTAAGAATTCTGACCGCACTAACCATGCCTAGGAAGGAAAGGAGTTGTTGTTTTGTAAGGGATTGAGGTTTGGGAGATTAATCGGACACGATCAGCAGGGAGAGCACATGTGTTTTTATGAGAATTATGCCGAGATAGGTAACAGATGAGGATGAAATTTGGGCTTGACTGAAGTAACGAGGGCTATCTGTGAAGCCTTGCGGCAGTACAGCCCAGGTAATTTGCTGAGCCTAATGGGTGTCAGGGTTAGTCTAAGTGAAAACAAAGAGAGGCTGGGATGAAGGGTGCAAAGGAATAGTAAAGAAAGCATGTTTGAGATCCAGAACAGAATAATGGGTTGTAGAGGGAGGTACTGAGGATAGGAAAGTATATGGGTTTGGCACTATGGGGTGGCTAGGCAAAACAATTTGGTTGATAAGGCGCAGATTCTGAACTAACCTGTAAGCCTTGTCTGGTTTTAGGACAGGTAAAATGGGGGAATGGTAAGGAGAGTTTATAGGCTTTAAAAGGCCATGCTGTAACAGGCGAGTGATAACAGGCAAGTGATAACAGGCTTTAATCCTTTTAAAGCATGCTGTGGGATGGGATATTGGCACTGAGCGAGGTAAGAGTGATTAGGTTTTAATGGGATGGTAAGGGGTGCATGATCAGTCCCTAAGGAGGGAGTAGAGGTGTCTTATACTTGTGGGTTAAGGTGGGGAGATACAAGGGGAGGATGTGAAGGAGGCTTTGAACTGGGGGAAAAGGTGGCAATGAGGTGTGGCTGTAGCCCAGGAATAGTCAGGGAAGCAGATAATTTAGTTAAAGTGTCTCGGCCTAATAAGGGAACTGGGCAGGTGGGGATAACTAAAAAGGAGTGCCTAAAAGAGTATTGTCTAAGTTGGCTTAGATTTGGGGAGTTTTAAGGGGTTTTGAAGCTTGGCTGTCAATACCTACAACAGTTATCGGGGCGAGGGAAACAGGCCTTTGAAAAGAAGGCAACGTGGAGTGGGTAGCCCCCATATCGATTAAACAGGGGATGGACTTACTCTCCACTGTGAGAGTTACCTGAAGCTTGGCGTCCGTGATGGTCTAGGGGGCTTCTGAGGCGATTGGGTAGTATCAATCTTCAGCCGCTAAGCCGGGACGATCTGGGAAGGAGTCAGTCAGAGAGCCTTGGGCCAGAGTACCAGGGGCTCTGGGAGTGGCTGCCAGGTGAGTTGAACAGTCCGATTTCCATCCGATTTCCAGTGGGGTCCTGCACAGATGGGACACAGCTTAGGAGGAATCCTGGGCTGTGGGCATTGCTTGGCCTGGTGGCCAGATTTCTGGCACTTGTAGCAAGCTCCTGGGGGAAGCGGTTCTGGAGGAACACCTGGCCACTGCGGTTTAGGCGTTTGGAAGGTCTTGTATGCTGGAGGTGTGGCTGGGTTTTGCCTCACAGCAGAGCAAGTAATTGTAACTCAGAAATGTGTTGCCGTCTGGCTGCTTCCTCTCTATTATTGCACACCTTGAAGGTGAGGTTGATTAACTCCTGTTGTGGGGTTTGAGGGCCAGATTCTAATTTTTGAAGTTTTTTCCTAATGCCAGGAGTGGATGGGGTGATAAAATGCATATTGAGAATAAGACGGCCTTTTGACCTTTTAGGGTCTAGGGCTGTAAAGCATCTCAGGGTTGCTGCCAAAGGAGCCATGAACTGGGCTGGGTTTTTCATATTTGATGAAAAAGAGCCTAAATGCTCACTGATATTGGGAGAGGTCAGATAAAGAAGAAGGAGCATTAACCTTGACTATGCCTTTGGCTCCAGCCACCTTTTTAAGAGGAAATTGCTGGGCAGGTGGGGGAGGGCTAGTCGAGGAATGAAACTGTAAGCTGGACCAGCTGTGAGGAGGGGAGGTGATAAAAGGATTATAGGGTAGGGGAGCAGAGGCTGAGGAAGAATTGGGACCTGGCTCAGCCTGGCAAGGAGGGGAGAGGTCAGATGGGTCTGTAGAAAAGGAAGATTAGAAAGACTCAGCGACTCTTGGGGTTGGGACTGAGGGGACAGATGGGAGGGAAAGAAGGAAGATTTGGGATGAGTTGCATTGGGAACAGAGGCTAGAGAGGGACTGATGTGTAAAAGAATGCCTGGATGTCAGGCATCTCAGATCATTTGCCCATTTTACGACAAGAATTATTTAGATCTTGTAGGATGGAAAAATTGAAAGTGCCATTTTCTGGCTATTTGGAACTACAGTCGAGTTTGTATTGGGGTCAAGCGGCATTGCAGAAGAAAATAAGATGCTTAGATTTTAGGTCAGGTGAGATGTGAAGAGGTTTTAAGTTCTTAAGAACACAGGCTAAGGGAGAAGAAGGAGGAATGGAAGGTGGAAGCTTGCCTATAGTGAAGGAGGCAAGCCCAGAGAAAAGAAAGTAGAGACATGGAGAAGGGGTAGGGTGTTCTTGCCCTCCAGAAAAGCAGAGAAGGGGTCAGGGCACAGAAATAAGGGGTTGGGTCACAGAGATATAAGAGGTTGGGGCGTGGAAATAAGGGATCAGGGTACAGAGATATAAGAGGTTGGGGTGTGGAAATAAGGGATCAGGGCACAGAGATACGAGTCTGGGGTACTTGCCCCTCCCCTAGAAAAGCGGGACTTGCTGCTAAGGGTGAAGGAGAAGGGGTTGGGGGTTTCTTGCCCCCCAGAAAGGTGGAGAAGGGGTAGAGACACGGAGAGAGGGGGTTGGGGTACTTGCCTCTCCCCCAGAAAAGCGGGACTTGCCGCTAAGGGTGAAAGACCAAGGCAGGCATCCCTGCGTGGTCTGACACCTCTGAAACCTGGGTGAATAACCAGAGAGGCGTCCCTGCAATGATTAAACACCAAGGGAAGGCTGCCTTCCCAGTCTGTGACTGGCGCCGGAGTTTTGGGTCCACAGATAAAACGTGTCTCCTTTGTCTCTACCAGAAAATGAAAGGAATTGAAATTAAAAGAAGGGAGAGATTGAAGTGTGGTGCCAAGATTGAAAGGAGAAAGAGGTTGAGGGATACTGAGGGAGGTTGGAGAAGAGAGTAAAAAGAGGCCGCTTACTGTATTTGAAATTGGTGAGATGTTTCTTGGGCTGGTCAGTCTGAGGACCTGAGGTCATAGGTGGATCTTTTTCACAGAGCAAAGAGCAGGAGGACAGGGGATTGATCTCCCAAGGGAGGTCCCCCAATCTGAGTCACGGCACCAAATTTCATGCGTGTCTGTGTGAAGAGACCACCAAACAGGCTTTGTGTGAGCAATAAAGCTTTTGATCACCTGGGTGCAGGGAGGCTGAGTCTGAAAAGAGAGTCAGCGAAGGGAGATAAGGGTGGGGTCATTTTATAGGATTTGGGTAGATAAAAGAAAATTACAGACAAAGGGGGGTTGTTCTCTGGCGGGCAGAGTGGGGGTCACAAAGTGCTCAGTAGGAGAGCTTTTGAGCCAGGATGGGCCAGGAGAAGGAATTTCACAAGACAATGTCATCAATTAAGGCAGGAACAGGCCATTTTCACTTCTTTTGTGGTGGAATGTCATCAGTTAAGGCAGAAACTGGCCATCTGGATGTGTATGTGCCGGTCACAGGGGATATGATGGCTTAGCTTGGGCTCAGAGGCCTGACACTTGTCTTCATTGGTTTTTAAATGCATTGCAAATACCTTATTACTAATGATTAAATACATATTTAAAAAATAATTTTTAAAAGATTCAAATTATCCCTGAAATAATTGTATTGTACTTGCACTCCAATCTGCTTCACTTGAGTGAAGGATAGAATGAAGTTACTTATAACTTTACAGAACTTTTGAAATGACTAGAACTGAGCATATCCTGCAACCTATCTTTTAGCCGGTAGTAAATGACTGTAATCCATGCATTTTATTGCGATTTATTTTTCTTCAAAACTATATTCATTTTTGTCATCAAGTTGTGGGTATACCAATGGAAATATTTCTTGTGCGATGCCATGTTTTCTATTATCTCTTTGCGTTCCTTTGATTCAGCATGTCATTTTCTTGTTCTTCCTGAGGAACTCATCCTAAAATTCTTTACCCTTTCAAATGAATGATGATCAAGTGTGGAAATATGCTAAAGTCTCTCTTATTAAAAGAAAAATAAGGTCTCCACAACAACAATGAAAGGATCTTCCTTTAAGTCTGTATCTTCTCTCTCTCTCTCTCTCTCTCTCTCTCCTTATTCCTACTACTCTCTCTCTTCAATATTTTTGAACAACCTCATTTTATACTTTACTGTTTATATCTTCACCTCCTCCTTCTCACTGGTCATAACATTCCAGCCTCGCTTCCATCACTCTCTTGAAACAGATTTTCCTAGGCTCACCAAGGATCATCATGTCACTGAACAAAGTGGACACTGCTCAGTCCATGTGTAATATAATCCTTGGTGGTGCTTTGTGTAATTAATCACTCCCTCATTCTAAGAACTCTCTTTTCTCTAGGCTTCCACAGCCCTGCACACTCCTGAGTTAGCCTCGCCTTTTTGGTTATATCCTTTCTGTTTCATGTGTTCAACCTGTCCATTAAATATTTGGAATTCCTCAAGACTGATTCATATATTCTTTTCTTTTTCTCATACCAAATATTTTCACTGGGAAACTTTCTTTGGCTACTACATATTGCAGATGATTTTCAAATTGATGTCTCCATCCTAGACCCCTTCATAAGTTTATCTCCAATTGGATATCTTCAAAACAAAAATTATAATATTGTCCCCTCTCTACCACCTACTGGTCATATTCTATCCTCTCCTACCACAATGGAAGGCCCCACTATGCAAGTCAGTCATGACTTGACTAATGGTCAAGTCCATCCTGTCATACAAGCTGGAAACCCTGATGTCCCCTTTTGCTTAACCATCACACCCCACTTCCAATTCATTATAAACTTCTATTTTTACCTTATAAGGTTCTGTTAAATCCATCCTCTATTCTCGATTTCCAAGGCCACCATTCTAACCTAAGTCTCTTATCCCTGAAAAAAAAAAATCTCTGGCTGATTTTTCTGCCATTCGCTGTAGTCCTCACCTAGTAAGTTTTCCTCACTGCAGACAGATCTAACTTTACATCATGAATCTTGTTATCTTACCCATATTCTTAAAATATGGGTAAAATAAATGCAGTCTTTCTACTGCATTCAGAATAAAAAGCAAACTTTAAAGTGATCTATAGGGTGATGCCTGTTCTGGCCCTTGCCTACATTTTTAGCCCAATTCTATAACGTTTGTCCCCTTGCCAGCTATACCGCACACAGTACACATACACTTCTCTTTTCTGGGAATGCTAATTTATAGAGTCTTCTTTGTTTTCCCATTTAGTTAATAAAGTCATTCCACATTTTATTGTAATGATCCACACTGTGTTGTACACAGATGGCAGAACTTCTTTTGTCTTTATATGTTGAGATTGATCACTGGGTAATTTCACAACTTTTTTTTTAAATGTCCACACAGTGTTTATTATGTGGTCAGTTGAATTTTGGCATCATTCATTCATTTTTAAACCCATATATTTAATAGGCATTGATTAAGCATGAATCAATCAGAATGATTTTGAAGCTCTGACATCAGGAAAAGGAAGTCAGGAGTTGGATCAGGCTGGGAACTTGATCTTGTTAATGGGTTGGAGATGAAGAAGGCATAAAGTGGCACCACCATTCTTTCACGTTCCATTTATGTCACGGTCTAAACACTCATGTTCTAATCACATACAAAGCAAAAGATTCTCACTTTCAGCTTGCTTCCTCTATCATGTTACCATCAGGCTTCATCATCATGAATCAACACAATATCTTCAGAAACTTGAAAAGTGTCACTTTTGGAGAATGTCATTGAGACGAGCATTTTCTTCTCCCATACAAGCCCCACTGCAAACCTCGGAGCCAGCTTAAAGCATAAACAAAATAGAATCCCTGCCTTAAGGCATTCACTTTCTATGTCAAATTCACATCTTTTAAAAACTATGCTAAAATCTCATCAATTACACTTTAGGAATTTTTTTTTTACAACTTTCTGCTCTTCTTATTAATTTAGTGACACTGTCCTTTTCCAAGTCCATATTGTATCTCACCTGTATCTTAACTCCTCCAATTTGTTCTCTTGGCCTACAGTCTCTCCTCTTCAATGTATCCTGCACACTGATGTTATCAGCATTATCTCACTCTATGTCTAATAAAAGATACACTCTTCCTGCCCTGTTCTCTCAGTATATAATGTCTTTTCACAAACTGTTACCTCTGAACACGATGTTCCCCCTGTCCGAATACTCTCCTTCCTCTTTCTTCTTCACTTGTCAAACTCCTACCCACCCTTCAAGATTAAGCCCAAATGTCACACCTGTGTGATACCTTCCCTATATCCCTCAGGCAGGATTAGTCATTCCTTCTTGATGTTCCCAGAGTATATCATTATTTCTTATGGATAGTACTGCCATTGAGCTTTTAGTGCTCTTTCACTAGGCTGTGAGCTCTTTAAAGACAAGAACTGTATCTTATTCATCATCATGGGGAAAGCACCCTGTCTTACACATAGTTGGTACTCTATCTATATACATTGACACAATGTGAAATGGGATATAACAAAATGACCTACTATATGACACATTAAACATTTATCTAACTTTCCCTAAAAAGAAAAGGATTTTCTCTAAAGCAGAAAATAAGTAACAACAAAAATTTCAGATAAAAAATGCAAAATATCCGTCTGCAGAGAGCTGATACGAGTGTTCATTATTGGGAAACTGAATGGAGAAGAAAGATCACACATAGGTACTGCTTGTGGAAATGTGGCTGGCTGAGGAGACACCTGGCAAAATGTCTTAGCCAGTTTTCCACTGTGGGAAAATGAAAAGTAAATTTTATCAGGCTCAATTTCAGACAATCATTTGAGCCTTGAATAATGGAACTGACTAGTAAACCAATTTGTCATTTTTTTTACTAGTAAATTTAAGTTTTCTTTTAAAAGATGACCAATTTAATCAGGTAATGATACATCTTTTCAATTAATGAAGAACATATTTCCAGGGACAAATATGACATAGTCCTCAGTGAATGGAACTCTAGCCACACTGCAATATGTACACTTAGTAAAAAGGTAATACAAACTTACAAAATGGTATAGCACTATACACCATGATTTCATACTGAAAGTTCCCTTTTTGAGTGGGAAAAAAATGTTAAAAGTGGTTTGTTGAAGTTCTCTTTTCTAGTCAGGACTAGAACTTGGTGCTTTTAATTTTAAGCACACGGTTTCTCCTTTAGATGTTTATAGTGAGTCCCCAAAACATGGAACACGGATATTGCAATGACTAGAGTTAAAATATCATTCCCAACTAATGATTTTTTAAAATATAGAAACACGGACAATATATAAGTATTTCTTATAAACTATTAATGAATTTTCATTTATCATAAACTACTTAAAAGTTTTATTTTGAGGCTATTACTTATAAGTGTATAAAACCCTTTTTATAAAAGCAGCAGACATAATTTAACTTAATGAGAATATTATAAAAAGAGTTGTCCTAAAAAATTTTCCAATAAAGCATACAGCCTTTTTAAAAAAGCATTTTTCCTTCCATTCATTATATTTCCAATGATCACTCTTCTGTTGGCTCCAACAAAACATTAGGGTTATTATAGGAAAAATTAGAATAATAGCTCTGAGTTGAACAAATACATAGGCATTCATTTGATGTTTGTACCTTGAAGGCTAGCTTCCATTTCCTTTATCTTTTTTGGACCTGTCATAGGAAATCATTGGTCCAATAACACCCCTTGTTTCCCAAATCATCTTGAGAGCACAAATTTTTACTTTACTTACTTTTTGCTTTCTGAAGGTAGTCCCGTATGAACAAACATGAGTGTAAATTAATTATATAAATTTGTCTGTGGTCTAAAAGACAGAATTATTCACCTTTGAAGCTATCCATATTTGCAGTGTTCTAGAAAGTTAGATCTTTTATTGAATCTGTTCTCTCCTCAGAGCAAAGTAAACTGGTTCACTAAAAGGTGTGCTGATTGTCCTTTATTCAAAATGAATCCACGCATTCTCAGCTGATTGAAAATATTTTGGTGGTTTCTATCTTCTAAACCAAATGCTTCTCTTTATTGACAATACTGTGAGTTTTCTCTTTTCTATACATGATAGTAATAACATTAAAGCTGTTTCTTAAGGGTGCATGGAGATAGTTTTTCTTCATAAAGCCAGAATACATCCTATTACTTCTGGAAAGCACAAACTAGTTATCCACGTGCCTCCTTACTGATTTGCTTTCTTTCCAGTTTCTTCTCTAGCTAATTCATCATAGATCCCCTAAAATATTACTTTGCACATGTTATACTCTGCCACAAAAAGTTTATGTGATGTTCAGCTTATATATAATCAAGATAAATGTCTAAGTTTGGCTTTGCAAGTTCTACAGCATGCATGATTTCTTGTGTATTGCCCTATGCTTACCTGAATTCCCAGGGATAGAAATGGCAAATTTAAAATCTGATCATTATTACACTCATGCAGATATGTTTAAATTAAGAATCTGTACTACAGGCCAGGCCCAGTGGCTCACACCTGTAATCCCAGCACTTTGGGAGCCTGAGGCAGGAGTTTGAGACACCTGAGGTCAGGAGCTCAAGACCAGCTTGGCCAACATGGTGAAACCCTGTCTCTACTAAAAATACAAAATTTAACTGGGTGTAGTGGTGCGTGTCTGTAATCCCAGCTATCCGGGAGGCTTAGACAGGAAAATTGCTGGAACCCAGGAGGGGGAGGCTGCAGTGAGCCAAGACCTCATCACCGCACTCCAGTCTGGGTGAGAGAGGGAGATTCCATCTCAAAAAAATAAAAAAAATAAAACATATGTAGAATCTGTACTGCAGATACCAACATTCTTCATTTACTATTTGCATATAAACAAAATCACATCTTCTCTCAAGCAATGATAATGCCTTACAGATTAGATACAATGATCATTCTGAGTAATTTAAGACAGCAATCATTTAGCCCAGCTTAGACTTGACTATTCTTTGGAACTAGTTTCTTAGCAAAGAAATGGTCAAAGATACAGTCTAATTGTAGAAATGTTCAGTTTGTGCTTTAAAAGTGTAGTGCTACCATGTAATGTCATGCTTGTTGTTTATTGTCCAATGGCAGGGAGCATCATTCATACATATTGGAGGAATGTGGCTTCCTTTGGAGTGGTGTGATTTGTTATCTGCACACCTGTTCTTAGTAGTTTCTATATTCTAGTTGTGTGCAGTGTCTAATATATATTCATTAAGTATGTTCTGTTGATCCCACTGTTAATAATTTCAGTAGCTTTACTGGAATTTTTGTTTAATTGTTTTATTAATTACTGAGAAAGGTGTGGTTAAAACTCTCCAACATGATTTGTCTATTTCTTTATGTAATTTCATCAATTTTTGGCTTATTTATTTCTTAAGCTATATTCTTAAGAGCTTAACAATTTAAACTTGTATCTTTCTGGTGAATGGAGTGTTTCTAATTATGAAGTGATTTTCCTTGTATTTAAATAAATACTGTTTTGTTAAAGTATATTTCATTCAATATTAACATAGTCTATGAGCTTTCTCTTAGTTATTATTTACATGGTAAGATATTCCCCATATTTTACTTTCAGTCCTTCAGCAACTTATATTATACATAATCTTCTTATAACCAGAATTAAGTTTGAATTTATTTTCAGTCCAATTAAAAATTTTCTTAATTTTAAATAAAATATGTTTCACTTCCAGTTAATGTAATGTCTAATATATTTGGGTTTGTATCTATATGTTATTCTGTTTCTTGTGTATAGTGCTTTTCATTTCCTTTCTTGCTTTTTCATCTTTCTTTTGTTTTCCAGGTGTATCATTTCATCATTATTGTTCCATTTTTTTCTATCATGGTTTAATTCACTTGCTAATGATTCAGTGATACTTTAGAAATTATGACATATATAATTGATTTCCTCGAGTAACATGACAACTTGGGGCACTTTCATTCCATTTACCTTCACTCCTGAACTACTACTGTGAGTTTTAATGCTGCAATTTTTTAACATGCAAAACAACATTGTTTCGTGCAGTTAATGCACCTTTTGTTTAGCCTACATATTTAGAATGTACTTAAACTTTATTTTTTCTTACCTCTCAGATTTGTTTTATGGAACTACTTTCTTTACACCTAAAGTGCATCTGTTATAATTTTATATAGTGATAAAATTCTTCAGTTTTTGCTTTTCTGAAAATGTCTTTATTCCACCTTTAATTTTGAAGGAGTAATTCTTAAGACATCTAATTCTAATTTAGCAATTATTTTCTTTCAAACTCTTGGAGATTTTATTTTGCTGTATTCTGGCTTCCAACTGTTACTGTTGTGAAATAAGGCCTAAATTGAATGGAGGTTCCTTTAAAGAAAATTCTTCTGCTATGACTGCTTTAAGAACTTCTTTTGGTATCTGGTATTCTGAAATTTAATTATCATATGTCTAGGTGTGGATATCGATTTATGTTATACGTGGAATTGGTTAGAATTCTTGAACCTGTGAATTCTATTCTTTTATCAGTTCCTGAAAACCCAGCCATAATCCTTTTTCTCTGTTCCATTCTTTATCTTATTTCCTTCTGAAATGCGAATAAAAATATTTTAGAACATCTCAATCTTATTCTCCTACTTCCTTCATTTTATTGCTCTCTATATTAACTCAATTAACTAATCCCTTCTTCAGCCATGTCTAATCTCCTATTTTGTATCCTCTATGGAGTTTTTATTTGAGATTTCTTAAAGTTTTCATTTCTGGAAATTCTAGTGGTTTGATAAATTTTAAAGAATTTTCTGGGACCAGGCATGGTGGCTCACGCCTGTAATCCCAGCACTTTGGGAGGCCAAGGGAGGTGGATTATCTGAGGTCAGGAGTGTGAGACCAGACTGGTAGACATGGTGAAACCCTGTCTCTAATAAAAAAATACAAAAATTAGCCAGGCATGGTGGTACACACCTGTAATCCCAGCTACTCAGGAGGCTGAGGCAGGAGAATCGCTTGAACCTGGGAGGCAGAGGTTACAGTGATCCGGGATCGTGCCACTGCACTCCAGTCTGGGCAACAAGAGTGAAACTCCGTCTCAAAAAAAAAAATTTTTATATAAATTTATTATTGCTTTTATATATTTAAACTCAGTAAACACATTTATATCATCATCTGTGCATAACTATGTGAAACGTATTTGGATCTGTTTCTGCTTATTTTATCTAGCTGTATGTTTTTCCTGTGTGTTTATTTTGAGCTTCTTATTTTTCTTCAATATATTTATGAGACTACCTATAAGCCTAGTAAATTACAGAGATCATTTAGGTTTACTTCTTCAAGTGGCTAGAGCCACTAGTGGTTCTTCCTCCACCTGAAGCAGACTTTTTTTTTCTGGACCATGCAGGTAACATTGATTTGAGTTGCAATTCAGCCTGTTGGCTGACTCGTATGTGCCAGATCCCGGGGATAGGTATATTTGTTTTGTTCTTTTATCTTGCTTCATTGAGTGTCAGGGCAATTTTTCTTGCAATTTTGTTATGACTTGGCAGAGGGAAGGCGACAGTTGACTGCTATTATAGCCTTTGGAGTCCCAACTTTATATAACAAGTGTACATAAAGGCTAAGGGCTTTGCATGTTGAGATAACCACCCAAAGAATTAAGTGTACACTGTATAGTAAAAGTTTATTCAGTGTTCTCTCTACCTCTAGCTTTGCATCTTCACTTACATTTGTCCCTAATAATTTATTTTTTATTTTTATTATTATTATTTTTGAGATGGAGTCTTGCTCTGTTGCCCAGGCTGCAGTGCAGTGGTGCAATCTTGGCTCACTGCAACCTCCACCTCCCAGGTTCAAGCAATTCTTCTGCTTCAGCCTCCCTAGCAGTTGGGACTACAGACATGCGCCACCATGCCCAACTAATTTTTTTTTTTTTTTTTTTTTTTGGTATAGATGGGGTTTTACCATGTTGGCCAGGCTGATCTCGAACTCCTGACCTGAAGCTATCCACCCACCTCAGCCTCCCAAATAATTCTTATACTTAGAGCACTTTCCCACCTGAAAAGTCTGTAATTCCATATTTAACTGTGAATTTTATTGTGAACCTCTACTTGGAAAACGTGTGGGAACTTGGGCTTTTAAGAATTGAAGAGGACATTGCAGTTCTTTTAGTAGAATGACAGTTTTACATTTTTACATTTTTTGATATTCTAGTTATACATGTATTAATTTTCCACATAGTCACAAAGGACCTCAAGGTGAAAGGTTTTCTCTTAAATCTCTGTTCTCATCAGTAGACTACCTGGTGCCTAGCATATATGTATTTTGGTTTATTGAAATTTGGCAGTCTTCATTTCCTAAAGATATATTTTCATTCCTTGAGAAAGAGAAAACACCAGAGTCAATTTCAAAAGCCCCAAATATGTCTCAATTAGCTTTTAGGAAGTTTGCTTTGATTAGTAAGAATGCAGAAGTAACTTGACATTTACTTTAATCAGAGAAAATGATACACTTTTAACATCGGTTCTGAATTCTTCTCTAATACTTTGAAAGGATTCATCTGAATCTTTCTTAATTTCCACTTTGTGAGTGTAGCCCATGCTTATATCTATGTGTCTCTCTTCTATGTATCCCACTCAACCCTGCAGTGAAACCCAAAACACACACACATACACACACACAAGTACACACGAAAACATAAAATCAGACTATTTTCTACTTAAAACCAGAAGAATCCTATCTGGGTCAAATCTGTTGTTTCAAAGGTCATAAAAATTTCTGGAATGTGAAAATGTAGATGAAAGGCAGCATAGGTAAGCAGACTGGAGTTTAGGGACTTAAAATTTTAATGCCAGTTATTTGTGTCCCCTAAAATAATGACTAATCTGCCTCTATTAGCAGGGAATTGAAATACCATGGGGTGTTTCAGGAATAATGAATAAAAATTGGTAAGTAGTTTATTTTTGCAAGTATTCTCTAAACCCTGAAATATATAGATCATCTGAATGATATACTTAATATGCATGTCATAGTATGCCCTAAATATTTTTTATCAGTTTATAATTTTTGTTTTCTAGCCAAATACAATGTGATAAAAATTGCCACTGGGTACACGGCCTACTACAGAAGAGTTTCATGGTAGAGAACATTTGTGAAAATTACCAGGTTGAATGATATGAACTTTGGGAAGCTGGGAGAAAAGTCTGACCTTTGAAGAACTTATCCTAATAGAATATTTAGAGCAATGCTCCATAGGGTTCAGTAAAAATCAATACCAAACTCCACTGCAAGTCCTTTATCCCCAGTGGCAACCTATTTCTAAATGTGAGAGAAAGATAGAGTAATCCAGTTACCCAATGATTGCACTGTTCTCAATTCTCAAGAAACACTCAAATATATATATATTTTTACTTTGCTTTAGAGCTTTTTAATCCATCTTGAGTACTAATGGCCCTTAATGCAGTGTAAGAGAATGCAACATCTTGGCTTCTTAGCAACTAAAAGTTGCTGGTAAATTTAGTCTCTAAAAGATTATCTAGTTTTGAGAAGTAAAAAAGGTCAATTTAACTTACTTAAAATTTGATTAGATATAAATTAACTTATGTGCTCTGTCACTTTTTTGTTAAATGTTTTATTTTCAGAATCAAAGAAAAGTAATAATAATAAAACATGTCTTAAATTCTTGTAACCATAATAATTATCAGATCCTCAGAGAATGGATTAATGATGAGAGTACGTGAGGTACTATTCTGAATGAAAGTTTAGAACTTGCAGGTATATTAATGTTTCCTTCCTCTTTCTTTTTTTTTTTTTTTGCTTTCTATTTTTTTTATTATTATACTTTAAGTTCTAGGGTACATGTGCACAATGTGCAGGTTTGTTACATACGCATACATGTGCCATGTTGGTGTGCTGCACCCATTAACTCATCATTTACATTGGGTATATCTCCTAATGCTTTCACTCCCCCTTCCCCCAACCCCACAACAGGCCCCAGTATGTGATGTTCCCCTTCCTGTGTCCAAGTGTTCTCATTGTTCAATTCCCGCCTATGAGTGAGAACATGCGGTGTTTGGTTTTTGTTCTTGCGATAGTTTACTGAGAATGATGGTTTCCATCTTCATCCATGTCCCTACAAAGGACATGAACTCATCATTTTTTATGGCTGCATAGTATTCCATGGGGTATATGTGCCACATTTTCTTAATCCAGTCTACCATTGATGGACATTTGGGTTGGTTCCAAGTCTTTGCTATTGTGAATAGTGCTGCAATAAACATACGTGTGCATGTGCCTTTATAGCAGCATGATTTATAATCCTTTGGGTATACACCCAGTAATGGGATGGCTGGGTCAAATGGTATTTCTAGTTCTAGATCCTTGAGGAATCGCCACACTGTCTTCCATAATGGTTGAACTAGTTCACAGTCCCACCAACAGTGCAAAAGTGTTCCTATTTCTCCACATCCTCTCCAGCACCTGTTGTTTCCTTACTTTTTAATGATCGCAGATTAGTCCAATAATTAAAGAACCTGGGTCAGTTAAATGTCTAACTTTATTCTCCACCTAGATTCAATAAATCAAATGTGTGTGGCCTTATACACACCACTGGGAGGGAGACTTAGACAAATCCTGACCTTGAGGATATAATAAAAAGGACATGGATACAATGACTTACACAGGTTAGAAAGTGATCATGACTGCAAAAAAAGTTTCTGCAAATGTCTCAAGAGTTTACTGATGATGGCATGCTTCTAGGGATGCCATAACGGTGGTTTCAAATGTTAAAAAAGTCCCAGAAAGATAGAACAGAGAGTGCTGTGTAAGTACAACAAGTAACGCAAAAAATTCACAGAACTGGAAAAATGCAGTTTGGAAAGACAATGCATGTCTTCTGGTTTTGAGTGGAAGGTGGTGCCTGGTGAAGAGTGGTTAAATAACAAGCCAAAATGAGAAATTTCTTTATTACTCTAATAAGTTGATGAATGTGATTTCTCTTCTGTCCTTCAAATTCCAATTCTCAGTTTTTAGAGAAGTAGTATCTGTGGACTTCAACTCACTAGAAGGTAAGATGGCAATCATAATAGGTTTACTCTTTCTTTTTTAAGGGTAGCCTTGATGGAGAATATAATCCATTCTTTCACTTTTCAAGACGTTCTTCACCAAAAGTAGGGAAGTGCTTATTTTAGTATCAATCGAAACATTAAATAAAAATAGTCAGTATTTTGTAGAGCTCAGGCATCTCCCATGAGTAAACCATTAGAAAGTGAAAGAACACATGAGTGTCTGCTGTAGGGTTCAGGTTAGGCATTGGCATCAGAGAGAGGAAGAAGACTTGTAAACGACTCGCACTGGGCAGATTTTTCAGGGAAATCCTGGACTTGGGGGATGACAACGTTAAAACTGGCCTCTTTTTACTTTGCAACAACGGGAGGCTGCCTGAGAAGCCAGTGTCTATTGTGTCCTCTCTGTGAAAGTAACAATACGTGGGCTTTATCTGTATTGCAAAGCACAAAGAGACGGTGAGAAGCTTACCAGTAGGTAACTGCCAAAAACAAACTTCACGAGAATATTGTGAGTATAACGAAAAGGACATTGGACTTGGATTGAAAAACAAAATACATGTAAATGGCAATCTGTTTAAGTTTGGATGACAGATCCGTCCTTAGCTATGTGACCTTGAGCCAACTCTGAATCTTCTCAGCTTCAGTTTCCTTCTCTTTCAAATAGGGATAATAATGTTTGCCAAATCTATTTCAAAGGGTATTGTGAAGGTCAAAAAAGATAATGGGTGTAGAATGGTTCAAAAATCATCACTTGCTAAAATGAATAATTAGTTTACAGTTATTTCAATGGGGTCTTATATGTGAATCTACAGAATTACCTTACCTGTATGATTGTGATGTGGGCAACTTTCTTAAATTATCATTCTTCAGTTTCCTTATTGGAAAAATTAGAATAATAGTCTCTATTTCTAAGGTTGTTATGAGAATTATATGAATTAAAAATTATACAATGCTTGAACAATATTGTGCATATAATACACCCCATTTAAGTATCTGTTTAATTATTTATCAACCTATGAGTATTTTGAACAGGATTTTAAATATTGAAAGAACCTAATAAACTAGAAAATCAATGTTTAAAATGTAGATTAGGCTTCTTGGAGGAGAAACACCTGGGGAATTTTTGCCTTATGCATATTTCCAGGAATGACCACAGACCAAATAAGTCAAGATTCCTTGAGGCTAGGACCTTGGGAATCTGCATTTTGTTTTATTTCTCGGGTAGTTCTTATTCCCAGCAAAGTTCTAGAACCATTGAGCTAGAATCTATTTTGAACTTTTATCCACTCACAATTGGCATGGTTTGAATCTGTGTCTCCACCAAATCTCATGTGGAATTTTAATCCCCAGTGTTGGAGGTGGAGCCTAGTGGGTGGTAATTTGATCATGGGGGCAGTTTCTCATTAATGGTTTAGCATCATTGCCTTGGTGCTGTTCATGTGATAGTGAGTGAGTTATCACAAAATCTGTTTGTTTGTTTGTTTGTTTGTTTTTTAAGTGTGTAGCATCTCCCCCTTTCTCTCTCTTTCTCCTGCTCCCAGCCATGTGAAGTGCTGGCTCCCCCTTCATTTTGTGCTGTCATTGTAAGTTTCCTGAGGCCTCCCCAGAAGCCAAGCAGATGCCAGCATCATGCTTCCTGTACAGCCTGCAGAACCATGAGCCAATTAAACTTCTTTTCTTATAAATTACCCAGTCTCAGTTATTTCTTTATAGCAGTGTGAGAATGGACTAATACAACAAATATGCATTTTTTCCTGCTGAAAATGCATTGGGACTATTGATTGATTAATTTGACAAATATTTAAAATGTACAGATTATATGGCAAGCACGATTCTAAATGCTTTTGGTATTTTGATTTATTCTTTCACTTGTCAGTTATGCTTTCATGCCCTAAGTAATTAAGGTATATGAAAGAGTTATAGCCTCTCTACAGAGTCCAGTATAGGTGTATTAAAGGCAGGAAAAAACAGAATGAGAGGCAAATTTGAGCTAAGGAGTAAAAGTGATATAAAGAGGAATGATGCAATAGTGTGCAGGTAAACAGACTCTTCAAAAACAAAGTCCTGATCTGTGCTATTTTCCAATTTCTATGATATAAATAAGCCCAGCAAAGCCAGTTTTAGCTACTCAAAGTTTTTCAACTAACTGGTAAATGCCTGAATATTTAGCAATTGTCTCTCACTAGTTAGTCTCTGGCTTCATGGAATGTTCCTTCATGAATAAAAATGTACCATTATATAAACTAAGAACAAGAATAACTATTGCAAGGGATATTATTTTAAAATGTCAGGAGGGTGTAGAAGAAAGAACTTTCAGTTATAATTGAGGTGTTCACAGGACAAGATAGGCAGGAAGCCCAGGATTTGCCTCTATTATTTCCGGGCTTCCTCCGCAGCTTAATTTTACCTCTTTATAACTCTCATTCCTTTCGTTTCTTCTTTTCATTCATTAATTTTTTAGGCTCCTGTTTTTGTTTTGGGTTTTGGTTTTTTGTTTTTTTTTAACATTTAATGGAGGTGACCACATAGAGATCATTGACTACAAGAGCATATTTTAACTCAGTGACAGTGCATCCAATAGGTCTTTAATAACCAAAGTGATTCAACATTTCATTTTATTAGAGTCACTGTAATTTATTCCAGATACACTCACAGTATTCACAGAAGCAAAAAGTCCCTGATGTCCAGCATTTCTGGGCTGCCATATGCTTCTTCTCTCTTCCATGTTAAAATGTAAGAAAAGAGCCACCTTCATGGCCAGTTCATACAAAATAACCCATACGAAGGTTTCACTAAATTCCCATCACATCACCAAAACTAAGTGGTGTATATAGGACCATGTTCACAAAATAGTCAAATTTCTCAGTAAGATTTCAAGACATATTACTACTTATTTCCCATGTTGGCGATGCCCTGTAGGAATATGCCTGTTCAAATGCATTCCATACCTAAAAATAAGGTAAAATACATATGTCATTTGATCTTTTAGACTTAAAGAATAATCTCACTTGCTCCCCTATTATCTTACCATGCTCTTAGTAACAAAAATGTATGTACTAAAATCAATACTTTTAGTACTGAAGGCTAATTTCCAATTAGAATGCCTTTTAATTTTAAATCTGGCAAATATGAGGGAAATAGGAGAAAATACAAAGACATTTCAATTCTGAAATCTGCCGTTTTAAAGCACCAACAATGCTGTGAATTTTAAATCAGTGTTCTAGGCAAATTCTCTTCACATTTTCATAACAAATATTTTTGTAAGGCCCTTGGAAAACTTCCAGCCCATCTGTTTCTACTGAGTTTTTAATCAGCCATGATTTCCTGTAAAATGTATCACAAGCCTGACTGTCTATCTGAAAGGGGCACATTTGATGTAAATACCGTATAATATAGAAATTAATAACTTCAGTTGTCTTTATAGTTTATTAAAAATGACTTAATGTCTCATTTATCAATACAAGCAACATCTTGATTTGTTTGCTTTTTTAGGATTCTTTATTAGGTATTAGAAACCTTTACTGTTGAGATGTAGAATATTTCAGAAAACTGTTTCACATTTTGGTATGATTAGATGTACAATATTCATCCTTTCAGCCTAATACTCAGATTCTTTCATTCTTAGTCAGAAACCATTGCTTAATAACTAGTCCTGAACACCACATCAAGATTTAATGAAACAGCAGAAACAAAGATCATGAAGTAAAATTGTTCATAATCTTTCCCTAATTAATCTGGGTCTTTTCCATTGTTCCTACCTGTTCTCTCATTTAAGCTTCAATAGTTTTCATGTCAATGATTGGGATTACTACCTACAGATTGTCTGTCTCCATATTCTCCTCCCCTTAACCCCACATAACACCCCCACACTAGGCTAAAACACAGCTTTTGGTCATGTTTTTCCAGGTACAAATGGCTTCAAACTCTTCCATTTGGCAACAGAGCAAGGTTCCATCTCTCTGACTTGACTTCAATGTCATAGCTTTGTTGTAGACTGGACTATTTACAATTTTATAAACATTTCCTTTACTTAACAGTTGTTAGTGATTTTTCTTAACTAGAAATGCTTGCTCCTGATCTCCCTTATCTCCTCAACTTCTCCATTTTTATATAGTGAAATCCTACCTAATTTGCAAATGATTATTCCAGTACTTCCATGACATCTTTGTAGATGCTTCTTCATTCCTTACAACATATGTTACATTTTACCTTACGTGACATCAACTTTATTCTTACTTCTCTCACACTATGTGGAGTGTTTTGTGTTATGGTTATTTGTGTTGTAAACTATAAAACTCTGGAGGACAGAAATCTACCTTCATTGTTTTTGTATAAAACACAATACCATGAAGCATAGTGTTCGTTTATGTATTTGTCTGTTAAAGGTGAGTTGAGAACTTCCAGAGTCAGCTATAGTGCCAGGCCATGGGAGTAGAAAGGGCAAGTTGCCAAGGTAATAAGAATTCATAGGCTCTGTAATCAACTAGTCATGGTCTCAAATTCTGATTCCACTACTTACTATCCATTTGTTTTAGGCCTCCCTCTTTGAGCCTTTTGGTGAGAGTTTGGAACAACAGTAATCTCAAAAGGTCCAAATGTATTGAAATGTTTGGCCAGACATGGTGGCTCATGCCTGTAATCCCAGCACTTTGGGAGGCCAAGGCAGACGAATCATGAGGTCAAGAGCTCGAGACCATACTGGCTAACACCATGAAACCCTGTCTCTACTAAAAACACAAAAAAATTAGCCGGGCGTGGTGGTGTGCACCTGTGGTCCCAGCCACTCAGGAGACTGAGGCAGGAGAATCACTTGAACCTGGGAGGCGGAGTTTGAAGTGAGCCAAGATTGCACCACTGCACTTCAGCCTGGCTGGGCGACAGAGCAAGACTCCATCTAAAAAAAAAGAAAAGAAAAAGAAATACTCAGTTTAAGAATTTCTAGTATTTACTATTTGGTAACTACACATAAGCTTTTTTTTCATTGTTCCTTTTTTGAATCTATTTAGATTGTATACATCTTGTCAGTGAAGGCAAAGACAAAGGCACAGCTAGAAAGTAAAATGACAGCTGCCATAACAGACATAGGTACAACATGATTTGGAATCCGAATTTTTAAATTCTGATCTGGAATAGTGAAAGTTTTACACTGAGTTACATACAAGCCATATAATATAATTAGAAGTTTACAAGACAGTAAAGCTCAGTTCATGACATGGATAGAAGGTAGGGTGGAGACTTAATATTCAAGCTCAAGGAAAAACTTGAACAAGCTAATGTGGAAATAATAAGGATGTTTTAGAGGACTGCAATCAATTCTTTACATCTAGAATAGAGTTCTAGAACTTAGATGGGTGTCAAGGGCTCATAGAATAGAACAGCTAGGCCATGGAAGGTAAGGACCAGCACTTCATGTGCATCTGTTTGCTTGGGGCATACATTCCTTTTCGCACACTTTCTAAGTTATTTTAAATTACAAATAAAAAATCAAAATTCAAACACAAAATATATAAAATGAAAATTGAATTAACATCTTACATGCACAGACTACTCAGCGGTAACCACTATTATCGTTGAAATATGGTTTTGTTGTTGTTGTTGTTGTTTTGAGATGGAAGCTTGCTCTGTTGCCCAGGCTGGAGTGCAGTGGTGCAATCACAGCTCACTGCAACCTCTGCCTCCCGGGTTCAAGAGATTCTCCCGCCTCAGCCTCCCAAGTAGCTGGGATTACAGGTGCCCACCACCACACCCAGCTAATTTTTGTATTTTTTAGTAGAGATGGGGTTTTACCTTGTTTGTCAGGCTGGTCTCGAACTCCCGACCTCAAATGATCTGCCCGCCTTGGCCTCCCAAAGTGCTGAGATTACAGGTGTAATCTTACCGCATGTGGCCATCATGTAATATGTTTAATACCAGAACGTTACTAAGTGTATGTTTGTGTGTATATGTGTGTTTGTGGGTGTGTATGTGTGTATGGGTGTTTGTATAATACATAATGCATATGAGATTTGTTCTCTCTTGGTTTGTTTGTTAAAAGTGATTGTGAATATGTTGTAATAGTATTTTATCAACTCACTTTTGTCAATTAAAGTTTCATAGAGATCATCTATATTAGCACATTTCTTAAAAACTAACTCATTCTTTCCAAATAATTTTATATTGCACATATTTAATAATCTAATGATTTCTTATCTGTCAATGTTTTAGGGTATTTAAAATTTTTCACTATTACCAAATGCTTCAATATCAATTTATATGTAGGTATGCACCAACATATCCATCTTTGCACTCATGTCAGTATTATTGTAACAGGAATTTCGAGATTTTAGGTGGTCAAAGTTTATTGGATTAAAGTAGCTGGATGTAACAGATAATGCCAAAATGCTCTCCAAAATGTTATTTACATGCTTTCTACTATCTGTGCCTATTTTCATACATTTGGGCTTAATTTTACTTTTTCATTTAATTGTGAGTTCAACGTTTTCTCTTCACTTTCTAACACATTTTAAAATATCCAACGCAAACTTTCCTGTAAAATTGTCTCTTCGTTTTGTCCTCATTGACTTTGGTATAATTTTATTAAGGATTTATCTGCTCTAATATTATATATATATTTTCACCCTAGCTCTCTTTGGTCTTTCAAATTTTATTATTGTATCATTTACTTTATATGACTTTTGTTTTTCCTTTCTCCACAAAGAAAAATCTATCAAAATTTAGCCTTATATTTTCTGAGTTTCATATATTGTTTAAGATTTTTCCAATTTTAAGATTATCAAACTATGCTCTCATATACCTGGAACAAAAAAGCATCTTAAAATTTTGTTTCACTCTTTCTTACTGAAACAACCAAATAGACAAAAAGTACAATATGCAGAGTAAAAGTGCCATTTTCAATGACATTAGAAAATATTTACTCCTTCTGACTACAAACTGTAATGGAAAATTTTCAAATACAGTAAATGTGGGACCAATTTAAAGGAAGAGATAAAGAACAGGCATATTATGTGGATTGCATGGAGCACATTCAGAAGTACGTACTATAGTTTTGTTGCCCAACTCATGATGTTTTAATTGAAACAGCAGGGTCTGGAAAGCATACACGGGTGTGAAAATCCCAAGGGCCACATTCTACATTGATGATTGGTGGAGGCAAGGCACTATAAGCTAAACTGCTCTGACAAGCAATTTTTGCAAAATAGCAGAATTGTGACAGTGTAGAGGGAAAACAATGGATTCGATTGGCTTTGCTGTTACTAATGACAATCAACTCAAGAGAAATACATAATCACATTTTGAAAAAACTGACATATGGGCTGTGATGGTTAATATTAGGTGTCAACTTGATTGGATTGAAGGATGCCTACATAGATGGTAAAGTATTGTTTCTGGGTGTCTCTGTGAGGGTGTTGGCAGAGGAGATTAATATTTGTTTTAGTGAACAGGGAGAGGAAGACTCACCCTCAGTGTAGGTGGGCATCCTCCAACAGCTCCCAGATTGGCTAGGACAAAGTAGGGGAAGAAAGTGGGATGAGCTTTGCCTGCTGAGTCTTCCGGCTTTCATCTTTCTCCTGTGATGATGCTTCCTTCCACTCCTCCTACCCTAGGACATCAGACTCTAGGTTCTTCGGCCTTTGGACAATTGGACTTACAGCAGTGGTTTGCTAGGGGCTTCGGGCCTTTGGCCACAGACTGAAGACTGCACTGTCAGCTTCTCTGCTTTTGAGGCTTTTGGCCTCGGACTGAGCCACTACTGGCTTCTTTTTTTTTTTTTTTTTTTTTTTTTGAGATGGAGTCTCCCTCTATCGCCCAGGCTGGAGTGCAGTGGTGTAATTTCGGCTCACTGCAACCTCCGCCTCCCGGGTTCAAGCAGTTCTCCTGCCTCAGCCTCCTGAGTAGCTGGAATTACAGGCGTGCGCCACTATGCCCGGTTAATTTTTGTATTTTTAGTAGAGACTCACCATGTTGGTCAGGCTGGTCTTGAACTCCTGACCTCGTGATCCGCCCGCCTCGGCCTCCCAAAGTGCTGGGATTACAGGCGTGAGCCACCGTGCCCGGCACCACTACTGGCTTCTTTCTTCCCCAGCTCACAGACGGCCTGTAGTGGGACCTCGCCTTGTGATCATGTGAGCCAGTTCTCCCTAATAAACTCCTTTTCATATATCTATCCTTTTACTTCTGTCCCTCTGGAGAAGCCTGACTACTACATGGGCCTTACAAGAAGAGAAGACTCCTATTTACCTAAAAGGTGGGAATATTGAATACTGAAACATGAAACAAAGACAAAGACATTGATAGGATTGTGAGAGAAGAGATGGCCAGGATAAGCAGCTCCCATTAAAAGATGAGAAGTAATCTTAAATGAAAAAACATGGCATTAATTCATATTGAATCTAAAGATACAATAAAATTAAGTAAAAAAATCATAATATTAGATTGGAATAATTAAGCTTCCATGTGGAAAAATTAAAATAAAAGACACAAAACAAAAAAGACCCTTTCTGAAAAAATAGCTCAGAAAATAGATACAAAGAAAACTGATGTAAGAGCTTCATGGCTTGAGTACTTTCTTTTGAGTAGTCCCTAGAAGAATTTATGTAGGATCAAAATGATCAGTTCTGTGAACATTCAGTGAAACTATGTGAACATTGTATGTGATGTTGCATAAGGATTTTAAACCATTTTTTCATTCTACTTTTATGTCAGTTCCATAAATTAAATTATAGTTCTTTTTTCTATTTTACTGATATATTAAAATTTATTACAAAAATATTTTTGTGTTTTTTAAAAAAGATTGTAAAGGTATAAATGTCATAAACTACACATTTTTAAAGAATAAAATGTGCTAATTTTATCAAACGGTCATTCAATTTTTTTCTTATGTCAATTTGATAAGTTAATTTCTTAGTTTTTTTAATTTCACTGATATTTTAAAATTTATTCCAAAAAATTTGATGTTTTTTAAGAAAACAGATTTTAAGGTATAATTGACACATAATAAACTGCACATTTTTAAAGCATAAAATTTGATAATTTTTGACATATGTATAAGTAAATAAGACCATCACCACAGTCAAGATAATGAATACATCCATCACCTCAAAAGATTCCTTAGGCCCCTTAGTAACAGTTTTTTTTTTCTGTAGCACCAAGTAGTAACCCTTTCCCAAGCAACTACCAACCTGCTGTCTGACATTAGAGATCATTTTAATTTTCTAAAATTTTATATAAATAGAATAATGTATAATCTTTCTTTGTCAGTGACCTTTACACCAGCACA
Source organism: Homo sapiens (assembly GCF_000001405.40). NCBI lineage: Eukaryota > Metazoa > Chordata > Mammalia > Primates > Hominidae > Homo > Homo sapiens. The sequence continues at coordinate 191,921,870 of NC_000003.12, forward strand.
ATCATCCCTATTGTACTATGTATCAATAGTCCATTCCTTTGATTTGTTTCTTTGTTTGGTTGGATATAGTACAATTTGTTAACCCAGTAAACTTTTACAGACATTTGTTTTGTTTCAGTTTAGGGGTGTTTACAAACAAAACTGCTATGCATGCATCTTTGTATGTCTATAAGCTTTCATTTCTTTTAGGTAAATATTTAGAAGTGGAAGAGCAGTATCAAATGATAGGCATATGTTTAACTTTTTAAAAAACTTTCAAACTGTTTTCCAAAATGTATCATTTACAGTCTTGAAGCAGAGCATGAGAATGTCAGCTCCGTTCTATCCTTTTCAATATTTTGTAAGTTCAGTTTAATTTTAAACATTCTAACAACTATATAGGGGTAATTTGTTGTGGTTTTAGTTTGCATCTCCCTAAAGGCTAATGTCAAGCATATTTCATGTGCTTATTTGTCCTCCTGCCCATTTTTGATTGCATTGCTTAATAAGGATTGAGTTTGGAGAGTCCTGTATCTATTATGGGTAACGTCCTTCACCAGGTGTATGTTCTCTGAAAATGGTGGTTGTAAGCATTGACCTGCTAGGTGGCTAATTAAGGGATTGGCTTGGGAGCTTGCCTCTGTTTTGCCCACCTCAGTGCTTTCTCATGGATGGGGTGGGCTCCCAGGTGGCAGTAGTGAAAATATTTAAAGAAAAATATCCCGTACTAGTTGTAGCCACCTGAGGCAAGCAACAAGCAAACCAAATATCTGCAAGCAAAACTCTGGGAAAGGAGATTCATAAGAGAACAAAGGCTTTGAGAAACTGCACCTATACCAGGAAATCTAGAAGGCAACGTGAATGCCATGGGCTGGACACACGCTCAGAGAGATCTGAGAACACCCTAAGCTTTCATTTTGGGCTGACCTTTCAGTTCTGTGCAAGCAGGAGGCAAAGGCTAAAGAAGAGTTCAAGTGGCCTGAATAAGCATTGAAAGGGTGCCCCAATACAGAGCCAGTCTGCAAAAGGTGTGTGCAGACATTTAAAGAAATCTCCGCCAAATCACTAGCTGACCACTAGGCTCAAAGAACAAAGATGTCAGTGGCCACGGAGAGACCAAACAAAAGATACAGTCTTTACAAAACTGATTTAGAAAAGTCACTAAAGAAATAAACACCTTTCTCTCATAGCTCCTTAAGTAGCTTAATAATCAGCCTTCTGAATTCTTTATCTGGCAATTCAGAGATTTATTCTTGGCTTGGATCCATTGCTTGGGAGCTAGTGTGATGTTTTGAGGATGTTACGGAACCCTCATTTATCATATTACCAGAATTACTTTTCTGGTTCCTTCTCATTTGAGTAGAATATTTGTTCATTTTGTTCTTTATTTTTGATTCAACTGGATTTTTTGTCTTTTAATTTGTTTTTTCCCCCCTTGAAGATGTAACTTTAATGTTTCTGTGGAGAAATCAGCTGTGAATATGACTGGTTTTCTTTTATAGGTTACTTGATGCTTTTGTCTCACAGATCTTAAGATTGTTTTCTTTGTCTTGACTGTAGATAACCTGATGAATATGTGCCTAGGTGATGATATTTTTGCAATGACTTTCCCAGGAGTTCTTTGAGCTTCTTGTATTTAAATGTCTAGATCTCTAGATGAGAGAATTTGAAAACATAATTTGAAGACATACTATCGAAATGAAACACAGAATGCCAAATGACTTAAAAACTGAACAGGTGATTAGTGAACAGTTGGAAAAACTTCAAGCAGTAAAGTATAAGTGTAATTCAAGTCTCCAAAGGGCAGTGGGTCAGAAAATATTTAAAGAAAAAAATATTTAAAAACTAATGGCCAAAAGTTTTTAAAATCTGGTAAAATCTGTAAAATCACAGATTCAGTAAGTTTAATAATCCCAAGCTTCTAAATAAACATGAGGAAAATGACACCAAGACCTGTGAAAATAAAACTGTTTCAAACTGCTGTTAAGGAAAAAACATTTTAAAAGCAGGAGAGAAAAGCAAATGGCTTACCAAGAAGTCAAAAATTGTTTTCTGTAAAATGTCAGATAATATATTAGGCCTTGTGGCCGAGGTGGGCGGATCACTTGAGTCTAGGAGTTTGAGACCAACCTGGGTGACATGGCAAATCCCTGTCTCTACAAAAAATACAAAAATTAGCTGGGTATGGTGGTGCACACCTGTAGTTCCAGCTACTGGGGAGGCTGAAGTGGGAGGATCACTTGAGTCTGGGAGGTAGAGGTTGCAATGAACCAAGATCATGCCAGCTTACTTGACAGAGTGAGACCCTGTCTCAAAATATATATACATACATATACAGAAGCATATAATATAAAAATAAAATATAAATATTAACTTATATTTTATAATTTTATAAAATATATTATTTTGATTATATATATATATATATATTTATGGCCCTTGGGAGGGGTCATACAGTCTGTCACATTTACTCAACCCTGCCATTGTAGTATGAGAGCAACCATAGATAATATGTACATGAATGGGTGTGGCTGTGTTCCAATAAAACTTTATTTAAAAACCACAGAATATAGTTTGTTGACATCTGATACAGAGGAACAAAAATATGAGGACAAACATACAAGACAGTATATTTCTTAACAGACACAATGAAAAATAGAAGATAGTGGAGCAACAACTTCAAAGTAGTACTTTGAAGTACTACTTTGTACTTCACTTCAGTGAAAGAAACTCTTAACCTAGAATTTTTTACCAGATAAAAATATCTTTTATAAAAGGAGGAATAAAACTATTTCAGACATATAGAAGCTGAGTGAATTTATGATCAGTATAGTCACACTGTAAGAAGTGTTAAAAGAAGTTCTTTAGGCAGAAGGAAAATGATACCAGATGAAAACCTGGATGTACACTTTTTCTTTCACTATGTTTTTTCTGTTGATTTTTCCTACTCTTCATTTTTTTCTTTTTTTTTTTTTTTTGAGACAGAGTCTTGCTCTGTCGCCCAGGCTGGAGTGCAGTGGCCCAATCTTGGCTCACTGAAAGCTCCGCTTCCCAGGTTCATGCCATGCTCCTGCCTCAGCCTCCTGAGTAGCTGGGACTACAGGCGCCCACCACCACACCCAGCTAATTTTTTGTATTTTTAGTAAGGACAGGGTTTCACCATGTTAGCCAAGATGGTCTCGATCTCCTGACCTCGTGATCCGCCTGCCTCAACCTCCCAAAGTGCTGGGATTACAGGCATGAGCCACCGTGCCCGGCCTCTTCATTTTTTTCTATTAGTTGAGATATAATAAATAATTTTCAGTTTATTTCTTTTATATAAACATTTACAACTAGACATTTCCTTCACACAGTCTCTTTCTCTGCAGTCTATAAGCTTTCCTATGGAGTGTTTTTATTGTGTATTTTATTATTATTGTTATAAGTAATTTAAAGTTTTCATTAAGTTTTTGACCAATGTGTTACTTAGCAGTATCTTTTATAAATTTCTAAATGCATTGTAATTTTAAAAAGTTTTGTTTATTTATTCTAACAATTATGTTGTGTTCAGAGATAGCATTCTATATCAAGAGTCAGCAAATTGTGGTTTCTGAGCCAAATACTGCCTGCCAGGTATTTTTCTAATAAACTTTGATTGGAACACATCTAAGCTCATTTATTTAAATATTTTCTATTAATTTTTTTGTGTTACAACGGCAAAAGCAAGTAGTTATATTATAGAATGTATGCTGTGCAAAGCCTATTTAGGCCTTTTACATTGAAAAAACTTGCTAAGAGCTATCCCACAGGAAAGCTGTTTTTAAGCAATTTGTTGACACCAATTTACACCATAATATAGGATAAACTTGTAACGGTTTTCTGCATGTGCTTGAGAATAACACATACTGTCTAAACTTCATATATAATACCTTGTTCAAATCTTCAATAGAAGTGCAATTTTATAAAAATCTGCTTGGGATATGTCTCTTTGATCCCTAGTCTGTTGAGGATTTTTAGATTTTTATCATGAAGGGATGTTGGATTTTTATCAAGGCTTTTTCTCCATCTGTTGAGATGATGATGTGATTTTTGCCTTTAATTCTGTTTATATGTTGAATCACATTTATTGATTTGTTCATACTGAGCCAGCCTTGCATCCTCAAAATAAAGCCTACTTGATCATGGTGTGTTAACTTTTTGATGTGCTGCTGGATTTGGTTTGCCAGATTGAGGATTTTTGCATTTATGTTCATCAGGGATATTGGCCTGAAGTTTACTTTTTGGTTTTTTTCCTCAAAATAATAAGGGGCATCTATGACAAACCTATAGCCAACATCATACTGAATGGGCAAAAGCTAGAACCATTCCCCTTGGGAACTGAAACAAGATAAGGATGCCCACTCTCACCACTCTTATGCAACATAGTACTGGAAATTCTAGCCAGAGCAATCAGGCAACAGAAAGACACAAAAGGTATCCAAATAGGAAAATAAAAAATCAAACGATATGTTTCTTCACTGACAATATAACTCTATAACCAGGAAAGCCTAAAGACTCTGCCAAAAGACTACCATAACAAATAAATGATTTTAGTAAAGTTTCAGGATACAAAAGCAATGAACAAAAATTAGTAGCATTCCTATAATTCAATAACATCTAAGCCTAGAGTGAAATCAAGAACACAATCCCATTTACAATAGCCACAAAGAAAATGAAATACCTAGGAATACAGCTAACCTAGGAGGTTAAAGAGCTCCACAAGGAGAAAACATTACTGAAAGAAACACTACTGAAAGAAATCAGAGATGATGCAAATAATGAAAAACAGTCTATGCTCATGGACTAAAACAGTCAGCATCATTAAAATGGCCAATTGCCCAAAGCAATCTGCAGATTGAATGCTATTCCTATAAAACTACCAATGTTATTCTTCACAGAATTAAAAAAAAAACACTATTCTAAAATTCATATGAAACCAAAAAAGAACCTGAATAGTCAAAGCAATTCTAAGCAAGAAGAACAAAGCATTACCCGACTTCAAACTATATTTTAAGTTATGGTAACCAAAATAGCATGGTAATGGTACAAAAACAGACACATGAACCAATGAAATAGAATAGAAAACTCAGAAATGAAGCCTTCTACTTACAATCCTCTGATCTTCGACAAGGCCAACAAAAGCAATGAGGAAAGGACTCCCCATTTAGTAAATCATGCTGGGATAATTGGCTAGTCATATGTAGAAGAATAAAACTGGACCCTTACATTTCACCATATACAAAAATTAACTGATGATGGATTAAAGATGTAAATGTAAGACTTCGAACTGTAAATGTCCTATAAGGAAACCTAGGACATACCCTCCCGATATCAGCCTTGGCAAATAATTTTTGGCTTAGTAGCCAAAAGCAATTGCAGCAAAAACAAAAATTGACAAGTATTGCCTAATGAAGTTAAAGAACGTCTGCAGAGCAAAATAAACTATCAACAGTGTCAGGCCTCTGAGCCCAAGCTAAGCTATCATATCCCCTGTGACCTGCATGTATATGTCGAGATGGCCCGAAGCAAGTGAAGAATCACAAAAGAAGTGAAAATGGCCGGTTTCTGCTTTAACTGAAGCCATTACCTTGTGAAATTCCTTCTCCTGGCTCATCCTGGCTCAAAAGCTCCCCCACTGAGCACCTTGTGACCCCCACCCCTGCCAGCCAGAGAACAACCCCCTTTGACTGTAATTTTCCATTACCTACCCAAATCCTATAAAACAGCCCCACCCCTCTCTCCCTTCACTGACTCTCTTTTCAGACTCAGCCCACCTGCACCCAGGTAATTGAAAAGCTTTATTGCTCACACAAAGCCTGTTTGGTGGTCTCTTCACACGGATGCGCGTGAAAAACAGGTTAAACAGACAACCTATATAATGGGAGAAAATATTTACAAACTATATGTCTGAGAAAGGTTTAATATCCAGAATCTATAAGGGAACTTAAATCAATAAGCAAAAACAACACCATTATAACGGGCAAAGACAATGAACAAACATTTCTCAAAAGACATATGAGCAGCCAAAAAAAATATTAAAATTGTTCATCATCACTAATTATTAGAGAAATGCAAATCAAAGCCACAAGGAGAGATCATCTCACATCAGTCAGAATGGCTGTTATTAAAAATCCAAAAACAACGGTTATTCTGTGTCACGCACGTCCCTGTGAAGAGACCACCGGCAGGCTTTATGTGAGCAACAGGGCTGTTTATTTCACCTGGGTGCAGGTGGGCTGAGTCCGAAAAGAGAGTCAGGGAAGAGAGATAGGGGTGGGGCCATTTTGCAGGATTTGGGTAGGTAATGGAAAATTACAGTCAAAGGGGGTTGTTCTCTGGCAGGCGGGGGCAGGGGTCACAAGGTGCTCAGTGGGGGAGCTTCTGAGACAGGAGAAAGAATTTCACAAGGTTATGTCATCAGTTAAGGCAGGAGCAGGCCATTTTCACTTCTTTTGTGATTCTTCAGTTACTTCAGGCCATCTGGATGTATACATGCATGTCACAGTGGATATGATGACTTAGCTTGGGCTCAGAGGCCTGACATTCCTATCTTCTTATATGAATAAGAAAAATAACATAAAATAGTGTTGAAGTGTTGGGGCAGCGAACATTTTTGGCAGGTGGTATGGAGAGATAATGGGTGATGCTTCTCAGGGCTGCTTCAAGCGGGATTAGGGGCGGCGTGGGAACCTAGAGTGGGAGAGATTAAGCTGAAGAAAGATTTTGGGGTGAGGGGTGATAGTGTGGGGTTGTTAGAAGGAACATTTGTTGTATAGAATGGCCTGGATATGGTTTTGTATGAATTGAGAAACTAAGCAGAAGTTACAAGGTCTGAATAAGAGAAGGAAAAAAACAGGTATTAAAGGACTAAGAATTGGGAGGACCCAGGACATCCAATTAGAGAGTGCCCAAGAGGGTTCAGCATAATGACTTGCTTGGTTGGTGAGTTTTTGGGCTCTGTCCTTGAGTTTTTTTATGTTGTCATACACCAGGCCAGATTGATTTAGGTAAAAACAACACTCTTCATTAAAAAATGTACAGTCTTCCTTTTTTAGCAGTAAGTAAGTCAAGGCCTTGGCAATTTTGGAGGAAAGAGAAACGCAAAGCCAGCAATTGTTTGTTAAAGAAGTTTAATGTCAGGCCTCTGAGCCCAAACTAAGCCATCATATCCACTGTGACCTGCAGCATACATCCAGATGGCCTGAGGCAACTGAAGAATCACAAAAGAAGTGAAAATGGCCTGTTCCTGCCTCAACCGATGACATTACCTTGTGAAATTTCTTCTCCTGGCTCAGAAGCTACCCCACTGAGCACCTTGTGACCCCTGCCCCTGCCTGCCAGAGAACAACCCCCTTTGACTGTAATTTTCCATTACCTACCCAAATCTTATAAAACGGCCCCACCCTTGTCTCCCTTCACTGACTCTCTTTTCGGACTCGGCCCGCCTGCACCCAGGTGAAATGAACAGCCTTGTTGCTCACACAAATCCTGTTGGTGGTCTCTTCACACGGACACGTGTGACATTCTGGTGAGACTGTGGAGAAAAGGGAACACTTCCACACTGCTGGTGGGAATGTAAATTAGCCACTGTGGAATGCAGTTTGGAGCTTTCTGAAAGAGCTGAAAACAGAGCTACCATTCAACCCAGTGACACCATTACTGGGTATGTACCCAAAGGAAAATAGATCATTATACCAAAAAGACACATGCGCTTGTGTGCTCATCACCACACGATTCACAATAGCAAAGACATAGAATCAACCTAGGTGCCCAACGTTTGCCTGGATTAAAAAAAAAATGTGGTGCATGTACACCATGGTATACTACACAGCTATAACAAATAATGAAATCAGGACCTTTGCAGCAACATGGATGGAGCTGGAGGCCATTATCCTAAGTGAACTAAGACAGGAACAGAAAACCAAATACTGCATGCTCTCACTTATAAGTAGGAGCTAAACATTGAGCACGCATGGACATATAAACATGGGAACAAAAGAGACCATAGGCTACTTGAGACGGGAGGGAGGGAGAAGGAGGTGGATTGAAAAACTAACTATTGGGTACTGTGCTCACTACCTGGATGCAATATACTCATGTAGCAAACCTGCATTTGTACTCCCTATATCTAAAATAAAGCTGATTAAAAAAAAAAGAAATCAACAGAGTAGAAAACCTAAATATGGAATAAACATATGGTACCAAAAAATCTCCTTGGTCCTTCAGTAATTCAGAAAACTGTTTTGAATTTTTTTTTTTTTTTTTTTTTTTTTTTTTTTTTTTGAGACGGAGTTTCGCTCTTGTTGCCCAGGCTGGAGTGCAATGGAGCGATCCCAGCTCACTACAACCTCCGCCTCCCAGGTTCAAGCAATTCTCCTGCCTCAGCCTCCTGAGTAGCTGGGATTACAGGCATGAGCCACCACGCCCAGCTAATTTTGTATTTTTAGTAGAGATGGGGTTTCTCCATGTTGGTCAGGCTGGTCTTGAACTCCCAGCCTCAGATGATCAACCCACCTCGGCCTCCCAAAGTGCTGGGATTACAGGTGTGAGCCACTGCGCCCTGCCAAGTGTTTTGAATTTTTATGATGTGTGGTGAATTTGTTTAATTTTCTTGTAAATCCATCAATATTTCAAGCTATTTTAATGAGTAATTATTTAAAATTATCATTTATGTTCTGCCAATTAGATTTTTATAAGTATAAAGTGACATTGTCTATCTCTAATTTTATTCTTAAGTCTATATTGTCTGCTATTGATACAGCTACACCATCTTCATTGTGTACTATTCTTCTAACACATCTTTTTTCATTCTCTGACTTTCAACATTTTCAGTGCATTTTACGTTAATTTTTTTTAAAGTCCACATAGCTAGTTTTTAACATTCAGTCTCAAATTTCTGACTTTTGATAGTCAGTTGATTTCACTTACATATTGCCTGATAATTAATATATTTGTACTTTTTAATCACCTTTTATTTTTACTTACATTTTTGTTCTATTTTTATGTTCTTTTCTTCTTTCTTGCTTTCCATCCCAAATTTGGAGAGTTGAGTATCTTTTTTTAATAATTTTCCCTTTATTCCACTTTCATTCTGCTTATTTCTTGAATCATCTCAACAGACTTGTCTATTTGGTTAGCCTTTCCAAAGAATGGCATTTCTATTGTTTTAGTAATTGACTATAAAATTTTAGCATTATTATAATTTAAATATTAACTATACCTGAACCTGCATACTCACACAGTAAAATTATTTAGATTTATGGGCTCAAAATATTTCCAGGTATTTTAGTTTTGTCCAGAGTTGCTAGAAAAATACAGGCCTAACAGTTAAATTTGAAGTTCAGATAAGCAACGTATAATTTTATAATATAATGTAGACCAGGGCAGTATTTGGCACATATTTATACTAAAAATTTATGTTGTTTTCCAAAGATTGAAATCTAAAAGAGTACCCTATATTTTTATTTTTATTTATTTACTTTTTAAGTGAAAGCAAGTTTACTAGAGTACTAAAGAAACAAAAGAATATCTACTCCCTAGACAGAGCAGCCTACCCTATACTTTTAATACTAAATTTGGCAAACTTAGTTTTATCTTTAATTTTAATTTTGTATTTAGCACAATAATGACTATGGTACATAAATAGTGTTTGGGTTTACATGATTTTTGCTTTTTTGGTAACCATTTTATTGTAGTACATCACTTCTTACAACTTATACTGTTCCTCTAGGATTACTTTCCTAGTTGGATGTATATAAAAATAGCTTTTATTTGGTCATTTTTCTTGAATAATAGTTTCTCTTGAAGCAAAATTACATATTGATACTTTCATACTGTCAGCTGTTTTTAGATACTGTTCCCCTGGTGTCTTGCTTTCATTAATATTGAAGAAAAGTCTCATGCCATTCTCAATGTCATTCTAGTGTAGGTCAAGTTTTCGCAAATTACCTGTGGTCCAAATCTTGCCTGTGTTGTTTATGTACAGCTCATGAGCTAAGAATATCTTTCACATTTTTAAGGGGTTGTACCAAATAACAAAGAAGTATACGTGACAGAAACCATATAAAACCTGCTAAGTCTAAAATATGATATATCTTTTTACAGAGTATTTATCAATCCCTATTGTAGGTTATCTGTCTTTTGAAAATGGCTGATTACAAGATCTTGTATTTAGTTCAATATTCTGATACTTTTACTGTTATATTTGTTGCAGATAGCTTTTGTTGCTATTATTAACATACTTTCTTATGTTTTCTTGTCAGTTACTTTTCTAAAGTAGAGAAAGTTAGTACTTACATATTTGCATTTTTTCCAGCCAACATACAATGTTTACTTATTAATTTTAGCCGTTCTAACTAGTTTTCTAGGTACACGCTGTCAGCAGAACAGTGAGATATTTTTATATTTTCTTTTCCAATATTTGCCCCATTACATAATTTGCTTTTCTTCTGCATTTGCTAAAACTACTAATAAAATGTTAAATCATCGTAAGATTATAAAAAGGACTAAAATAATTATAATTATCTGAATGCTTTGGATTTTTCTGACTTCCCAGCTTCTGACTTCTAAATCTAGCTAGCTCATATAAAAAAGGTCACACCCACCTACGTAATGTTCCTTTTGATTAACTCAGAGTCACCTGATTAGGAGACTTACTTGCATCAGTAAAATCCCTTTTGCCATTATTATAGGCATAATGTAGGGAATCGGAGATCATGGGGATCATCTTAGAATTCTTCCTACCACATTCTTCCACACGTAAAAGTCTGGCTTTTATTGAGATTTGTGCAACTTTGCTATAACTTTCTTTACCAAACTTTCTTGCATTAGTCACCACAGTGTTTTGGTTTGTTTTATGTAGGTGTCTGGTACAGCATTGCCCCTTTATTTTATACTCTCTGGTGACTTGGATCAATAAATGTCTTACCTGTTTCTTCTCCAAAATCTTCAAATTATTCATACTCTTCAAGTAGTCATGATAAAAATGGATTGAAGTATATTACTGTCCAGGAATTGTCTATCTCAAAGCATGTAAGCTCCAACATTTCACTCTAAGCCCAGCCTTTCATTCCTCTAGCTGCCTCACTATCTCAATCTAAAATCACCCTGTGATTCTGGGGCCTCAGATTCTTCAACTGCCTACTTTTTTCTACTCTTTGACAAAATTTTCTTCTCTAGGAAATCTAAAATATTTTTCTTAGTACAATCATACTTTTCAAACCCTTAAAATTTAAGGTTAAGATACTCGCTAAGACTCTATAAATAATAATTCGGAACACCATATATCAACCTGAGCTGTAGAGATAGATTTTTGAGTTATCAGCATATAGATAGTGTTATAAAATGTGAATGCTGATGAAATCTTCTAGATATCTTATCTACAAATTACAAAGGGGACTTGGAGAATTAAGGAATACACCAACATAAATGGATGTATGTTTTAGGTGAAAAGTAATAACTTTTTAAATGGTATAAAAAAGCATAGTTTTCTAAAAGTTACTCCTAAGTTTTCAAGAGAAAAATATATGGTTAGTATTTACAGTTTTAATTAATTTTTCTTTTTCTTCAGATTTAAATATATCCCACATGTGAGTATGTAAATACATACATGTGTATTTGGAAAAAAGGATAAAGCAAATAACTCTGTACCCCATTACCTAGGCCAACAAATAGAATGTTATACCAATAGCAGAAATCCCCTATTCTCTCCTCTGTAAATTGTACACTACTCACGCCCCTCTACAGGCAGCCACTATGCTGAACATTGTGTTAATCATCCTCTGCTTTTACTTATGTCTCTTAAGTGCATATACCTAAATGAAAGCTTATTTTTTACTCTTTCTGGACTTTTATAAGTAGAATTATATAGCATATATTTTTCTGTAACTTGCTTATTTACCTTAGTGTTATATTTTAGAAATTCACTCAATGACTATAGCTGTATTGCATTTATTTTCATTGCAATATATGTTTTCATTTAAAGAATATGCTGTAATTCCTTTTTTCATCCTACCATGTCAGAGAATTGAGTAACTTCTGCTTTTTTCTTTTCTGTTATAAAGAATGCTACTGTCTTATACATATCTCCCCGCATGCGTATGCCAGGAATTTCTATGGTTATACTCAGAACAGTAATTATTGTTGGACAGAGTAGGTGCATTTCAAGATTACTAGGCAATGCCAAAATATTTTGCAAACTAGTTGAGGCATCTACTACTGTTTATGTATCCCTGAGTACATGGGAGTTTCCACTTCATCAAACCTCACCAAATCATGATATTGTCCGACTGTAGTTCTTGACAATCTGCTAGTTGTGAAGATGTATCTTTGAATGGTTTCCAATTAATTTTTTCTATTAGTGATTATAACTAGCATGTTGAGTCCATGGGCTACTCCATTATCTGTTAGTTTCTCCTATTCTCTGAAATTTCTCTTAACTCTTTTGCCCATTGTTTGTTTTATTTTTTATTCTTGTTCATTGATTATATTTACTTCATGTAATCTAAATGATAATTATTTCCTGAGTTTATATGTTGAAAATACATTCTCCCAGTTTGTGTCTCAGTATCCAGTATCTTTTTTTATTCTTTTCTTTTTTTTTTTTTTTGGAGACAGGTTCTTGCTCTGTCACTCAGGCTGTAATGCAGTGGCACAATCTGGGCTTAGCTCACTGAAGCCTGGACCTCCTGGGCTCAAGTGATCCTCTCACCTTCAGCCCCAGGAGGAGCTGGAACCACAGCTGCATGCCACCTTGCCCAGCTAAGTTTTGCAGTTTTTAGAGATGTGGTTTTGCCGTATTGCCCAGGCTGGTCTTGAACTCCTGGGCTCAAGTCACCTACCCACCTTGGCCTTCCAAAGCGCTGGCATTACAAGCATGCACCACTGCACCCAGCCAATGTCCAGTATCTTTATTTTTTGGATTAAAATTTTGTAACTGTAATATATTTGTTATCAATATTTTCTTTTATGATTTATGTCTTTTTGTTTGCTTTCTATACCAATATAGGATATTCTACATGAATTTTTAAAATATTTACAGTTTTAGCTTTTACATTTAGAAATTTAATGTAAATAACATTGATTTTTCACTAAACAGTCACATTATTATTTAGAGTTCAATTTTGTCTTTCCATATGGATAACAAATATTATCATACCAATTCTCAAATTCAATTTTACTCCAATGATCTGTAAAATCACCTCTATGATATCAAGTGCCCATGTTTATGTAGGCCTGTCTCTGTGCTATTCTGATCCATTGGTCCAAGTATCTAAAACTAGGTTAATATAGGTCTTAACTACTATAGTTTTATAACAAGTACTGAAAATTTGTTAGGAAATGTGTTATTCGTGGTACTATGGTTTGGATTTGGTTTGTTTGGCTCCACCAAGCCTTATGCTGAAATCTGATCTCTGGTGTTGGAGGTGGGGCCTGGTGGGAGGTGTTTGGGTCATGGGAGTGGATCCACCATGAATGGTTTGGTGCCATCATCGATCTATTAGTTCCTGCAAGAGTTTCCTCAAGAGCTGGTTGTTACAGAGTCTGGCAACTTCTCTCTAACTCTTGCTCCCTCTCTTGCCATGTGATCTGCATATGCTGGCTCCCCTTCTCCTTCTGCCATGAGTGGAAGCTTCTTGAGCCCCTTACCAGAAGCAGATGCTGGTGCTGTGCTTCCTGCACAGCCTGCAGAATCGTGAATCATAAATTACCAGCCTCAGGTATTCCTTTATAGCAACACAAATGAACTAAGACACATGGTTATTTTGATTATTTATATTCTCTATCATTTTTAAAACCTTTATTAAATTATACTGAATATATAAATCATTCTGGAGGAAATCATTTCCTTGTGAAATTGAATATTTCAATATATGAACAAGGCCTTTCTATTTATGTGTTAGTATATATATTTCAATAAAGTTTTATAATTTCCTGCATAAAATCTTATATGTCCTTTACTAGAAAGTTTTCTAGGTACTTTGTATTATTATGTCATTTCAACTGGTATGTTTTAATTTCAAATTTATGTTATAACTGTTTATTTTTCTTCCATAGAAATAAAATGATTTTTGCAGTGATCCTAGTGCAAGAAAATTCCTCAATCATTTTTCCTGATTGGTATATTTTAAATTAATAGACTATTTTTGGAATAGCTTTAGATTTTTTCAGAAAAAAAATTGAGCAATTAGGATAGTGAGTTCCCATAGCCACCTCCTGACAAACACACAGTTTCTCTTCTTGTTAACATTTTGCATCAATGTGGTGCATTTGTTATAACTAGTGAACAATACATTATCAACTAAAGTTCATAGTTTACATTAATGCTCTTTGTGTTGTAGAGTTGTGTGGATTTTGACAAGTGTATGCTGTCATGTTTTCACCATTACAGTATCAGAAAGAATAGTTTCATCACCCTAAGAATCTCTTGTGCCTCACCTCTTCATTTCTCCTGTCTTTCCCCTGAATTTTGTCAACCGCTGCTCTTTTTATTATCTACAGTTTTGGCTTTTAAAGATGCCATGTAGTTGGAATCACACAGTATGTACCCATTTCGGCCGGCTTCTTTCACAAAGCAACATGCATTTTAGGTTCCTCCATGTCTTCTCGTGCCTTGAGAGTTTACTCTTTTTTTTTTTTTAATCACTGAGTAACACCTTCTTATATGGATACAACAAAATGACATATAGTTTTAGCTCTGACATGGAAAAACTTTGAAGTAGTCACTTTCATCTTCACAAGAAAAAACGCTGAACAAACTGAAAGTCAACACCTTATTTTGGATTTCAGAATTGAGCTCACAGAAAAATCACCACTCCAAAATTTTGAGACAGGCAAATACAGAGAACCATAGTCAAGATAAGCTTGCTTGAAGCATAAACTGCCAGAACCAGTTACTGGTAGTAGCACTTAGATAGTAATGTTGATGAACTGATGGAGGCTAAGTGGAAACCAAACTCCTGGGATCTTAGGTGTCCACCGACTCTATCATGGTTTCTGCACCAAACTCTCACAGTGAAGATAGAGAAAGATGCTCTGTGTTTTAGGTGCAGGTGGAAAGCAACTGTGGAATACACAAAGAACATTCTCCATTACGAACAGAATTTCTTTCTGTCTCAAGTAACAGGAGAAAAAATAAGGTAAGAAACATTTCCAAGATATAGTTGTATTTAGATCAGGAGCTATGGAAATGTATGTAAATTATAGAAATATATTTGGTGTTTTGAAGACATTAAAGTATAAGGAATTCACATAAGGAGGTCACATAGAGAGAGCAGGGAGATAGAGAATTCTAAGAAGGACCAAGAGCTAAAGAACAGTCCAAAGAAGATAAAACAGCAAATGAGAGGAAAATATGGAACAGAGAGTTGCGTATCTCCAATACATTTTTGTTACTAGAATAAGATCCTAAGAGCTGACAGTTACTACTTTATTTGGGGGAGGAGGGTGTGATAACCATGTGTATTAAGATGTAATTGACACATAATAAGTGGCACATATTTAAAATGTACAATTTGACGAGTGTTAATGTACATATATACCTGTGAACTCACCACAATCAAGATAGTGAACATATTTATTACCCCCAAAGCTTTCCTGACATGCCTCTGTTACTTCTCCCTCCCACCCCTCTTGACCCTCTGACTCCCCAGGTAATCACTGATCTGCTTCTGTCATTATTAATGCAAGGCTTGCTTTTAATTGGCTAGAATTTTATATACATGGAATCAAACTGTATGTACTCTTTATGGTCTGACTTCTTCTACTTAAAATAATTATCCTGAGATGTATCTATCTTGCTGCGAAAATCAATAACACTTCTCTTTTACTGTGAAGCAATATTCCATGGTATTGATATAGCCATAATTTGTCCATCCACTGACCTGTTGACAAGATAAAGTCTCTAAGATATCATATTATTTTAGTCAACGAGTGTTTTAACTTCTACCGTGGCCACACACTGTGCTAAGCACTAAGTTGGGGTAGTGGATAAGACAGAAAAACTTTCTACTCTTTTAGAGTTAAAAGTTTCACCCAAGAGAAGTAAAGCATATGTCCATATGAAGACTTATGTACAAATGTTTACAGAAGCTTTACTAGTAGAAAGCTGTAATCGATATTATTGTTTACCAATAAGGAGTGAAATGCCTGAATCATATGTTAGGTTTATATTTAAATTTTTAAAGAAATTGCCAAACTGTTGTTGAAAGTTCTTGTGCAATTTTGTATGCCCATCAGCAGTGTATGAGAATACCAGCTCTATCACATCCTCACTAGCATTTGGTATAGTCAGTAATTTTAATTTTAGCCATTCTAGTAGATGTATAGTGATATCTCATTATGGCTTTCATTCATATTTCCCCAGTGACTAATGATGTTGAGTATCTTTTCATGCACTTATTTGCCATCTGCAGCCATTATTTGGTAAAGGATCTGTTAATTTTCTTTACTGGTAGTTCTAATATCTATGCCAGGTCTGTATTCATTTTTATTGATTGCTTGCTTTTCCCTCATTATGAATTGTGTTTTCCTTCTTTTGGTATTCCAATAATTTTTAATGGATGTCAGACTCTGAATTTTACCTAGTTGAGTGTTGAAAACTTTTGTATTCTTATAAAACTTCTTCAGCTTTGTTCCGAGGTGCTGTCAAGATAATTGAAAATGGTTTAATTCTTTAGAATCTTGCTTTTTGTGGTTTTCAGTTGGATTCTGAGAAATACTTACCCTAAGGCTAATTATTCCCACTACTGCCGCAGGACATATCTGAGTACTCTACCCAATATCCCATCAATGATTGATTTATTTATTTTTTGCAGCGTGGCTTGTGAAAACAGACACTAGTTCTGGGCCTGTTTTATCTAGGGCACTGTTGCCTCTAATTCTTTCAGTCGGTTCTTTCTCACTCTTAGCTAGTTTTCTCACCCACATGTGGATATCATTACTCTATTGAATTATTGAAGGGAACTCTACAGATCTCAGAGCTCTGTCTCTAAACACATCGCCCCTGTTTCTATACCCTGAACCCTCTAGTGCCCCCTTGATCTCCCCAGACTCTGTCACCTCAACTCAGGTATTCTGTAGGCTCTGCCATGGTTCCCCCTTCCTGTTCTACAGCCTGGAAACTTTCAGAATGCAGTCAATGGAGATAAATAATAGGCTATTTCAAGAATTACTTTCCGTAATCACCTGATATTCAGTGTCTTAAAAATAGTTGTTTTAGGCCGGATGTGGTGACTCACTCCTGTAATCCCAAATTCTGGGGGGCCAAGGCGGGTGGATCACCTGAGGTTGGGAGTTCGAGACCAGCCTGGCCAACATGGTGAAACCCCGCCCCTACTAAAAATACAAAAATTAGCTGGGTGTGATGGTGGGTGCCTGTAATTCTAGCTACTCGGGAGGCTGACACAGGAGAATGGCTGGAACCTGGAAGGCGGAGGTTGAAGTGAGCCGAAATTGCACCATTGCACTCCAGCCTGGGCAATAAGAGCAAAATTCTGTCTCAACAACAACAAAAAAATAGTTGTTTTATATATCTCCTTTTTCTTTAGATTGTTTCAGGTGGGAAAGTAAGTGAACTTCCTGTTTTCATGCAGTTTTTAAATTGCTACTACTGTTCTACATTTTTTAAATCTGACTTTAGTTTATATCTTTTCACATCTTACAAAATCGGCTATGCCTGTTTCTTCATATCTGTAAATATTTCAACTAAGTGTTATTTTCAAGTCACCAATGGTCAACTATTTGAGATATGTTAACATTTTCATGACCAGAAAGCAACTAGTGAGCCGCTTATTTCTATGTACAAGTAAAATTATAATTCATTAAGATGTCTTGTGGACTCATCTAATACCAGCAGCACTAAAATTATTTTATATGTGTTAATCTTCAATTATCTGTTATTTTTGGACATAGTACCAGATAGATATTTGCTTTCACTGATTAATACAGTAACAAAATGATCAAATCTGTGCAAACAATCCTACATGTGAAACTCAATAAATCCAACAGCACTTTATAGTTAAATAGTAAACTAGATTTCTAGGTTATGTGACCAGGGAATTTTGTAGATTTCTGTCTCCCATCCTATTAAAATGCATATCACAGAAACAAAAGAAAGAAAATATAGCAACAGGAATATAAACTAAATATGGATTAAGAAATATACCCAAATCCAGAGAGACTTTACCCCGATTACATCAATTATGAGGAAAAGTTTAGAAACACTGTAAAAAACTAGTAACCATATGCTCTATCTTCTGATGGAAAATAGTACAAACAGTATCAAAGAAGTATTAAACCCTGTTGTTGCTAGAATTCTGGGATGCAGAAGCTTCACTAACCTGAGAAATAAACTGCAATTATCTATTTGAACAGGAACTTTCTAGAACACTAAAAATAACCAGGGCATCTCATTTTCCCTTATTTCCCCTTACTTACCATTATCTTTCTCTTTCAAAATCCCAATAAGGATTTCAACTATTCATATAATGTTGAATATAAAAGTATTCTAAAGGTGATATCTTGGGTCTTTCTTGAGACACAGAAATCAGGAAAAAACAAAATTTTTTTTTTTTTTTAAACTGAGTCTCGCTCTTGTCACCCAGGCTGGAGTGCAATGGTGTGGCCTTGGCTCACTGCAACCTCTGCCTCCCAGGTTTGAGCGATGCTCCTGCCTCAGCCTCCCAAGTAGCTGGGATTACAGGCACCCACCACCACACCCAGCTAATTTTTGTATTTTTAGTAGAGACGAGGTTTCACCATGTTGGCCAGGCTGGTCTCAAACTCCTGACCTCAGGCTATCCACCCACTGTGGCTACCAAAGTGCTGGGATTACAGGCATGAGCCACCGCGCCTGGCCAACAAAACCTTTTAAATGAGGTCATTGATGGGAAAATATACAGAAGCAAGTCTTCCCAAGAAATAAAGGTGAGTGACTTGACTCCACATTCCAAATGTCTGTTCTCTCACCCCATCTCCATTTAGACGATCCGTGTTTATTATATTTCTTAACTTCTCTGTTTCTCATTTAATAAGAATATTAAATAAAATAAAGCATGAGAAGTTTAGTGCATGAAGTAATAGATAGTAAACTTTCAGTAAGTATTAACTATAGTCATTGTCATTGTCATCATTATATTAACTCTCAACATCATTATTATTATCACTTCTTTACATTGTTGTATAGAAAAAATTAATAGGGAGAATTTAGCTTCGTATGAGAAAGAACATGATCCAAGTCTAACATCTAAGATATTAGATTCAAAACCTTAGCTAATAATACAGAATGTGCAATAGTAGAGAAATTATAGTTATCATTAATGTGTTGTATATTTTAAAATAGCTGGAAGGGAATAATTGTAATGTTCCCAATACGAAGAAAAGATAAATGTTTGAGGTGCCAAAAATCCCAATTACCCTGATTTAATCATTACACATTTTATACATGTATTAAAATATCACATGTTCCCCCAAATATGTACAACTATGATACAGAAGTCTAAAAAGTACAGAATGTGCAATTACCTGGACTGTTTGTTTTGCATATTTTCCTCAGTTGTGCATAGCCCTTTAAAAAGATATTGGAGAAAGAAATTGACATTTCTAACAATATGAGAAAGAAATTTAATAAAGTTTAATAACTATTCCTCATTAAAATGCTGAGAAATCCAAAATAGAAGGGTATTTTTCACGTGATAAAAAGCGTCTGTTATTCTGAAATCCAGTAGCAAATATTATACTTAACAGAGAAACACTGGCAGCTCAGCTCTTCAGTTTGCAACAAGCAACAATAAGACAAATTAATAAGAGCTACTGGCAAGAGAGACACTATAATCATTTTCCAATAACAACTTCTTTTTCTTCAATACTCTAGGATTTCTGCTGAATAGCTCTTGGAATTAATGAGGGGGCATAAATAATATCATAACTTAGACCAAAATAAATTCCTGATGTATTTAATTTCCAAAGTAAAATGGCTTAACTGAAAGGAAATTTTTAGACTAATATTTTCTAAGATAAAGAAACACATGCTAAACATAATTCCAATGGGAGAAGTCACCAAAGTTAGAATCCAAACATTTTATTGCGTTGCAAATTTTAAAATCTGTATCTTCAAACAAAAACAAAATGAAAAATTGTAAAATAGGAGAAACATTTACAAAAAGCATTGTATAAAAACAGCTAAATATGTTGGTCATTAGAGTTAATAAAAATTCATAAGAATACAAGTATTCCTTTATGTCAATGAAACAGTTATGGCTTTCTGATTTATAAAATATATAGTTAATGCGTATGTAAAAATAAATAGTAATTAAAGGAAACATAAACTAAAAATATAATTTTTACTTCAGATACTAGTAAACATTTCATAAAATATGCAAATTATTCTTCACGATAGTATGTTGTTAGTACAGCACACTCGTATTGATACTGATATTGATCACTTATTAAATCTTTTGCATACAGCATATTTACGTAAATTCTTTTACTTCATTAAATATTCAAACATCCTTATGAAGTAGGTATTTTATTTACATCACTTTACAAACATAAATAAAGAAACACAGAGCAATTAAAAACTTGCCCAGGCAGGCAGTTAGCTGAAGGGAAATTGGGGCTTTAACTCATGTGGTCTGATTAAAGATTCTACCTCCTTAATCACAGTACTACCCTGATAACAAGTACATACTTTTCTGAAAAGGATTTAAGTGCAAAATCAAAGATTTAAAACAAAATTCTTTAATACCTTAATTTAATTTCTTGATCTTATATCCCAAGTATACAGAAATATAAAGGAAATCTCATGCCTAGAGATAACAGCATAATTCATTTATTTATTTTTATTTATTTATTTATTTATTTATTTATTTTTGAGACGGGATCTTGCTCTGTCACCCAGGCAGGAGCACAGTGGCACGATCTCAGCTCACTGCAACCTCTGCCTCCCAGGTTTAAGCGATTCTCCTGCCTCAGCCTCCCGAGTAGCTGGGACTACAGGCACACGTCACCACGCTCAGATAATTTTTTGTATTTTTAGTAGAGATGGGGTTTCTCCATGTTAGCCAGGATGGTCTCCATCTCCTGACCTCGTGATCCACCCACCTCGGCCTCCCAAAGTGCTGGGATTACAGGCGTTAGCCACCGCGCCCAGCCAGTATGATTTATTTTTAAAAGTGAAAACAAACCAAATGTCTAATATTGAAGAGTTCAATAAATAATTATATACAATTCACGAAATATTATTCAATAATCAGTGTGTGTACATAGAAATTTTTACGATTACCAAAAATGTGATAAATATGTAACAACCTAAGAATGATGCAAGAAAGCAAAGGATTAATGAATACAAAATTCAGAATAATAGTTCACTCTTGGGGTTAAAAAAATTTACAATATTCAGTTTAAATTACACAGTGGGTACAAGTTCTTCATCTTACTATTATTTACACCTTTCACTTATGTTAAATGAAAACAGGAATATAAATATTCATTTGTGTGTATTAAACTCTTTATAAAACCGTATAAAGACAAAAATGTAATATAAAGTGATGTATTCAATATGACAAAATATAAATACCTTGGTAAAAATGGAAATAAATTACCCAAAAGTTTCATGGATTTGTTCTTCATACTTACATTGTAGTGCTTTTCAATTGTTATATTCCTCCGTATACCAATTATTTACATTGAATGTGTCAGATTTCCCATTTCTGACAGTGGCAACTCACCTATCATTAAATACGAGAGAAAATAACAAAGAAGCCACAAAGCACTGAAAATCCGGGAAACAATTGCAAGACTAGAGCCTAACAGAAGAGGAGAAAATAAAGCAGTAGGTTGAGGCTAGAAGTTGTTTTTGCGCTACAGTGGCTTACTTAATTGAATAGGAATTTGACTTTTTAAAATTTTTCATTTAGAAATGTTGTCCCGCTCTGTTGCCCAGGCTACAGTGCAGCGACTATTCACAGGTGTGATCACAGTGCACTGCCGCCTGGAACTTCCGGCTATTAGGGATCCTCCACCTCAGCCTCCTGAAGAGCTGGGACCACAGGTCTGCAATACAGGGCCTAGCTAGGAAATTGAGTTTTGCGGTGAAAAAGACAGCAAACTTTAAGAACTACCAATTGGAGAGCCCTCCTAGGGGACAAAGGTATGCTTTCAGGACAACTGTGAATCGGAAAAAAACTATCCAATCCATCCAAGCAACTACACAGCACTGTGCAAAGTTGTTCTGAGTCCCACACATCCCCTTAGTCCTAGAAAGGTGAAATGCCTTTTTCAAGGTAAAGAATCTAGTCAGGAGCCAAACTAAGCCTTGAACCTAAGTCTTGTTATTAAATCCTAGGGCTATTTGTGCTAACCACAACTGTAGAGGGAAAAAATTATTTTTTGACTTTTTATTTTTTATTTCAAAACTGCCATAGTGAGTGGCATCCCCCCTTCATTTATATTCCAGATGAATATAAATAAATAAAGCCCAATGCTACAATATCTTCAGAGAGCACATAACTGAATGCTAAAAAGCAATAATGACTGGGGTGTTACTAATCACAGTGCTACCTATTTCCTTGTATAAAAGTTGTAGAGTCTTCTACCCCTGACAAAGAGGGTTTTAAAAATATTTTAAAAGTAAAATATTTCTTTCCAAACTAGGATAAGTATTATACATAAAGAATTCCAGTAGCATTTTTCAGCCATTTCCAGCTGTCAATGTATCTCTAAAATTTCAGGGTCAAGGAAAATTCTATTTCCCCATAATGATAGACATAGTATTTTCAAATTTAAACAAAAGTTAAGATAACATACCTGCAGAGACTCATGCACAATATATTTGGAAAGGTTAAAGCTTAGATTTCCAAGGGCCTAAAAAGAATAGTCACAGAGATACAGGAATACCTACCTCATCACAAAGCCATGGTTCAAATCTTTCCCCATTTAAGTCAATGAGTCTCAAATGGGAGACTGGGGAGATTTTGCTCCTTGAAGAAAATTTGGCAATGTATGGAAACTTTTGGGGTATCAAAACTGGAGGTGTGATATTGGCTTGGCATTTAGTAGGTAGAGGCCAAGCGTATTGCTCAACATCCTACAGTACACAAAGAGTGTTCCCCATATAAAAGAATTGTCCGCCTACTGGGGTGGCTTGTATCTGTAACCTCAGCTGCCTGAGAGGCTAAACCGAAAGTGTGAAGCTGCAGTGAGCTATGATCACACCACTATGCTCCAGCCTGGGTCACAGAGTGTGACCTCATCTCTGAAAAAATTAAAAAAAAATTATCTGACCAAATATTTTATTAGTGCTTAGGCTGGAAAACCCTGCTTTAGGCTGAATTTGTCACTAATTATTTCCTATAGACTTAAGTTAAATATAAGTCATTCAAGGATGACTTTTTAATGATTTTTCACTTATTTCCAAGTCTTCATGTTTTCCTGTGGAAGAACTTCCCTGGAATAATCTTTTGGTCTCTTTCCTTACCATTTTTTCTCTATTCCTGGCAAGAGGAGAGGTACCTTTCTGATTAGCAAATTTGGAGAGAGGAACTAGCCATGCTCAGTTAAACTCCAACTTTCCTGCTTTTTCAGAAGCATATTGCCCACAAAAACATACATTCTAAGCATTCTCCACTTCTCCATGGCTAGTTACAAAGGCATCCATGTCAGGGAGGCCTACAATTATCCAGCCAAATTGTTTAACTACAGTGCAGCAAGACGATTGGCTACAGTCCGGCTCATCCAAAAACCCCAGCTATTAAGCTGATTTATTTACCTATATCTATTGGATTCCCATGTCCTATTTAACAACTGATTGGTTCAGAACTCAGGTAAAGAAGAGGGATTTAATCATTGTACCCTCTTTAATCTCTATAATCCCTATTTTCCCAAGTTTTTTAACAATTTAGTCTTCTCTGTATTTAGATTGCTTCCTTGAAGGTTTTGTTCATCATTGTGTTATTTTCTGAACTAGTCCAATCATCCAGTCTCTGCCTCTATTCCTCTTGAACTTTATGGTCCCTCCAAATTAATCTTTTCATACCACAGTTCTGATTTGGGGAGTCGTTTGTTTCACAGCCTTCAAATATTTCTCTTCAATTCTATTCATAAAAATACCCAAATTTCTTAGCATTAATTTCAAGTACGCTTTGAACTTGTTCTAACCTACACCTCAAATCTACATTCCGATAAAATTGGAGCAATCATTATTCTTTTTATGTTTTATAGATGACCATCACCAGAGTGACAATAGTGTAAATTTAGTCTCTAATGGGATCATAGGCAAATGACTTAAACTCTCTGTGCCTCTATTTTCTCATAATACAAAGGGTTAATAATGTCTGTTTTATTCCAGCAGAATAATGAGGATGATTTTTAAAATTCATAAATGTGCTGTTAACTTATATGCAAATGTAGAAAGCTAATATAACACTAAGGAAATGTGCATAGCTCAAACACATATAGACAGAATTTTGATTGTAATTGTCAAACATTGGCAGGAGTCCTAATTATAATTTCTTACATTTAAATTATAGAAAATTGATACTAAAGATTTGAATTCTACCATTTCATAATCATGTCATAAATTTTGCACTATGATAACTTTTTGTCTTTGCTTTTCCTTTTAACAGAAAAGTGAAAAATTACAAATTGTCAGTGTTTTCTAAGTATGTATTTATAGGGTTTATGTAGATTTTGAAGTTAATATTTCCTTTAAGATGGATGTGTCTAGAGCCTTGAGCATTCACACATCAGTGCAGTGAATAATGTTTTCTAATTACATAAGGCTTTTCCTCAGAGAGCTCAAAGCACCTTATATATTACAAAACCATGCAAATTAATACCTATTATAAACTCAGAAACTAAATACAATGAAGCAAAAATGTTAACTTAAAAAAGAAAGTGAGTCTGACAAAAATACTGTAAATTTTCCAATGATAATGATAACAAACAATTTAATTATAAACTTACTATTATAAGCCATGAATTACTCTTTTTTGATGAGTCTCAATTCTTCCAAATGTCCATGGAAATTAATTATTATTATCCCCTTTATCTCTGTTCACATATAAATGGACTAAGAATCTGAGAGGTTGTGTGGTATGTTGAAAGCCTTCCAGCTATTATATAGTAACCTTAGAATTCATATCTATAACTCACTCCATAGCCCTCACATATATCGATAATCCTACCAAATCTCTAAGATTACACATTCAATTTTTCAACGCTATCCCTAGAATGGGCCCAGAATGTCATTCTGCTTTGAAACTGAAAGCTTCAACAACAATTCAGCAAATGTCTCTGTAAACCAGAGAGAAGGGTTGGAATTCAGACAAGTCAGGTGATTAGTCGGTGTCAAGTACAATATTTGCAGTAGGGCAAATACGACAACCCTTTGGTTCTGAGTTCCAGGCCACTGATTTCTTTTTTTTTTGGGGGGGCTGGGGATGGAGGGAGGCATTCTGGTGAAGAAAAAATTATTGTCTACCCGGATACAGATATAACTTGTATGTAGTGAACACAGAACAACTAAAATTAAAACCTCATTGAGGCTGGAAGGCAAAAGGTAGAATGCAGCATTTCCTAAATGTGAGCAGCCAAGGAAGAGTGGGACCCTCGGCTAAGGTGGGGCTCTGCAGTTGATGAAAGAAGGAAGAAAGGAAGAAGACAGGGAAAGAGGAGGGAATATCATAGATAAAAAGGACTTTACCTCAAGGGAGGCAATCTTTCTGGTAACACCCAACCCAAAATATATTGTTTCCTCCCTCACGCTTGTGGAAGAAAAATTCATTTCCTTGGAAAACTATGGCACCCCTTTGTAAAGCACTCATAAGAGGAGTGTTGCTGAGCTTCCTGGCTTGGTAAGCATATTTACATTTGAGAAAACATCTCCTGTACTTGTAGCATTTGGACAGATCTGTTCAATAGCTAATGACAAGAAGAATCAATTGGATTGACATAAATGCAGCTGATGAGATCTTATACTTGAAGCAGAAAGACATTTTTATTAAAAAAAGTTGATTAAATTCTAACCAAAGCCTTGAGAACTCTCTATAACTAGTGAATCATGTAAGGATGTTACTAGTCGGATATGAGATCATGGGATAAATAGGAACAAAAAAGAAATATAAACCAAAAAGGGGAATGCAAACTATAACCATGAGAAATTGGCACTCTAACAAATCTAGGCACAGGGCTTTAATTGTACTTTGAGATTGGACTGATTTTCAATAGTAAAACCACTGTGTAGCTATGATTGACTATTATTTATAATTCAGTCTGCTAATAACTGTGTGTGTGCAGTTAATTGCTAGAATATTGTCTATAGTCAATTCCTATTCTCCTAAACAGCTTGACGTGTAACAGCACCTTTAAATTTTTAAGAAAAGAAACCAGAGAATATGCAAACTTACATTTTTAATCTAAACCATATTACCTAGTTGGAGCTGAGTTTGGCAGCTGTAACCCAGTCACAGGTTGGGTCCTCTGAACGCAGATACTAAGTCAGAATTTCGGATGCAAGATGTTTTAAAGATCAACACGTGTGAAGGAAGGCAGGGGAAACAAAATTGGGCTGAAGAAGTTGAACTGAGGTGTACATGAGATAAAGCCTGGCCAATCTGGCAAGGAATTCTAAAGAGAGCAGTGCCTCAGAATTTTCTCTGATCAGGCCAAAATAGCTGGGCCTTTCTACCTCTGCCTCCTTCAATTATGCATGTGGACATCCTGGCAAGGGTGGACCTCAGGGAGGGGAGGAATCTGCAGTTAAGGGAGACACTAAAGACGTTGACAGCTGACCTCTTACAGCTCCTTCCTTGAAGAACTTTCTTGTGGTGCCATACAGAACTATATTAGAGCCTAAAGCAGAAAGAAATCTGCAAAGTATTTATCCCATCTTTATTTTAATATTAATAGTTGCTATTTAATGTATTTGCATAACTTTTTAATTTTAAAAATGTTGCATTAAAATATTTATCTTGGTTGCTGAGTTTTGGGGCAGCTCCTTAAATTTTGCAACTCTACTCCCAGCACTACCTCTTTGTCTATGATATTCCTCATAGAAAAAAAATGAAAAGACCTATATATCATTCCATGTGCTCTCTCTTCCAGAAGGCACATTGTCTTCTGGGAGTTTTTAATCCAGTCGAGATACAATAGACAGTCTGTTATAAGAGAAAACCATGTTGAACAGACACTCAGAAAAAAATGACTTTATACCCCATTTCTACAAGCTCTGTAGAATAAATCATTCCACGTTCTATGTAGATTTCCTGTGATACCTATACCCTGATAGTCATAGCACTCGAGATAATTTAAAAGAGGAACATGCCATATGGCTTACAAATATTAAAGAATTTTATTAGCCACATAACTAACGTCTACCATATAAATGGATATCAGGCAAAATGCTGACTGAGACTGACTGAGAAATAAAAATATTCACAAAGATTTTAGAAGTACCAATATTAGAATATTCTCCAGATGCTTTCAAATTCCATTTAATTCATCATCAAGCCAACTCACATCATGAAAGTAGCAAGAACAGAATTTTCTAGTGTGTCTTTTTTCAGGAGCCTTTTTTCCTTTAATATATCATGATTTATAAAGCCACCATAAATTTAACTTTATATCCTAAAACATGACAGGTATTATTTCCTATGAAGTAAAATAGATATTTGAGATAAAATAATCTTGAAATATTTCTCAATCAGGTTCCCTTATAAAGAAGGCCATCTTTTTCTCTTGTACCCTAGTCTTTACTGTGTTTCCTCCCTCAAGCTTGGGGAAGAAAAATTCATTTCCTTGGAAGACTATGGCACCCCTCTGTAAAGCACTCATAAGAGGAGTGTTGCTGAGCTTCCTGGCTTGGTAAGCATATTTACATTTGAGAAAACATCTCCTGTACTTGCAGCATTTGGACAGATCTCTTCAATAGCTATTGACAAGAAGAATCAATTGGATTGATATAAATGCAGCTGATGAGATCTTATACTTGAGGCAGAGAGACATTTTTATTAAAGAATTTTGATTAAATTCTAACCAAAGCCTTGAGAACTCTCTATAACTAGTGAAACATGTAAGGATGTTACTAGTCTACTAGTTAGCACTAAGGCTTGAGTCAAAAGAATATGGCCTGGAAAAAGCAAACATCTAGGCTGTCTCACCAATGGATGAAGAACAACCTTGCATATCCAAAAAGAGAAAAGCAAAACAGAAACACATACATCTTCTAAGAGATTGTGGGAGAATAAAGGATTCCATTGAGCCAACAAAGCAGAGGGTAGAGTAATTCTGCCCACCCGCCATCTCCAGATCAAAGTGCCAGAAGAGAGACACGTTGGAGATGCTGAGAGGGATATGAAGGCAGAGAGGACTTTGAAAGACCACTGTGTGTGTCAGCCCCAGGCCAGCCTGGAGCAGCCCCAGCCAAGTATACCCTGCAGTGTGGTACTATTAGGCAAAGAGAAGACTTCTTTTTGGCTCTTCCAATAGGATGAGCAACTGGTTTTCACAGAAGTATCCCAGTTTTAGCACTGAACTTCTTGCTTCCTTGGAAACCTCTCAAGCTTAGGCAAGCCAAAACAGTTAGTTCTTCATCTTATTTCCCAAACCATACTTGCTTTATGTACAAGAGACTCAAGAATCCTGTGATTTCACGGGGGTCTGGTGTACATGTTTCAGCAGTTTTAATAACATTTGTCCTTCCATGGAGTACACATCTTAGCACAGAATGAGGAAACTTCATGGCAATGTGTTGTCATGGACAGCTTAAGCCATGGACAATAGGGGGAAGGTGGTAGATGATAAGCAGAAGTCATGTAGCACCAACAAGAACCCAGAGATACAAAATCAGATAGGTAGCAGCACCAGGTCCTGTCTGAGACAAAAGAGAATGGATCAGAAGTTGAAGAATACCCATAGTTAAGAGAATCTAGAAGTTTCTATATGGATTTGAGGACCTCTATTTTTTTTTTCTTCAAGCACATGGTAAACTCTCTCATGCACCTAACTATCAATTTGGGGGAAAAAAACGTGCATATTTTTGTGAGGTGTGAAATGTTTGAAAGACTGAATATTTATCCAAAAGAGATTGAGTCTTGCAACCCTAATAAAATAACTTATTCAAGCAAAGATCAACAGTGGACATTGAAACTATTAAGTGAAATGATGAGAGAGAGCGGGATAACTGCATGAATGCAAAACATGAACCCATAAAATATCTGGTTGCAAGGGGAAATGTAACTATACAAACTCTTTTTTTAGAATACCTCATTTATGGGGAAAAAGTCATAATTAAAATTTCAATTGCTTATTCTACAACTTACAAAATAATACTTTGATTTATAAAATGAGTTCGTTTTCATTATGTAAGTACAAATGGTAAAAAATAGTAATAATCAATCCGATATATCATACATATGCCTTTCAGAGAAACTCACATCCCTGTTGCATGGTTTACATCAGACATTTTACATCTCTTTACCAAAAAAGACCAGATTTTTAACTATATGTAGGTGTCTGCTTGCAGTTGCAATCTACCAGAAGCTGTGTCTATGTGACTACAACCCAGTTAGGCCTGAGGGAAAAAAAAAAAAAAACACAAGCTGTTTCTTCCTCTTAGGCTGTTTTAATAGCACTCCTGTGATAGGAATGGCCCTTCTAATGCTTCACTACACAACCTAATCAGGACTATGAGTCATGATGAATTAGACCCAGTACATCTTTCAACCCAGTCTACTTTGGTTCTGAACATATAGACACGAAACAGTGCAGATTTATTTATTTATTAATATAGCATTTTCCCACACCCTCACCCTTTAAGAATTTTAAACGAGAAAACTTCATCTAAACATTTTACTGCTTAAGAAGGCCTTACCACTGCAACATGTTTTGGCCATGAGACAATCATTTCCTAAATGGCATGTAAAGTCAACATGAAGCTTAGCAAAACCAATTAATTATTCAAGATATTAATGAGAAATTCTCACAAATTATATGTATTTAGGAAACTATTTTGCATCTTTAAACAATTGAAGGCTCACAAAAAATTTTTGTTTTGCATTTCTTTATAGAATATTTGATCAATGACAATTTTTTTACTAATATCTCTCTCTTCTCCTTAGCCCTTAATAGATACAGTCCATTCTATCTGGAAATAACAAAAACTTGATCAGATTATTAAGTCTTGGAGGCTTTTTCATTTTTACTGTATAAAGTGATAAGTTTCATGTTTATATTCTCTTATAAATGTAATATAACTGTTATGGATAGATATAAGGTTAGTGAAAGCAAACATGTCAACTCCAAAAAACATATATAAAAGGTGAATATGAAATTATAACACAATATTTTCTCCCAAATTATTGTAGCGTTTTCTACTAATTTAATAATGTGAACACTGCCAAAAAACAGGTTGGAAGTCGCCTAGGGAAACAGCCTCCTCCTCTGGAGTCCTTCTCGGCAGCGTCTTCTCCGGGTCTCCTCCCCAGCCAGGCGGATGTGGAAGTACCTGGGCTTGGCGCCTCCCAGGAGGTTGTCTTCGCCCTTCGGGCCGCAGCAGAAGGAGAAAGGACAGCCAATCAGGATAATTGTGGCCACCCACGGGAAGCCACGGGTCCAGTGACACATGTGATGTGACGGCGGGGTTGGCATGAAGATTGAAGGTATGGGTATACTTCACAGGGTTGATTACCAGGGAGATGACCTGCAACACAGCAGCCAGGGTAGGGAGGCCTCCAACTCACTCTTAGGAGGACTAGCGTCAGGGGTGCACAGAGGGCAAAGAAGGTGAGGATGAAACAGGTCACCAGCATGATACAGCCACAGAAGAGCATGGCAGCGGCTGCTCTTCCTCCTACGTACTCCACGAGGCTCTGGCAGCCATCCTGCGGGGGGCCTGCTGCCGCCATCCTGGGCATCGCCACGATGGTGAAGGCGATGGAGCTGAGCAGGGGCAGGGGCAAGGTCCAGAGCAGCAGCGCGGCAGGCCCACGTAGCGGCGCGAAGCGGAGGAGCACCGCCCGGAGAGGCTGCACAAACTCTGTAACATAGTAATCCACCTTAGCATCACGAACAGTGGGAAAACTGGAAGTCATGTGCCTTCTAACATAATGCGGTAGGAAGCACCCAGCATCATCCAACGTATTCTCTCTGAAAGAGTTTAACCCAAACGTTGGGTTATTCTACAGGATAATCCGCCTGGTGTCTTCAGCAGGTCAATCAATGGTATATCAAAAGAAAAACGTAGGACACTTCTAAATTTCAAAAAACCTTACAGGCTTAACAAAATTCAGTTGATGTCTTTGATTTGATCCTGCTTTGAACAAAGTCATACAAACACACATTGGGGACAATTAGAGGATTTAAAAAATAGACTGCATAGTGAGCCGAGATTGTGCTACTGCACTCCAGTCTGGGCGACAGAGCGAGACTCCGTCTCAAAAAAAATAAATAAATAAATAAAAAAGACTGTATATTAAGTGGTATTAAAATATTGTTACTTTTTAAGGTACAATAATCATAGAAAATATATAAAGAAAAAATCTGATTTTTAGAGATACATATAAAGTATTTAGGAGGTAAAATGGAATGACGTTTGTGATTAACTTTCTAAAAATAGAGTAAGAAAAAAGGAAAAACTAACTTGCCAAATGCTACTGATTATTAAATTATGTGATTGGTAATTAGGGTTTATACTGTTTCTTCTACTTTTATCTTAATTTTGAAAAGTAATGTACACCGAGACAGTTCAGATAATAGAGAGTGTTTAAAGTTAGTTTACCTATTTGTGTATTTGTTTTGTTACCACATAGTAGGTAAGGGCTAATAAGAAAAATTAGATCAGTTACACACACACACAAAAGAACTGATTTCTTTTGGATGAGTGTGAGTTCTGCATCTTATAGAATTAATGCTGATAACAGTGAAGAGACACACACACTATATGATACGTAGATACCAATTTAGCCCTATGCTTTCTAAGACTCCTATGTCTCTTGAGAAGAACCTCCTCCTAGCATCTTCTCTGATTTATTCTGCATCATTCACTTCCATCTTCACTCCCTATAAATATCTCAATAGGGTGCCCCTTGGGCACCTCAAACCCCAGGAGTTTAAAATGAAATCCAACATAATTATCTCTACTAATCAAATCTTATTAATTTGTAAGATGGTGTATTAAATGACCAGCATGGCATTTGAAATATAGTAAGTTCCTAATAAGTAGTAGTTGCATTATTATTTTAATTATTGATCTCCTTATTGATTAACCCCATTAACTTATTTTATTTCCCTCAACATTCAATTTGATTCTCCACAATGCTTGCCACACATATATCAGGCTATTTTTCCCTTTCCATTTTTACTACCATTATAAGTGGTACATCATGGTAAGAATATACC
This sequence comes from Homo sapiens, assembly GCF_000001405.40. Taxonomy (NCBI): domain Eukaryota; kingdom Metazoa; phylum Chordata; class Mammalia; order Primates; family Hominidae; genus Homo; species Homo sapiens. The sequence continues at coordinate 191,954,258 of NC_000003.12, forward strand.
ACCGTCACATACTCATCAGTTCTCATCTATTATTTCTGAATTATTTCAAGTATATTTTACCTTGGATTCATACCATTCATGGCATGGTATAATGGAACTTGGTACAGTGCCTAAGAGCTTGGGCTGTGGAGTTAAGTTGTCTCAATTCAATCCCGACCCTATTATTTTTAGCCGGGCACTAGCTAATTGTTTAACTATTACCTCATCTGCAATGTGGCTGTACTAATAGTGCCTATTAAATTGAGTTATACATATACATCACTTAAAACTGAGTCTGATACATTGTAGGGACTTTAAATAGCTTCCAGAAATAGAATTAATGGTTAAAATGGACCATGAAACACTAATCTACTTTCTTAATTTTAGATATTTATGCAGTTAGCTATTTTTAAAATGTGGCTGTAATGAAAATTTTTGCAACTAAGAATTAGATGCTCAGCTCAAATTTTTATGCCTTGTAAGTAGGTTGTACCAATTTACATATCTGCTTGCAGTTTATAAGAATGTCCATTTCCAAAGAAATTTGCCAAGTTATAATTTTTATTCCTTTAATATTTGACAGATTGATAAACATTTCATTGCTTAAATTTTAATTTCCTAAATTTACAGAGACCTGTATACATTGGAAATTTAATTTTGTGCTGTATAATTCAAATCCCGGATTACAAATAAGAAACTACGGCTGAGAAAGGTGAAGTTACTTGCCAAATGTCACGCAGTAATTTACTCTTCAATCCAGGAAAATGATTCAAGTCTTCCTCCTCCAATCTCATTTGCGTTCTTCACAGGTCATGCTGCTATTGTCAATTATATTTGGATTTAATAATTTTACATTCCCAACATTATGCTGAGCATTTTCAGAGAAGAGTCTACATTTTCTGCTAGCGCTTCCCCCAGTGCTTTGCATAGAGCACTTTTCAAGTAGACATCTATTAAATGATTACATAAATATATGAATCACATGTCAAATAAATAGGAACAAAGGAAATTACTGAGAAGTATTAAGCAAGCCACGTATTTTAACATTTTTATGATATGTTTGTCGCTATGAAGCCACAACATTAATCCACAGATATGTAGAACAGTTTCGTATAGAACAAAATAAAAGGCAGGAATGGGATTTTGAAGATTAACCTGAGGTGGATAGGGAGTCAAAAATTAAGAGCCTTGCTTAGAGAAACATAAACGTGAGCCTGTATATAAATCAATCATCATAAAATGGGGGAATGTGTTTTGGGATTTGGGGGAATTTCTCGTTCCAGTTTAAACTACCAACATATCCTTGTAGGGCATGATTATTTTCCTAGAAAATTGGATTTAGGATCAAGATCAAATGCCCCAATTTTTTCTGTCTTCCATGCAGATGAGTCATGCAGAAGCAGAAAGAGCTCGTGAATCTGTTTGGTATATGGGCGAGCTTACTTTATTTATTCAACACATATTCATGGAACAGCCATTATGTTACAGAAACTGTATTAAACTCAAAGGATAAAACAGTGACCAAAACAGACAATTTCCCTGCTTCAGGGTGCAATATTCCAATGGGAGAGACTCACATTACACAAGAAAACAAAGAAAAAGGCAGTGACAGGATGACATGATACAGGGGAGCCAATATATAAGAGGATTAACTCAGGGCTACTTTAGGAAGAGTTGTCAAGAAGGCCTTTCTGAAAAGCTAATATTTAAGCTAAAATCACGTGAAATGAGTTGTTAACCCTGTACAAGAAAATAGCATGAATGAAGGCCCAGGTGAGGGAAATAATCTGCTAGTTTTTAAAAATAACTACTTCAATAAAACTGGAACTAAGCGTATTTCTAGAGGAGTGAAGGGATGAGACTAGTGAGCTAGACAGGAGGTAGATTAGGAAAGATTGTGCTCAACTAAGGAGCACGGAATTTATTTGCTGACATTGAGAAGCTGTCAAATAATTTGTAGGCAAGAAGTACATGTTCATATCTATATTTCAATACAATCAATCATCAGTCAGGTGGAGAATATACTGGATATGAGGCAATCTAGAACCTGAGAGAGGACTATGATAATTCAGTTAAGAAGTAGTTAAAAAAAGAGAAAAGACTCCATAAGGATAAGACCTAAAATATTGACAGAGGACTTGGAAAAGTTAAAGGAAGAGATGATGAGACACCTAGCAACACTTTGTTCATGTCTCTTTTATAGCAATTATTAAATTGTTCTGGGGTCATTTAGTTTCTGGCCTATCTTCTCCATCAGAACATTGGTTCTTTGCGGTATTGTACTTATGACATGTGTCTGTTTTTTAAAGTACTTGCCACATAGTACTTTACATTTTATCCAAAAAATTTTCATTTTTTGGATAAATGGATTAATACATAAAATAATTTTATGTGGAAACACAATTTTGCTCTGTATTTTTATACTCAGTGCCTCTTGTGATATGTAGAACCACTCCATTTTCCAGATGGGGAAAAATGAGGCTCACTTGGGGAGAGGACAGTCTTCTTACCTTCTCTTTTTGTGCCTCTTTTCTTTCCTCATAACCAAAATAATTTACAGGAAAGGCAGGAACATTCAAGCAGTGATGTACATTCACAGTTCACAGTGATTCCCCATTTCCTCCCATTCTCATTAAGATAACTTTTAAAGATGGGATTATTATGTATGTTTGACTTTCCAAAGTATGACTCTTTGTCATTTTCACAGAATTTTAAAATGTAAAACGGAACAATGGTAGATTGAATTTTCCAGTTCAGTTTATTTTGGGCTCAAGTAGACTTGAGATACTTCAACAAATATTTTCTTTTGAACTAAAGATCACATGAAACTGGAGACTTCTTAAGTTATTCAGTGGCATGAACAGTGGCATTGCAAAAGTAGAATTTTGCACATCAGTTGTTGAAAGTGCAAGGTCTCAGAATTTATAATATGAAAACAAAACATGTAAGTATTGAGAGCTTACTTTGTGCCACGGTTTCTTACAGGCAACCTTTATTTAATTCAAAAAGATAGGATAGCACATGGAAAGCAAAAATGCATGGCAACACAGGGTCCAAAGAAAGGGAGAATTTTAAGAAGCATTGATCAACAATGACAAATCAGCCAACAGGTCATGTAAACCATAACTAAAAATAGCTGTTGGTTAGAGAGACATAGAGGTCCTTCCTAATGAGTTTTTGGTTGTGGTGGTGGAACACATCAAGTTAGAATTACTTGCTGAGGGAAGGAGGGAGGGATGGAGAAGGAGGAAGGGAAGAGATGACAGTGAAAGAAAGAAAAGCTAGAATACTCGCATTTTTTTTATTAACAGTACAAAAATTTTTGACAAAGTATATATAGGTATCCATATATTGACTGATTTTTAAAAAAATAAAATTATATAAGCAAATCTTTATTTAGTAACCTAGGAGAATATTATTATACCCTTTTAAGCTCAGTTTTCTCGTTGATTAACTAGAATTATTATATAACTACTCATGGTACTGTTGTGTGTATTAAATTTAACAATCCAAATAAAATACAGGCATATGGCTTGAGGCATAATAGGCCTTTAATAAATGTTAGTTGTAATTATTTCATATGATCATTATTATTATTTGATAGCTTTTTTCTTTCCTTGTTTCTATCTCTTCCTCAGAAATATCAATTGTCTGTAAGTTTTTGGCTTACCCGCTGGCCGTATCAATGGTGTCTTTCATCTTTTATAGAAATACGCCTTTTTCCTCTCATCCTGAGGGGGTTTCAAGTTTGTGAGCTATATCATTGATTTGATACTTGCAATGAAGATTCATATTCTGCTATTTAGTTTTCAGTTTTCTTTACATATTTGTTTATCTCTTCCATCTCCATTTTCATCAAAGGAAAATTTCCCCTTATGACTTTCATATCCATTTTCATAGAAGACGCATCTTCTTTAATTTTAATGAAGATCTTGATACAGTTTACTGTGGTTTTCTTTTAGATCCAGCAGTAAAACATTTTCTGAAGTTGTGCAATTCCTTTGAATCTTCTGGATGCTGTGTTTGCTCTCTTATTCTGTAGAATTTTCCCTTAAGGTATATGTTGATTTTTTTAATGTTTTTCTTCCATTTTAATAAAAAATTAATTAAATTTAATTGAGTTTATTTTTTCTTACTCATCTTCATAAAAAGACAAAGTCTTGTCATTGGATAACCCTTGGAATTTCCCTGGGTCCACCTGGGGGGTGGTGTAACCCTCCTGAGATCTGTAGCTGAGGAGAAGATGGACATAGGTGCACAGCTCTGCATGTAACACTGAACTGGCTTTTATCCAATTAACTATTGCAGGTAGCATCTTCCTCTGTCTCCTTCTGGCGGGTTCCTCATTAATTTAAATTGATGTAATACATAAAAAGCACAATTGCTAGCAAACATAGACACTTGTGGCTGCCCACTTTTGTTGACTTCTATGGTACTTTTCTTGTGAGGATTATCCCTCTCAATTGCCACATGTCACTGCCAGATCCCAATTCTTATGAGAGACTGAATATACAAATACACCATAGGCAGTCCATATATAAACATAGAATTCTAACCACAAACTGCAGCAACCAACCCAGTAGGCCAGCCTACTACCTACAAAAGCAGCCCAGGAAGCCTACCTACGATTTACAGTGACCAGTTCAGGAAGACGGTACCAGTCCAGGAAGCCAAACACTAACCCCTGTAGCAATAGATCCCAAATAGCCGAGGCTTGATAACTAACAGCCTTCTCTATTTTTGCTCCTGCTTCCAACGTAGGATCAACCAGAGAAAGCCAAATATACATCCTAAACCAATCTCACAGGATGCTCTGCTTCTAGTTAGCCTGCCTTCAACATTCCCATGTCAACAGCCTCTACTCAGGGCGTACATAAAACCTTCTTTTTCTTCCTCTATAAAGCTTCCTCATTCCTCTGTCTGCTCTTGAGTCTCTGTAAAGCACACAGGTTAGTAGCTAACTTCCTTGCTGTAGCAAGCTCTGAATAGCCTTTGTTTGTTCTCATTTGAGTGATCTTCATTTATTTCCTTACTAACTGCCATGTTGAATTCTGGCTACAGAGCCTCTGCCTAGATAAATAAAGATGGATCAACTTATATTTTCGGCAATAATGTATTTTAAAAAGAAAAGCAAGATACATTGTAAGCTAAACTTTGAAAATTTTAGTCATTTGCATCTGCCTCATAATTGTAGTACTAGTTTTTCATTACTTTCAGTTTTCAATTTTTGTTTGTTTGTTTTGTCTTCATAGCTGTTTTAGTGTAAAGTTACAAGAGGGTGCTTAGTGCAGGCACCTTATAACAGGAGTATCTGTATTACTCTTTATAGGTATATACTATTATGATACAAGTTTTAACACACTAAAGGTTAATATGTTTCTAGGGCTGGCAACCTTGACTCTCTCCATGCACAGGCACACACACACACACACACACACACACACACACACACACACACACACACAATCTTCCAGTGATTAATCAATCCTATTATCCAGATCTTTTTTTATTTTTAAAAATTTGCCCTCAAATATATTCATATTTTAGAAAACAGTATTATTTTCCCAGAATTGACCATAAGCTAATTCACAGAACCACCTGGCTGTCTAGTAAATTTTCTAATTAATGGGATGCCTTCTAATTAACAGAAATGTTTATGCCTCACATCGTGCTGTTAATAGCTTTGTAGATTTTAATGAATAAATGAGGACCTAGGACTCATATATATTGTTAAAGGAAGAAAAGCATCAGACTATTTAAAAGCAATGAACAGTTCTTTTTTTCAGTTCTTTCTAATCAACTGAGAAAAGTTAAACTTAACAACTTGTGGTTGCTGTGTGAGTAGTCAGTTTTTCTTTTAACTGCTTTTCACCTCTGCACACAGCCTTGTGTCCTTGAGACACGAAATAATTTAGAGAAGCTCTTTGCTATTCTTGGTAATTCAGCCTTGTTTTTCTATTGCACGCTCCAAAGCTCATTGTGAAACATTTATCCTACTTAATCATGACAATGTAGATGCCAGAAGGAATTGAGTAAAACAGCAGTGCAGGGAGGATCTGGCCCTGAGTGAGGGAGAATCCTGGCTCCTTCGTTCTTTGTAATTTCCATTGCCATGTACTCCTTTCAATATTTTAGTAATATTTTCTTCATATGTGATTACTGTCTTAAGTTATCAATTTGCATTCTGCTCCAATTGAAAATCATTTTTCTTTTCAGCCACATCTCACAAATATGTTACATAGGCTGATGAGATTTATAGGATAATTTCTACATCTCCAATATAGACAGATGAATTTTTTTTTTTTTTTTTAGACAGTTTTGCTCTTGTTGCCCAGCCTGGAGTGCAATGGTTCGATCTCCGTTCACCGCAACCTCCACCTCCCGGGTCCAAGTGATTCTCCTGCCTCAGCTTCCCGAGTAGCTGGGACTACAGGCATGTGCCACCATGCCTGGCTAATTTTATATTTTCAGCAGAGACAGGGTTTCTCCATGTTGGTCAGGCTGGTCTCGAACCCTCAACCTCAGGTGATCCTCCCACCTCGGCCTCTCTCCTGGGATTACAGGCATGAGCCACTGGGCACAGCTTTAGATAGGTGAATTCCTTATCATTTATTTAAATCAATTTGATGTTGTCAATATGTTCTATACTGCATTTAACTTGAAGGATTCCAGTGAAATAGATCTTCTTATCTGAGTTGACATTCACACTGACTCAGAGAATTGTCATTTTAAAAGTAAAATAGCAAGCTTTAAGTCAGCTAGTTTACCATCAGGCTAAGTACTCTATCATTTGATTCCTTCCTCAATATTCCTTCATCTACCAAACAAGTATACAAAAGAGAAGTACATATTTTACTAAGCAGCAATAGTTGAATCACTTGAGTGACATTAATCAATAAAATTACTGACAATGCAAGCTCTGGCAGAAATTATTGTCAAGTGCTTGCTATGTGCTGGGCACTGAGCTAGGGAGTTATAGCTCACAGCAACCACGTGACACAATGAGCATTCTTGTCTCCTTTTAACGGAAGAAAAAGCTGACTCTTCAACTGGACAAGAAATTTTCTCAAGGCCACATAATGTTCAGTCCGCATTCTTACTTTGAATGGGTTGTTATCTAATAGTTCCTGTTAAAACTTTTCGAAAAAGCAAGCAAAAATCTCATGCAAATCGTTTTGTAGATGAAAAAATAAAATCTTAAGCCCCTCGCTGAGTGAGCCCCATTTTGGCCAAGGGGACCCCAGAGAAACCTTAAAAATTGAGTTCCCAGCCATGATGGGAAGGAAAGTCAGACACTCTTCATTATACCACCTCCTTTTTGGAGTTTAGGCACAACCACAGACCAGCATTAATGTTAGAACAGGGATCCTGAGGCTGACAGAACAGACTCTTTGTGGCAGTAAGATACCAAATTATAAACAAAACCTAAGGCCATGCAAGGCAAGTGGTAAGTCACATCTGCAGGGCATTCATCTTGCTAAACAGGTCACATTATAGCTGACTGACACCACATCTTTATCTTAATGTAAACATTCCTTCCTGCTAACTCCAAGTTTTTAGACAAAATTTTGTCCCTTAACTATTTGCAGATTAAAGAGCCTCTGAATCCACTTATGGTTTGTAAGCCCCTGATTTAAGACATCCCATGTTCTTGGGAGGAACTAATGTACACCTTCCATGTATTGATTTATGTCTTTGCCTGTAACTCCTGCCTCCCTGCAATGTATGAAACCCAGCTGTCATCTAACTGCCTAGGATATACCTTCTCAGGACTCTTTGAGACTGTTTCTGTGAGCTGTATAGTCAGTCATACTGGCTCAGAATAAGCCTCTTTAAAATACTATACAAAATTTGTTTCTTCATTAACAATTTAAACTTTACTTCTTAACTACAAGTATGAAAAATAAAGTGAAAAAAGGTGATCGAAGGGAGAGATTGCATTGCGTTCACGTACTAGCTCTTTTAAAAAATCGTTTTAATTTAAAATATAGTATTTCTTTGCAGAAAGGATTGAAAGATTAGTCATAGAACATGGCACCGTTCAAATGAAGCCTGTTTAGGAATCAAGGTTGACTGCCTCCAGAATCTGTTATTGTAAGATTTTATTTTGCCTCCCCAATATGCTAACTCTGTACTTCTTATCTTTGTTGGCTTATGTAAGTTTCTTAGATTCCATGAGCCTCAGCTTCTTCATCTGTAGAATGGAGATCTTTGTTGTGAAGATTAAATCAGATTGTGGCTTTCAAGTGCTTAGCAAAGCACCCAGCATCTACTAAGCCTTCCATAAATAGTAGTTAAGAGCTTTGGGATTTTGCTCACATTGTTAGCCCATTCCTTTCCTTGCTTTGATTTATTCCCTATCACAATTTTATTGTGGATATAAAGATAAGATTTTGTGTTAATATCTAGCATGGTATGACATAAGGAACGCTGGGATGAGGGAGATTAGACCTCATTTCCCCTCTCAGGTTTTTTCCCTAATCACTAAGCTTTACCTGCGCTCAAATTCACCTGTACGGAAAAATAATGTAGGTATAATGAGTTCTGACAACAAATACTCAAAGTTAAGCCAAACTTCACAGGCTTTGGGCACAATCTGCCATACTGACGCCCTCACTTCAGACACCAGACACAAGTTTAGGAGTCTTCAGGTCACCCTCACTTTAGACCAGCCGGCTACAATTTCAGGGGCTTCCATTGTTCTCTAGGTTTGACAACATGCTAGAAAGATCCACAGAATTCAGGAAAGCACTATTTTTATGATTTCCATTTTATTATATCAAAAATGATACAAATCAGAATTGGCCAAAGAGACAGATGCATAAGGCAAGGTGTGGGAAGCTCTCACTTGCAAAGCTTCCATTGTCACCAAGGATGCATTACTTTTCCAGTACATCAATGTGTGACAGTACATAGAGGAGTGCCAACCAGGGACACCCACCTCAGCTTTGATGCAGAAAGTTTTTATTGGGGTTTCATTAATAAGTATGACTTATTCAGTCATAGGTCACACAGTTGAACCCAATCTCCACAGAGGTCAGACTGATATCACATGGCTCAAAGCCTCAAACACGGCATCACCTGGTTGGTCTTTCTGTTGTGGCCGGCCCCCCATCCTGAGTCATTTCCTTAGCATAAGCTATCTAGGGGGCCCCCGCTGTGAGTCACCTCATTAGCATAAAGTATCAGATGTGGTCCCACTGTGAATCACAAAGACACTGTGAAAAATTCCTAGGATTTAGAATTTACCTCCTAGGAAGTGGGAACAAAGCCTGGCCAAATTCTCTATTACACAGTAGGTAATATAAAATATGCTCTCTAGGAGCATGCTCATTCTATTTTCATATACCTCATCTTAAAATACAGATTCCAGGAATATTTTTTAAATGGAATAATCATAAAAAGACAGTAAAAAAGTATGTGAAGAGGATGTTCTTTCTTCCATAATTGTCTTCCACAAAGTAGGCACAGAAGGAAGACACGATTGGCATCAGAAACACACTCTGGCTGGGGGAAAAAAAAGTAGCTGGAAAAGGTGGCAGTGAATAAATTATGTCCAATCATATATTCATCTATTATGTAAAGCTTCAACCACATGCTATTATTAATCAGTCATATTGATAGAACTATATCCTGGTGTCCTTTTGTTTGTTTGTTTGTTTGTTTTTTGAGACAGAGTCTCCCTGTCTCCCAGGCTGGAGTGCAGTGGCGCAATCTCAGCTCACTGCAACCTCCACCTTCTGGGTTCAAGTGATTCTCCTGCCTCAGCCTCCCGAGTAGCTGGGATTACAGGTGCCCCACACCATGCCTGGCTAATTTTTGTTGTTGTTGTTGTTATTTCTTAGTAGAGACAGGGTTTCACCATGTTGGGCAGGCTGTTCTCGAACTCCTGACCTCAGGTGATCCACCCAACTCAGCCTTCCAAAGTGCTTGGATTACAGGCGTGAGCCACTGTGCCCAGCCTGGTGTCCTTTTAATTGTGTGCCAAAAGCTTTAGAATTACAGTAGGTTATGGGACTTGATTCCTCACATCTTTCATTCTTAAATCTTGTGATCCAACCCTTTTCCTATACAAATATTATTGGGCAGTAATAGGATTTTCCACCTATCAGACCATAAAAAGTGTCAATACAACACATGAAACTTAAACATATTGTTTTGTTTTTCAGCTCTTTCTAAAAAAAAAAAAAGACAAAAAAAAAGCAACCTGTTTCAGGAAAGTATTTTAAGCATATCATAACAACTTAAATAACTTACTTATTACCATAAACAGTCATATACTAAATCATCACAGCTTTGCTACTCTTTACCATCAAAAGATGTCTTCTCTGTTTAATTTCCCAAGCTTATAAGTAGAACATCACCCTGCTGTACATATAGGTATATAGAGGTGCATTCTTTGTGATAGGAAGTGATTAATATTGCAAAGAAAATGGACATCATCCTCCACTGAGATGATCAATTAAAATGTAATGCTTTCACACTTGTACTTTTGTTTGTAGAGAGATGCAACGACTTAAAAAAAGCATTCTCTGTGCAATTTCTTATGCAAAATGCTCTTAGATATAATATACTCAGAAGTTTTAAAATACTAATTGGCAGTGTAATGCACTGTTTGTATGGAAAAAATATTTCTAAGATGTAATATAGAACCAAATGAGAATAAATGATTGGATTTTTTTTTCAGTCATCTTTTAAGCCAATAGGTAGCCAGGCTAAACTAGTCTAGGTCCTAGCAACAAAGAGATATGGAATGTCTTGTTCTCCTTGGACTCATCTTCTGTTGAAGAGGTAGACATATTTCATAATTTATTCCAATCAGTTTGATGATGATAACATGTTCTATGAAGCAACAGATCTTAATGATCCCATTCAGCTATACCTCCATATTTAATTTCTTATGAAGTTGACACAAATACATGTGTTATTGAGGTATGTGATATGGAATGTTCTAAGAGTTTTGGATGAACTAAAAGACTTATTCTACCTAGGTGCTGTGAGAAAATCCTTCAGAATGAGTGTTATTGGAGATGAATCTTGAAGGATGAGTAGTAGCTGCCTAAACCAACAAGGGATGAAGAATATTTCAGTGAGGGGTAGCTTGTGAGCAGCATGAGCATAAGACATAAAAGAATGGCCAGGCGCAGTGGCTCATGCCTGTAATTCCAGCACTTTGGGAAGCCGAGGCGGGTGGATCACCTGAGGCCGGGAGTTCGAAACCAGCCTGACCAACATGGAGAAACCCCTTCTCTACTAAGAATATAAAATTAGCCAGGCATGGTAGCGCATGCCTGTAATCCCATCTACTTGGGAGGCTGAGGCAGGAGAATCACTTGAACCTGGGAGGCAGAGGTTGTGGTGAGCCGAGATCGTGCCATTGCACTCCAGCCTAGGCAACAAGAGCAAAACTCTGACTCAAAAAAAAAATAAAAATAAAAAAGACATAAAAAATGAACTTTCAGGTAATGTAAGAAGTGGAGATAAATTTAACATAACCAGGAACTAGGATAGATTGAGTTTTGAGTTTAGATAAATGCTACCTGAGGAAATAGAGGAATATGAAGAAGGTCACTGGTGATTTAGAGAAGTCTCTGCTTCTAATTTGCTGCAAGAAATATACAGCAGGAAGCTCACTGCTTCCATCTCTCATCGAAGGTTCAGGACCCTTCCATGAGCTGTTCCTGGAGCCTTCTTGTGTGTGATCTCCCACAAAAGCCACACGATGAATTAGTTTACAGTGACAGGAAATGAAACAACATACAGAAGCCTTCCTTCATTCTATATCTCTCCATTTCTTCCTGTTTTGCAGCTTCAGCCAATTACTTCTCTGTCTCCAAGCTTATTGGGAACTTTCCTGTTGCTGGACACAATTCCTGCCTGGAATACTCTGCTCACCTTCTGCCTCAGGGGTCAGCTCCCCAAACCCTGTTTCTCTTTAAAGCCTTTCCAAAACACCCAAACTAAGATGAATCTTTTTTTGTCCTTTTGCATTACTATCTCACATTTGTCGAAGTAGATTCCATTTGTGCATCTATTTCAACAGATCACTCTCAGTCTTATGTCACAGTAAGTGTTTGCTTCATAAATAATAAAACTTTCAGGGGAGGTCACCATGTTTGGATCTCCAGTGGTCCCTACAACCATGTATGGCACATAAGGGATCTACAATGTACATCTGGTCAATAAAAATTAAGCTGCTGAAAATTTTTAATAAAATTTTCAAAGCAGAAATCATGCCTCTATAATAATTTGACGTTTTTGGACATGTAAGGCAGCCTTTTATACTATATATTAAGCTTTATTCTAGACTTTCACTAAAAATAGAGACATACTATCAGTTAATTGGGCACAGAATATTCAGGTACAGGCTTATGTTTTTTGACACTTCAAACTATAAATTCATTTTCCATTTTCAAAGCCGTAAACCATGTTCTCTGATATCTGGTTCAACCAGAAGGTTTTACTATGTAATTTTATACTCCCTTTGTTGATGTACCTAGATAACTTATTGCTTTATGAGCTATAGCCTATTAACAGTCATTTATATGGAGCAACTTCTTTTGAATAAAACATTCCTGGGGAAATACAGATACTGCCATGTTATTATTAAAGCACTAAGGAAATCTATCACTTTTTGGGAAAAGAAAAATCTCACGCTAACCGCATCCTTTTTGCTTCTAGTGTCAAATGCTTTTTAACCAGTTAATAGCTGTTCTTGTGTTTTCCTCTCTGTTTTGTTAAAAATATCTACAGTCTTAGTATTCTTTTTCTTACTTTGTACTAGAATGTTCAAAAGTAAACGTGATTTTTCTATCTGCAGTCCTTTTATTTAATGTAATAATGAGTCATCCTTACTATTTACTCAGTGATTGATATATTTGTTAACTCAAAATCTGAGCATCAATGAGATGAAAATCTACCAAATTAAATTCTCTTTATAATGATGAGTTGCCTTACTCTAGCCTCAATATGGTTTTAGCAGTTGGTGTTATTTTACCTTCTCATAGCAATGCTTGAGATTATCTCCAAAGAACCCAAATATGACAAAAAGAAGAAAAAAAATCACTGAGCAAAAGTCAAGAGCTTGATACTTTTTTTAGGACTCACTTGTGCCAAATTAATTTCCCTCCCTTTGATTTAATTTCCTTATTTTGAAAAGTAAGTCATACTTGATATTTAGGGTTCTTTTCTGCTCGAATACGCTGTGGCTTCTAGGAGACAGCTCTTCTTTAGTGCATTTAAACATAAATCATCTTAGATAAACCTAGTTTTCAGGCATCCACCTGATTCTCTATGCTTTCCTAATAAACTAGCCAATAAATTTATACATCTAGGAGCCTAAATTTATTAAAATAGCTGGCTATATTAATCTTACTTATTACAGACAAAATTTATTTTTCAGATGATTTCCTCTATTTGATCTGGCCTAAGGATTAATCTAGCAGAGAAGAAAACAGAAGTTTAGTAATTGAGTAGTGTGCTCTCATTTTCTGGAATCTTCCTTAAATAGGGAATCTAAGAAACTTGGTTCATTTTTTAAAAAACCTTTGGCAGTTTAAAAAACTCTCTCCATTTTAGTATAGTAGAAAAATTCCATGATATCCAGCTGACCTATTGTCCTTGCTTCTATCTGTATTTGCACTGTTGAACAATACTGCCTGGGCCCCCAGCCTATGGACCTTAAAGATGTTTCATATTCATCAACAGAACAAAATCCCAGTCTTTTTCTCCTATACATCCCCTTCTTCCCATTCTGACTCTGTCTTCCTCCACTTTCCACACATAGTGTTCTCACATGTGGTCTTCAGTATCTTAAAGAAAACTCATTCCTTTGCCTCACAAATGAAAGTCAGGTATAATCATCACAAGATAATGATAGTTTTAAATTCTCTTTCTATTTTTATTCTCTTGCTTTACTTATCCCATTTTTATTTCAATCTCTGCCCTCCAGGAGGTCACCATGAGAGCAAGATTTCTAGGAAAACACACCTAGATTCTCAGTGCCACAATTTTTTGGGGTCCCATGTAAAAATAGAAAGGATACCCTTATTCAAATGAGGAGTCACTTTTATCATGTGGGCTAGGAAATAATACTCCTTATACCCACCAGAGACTTGTAAAGTATTTTGTGAAGGTAGAGTCTTCAGCTTCAGGACTAATCTTTTTCTTTGTAGGACATTAAATCCATTCTAAATGAAGAGGGAGAGTCTATACCGATCTTCCCATTGTCTTCGTCTTTCTCTTTTTGTGCTCTGCCACAAGGTCACGTGATTAGAAAGATCTGGAAGCCTGCTTCTTTCTCAGATTTTAGTCCCCTAAACCCACACCCCTATGTTGTGTCAATTTAGTTTGGACTCAGCTAGGAACCTCTGCAAGTGGAAGTTCTTACTGTATTTTTTCCTAATAATTATTTATTAAAAAGAATCACTTAAGTGTCCCCACAAACATCTGGTAGACTCTCTCTAAGTCCATATAAGCAGCCGTATTTGACGTCTTCTAGGAATTAACAATATCTGATAGTCAAGGTATCCAGGACTATATTTTACAATGAGTAGAGCTGAATTGTATTTAGCTTTTGTATTCCTAGATAAAAAAGCACAGTAGCCAACATCTAGTCAGTAACCTTACATTAGGAGACTTTACCTCTATTCAGACAGTTTTGAACCCAAGGGAAAAAAAAAGGAGGCTGACGAAGATCAGAAAATTACTGACAAGTGTGCTGTGATGCAAAGTATATTGTACATGGAGTCAAAAGCTTAGGGTTCAAGGCCTACAGTTAAAACTTACTGGCTATACGGACTTACAAAATCTGGTCTGCTTCATCTGAGTTTGTGTTTATTTATAAAGTGAAGATAATGATATCTAGCACTCATTTTTGCACTGATTATTACACAAAACAATATGTTGAAGTGTTTTATAAATTGTGAACTACCATATAAAGGTATTTTGCCCCTTTTACATAGTATATAGTTACTGATTTCAACTTGGCTGTTTTATACCTCCCAAAAGATAAAAACAGGAAAAAGGAAAAAAAAAAAAAGAGAACCAAATAAGTATTCTTATTGTGAAGCAAAATTATTATGAAAGAAATGCCAACTAACCCCACAACATTAGAGAAGAAGATATTAAAGCCACCATAGGTAGACTATATTGTTCTATGATAACATAATGGTTATTCATAATGATAATCCTCAATATCAACAAAACATGGACCAATATCCTGTGCTATAGAAAACAATGGTTTTATCCATTTTCAAACAGTATTAAAACAAATTATAGAGGGTAAATTTGAGTTGTCTGAAGAATTCAATTATATGAAATACCATATTCCCAAAACTTTTGATTAAATGGGATCTCATTAAATCTAGTTCTCAACAGTGAGTCACCTCTCAAAACCCTTCAGGAGAAGAAAGTTTGAATCTCGTTAAAACCAGAATAACTTAAAGGATATATGTGCATTAATATTGTCCATTTTTGTTAGAGAGAAATGATGATAAAAAGTTCTTAGTAAGTGAAACAGCAGATGATAATATAGAAGTGAGCTCACTTTGCCTATTTTTCACTTTAATTAATGTGGGTTTCTTCATTTTTATCTAATATATTTAATTGAATTATGACCTCCTTGACCAGAAAATACCACCCTATCTTAAAGATAGTTGATTTCTTCCACCAAACAGAAATTAAGACGTCAGCACACAGTCTTTTCATTTTATATTAATAATACTTGCCAGAGCTGAAATAACCTTCCTTCGTGATTGATAGTAGGTTTTTTGTGTGTTTTTATAACAAATGGCTAAAGTTCACTGAATGTGGTGGCACAAGTCTATAGTCCCTTGGGAAGCTCAGGCAGAAAGATCTTGAGCCCAGGAGTTCAAAGCTGTCCTGTGCTATGATCCCACCTCTGAATATCTGCTGGACTCCAGCCTGGACACGATAGTAAGTCCTTTTTTAAAAGACTAAAATCACTTGTAAAAAGAGGTCTAGCCATTACATATGTTTGTCAAGGTTTTCTTCAAGGCAAGAAGGTTAAAAGCATTGCTATAAAATACTTCAATAAACAGTGGTACATAGTATGAAAATCTTAGAGACTTTGAAGTTTTGAATATAAAGTTTATGAAAGGAGTAATGGAAAAAAGATGTTTGAAAAAGATGACCTAGTGAGAAGTCATCTGGAAACTTGAATGTCAGGCTAAAAGTACTTGGAATATATTGTCGAAATAAAATGGAAACCATTGGAAGATTACAAACAAAACCAAAACATGATCGTGTTAGTATTGTTGAAAAGTTAACCAGGCAGCATACAATTGTTGACTTGATTAAAGAAATGTAAGAGAAATAGGAATCTGAATAGAGCTCTTGCAATTGCTCAAGGAAGAAATAATGGTGCTTCCTTTAAAGTAATAGTTGAAGAAATGAAGAACAAGTGCTAAATCTCCCCTTCTCCCACGACTAGTGCCAAATCAACAAGATTTGGCAGTTGATTAGATATCAGACTCTAGAGAGGTGATGAAAAAGATTATGCCAATATTTGAAGATGGGTGACTGAAAACGGTAACTCTATATGCAGTTTATATCTATTCCCATTAAAATTCTTATGATTGATATAGAAGGTGTGACCTCAATGGAACTACAAAGTAAATGGAATTTCAGAGATCTGACCATATTGATTATTTCCAAGGCATTTACATGCATTCATTTAGTATAAATTTGTTAGAGCACGTCAGTCTCCAGCAGCTATTAGCCTAGAGAGTGTAAAATGACATTTGAAGTATATGTATCAACTGTACCCAGGAAGCCCCATGAGATTCTAGCCAACAAAAATAGTTCCATTTGATATTTCATTTTGAGAAATATGTATACTCACTGTTATTATTTATATATCACTTATAAATTTTAATAGGAAATATGAAAGATTTTATAGCATCGCTCAAAATAGCTTCTGTCAAGTTATTTGAAATATTGTGTTTCAAAGCCACTTTTTTCTATAATCAAGTGCTTGTTAATACTGCAATCAGGAGATGCTGTTTTCTTCTTTGGTACAGTGTTCTTTTGTGATGTCTTGTCCTGCTTTCATCTTTTTTTCTCTCTTTTTCTTCCTATTTTTTTATTTTTTTTTTAGTAGATTAAAAAATCAGGCTTCAGAGCAAAGGAAAAAATGGTGCTTTTTGGGATGCATAAATTGTCAATTTTTATAAAAGCAGTTTTTTTGAGGAGTTTCTTCCATAGCTCTGTCAGGTCAGGATAAAAAGCCTCAGACTTGTGGAAGCTTTTGGAACTATTAGGTGACTTATGAAAAAATAACTAGAATTATACAAAAATGAATAGTCTGAATTTTGAAGAATCAAATTGTAGAAAGGTCTAGAAAAAATTCACTGGATGTGTTTCTTTTATTATTTAGAGGTTGTTGCTAATTGGGAGCACACATAAATATCAGTGGAATCAAAGGACATTGTTGTGAAATCTGCTCCAATACCAACTAGTGTGTGATTTTGGGGAAGTCACTTCCTCAGTTCTTGGGGAAGTTACTTTTTCAATTTCCCAAAATGTAACCTTAAAACTATTCAAATGAAAATAAAAATTAAATGTTAAATTGAGGTATCTAGATGTATAAAACTTTAAAAGTATTTAATCCGAAAGCATTAGGTTAGTTCCTCTAAAGAGTATGAAGATTAACAATATAGAAGAAGAAATTATATATGCACACACACATATATATTCCACACATTCACACAGATATGCAAACATTATTAAAAGTAAAAAAAAATTTTATTTCATTAAAAGCCATCAATAAAAGAATGAAAAGGCAAGTCACAGACTGGAAAAGACATTGTAATATGAATATCTGAAAAGTACTTATTCTAATTCCATATAAAGAGCTTCTTCAAAACATTAAGTATTAAAATATCAAATTTTCAAAAATAGGTGAAGGTCCTAAGTAAGTATTTCAGAAAATAAGATATTTTAGTAACAAGTAGGTATATGAAAAAGTACTATTCACTAGGGAAATGCAAATTTAAATCATAATGAGATACCAACATGTATTTATCAGAATGACTAAAACTTTTTTCTTAAATAAACTAACAATACTAAGTGTTGGTTAGTGTGTAGAGCAATTGGAACTCTCAAACATTGCTGGCAAGAGGATATATTGATAAAAACATATTAGAAAATTATTGGTAATATCTATTAAAGCTGATATTATGCCACTCTTACGACCCACCATTTCTACTTGGAGATGCATTTCCATGAGCATGGAGTCTACACATTCACCAAAGACAAAAAAAATAAAATGGAGATTACTGGAAGTTTTATTTATTATTGCCCCAAAGTGGAAACACTCCAAATGTTACAGGATCTTTGAAGTGTTGCTTTTCTGGTCAGAAACCTCTGTGGCCAGTGGCACCTTTGCTTGACTTTTGCTTGGGCCTGCCCAGCTCATTCCATCCATTCAGCCTGCCAGGCTGCACTTGGCTCATGCAGTGGGCCTGGATCCCACGCCTGCCAAGGATGAGCCAGGCGTGGAGGGGTAAGGGGTGTGTGAGCGAGTAAGCATGGGATCCAGTCACTGCACATGGTCAGGCATGCTAGCTGCTACAGTCGGGTGGGCAGCTCTGCAAGGCTGTGGCTGGACCAGGTGCACTGCAAGCAGCTTCCTCAGCTGGCAGCAGGAAATGCAGTGGTGTCCCTAAGCTCAGAGTTGCCAGGAACCACAGGGCCTTAAAGAGAGAGCCACAGCCCTGGCTTGAAGGGCTAAACCTCTTCTCTCCCTCTCTTCACCCACCATGTGGTGAGCAAGGGTCATGTTTCAGACCAGTTTGTATTACAGGTCTTCTAGACTTGCCATTCGGCGGTCCAAGTTCTTGTCCTGTGACCAGGAACAATGAGGCACGCAGACAAGTGGAGGATGAGCAAAACCAAGAAGAGCTTTATTGAGCAGTAGACCAGCTCAGAGACCCACTGTAGGTATCTCCTTCCTGCAGCCACAGTGTCACGATGAGTGTTCAGCCCTCAGCAGAGAGCAGGAAGCCATGTGGTGGGTGGCTCCTCTCTGCAGGCAGGTCATCCCTGGAGTGGGAAGCTCCTCTCTGCTGCTGGTCACCCATTCTCTGCTGAACTCTGGCTGAGCCCAGGGCTTCTGTGGGCCTCAGAGGGGAGAAAGTGCACACCGATTAGTTCATGGCTGGCCATAGGTGAGCTTGGAAAAGGAACCACAAGTTCCCACTCCAGTGGTGGGACTGGCAGATGGCCCCCAGCCTTTAGGTCCTCCCTGGACTGAAGCTGAGGCCTCACCAGAAACCCAACCCCTTTCACCCAGGAACCTGTCTGCCTCCTGCTACATTTATGGTGCCTGGGCTGGGCCCTGACTTTGCTCCATTGGAGAGGGCACTCACAGCAGGGAGAAGCCAGGCATCAGGAGCAAGCACTTCTGAGCCTGCTAGGGCAGGGGGGCCTTCCTGGACCGCCAAGAGTTCAAGGATGCCTGAGTCTGCAGCTATGGTTTTCACAGCTGCAGCTGCTAAGGAAAGAGGGGATCCACTCGAGAAGCAGGAGGCCCAGGTCTGAAGTGGGAGGCCTGGGTCTGCTGCCACAGTTTAGGCGCCTGCTGCTGTACCCAGGAAGGCAAGGCTCCTGCCTGCTGCTGGCCCCTCAAGAGCACAGGGAGGCTCAGATCTGCAGCTACAATTTGGGCAGCTGCCACTCCACGCAGGAGGGTGGGGCTACTGTCTGCTGCATGGAGTTGGAAGCCCAAGTCTGCAGCCATGGTTTGGGCAGCTGCAGCAGCACCCGGGGATCTCCCACCCCAGCTTGGAAGGGGCGGGGCTCCCACTTGTCCTGGGCTTCCACCAGCTTCATGGAGTGTGCAGCTCAGGCTGCCTGCCCCTGCTGCAGCTGGCATGGTGGCAGCTGCAGGCCTTCTGGAGCAGCCACTGCCATCACGAACATCCATCTAATAAAACCAAAGTAGACGTCATGCATTGAAATGTTATGCAACATTGAAAAGAACGCAGTACCCCTCCATAGAGCAAATAATCTCACAGGCTGATAATGAGAAAATGAAGTTGAACAGAAAACCTTATATTATATATGATTCCATTTGTATGAAGTCCAATTACAGACAAAACTGAGAGCTAACTTTATGGTTATAAAGTAAAACGTTGCTTTTGTTGGGGTATGAGTTGTCACTTCTCATAAAAGCAGTTCTTTTTTTACTTGCTATGCTTCCCCTAAAGTACAGGAGAAAGTTTCCCCAAATGTAACAATAAGAGCCAGCCAGATAAACTACAGAATTATGGTATTTTTTAACCCATCAGAGAACAGAATACCGGCCATCCCCAATTTATGATGGTTCAATTTATAATTTTTGCAACCTTATGTTGGGTTTATCTGGCCATAACTCCATCATAAATCAGACTGTATCTGGACTTACTATGGTGGTTTGACTTATAATTTTTTTCTTACTTTATGATGGGTTTATCAAGACATAATCCAATGATAAGCCAAGGAGCATCTGTATGTAAGGAAACCTAAAGGAAGTGGATTTCAAAATATAAAAAAGCTATATTTAGGAGTAAAGAAATCCATGGCTGCTTTCATCTCTGGCAGAATAAAGGGAAGAGTAGAGAAAATATACCTTAGACAGGGGTATGAAAAAAAGCAGTCAAATGTTAGCAGATTTTTAATGGGCATGTATAGTCTCGTATGATGGATTTGAAATCCAGGGAGCCCCAGTCACATTCCTAGTCTGCACATATCTGCCACTCTTTCTCATAGGCCTTCACTGAGTACATGAGTGTAGTAAGGTCTGAGGGAAGAACTAAGGAGAACTAAGAGAGATCACTCTGAAGGGTGCAGGTTCTTTAGCATGTGCAAGCAGCTTGCTGAAGATGGAGGGCAGGGGAGGTGAGCTAAAAGACATCTCTCTGAGGTTCTCTGGGTCTTCACTAAGTACACTGTAGCTACTCTGTGAAAGCCTAACTTGGGCAGAACTGATAAAAACCTGCCTGAGTTTTGCTGCGCCTTCTCTTAGTGCACTGAAGTGGCCTTCTGAAGGTTATTGGAAGGACAGCAGAGTATAAAGCCATCTGCAAAGTTCCAGAGAACTGGAGGCAGGAATGGAGAGCAAAGAGAAGGGCCTAGATACCAGAAAAGGTGGCATACGGCCTTTAACACAATGATATCCTCACATTTCAGAAAGCTGGCGCCTTGAGTATAAAGCAAAAGGAGGAACCTCCAGAATTTCACCAGTGCTCACATTCTAAGGCTGCTAAAGGGAAAGTCCTACTGTAACTCCAGAAATATTTGAAACCAGTGGCAAACTGAGTATAAAGAGCTATAATAAGTCTCAGGCTATACCTACTACAGATTAGATTCTCTCAAACTACACCCTCGCCCAATTATAGAATGAGGGCGCCACATTTTTGGAAAGTGATTATTTTTTACTACTAGCTCTGTTGTTCTCTTACACAGACTGTTCAATATAAAAAACAAAACTTATGAAACACAGGAAGAAGCAAAGAAATCTGTTCACGGTCGAGAGGAAATCATTGACTAATGACAACTCAGAAACAGTCTAGAAACTGGGCCAGTAATGGAAGCTTGTCGGGCTTTCAAAACACTGAGACAGGTGAACCTTTGTCTGCATACAGTAGAAATGCGCTACCAAGAAAACAAGACCTAACCCTATTGCTTCTCTCTCTCTCTCTCTCTCTCTCTCTCCGTGTGTGTGTGTGTGTGTGTGTGTGTGTGCGCGCGTGCGTGCATGTGCATGTGCACACACACACTCCCACCATTGGGTCAACAATGTGATGAAATCACACAATTGGTTAGTTTCTAAGGCCATTCTCAAATTCAATAATTCACTAGGAGGACTCATAGGATTCTGCATACTAATTGTATTCATGGCTGTGGTTTGTTACAGAGAAGGGATTCAAAGCGAAACCAGCAAAAGCAAAAATGCATGGGACCAAGTGGGAAGGAATCCAGATATAAGTTTTCAGGAGTCCTCTCTCAATAGGGTTTCACAGAAGGCACTTACTTAAGCCCAGCAGCAAGTTATGGCAATGTGTGAAATATTGTCTACCTGAAGAGCTCACTAGAGACTCAGTGTCCTAGGTTTTGGTTGGGGGCTGGTCACACAGGCACTCTGTGTGGCATGAAACAAAAATGAAAAACTTCCAGACACTCAGAAGAAAAGCCTGCTTTCAAAATAAACCATATTGTTTTTACAAACAATTTAAGCACAGTGAACAACTATTATCTTGGCATGGTGGGAAGCCTCTTGAAATCCAATTTCACAAAAACCAACCAAGGGCCATTCTTGAAAACAGGTCTTTCTAAAGGATCTGTTTCAGGCCTGCTGCATTAATTTTTTTCTATACATCCAGGAACAGAAAAATATGGAGGATACTGCAGGGAGAGAGTTTTTTGGAAAGCAACCACATGAAGTTGTTTATGCACTCCTGGGTTTGCTCCTGACTTATACATGTCTGGGATCTGTTCCTAATTGACATATGAAAGCTTTCAGAGCTGAACGAATCTACCAAGACAGTCTTCTGGGAGGTGCACATATAGTCATATTTGAACATCATTGCAAAGCCCTAGAGAACTGAACTGACATTGGAACCACAGGCGAAAGAAAGCACATCAGAACATGTAGTTTGGCATTAACTAGATCAAGTGGCTGCTAAAACAAAAATATTAACATTCTCCATAGATTTAAACAGTACCAAGCTTCACACATTTCAATATTCAAAGTTTCCAGGATACAATAAGAAAGTGCTCAGCATACACAGAGCTACAAAAATCCCAGCTGGAATTGTAAAATACAATCAATAGACACCAACAATAAGATGGCACAGATTTTGGATTTTCTGAAAAAGATGTTAAAAATAGCTGTTAAAAATTTTTTTTGAACAAGCAATTACAAATACTCTGGAAACAAAAGGTAAAAGGGAAAGTATTAATGAACAATAGATTGATGAAAAAAATATTTTAAAAAGACCATTATGAAAGGACACTGTGAACATACTGAAAGGTCAGTCCACAAAATGAGAGGAGATATTTGCAGTCATATATCTGACAAGGCATTCCTATCCAGAATAGTTAAAGAACACCTACAACTCAACAATAGAAAAAGCAAGCAACCTAATTTTAAAATGAACAAAGGACTTACATAGACATTTTTCCAAAGAAGATATACAAATGGCTAATAAGCATATGAAAGATGGCCAATATCACTATTCATGTAAATGCAAATAAATACTCTAATGAAATAACACTTAACACTCATTAAGATGGTTTTAAATTGAAAATAGTAAGTGTTGGTGAGGATGTAGAGAAGTTGGAACCCTTGTGCATTGCTGAGAATGTGTAAGGGTGCATTGGAGGACTGGCACAGTGGCTCACCCCTATAATTCCTGCACCTTGGGAGGCTAAAGTGGACAGGTCTCTTGAGCCCAGGAGTTCAAGACCAGCCTGGGCAATATGGTGAAACTTCATCTCTACAAAATATACAAAATAATATACACACAGAAACACCATGTAATACTACTCAGTCATAAACAAGAGGGAATGAAATAATGGGACTTACAGCAACCTGGATGGAATTGGAGACTATTATTCTAAGTGAAGTAACTCAGGAATAAAAAACCAAACATCGCACATTCTCGCTCATAATTGGGAACTAAGCTATGAGGCTGCAGAGGCATAAGAAGGAAACAATGGACTTTGGGGACTCAGGAAAGGATGGGAGGGAAGTGAGGGATAAAAGACTGCATATTAGGTACAGTGTACACTGCTTGAGTGATGGGTTCCCCAAAATCTCAGAAATCGCCACTAAAGAACTTATCCATGTAACCAAACACCACCTGTTCCTCAAAAACCTATTGAAATAAAAAATGAATTTAAAAGAAATGACAGCCTGGATAAAGAAAATGTAGTACATATACACCATGGCATACTATGCAGCCATGAAAAAGAACAAGATTGTGTCCTTTGCAAGGACATGGATGGAGCTGCAGTTCATTATTCTTAGCAAGTTAACACAGGAACAGAAAACCAAATACCACAGGTTCTCACATATAAGTGGGAGCTAAATGATGAGAACACATGGACACATAGGAGGGAACAACACACACTGGGGCCTATTGGAGAGTGGAAGGTGGGAGGAGGGAAAGGATCAGGAAAAATGACTAATGGATATTAGACTTAATACCTGGATGATGAAATAATCTGTACAACAAAGTCCCATGACACAAGTTTACCTATGTAACAAACTTCCACATGTACCTGTGAACTTAAAATAAAAGTTAAAAAAAAGATGGATGCAGAACATCAGTGAAAATAATGGAGTGAGAATCTCCAAAACTGTCTCATCCATAAAAGTATGAAGATACTAGCAAAACTTGTCAAAATCAACTTTTTCAGAATTCTAAAAATTAATTAAAAGCTTTCAGTAATCTGGGAAGCATTTTGTCAAGAAAAATGGCTGAATGTTGGTAATATCAAGGAGATTTGTGACATAATCACACTGAAAACCAACAGCCTAGATGCCACTGGATGGAAGAGAATATAATTGGAGGTCCTTCAAAGCCTTATTCCTAGAGAAGGATCATTCTGTGTCCTGTCTGGTAGTCTCCTGAAAGACCCCACTTGCAAGGTGGCTTTTATGTGAACTGACTCAGAATCCTCCCAGTGGCAGTAGCTTTTTCTCCAAGTCTATTCATTGAATAAAATCAGAAGCAATTGTTTAGCATCGTAGCTTCATGAGACAGTGACAATATTTAGAGAAAACAACAGGTTAAACAAAAAGCTTAAAAGGAAAAAGTAATGAGGTAACCATGTTGGGGTGGGGGTAAGGGTGTTGAAAAGCTCTGATATGTTCTTAGGAATCTCAAAGGATGTACTCAAAGTATGCATAGGTCTGTGCACATGCTCAAGAGAGACCCCAAAAGGCCCTAGGCTGTCATCACTGGCTAATCATGAGGTATTATGCAAGCAGGAAGTAAAGGTGAAGCTGGATTTGTAAACTCCCTGACTGAGTATTGAAAGTATACTCCAATATGCACATAGAGATGTTCAGAAAATACTAGGTCTTAATGGTTTGAGGGTTTAAGTAAATCTTTGTCTAATCATAAGTGATTCAATCTTCAACTAAGTGAGCAGAAACTTCAGTGGCCACATTTAACAAAAAAATACAGATTTATTTCAGACAATTTACTAAACAAACACCAGCAGCAAACAGCAACCACAAACTGTGAGGGGATGAGGGGAGAGAGAACTCATTTCCAGAATTGCCATTGTTTTATTTAAAATGTTCAGTGTTCAGTAAACATTTATGATGCATGCAAAAAAGTACAGAAAATGCATAGAGTGAAGGAAGAAACCAGTCAATAGAAATTTTCCCTGAAAAGGTCCAGATGTTGGATTTACAAGAGAAATACTACTAGCTATTTGAAATATACTCAAAGAGCTGAAGAGGATTATGTTGGAAAATTAAAGGAAATTATGAGAAAAATGTCTCACCAAATTGAGAGTATCAATAAAGACAGAAGTCAATCAAAAGATCTAAATAGAAATTCTAAAGGTGAAAAGTACAACATCTGACATAAAAAATTCATGTCAGGCATGGTGGCTCAGGGCTCACACTTGTAATCCCAGCACTTTGGGAGGCTGAAGTGGGTGGATCACTTGAGGTGAGGAGTTCAAGACCAGCCTGGCCAACATGATGAAACCCCGTCTCTACTAAAAATACAAGAATTAGTTAGGCATGATGGCAGGTACCCATAATCCCAGCTGCTCAGGAGGCTGAAGCAGGAGAATCACTTGAACCTAGGAGGCAGAAGTTGCAATGAGCCAAAATTGTGCCATTGCACTCCAGCCTAGGTGACAGAGCAAGGCTCCATCTCAAAAAAAAAAAAAAAGAAAGAAAGAAAGAAAAGAAAAATACACTAGAGGGGCTCAACTGTAGATTTGAGCAGGTAAAATAAAGAAGTAAAAAAGAAGTAAAAAAAAAAAACTTTAAAATACATCAATTGAAATTATTACAGCCTGACTAAAAGAAAAAAAAAGACTAAAGAAAAATAACAGAGCCTCAGAGATGGGAGGCATAACATCAACCATACTAAAATGCACATGATAATATCCCCTGAAAGAGAGGAAACAGAGAAATGGGATAGAAAGAATATTTTAGGAAAAATAGCCAAAAACTTTCAAAATCTGATGAAAAATATTAAGCTGCACGTCTAAGAAGCTCAACAAAACTTAATTAGGATAAATTCAAAGATACAAGATAACTCATAATTTAAAAAATCAGAAGAAAAAGACAAGGAATCTTTAATGCAGCACAAAAAAGGTGGATATCATGCGTTAAGGGACCCTCAATAAGATTAACAGCTGATTTCTAATCAGAAATAATGTACGATAGAAGACAGTGGGATAACATTTAACGTCCTGGGGAAGAGAGGGACAGAGAGTGCAAACAAAGAATTCTATATGAAGAAAAACTTTCCTCTAAATATGGAGGAGAAATCAAGACATACCCAGATAGCCAAAGGCTCAGAAAGTTTTTCTCTAGCATACTTCCCTGAAAAGAAATGTTAAAGGAAGTTTTTCTGGCTGAAATGAAAATACACTTGATAATAACTTGATTCCACATGAAGAAATAAACAGCACTGATGAAGGTAATTACATAGGTGAATTTTATTATCTATAAATTATATCTCAATGAAAACATTAGCAAAGTCCCAGGGACTTGTGAAATATCAACAAAAAGTCTGATATTTGTATCATTGAAATACCAGAAGTTAAAAAGAAACAGCATGGTGCTGAAAATATTTTTTAATAAATAATGGCTAAAAACTTGCAAAATTTAGTCAATGATACATACCTACAGATTTTGTAATCCCAGGATAAATCAATAAAAATGTTTACACAGAGACACAGTCAAAATCACAGTAGGCAAATTAAAATACAGTATGACAATATATCCAAGTAACACATGAGAGTGCAGGAAAGGGGTAACAGGAATGAGAAAGAACAGACCAAAATAAGTAATAAGTTGGTAGACCAAATTCCAGGCACACCTATATTTACATTAAATATAATTGGTCTAAGCATTCCAACTGAAAGAAATAAATTATCAGAAATGATATTGAAGCATATTCCTACTATAAGCTATCTCTAATAAACTGACTTCAAATATATTGAATAATGTTAAAAATAAAAGGAGAAAAATAGATACCATGCAAACATGAAACCAAAAAAAAAAAGCTGGATGGCTATATTAATATCAGCCAAAGTGAACATCAGAGCAATGAAAACTAACAAGGATAGAGTGGACTATTACATGTTGATGTGAGAGTTAATTCACCAAAGAGGCATAACAACTGCATAAAGGTATATGTTCCTAACAAAAAAAAACCTTCAAAATAAAAGAAGCAGAAACTGATAGTGCTGAAAGAGTAAATACACAAGTCTACAATCATAATTGGAGATGTCAATAATCTCTCAGTAATGGTGAGGAATTAAACAAAAATCCAAAATATAGAATAACTGATCACCATAACTAACAAGATCTAATTAATGTTATAGGACACCACTCAACAACAGCAGAAAACACATTGATATCAAATGCACATGGCCAGAACCAATTAGTGTATACCTAATTATTAAAGCTGTGAATGACCGTAAGGACCCTCAAGTTTGTAGGCAGCTGGTGTGAAGTCAGGGTAGCCTGAGAACTCCTACACTTGCAGCTCGTGTCTGAGATGAAGAGTCCTGGAGGGCTGCTCCCTCAGACATTGCAGTTGGCAAGCTCACTGCAGTAGGCCTCTCAAAATTGCGGGCAGATTTGGGTGACTGTAAGACTGGTCTTGAACCATGAATTTTACTGGCTCTAGGTAATAACTATAAAATTTTAAAATTATAAATTATTATTTCAGCACCCCTTTTCACTCTCAAATATCTTTATTTGGATAATGGATAGTCATTCTACTATTAGATAACTAAAATCATTTAATTTACTATATATGCCCTTTTTACTTAACATGTAAATTATCAAATCCTTTTATAATTTTCTTGGTGTTTTGTGACAAAATAAAACTGGGAGCATTTTCACACACACACACACACACGCACACACACACACTCATTCTCTAAACACTACTGAGAAAAAAAAATATTAAACAGAAAACTTAAACAATGAGAAAGTACCAAAAGGCTGAGTTTGCCTGGCTTAGATGTGTTGGGACGAACCTTTGTTAAACAACGTATCACATGAACCATAAGAGCAGATGATTTCTCAGAGGAGAGAAAATATTTTGATCCATCCTCATTCTCTGCACCTGATTCCCAGATGCAGGGATGCACTGATAAATAAAAAGATACAGCTGTCACAAACTACAGTAGAACGGTCTTTTGATGAGTCAGTTCCCTGTCTGAATCAACAACTCTCTTCAGGAATTTTCATTCAGATTATCATTCCCTTCATGTAGTTCACCCAGGAGAAGAGGGAGATAGGCATCATATCCTGTCCAGTGGTGTGATAATATATTCAGGCATGATTACTTGCAAAAGAATAAAAAAACTAATTAGAAAAGTTCATATTTGGAAGGTAGATTAATACAGCACTTTATATTCTACATCGTTCCAAGATATACTAGGTGCATCTGCTTAGCTTACAGAACGCTAATCTCAGTCCACATAGCCTTTATTGAATTAATAGCCACCCTAGCTGATATTTATAGATTGCTGAAGATACACTAGACCCTGTGCTACATGTTCGATATGAAGTATCTCTTCTAACCCTCACAACCTCCATATAAACAGGGTACCATTATGGTTTCCCATTTTAAAAATTACGGAAGTGGTGTTAAAGAAGTTCAATATAATGTCCAATTTCACTCACCTAGGCAGAGCATGGACTGACCAGGCCATCTGACTTCAAAGGCATACTGCCTTTGTGGTCCCAAATGAGATGGGTATATCTATGGCCCTTCAAGTTTACCTGTGAAATAGGAACATTTGCAGCAACCAAGTAATATTGATGGTCTCTAAAAATGTTCTACAAGTGTTGTGTATTGACAAATGCCAAGTCTGGGCACCGTTCTTTCTATTTATAGATCAGAGAAGCCATATTTTTATATTTACAAAATTGGCATAGGACATAGACTATATTTGGTAGCCAAAGGGAAAGAGAATATTGTCTTTAATATTTCAAAAAAAGAACTTCTTTCAAAAAATGTTTTTCTATATTACAGCCTTGAAATGTGTGTCTTCTAAAGAAAACATAAGGGCTTGGCCTCTGTGTCTAAAGTAGGGAACCATAAATAGGGGTTAGCAAAAACAAAGAAACAACAAACAAAAACCAAGAAAGACAGAGAGAGAAATGAATAAATGGATGTCCTAAATGTAATAGCATTGGTGTTCCTCAGCCTTATACCTTAAGAACCATTCAGGATTCTGTATTTCCAGTTTGAGAAGAGGTAAAGTAGACACTCTGAAATAAAGGTAGCACCTATTATAAATCTTTAGTTTTCCAAAAGCTAGGAAGAAAAACAACAGCCCTCAGTAATCAGCATGTTTCAGTGCTAATACAATGGACTATAATGATTCACCTAGGCTACCTCTACGCTTATAGAGTCAGCGAAATAGAAGAATAGGTTATTACCACTTTAGTATACAGAAAACTAAATATATTGTATTGATATTTATTAAACTCATTATTATTATCCTGTAATAACAATCTAATATATCAATAATCTCAGAAGAAATGGAAGTGAAGATTAAAATATGTAAACCCAGAAATATTTCATAAATAAAATTAAATAGTAAAATAATGTACAAAAGAAGTTATTACACAAACATATGAAGGTTAATCCTCAAAGTTATTTTTAAAAGTAATAAAAATTTGAACAAAATATAGTTGTCAAAATCTCTATAAAATAAGCAGTTGTATTAAAAGTATATTATACAGGGCTGGTAATGGTATGGAAGAATGACATACATATTTATGCACTTTAGGTAAGAGTGTTCAATTATGTGCTATTTTTGAAAAATGTTTTGTCATTATATTCAAGAACCTTAAATATATTCTTATGTTTTGACCCAGTAATTACCTTCTGTGAAATTAAATTAAACAGAATACTTCTAAATATATAAGATTAGTGCAAAAGTGTATTAATTGCTACAATATATGTAACAAATAATCTAGTTAAGCAATAATATGTATATGATTAAATAGAATATAAATAATTAATATTATCAGAAAAACCAAGGTATATCAAATTTTAGTAAGTCCTAGACTGAACTTGTGATCTTCCCCCTAAAACCTGTTCTTCCTGAAGTTGATCTCAAATGAATTAACTAAGGCAAACCCAGACTTATCATTTCCTTAGGTCAGAAATCTTGTCCTTATCTTCGGCTGCTTCCAAATTCTACACCCAGTTTATCACCAACTGTGCCTAAACGCACATTTAAAAATTATCTGAGTCCTCACTGCTTTCACTGTGGTCCAAGTGCCATCACCTCTTGCCTCGATTATTGAAGTTGTCTCCTATGTAGTTACCTTGCCCTTCAACCCTCTATAGTCTATTCTCTGCACAGCAGTCAGAGTGATCCTATTAAATGAGAAGTCAAATCATGCTACTCCTCAACTCATAACCTTCCAGAGGCTCCTTAATTCCCTATGAGTAAAAGTTAAAATCTTTATAACGGTCTACAACAATGCTCTCCAATAGAAATATAAAGGTAGCCACAGTTTTTTATTTTATGTATTTATGTGTTTATTTTTGTTTATTTTATTTTTTTTTTTTTTGAGACAGAGTCTTGGTTTGCGTCATCTCGGCTCACTGCAACCTCCACCTCTGGATTCAAACGATTCTCCTGCCCCAGCCTCCCAAGTAGCTGTAATATAGAAATACATTTTTTGAAAGAAGTTCTTTTTTGAAATATTAAAGACAATATTCTCTTTCCCTTTGGCTACCTTAAATATGGATTAACAAAAACAAACAAAAACCAAGAGAGACAGAGAGAGAAATGAATAAATGGATGTCCTAAATGTAATACCATTGGTGTCCCTCAGCCTTATACCTCCCGAGTAGCTGGGATGACAGGCGCGAGCCACCACACCCAGCTAATTTTTGTATTTTTAGTAGAAATGGGTTTCACCACGTTGTCCAGTCTGGTCTCAAACTCTTGACCCCAGGTGATCCACCTGCCTCGACCTCCCAAAGTGCTGGGATTACAGGTGTGAGCCACCGTGCCCAGCCAGTAGCCACAATTTTTTCTAGTAACCACTTAAAAAATAAAAAGGAGCAGATCAATTAATATTTAAATATACTATATTTTACCCAATAAATATATTATCATTTTGCTATATAATCCACATAAAAATGTATTAATGAGATAATTATTCTTTTCTCTATAGTAGGTAGTCTTCGAAAGTCAGTGTATATTTTTCATCTAATACGTACCTCAATTTAGACAAGCACTCAAGAACTCAACAGCTAGCCAAAAGTGACTAGTGGCTACCACAGTGAAGCATAGAACTCTAAAGTCCGATATGGCCTACTACCTGCCCTCAACTCTGTGAGCTTATCTCAGAATACTCATCTCCTCACTCAATGTGCTGGAGCCACACTGGACTTCCTAGTATTCCTGGCACATACCAGCCCAGTTATTTCCGTGCAGCTATCCCATGACTCATTGCTTCACTTTATAAAGATCTTTGCTTAAATGACAGTTTTTCAGAGAACATTGCCTGATTACTCTCTTAAAAATTGAACACAAGTCTCCAGCATTTTGTTTTACTTTATTTTTTTCTACAACATTTATCACCTAACATATTCATATACTTTACTTTTTCTATATTCTACCCCTAGGATTTAAGCTCCATTATGTTACCAGGGCAAAATATGTTACCTATTTTGATCATTTTTTGTATGAATAGGACTAGAAGAGTACTTGGAAAACACAGGCAGTGCTATATATGCAATCGTTCAACGAGGATTTGCATTCATGTCGTGGTTCATTGCCTAGGTGCTGAGTGCTGGATAAAAATTACCTCCCATCCAGACACTATAGGCTATATTTTTCTCACATGGGTTTGGCCAAACTAATGCAAGAAGCCCCAAATCCACCATTTAAGCTAGAGAACTTGCTTTGTTCCTATCTAAAGAAAAATCATTAAAATAAGATGAACACACATGTTTTCAGATTTGTATCTCTGGTATAATGGCTTTAGATTCGTAATATGCTTCATGCCTTCTCCCCCCTCCATTTTTACATACCTGTCAAAAAACAGAACACTTGTTCGGTGCTCTGAAAGTAAGGTGGCATGTATTCTTCACGATATTAATTTCAAGCATTTTTTTTTTACTAAATTAACAACGTCATCAACATCAGCATTGAAAAGTTGTCACTCAGAATAACTCTTAGCCAATTTATTCATTTTCCACCCAATACTATATGACTCTTTTTCACAACCCTACTAGCTGACTAATTTTATATGATTCTTTCTTCAGTTTTTAACAAGCAGTTGAAGAATAGTGGTGAAATTTGTTATCAGCCGGTTTTCACATAGCAAGGATTGGCTGTTGCCATGTGCAACCCTGATTGGCATCAAAAGTAGGTGTACAAGTTAAGAAGTTAAGTTTACCAAAAAATACATGGTTTGTAGCGAAAAATTACAAAGTATCTATGCTGAATCATTTTCTTTTTTTTTAGTCTATTCTAAGAAAATCTGAGTCTTTTCCTTGATTACTAAGGCAGGGTAGAAGTGCCATCCTAAGCGTATTCAATGCCAGATGCTAAGCTTTCATTTGTGCTTGTGTATACGTGTGTGCATCGACTTAGCAGATAAAATAAGCATTGAAGATCATTTCCCACTTTTTTTCCTCATTCTTGGATTTCATTTTCATTTTGCCTAACTATACCCTCATATTATTTTATATAAACTTTATGAATCCTTTAATAAATCTCTATTTGTCAAGTACACTTGAATGGTAATTTATGTATAGTTGTCCTTCAGTGTCTGTAGGGTATTGGTTCCAGAACTGCCAAGGATGCCAAAATCTGTGGATGTTCACACTCCTCATATAAAATAATATAGTATTTTCATATAACCTATGCACATTCTCCTTTATATTTTAAATCATCTCCAGAATGCTTATAATACTTAAGGCAATGTAAACACTATCTAAATAGTTGTTATAATGCTGTTTTAAATTTTTACTATTTTTATTGTTGTATTGCTATTTTTATTGTTTTCTCAAATATTTTCTATTTTCAAGTTTTAAATAATTTTACTTTACATTTTGATTTTTCACATAAGTATCTGTCTCCAAAACCAAAACTATATTCAAGGAATATCTAGGAAGTCTTAATTCCTGTCTGTCTCCAATGCCTCAATTTATTTTCTCTTCAGATAACCATCAAGTATCTTTTTTTTTCTTTATTCCCCCCAGCTTTATTGAGGTATAGTAAACATATAAAAATAGCTTATATACACAGTGTACAATATGATGTATTGATAGATGTATACATTGTGAAATGATTACCACAATCAGGATAATTAACATATCCATCACCACACATAGTTATTTTTTGGTGTATGTGAATGAGTGGCAAGAATATTTAGGGTCTACTTGCTTAGCAACTTTTAAGCATACAATATATTATTATTAACTCACTGTGCTATAAATACATCCCTAGAACTTATTCATCCTTACTCAAACTCTGTACCCTTTGAGTAACATCACCCTACTCCCTCCACCCCCACCTTCAGCTTGTAGGAACCACCATTCTACATTTTGCTTCTATGAGTTTAACTCTTTCAGATACCACATGTAAGTGAGATCATGCAGCCTTTGTCTTTCTGAGCCTGACGTGTTTTGCTTAGTGTAATGTCCTCCAGGTTTATCTATGATGCCAGAATACTTTCCTTATTTGTTGAGGCTCATTAGTACTCCATTGTGTGTGTGTTTGTCACAGTGTATTTATCCATTCATTAGTAATTGAACACTTAGATTGATTCCATGTCTTTGTTACTGTGAATAATGCTGCAATGAACATGGGGTGCAGATACCTCTTCACCATACTGATTCATTTATTTTGGATATATTTCCAGAAGTGGGATTGCTAGATCCTATTGTAGTTCTATTTTTAATTTTTTGGTGGACCTCCATACAATTGTCCATAGTGGCTGTACTAGTTTGCATTCCCCACAACAGTGTATGAAGGTTACCTTTCCTCCACAGCCTCACCAGAATTTGTTACTTTTCTTCTTGATAATAACCACACTAACAGGTATGGGGTACAATTTCATAATAGTTTTAATTTTTGTCTCCCTAATTATTAGTAATGTTGAACATTTTTTCGTATATCTGTGAGCCATTCGTATATCTTTTTTTGAGTACAAAAGTCTATTCAGATACTTTGCCCAGTTTTTGAGTTTTTACTTTTCTTACTATTGAGCTGAGTTCCTTCTATTTAGATATTAACTTTTTATCAGATATGTGATTTGAAAATATTTTCTCCCGTTCCATAGGTTCTCTCTTCACTCTGTTCTAATATTCTTTCTTTCCTTTCTTTCTCTTCCTTTCGCTTTCTCTCTCCCTTCCTTCCTTCCGTTTTCTTTCCTTCTTTCCTCCCTTTTCTTTCCTTCTTTCCTTCCTTTCTTTCTTTTCTTCCTTTCTTTTTTCCTCACACTGTTCCCCAGTGTACAGGCTAGAGTAGTGCAGTAGTGTGATCACTAAAACCTCTTCATCCCGGGTTCAAATGATCCTCCCACCTCAGCCTCCAAAGTATATTTTCAAGCCTCATTTGGTTGAATCTGCAGATGTGAAACCTAAGGACTGTAAAAGCCCAATTGTGTAGAGATTTCTAGGTTATATTTATTTTTTATCAGAACATTTGAGGCCACTGTCTTCTAAGAGCTCACTAGCTGATGAAAAGTATGATGTCATCTGGTGTTTGCTAATTTATAGATACACAATTTGAGTATTGTTTCTTTGTTTTCTCTGTAGAAGTCTTCAGACCTTCTCTTTTCACAAAAGTTTATTAGATTTCACTACATTCGAAAAAGCTTCCAGAGACAGAGACAGAGAAAGAAAGAGTCTGTGTGTGTTTTTCTTTAACAAGAGGAAGGAGGAAGTAGAGAAGAAGGAAGTTTTTACTAAGTTTATACTAACATGACGTTTTATTAGAATTAAACCAGGGTAGGTTCCAATCATGGTAGGATCATGGTGGAGGGGAGGCAGGACTATATTGCAGCTCCCACTCAGACAGTCTGACAGTGCAGTGTCTGGAGTTTCGTATCATGAACTTTTGCTCCAGAATGACTGCAGGAATGAATCAGGGAAGCAAAGAGAACCCACAGACCCTCTGAAGGAAATGGTTTGCTCCTGCAGGACCCAGGAGAAACCCCAAATACTGTGAGTGCCCAAACTGTGGAAGTGGGAAAGGGGGATCATCCAGTCTTGAACACACACCCTCACTGGGGAACCTGAAGATGTAGGTTACGGGAGAAGAATTAACCTCACCTGGGGCTGAGTCACTTTAGAGAACTGAGCAAAATACAAGGGTAGAGGAAGCAGCGGAAAAAGCCCTGTGGGCTTGCTGGATCCCCTAGCAAGCCATTTCTGCCTCACAGGGGTCCTTGGGGAGGGCTGCCAGAGCCACTGGGTAAAGGCCACATGGAGAAGGAAACCTCCAGCTGAACTTTGTAACAATTTGAACTGATCGAGAAGTCTCCTGGTTAGAACCTGGGGGGAGGCTGTGAATCCAGTGTGCAGACTCCACAGATGGGATAAGCACAAAAGCCCTATTTGCCTTCACAGCTGGGAGGCAGGTAACCTGGGGGAAGTTCTCAGCCCTGCTTGCCCACTGCCTGGAAACAAACTTGGTGCTGTTGTTGGGGGGCACAGTGGGAGTGAGAATGGCCCTTTAGGTTGTGTGGGAGTTGGGTGAGGCCTGTAACTGCCAGCTTCTGCCCACTTTCCTGACAACCTGCATGACACAGTAGAGGCAGCCATAATCCTCCTAGGAACGTAACTCCGTTGACCTGGGAACCACATACCCATCCTCACAGCAGCTTTAGCAAGACACTCCCAAGGAGAATCTGAGCTCAGTCAGGCCTTGCCCTGCCCCCACTTAATGGTCCTTCCCTACCCACCCTAGTAGCAGAAGACAAAGGGCATATACTCTTGGGGGTTTTAAGGCCCCACCCACCACCTGTTACCCTGTTCCTCCCCACACTATCACTGCCAATGCCCTCTTGAAAGCGCTACCTCCTAGCAGAAGGCCAAACAGCACAAAAATGGTGGATTAAACAACCCAAGCTAAGGACACTCACAGAGTTCATTTCATTCCTGTGCCACCTCCACGGGAGCAGGTGCTGGTATCCACAGCTGAGAGACCCACAGACAGTTCACATCACAGGACTCTGTGCAGACAACCCCCAGTACCAGTCTGGAGCCTGGTAGACTTGCTGGCTGGCTAGATTCAGAAGAAAAAAAACAATCACTACAGTTCTGTTCTCAGGAAGCCCCATCCCTAGGAAAAGGTGGAGAGTACTACATCAAGGTAACACCCCTGGGACAAAATAACCTGAAAAACAGCCTTGAACCCTAGACTTTCCCTCTGACAGAGCCTACCCAAAAGAGAACCAACCAAAAAACCGACTCTGGTAATATGACAAAACAAGGTTCTTTAAAACCCCCAATAAATCACACTAGCTCACCAGCAATGGATCCTAACCAAGAAGAAATTCCTGATTTACCTGAAAGAGAATTCAGAAGGCTCGTTATTAAGCTTATAAGGGAGGCACCAGAGAAAGGCAAAGCCCAATTTAAGGAAATCCAAAAAATGATACAAGAAATGCGGGGAGAAATTTTCAGTAAAATAGATAGCATAAACAAAAAAACAATCAAAACTTCAGGAGACAATGAATGCACTCACAGAAATGCAAAATACTCTGGAAAGTCCCAGCAATAGAATCAAATGAGCAGAAGAAAGAACTTCAGAGCTTGGAGGCAAGGTTTTCAAATTAACCAAATCCAACAAAGACAAAGAAAAAAGAAGAAGAAAATATGAACCAACCACCAAGAAGTCTAGGACTATGTTAAACAATCAAACTTAAGAATAGTCGGCATTCCTGAGGAATAAGAGAAATCTGAAAGTTTGGAAAACATATTTGTGGGAATAATTGAAGAAAACTTCCCTGGTCTTGCTAGAGACCTAGACATCCAAATACAAGAAGCTCAAAGAACACCTGGGAAATTCATCACAAAGAGATCATCGCCTAGGCACGCTGTCATCAGGTTATCTGATAAAGGAAAGGATCTTAAGAACTGTGAGACAGAAACACCAGGTAACCTATGAAGGAAAACCTATCAGGTTAACAGAATATTTCTCGGCAGTTACCCTACAAGCTAGAAGTGATTGGGGCCCTATTTTCAGCCTCCTCAAACAAAATAATTATCAGCCAATAATTTTGTATCAAGCAAAACTAAGCTTCATAAATGAAGGAAAGATACAGTCTTTTTCAGACAAACAAATGCTGAGAGAATTCTCTACTACCAAGCCAGCACTATAAAAACTGCGAAAAGGAGCTCTAAATATTGAAAGAAATCCTGGAAACATATCAAAACAGAACCTCTTTAAATTATAAATTTCATAGGACCTATAATACAAAAATACAATTAAAAAAACAAGGTATACAGGCAACAAATATCATGATGAATGGAATGGTACCTCACATCTCAATATTAACATTGACTGTAAGTGGCCTAAATATTCCACTTAAAACATGCATAGGCCAAGCGCAGCGGCTCATGCCTGTAATCCCAGCACTTTGGGAGGCTGAGATGGGTGGATCATGAAGTCAGGAGGTCAAGACCATCCCGGCTATCACAGTGAAACCCCATCTCTACTAAAAATACAAAAAATTAGCCAGGCGTGGTGGCGGGTACCTGTAGTCCCAGCTACTTGGGAGGCTAAGGCAGGAGAATGGCGTGAACCCAGGAGGCAGAGCTTGCAGTGAGCTGAGACCTCGCCACTGCACTCCAGCCTGGGAGACAGTGCGAGACTCCGTCAAAAAAAAAAAAAAAAAAAAGATACCTAATTGCAGAATGGACAAGAATTCACCAACCAACAATCTGCTGCCTTCAAGAGACTTACCTAACACATAACGACTCACATAAACTTAAGGTAAAGGGGTGGAAAAATATATCCCATGCAAATGGACACCAAAAGCAAGCAGGAGTAGCTATTCTTATATCTGACAAAACAAACTTTAAAGCAACAGCAGTTAAAAAAGATAAAGAGGGACATTATATAATGATAAAAGGCTGTGTCCAACAGGGAAATTTCACAATCCTAAATATATATGCAAGTAACATGGAGCTCCCAAATTTATAAAACGATTACTAATGGACTTAAGAAATGAGACAGACAGCAACACGATAATAGTGGGGGACTTCAATACTCCACTGACAGCACTAGAGAGTTCATCAAGACAGAAAGTCAACAAAGAAACAATGGATTTAAACTATACCCTGGAACAAATGGACTTAACAGATATTTACAGAACAGTATACCCGTTTATAGAACATTCTACCCAACAACTGCAGAATATACATTCTATTCATCAAATGGAACTTTCTCCAAGATAGACTATCTAGTAGGCCACAAAACAAGACTTAATAAATTTAAGAAAATTGAAATTATATCAAGCACTCTCTCAGACCACAATGGAATAAAACTGAAATCAACTCCAAAAGGAACCTTCAAAACCATCCAAATACATGTAAATTAAATAACATGCTCTTGAATGCTCATTGGGTCAAAAATGCAATTAAGATGGAAATTTGAAAATTCTTTGAACTGAATGACAATAGTGACACAGCCTATCAAAACCTCTGGGATATAGCAAAGGTGGTACTAAGAATGCCTAAATCAAAAACTCTGACAGAGCACAAACAGAAAATCTAGGGTCATATCTCGAGGAACTAGAGAAACAAGAAGAAACCAAACTCAAATGCAGCAGAAGAAAGGAAATAACCAATATCAGAGCAGAACTAAATGAAATTGCAACAAAAAGAAAATACAAAAGATAAATGAAATAAAAAGCTGGTTCTTTGAAAAGATAAATAAAATTGATGAACCATTAGCATGATTCACCAAGAAAAGAAGAGAGAAAATTCAAATAAGCTCAATTATAAATGAAACGGGAGATATTACAACTGACACCACAGAAATACAAAAGATCATTGAAGGCTACTATGAATATTTTTACATGCATAAACTAGAAAACCTAGAGGAGATGGATAAATTCCTGGAAAGATACAAGTCTCCTATCTTAACTCAGAAAGAATTAGATACCCTGAACAGATCAATAATAAGCAGTGAGATTAAAATTGCAATTAAAAAAAAATTACCTCTCAGGGGAACCACCCCCTATATTTCAATGTAGGTTCTTTTCTATTTTCCCTAAGTGTCAACTGGTCTGAGAAATAAAGGGAAAGAGTACAAAAGAGAGAAATTTTGAAGCTGGGTGTCTGGGGGAGACATCACGTGTCAGCAGGTTCTGTGATGCCCCTCAAGCCGCAAAACCAGCAAGTTTTTATTAGTGATTTTCAAAGGGGAGGGAGTGTACAAACAGGGTGTGGGTCACAGAGATCACATGCTTCACAAGGCAATAAAATATCACAAGGCAAATGAAGGCAGAGAGAGATCACAAGACCAGGGTGAAATTAAAATTGCTAATGAAGTTTCATATCCCAAGGGGCACGCATTGTCATTGATAACATCTTATCAGGAGGCAGGGTTTGAGAGCAGACAACTGGTCTGACTAAAATTTACTAGGCAGGAATTTCCTCATCCCAATAGGCCTGGGAGTGCTGCGGGAGACCGGGGCTTATTTCATCCCTTATCTACAAACGTATAAGACAGACACTCCCAGAGCAGCCATTTTAGAGACCTACCCCTGGGAATGCATTCTCTTTCTCAGGGCTGTTCCTTGCTGAGAAAAAGAATTCAGCAATATTTCTCCTATTCACTTTTGTAAGAAGAGAAATATGGCTCTGTTCCACCTGGCTCTCAGGCAGTCAGACCTAATGGTTATCTCCCTTGTCCCCTGAACATCACTGTTATCCTGTTCTTTTATTGAGGTGCCCAGATTATATTGTTTAAACACACATGCTTTATGAACAATTTGTGCAGTTAATGCAATCAACACAGGGTCCTGAGGTGACATACATCCTCAGCTTACGAAGATGATGGGATTAAGAGATTAAAGTAAAGACAGGCATAGGAAATCACAAGAGTATTGATTAAGGAAGTGATAAATATCCATGAAATCTTCACAATTTATGTTCAGAGACTGCAGTAAAGACAGGCGTAAGAAATTATAAAAGTATTAATTTGGGAACTAATAAATGTCCATGAAATCTTCACAATTTATGTTCTTCTACCATGGCTTCAGCCGGTCCCTCTGTTCGGGGTCCCTGACTTCCCACAATAATTACCAATAAAGAAACGTCCAGGACCAGATGGATTCACAGCAGAATTCTACCAGACATTCAAAGAAGAATTGGTACCCATCCTATTGACACTATTCCACAAGATAGGGAAAGAGGGAATCCTCCCTAAATCATTCTATAAAGCCAGCATCACCCTAATACCAAAGCCAGGAAAGGCCATAACCAAAAAAGAAAACTACAGACCAATATCCCTGATGAGCATAGATGCAAAAATCCCTAAAAAAATTTAGCTAACTGAATGCAACAACATATCAAAAAGATAATCCACCATGATCAAGTGGGTTTCATATTAGCGATGCTGAGATGGTTTAACATATGCAAGTCAATAAATGTGATACACCTCATAAACAGAATTAAAAACAAAAATCACATGATCATCCCAGTAGATGCAGAAAAAGCATTTGAAAAAATCCAGCATCCCTTTATGGTTAAAACTCTCAGCAAAATCAGCATACAAGGTACATACCTCAATGTAATAAAAGCCATCTATGAGAAACCCACAGCAATATTGTATATTCTCATCCAAAAGTGGGAACTAAGCTATGATGATGCAAAAGCATAAGAATGACACAATGGACTTCGGGGACTTGGACAAAGGGCAGGAAGGGGGTGAGGGATAAAAGACTACAGACTGGGTGCAGTGTATACTTCTCAGGTGATGGCTTCACCAAAATCTCACGAATCACCACTTAAGAACTTACTCCTGTAAACAAACACCACCTGTTTCCAAATAACCTATGGAAATAATTTTAAAAAATTTTTTTACTACATTCTATCTTTCTCCTTTAACCCTGTTTAGCACTGTATGTATTTCTTCTGAGGTTTCTTCAAAGCTTCCCTGCTTTATTTTCACTTAGATGGATGTCGTCTCTCTATATCTTTCATCTTTTCTGTCAAACTTTACATCTTTGTTTAAATAATATTCTACAAGATTTACTTGATCTTTTCTCCAGTTCTACTGTTAACTTCTAAAAATTTGGCCAATATTTTAAATTGACATTAACTCTTCCTTTTTGAAGGTTTCTCTTTTCTAAAAGGAGCATATTTGTTTGTTTAATGAAAGAAAAATCTTTGAATTGCTGTAAGCATTTAAACAAAATGCATTTAAAGTTATATTTTCTTCCATGAATTTTACTGATTTATCCAGAGCCAGTTGTCTTTTTCTTTTCTTTTTTCCCCTTTTTCATTGTCTTTTGTGTTGCTAGCTTTGATTAAATTTCTGCTAATTGATTTATGTTTACTTATTTGTATATTTTTAAACAAAAAATTGGGTTAAACTGCTTAGGTAGGTGGTATGGGTTTTCTCTTCTTTCTTTATTATCTATTCAGAGTGAGAATCTTGACTATAAGAACAGAAGGTATTAGTAGGTGTTATATTTTGGATGTTTGTTTCCTCCAAATCCCGTGTTGAAATTTGATTCCAATGTTGGAGGTGGGGTCTAATAAGTGTTTGGGTCCTGGGCACGGATTCCTCATGAATAGATCAATGTCTTCCCTGGAGCGGGTGTGGGGGTGGTGAGTGGGTTCTCACTCTATTAGTTCCTGCTAGAGCTGGTTGTTAGAAAGTGCCCAGCACCTCTACTGCTCTCTTGTTTTCTCTTTCACCATGTGATCTCTACAAAACAGCTCCCCTTCACCTTCCACCATGAGTGGAAGCAGCCTGAAGCCCTCACCAGAAGCAAATGCTGGTGCCATGTTTCTTGTTCAGTCTGCAGAATGAGCCAAATGAGTGTCTTTTTATCCTCAGATATTCCTTTATAGCAACACTGAATGGAATAAGACAGTGGCATAAATACAATGCCATGCTTTATTTCATAGAGGTGCGATGCAAACAAATTAGACCCTTTCTCCACTCACCCTCAATGCCGAAATAAAAGGTATTTCCATTCCATAAGTCATAGTCTATTCCAAACAGATCTTTTCATCTCTTTACAGACTCTCTTTCTTCAGCAAAAAGAAAAATGGCCAAATAAGAAATCAGTGCACCAAATTCATATTCATATTTTCTTGTTGTTTCTACTGAAATATATTGCCTTTCCTTCAATGAATAGATAAGTTGAAAAATTAAGTGGATATTGCATATCCAATTTTCTAAAGACTTAAACTCATGATAACAAAATTCGAACTCCTACAAGCAAATGTGAGCACTAGAATGAATAGTTCTTTTGTTCATATAGATAGATTGTAAGTGCACAGCTGTTTGTGGCAGGAAGGAAACAATAAAAAGGAGAAAAGTAAAAGTACCACATTAATCCATTGTGTTATTATTCTGCAGTTAATTCCCGAGGCAGAATCTTCTTGAAAACAGCAGGAGTCTCTCAGGCCACTGCACATTCCTTTAGCACATGGTACCCAATCCAAAATGTAAACAAGGTAGAATACCTGAAATTTGAACACTCTGTTGGTAAAAGCCTATGACACCAGGGAAAATCTCAGACCAATCTACTCTCCCAGTACAAGACTCACAATTTAGTGAGTATGCCTATTGAAATCTGCAATGTTACTAAGCAAACACATGGTGAGATAATGTGTTTACATAAATGTTGGAAAAAGTACCAAAGATCTGCTGGGCCCAAATTCTATGAGGCAATTCCAATAATTTCTTACATTGCTTCAGTGCTTCAGCCTCACAATAGTCCTGTAAAGTATAAAATATTGAGATTATCAAATCTGTCCTATTATAAAGGAAAAGATATAAGTAGAGAAACTAAGTAATTTGGCCAAATTCACAGAGCTAGAGAATGTTGAAGCCATAATTCCAACCCCCAGTTCTATGGATTTCTGGTCCAACATTCTTCTCCCAACAACACAGGGAAAGACAGCTTGATAAGCTCCCAAATATATACAGCAACAAGAGTGAAAATAATCCAATAAAGTCTTAAAATTTTTGGTTTCCTTATGAAGTCTTTCTGTGGCCACAGTAAGCCTAAAGTCATGTTTATTTTTTTCTCCTATCCCAGTTGCATGCCCTAGAAATGCACAGCTGCATATCTCTCTTTCAGAAGAGAACTAAGACATTCTCAAGATATAGCTGTGATATATTCATCCTAGAGCTTGTACCTGAGCAGCAGGAACCAAGACTCTTTCAGTAAAACAGCAGGCACCATCTTTCATCTCACTCAACTTGTCTGAAAGTCTAGGAACCAGAGCTGAAGAATAAAAGGAACAATGAAATGTAATCTCTCCTGCTATTTTCCCTCACCCCTTGATACAGTTTTCTGATTTGTTTCAATGTCTTTGAAGTACATAAAGGAAACGTCAACAAGACACACAACAGTAGTAGTAGAACAGCAGGCACTTAGAAGCTTTAGGATTTGTGCTAGCTTGGCATTTCCAAAAGGCATTCCTTTGGGGATCAAAATACTGAACACAAAGCCTGTATGCTCTGCAGGGAAACCTGATGCCTGGGCAAAGTCAAGCCATTTCAAAGGTTCATAGTATCACTTTGGGAAAATCAAAAGGTATTTTTTGAAACTCTAAATCTAGAGCTTAGCACTTTTGACAAGTCATTCAAACCTTACACTATAAAGGTAGGCCCCTCTGGAATTGCAACCACAATTGATTTTAACAATTAAGGGTAAACAAAATGTTATCCTACAACATGGAAGCAGCAAATTGCCATTTTGAAAACCACTCTTTGGCAATCAAGCTGAAACTTCATGAAAATTGTTTTCTCTTTGCTTATTCACCATGTGACAAACTCAATAATGAAATCGTAGTTCTCAAAGGCAGAAAAAGCAGACTTTGTAGATATTCAACCCTGAATACCTTCATGAACTCCAACTCACTGACTGCATCCGTGGGCCATTTCATCAATCAAGAAAACCAATCCCAAAATATCCCCCCAAAATGGTAACATTAGCATATGAAAGCAAGAGAGCAAGTGTTATCTAAATCACTCTTCAGTATTGTAAAGTATTGTAAGGTGGTGTTTCAATATATAGTATACCTATTTACTATTTAAAGCCCAAATGAAGACGTAGAGCTTGAACATTTAGAGGAGGGAGGGAAAAGTAATAGAGCGTAAGGTTGATGGTATAAGCCAGGGTGCCTGAAGTTAGTAAAAGTACAGTTTTGTGTTAAAAATGGGGAATAGTCTCATGCAGTATGAATGTAATGCTAAGTGTAATGAAGTGGTAAACAAAATAAGTCAGTTTCAGATCCTCAGATGTTGTAGTACTCTCAACCAGTTCCAACTTTTGTATTGTTAAGCTCCAGGCTCCCTTTCCAGGGCATGAGATGCTTGTCTTTTTGCAAAAGGCTCAGGGAATCTAACTGCTTAGGGCAGCTGTTCACATACAGCTCATTCGAATCCACTCTAGGCTGACAGTATTCAGATCTTTTTTTATGTAATAAAAAGAAGTCTGCAGGTAAGAGTCCTAATATCTCAAGCAAGCACAAAGATCACACTTTTTCTTTTCTTTTTCTTTTTTAATAAAGAAGTTACCCAAACCTTAGCTACTTAATTTGACCACAC
Organism: Homo sapiens; assembly: GCF_000001405.40. NCBI lineage: Eukaryota > Metazoa > Chordata > Mammalia > Primates > Hominidae > Homo > Homo sapiens. Next base: position 191,999,255 of record NC_000003.12, read on the forward strand.
TATAGAAGTAATGTAAGTTATAAATAATTAATACCTTTAAAACATATAGCTCTAAATAACTGCTAAATTATGAATGGCTAATATGAACATTTATTTTTGCACACCAAACTGAGATAGCTCTCTAAAAGAACAAAATGTTGTATCTAGAACTTACATGTGCTAATATCTAGTAAATAATAGTATAGCTGAAAAGAAGGTAGAAAATATTTTTTGCAAATACTTAAAGATTGAAATGTTATTAATAAATGTTAATAAGTGTTAAGCAAGTATTTATAATTCACTTTGCAGGTTTAAGACAGATAAGAAAGTCTTTTGATGCATTTAAAATTTTAAAGACAAACTACTAGCTTTTCAGATAAAAATCAGTTATTTTGTAGGTAGAGTAATAGAAAAAATCTTAACATTTTATTATATAAATTATAGTACCAAATTAGTTTTTCTTCAATTACATAGCAATTGGTATCATTGTAAGAAAAAAAAAATTGATCATTCTTGGGTGTAGGAAAATAAGATTAGCCACCCTGGCAACATGGCAAAGCCGTGTCTCTACTAAAAACACACAAAAAAATAAAAAAATTAGCCCGGCGTGGTGGCTCACACCTGTAACCGCAGCTACTTGGGAGGCTGAGGTGGGAGAATTGCTTGAACCTGGTAGGCAGAGGCTGCAGTGAGCTGAGATCACATCACTGCACCCCAGCCTGGGTGACAGAGCAAGACCCTGCCTCTAAATAAATATAAATAAATAAATGAGATGAGACAAAAAAATTTCTTCAAGTAGAATGATGATAGACTTTGATTTTCATATTACAGAAGAAATTATGTTTATACAGATAATGATCTCCAAAGTAAATAGGTCCCCTTGTTAATTCCAGATTAATATTAAGAAGAAAATCCTACAAATATTTTAACAAAGTGAAATATATTTTGTAGTTCTCAATAGTAAATATTTCAAATTAGAATTCTCAGTTCTTACTAGCACCAAATGCAAAACAAAAAGATAATAACTTCATTAATATTAAATGAGATAAGATACAGTCTCATATTTGTGAAGATTAAAAATATCAGCATGGAACATTATATTAAAATTAATTGGTCACTATTGTTTGCAACTTATTTTATTGATAATTTAAATAAAAATAATGTAATCCATATATTGTGATATATATTATAGTTAATATATAATACTATTTTAATTTGCTATAAATTATTTTTAACCCACATTTAAGTTCCACAAGTTCACTTCCAAAAAGTCGAGCACTTGAATGTAAACATATTAAGATGTACCTTGCTATGGAGTTTTAGTAAGAAGCACTGCCAGACTAAGCTGTGACCATTACTGGAAAATATTCTGGGCCAGTGATGGTCTTTCATGCCTGTAATCCCAGCACTTTGGGAGGCCAAGGTGGGTGTATCAATTGAGGTCAGGAATTTGAGATCAGGATAGCCAGGCATGTTGCCACGTGCCTTTAATCCCAGCTACTTGAGAGGCTGAGGCACGAGAATCACTTGAACCTGGGAGGCTGAGGTTGCAGTAAGCCCAGATCACTCTGTCTCAAAAAAAAAATTCTGTATTAGTAAGAATTGGCTAGCTCAAGCTGTGCAAATAAACTGAAATGCCACTGACTTCACACAGAAAAGCTTACTTCTTACTGATTCAAGGTCCTCTGAAGACTCTCCCATAGGCAGCTCCCTTCCATTGGTGACTATAGTAGAAATAAAACCTACTTCTAACTTGAGGCTCCAACATGCCACATAGTTTCTAGGATGCCACAGAGTGGGAAAAGAGAGCTAGAGGATGATGTAGAGTGGTCTGCTCCCTCAGTTCTAAGTGACACATGCCATTTCTCTTCACTGCGCATTAGCCAGATATCGTCACATGTCACCACCAAAACAAAGGGCTAGAAGGTGTAGTCTTCTGTTTGACCAGGATGGAGAAGAATGCAAGACATTAAGGAGTACTGGTTATATCTAACACATCTCCCACCGTGCTCATTTTTTTGTTTATATCTTCTTTGGTGATTTCTGTTCCTTATTGCTACCCAAAGAAATGCTCTCTTACTTCAAAATAATATCTCAAGTTCCTGTCTTCTTCAGTACCTTGAATGGCAATATAAGAATATAAGGTGTTATAACTAAATTCCCCTACACCAATAAATGCTGACACATGCTTTGTTGTATGATAAATTATATTAATCTTGACAGCTTGTTTTTTCTCTTTATTGAGTACATATCAAATGCCAAATGCACTGTTCTTTAATCTATAATGCCAACTTGTGATACGGATATTTTATTCCTCTTTTGATAATCAAAAAGTGTTATACACAGAAGCAAATCAACCAATGTCACATAGCCAATATGTTGCCAAACCAATCAATTCACTCTTGAGTCTATCTGACACCAAAAACTGTGCTCTTTGTGACACAATACATTGCCCATGCTTTTCTACTCCTCTCATGTCCTTTCTCCCCTTATCAGATGGATATAAAGTGTAAATTCCTCTGGAAATTTGACAAAAATAATTCAACCAAGTCATCACAAATCAAGGAATAAGAGACTAATTTTAGGATGACGGGCTAAAAGCAAGGAGTACTTGAACTTGGCATCAAAAGCACAACCCATAAAAGAAAAAACTGATAAGTTAGAGCTCATCAATTTTTTTTTTTTTTTTTTTTAGACAGAGTCTCACTCTGTCGCCCAGGCTGCAGTGCAGTGGCTCGATCTTGGCTCACTGCAAGCTCCGCCTCCCGGGTTCACGCCATTCTCCTGCCTCAGCCTCTCTAGTAGCTGGGACTACAGGCATCCGCCACCACGCCCGGCTAATTTTTTGTTAAAATCCTACAAATATTTTATTAAAATAGTAGAGACGGGGTTTCACCGTGTTAGCCAGGATAGTCTCAATCTCCTGACCTCGTGATCCGCCCACCTCGGCATCCCAAAGTGCTGGGATTACAGGCGTGAGCCACTACACCCAGCCCTCATCAATTTTTTTAACTATTATTCTATAGAAGACCATGTGAGGAAAGTAAAGGCATTTTCTATAGACTGGAAAAAATATTTGGAAATCACGTATCCAATGAAAAAACTAGTAGCTAGAATATATAAAGCATTCATATAATTCAACATCTTGTAATAAATTGGGCAAAAGACATGAACAGACATTGCATCAAATAGTATAAACAGATGTCAAATAAGCACATGAAAGGATGTTTGACATTATTAGTCATTAGGGAAAGGTAGAGTAAAATCACGTTGAGATCACTGCACACCTATCAGAATGACTAAAACCAAAAATAGTGAAAACACCAAATTTTGGTAAGGGTGTAGATAAATCAGGTCACTCAGAAAACAATTTGGTGTTTTCTTAAAAAAAGACAGAAAAAGAAAAATACAAACAAAATAAACAGCCAACTATCATATAACAACTCTATTTGGGAACAGTTATTCCAGAGAAACAAAAACATGACATTCTATAAAAACGTATATTAGAAGTTTCACAGGAGCTTTATTTGGAATAGCCAAAAAATGGAAGCAACACAAATGTCCTTCAATGCATTAATGTTTAAACAAACTACAGTACATCCAGTGATAGGGTCAGATGTAGACATCTACCAGTTAATTGGCAATGGCTAAAGTTTTCACCCAATGGGCAGTCACATGGAAGGAATGAAATTGGATAATTATTGACAAAGAAGACTGATAAAGAGATATGAGCCAAAGGTGAGAATATTTATATCTTATGTGAATACTCACCAAAAAGGACTCCTCTGTAGTAGAGTTACAAAAATGTGAAAATTGTATTGTAGTCGTAGTCTCTTTCTTCAAGTACTTTAGTATTTGCTCAAAGGGCTCCTGAATATAGTCAGGAAGGTAAGTTAACTATAAGCTCAACAACATGGATTTCACCTCGCTATGGTGAGGACAATATGGACTGTGTCTAATCTGCCAGAATCATTGAAAAATACTAAAATCCACAAGGGGGGCAATACCTAACCATAAAGTTCTGAGCATAATCAGCTGCAAACATCAACTGATGAAAATGCTATTTTGCTACAGCATTCCCTTGGCATCGCTCCTGGACAGCTGTTCCCAAAGGCATATTTTTCCTAGATATTTAGGATTTAAGCCTGGTCCCCTTGGTCTATACAGGTTTTCTGGTGCTGCCAATAGACTTCAAATAAATCACTTCCTACTAAAACTATTGGAGTGAATTTTGTTGTTTGCAACTAAGAATATTCAATGATTGTCTCAAATGGCAAACTATCATACATAATGGCAATTTGTGGAAGGAGTGTTCTTTTTTTTTTTTTTGAGCAGTGGAATTTTCTATACATTTTATATTCAACTTTGGTGGGACTTAAATCCAAGTTTTTAAAGCCAACCAAAACACAGGTGAGAAGCCAAAGGCCACTCTCCTCTCAAGCAAAAATAATTTGAGAGGCAGTGTTCACTTTCCTCATGAATGCCAAATATATTCTTTTCAGTTTTCTTAATAATCTCTTACAATCACTCCTTCTATTTATCTTCTGGTTTAAAAATTGTTTGCCCCCTGCACACAGGCTGCTATAAAATCACATTTTTTTTTTTAACTCAAGTGGGTTTTATCAGAAATCAATTCATTGGGATACCACATGTGCTTTGAATCTAAGCTTTTTATTTTATTTTCATTTGTATAATGCTATAACTGAAATAACTTTAAAGATCACTAATTCGACATCTTCAAATTATAGAAAAACTGGAACCTAGACAGGGAATGTGAATTGTCTATGGTCAGTAATGTTTGGTAAAGCTTGGCTCAGGACCCCACTTCTTTGTCTTTTAACTCAGACTGCTCAATGTTTCTCTTAAATCAGAGGTTCCCTGCCATAATAATCATTGCTCTATCATTACCCAAATATGTATCTCATATTGCAATTCATATTGTTCCCAAGGTATAGAACCTAAGATTAATAATAATGCCAAGTTGAATACTATATTTGAAAAGTTTTGGTCCGGTCACAGTGGCTCACGCCTGTAATCCCAGCACTTTGGGAGGCCAAGGTGGGTGGATCAGGAGGTCAAGAGTTCGAGACCAGCGTGGCCAACATGGTGAAACCCATCTCTACTAAGAATACAAAAATTAGCCGAGTGTGGTAGCACATGTCTGTAATCCCAGCTACTCGGGAGGCTGAGGCAGGGGAATTGCTTGAACCCAGGAGGCAGAGTTTGCAGTGAGCTGAGATCACGCCACTGCACTCCAGCCTGGGCAACAGAGCAAGACTCCATCTCAAGAAAAAAAAGAAAAGTGTCACATCAAATTATTGTTAAACTATAACTTCCTCAAAAATATTTACCTTCTTTGGGCTCACGTTGTGATTATTCTGGATTCTGAATTTCCCTCACCCTTTAAATTTCCCTCTTCAAGTACCATTTTCTTTGCATTCTCATTGCTATAATTAAATGTATTGTGTTAATATGAAGAAGAAGCTTTTTCCACCTAATTGGTCTCTTTAATATGTCTTTTAAACATATGTAATTTATTCCTGGGAATGAACTTGGTTATCCTTTGCAGACAAACATCAAGGTCTACCATGCATAGATAATTCCAGAGATATATTAATTATCTCACTTAAGTAGCAGGCTGAGATGCATCAATATTCCTTTCCTCAGAAAAGTGGTGCTTATGCATTGGTAATTGAGTGATATGACAAATATATGTAAATATTAATCAATAATAGAGGTGATAAATCTAACCATATTTAAATGACCTTTGAATAACAACAAAAAAAGTCTTTTATCTAGAGATTCTTTGGCCTGTACTCAGTTCCACTGTATCTTCTTTGCCCCCAGAATGCTTTGCTTTTATACACAAAACAGTCTTCAAATGAAAATATACTGCAAATCCCAGTATTAAAAAAGAGATAAAAGTAGAGTTGCTCTGATGGACTGAAGTGTCTGCCTGACCGGAATCCTCACCTCAGTTCACACACAGGACTCTGATAGTGACCTAGGAGGAAAACAGATAACTCTTAAAAGCACAATTAAAGGTACAAGGGATTTGAGACTGAAAGGTATCTTTGAGATAATCCTGTTTATAACTCTTCAAAAATGAATGCCATTTTGCTCGAATTAGAGTAAATGTAGGAGGACAAGGAAAAACAAGTTCCTGATCATCAGTGAGAGTAGCAGCCCCTCCTGCTACCCTCCCTGACATTGAAGACATTTCTGATGACATTTTCCAGACTAATTCAGTTATATTAATGACACTGCGTGAAACATTTGGATACTTGTTGTAGCATATTTGATATTTATATTCAAACATTAATAATTTGGGACTTCACCTAATGATTCCTCTAATAAATATTTACTGAGAAGTAGAGTGAGACTTTAATTAGAGAAACTCACAAAGTGAGACTTAATGGGATTTTAATTCCAACTGTATTGCTGCTAAGTACTCGTTGATTTTTGGATGGACCCTAAACACCAGAAAGAAATGTTCCCTGGAACTTTTAAAGATAAATACTTTCGTAGTCATATAAATGGCCATTCTATTATGTTTTAAAAGTGTTACACAATTGATAATTTTGAATGAAATTTTCTGGTCACTTTAGTGAAGCAAGTCCTTTTTGACCATTTTGGTAACCATCAATTTCAACATCATGGCGAACTGACTGGGATTCCTGTTGCCACAGTTACATGAAAGCCCGAAGTGTCTATTGCTTCTTCACAGTTCATCTTCCCTTCTCCCTCAGGTGGAGCTACTTCACCTTCCACTTCAGGATTAGTTTTGTGCAAATGTAGTTAACAATCCAGTCTTTAGTCCAAAGCAACATTAAAGTTTGGCTCAGTGTTAAAGGGACTCATAATCAAGCCATCTTGACTGGTTTATATGTTCCAACTCTAGTAAAAGAGCCACTTCCTGTTTTGAGAACACCAACTCAGATAACTGGACTCTTTATTTGTTTTCCTGGGCGTGGGTCCATGTGATAAACTGTCTCTTTCCACAATGCCACCTTAGATGTTTGGATCCTATGTCTAGCTGCAATGTCATGCCAAGTACTGGGACTGTTTCCTGTATAAAAGGGTTAGATAACACTGTGAAGGGAAATCCTCAGCATCAAATTCTTACAAAGAAATAATGGAAATGATGTTGTGCTGAGAGAGAACTTCAACAAAGGTCCAGTCTTCTACTCAACATAGTAATTCAACAAGTATTTACTGAACATTTATTATATGTCAGGCATTGTTCTAAGCACTGGAGATACAGAAGCAACTAAGTCTCTAGCCTTATAAAGCACACTAAGTCTCTATCCTCATAAAACTAACATTTAAATGAGATAGCCAAACAATAAATAAATATAAAAATATACAGAATAATGTCAGGTAATAAGATGAGCTATAAAGGAAAATAATGTAGGATAAAGGGATAGAAAATGATAGCTGCTCTTTTGATAGAAAAAATATTTCTGAGGAGATGGCATTTGAACAGAAATTTGATTTATCTAAATTTATCCCTCTTTTTAACTAAGATTTAGAAAAATGGAGCCTAATAAGAGACAAACATGCCAAACGGTGCCCCAAGAACTGCTCAAGATGGATCTAAATGATCTATTCCCCCGAGGTGTAAAAAATGTGTGCTAAGAAGAGAATTTAAGGCTTCTCTTAAATTTGGTTTCAATAATATAGGAGGAATTTTCTAGATCTAACATACCCTCCTTGGTAGGCCAGAAATACCTTTTGAGATGGTTTTCATACTTTCTGCAAGAGTTAATGGTTTGGTCCCATAAATGTGAAATTAGAGAACCTGGACTCTGACCCACAAGAGAACCAAGACAAATAGAATAAATCTCCTTGTCTTAGACACAATTAAAGGAGACCTCCACCTCCAATCATTGTCTCTATCAGTAGCAGCCTCAACACCCTTACTGCTGGCTCCCCGGGATTTTAGATCCCAGTTGCAGTGCCTCTGAAGTTTTAATAATAATAAAAAAAAGCTGTTCTCTGTATCTTTCAGGAGTAACTTCAGCTTGATACCTGGAATTATTATGAACCATAGTCTTTTAAATATGAGAGAAAAGAGGAGATATTGGCCAAAGAATACCAAATTTCAGTTATAAGACAAATAGTCTGTAGATCTAATGTACAGCATGATGACTATAGTTAATATAGCAATGTGTCCTATATTCAAAATTTGCTAAGAAAGTAGATCTCAAGTATTCTCACCCCTCTGTCCCCCAACCCACCACACAAAAGATGAATAGGCCAGTTGTTGGATATGTTGGCACAATTGTGGTAGTCGTTCCACAATGTATACATTTAGCAAAAATATCACGTCGTACACCTAAAATACATACAATTTATATGTGTTAATCATACCTCAACAAAGCTAAGAACAAAGTATTAATAAATAAATAATGTCCTATTTGTCCTCCCTTTCTTCTGTTTCCTGCACTGCAGCTATAGTGATCATTCCAAAAGGAATATTTGATCCAGTCTCAACAAGATGTTAAATGACAAAATTCCTTATGTCTTGAATTTTGGATGGGAATGAATCACTATAATCACATTCTAAAGAAAGTTTCTAGATACACTCATGCGGGACTTGTTAAAACACAGCAAAGAGAATGAAACAACCATTAGAAACTCAAATATCTATTTTAATAGGAGACTAACATGTTTTAATATTAACATATTCTTTAATATTAATCCTACCCTTCCTTAAGGGAAAGATAAGAGAGGGGTATCATCAACCTCTCAAGCCAAGTGAGGAAAATGCTAAGGACAATAAAACATCTGGGAGATTGAGTTGCTTGCAAAAATTAGGGACTGCCATTTTACTTTGCTCCTGAATGTTTACTAAATTACTAAGATATACATGTAGATTACCAGACTAAAGAAATATGGGCCAGGCGCGGTGGCTCACGCCTGTAATCCCAGCACTTTGGGAGGCTGAGGCGGGAGGATCACGAGGTCAGGAAATCAAGACCATCCTGGCTAACACGGGGAAACCCCGTCTTTACCAAAAATACAAAAAATTGGCCGGGCGTGGTGGCGGGCGCCTGTAGTCCCAGCTACTCAGGAGGCTGAGGCAGGAGAATGGCGTGAACCCGGGAGGCGGAGCTTGCAGTGAGCCAAGATCGAGCCACTGCACTGCAGCCTGGGTGACAGAGTGAGACACCGTCACAAAAAAAAAAAAAAAAAAAAGAAATATGAAGACATTTGGGGATAGCTTGAGATACGGCCCCTTAGGGAGAGGTAGGGTGTATGTGTGCGTTATTTAGAAACTCATACCTGCATATTAATGGGAGGATTCTGGAGGTTAGAGGCCAGCTGGAGCAGTACTGGAGACTAGGGCAAGGAAGGAGGGTACAGCGTGACAAGCCTGCCTTCCTGCTACTTGGTGTGGTAAGCATGATGAATTTTCTATTGGCCAAATGGATGCCATGGAAAGTAGCTCTTTTAAAGAGAATTCATCTCAGTAGGATGCCTGGTGAAATAAAGAGATATCAAGGGTGAATGTGGTTACATATCCACATAGCAGCTGGAGGAGGAAGCATCTGCAAACGTTCTGTCAGAAGGTATATTTCCTAGTTGTGTGGAAACTGTCATTTGGCAGTTTCTGTGAGGCCTCCAAAGAACCCAAAAATGCAACTCATGAGAGAGTTTTTGCAAATATCAAGGGCATCAAACCAAAGAGTACAAATAAAATAGTAAAAATTACCTAAAGCCCACCCGCCTTTCTTCTGGCTTCCACTCCCCTGCCCCAGCCTCAGAAGAGTCCACAGCTTGAGAGATTATGATAATTGAAAGAGCCAGAAGAAGAGTGAGAAAACAGACTATGACTTCTTTCCCACTGCAGATCCCTGAGCCATGAGCGAGGCATCCATTTAAAAGAGGAGTGAGGCATGGAAATGAACAAGAGGCTGGCATTTTGTGGTTGGACTCGACTATATCTTTAATACATTAAAATAAGTCATAGTTATAAAAATAAGACTTCTATAACTGAATATTACCAAAAAGAAACTTCCACTTTTAGCCATGATGATGAAACAGGGACTGGATTTACACTTACAATGGAAACTATGAACAAAACCAGGTAAAATATATGAAACAACAGATTTTAGATGTTGGATATCAGGCAGCCCAAGACAGTGATTCCTGATTGAGGAGGGAAAAAATAAAGTAATTTGTGTGATAGCCCCCAGCTTACAATCTATAGAGAGTATACAGGTCATTGTGCAGGAAGAAGAACCTGAAAAAAGCCCAGCCATCATGCTAAATTAAGACAGACTGTAGGGTACAGCGATGTCATCGTGTGTAACTTTTTCTAGAGGGAGTACTGGAGGAGAAAGAGCTAAGCAAAGAGAGAGTTCTAGATCCCTATGGAGAGGCAGGGAAAGGAATCTAAAAAAGCCCAGTGGTGTCCCTAATTTAAGAGACCTGAGGGTCCAGGGATGTCAAGTTGTTCAGCTTTCTCTAGACAGAATACTGGAGAAGACAGAGCTGAGCAAACAGAGAGTTCTAGATAGCTAGCTGTAGAGAGGTCCCTCAAGTCTTCAGCTGAGTACTGGTAACCCAAGTGTGTGAGGAAAAGCAAATCTTCATGAGCAGGTGAATGGATAAATAAAGTGTTGTACACTTAATGAAATACTGCTGGTCTATAAAAAAGGGATGAACTATTGATACATGCAACTGCATGGATGGATCTCAAAATAATTATACTAAGTGAACGAAGACAAACAGAAAGAGCACATCGTGTTTTATTCCACTTACACACAATTATGGAATATGAATACCAATTTACAGTCACAGAAAGCAGATCAGGGCTGGTGAGATTAGGGTAGGGTAAGGGGGTGAGAAAAGGAGGATGACACAGAGGATGAGGAAACTTTAAGGAGTGATGCATATGTGCATTGTCTTGGTTGTGATGATGGATTCATGGGCATGTACATATGTCAAAATGTATTAAATTCCACAATTTAAATTTGTATATAGTTTTGAATTGAGTTATAACTCAATAAAGCAGTTTTAAAATGGAGGGTGACAGATCTTACTAGAATGTTTTCAAAGAAGAGAGAAAGGAAAGTAGACATCATTCAGTTAAACGTAGTCATTGGGGAAATTAGAGCCATATTTTGGTGATAGCTTCTTTGATTTCAATTTATTCTATCAATTATTCATAGCTACAAGTGGCTTAACAACGTGCTTAAAATATAATTCTGAGTTAGTAACATAATTTACAGAGTTCCCCATTATGTGGGCACACCTGTATCTCTAGTCCTTTCACACACACTACACTGCATCCCTACCATATTTTCATTCAGTGCTATTTACACTCCTGAACTTGATATACTATTTTTCACCTTCGGTTCTTCAATCATTATGTTCTCTGCCAAAATACACTTCTCCCACCAGCTGCATCCCTATGCCTCATTCTCCCAAGAGGTCTTTCCTGACAGCCTACTCTAGGTTGAGTACCCATGACAAGTGTTCTCAAAGCATGCTACTCTATTGCACCTCATAACACTCATCAAGTTTATATTACTTGTTTTTATAAGACCGTAAACTCTCTGATACATTTATTGCTATATCCCCAAGAATATAGCCCAAAAACTAGTTTATGAATGACACTCAAAAAATATTTGTTGAATGACTGAATATGAAAGAACCCAAACTTATGGGTTTTATTTTTTTATCTTGCCTCTACTCATTTACAGCAGTAAATCTGCAAGCTTCAGAAGTTAAGAACTTTGTCCATTGTATTCACCAATGTTTCATTGCACATGGTATCTGTTTAATAAAATTTATTTTGTGAAAGGCACTCTCTTAGGCTTTAAGAAATTCACTTACTTGTTTGTTTTAAATTTCAACCTCTAAGGTATAAATCTATAACCATAACATTGCTTATTGTTCTTTTGCCTAATCTCTAAAAAAAGTTTAATAATTGAATAGAATTCAATTAAGCGTTCTCCTAAAACTAAATCTGAGCATGTTTACAAATGTCCATGACCTTCCTCTGATCCATCTTTTCCAAATGTATATATTACATGAAGTCCTTAACACTCCTAGGCTCACAACTATGAGTCATCTTTGGTTTCTTTGTCTCCTTCATCCCTTGTACCACACTGAACACAAAGTTCTGCCAAGTCTTCCTCTAATACATTATGCAACAAGTCTATTGTCTGTTGCTGACCTACAAAATACTGCAAGAGGCACTGATACAAAAATGGCCTCTAATCCCTGAAGGCTTACCACCTCTTAAGGAGAATGTTGTCAACAAATGACAAAATATGCTATAAAATAAAGAGATTTCCATACAAACATGCATGTACCGTGTGCTCACACAGAATAAACTTTTCTGTTGTAGAAGGTCAAAGGAGAATATGCCTATTTTCAATGATACAAAAATATGTTGTGGAGAAAGACACTAGCAAATGTAGGTAGAGATGAAGATGTAATAAGATGTAAAATAATTGTGAAATCGTGTGTGCCCACAAGTTGGGCAGTGTAGACTGAAGTTACTGAGCAATAGGTAGATAAGATAGTGATGCATTTCAATCAATAATATGTAAGATTAATCCAAAAATCCATCAATGTTTGAAATACACATAGGAGAGAAAATAAAGTCAGAGATTAAATTCTGCTCAGAAAGGTTCATGTAATATGTAAGTAAACTAAGGTGCTTATAATAAGAATAAATATAAAATAAATATAAGAGATATTACAGAAGTTCATCCTGTCATGTTAGAAACTATCTGGATTTGGAAAGAAAACCAATGATTTGGTGATTTACAAAGCACTTGTGTCATACCTCATTTTGATTCTCACGAAAGCTTTATTAGATGCAATGACATAGATTCATTGGATTAGAGAGTACACTGAGCCTAAGAGAAGGAAATAGTTTACTTAGGGTCATAGTAGATAATCTAGTGGCAAAGTAGGAACTCTGACCCATATGTGATTTTTAATGTAGCTCCCTTTTTTAAAAAAGCATCAAAAAATGATTCTTGGAATTTTTTAGTTTTAAGCTTTTCCATTTCCAAAACCCAAGAAGTAAAGAAGGAGTTTTGGCTGAGTGGCTCGTCATAAATAAATGTATTATCTTCAATTTTCCTCTTATTTAATTCATGTAAGAACATATGAATAGTGCCTGTTGTTATGATATTTCTCAACTTCAAACCCACCCTTCTATACTCTATTTTGAAATGCTGAGGCTGGGACTGCAAACTTGTGCTTTGGCAGCCTTTCCATTAGAGCTGGTCAACAAAAATTGCTACAAAGAGGCTGCATACTTGGAAGAAGACAGGACTTGCTTTTGTGTTTTCCTGAGGGCTCTTTGTGACCTTGTGGTTCTCATGATCAGGACCTCAAGAAAGCTTTGTCCTCATAATAGTTAGCAGTTGTTCCTGTAGCAGCAGCATCCCTTCCTCAGAGGTATGAGTCCCAGAACCCATGAGGCCAGACCTCTGAGCTCAGAGACAACAGCAGCACAGAAGCGGAACTCCCTCCTGAGCAGTGTGACTTAAAGATCTACAGCACCCTTCCTCCCTTGCTCCTTTTGTTTTCTCAGCTATAAGGATGGCAGCAGCTTCTACAGTTTCCACCTCTCCTACACCTTAGAATTATTCTTTATTTGTTGGCAACTTTATACCTACTTAAAATTATTTATATGAAATCTCCTTTGTCAAATTACTACTGTGTTTTCTGTCTCCTGTTTGGACCCTGACTAATACATCAAGTTTTCTAGGACTCCCATAGTAATCAAATTCTACAGAGGACTTCTATTGCCTCATGCTAACATCTCCAAATAATAAATATGTACCAACCCATTTAACCCATCCCTAACAATTTTTGCTCTTGCTTTACATATAATTCTTCTTATCCTCTAAGGAAATATATCCCCTGGTTTCTAAATACATTGTCCCAGAATGCCTTCATTATGCTTCCTTGCTTAAACTATTTTCTTTTCCTTTCTTTCTTCCTTCTCTTTCTTTTTCTTTCTTTCGTTCCTTCCTTTCTTTCTTTCTTTTTTCTTTCTTTTTCTTTCTGTCTTATCTCTTTCTTTCTTTTTCTGTCTTATCTCTCTTTCTTTCTTTCTTTCCTTTCTTTCTCTTTTTCTCTTCCTTTCTCCCTTTCTTTCTCCCTTTCTCTCTTTCTTTCTTTCTCTTTCTTACTACATCTTTCTTTCTCCCTACCTTTATCTATCTATAGTTTACCACTTAGAGCACCTCTAGATTAGATTCATAATTTCTGCCCATTCTAATTATTGCTATTGATATAAATCATATATAAATAAAAATATATATGTTGTATAAATGTTAATGATTTATATAACAAAACAATACAATATAGGTAATAGTATTCTACTTTTAAAAGAGTAGCAATAATTTCATCACAATGTTATCTAAAAGAGTCTCAAATTGAAAACAACCTAAATGTCTAACATTAGGAAAGCATTGAAGTAATATTGTATATATGTTTAAGTGAAATATTATACATATAATAAAAATATTACCTACAAAGAATTTAAGTGACGTTGAAAATTGATTATGACTTATGTGAACAAATAAAGATATAATATATAACCATGACATGATCTTAACTATGTAAAAATATATAAAATAAAAACTACACAAAAAAGGAAAAAGTTGTTAAATAAAGAAGGAATCTGAGGATTAGTGAAATTGTGTCTCTTATGATTTTCCTCATAGGTCATTATATTTTTTTCACTTTCTCCCACTAGCTTCCACAGTCCTCAGAAAGGGAAATGTTGGTCTATAATACACAAGATGTATTCAAAGTATCTCACGTGGTCCTCTGGATGAGGTCGTGCCAAACACATGTTTTCAGAGTCATTACTCTAATCATGATTTGCCTACTTTGCATGTAATTTTCCAGGTGAACTTCTCATCTATATAGGGTACTAAAGAACAAAAAATTTGGAACCAGGAGGCCTAGACTTTAGTTCTGAGTGTCACACTTTCTAATAAGGTATCTTTAGGCAGATCAATTCTCTGATCCTTATTTTCTCATCTGTAAAGATAAATTTTTCAAGACCTCACAAGATTGTTGGGAAAATTAATGAGAGATTACTGTTGTTGGTAAATATTATATAAACTGGAAAACTTATACAAAATAAAGTATTTTTTCATCATATTTATTATTATTACTATTATTAAAGTAGAGTCTGCCTCTGTTGCCCTGGCTGGAGTGCAGTGGTGTAAACTCAGCCCTCTGTAACTTCTGCCTCCTGAGCTCAATCAACCCTCCCACCTCCACCTCCTGAGGTCAAGCTATCTTCCCACCTCAGTCTCTTGAGTAGTTGGGACTACAGGCATGCACCACCAGGCCAGAGTAGTTTTTGTAAATTTTTTTTTTCTTTTTCAGAGACAGGGTTTCTCCATGTTGCTCAGGCTGTTGTGAACTCCTGGACTCAAGCGATCCACCCGACTTCACCTCCCAAGGTGCTGGGATTATAGGCATGAATCACCATCCCCAGCCATACTTTGGCCAAAACTCAAGGTTTTATCAATCCTCAAGCCTCTAAATTTTGATAAAATACTTCCTTTTGGTAAATATTCATCATAATACTTCATATTCAGTATAAATAAATGGAACTTTTCTACAAGGAGCAGATGCAATTTCAAGCACACCCTCCCCAAGCCCCATCTCTCTGTCTCTCTGTCTGTGTCTGTCTCTGTCTCTCTCTCTCCCTCCCTCCCTTGCTGAAGAATTTGGGTGCAACACCTAAACCTACAAGCTGACACTGTTAAACACAAACAAAGCATTTACTTTAGAGTAAGAGCTGTGTCTTACAAGTATACTTCCCAATGAGGCAGGTTCCAGAAGGTCTATATTGTTAATATCTTAATTGATCATTGTCAGCATACATCACTTAAATAGCCTCCTTATTCTAACCTTTCCCTGTTTGGAATTTTGAATTTTAAGAAGACCATATCTTACAAAGCAGTTTTCATAAACATAGTCAATGTGAGGGGAATACTTGGCTGCTTTAGTTTTCAATCCTTATTTTCTTATAGGCGTTACATTATTTGGAGAAAATGTTTCCAATTTAATAATAAAATATGATAATTAGACTTCATCAATATCCAATTATTTTTATAATACCTACTTAACATTTAGATTGTTCCCATAATTTTAACAGTATGAAAATCTATTAATAGATTATCTCCTGAGCTCTTCATAAAGAAATACATTTATTAAGGCTGGGATGGTAAGAAAGTGAAGAATGAATTTTTATTTTTCTATGTTAGTGACAGACCCACAAAAACTTAAGGCTGTGAGAGTTTTTACTGGTTATTCTTCTGTTTCAAACTTCTCACCAATATTGAAATGACTTCCACTGCATCTCAAACTAGGCTATGTCTTGCTTCTTGAATATTCCCTAGGAGGGAGTACACATGTACAATGTACACAAAGTAGTCTATTCTTTGATGGATGGATCTAATTACTTCATTCAAATATTGAGCATTCTCTTTTACAAAGCTAGGTAGTGGGACAGATTATGAGTCAAAGTTCATGATATCAAGACATTTGCTGCCTGTGAAGTGTCAAAGGATCATTTGGTACTTATTTCTATTACAGTCCTAACCACCCTCTACTATATGTATGATACTGTGCCTTTCCTCTGGATAGAGCATAATTTCACCACAGTAGAGCCCATGTTTTATTAATTTTCATACCCAGCAGTAAATAAATGTTACTTAATGAATAATAAATGAATATGAGGCCCAATAATGGCACAATTTTATATATATATAATCCTTTATATTGAAGTGAAATAAATCATGCTGTAAACTGCATGTCCCTAGAATAGTTTTATCTTCTGATATTGCCCAACATAAGCATTTTTCATCTTTCTAAGGACAGCCTAGTGATCATAGATAGCTTTTAATATACTCCCTTCTTTAAACCACTCACTCCCTGTCCTTTTATATGTTTTCTATACATGATGATGATTGGCTAATTCTTTATCATACTGGTTATCCTTCTCTAGTCACACTTTTGTGTGTCAACATCATGAATTATCAAGGAATAAAGTAGAAACGTGTGAGAGTATTAAAACATTTCTCTTTATACAAAAAGAATGCTTTCTTGTCAAACTTAATTATGTCTTTTTATCTGGGAAAGTAGCCTGAAAATGGGAAATAAAAAGAAATATCAATTGTAGGGGAACAGATGAGTTGGAGGACCTAGGTCTTTTCCCCGGCTTTGACAAAGATTATTTATCCTCCACACTTTTGACTTGTGTGCTTACACAGTCTACACAGCCTGCAAATGTAGTTCCATGCCTTTCCCTTCATTTAGTCAGTAGGAGGGTACTTAGAATTGTTGAGTTTCTATGAATGTGGTTTCAGATTCTTGGCTTCAGATTCCATTAGTGTATAAAAACATGCTTAATTCTCATAATATTTGGTTTCTCAAGGTCAGAAGAGTTTTGTGGTGTTTTCATCTGCTTTCTATTGCTATGACAGAGTAACTGAGTCTGAGTAGTGTATAAAGAAAAGAAATTTATTTGTATCATAGTTCCAAAGACTGAGAAGTCCCAGGGCATGGCAGCAGGTTCTGGAAAGGGCTTTTGTACTGGCATAACATGACAGAGGGCATCACTTGGCAAGAGGGCAAGGACATGCCAGCTTACGTCCCTCTTCCTCTTCTTATAAAGCTACAAGTCCCATCATGGGGGCCCCACCCTGATGATCTAATCTAATCCAAATTGCCTCCCAAAGCCTCATCTCCAATCAACACATGAATTAAGGAATAGTTTCTAACACGTTAAATTTAGGGGACATATTCAAACCAGAGCAAGTAAGATTTCAGTGTGAGACTTCAATGAAACAAAGGCATCGTTGTTTACAAATATATTCTAAGCAAAGACTTGTAGCACCATAAAGGTGCAGCCATTGAACCTAATATTATAAATCAAATAAGCAAAGATCATTTCATTCTCCCATCCCATAGCCCCACTTTCTTCAATACTGAGCCTTCCTTCCTTTCAGTCTATTATCTCTGTCCTGCAACATAAAGTCTCTTCCATCTTCACTCAAAGATAATGGTTTTTTCCTTTGCATATTGCCTCTCTGTATTGATTGGCAAATACCAAAAAAAACAAAAACAAAACAAAAAAAACCCTCACAACTTTTTTTCTTATATTTTGCAATAGAATAGGAAAAATTAATTTGTTATTTTTTTATGTTGGTAGAAAAAATGATTATGCAAGTAGCCAATCAATATTAACACTGTGGGAAAAGATTGGTGGTTGTGGAGTTTTTGTTGTTGTTGTCTTACTATGAAATCCACAATTTCTTACTCTCTCCCTGTTGCAGAGGAGAAACTGGAAAAACAGATGAACACACGATATTGTCATTTTCATTGCAGCATTATGAACTAAAGAGTAATTATATTTATAATATTTATTTATGAATGTATAAAAATTCTGTTTTATAAATGTTTCATTTATTCTTCCTATATATTTCTTCCTTAGATGCCACAGTCAATAATAATTTCAAAAAAGGTCAACTTTACTTAGGGAACCACAGGTGTTTGATATTTACAGAGGTGGAAATGTGGTTTAATAGATTATTGCCTACCCTGTTGAAAAATAAGTGTGGCTTGCTGGGAAATGGAAAATGGAAATAGGAAATGTGATAAATAAATTTGTAATAAGATTCCAAATAAGGAAAATTATTATTAATTCAAAATCAAACGAAATTTTTAAATTGAGACATTTAAATGCAAAAAGGACCAGTACAGAGAATCCCATTGTTTGCATAAAGTTCCCCACAAAAACAAATATTAAGAAATAAAATTCAAACTCATATGCACACTTCCTCCTGAGAATTAATCAGTAGATGTGACAGAAGATCTGAGCTGCTTAATCTGATTTTCCATCATAGATTTTTTATTATTAAAAATTAGGTTAATGTTCATAAATTTATTTTTTTAAATTTATTGATAAAAGCTATATTAATAGTTGTTTGTGTCACAAAGGTTCAGGAAAGAATTATTCCCTGCTGATATCCAGCTTTAATTGAGACAAGGAAACCTAACTGTCATCCCCCATAGCTAGTCCTAGTCAAAAATATGAGATTTATTGCCTACTCTCTGCTTTCTTCATAATATATCCTTTCACTTCTCTCTACCTACCAATAGTTAAATAGCTACAGAATGTTAAAGAATCAAAGTGCTGGTAGGTTAATCTATATTGATCTTACCTCCTCCATTCACTAAATAAGAAATTTAAGGCAAATCTTTTTCTACCTCAATTACCTTATCTATTACCTCCCTTGTACAGTTGAATAAATATGGGAAATATAAATAATTATGGGAATGGATAAATTTATGCATATAAATCACTTAAGCTCTAAGTATTAATATTTTAAACTTATTATTGTGATATTTTCTCTGGACTCTATCAGAATGAAAGCAGTTGATAATCTCCTGTTAATTACTTGGCATTTTAGCCTCCTCTGTCACTCTCCCTAAGAGTTTATTCTTCAGACCACCATCAGATTAATATTCCCTCAAGACAGTTGTATTTATATCATTACTTTTGTGGCTACCCACTATCTACTAATTAAAATTAATTGAAAATAAAGGTGACATCAGAAACATTTTATGTTGATTCCACCTAATAATGTTTTATTTGATGGTAGTCAGTGACAGTATTTGGTAAAGAGACACTCTATCTCTGCACACCAATATCTGGTTTTCCCAATGCCATACTGAAAAAACCATCTTTTTGTCCATTCTGTGCTCTTGGCAACTTTGTGGAAGATAAGTTGATTGTAGATGTGTGGATTTATTTCTTGGTTCTCTTTTCTGTTCCATTGGTCTACACATCTTTTTTAATGCCAGTGCCATACTGTTTTGATTACAATAGCTCTTTACTATATCTTAAAATTAATAAATGTGAGGCCTCAAGCTTTGTTCTTTCTGTTCAAGATTGTTTTGGTTACTTAGAATTTGTGGTTCTATGAGATTGTTTTTTTAATATATATTTCTATAAAGAATGCCATTGGGATTTTGATAGAAATTTCATTGATTCTGTAAATCAATTAGGGTAGTATGAATATTTTAATAATATCAATCTTTCCAATCCATAAACACAGAATGTCTTTCCATTTTTGTCTAGCTATTCCATTATAGAAGACACAATCAATGTTTTATCATTTTCAGTACATAAATTTCATCTCTTTCCCTGTTTATTCCTAAATATTTTATCATTTTGCTGCTATTGTGAGTAGGATTATTGTCGTAATTTCCTCCTAGATACTTTATTGTTTTTATATAGAAACATGACTGATTTTGATATTTTGATTTTGTGTCCTGCAACTTTAGTGAATTCATTCTTTAGTTCTGTTTGTTGTTGTTGTTGTTGTTTTTGTTGTTGTTGAGTCTATAAGGTTTTCTAAGTATATGAGCATGTCATTTGCAAGCCGATAGTTTTACTTCTTTCTTCCTTTCATTCCTTTTCCTTTACTTGGATACCTTTTATTTCATTTATTTGTCTTATTGCTCTGTGTGGGACATCCAGTACTATATTGGATGGAAGTGGCAAAAGGGAGTATCTTTGCCTTCTACCAGGACATAGAGGAAAATATTTACATTTTCCCCTATATATTATGATGTTAGCTGTGGGATTTTAGTATATGGACTTTATTGTGTTGAGGAAAAGTTCCTTTTATGCCTATTTTGTTAAGAGTTCCATATAAATGAATGTTTTGAATAAAATGAGTTTTGAGAAATGTTTTTCTGCATCTATTGAGATAATCATGTGTTTTGTTTTCTTTCATCCTGTTAATGTGGTTGATTGATTTGCATATGTTGAGGCATCTTTGCATATAAGAGATAAATCTCAGTCATTTTATGTAATGCTTTTTTTTATGTAATGCTTTTAATGTGCTGTTGAATTTGCTATCTTATAAATTAGGCCATTATCCCACACTGTATTAAAAAATCAACTAAAAATAGGCTAGAGACTTAGACACTAGACCTGAATCCACAAAACTAGGGAAAAAGTTAAATAAACCTAGGGGAAACTAGATAAACATAGGGAAAAAGTTTCTTGACATTGGGTTGGGCAATGATTTTTTTTGGATATGACAAAAAAAAGCACAGGCAACGAAAGCAAAAACAGACAAAAAGGATTGCTTCTAACTAAGAGGATTCTTCACAGACAAAGGAAACAGTCAGTACAGTGAAAAAAGCAACCTACAGAATGAAAGAAAATATTGACAAACATAGAAAAGGTGTTAATATCCAAAATATATAAGGAACGTATGCACCTCAATAGCAAAAACAAAATAAAACAACAAAAAACAACCTGATTAAAAAATGGATAAAGGGCCTGAACAGACACTTCTTAAAGAAGACATATAAATGGCCAATAAATGTATGAAAAAGTATTCAACATCACTAATCATCAAGGAAATACAAATTAAAACCACAATGAGCTATCACTTCACATCTGTTAGAATAGCTATTATCAAAATGATGAGTGTAGGTGAGAATGTTGAGAAAAGGAAATCCTTGTACACTGATGATGGAAATGTAAATTGATATAGCCATTATGAAAAACAATAAAGAGGTTTCTAAAAAAATAAAAATTAAAAAAACTACTAGTAGGCATGGTGGCTCATGCCTGTAATCTCAACATTTTGAGAGGCTGAGGCAGGAAGATTGCTTGAGCCCAGGAATTTGAGTTTACAGTGAGCTATGATCATACTACTGCACTCCAGCCTGGATGACAGACCAACATGCTGTCTCTTAAAAAAAAATAATAACTACTTTATAATCCAGCAATCTCACTTCTGAATATAAACCCAAAGGAAATTAAATCATTATCTCAAAGAGATATCTGCACTCCTGTGTTCATTTCAGCATTATTCACAATAGCAATATATTCCTAATTGTTCATTAACAGATGAATGGATAAAGAAAATGTGATTATATACACACACATACATAAACAATGGAATACTATTCAACTTTAAAATTAAAGGAAATTGTGCCATTTGTGACAACATGTATAAACCTAGAAGACATTACAAAAAGTGAAATAAGCCACTCTAAAATAGACTTACAGAGGTCTATTATTATAGAGGTCTAGACCCCTAGAGTCTAGGGGGAGGGGAAAATGGAGGTACATTGATCAAAAGATACAAATTGTTAGTTATGCAGGATGAATAGTTTCTGGAGATCTAATGTACAGTAATGTGCCTACAGTTAACAATACTGTATTGTGTACTTGGAATTTCCTAAGAAGGTTGATCTTAAGTATTCTTATCACAAAAAGATTTTTTAGAAAAAGAAAGAAAGAAAATGGTAACTGTGTGAGGTGATAGATATGTTACTTAGCTTGATTTGGTCTTTATATCAGAATATATATGTATCTAAAAATATCAGTTGGACACCTTAAATATGTACAATTTTAATTTTTCAGTTGTACCTCAATAAAGCCAGAGAGGTAATAGAAAGAGAGGATATATCTATAAGAGATATCTGATGAGAGTTGGGACTATATCTGTCTTTTCACGGATAAGACCTGGCAAAACGAGGCGTCCACATATTTCTTGAATGAATGAAGGAATGAATGTGAAGCTTGAGATTAATGCTAAACTCTCTTCATAGACATTCATTGAGAATTGCAGTTACAGGTTTAGTAAGTGGGTATCTGTTGTTTTACACTGTCAGCACCCATTCCTCTTTCTTTTGATAAAAGGACCTCAATATTCATTTAGGAAACTACCTGTGCAATATTGAGTGTGATCTTGGTGGTGACATCAACAAATGCACCCCCTCCTAGTCTGGGGAGAAGACCACCTGACAAAGCTGGATCAATCAGCGGTTTTAAAGAACTACTTTGTTTTTCTTTTCTTTTCTTTTTTTTTTTTTTGAGTATTGGTGACTCATTTTCTTTTGTTTGATTCTTTAAAAGCTGCCTACCATATTACCAATACATTATTCTTTTAGTCTAAGTTAGGTCCGGTAGGTTTCTCTTTCTTACAGTCAAACAATCCATCTGATATAGCTATCATTTATAACTAACATTTAACTGACTTAGCTAGGAAAGTAGTCATATAGATACAACATACATTAACTATTAGAATATCAGTACCACACTAGTAAGATGGCACTACTGATAGAAAATGATAAGGTCACAATTATTGTTTAAAAAAAACCTCTTCTGGTTCAACTCAATTTAAATAACATCTGTATTCAACTCTAGAAATATAAGAAGGATGAAATCACTGAAGACTGACTGAACTGTACAGCTCCCTGGCAGACATAACAGATGTCTGTCACTGAACCTATTGCAATCTCTCTCATTTCTAGCCAAGAGAATTCTCGTCTGTTGATTCACAAACCATGAATCTGTCTGAAAATTAATGAATCAGCTTCTGGCAATAGAGCCTCCTCCTCCCTCTGCAGTTACCTTGACAAATCCTTCCATACAGATCCCCCAAACACAATTCTGCAAACTGAAGTGAGTTCCGTGGAGGTCAAACTAATTCATATCCAAAGAGTGTCATAGAAAAAGTTATTTAAGGGAAAGAAGTAAGCTTATCAGGCAAATTATATAAAACTTTCTCAAACTACTGGCACACATTTTTCACATGAAAGGTAGAGTGGAGTTGTTTGCTTTTAATAATTATAAGCACTCAAAAGCTATACAAAGTGAAGTTCCATAGTTCCCTAATTCTAATTTTTCTTAATTTTTTTTCAGAATCCCCAGAATTCAAATTCTACAGATTTAAATTTGGAAATTTTTCCAGTCATCACAGACTTTCCAAGACAAAACAGCAGGGAAAAAAATAAACAATCTAGAGACCAACACCCCTGAATTCCATCTCCATGTCTGAGCTCTCTCTCCAAAGATCAATGTCCCTTTTAATCAAGTCAGCCAACTTTCATTCTTGTTGTCTTGCTGGGCATTTATTAATAGTGAGAGGTAGTGAATGACTTTACAACTTCTCTTATTATCAGTGCTAGGAGAGTCCTTTATATAGCACAGAAAGGCTCAAGTATACCACTATTCTGCACTCAAATTTTGCTTTGCAATTGGTTCACTACATAAATTTTTCTTTTTTATGAAAATTCTGCTGATAATATTCTGGTCATTTTGTAGCAGAATATGGGTCAAGCCATGCATTTCAACCATCCAAATGGAATATAAGAAAAAACAAGGTGGAAATATAACAGAGAACATTTGTCTTAATCCTCAAAACAAGAAAGAAAAGTAAACTAGATAAATGTTTTAAAATATGTATTACTGAAAATACTAAGAAACATTCTATTTAGATTATCAAACATTCACTCAAATCAATAAGAAAAGCAAGATCTTCCTAAAATCCAAAATTCAACATCTCTAGGAGGATATGTATATAAAGGGGCTACATACAAGATCCAATCTGGATGACAAAGGCTGAAGGATACAGAGTATTGTAAGTCTTTAAGAATC
The DNA here is from genome assembly GCF_000001405.40 of Homo sapiens. Classification (NCBI taxonomy): domain Eukaryota; kingdom Metazoa; phylum Chordata; class Mammalia; order Primates; family Hominidae; genus Homo; species Homo sapiens. The sequence goes on from NC_000003.12 coordinate 192,023,715, forward strand.
TTTACAGTGTATTTAAATTTTAGAGCTATAAAAACTTAGGAATATGATCTGTAACCATTTATCAGTTGGAAATAAAAATAAATATCACAATATTATACAATTAGAATTTATACAGTTTGCATTCAGCTGAATGGTACTTGGGTCTTAGGCCCCCACAGCCTCTTCAGATTGAAGAATAAAATGAACAGGGGAAGAGCTGGAGCAATAGGATATCAATGACAACAAGTTAAACAAATCATTACAGATTCTTGTGGGAAGTTCATGAGCCATTTTAACATGGATAGGGAGAGATTGCTATACCAACAATTACGGTTAATTACCAGACAGTGCTTCCCTGGGAATCAACAACATTTCACACTACAGCCTCCCAAGAATGGCTATTTTGACTCATCTGACACCTACAGTTTTATGTATATGAAACAGATACATGTTAGCAGTAAGATGTGAAAAATAAATTTGGGGCTACCTAATAAATGTGGATTAAAATTTTTGCTTTACAGACATACTAATCTTTTAAATGTGTGAGTAACAAGGCTCCTTTCCCTCTCTGTCAGATTTTTAAAGGTGGTTGGAGACCTGAACTAGGTATCAAAGCTCTGCCTATATGGAACCTCCACAAGGGTATCTATGGAAAAATTTGGGTGATTTTGGAATGCATTTTAAGTCCATGAATATGCATACCTCTGTTAGGTGTAGGACACTCTTTGATATTAGTGCCCTGGAGGGTTAGTAATTGAACATGCATTATCTTTATTTATTTTTTGTTTTTCTGCTCCGTAGCTTTTTCCTTTTAGAATTTCTTCCCCCTTTTGTTTTCTGTTTTCCTTTTTGGGGAGCATCTAAACCCTTGTTCCAAAGGGTGACCTGAAATAACACTTCAGTACATTTGAGCAAGCACAAAGATTGTCCTCAGGCATTCCCCATGAGAAATTTCGATGCTATCTCATCTTTTCAAAGATATGATCAGATGAGACCCTGAACAGATTCTGAATCCAACTAAAGATCTAATTAAGTAACCCCAAGAAAATTTCCCATTCAGAGATTCTGTGCCTTTATGAACTTCCTCCTAATCATCTCTTGGAAGGTAAACAAAATCACCTTTTTCTGCATTTGCCAGCTAGCAACAATGTGTATGACCTTGACTACAATAAAGAGTTCAGTATTGCCAGGACTGGAAAAATAATTGACAGTGCATAGCCTATTGAAGCTGAAGGAGCAATGTGATTTCTGTCTGTGAGGGCAAGCACATTAAACATAAAGGCTAATCCGTGGACACACAGAGCCCCACTAATCCTTGCAAACCATAAGCTGCTTTACAAATTTTATCATGAACTGGCAAAGCTTGTTTGCAACTCTAAAAATCACAGAATTACTGAAACATTTAGTTGGAGGACCCAGTAAGGTCATTCACTAGCAACATTCATTAACCTATCTCTAGTCAGCTTTCCTTAAATTCTCTAACAGAGAAGATTCTCTTAGTCTCGGATTTCTCAGGGAAAGACACTCCATAACCTCTTTTGTATTTCCTTCCTATTTTAAAACATCTCAAAATATAGACATTGTTTATTATTAACTTCTACCTCTTTTTTAAAAAAATAAATAAACCCTTAAAAATAAAACAAGGCAACAGTCCACTGGGTTAGAAGAAAAAAATAAATCCCTTAAAGAAAAGTAATTCTAAAAACTGTATTGAACCATATTCACCACTTTTTCCTAAACTCCTGTTTTAAACATTTGATGATATACTATGATGGAATTTATCCATACAGCACATAAAGCTGTTTATTTTTTGGTCTCTGCCTATTTTTACAGCTTTACCTACCACTACCCTACTTTTCTTCCACACCAGCTAATACCAGTTGTATTGATGGTACCTGAAGTTACCATCTTTATTTTCTCAATCTTTGCAACGAACATTGTTCTTTAAGACATATTTTCTCCCTTGTGAAGCTTCCCTTACCTCACTTTAATCCTCTTTGTGTAAATTATTTTCAAACAGCATTCATATATATATATATAGAGAGAGAGAGAGAGAGAGAGAGAGAGAGAGCGAGAACAGAACATATCACAATATATGATTACATCATACATATTTCTCTATATTAGGTGCACTCCTCTTCAAATTAGGAATTTGGTTTTATTTTCTTTTATATCATTAGAGGAAGGCAAGTCATTTGTCCTAAATAACATTGGATAAATTGTATACAAGTTGTGGAGCTTGTATTTATGAAGACAAAAAATGTACTGTTTTTCATTTGATGTGTTATAAACCTTTTTTCTAAGAATTTTGAAAATCATTCACATTTCCTTAGTGCATTTAGAATCACAGCTGATGCCATGATAAGAATCTTTCTAAAAGGTGAGAACAGAACACCATTAAAGAAATTCTGAGTTATCTTCTTTTTGATAGACAGAAAAACAGTTGGCAAAAAGACTAAAAATGAATAATTAACATTAAGTGATTAAAAGTAGTCCATAGTTAAAATTACAATAATTAACTTTGACATGGCATGTAATACCTAGAGAAAATTATCTTACTATATATGTTGTATTAATTATAAATGTAAAATGTTACAAAAGGAGAAATTGCCTTTTTGTAAATCCTGAGCAATATTTTATCCTCTGTTCAGGATGAAAATATCCTGAACACCTGAATACATTTTATCCTATATGTATTTATCCTTTATATATTAAATCTTATCTATATTTTATCCTATATTCAAAATGTGTAAGAATCAGAAGATGGCAAGGGAATGTCTCTTGCAAGCATCAATTTTAAAACATGGTTTATACCATAATCTTCTTATTAGATATCTAGGACTCCAGAGCCCAGTATTCTTTGATACATAAATTACTAAGAATGGCTTATTTAAATTTTTAGAAATTAAAATTATCACAGAACTTCAAATTTAACACTGAGTTAATAAATATTTGATAATATTATTTTATACTTTTCCAGAGTTTCTATTTTTTTAACCAAAGACAAGGTCTTTTACTAAGATTTATCTAAAGCAACAACCAATCTAGGCAAATATTAGTAGATTCAGAGATAGAAAAACTGAAGCTCAGAGAGAGGTTTTGTAACTTATTCACAGATCACGCTGATAGTTCATAATATTGTGCTTTGGAATTAGGTTTCCTAACACAGTGCCTCACACACATACCACCATGTATCATAGCTACGGCTGCAGCTGGGATACAAGGTTAGAGTTTAATTTCTAAACAAGAGAAATAACTCTGGACTTCTAGTTTCAGCTCTGACATACAAAATGTTTGGAAATCCTTTCTCCCACCCTTATAACAAGAAATAGCTAGACAAACTAAAAATCAATGACATTTCTTGGACATATTAGAGAATTGAGGTCAAAGGGCATCACCACAAAATCTGAAGACACAGGCACATCAAGAGAGATACAGCCAAGATTTATTTTTCTGGAGCAAAAGCCAATGGCCCATGAACTTCTAGTAGTGGTTAAATGATAACTTTTATGAATTCCTGGAGGCTGAATGCAGACTAATTTGAGAGAGAGAAACTCTTGGTGGCCATAATATTAGTGAAGCCCCCATATTTACATGGGTTTTACCTCTAGGAACCCTACAAGATTCTCAAAATGAGCCAAGAAAAATCCACTGACAGGTCTGGACAGGCAAGAGGGAAACTAACCATTTTGAAGTATTTATAAAGTGTTCTTCATAGTGAAGACTAGCTCTCCAGTAGAAAAGACTTTACTGGGGTGCTAAATGACCTAAGGTAGGGTCACCTCCAGCCCCCTTTGCCTTTCTGTCTCATCTAAAGGAGGGGAAAAAAAAGCCAAGAAACACTTGTGAAGATTATAGTTCGGAGACAAAGACTCTCCAAAAGGCTGAGATTTAATCAAAAGATTATAGAATGTTTTCACTCCCTTATTATTTAACAATACATCAACAGGTTTCCAATATAATAATAGTGGATTATGACTGAAAGAGCTTCAAGACACAGACTCCATTTAGGAAAGAGCTTTTAGGGAACCCCCACAAACCCCCAAAAAGGACAGACAAAACAAGAACAGTAGGGAAAATGGAAACTTTTGGCACGTACTGCTACAGCAAACATTAAACACGGGCCAGCTCCTAGCCAGGTAAACATATAATCTCACACTGTAGAACTATTTACATCTTCTACTACATCATACATCATGCCTAACTTTTAACAAAAAGTATAAACCATTCTATAAGAAGAAAAAAAGCACATTATCTGCAGAGATAAACCAAGTATCAGAACCATCTTCAAATATGGTATGGATATTGGATTTATCAGCTAGGTAATTTAAAATAATTATAATTAATAAGTGAAGGGTTCTAATAGAAAAAGTAAACAACACCCAAGAGGAGATGGGTAATGTAAGCAGAGAGGTGGAAATGTCAAAAAAAAAACCAAAAAATATAAATTTAAGGATTAACATAAATGAAGAATGTCTTTGATGAGCTCATCAGTAGACCAGAAACAACCAAGAAAAGGGTCAGTGAGACTGAAGATATGTCAATAAAAAATTTCCAAGTTGAAATGCAAAGAGAAAAATAAAGAAAGAAAAAAAGAAAACAAAAGAGAATATCCAAGAATTGTGGGACAATTTCAAAAGGCATAAGACATACATAATTGGAATACCAGAAGGGTAAGACAGAGAATGGTGTGGAATAAATATGTGAAACAATAATGACTGAGGATTTCCAAAATTAATGATAAACACCAAACCACAGATTCAGGAAGCTCAATGAGCAACAAGCAGGATAAATACAAAATATATATATATATATAGATATACACTTAGGCATACGATATCATAATTGAGAAAAACAAAAACAAAGAGAAAATTCTTGAAAGAAGCAGAGTGAAATAAAAAGCCTTATTTATAGAGGAAAAAAGGTACAAATTACAGTAGACTTCTTGTTGGAAACCATGTAAAAAAGAAGACACTGCAATGAAACATTTAAAGTGTTGATAGAAAAAAAATCAAGAATTATACATATGATGAAATTGTCCTTCAAAAGTAAGGGAGATAAAGACTAAGAAAAACAAAAATTGTAGAAAATTGTTGCCCATAGACCTGCCTTGCAAGAAATGTTAAAGGAAGTTCTTCAGGGAGAAGGTTTCCCAATACTGACACAGCATTTAAACATAACAATTTTTCTACAAGAGGAAATGCTCAAAATGTAATTTTTAAATCTAATTGTGTTAATTTAGATTTTATTTTTCTGATTTTTAATTGGTCTAATAAATACATATTCAGAGTATGAAAATTAACAGTATATTGGATGTTTATGGCATTTGGATAAGTGAAATAAATGACAGCCATGTTATAAGGGAACATAGAAGGGAAGAATTGGGTAGCACATGGACTTTGTTAGAAGGTCCCTGTGCTACCCATGAAGGAATGTAGTGTTATTTGAAAGTGGATTAGCTGAAAATGTATATTTCAAAGCCAATAGCAACCATTAAAAGCTCTGTTAAGGCATTATAATTGATATGCTAAAACAGGAGAGAAAATAGAACTTTGTAAAATGCTCAAAGTCACAACAGGCAAAAGAGGGGAAGATTTTAGTCACACACACAAAAAATGCAGAAAATAGAAAACCATTGTAATAAACATGGCAACTATCAATCCAACTAAACCAATAATGACTTTATATGTATATTGTCTAAATATACCAATTAAAAGAACGAGATCATCAGAGTGTATTAAGAAGCAGGCCCAACTATATATTGTCTACAAGAAACCCACCTTACATATAAAAACACAGATAGCTCAAAAGTAAATACATAACATATACCATGCTAACACTAATAAAAAGAAAGCTGGAATAGATATATTTATTTCAGACAAAGATGACCTCAGAGAAAGAAATATTCTCAGGGATAAAGCGGGGCATTGCATAGAGATAAATGTGTCAAATCTTGAAGAAGACATAACAACCCTTAATATGTATGTATCAACAACAGGGCATCATAATATGTGAGACAAAAACTAATTGAACTGCAAGGAGAAATAGACAAATCCACTGTTATAGGTGGAGACTTCAACACATCTCTACCAGTAATTGATTAATCCATCATCAGGCCAATCTGCAAGGATATAATTGAAATGAACAACACTATTAATCAACTTTATCTAATTGATATTTATACAGAAAGAAGCCTCAGCAATCTCCAAGGAGGTATGAAGTTGGATCACCTCTGTCCATTTCACTTTGCTGATATGAGGATATATTGAGAGAGAGAGAGTGCATGTGTGTGTGCATATGTGTGTGTGTGTGTCCAGACCAACACCAGGCATAATACTACAACAAGGTATGACTTGAGTGTATATTTATTTAATCTGAATCTTTAATATATTCACCTTTACTTATTGTTAAAAAAGGTACTCTTCTGGCCGGGCGCGGTGGCTCACGCCTGTAATCCTAGCACTTTGGGAGGCCAAGACAGGCGGATCACGAGGTCAGGAGATCGAGACCATCCTGGCTAACACGGTGAAACCCCGTCTCTACTAAAAACACAAAAAATTAGCCAGGCATGGTGGCGTGCACCTGTAGTTCCAGCTACTCGGGAGGCTGAGGCAGGAGAATGGCAGGAATCCAGGAGGCGGAGTTTGCAGTGAGCGGAGATCACGCCACTGCACTCCAGCCTGGGCGACAGAGTGAGACTCTGTCTCAAAAAAAAAAAAAAAAAAGGTACTCTTTCTACTTTACATACCTCTGGAGAAGTGACCCTGAGCCTTGGCCTGTTTTCAGGCGCCATGCTACCCCACTGTTACCCAGACTAGTGGCACAGGTTATGCACACTGAACCCTCAGCTCGGCTGCTCTCTAGTTTTAGATTGACCTCTCCATTTGTTTTACCATGGGCCTTGCCATGACTCAGTAGATGTGTATAGTTCCAAGTACTCTCCTGTTCATTAAATTAATGCCTTCAAAGCTTTACTGTTATATTTAAAATACTTAATATTTCACTACAATTAAAATTTAAAAAAAATTTTAATGAAAAAACTGAGTGCTACTTTGTACAGAAACTGTGTGGCCCATAATTAAAGACCACATTGGCCCACATTGAATTAGAACTATATGGACCACTGGAAATAAGGACTAATCAGACACTCCAGCAAACTTTTCAGTGTCTTCCTACAATGCATTCCATCCAAAAGTACATGAGCAAGTTTCTGAATTTTTTGACATTTCCAACAGCAAGAGAAAATCCAGGCAATGCAATTTTTAGTCCAAATATAAAATATTCAGTACATTGTCAAATTTTATTACAATCACAGGGAACATGAGATAAAATCTGATCTATTAAGAGAAACCTGGAAAATACTGTCATACACTTGTGACCTATAACTGACCTCCTGCTAGTAGTGAAGAGAAGGGAATGAATAAACTAAATTAACTAGCTGGTATTAAAAGGAGGAAAGTATTGCCTTTAATTTTTTTTTTCTTAACCAGTAAATAAAGCACGATAATTATGTTTTCTCAACCAGCAAATAAAGCATGATAATTACGTTTATGGTCACAGTGCCTGGCACACAATATGCTCTCAACAGATATTAACTGTCTCATCTTTTTCCACCCAGGAACCCAAGGCCAAAGGTTACAACCCATGTGTTATATAAACTCTGAATGTAATAAAATTTGACTGTCATCTGCTGCCCGCAGACATATCTGCCTTAAAAAGAGCTATTCCTGTTATATTTGCATTATCAATACACATCTTTTCCTCCTTCAGCTTCATTCAGCAGGCTCTGTGACCACTCTGATACAAATTCTACCCCAGTGGCAGCTAGAACACTCCTGGTATCCCAGAAGGAACAGAAACAAGAGTTTGCTCTGCCTCTCGATCTGTACTCTGGGCTTGGAAGCAGCAGCTATCTTAATAAGTCTGCCCAGTCTTGCTTCTCATTAAGGAATATTTAACACTCTCCAAATATTAATAAGGATCTTCTTACAAATGTGATCTTACTTGGGAGCAAAGCCTTATGGCTTTCTTTTTATAAACCAGACTAAAAACACAGCATAATCCTTCTGTTAATAAGGAAGGAGAAAAACAAAGAATCAGTTCTTTGCTTGTGGCAAGGAATATGTTGTTAGACCTCCATGCATCTGTGGACTCTGTAAAAAGAAAACTCTTACTAATAATTTCTGAACCTAAAGTTAACTGTGACTCCCAATGAAGCTTCTTCCCATAAACTAGAATCCTTTTAATCCTGAAGCTGTGTATTTCCAAATTAAAAAAAAAATCACCTGAGTCTTTCTTTAAATGTGTTTAACAAAAAGTTCTTTTTTGCCAATGTGTGTCAGGCACAAAGAGGATTCAATTCTTAACAAATACTCCCTAGTTGCCTAAACCACAAAACTATTGGCACAGTCGAATATATATTTACTTGATTCCTACGCTGTGCAAGCCTATGCTTGTTGTTTTAAGGAATATAGGAAATATTAAGTGTCTGTTCTCACAGTCCAGGCAAATCTATACATAAACCTCAACTCCACCACTAACTAGCTGGGTTAGCTTTGATTTTCTTATTGGAGCATGTTCTAAAGATCATTTGACATGTTTTTTTCACCATAGATACGTCTTGTGCTGCTGGGAGAGCTTACACTATAGTCTGAACTTCTACAGAGCCTTTTCCTACTGTAAACCTCACTCAAAAATGACAGCCTTCCATTTCACAAGGTAAATAGACCACAGCAGTATTCCCAAGTATGGAATATGCTAACTTCACCCAAAAGAGGCCTATAAGAGGTTGTGCTTCCTTCCTAGTGGTGGAACTTTTCAAACGGATTAATTTGTCCCTTACTTTGCCCTCAAAACCAAGGGTCAACAAACTACTTGTCACAGGCCAAATTTAGCCCACTGCCTGTTTATTGTGAGTAAAGTTGTATTTTCATACAGCCCATTCATTTGCAAATTGTGTATGGCTATATTTGTGCTTCAACGGCAAAGCTGAGTAGTTGTGATAGTGTCTGGCCTGCAAAGCCTTAAATCTTAACTATTGGGTCTGACCACTTGCAGAAACAGTTTGCCAACTGCTGCTCTGAACCTCTGAACACTCAGTAGTTCCTCTCATGTGGCAGATATCTGAATCTTTATAGGTTTTATGTCTTATCATCTGTTGTCCATGTATTTTTCCAGACCTCTAAACTTTTTGCCAAATCTTGCTCATCTATTCTGATTAAATAAGTTTATAAAGTGGCATGGGCACCCTATGATTTTTAACTTCTTAATGATTAATCACATTTAGCCTTCCATTATCTTTCTCCAATGCATCAATAGCTCCCAGCAACAGCCAACCAATCCCATAATCCTTTTATTGACTACTTCCCTGTACCTCTCAATTACCTGATATATTGTACCGGAAGAGCTTTTTCATCCAATAATATACTTCCGCAGTCCTCTATCACTGAAACATTGGACAACTGTACTGCTATATCTTGCCAGGGTTATCATTCCTCCTCCTACCAACTTGTAGGTGATGCAACTCTCAAATTCCACTTTAGTATCTGTCTTTGTACTACCCCTGGTACCCTAATATCAACTGTCATTGGTTGGGTTCCTTAGAAAAGGAGATGAATTTACATGCAGCAGAACTTTTGAGGGTGTGTGCTAAAGATCAACTCCCAGAAGTGAGGAAAGCTGAACTGAGCATAGGGAGGAATTGAACTGTGATGAAGTTGTAACAGAGAACTCAGATGATCCCATGGAATGCTCTGGAGCTGAGCCAGCCCAGAGTAAGTCTGGAGGGCCAAGTCATTGTACTCCCACAGCAAGCAGTTTTTAACAGGTTGCAACAAGGGGTGGGGTATTATCTTCAGTGAGGCAGCTCTCTTCAGTCCAGAGCAAATCGTAGAAAGAGTTATTGTATTTGTGAGCTGTTAGTAGACAATAGTTTCAGCCTGACCCCTGAAGTGGGTCTAGACAGCACAACACACTATCCATTCCACGGATGTAACGAGCAAAAAAAAAATCCTAGAAGGGTACTTTAATTCCAATAGTGAGATGGTTGGAATAACAAGCCAATAATAACCAAAGCTAATAGTCAAACGCTCTTGGAATGAGTTCTTGGAATCGAAGACAGCTTTACATGCCGCATCAGATGTGTATTGCTGATGGGAATGTCAAACAGTATAGCCACTCTGGAAAATAGTTTGGCAGGTTCTTAAAAACTAAACAAGCACTTGTCATATGGCCTGGCGATTGCATTCTTAGTCATTTAACCTGAAGAAATGAAAATTGATATTCACACAAAAACCTGTACAAAAAAGTGCATTACAGCCCAACACTAAACCCAGATGTCCTCCAATGGATGAACGGTTAAACAAAGTGTGATACATCCACACTATAGAATATTACTCAGCAATAAAAAGGGAAACAAAAAAACAAAGAACTATTGGCACATAGAACAACCTGGATGGGTCTTTATGATGAATGGGAAAAAAGTCTCAAGAGATTACACACACTGTAGGGTTCTAGTCATATAGTATTATTGAAATGACATTACAGAAATGGAGAATAGGTTAGTAGTTGCCAGGCTCAGGAGTGGTAGGAAGAATTGAATTGGCTGCAGCTATAAAAGAGTAGCATAAGGGATCCTCCTGATGGAAGTATTCTGTTTTTTGACTGTGGTAATACATGCAAGCACATAATTAAACTAGTGATATCTGAATAAGATGAATGGATTCTATGAGAATTCTCCGGTTATGATATTGTACTATAGTAATATAAGATATCACCATCGGTGGAAACTAGTTAAAGGGTATACAGGTGCTCCCTATATTATTTATTACAACTACATATAAATCTACAATTATATCAAAATAGAAAGTTTACAAAAATATTTTGTGATGTGTTTTACATTCTGTAAAATACCCAAATAGAAGTTTTAATTAAATCATAGTTGGCAACAATTTGCAGGTATTTCTATTGTTTTTGTTGGTGGTAATATTTGCTCATATGAACCTAAGCACTATGAGGCCAGGCATTTACTCACCAGATCTGGTCTGGGGTTACATATGGGACTGAAAACTCACATATCATCTGGTTAGAGTAGCAAAAAGCAAGAAGACCTGGACAGTCTTCTCCATGCACAGGCCAAGCAGAGATGCACGGAGCAGCAGGAGGGATTAGAGTCTTGCATCCTAGGTTGACTTATCTATTTACCATTTTATTGCTTGAAATACAAAACCTTGTTAAAATTCATGTGACCGGGCATAAGTTTAACTCTCAAGTTAGACATGTTACTTTAGAAACACAGATGGAGCACCTTCAAGAGAACGGCGGATGATTTCAGCCAATATTTAATTGAATTAGAATATTGGAAGGAGCTCATACTATTTTGTTTATCCTACAAAAGGAAAGTCTTTAAAAGAAAGGTGGTAGGATTTTTTTTAATGTTATCACGATTCAGAATTACACCTCTAGGAGCAAATTACAAGAGGAGTATTTCAACTCAATATAAGAAGAACATTTTAAGTTATCATTACCCAATAATAGAATACACTGCATCAGAACATCGTAGGCATCCTCATCCCCAGAGAGATTCAAGAAGAAATGGTGGCTGAAAGAGAAGCAGAATGAAGGTTATATGCAATATCTTCTGAATTTCTTTTGAGACTTCAGAATCTATAAATAGATTTTTTACATAATTTATTTTATATATAGGATAATTGAAGGAAGGAATGATTTTCAATGAAAAGGCCTTATTTAAAATTCTTACAATAGCCAGAAAATAATTTTGGCACCAATTTCAATTGGTGGCACTACCCCTAATGCCCAAGAAGATAGAGAACTTCCTTTGCTGTGATGTAATTCTTTTCTTCCTCAAAACTGGGACAATAATCAGTTGTACTTGATTTCATAATTTTTTGTGTGTTGAATAAAATTTTATTTAAAAATAATAAAAAGAATAATTTATATTTTATTATCCCTTGGATTTAAAATAACAACTACAATATTGTTATATTTTCTACTCTTTTGCTTAAAAATTTAATAGCACCTTCATTTAATACATTAGTATATAATCTCATCATTGTTATTTAAATTGTCATATTATTTCCTGCTGTCATCTCTTTAAGAAGAGAGATGGTTTACCCTATAATATTTTGGGGTAAATAACCCTGTTTGGAATGGTAGAGTAAATTTACATGTGGTTGGTGAAAATAGTATTCCAATTATTATAAATCCCTGGTAGAAATATGGCATAGGAGAGAAGTTTACAGGGTAATATTATGGTATGTATTTTTATCTATTTTATTTTATTTTATTTACTTTTATTTTTTGTAGAATCAGAGTCTTGCTATGTTGCCCACGTGGTATCAACTCCTGGCCTCAAGTGATCTTCCTGCCTCAGCTTACCAAAGTGTTGGGATTACAGATGTGAGCCACAGTGCCCAGTCTGTGTGTGTTTTTATAATTGGAAGTACATGACATCTTTTACACAATATGCAAATGCATATTGAGGAAGGAGGGAGAGCAACTATGTCTAAAAGTAATCACAATAAGTCTTGACCCATTAACTGTACAGATCAAAATCCACACCAATTTTAGATTCAGAGAACACTATGTCTTTTTAAAAATCTATTTAGAAACTACTTACAGTATTTTTTAGAAAATGCACAGGAACCCCTGTTAAGAAATAAAATATTCCTTGCAATAGTTTGCTGAGAATGATGGTTTCCAGCTTGATCCATGTCCCTATACCTAATGTTAAATGACGAGTTACTGGGTGCAGCACACCAATATGGCACATGTATACATATGTAACTAACCTGCACGTTGTGCACGTGTACCCTAAAACTTAAAGTATAATAAAATAAATAAATAAATAAAATATTCCTAACAGAGTTGAAGGCCACGCACAACCTTGTCATTTCACATGCCTATTTCACTGTCCTTCCCAATCAGAATAATCATTATGAACTTGGTGTTTATAATACCCATACATTTTATACCATTTCTTTCCAAGCACTTTTAGGAACATTTAGAAACTTTTAGTTACATTTAAGAAATGCGCACTGAAACAAATATAGTTCTATGATGTATTTACTGTTCAACAACAAGAGACACCAATTGTACACTGAAGTAGGAAACCATGGACTGGAATTCAGAGGCTTAACTCTGGTTCTGGCTCTCCATCAGCTAGCAAGTCACTTATCAATACACCTTATTTCCCTAATGTCTACAATGAAGAGGTGAAACTAGTTTAGCTGTTTCAAGCTTTTTACCAAAACAAAAAATGCTTTTTGGTTGTTTGTTTTTTTCAATTTATATTCTGCAATTTGTGACACTAGTAAAAGTACCCGGTCTACCTTTCCTAGTTCATAAATTATCATAAAGTCACCAACAAATTTTCTGGTCTGTGTAAGGTACTCAATGTTTTCCCTCTGAGTAATTTTAATTCTAATGTAGATGAAAAAAATAGGTCATTTTAATATACCTGTGGTACATTCTTATACTGGGTATATAGAGTCTCTCTCTCTCTCTTTCTCTTTCTCTCTGTGTGTGTGAGTGTGTAGGCAATATCTGAAGGATGATCTTTAAGTATCTAGAATAAATTGAGTCAAAAATCTATTTTGAATACAGGTGACAGCTTCAATTTCAAAAACATTTACTTACGGGTCTTTCTATGCTTTGCATTCAATAATTCAACTCAACACAAAATGCTGGCGTCATTCTCATCTTTTAAAGGAATGATAGGCATGCGTCCAGCTACATGATAAACACAGACTTGTATTAAATTTATTTATATTTGAAGTTTGACTATAAGTTGCAGTAGTCTGCATAACTAAGAATCTCTATTACTCTAAACACCCATATTTTCAGATGTTGGTTTTCATATTCAATGTTTCAAGACTGAAGGTACAAGTGAAATTATTATCAAAATATGATCCATGCACACCTGCATTAGAATCACATATGATATTTGTTAAATTCTGAGTTTTGGAGAACTTACTCAGACCTAATGCATCGTAATGCAGGCCATGAATATCTTGACACAGAATAAATAACAATTGAGAACTGCATTTCAGAAAAGTTTCTTAGCTGATTCTTTTGTTTCACAACTTCTCTCTAGTACAAGAGCCCAGCTCCCCTCTCCAGCTCCATTAGAGCCTCTGGGATCTATTCCACCATCAGAATAACAACAACAACAATGATAATACAATATTCTAGAACTTAAATTGGCATAAACTCTCAGCTCTTCATTAGAAAGAGAATCTATTTGGTGGACTAAACGAGACTTAGTATTTGTAGGGACCCAGATCCCTACTGACAAGAGCCTGAGTCTAGGAAGTACTTAACATAGTTAGAATCACTGCGGTAATTACAAGAAAGGTTCTGTCATGTTAGTTGTTAGTGTGCAGAAGAGATTTTTATCTTCAAGAATAGAGCATAATTACCAAATGGAAAACAAAAAAACTCATCCCAGAAGCAATATGTTAATTAACTGACTTAACAACATGTTGTCTTTACATTTTGACTTTGATTATAGCAGAGTGAAGCTAGTGTGTGGGCAGGGTGGAGGTAGGGGGGCAAGGGAATGGAGTGAATAAAACATCTTCCAGCTCTTTGGCTTTGAGGCAGAGACCAGCTGTCAAAATTAATATGAGATTCATAGGTTCAGTACCTGACATAAATTAGACTGAGTGGAAGGAGAAATGTTAATGGAACTTGAAAATAAATCCCATAGCACCTGTATGTACAGGTTTTTTTTTAATACAGTGATTATTCCCAGCTGCATCATTATGATGACTTTCTAAAGAGTGAACTTAGCATCCTGAGGTCCTTTTGTGGGGTGAGAGAAGATGCAAGTTGAGACAAAGCATCGTATTTTTACTGACAGGAGACCAAAACAGTCAATTAAAAAAAAAATCACTAAATTGTATAAAAGTAGCACAACTAAATTTATTTAATTTTAAATGCAAATAAAGTATTGAAAAAGTTAATTAAAAATATTCTGAAGGTTTAGTTTTGTTTGATGTTAGCTGGAGAAAAACATTTAAATTTTATCTTTAAAATAAAACATTGATTGGGTGATCATAATCATGTCTGCATGTTCCACAGAAACTACCTGTGTGGCCATATCTCTGCGGGAATCCCCACAGTTAGTTAGGTCCTTGCTAATCAAAATGTGTTACTTACACCTGCAGCGTCAGCATCTCCTGGGAACTTGAAAGAAATGTAGGCTCTCAGGCCCCACCCCAGACTCGCTGAATCACAATCTGCATCATCATCAAATCTCAGATGATTCAACTGAACATGAATGCTTTTAAAGCACTGATTTAGGCCATTAAATAAACTGCCTCTTTTTAATTAGTTTGAAAAAGAAAATACTTTAAAAATAAGATTTTATTTTGCTAGGGCCCTAGACAATTGAACAACTTACTATTCCACAACATAAAATGATTTTAGACCTGGAGGGGTTTTTGAAACCATTTTATCCAATCCTTTGTTTTATAGATTAGGAATCTAAGAGCTCAAAAGACAGAATGACAGGCCCAAGGTCATACAGCTATTTAATTACAGAGCTGAAAAGCAAGCTCGGATGTCTTGGTTTCCAGTTCAAACATGGAAATAAAGCAAGACTGATCTGAAAATAGTCAGTGATGTTTCAATTATTTTTTACAAATATTTCATACCAAAAAGAAAAAGAAATACATTTCCCGTCACTTTGCCTCACAAACATGTATACAATTATTTGTTTTCTTGGTTTGTACAATAATTGGGTCAAGCTGTCATATGTATTTAAAGACACACTTTAAAATTAAATTTCTTTTTACACTAGGACCTCTCTTCTGCTAGCTCTGCTCATCTCAGCCACTAGTCTTCAACTCTACTAGTCATTTTAATGCTGGTTTTTTCATCTTTGATGATAGATGTGTTCACTAAATAGGCCCACTATTGTGTAAACAACTAGTTACCAGGGATCACGGGCGAAAGGCCCTTTTCAAGACAGAAGAGCACTGGAGAGAGTGGACTGGGTGTTTCTTTTTCAGTGGTAGGTAACTAGTCCTTGAATATTGCTGAGTCAAAGGAAAACCACCAAGCCCAGAACCCTCACGGCAGGTAAAGCTGTGCCCTGTTAGGAGAAAGACGCTTCGTCAACACTAAGATGTCACAGTGCCAGTGTGCTGCTGAGGCAGTTGAGATTATGTCATACATGCTGTTTTAAATGCTAATCTTTATAAAATATTGGCCAAGCAATACATGCAGCAGAAATTTCAAGATGAATAAAGAGTTCTAGAGGAGTAAAGATTGAGAAATTAAGAAAATATTTTTAAAATTTATTTTTATTTGATGTTTATTACCAACATAAAAATGGATAAAAATGTATTATGTTACAACTGTAAATTTCCTTTGACACCTAAATCACTTATTAAGGCTAAGTTAGGCAGTGAAAAAGATGATTAAGCAGCCCCCTAATATCTATTTGAATTACAGCACACCTTCTCTGGAATTTTCTCACTGGTCAACTTGATCACCTTACCTCCTGTGAGATTTTGGTATTGGAGGATACATGGCTGAGAGACAGAGAAAGAGGAAAGGAGAGGGAGAGAGTAGTGAGGTGGGGTGGAGTAAAATGAAAGCCAGAAGATGTAACCTAATGTTTTAAATGTAAATAAATATGCAAATATGCAGTTAAATTACATATTTATTTCCTGTTGTTCTTCTAAAATTGAATTTAACTGATGTGTCATACTCTGTGCATTTTAGAAATGATTTCTAAGTATTAAATTTCTCTTTCTGAGCACTCCATTGAATATGGAATACCCACAATAAAAGATATGTAAAATTGCTGCAAAGTATGTATGGAGCTCAGCACTACAGAACGTATTTGTTAGGAAATATGTCTACTGTCTACTGCAAATAAACAATGAAAATTCCTAGGTAACCTTAATGTGCTATGCATACAACACACTGTCCACTATTTTTTTAGATAAGGATACAGGAGTTTCAGGCATGCCAGTATCCTGTCTGTCCCTGGGTTCCTCTGTATGCACTAAATCTTATACATTGGCATGAATTCCCTCTGCATCCTGCCTCAGTTAAAATAGTATTTCTTTTATCCTCCTCACTTTGTAGTCTGGGAGGCTACCAGCTTGTGAGTGGCAGCTGCTCTCTGAATGGCGCTATGGCTGAAACACAAAACGCATGGTAATGTCAATCACGTATAATCTCTCTCAAATACACCTAGAAAGAGGAAGTATAAAGCCTTCCCATGGACATTATTTTGTTATTTTTCTTATTTGTCGTTGTTGTTGTTGCTGTTTGTCCATAAGCCAGTTTATTTTTTTCTCTAGAGTATATATGACTTTCATTTTATTTCTCTAGGATGTAGAGATGACAATGTGGTTTTTAGAATTAAGTTACAGAACATAAATGAAAATAAATGAGTGCTGGAGACTTCTTGTTCTTGGAATGTAGAAGAAAAACAGAGAAATGCTCAGCAAACAATCTAGAAATGTACTATAAGATATAGCGAACATCCTTTTACATCTATAGCTGAGTAGCTGAGTTTGCAAAAAAGAGAAATCCCAGCTGATAAGAAATGCAAGGACAGGCTGGGCTCGGTGGCTCATGCCTGCAATCCCAGCACTTTGGGAGGCCTAGGTGGGTGGAAACCTGAGGTTAAGAGTTTGAGACCAGCCTGGCCAACATGGTGAAACCCCGTCTCTACTGAATATACAAAAAAATTAGCCGGGCATGGTGAAGGGCAACTGTAATGCCAGCTACTCGGGAGGCTGAGGCAGGAGAATCGCTTGAACCTGGGAGACAGAGGTAGCAGTGAAGTGAGATCGTGCCATTGCACTCCAGCCTGGGCAACAAGAGCAAAACTCCGTCAAAAAAAAAAAAAGAAAAAGAAAGAAAGAAAAAGAGAAAGAAAAGAAAGAAAGAAAGAAAGAAGGAAGGAAGGAAGGAAGGAAGGAAGGAAGGAAGGAAGGAAGGAAGGAAGAAAGTAGGAAGGAAGGAAGACAAGGAAAGAAAAAAGAGAACAGAACAGAAAAGAAATGAAGTTCAAGGACAACACACAACACAAAACAATGTAAACAGAAGCAGACCCTGCCAACAGAGACTATGGGCTTTATATCTCTGGGACTTCTTCTCTGATGCCCACATATCGAAAGCAGAGGAGGCCTTTATATTCATATAAAATGAAGAATTGGAATTGAGATCCCTACATAACGTCTGAACTCATACATGGCTGATCGTTTTGTAGAAGAGTAGTCTAGGAACAGTTGCCTGTCTCTGACTGGGCTTGGAGTAAGGAAAACAACTCTTAAGATTCTGTAACCAGAGGCCTCTGTCTTATGCTTGCCCAACATACACACTGGAGTGATCAATTCAATCTAATGATTACTTAATGAAAGAAAGAGAAAGACAAGGTGAGAAATTAATTGGTTCTATGCCTTTAAAAATTTCTTAAAACCATTATTAGTTAAAGAGGTAGGTAAAGAGTCCTTCGGGCAAAAAAAGAAGGCATATGCAAAGGTCCTGGGTTGGAGAAAATAGGGCACATTTGAAGAATCAAATGAGGTCTCATGAAAAGGGAAGTGAGACAGCAAGAGAGACTAGAATTGGAGTGGCTGAAGATAGACAAATTATGAAACCAGGTGTACAAACAGCTAAAAATAAGCAGAGCTGCACAAAGTGAACACAATTTGGGAACTGACACATTTGTCCATGACTAATCACTAAAGGCGTTTTTATGGGTTACTGCATTTCACAAAATGAGAGATCTTTTTATTATTATTTTAGACACATTCGTGGCAAAGGACTACATGAATACCGTTGTCATTTTTTGAATCCGAACCCTAGGTCCTTGAGCTAGAACTAAAAATTCTATAAATAGTTCCTGGACAATTTTCTAGACTTGATCTAGCCTTGAACAGATTGAGTACTGTGGTAGGTAGGCTGTCTTCCCTAAATATGCCCATTTCTTCACCAACAAAATCTATGAATTTATTTCCTTACATGGCAAAATGGACTTTGCAGACACAATTAAATTAAGGATCTTGTGATGAGGAGGTTGTCTTGGGATTATCCAGGTAGGCCCAACATAATCACCAAGGTCTTTACGAGAGTGGGACATTTGAGCCAGAGTCAGAGAAAGAGACATGACCATGGGAGAAGAGATTGGAGTGATGCTGCCACAAACTGAAAAAAGAAAAAAAAAAAAGGCAGCCTCTAGAAGCTGAAAAAGGCAAGGAACTCATTCTCTCCTACAGCTCTCAGGAGAAATACAGCCCTGCTGACCAATTTCAAATTTCTGATCTTTAAAACTGTAAGATAATAAAGTTGTGTTGTTGGAAGTTACTAAATTTGAGGTGATCTGTTAAAAAAAAAAGAAAAAGAAAAAATTGGAAACGAATACAGATACCTAGCGTAAGCTGAATGAAGGGATAAGGGTAAGTTAATAACAAAGTTTTTTTTGTTTTTGTTTTTGTTTTTGTTTTTATGGTGGGGGATGGTGCCTTGCTCTGTCACCCAGGGTAGAGTGCAGTGGCGCGATCTCGGCTCACGCAACCTCCGCCTCCTGGGTTCAGGCAATTCTCCTGCCTCAGCCTCCTGAGTAGCTGGGATTATAGGCACCTGCCACCACACCTGGCTAATTTTTGTATTTTTAGTATAGACGGGGTTTCACCATGTTTGCCAGGCTAATCTCGAGCTCCTGACCTTGTGATCCACTCGCCTCAGCCTCCCAAAGTGCTGGGATTATAGGCGTGAGCCACCACACTCGGCCACAAAGATTTTCTAATAGCTAATTTTGATAAACACATGCAAGTCCACAGTTACACAATTCAACAATACAGACGTGTGCTGTCTAATACCCAATTCAATAATACAGATGTGTGCTGTCTAATACAGTAGCCAGTAGTGACACGTGGCTGTTGAGCACTTGAAGTGTGACTAGTTCTAACTGAGACGGGTTTAAAGAGTGAAACACAGAGTGGATTTAGAAAATGTAGTATGAAAAAATGTAAAATATCTCAGTAATGAATTTATAGCAGTTATATGTTGAAATAGTAATATTTTGGATAGATTGAGTTTAATGAAATATATTGTTGAAATGGGTTTCACTAATTCTTTTTGCTTTTTTTAATGTGGTTATTAGGATATTTAAAATGACATATGTGGGAGGTGCAGCAGGATGGCCAACTAGAAGCCTCCATCAATTGTCCTCCTTGCAGAAATGCCAAATTGATCAGCTATCCTCACAAAAAGCACTTTCATAAGAATGAAAAATCAGCTTATATACCAGCTTGGCCACAGTAAGGTAGAGCACTAAGCAGGCTTTTGGGGTCCCCAATTTCAGGCCTTGGCTCTAGAACAACATTTCTGGACCTGCCCTGGGCCAGTGGGGAGTCCACTATCCTAAAGGCAGTGTCTGAAGCCTAGCAGCAGTCACCACAGGTTAACTAAACAGCTCTTGGTCACTGAATGAACATTAGTTGTAGCCAGGCAGTACTCGTTGTGGGCATGACATGATGGTGGCCATGGGGAAAGATTCCTCTGCCTGTGGAAAAAGGAGACAAGAGTGGGAAGAACTATGATTTGTGGTTTTGGTACCAGCTCAGCCATATTGTAATAGAGAACCAGGTAGATTCTTAAGGGTTCCAATTCCAGGCTCTGGTTCTAAGACACCATTTCCAGACTTGACCAAGAACAGGGGGACCTCGAAGCCACGAAGAAAAGGACTGAAGCCTGGCTAGATTCATCATCTGCTGATTGTAGAATCCTAGGGTCTTGAACAAACATAGGTGGTAGCCAGGCAGTGGTTACCAGGGGCCATGAGCAAGACCCAGTGCTGTGTGGCCTTCAGGTCTGACCTAGTGGTGGTGGCAACAGGGGTGTTTGTGTCCCCCTTCACCCAGCACCAGGTAGCTCAGTATAGAGACAAGGAGTCTGTTTTGGAGAAAGTAAGGAAAGAGTACAAAAGTCTCTGCCTGGTAATCCAGAGAATTATTCCAGATTTTACCCAAGTTCAACAAGGTGATACCTCTACAAGTCTTCAACAGCCACATCATTATTGGGCTTGCAGTGTTCGCTAATGCAGATGCAGCTGCTGTGACTGAAAACTTGGATCACAACACTGAAGTCCCTTTGAATACCTGGAAAGCCTTCCCAAAAATGACACTACAAACAAGCCCAGACTGTGATGACTAAAGTAAATACAAAACTCTTCAATGCCCAGACACCAGTGAACATCTATAAGCATCAAGAATGTCCAGGAAAATATGACCTCACCAAACAAAGTAAGTAAGGTACCAGTGATCTATCCAGGAGAGACAGAGACCTATAAACCTTTCAGATGGAGAATTCAAAATAGCAGTTTTGAAGAATCAAAAAAATCAAGATAACACAGAGAAAGAACTCAGAATCCTATTAAACAAATTTAACAGAGATTCAATTAATTTTAAAGAATCAGGCAGAAATTCTGGAGCTGAAAAATGCAGTTGACCTACTGAACAATGCATCAGAGTCTCCTAGCAGCAGAATTGATCAAGCAGAAGAAGGAATTACTGAGCTTAAAGACAGGCTGTTTGAAAATACACAGAAGAGACAAAAGAAGAAAGAAAGAAAAAAACTAAAGCATGCCTACAACATCTGGAAAATAGCCTCAAAAGGGCAAATCTGAGAATTATTGGCCTTGAAGAGGAAGTAGAGAGAGTGATTGGGTTAGAAAGTTTGTTCAGTTAATAACAGAGAATTTCACCAGCCTAGAGAACTATGTTAACATTCAAGTAGAAGAGGGTTATAGAACACCAGGGAGATTTAACCCAAATAAGACTACAAGACATTGAATAACCAAACTCTCAAAAGTCAAGGATAAATAAAGAATCCTAAAAGCAGTAAAAAAAAAAAAAAAAAAAAAAAAAGGTGAGGTATTTTACCAACATCAGACCTGTCTTACAAGAAATGGCTTCAGAAATCTTCCAAAGGTACAAAACTCACTGGTAAAAGCAGGTACACAGAATAACAGAATATTATAACACCATGATTGTGATGTATAGACTACTTATATCTTGAGTGGAAAGATTAACAAATGAGCCAATCAAAATTAATAAGTACAACAACTTTTCAAGACTCAGATCGTACAAAAGAAAATAGAAATAACAAAAGTTAAAAAGTAGAGAAAAGTTGTTAAAGTGTACAGTTTTTATTAGTTTTCCATTTGCCTGTCTGTTAGTTGTTTATTTACGCAATCAGTGTTAAATTGTCATCAGGTTAAAACAATGGGTAATAAGATATTATTTGTAAGCCTCATGGTAGCCTCAAATCAAAAAACATAGAACAGACGCAGAAAAAATTAAAAGAAAGAAATTAAAACATACCACCAGAGAAAATTACCTTCACTAAAAGGAAGACAGGAAAAATGAAAGAAAGAAGAGAAAACTGAAAAACAACCAGAAAACAAATAACAAAATGGCAGGCATAAGTCCTTACTTATCAATAATAAAACTGAATGTAAAGGGACTAAACTTTCTAATCAAAAGACCTAGAGTAGCTGAGTGGATTTAAAAAAAAGACCCAATGATCTATCGCCAACAAAAAAAAACACAACCCACCTATAAAGACACACAGAGACTGAAAATAAATGGATATATAAAGATATTCCATGTCAATGGAAACAAAAAAGAGTAGCAGTTGTTATTCTTACATCAGAGAAATGAGATTTCGAAGCAAAAACTATAAAAGAGACAAAGAAAGTCATAGTATATAATGATAAAGTGGTCAATTCAGCAAGAGAATATGATAGTTGTAAATATATATGAACCCAACACTGGAGCACCCAGATATATAAAGCAACTATTATTAAAGCTAAAGAGAGAGATAGACCCCAATACAATAATAGCTAAAGACTTTAACACCCCACTTTCAGCATTGGACAGATCATCTAGACAGAAAATCAACAAAGAGACATCAGACTTTATCTGCACTATAAACCAACTGACCCTAATAGATATTTACAAAACATTTCATTCCATGGCTGCAGAATATACATTCCTCTTCTCAGCACGATAATTATTCTCAAGGATAGACCATATTTTGGGCCACAAAATAGTCTTTAAAAATTAAAAAAAATTTTGATATTGTATCAAGTAACTTCCCTGACCACAATGGAATGAAACTAGAAATCAATAACAAGAGGAATGGTGGAAACTATAAAAATACATGGAAATTAAACAAAATGCTCCTGAATGACCAGTGGGTCAATGAAGAAATTAAGAAGAAAACTTAAAAGCTGGGCATGGTGGCTCATGTCTGTAATCCCAGCACTTTGGGAGGCCAAGGCCAGTGGATCACTTGAGCTCAGGAGTTCAAGACTAGCCTAGGCAACATAGTGAAACCTCATCTCTACAAAAATACAAAAATCAGCCATGTGCCTGTAGTCCTAGCTACTCTAGAGGCTGAGGTGGAAGGATGTCTTGAGCCTGGGAGATGGAGGTTGCAGTGAACCGAACCATAATAAAAAGCCTCCCATAAAAACAAAACAAAACAAAAAAAAGGCTGGGACCCAATGGCTTCACTGCTGAATTTTACTAAACATTTTTTAAAGAATTAATACCAATCCTACTGAAACTATTCTGAAAAATAGAGGAGGAAGGAATACTTCTAAACTCATTCTTTTAAGCCAGAATTACACAGATACTGAAACAAGACAGACACAAAAGAAAAAGAAAATTGTGGGTCAAAATCCATAATAAAAACTGATGCAAAATCCTCAACAAAATACTAGCAAGCTGAATTCAACAACACATTAAAAAGATAATTCATCATGACCAAGTGGGATTTATCCCAGGGATGAAAGAATGGTTCAACATATGCAAATCAATTGATGTGATACATCATGTCAACAGAATGAAAAACCACACAATCATTTCAACTGATGCTAAAAAAAATTTGATACAATTCAACATTCCTTAGTGATACAAAGCTTTAAAAAAATTGAGTATAGAAGGGACACACTTCAACAAAATAAAACACACATATGACAGACTCACAGCTAGTATCATACTGAAGGGGGAAAAACAGAAAGCCTTTCCTCTAAGATCTGGAACAGGACAAGGATATCCACTTTCACCACAGCTATTCAACATAGTACTAGAAGGACTAACTAGAGCAATCAGACAAAAGAAAAAAATAAAGGGCATCCAAACTGGAAAAGAAAAAGTCAAATTATCCTTGTTTGCAGAGGTATGATCTTAGATATGGAAAATCCTAAGGACTTCACCAAAAAAAAAAAACTATTAGAACTGATAAACATATTCAGTAAAGTTGCAGAATACAAAATCAACATACACAAGTCGGTAGCATTTCTATATGCCAACGGCAAATAATCTGAAAAAGAAATCAAGAAAGTGATCCTGTGTACAATAACTACAATAAAATGAAACACCTAGGAATTAATTTAACAAAAAAAGTGAAAGATCTCTACAATGAAAATTGTAAAACATTGATGTTTCAATGTAAGAAATTGAAGAGGACAGAAAAAAATGAAATGATATTCCCTGTTCGTGGATTGGAAGAATCAATATTGTTAAAATGTCCATATTGCCCAAAGCAATCTACAGATTTATTTCAATCCTCATGAAAATACCAATAACGGTCTTCACAGAAATAGAAAAAACAATTCTTAAAATTATATGGGACCATAAAAGACCCAGAAAAGCCAAAGCTATCATGGGCAAAGAGCAAACTTGCAGGAATCACATTACCTGACTTCAAATTATACTACAAAGCTTTAGTAGCCCAAACAGTGTGATACTGGCATACAAACAGAACAGAGAGAACAAGGGAACAGAATAGAGAATCCATAAATGAATCTACACATCTGCAAGTCAACTCACTCTCAACATGGGTGCCAAGAACATACACTGGGGAAAAGATGGTCTCTTCAGTAAATAGTGCTGGGGAAACTGGATATCCCTAATTAGAAGAATGAAACGAGACCCTCTCTCTTGCCAAATACAAAAATTAAATCAAGATAGATTAAAGACTTAAATCTGAGCCTCAAACTATGAAAATACTGCAAGAATACGTTGGAGAAATTCTCCAGGACATTGGACTGGGTAAAGATTTCTTGAGTAATACCCCACAAGCACAGGTAACCAAAGCAAGAGTGGACAAATGGGATCACATCAATTTAAAAATCTTCTGCACAGCACAGGATACAATCAGCAAAGAGAAGAGAGAATCCACAGAATTTGAGAAGATATTTGCAAACTACCCATCTGACAGCGTATTAATAACCAAAATATATAAGGAACTCACACAACTCTAGTAGAAAAAAAATCTAATAATTCAATAACAATGGGCAAAAGATATGAATAGACCATTCTCAAAAGAAGACATACAAATGGCAAACAGATATATGAAAATGTGCTCGGCATCATTGATCATCAGAGAAATACAAATCAAAACTACAATGAGATATCATCTCACCCAGTTCAAATGGTTTTTATCCAAAGACAGCCAATCACAAATGCTGGTGAGGATGTGCAGAAAAGGGAACCTTCCTACACTGTTGGCAGGAATGTAAATTAATACAGCCACTATGGATAAGAGTTTGGAGGTTTCTCAAAATCTAAAAATATAATTACCGTATGATCCAGCAATCCCATTGCTATGTATTTACCCAAAAGAAAGCAAATCAGTATATCAACGAGAAATCTGAACTCCCATGTTTATTGCAGCACTATTCACAACAACCAATATTTGAAATCAAGCTGAGTGTCAATCAATAGATGAACTGATAAAGAAAATGTGATACAAATACACCATGAAGTACTATTCAGCTATAAAAAAAAGGAAATCCTGTTATTTGCCACAAGGTGGTTGGAACTTGAGGTCGTTATGTTAAGTGAAATAATTCAGGCACAGAGAGACAAATTTCACTTGTTCTCACTTAGTTGTGGGAGCTAAACTTGGATATAATTGAACTTATGGAGACAGAGAGTAAAAGGACGGTTAACAGAGTCTGAGAAGGGTAGTGAGTGGGGTGGGGAATGGGGATGCTTAATCAATACAAAAATACAATTAGAATGATTAAGATCTGGTATTTCATAGTACAACAGAATGACTACAATCAACAATAATTTATTAAACAGTTAAAAATAACTTAGAGTATAATTCGATTGTTTGTAACACAAAGAAAGAATAAAAGTGATGGATATCACATTTACACTGATGTGATTATTATGCATATGACTTTATCAAAAGATCTCATATGCCCCATAAGTATATACCTACAAAAATTAAACATAAATAAAATAAAAATTACATATGTGACTAGCATCAGTTTTCTTTTATATAGTACTGAAGTAAACATTTCCACAATAGCTACATATTTTAGACATCTTTACAGATTTAGAAATTCTATAAACTCAGAGTCAACCTCAAAATGAGATAGTATAGATATTTAGGACATTTAGCAAATGCTGTTAAACAAATGAGCTCATGTATAATACATAAGTATGTTCTAGATCAGAGTGTATATGTGGGTATTTTCACATATATTAAAACCACTAAAGTAACTTTTTTCTCTGTGACATTCCAGTCTTTTTCAATTTTAAATTCTAATCATCTTTGAAATTTTGGTATAAATATTGACTTTTTAATCTCTTATTTTGCTTCTTTGGATATGGCATTATTTTTCTCTTTTCTGGGCTAAACAAACCTCCACTGGATTAGAATAATAAATCTGAGAGAATAAAGAATGGTTTTGTTCATCTTGGCAAATACTTTGCATTGATCTAATAATGTTCTCTGTTGCATATATGGCAAGAGAATAAATTGAATACTAACACAAATCAATGAAATAAATCTATTCACTGAATACTAGAAATATTAGGAGATATAAATTTAAGCAAGTCCCTTTATATTCGGAGCTTTTGAACCTCAATCAGTTGGAATATATCTTAAGTTATATTTCATAATTACCTAAAGCTCATTAAAATCAGCCTAAGTTATTCTTGCTGCTGAGTAAATTGTTTTTGTTTTACATAATTAGGTGAAGTACCAAAAAGCCTTCCATATTTTACAATAATGTAAAACTATGTAATTTTTAGTGTGGATCATAAAGAATAAATAAAATAGTATCAGAGAAGAAATAATAAATTGCAGTTGCAATCAAATCATAGTTTTAACCTTGAACAAATGAGAGGTGCATTTGAAAGTCATTTCCATGGCAGCCCATTTGTCGATTAAATTTATCTCATCATGAAAATATAGAGCCACAATTATCATTATTCATGTAATGTATGGGAATTCATTCCAAGTGTCACTTCTGTCTCTGTCTCCTATCTGCATTTATTCCAAATGCATTTAAAGGACAATTGTTCCAAAAGGATAACTTAAAAATCAGCTTCAAGTTCTAATTTTATTTGGAAAATCAGATATGAATCCCAATGTCTTTGTCCACAAAATAAGTCCAGCAAAGATGACTTCACCACATTTAAAGTGTCTAACTCTTAATTGAAATTATTATAAGTTTTTGTTCTATTGAACACAAAAAAGCCTTTCATTTACATTAAAGGTGTTAAATATTTTCACTTGCCTCTGTTATAGCCACCCGTATCCACTACAAAGCAAACTGTCCACAGACCAAAAGAAGATTTTTGAATTGCCAGAGAGTTTTGCTTCTGTTTTTTAATTTGTTTTCATTAGGAAAGCAAGCAATAAATTAAAACTTTTACACCAGGTCCAGTGAATAGTAAGTAAGAAATAAAAGTGCATTGGTAAAATGAGACCTCATATACTGAGGATAAAAGGCCAGTGGATGAATGTTGGTTATCATGGTTTTAAAGGAATGGCAGAAAGACAGGGGAACATACAGGAAGGTAAGAAAAAAAAGCGGCCTAAAGAGTAGAAAGAAGTCCAGAGAAAAAAGGCCGTGTCACAGACAACCAAAAAGCATAGCAGCATAACTTTGGGTTGCATATCACAAAGCCATCAAGTAAGATAAGGACTTAAAAGAGTCTACTAGATACAGAAATTTGAAGATATATAGTGACATTCTATTGGCTGAAAGAAAATTTTGTTGGAAATGCAAAAGAAGGAAGCCAGATTATGATTAGTAGATACAGACACTTGAAAGCTTTCAGAAGAATATTCATCTATACCATGTGTATTTATATAAGGTTTATTATGTTAATTTCCAAAATTACAGCGGCCAAAAAATATAATTATTGGCCTTATTTTTCGACCTGCTTCTATCCCATTTTTCTTGCAGAAACTCTTTCTGAAAAAAAAATCATTGAGCTAGCAACGTCTCAATATATTATGATATGTTTTAGACTCTCTCCCTCTTCCTTTCACTAACCTCCCCCATATAAGAGAGCCATGAGGAATTAGGCATGGAAGAGTTAAGGGATATGTGTCACTTAGTGGAAATCTCTATTTTCTAAGGGCAATGTAGGTTTTGAATAGCTTTATGAAAACTCAGTAACAGGCTTCTATCAGTTATGAAAAGTTTTGTAATACCGAATAATTGAAATTGGAAATATCTATTTGGAACTCATTATGTTTTAAAATATATTTTGTTTTATCCACCAGAGGAATCTGGAAACAAAGGCATCAATAGCAACAAGCACATCTATAGACAGACCTTGGTTTCTAAACACCATTCTCTGTGCAAAGGAACCAAAAATTATCGAAGACCTTATGTCTGCTCTGGCAACATTCAGGTGATACTGGGACATCTTATTTTGCCAGAAAGAAAAGGAATATCCAAGACTAATTGCAATGTATCAAGGGGACACAGAAGCCAGCTTGAATGGGTTTCTTTTGTGAACATTTTGAGAGTTGAAAATCAAAAACTTATGGACTCAGCCAGGCACAGTGGCTCAGATCTGTAATCCCAGCACTTTGGGAGGCTGAAACAAGCAGATCATCTGAGGTCAGGAGTTTGAGACCAGCCTGGCCCACATGGTGAAACCCTGTCTCTACTAAAAATACAAAAATTGGCCAGACGTGGTGGCACACATCTGTAATCCCAGCTAATTAGGAGGATGAGGCAGGAGAATTGCTTGATTCCAGGAGGCAGAGGTTGCAGTGAGCCAAGATCGTGCCACTGCACTCCAGCCTGGGTGACAGAGGGTAACTCCGTCTCAAAAAAAAAAAAAAAAAAAAAATTACAGACTCTAATTGATTGTAAAATATTGAGTAAACAAAAATCCAAGAATGAATAGAGATACTTAAAAGATGAGAAGGAAAAAAAAAATTTACCATCATTAAAGTAGACTATTTCACCAAGGATTTACTCTGAAAATTTGATAATTAAAGTAAAATTATCTACCTGCTCTTTATATACAGAAATGAGTTTCTTGTTTGATGAAGAAAATCTCTTTATAGAAGAATGCCAGCAAATATATTGTATTAGTCTATTCCTGCACTGCTCTAAAGAAATACCTGAGACACACTTCGGGAGACTGAGGCGGGCAGATCACAAGGTCAGGAGATTGAGACCATCCTGGCTAACATGGTGAAGCTCCATCTCTACTGAAAAAAGGTACAAAAAATTAGCCGGGCGTGGTGGCGGGCTCCTGTAGTCCCAGCTACTCAGGAGGCTGAGGCAGGAGAACAGTGTGAACCCAGGAGGCAGAGCTTGCAGTGAGCCGAGATCGCGCTACTGCACTCCAGCCTGGGCGACAGAGTGAGACTCCATCTCAAAAAAAAAAAAAAGAAAAGAAAAAGAAATACCTGAGACTGAGTAACTTATAAAGAAAAGAGGCTTCATTGGCTCATGGTTCTGCAGGTTGTACAAGAAGCATAGCAGCATTTACTTCTGGGGAGGCCTCAGGAAGCTTCCAATTATGGTGGAAGACAAAAGGGGAGCAGCACTTCACATGGCCAGAGAAGGAGCAAGAGAGAGTGAAGAGGCAGGTGCTGCACACTTTTAAACAACCCCATCGCATGAAAACTCACTCACTATCACGAGAACAGCACCAAGCAGGAATGGCACTAAACCATTCATGAGAAATCCACCCCCATGATCAAATCACCTACCAGCAAGCCCCACCTCCAACACTGGGGATTACAATACAACATGAGATCTGGGGGGACACAGATCCAAACCATATCATATATATTATACGTAATGTTACAATTTGAAAAAAATCACAATTTGCAGTTGTAAAGTAATTGATTGAGGCAAGGATCATCAATTGCTACAACTATTAGGAACAAAAAGTTTCTGGAGAAAGAATCCAAAATGCACAATGCAAAAAATCATCCCTCTTTCCACACAATGCATACACATTTATAAACCTCTGGAGTGTGTGTGTGTGTGTGTAAGTGTGTATGTGTATCTTTACAATGGAAATATAGGTTCACATAATCCCCTTAGAGGTGTGACCAAATTTAGCACAACTAGTAGTCTTGACAAATGTGTTTAAGCCAAACATATTTAAGGCATTAGACCTAATTTTGAGTTTACTAAAAATAAAGGTACTACAAAAATATTATTACATGATGCAGAAACAATTAGACATATCTGAAATGTGAAATACTCAACAAAAATACTAATCTTGTCATTTAGAAGAGTCTATTTCATGACAAAAAGATGTGAAGGAATTCTTTCTGATTATAAGATATGTAATAACCGAGTGCAATATTTGAACCTTGACTATATTGTGATTTGAAGAAAGAAAAGGTAATAAAATACGTTATTATTTTATGTTAATAAATTTGAGATAATTGGAGAAGACAAGATGGTCTTACTAAAGTTTTATTGGATAATATCATAAATATTATTTATGGTATTAAATACTATTGAGAAAATACTTTTCTTAGACATGACACTGATATTATAATTAATGTGGTGGAATACCCTGTTTGAAGCACTTAGGGATGAACTATCCTAATGTTTCTAATAAGCTTTTTATATTGGAAATGTTTTTCAATTGAAACATTTTATAATAAAGCTGGGGAAATAATTTTTAAATAACTGCTGAAAATTCTTAAATGTATATGCCCAGTCCAAACTACTCTCTCTACTTCAGATGCACATTGTCAACTGTCCTTTCAAAGTCTCAACTTAGATAGTGAATAACATTTCCAACTTTCCATGGACAAACATGAACTCCTGATCTTTCATTCCAAAAGATGTCTACCTGCAGTATTCCACATCTTATATATTTCATTCCAGTTCCTCATACTAAAATCTTAGAAAACACCCTTAACATTATGATTCTGAAACTCTGTTTCCAATATGTCAGGAAATCCTGTTAACCCTAAAGTCAAAATGTATTCAGAATCTCGTTATGTCTACTGTTACCACTCTTGCCCAACCCATTGTCTCAAACTCTTACTCAAATTCCTGGAATAGCCTCCCAATTACCTCATTTCCATCCTTGCCAACTTAGAGTCTATTCTTAACCCAACATCCGGAGACATCCATGTCATGGTTCAGTGGTCCAGGGCTGGCAGGGAAGTTCTGCCAGGTAAAACATAAGACTTCACAGTAGTTACATTTGTTGCCATTTCATAGCCAACAAAGGAGAGAAAGGCCAGCAAAAGTATCTTTTATGAAATGACCTAATAATTTAATGCATAAATTCTTCTCCTATACCATTGGTTAAAATTGGTCACATGGTGACAACTAGCTATAGAAGCGACAAGGAGACACTTATGTTGTTGGATGATAATGAGTTTAGCTAAATATCAAAGTATCTGTTTCTAAAAGAAAGCATGGAAAACTATAAACTAGGAGCAGTTAGAATAACCCTCAGTTCACCACTCTGGCCATGTAAGCATCCATGCAGTTACTGCATCCAGCCCCCAATCCAGGATTTTGTGATGTGCAATCTTCTTTATCATATCTGAATTTGGCTCTTCAAAACCAGGCAATCTATTGCCTACGTGGTAGGATATCTTCTTTCTTACTCTTTGCTTCCAGTCAGTACAAGTAAAAGGGGGCACATCTAAACATCTCAACAGTTCAAAATCATTAAAACAGCAATATTTCTCCTCATGAAGCCAATTAAAACAATAGAAAGAGAATGGATGTTCTTGATCTGACTTTACATCTGGGTAACTTTAAGCAATCATCTTATCTCTTGCTGTTTGAAACACAGACAGCATTAGACTTTTTAACTTTGAAAGGTTCAAAATGTCTAGATATTCCATCACTTTAACTTCCTAGACACAAACAATCCTCCCTTACCGGCACTCTTCTGAAATCCATAACCATGTCAAACCCAGCCAGTTTTTGTGTCAGTTTCCTTTCTGTAGCCACTTACTAAACATACGAGGAGCAGCCAGCATGCAGAATCATTCTGAATTTTGTCAACTAACTTCCTCAGAGCTAGAATCTCAGGAGGACACGATCTGCCTTCCACACTAGGTCAACAACAGTTTTACCAAACATTTTGCCACAGCATAATTATGTTCTCCAGTTTCCCGACTCACAATATTTGTGAAGTTTCCATATGCAACTTTACCCATGTTACACATAATCACTGTTTTCATAATAGCAACCTACTTCCAGGAATCATATTTTATTTTCAGGAAATGGTTAACAATTTGAGATCCAAGATAAATATCCATCCACCCCCTGAAAAAAAAATAGTTTTTTTTTTTAAATAAGAAAAGCATTTTTGTCTCTACTATAATAGTTTAGAAGTGAGCAATCCAAGACTGGTTGAGAGGTTTTTGATTATACTGTAAGTCATTACCATTATCCAGCTAGCAGAGAGAAGTAAGGAGTCTACAATGCCCATAAGTTGTACACATAGTTACTTACACTTACCTAGTACTGATACAGATTTAGTCTCATGGGCACACATGATGCAATTATACAACAACAGTAAAAATATCGGCAGAAGGGTGTTCACATACTCACCTAAAACGCTTGATTTCCATTATCAAAAGATGAGAGGGAAACAGTTAATTGATCTTTATTCCAATTAATTTTGTGCCCATTACTCTACTAGACAATAGAGCTATAATAGACAAAAATTGAGCAAGATGTAGTTCCTACTGCTATGGAGTTACTGAACTTCAGGGGAGGCTGTGTATAACTTCAAGGCTGCCCAGGGGAGTACCTCTATATTTTAATAATTGAATGAAACATTAGCTTTTAGGTAAAGTCATTGTCAGTCTTTTAAAAGAAAGATGGATTAAAGATGCATTCCTGCTAATAAGGGGAGAAGTTGGCTTTGGGCAAAAAATGGAGAGAAACAAAAGATTGCTGGAAAAGAGGCAAAGGAGCATAGAAAAGAAGAAACATTTGATTGAGGACAAATTAATAAGTGAACAGACATACCTTCACACCTAGAAGAAAGAAATAATTACAAAGGTGCAGTGGACATAGGGTGAATTTATGTCCAGGTATCAAGGAAAGATAAATTGAAATGAGAGTGCTACTGGATATTTTGTTATTAGGCTGAACTGGCTTTGCCTTTTGCAGTAGATTCTTTGTCGTCCCATCCAGATCTTTTCTTCAGAATCCAGGCATACAATACTACAGCTGTTGAGAAAGTTGATTTCTGGTGGCTCCCAGGTGTGTCCCCTTCCAGACCTTCCCCCCCAAGGGTGCTGCCTCAATTAAATTTACAAGCCCTGTTTAGGGGCTTTGAATAACTCTGGGATGCCATAAGACAAAGGCCAGACTCCTTGACAAAGTTTGAGTCTAAAGAGCCACCCTCGCTCCAGAGATTACCCCCGCACACTGAGAGTGGGAGGAGACCTCCACTTTAATTACATTGCTATTTAAATTATCCCTTTGACCGATCAGTCCTGCTTGTCCCAATCCCTTGGAGTTGTTGTTCCTGAATACACCCTCCCATGAGCTTCCTGTACATAAATCTCAGTTTAGATTCTGTTTCCATGGAACTTGACCTAAAACAACTTTGAGCTTCCCATCAGTCACTGAGCTGATGTAGGATAACTCATAACCTAGGAACTGAGCTCTATCTACCTCAATCTGAAAACAAGAAGCTCTTTCACACATTCTGTAGTCCTAAAAATGATTAAGCTTTCAGGTGACAGTGCAGTAATATCTTCCCATTAGGATCTCACATTATTTTATAGCTTAATACATTTTCAAGGCCATAGTAACCACCAAATTGGGATCTGGCAATAACTGCGTGTCTTCGTCGGGTTGCAAGGAGTTGCGGAATTCTAGTATGTTACATTTACAACATACCACGGCAATCATCTAAATTATACCCATGACAGACGAAGACCCTCAGTTCACTTGTGTGATAACTTAGTACACATCACTTACTGGCTTAGCTTTTCTCTCTCTGCTGTCTTCTGAAAGTCAGGGATAATGTCTAAGTCGTTGTCTTAGTCCCAGTTTCTATTCAGTACTTTCATGTAATATTTTCTTAAAAAATGTTTGTTCGTGGAACTTAGAAATCTGAAGGGAGAGAACTAAAGTAAATAAATAAAAATTGGTGAGCCATTCTAGATTCTAGTTATCTCCCATATTTGATTAGTGATTCGCATTTTAAATCCTAAGGCCTACATGCCCTTGTAATTTGTATGCACCTCTTCCTTTACATTATTACTGCTTTGGCAAAGATGTTCATCATTTTGCAATAAAAATATTAAAATAGCCTCCTGAGGGTTCTTCCTGACATCACTGTTTTTTAAATTCAATTTGCTTCATCCATCTTTCACAATGTGGCTAGAGAGATCATTCTAAAATAAGTAAATAAATGAGCAAAGAAGTAAATAAGAAGGTGTAATGGCCCCACTTTATGTGCTTACTATAGGAAGGCCAAGCTTCTTGTTTAATCATTAAGTCCCTAAATACAGTGAGCTCTGCTTGCATCTCCACCATGCCCTCTGTCATGCCCTCTCTTGCACCTGTATCAGAGTCATGCCAACTACCTTCAGCTCAAATGTACCTTCCCTTTTTCTTAGAATTCCCCTCCTTTTCTTTTTCTTTTTTATTTGCTTAATTCCTATTTATCCTGAAACTAAATTATCATCTATTTTAAGGGGTATTTTCTGATTTTTTTTTTCTCTTGACATACAGAATTTTTAAAATGTCTTTCATAATACTGTAGCTTCTTGAAAGATTAAATCATGTGTTTCATAGTTCAATAGTGAGCAATAATCTCAAATTTGGAAAGCAGAAAAATACAGATAAGAGTAAACCTTTCTGTTTACTCTTTCATGTAGTCCTAAAAATGCATAAGCTTTCAGGTGACAGTGCAGTAATATTTTCCCATTAGGATCTCGCATTATTTTATAGCTTTCAGGTAAAAGTACCTTTGTTTATTTGAAGGCTGAGGAAGAGGGTGGGGGTTATGAATGTTGAAAGAACCCAAGAGGGAACTCAGAAATTTTAGAACGAAATGTAAACTCATACAAAACAGGTAAATGTGCTTGATGTAGTACAGATATTATGGGCTTCAAATTAGTTTTTGACCTCCCTCTATTTATACACATGTAGTCAGTTCTCATTATTCCCAGTAGTTCTGTTCTACAAAGTTGCAGCAAACACTGAATTAGTAAATATTAAACCATTGCTCCTAGGGAAAATATGGAGTTAAGTTTTTGTGAGCCTCTGGTCACAGCATTTTTGTTAATAAACACATAACCTTGTTTTATATTTGTTTCTGTTCGAAGACACCTTATTTAGTATATATTGCTGATTCAATAATGTTGAACTCATGGTTAACAGCAGTATAACTCATGCTTGAATTAAGCTTATCTAACACGTTTGTTCTTCGTAGGGTACATCACATCCTTCTCGCCCTTAGGAACACTAGACAATACTTCAGCGCTACACTCAGGAGCCAGTGAAAACATGAAGAAAAAGAACAAAAATGAGAAATACGTGGTACTGAATAGACCACAGAAAGTACACTTGTTTACAGTATGAGAGCTGAAACAAGAAGGTAGAGTATCCTCTTGTTCACTCTCAGCTAGTTACCTGTACCTGGGGTGACTCGACATTTTGGTGTTCTGTACATGTCCATAAATGACTGGGAAAGTGGCACAAATATTGACTTGGGGGTTACAAATAAATATTAGCAAGTAGACAATTTTGCAAATATGGAATCCAGGAATAATGAGGAATGACTATATTCAACTCTAGTTCTGAAACATCTATAAAAGAAATGGAGAATTGTCCTATCTTCTCTTAGCAGTATTGTTTTCCCAAACTATTAGAGGTTATTATTTCATCTATTTTTTTATTTATTTCTGGAAAATTCAGGTTCTTTATGTGGATATTACCCAAATCAGAGCAAGGAGGATCAAAAGTGAAATAACAATTAGTGAAGATGAAACAGGAGATTAGCCTCTTACTAATTAGTCTCATTGTCCTACCACATAGAGAACTTTGAGTAGCCTGCTGCATTGATATTTGTAGTTAAAATGGTGGCTGCTGCTGCTGTTTGAATTTTCTCAGTCTTTCTTCTCTTTTAAAGCACCAATAATTAATTCTTTTTCATTTTCTCTAAGCCCTTTTGAGAAATACTCTTTGCTTCTCTAGCTAAGCTTTTTTTTTTTTTTTAATTAAAATGAATCTGAAGGAAATACTCTGCATTTGCCCTATAAAAAGGGACCAGGATTTTTGTTTGCAGAAAACCATGTTCTTTCTCCTTAAGAGTTCCACAGTGACAACAGGTGGTGGTTACTCTCTCGGTTGCTCTATTTGACTTCCACTTCAGGATTTCTGACAAAAGCAGAAGGCCAGCTCCTCCCTCAGACTGAACACTCGTCTCCAGTGTATTGGAAAAGGACCTTTCCCCATGTCCTCACTGGAGTCCCTGTTCAGTGCTTAGTCTAGCAGAGCCAAAGCCCACATTCTATTAACCAGATGTCCTGCAGAGGAGTGTAAACCCTAAAATAATGGACAGCCAGGCCGCCTTAGAAGGAAGCAGTCATGCAGACTGATTTGCTGTCTGTTTTAAATCCTGGTAGCATGAGGTAATTTACAACCTGTAATTTCCTCACTGAGTGGGAGGAATTATTCACATGCTATCAATGAAGGCACAATATAATTTACAGGTTTTTCTGCTACCCAGTCTTTTGGTTTAAGTTTCTGGCATCCTCTGAAGAGGAAAGGTGATGCCTAACAGAAAAGCTGGCATAAAATGAATACTCCAGAAATGTTAGTGATAGTAGAGACAGTATACAAGGAAAAAAGGAGAGAGGGAGGGAGAGACAGAGAGGGAAAGAAGGAGGGAGAAGAGGAAATACAGGAGAAGGAAGGTCAGTATTGTCAAATACTGAAGGAAAAATAAGGACAACAAGGACTCAAAAAGCAGGCCCTTTGATGTGACAATTAGGTTATTCATAAAAAAGGAACAGCAGTAGGGTTGACAGCCAGTAGCCAGGCCATAAATTTTGAAAGAAAATGGGGTGATTCAGGAAATATGGTAAATTAACTAAATTTTTCTGAGTTTACTTCCTGGTGAAATCCCAATAAAACTGAAATCCCACTGAAATATCAAGTAATATTTAAGGCATAAATCTACAAATATGGGGGGATTAGGAGCAGGGAAATCAATAAACTAAAAATTTTGAATGCTAGAACATAGATGGAATAAAGATAACTGATGTAGCAGCAGAGAGAAAGCCATACCCTAAGACTGCAATGGGAAAAGCTAGGAACCGACTTGAGGAACCAATAGCACTAGATAACTCTGGGAGTATTTGGTGAAGTGGAGTGGGGTGTGTGTGTGTGTGTGTGTGTGTGTGTGTGTGTGTGTGTGTGTGTTTAGAGAAGTGATCTCCTTTCTAATCACATGAGTTCCACCTAGGAAACCAACTCTTTCTAAAATTTCTTGCAAAGACCTCTTCTGTTTTAGCACACGTCTGAGCAGATGATGGCAGGTTTATCCTCTGAAGAGATTAAAGCTGAGAATCTATCAAGGTTCAGACAGAGAAGCAGGGTGACTATGAGTGTTATGTAATTAGGTGTGTGTCATGGCAACTAGAATTTACATAGTTGTAGAAGACACTGGAGAATCAGAGAAATAACCACCCATTCAATCCAAGAAGCCACACATGTCCAACAGTGAATTGGGGCTGCAGAGAGGAAGCTCACGGAAAGGTCTAGGGGGTACTATTGCTTCTAGGTAGCTCTTATGCCTATAGATCTTCAGCAAAGCATCTAACTGTGGGCCTGAGGCCCCTGTTGTCAGCATGGCAAACACTTTGCAAGAAACACTGAATGTGAAGTTCAGGAGAGGGAGGACAAGTGGGAACCTGACAAACCCTTATTGTGTGTCTGACCTATTTGACCATGAAAAGAGCTTCACAGTGTATTGAGTGATGCTTCACTTCTTTCTTCTGAATCTTATTAAAGTTTTTTTTTTATTTTTTGGCCACTCTAACATAGAAGAATACAGGAAAAGAGAGTCTAGAAAACATATTTCTCAGCTTAACCAAGTTGACAGCAGAGGGTCTCTGGACTATTGGACTATAGGGATGGTCTAGGGCTGGTATCATTTATGCGAACAGAGAGACCAAAGAAATTGATGCATATAAAATGCTGATCTCTCAGCCTTCTTTTCCCACTCACAAAATATCAGCAGCTAGGCCTTGACCCTCCAGACTACAGATCAGAAGGTTCTTATGAAGTCTGACTTCCAATAAAATAAAAGCCTAAATATTTGGACTTCACGTCTTCTCTAACAGATGACTTAGCCCAATCTTGTCACGGTGAAATGATGCGTCAGTGAGACTCATCCACTTACTCAGAGTTTCTAGTTAGCCTTTTAGCCCACAACACTCTCAAATATGAAGAGACAGCCAGGATCACTAGGTAAGTATGGAAAGCCACTAACATGGAAGAGGGAGTCCAAAGCCATAGACAGAAGAAAACAACTTGCAGAAAGTTGAGACTATGCAAATGAAAAGATATTTTTTAAAAGTATTACTAATATTTTCAAAGAAATAAGATATTATATTCCATTCATTAAACAACTTTCGGTATTATGGAAAAGAACTACTCATGAAACAAAAAGATATCTTATAAAATTTAAAGCTTGAGGGAAAAGAGTAAAACTCAATATAACTTTCAGAGGATAAAGTTGAAAACATCTTTAAAAAGGTAATCCAAAAAGATGAAGAAAGCAGAGGGAAAAAGCAGTGGGCTCACTCAAGAAAAATTTCCAAGACTGAATATTGTTCTAACCAAAATAATAATAAATATCTTTTGGAAGAATAAGATGGAAGTTTGCACACATCTTTGGAGATGTGGAGTGGGAAGAACCTAAATTCTCATCTGTCATAGTGGGTAGTCAATAGTGCCAAATCTGAAAAAAAAAAAAAAATATATACACACACACACACACACACACACACACACACACATACATATACACACATATATGTATATACATACATATACACACATATGTATATACATACATACACACACACACACACACACACATACATATATATATATATATATAGTGGGAAATAAGAAAATAGTGGGCCACGCGCAGTGGCTCACGCCTGTAATCCCAACACTTTGGGAGGCCAAGGCTGGTGGATCACTTGAGGTCAGGAGTTCAAGATCAGCCTGGCCAACATGGTGAAATCCCCGTCTCTGCTAAAATACAGAAATTAGCCGGGCATGGTGGTGGGCGCCTGTAATTCCAGCTACCGAGAAGGCTGAGGCAGGAGAATCGCCTGAACCTGGGAGATGGAGGTTGCAGGGAGCCAAGATGGCACCACTGCACTCCAGTCTGGGTTACAGAGCAAAACTCAGACTCAAAAAAAAAAAAAAAAACAAGCCATGTTATTTAGAGATACTAACGTACGTACATAAAGAGTAATTGAAAGTGATTGTCTCTGGAAAAGAGGAAATAAGGAAAAAGGGTCTGTGAATCATTTTTTGTCATAACAAATCTGGTAGAACTAGTGGCTCTTTGAACTGAGTAAATGCTTAAAAATGTTGAGGCGAAAAAAGTGGCTAGGTAGTGAGGAAGTAGACGCAGTCTGTTAGGCTGAGTTTGACATAAATAGAAAAAATACGCAAATGACAATGAGACAGCCGGGTGGGAAGGGCTTCCTGGCAGAACTGCAACCCGCCGGTGCACTGGGAGGAGTGCGCCCTGGGGTGGAGCCACGGAAGTTCGTACCGTTTCCAGCAGAGAGGAGCCTGGCCCTTCCTCTTCCTGTGTAGAACCCGGGATTTTAAAACTGCGAGGCGAGAAGCGCACCACCAGGGGTTCTGGCTTTGTGGAGAGTCGCTGTTTCCCTTTTATCCTTTTTTCCCAGTAAATCCCATTATTCTCGCCTTTCAAATGGTCTGCAAGGCTAATTTTTTGTGGCGTGTGATAAGGACCTGGCTCTTAGCTGAACTAAGGAAAAAGTCCCTCAAGAAGAAGATATTGATAGGTGGAATGTAACAAGGAAGGATGCGTGGGGTACTCTGAGAGGAACAGGGAAATTATGTGAATATTACTAGGCTACAAGGCAGCAACCAATAGAGATGAAGGGAATGGTTATAGAGAAGTGATAGTTACTAGATGGATGTACTTAAGAATTTGGGAGGGTGGGTAATCAAAGCACATTTTTTAAAAAAAAGCTTACCTTGGTGAAATATAAGAAACGCAATCTCCTGAAAACAAAGTGAAAAAACAGAGAAGTCAAATACAAATCTGACATAAAGAAGTAAGTCTTGCTCAAGAAAGACCTTGAAGCAGCCACACCAAAGGGTAAAGGAGCACTTTATTGGCAATGGAGGCATAGACATCATTCGATTACTTTAATCACAGGGCTCATATTGCCCCAGGTTGTGCCTCAATATTTTAAAATAGCCATAAATTTTCAAAAGAACACTTCCTTATGCAATGTATCCTTAAAAATTCATATAAGAATGTGTATGATTCATCTTCCTTCCATCTCTCCTTTTTTTTTGTTTTTCATGTCCATCAAGTCTGTCTAGGTCTCCACTGAACATATCCACTGCTCGATCTAATAACTGGAATAAACTATTCTGAAACAGTTAAATGAGAATTAGCTGGCCACACGGGAAGGCTCTGTTTCTAATTGGGTAATTATATTCCTGTCTATTAATCTTCAGTGTTAATCAGTCTAGGGAAGACAACCTGATCAATAAACAAACAACAGAGAAAAAAATCTTAAAATATATGGGTCACTAAAATCATTTTCTAAATGTTCTATATTTTAACAGGACGCCATAGAAAATAAAAGTGGACATTGGAGATTTCATTATTAGAAATGTTAATTTTTAAAAATTAGCTTTTTTGAAATCCACTGCCTTTTGTAAAAGCCATCAATTCAGAAAAAAAGTGTCTTATTGTTTGAAGCAAATGTTTATAGAATATACATGTGAAATATGCTACTTCTGTGTTTATTTGTACCTGAATGCAAAGAGAACATGAATAATCTTACAAATGTGGCAGGATTCCCACAAACCCCAGAAACCACATCAGCCAAATAGCTAGAGCACAGTAGGCATTCTAACTTAATAGTTTGCCTCAAGGAAGGTCAGAGTGACCTTGTTAATTGCTGATTCTGCAAAGAAGTAATTGCCAGATTAACAAAGCAAAAGGACAGTCTGTCTAGGTTCAAAATAATACTAGCACAAAAGAAAATCTGTTCTTTGCCCACGTACTCATTCCCTCCTGACAACATTCCCTAAGATACCAACATTTTAAGCAGAGGCAAGAAGAAAATTACCATTGTTTGCTGAACACCTACTATGTGTCTGCCACTTTTACAATTATAATGGCAGAGTCTTGTGTCTGATCAATACTAAATAAAATGGAGATTTCTGCTAAGAAGACATTATTCACAAGCGTTATAATTAACATATGTGTTTGTAATGAGGAGTAAATGCATGCTATATGCAGAACTATGCAGGGTGAGGGGCAGAAACACTGAGAAGGCCACACATCTATTCTCCCAGTGTGCCTAAGAAGGAGTTGCACTCAGTACAGAAAATGCCCTCCACTCCCCTCCGGGTTTGCATACATGAAGTAACGAGTAACTTGCTAGAGACAGATCCATTGTGAGGGATAGCAAATGGAATAGGAACACCAGACACACACACACACACACACACACACACACACACACACACACACACAATCCTGGCATGTTAGGTTTGAATAACCAAAAAACAAAATACATAAATTTTGAAGGTAGACTAAGAAAAACATACATCACACATGAGGAACAAAGATTAGAATAAAAGTAGACTTCTTTTTCAGAAATCATACAAACTAGAAAATAATAGATTGACATCTTTAAAATGTTAAAGAAAAAATAACTTATTAAGCCAGAATTCTATACTAGACAAAATTATTTTACAAGAATGAAGAAGAAATACTTTCCTTGGAAAAACAAAAACTCTGGGAATTTCCTGCCAGTAAACATAAGCTACAAGATATGAAAGAGAAATTTATTCAGATAGAAAGAATATGACACCAGACAAAAAGTTGGTGTCTCAAAGAGATAAGAGAACTAAATATAAAATAAATTAAAGTAATATAATTTTTTCTCCTTTTAAATTACTTTAAAATATAACTGACTTGACAACAAAAATTGTAGCAATTTATTTCGTATTTATAGCATACGTAAAAGACATAAAAACAATAGTACAAACGATAGGAGAGAAGCAATGAGAATGTTTACTTAACAAAACGTGGAACATTACGATGTTATTTGAAGAAAGGCTGTAATTAATTTTAAATATATATGTAATATGTATTTAAATATACATATTGAAAGAGAGGGCCGGGCACGGTGGCTCACACCTGTAATCTCAGCACTTTGGGAGACCGATGCGGGCGGATCACAAGGTCAGGAGTTTGAGACCAGCCTGACCAACATGGCAAAAGCCCATCTCTACTAAAAATACAAAAATTAGCCTGGCGTGATGGCGCGTACCTGTAATCCCAGCTACTCAGGAGGCTGAGGCAGGAGAATCGCTTGAACCCATGAGGCAGAGGTTGCAGTGAGCCGAGATTGTGCCACTG
Organism: Homo sapiens; assembly: GCF_000001405.40. Classification (NCBI taxonomy): domain Eukaryota; kingdom Metazoa; phylum Chordata; class Mammalia; order Primates; family Hominidae; genus Homo; species Homo sapiens. The sequence goes on from NC_000003.12 coordinate 192,066,665, forward strand.
CACTCTAGCCTGGGCGACAAAGCAAGACTCCGTCTCAAAAAAAAAAAAAAAAAAAAGGAAGAGAATGTATAACCCTTAGGACAATCACTAACAAAACTTTATTAAAAGGAGATATAAATAATAAGTCAGCAGATGATATAAAATGAGATAAAAATACACTCAAGTGATACAAGATAAGATGTAGAAACAAAAAATAGAAAGAATAGATAAAACAAATAGAAAATATTTGATATTAATTCAATCCTATAAAATATTAAATAGGAATCATATACACACTCCAGTTAAAAAATAATGGTTATCAGAGTAAATAAAAAAGCAATATCAAACTATTTACTACACACAAAAAGATCACAATATAAAAAATAGATAAGTTGAAAGTAAAGGGATGAAGAAAGATATTCCATGCTTATGCTTATCAAAATAAAGCTGAGGTAACCACATGAATGAGACAAATTATACTTCAGAGTAGAGATTATTATCAAGGTCAAAAAGGGGCATTACCTTTTAAAAGAAGGTCAACTTTCCAAGAGTACATAATAATCCTAAATGTGTATGTATTTAGCAAGAATGTTTAAACTACATGAAATAAAAACTGTTAGAACTAAAAGCAGATGTCCATACGCAGAAAAAACTTTGATACAAATTTCATAACTCCTACAAAAATTATTTTTAAATGCATCCATCATAGATATAAAGGTGTAATATAAAACTATCAAACTTTAGATTAAAACAGGAGAAAAACTGCGTGATTTGGTTTGCTTTTTTTTTTTAAGATATAACACCAAAGCATAATGCATAAAAGAAAAAAATAACAAATGATATCCTGCCAAAATTTTAAACTTTTGCACTGAAAAAATACTACTAAGATAAGTAAAAGATAGCCACAGACTAAAAGAATATATTTACAAAGTGCATATCTGATAAAAGATTTTTATCTAAAATATATAAGAATTCTAAGAACATCTAAAAAAGGAAAAAAATGAGCAAAAGTTCTCAACAAAATAAGGAAGATATACAGATAAAAATAAACATATGAGAAGATGTTCAAACTCACCAGTCATTAGAAAAACATAAATCAAAATCACAACAAAATGTCCCTACCCAGACCTATTTTACCATCAAAAATTTAATTTCTTAAAAATGACAGTGTCATGTGCTGGCAAGAATGTAGAAATACCACTCTCACACATTGTTGGTGGGAGTACAAAATAATGCAGTCACTTTGGGAAAGTCACAGTTAAAAATACACATACTGCATAACCCAGCGATCCCACTGCTCAGTATTTATTCAAGAGAAATGAAAACCCAAATACTCAAAAACCTATGCATAAATGTCTATAGCAACTTTGTTCATAACTCCAAAATCTGAAAAGAATTCAAATGCCTTTCAACAAGTAACTAGACAAACTGCAGTATATCCATACAATGGAATAGTATTTGGCAGTAAAGATGGAACAATCTATAGATTTATACGATAACATGTCTGAATCTTACATTTTGCTAAATGAAAGAGCCAAACCCAGAAGTCTATATATTGCATTTTTCCATTTATATGGGATTCTGGGGAAGTCAACATTATAGGAATGGTAAAAAGATTGGCATTATCAGGGGTTAGCAACGATGAGTATAGTGTATAAGAGAAGCAAAGGGAGTAATTGAGATGTTCAAACTTTCTGTTTGATACTGTGATGGTGGATACACAATTGCATGTATTTTTCAAAGACTGTGGAACTCTGCATCACAGACTTACTTCTACAACATGCAAATTTAAATTTTGAAAAATAAACAAGTATTGGGAGGAAATCAAGGAACTGAAAACAGAATGCCTATTGTGACCATTCTCACTGCACTATAAATAAAAGACACAACCACATTGAAGAGGTAAGGAAGAAAGGATCTAATCTAAGTAATTTTGGACAACAGTGTTTAAACCGGATACTGGAAGGCTAAAGACAAAATGAACTGTATATAATCATTGTACTCTAGTTGAGTAAGTTAGTTTCTCAAAGGGTTATGAATTAGCAATTCTGAAACTGCTTTTTATTTACGGAAAGGGTGAACTGCTAAGTAAATATATGATATATGATGAGAGCCAGTTTTCTCACCATTAAAGAAAGAATTTAAAATAAAGAGGAAATAAGAGGGGAAGAAAAAAGGGAGACTGCTAGGAGGAGCCCTGTGTGGTTGGATTTGAATTGGAGGTACCTGTATAAACTCACTGATATGATTTGGCTATGTCCTCACCCAAATCTCATCTTGAATTGTAGTGCTTATAATCCCCATGTGTTGTGGGAGGGACCCAGTGGGAAAAAATTCAGTCATAGGGGCAGTTACCTCCACACTGTTCTCATAATAGTGACTGAGTTCTCACAAGATCTGATGGGTTTACAAGAGGCTTTCCCGGACTTCACTCTGTGCTTCTCCTTGCTACCACTATGTGAAGAAAAATGTATTGGCTTCCTCTTTCACCATGATTGTAAGTTTCCTGAGTTCTCCCCAGCCATGCTGAACTGTAGTAAATTAAACCTCTTTCCTTTATAATTACTCAGTCTTGGGTATGTCTTTATTACCAGTGAAAGAACAGACTAATACACTCATGTTTTCCTTTTTGGTTTTTAAACTATATATGTATGTTGATATGTATAGACATAAATATACATGTGTGTATACATGTATATTTATTTACTACCTCTGATATTTGAGGAGTCCTAGAAGCAGTGATATCCTATTAAGAGTTATAACACCTAACACACATATTTCAGTTTCTTAGTATCATTTTCCAATTAAAAAACAAGCTTCTTGGAGAAGAGCTTGATATCAGGGCTAGAGAGCAGTGAAAATATAAGTTGAGCTTCAGGCATCTTGTGGTGCCAGAAAAAATAAATTAATGAACTAAATAAATAAAGAATCGAGGCATGTAGAATCTATGCAGGAGCTAACCTGGAAGAGTTCACAAAGGTCAAATGAGGAATAATTTGAGAAACAGAGTAAGTAAATACAATATTGGATTATAACCCAAAAAGTAAAATATATATCCATGATTCCACATTGATACAAACAAATGATTAAATAAATACAAAAGGGGAAAAAGGATTGCATCTCTTCCTTATAGAATTCCCATTAACATAGAATGAAAAAAAAATTTTTAAATCACTATTTAAACATCACAGTTACAATTGTTGCAGGCAAGTTCCTTGGAATACTAAAAGTAGTAGGTTAAAGTTTAAGTAAATCAATATTTGTATATTTGATATATCACCCCCTAAATATTTATTATTTATCAAAAGAAGAAATAGCAATTTACAGTGCAGAAATCTGGCTTCCACTATCTTAAGAAAGTTGTCAATGTCAATATAACCAGTAATAAAATATATTGATGCACTAAGAAGGGCACACTAAACATCTATGGTATTTTTCTCCAATCAACTTACTCTTGAGAAAACATCAGATAATCCCAAATTGGGGACATTCTCCAAAATATCTTACCTGAACTCTTCGGAAGTGCTAAGGTCATGAAAGACAAGGAAAGACTGAGGAAGTATCACAGATTGAAGACGGCTGAGGTTAAGTAAGACGTAACTACTAAATACTATATGGAATCTTGGATTCAATTTTGGAACACAAAGAGACACAGTGGAAAAGCTGGTGTTGAAATCAAGTTCAAATGAAGTCTGTAACTTAATTAATAGTATTGAACCAGTGTTAACTTCTTAGTTTTGATTGATCATTATACTGTAATTAATAAAATATTAACATTATCTGACATGGGTTACGGGTCATGGGAACTCTCTGTACTATTTTTGTGACTTTTCTATAAGTGTAAAATTCTTAATATTTCAAAATAAAAATAATTTTTAAGTGCCCATCTTTTTTTAGATTCTATTGTTAGGTATTTGGGCATCAATATTTTTCAAAAGCTACTCTAAAGGTTCTAATATCAGTGTTTAAGAACACTGCTCTCACGGGGTAAAAAAATGAAGAGAAAGTGAGAATTATAGTAAAATAGTCAAGAATTAATTAATGGAATAAATTGAACTTTGCTTATATTTGCCAGAAATTTTATGAATACAAAATATATGCTTATATAAACCCAAAAAACTTGCTTACGTGTTTGTTTAATCAGTCAGTTAAATAGTTGATATTAAAAAAAAACAGTCAAAAGAGAATGTGACAAAATAATAACTACGAGTAATTGCATATAGAAGACATATTTCTCTGTTCCTTTTGTATTTTTTACTTCTTTCAAAAAAAGATTACAATTGCTAATTTTGTAATCAAGAGAAACAAATTTAAAGGCCACAAAGAAAAACATGTCTTCTAAGTGATTCTAATGCACTTTAAGTTTTGAGGGCCTTTGCCCTGGAGCAATTTCTTCACAGACCATCTGGACGGCAGAGGTATATCGCTGCACAGCGCATGGATTGAATATCTGAAATTATCCTTTTCATGTGCGTCCGTGTGAAGAGCCCACCAAACAGGCTTTGTGTGAGCAACAAGGCTGTTTATTTCACCTGGGTGCTGGTGGGCTGAGTCCGAAAAGAGAGTCAGCGAAGGGAGATAGGGGGTGGGGCCATTTTATTAGATTTGGGTAGGTAAAGGAAAATTACAGTCAAAGGGGGTTGTTCTCTAGTGGGCAGGAGTGGGGGTCACAAGGTACTCAGTGGGGGAGCTTTTGAGCCAGGATGAGCCAGGAGAAGGGATTTCACAAGGCAATGTCATTAGTTAAGGCAGGAACAGGCCATTTTCACTTCTTTTGTGGTGGAATGTCATCAGTTAAGGCAGGAACCGGCCATCTGGATTGTACGTGCAGGTCACAGGGGATGATATGATGGCTTAACTTGGGCTCAGAGGCCTGACATTCCTGTCTTCTTATATTAATAAGAAAAATAAAACGAAATAGTGGTAAAGTGTTGGGACAGCGAACATTTTTGGTGGGTGGTATGGAGAGATAATGGGCGATGTTTCTCAGGGCTGCTTCGAGCGGGATTAGGGGCGGCGTGGGAACCTAGAGTGGGAGAGGTTAAGCTGAAGGAAGATTTTGTGGTAAGGGGTGATATTGTGAGACTGTTAGAAGAAACATTTGTCATTTAGAATTATTGGTGATGGCCTGGATACGGTTTTGTATGAATTGAAAATCTAAACAGAATAAGAGAAGGAGAAAAACAGGTATTAAAGGTCTAAGAATTGGGAGGACCTAGGACATCTAATTAGAGTACCTAAGGAGATTCAGCATAGTCCTGTCAGCAAAGATTATTTATTTACTTCAAGAGTTAAGAGTGGTAGTTTGGGGATAGCACCAGGAGATATCAGCTGTGATGGCTTGGAAAAACAGGGTAAACCGGCAGTGTAAACAAGAGCAGGGCATGTATGAGTAGTTGAGAACGGTGAATAGGAGTATGACTAGACAGAAGATAGTAGGGATGACAAGTTTTTTTGGGGCACAGTCTAAGTTGATCTGGTGTCTGGAATGAGACTGGGGCCTAATAAAAAGGAGCGTCTATACAGGAGCTCAAATGGGCTGTACCTTGTAGCATTCTGAGGACAGGTCTGACTTCTGAGAAGGGAAAGTGGTAAAAGTATTGTCCAGTCCTTTTTAAGTTGGTGGCTGAGCTTGGTGAGGTGTGTTTTTAAAAGACCTTTAGTCCGTTCTACTTTTCCTGAAGACGGAGGACCGTAAGGGATATAAACGTTTCACTGAATACTAACAGCCTGAAAAACTACTTGGCTGATTTGACTAATAAAGGCTGGTCTGTTATCAGACTGTATAGAGGTGGGAAGGCTAAACTGAGGAATTATGTCTGACGGAAGGGAAGAAATGACTGTGGTGGCCTTCTCAGACCCTGTAGGAAAGGACTCTACCTATCCAGTAAAAGTGTCTTCCTAGCCCAAGAGGTATTTTAGTTATCTGACTTGGGGAATGTTGAGTAAAGCTAATTTGCCAGTCCTGGGTGGGGGCAAATCCTCGGCTTTGATGTGTAGGGAAGGGAGGCGGCCTGAATAATCCCTGAGGAGTAGTAGAATAGCAGATGGAACACTGAGAAGTTATTTCCTTGAGGATAGATTTCCACAATGGAAAGGAAATGAGAGGTTCTAAGAGGCGGGCTAGTGGCTTGTACTATAGCATAGCCTGCCTTTGCTGGTGTGTGGCGATTAGGCCTGGTGGAACTGCTATCAATAAACCAAGTGTGATCAGGGTGTGGACAGGAAAGAAGGAAATATGGGGAAATGGGGTGAATGTCAGATGGATCAGAGAGATACAGTCATGAGGGTCAGGTGTGGTATCCAGAATAATGTGGGAGGCTGGATTGAAGTCCGGGCCAGGAACAATGGTAATTGTGGTACTTAACAAAGAGTGAGTACAGCTGAAGGAGCCGGGGAGCAGAAAGTATATGCATCAGGCATGAGGAAGAAAATAGATTTTGGAAGTTATGAGAAATGTAGAGAGTGAGTTGAGCATAGTTTGTGATTTTGAGGGCCTCTAAAATATTAGGGCGGCAGCAGCCGCTGCACGGAGACATGATGGCTAGGCTAAAACAGTAAGGTCAAGTTGTTTGGACAGAAAGGCTACAGAGTGCGGTCCTGGCTCTTGTGTAAGAATTCTGACTGCACTAACCATTTCTAGGAAGGAAAGGAGTTGTTGTTTTGTAAGGGATTGAAGTTTGGGAGATTAATCGGACACGATCAGCAGAGAGAGCACGTGTGTTTTTATGAGAATTATGCTGAGATAGGTAACAGATAAGGAAGAAATTTGGGCTTGAGTGAAGTAATGGGGGCTGTCTGTGAAGCTTTGCGGCAGTACAGCCCAGGTAATTTGCTGAGCCTGATGGGTGTCAGGGTCAGTCCAAGTGCAAGCGAAGAGATGCTGGGATGACAGGTGCAAAGGAATAGTAAAGAAAGCATGTTTGAGATCCAGAACAGAATAATGGGTTGTGGAGGGAGGTATTGAGGATAGGTGAGTATATGGCTTTGGCACCATGGGGTGGATAGGCAAAACAATTTGGTTGATAAGGCATAGATCCTGAACTAACTTGTAAGGCTTGTCTGGTTTTAGGACAGGTAAAATGGGGGAATGATAAGGAGAGTTTATAGGCTTTAAAAGGCCATGCTCTAGCAGGTGAGTGATAACAGGCTTTAATCCTTTCAAGGTATGCTGTGGGATGGAATATTGGGGTTGAGCGGGGTAAGGGTGATTAGGTTTTAATGGGATGGTAATGGGCATGTGATCGGTTGCCAGGGAAGGAGTAGAGATGTCCCATACTTGTGGGTTAAGGTGGGGGGATATGAGAGGAAGATGTGAAGGAGGCTTTGGGTTGGGGAGAAGGGCGGCAATGAGATGGGGCTGTAGTCCAGGAATAGTCAGGGAAGCAGATAATTTGCTTAAAATATCTTGGCTTAATAAGGGAACTGGGCAGGTGGGGATAATTAAAAAAGAGTGCTTAAAAGAGTGTTGTCCAAGTTGGCACCAGAGTGGGGGAGTTTTCAGGGATTTTGAAGCTTGGCCGTCAATACCCACAACAGTTATTGGGGTGAGGGAAACAGGCCCTTGAAAAGAAGGTAATGTGGACTGGGTAGCCTCCGTATTGATTAAGAAGGAGAAAGACTTACCCTCCACTCTGAGAGTTACTTAGAGCATCTGTGATGGTCCCGTAGTCTTCTGAGGCAATCGGGCAGTGTCAGTCTTCAGCTGCTAAGCCAAGAAGATCTGGGAAGGAGTCAGTCAGAGAGCCTTGGGCTAGAGTTCCAGGGGCTCTGGGAGTGGCTGCCAGGTGAGTTGAACAGTCTGATTTTCAGTGGGGTCCCACACAGATGGGATACGACTTAGGAGGAATCCTGGGCTGTGGGCATTCCTTGGCCCAGTGGCCAGATTTCTGGCACTTGTAGCAAGCTCCTGGGGAAGGAGGTTCTGGAGGAATGCCTGGCTGCTGCGGTTCAGGCGTTTGGAAGTTCTTGTGTGCTGGAGATGTGGCTGGGGTTTGTCTCACGGTGGAGGCAAGGAATTGCAACTTTTTTCTATTATTGTACACCTTGAAGGCGAGGTTAATTAAATCCTGTTGTGGGGTTTGAGGGCCGGAATTTAATTTTTGGAGTTTTATTTAATGTCGGGAGCAGATTGGGTAATAAAATGTATATTGAGAATAAGACACCTTTTGACCTTTTAGGGTCTAGGGCTGTAAAGTGGCTCAGGGTTGCTGCCAAAGGAGTCATGAACTGGGCTGGGTTTTTATATTTGATTAAAAACAGCCTAAACGCTTGTGATTTGGGATAAAGAAAAAGAAGAATTAACCTTGACTATGCCTTTAGCTTCAGCCACCTTTTTAAGAGGAAATTGCTGGGCAGGTGGGGGAGGGCTACTCAAGGAATGAAACTGTAAACTGGACCGGGTGTGAGGAGGGGAGGTGATAAAAAGATTATACGGTGGGGGAGCAGAGGCTGAGGAAGAATTGGGACCTAGCTCGGCCTGGTGAGGAGCAGTCTGGGGAGGAGGGGAGAGGTCAGATGGGTCTGTAGAAAAGGAAGATTAGAAAGACTCAGCAATGCTTGGGGTTGGGACTGAGGGGACAGGTGGGAGGGAAAGAAGGAAGATTTGGGACGAGTTGCACTGGGCACAGAGACTAGGGAGGGACCAATGTGTAAAAGAATGCCTGGACGTCAGGCATCTCAGACCATTTGCCCATTTTACAAGAATTATTTAGATCTTGCAGGATGGAAAAATTGAAAGTGCCGTTTTCTGGCTATTTGGAACTGCAGTCGAGTTTGTTTGGGGTCAAGTGGCATTGCAGAAGAAAATAAGATGCTTAGATTTTAGGTCAGGTGAGAGTTGAAGAGGTTTTAAGTTCTTAAGAACACAGGCTAAGGGCGAAGAAGGAGGAATGGAGGGTGGAAGGTTGCCCATAGTGAAGGAGGCAAGTTTAAAGAAAAGGGAGAGTAGAGACACAGAGGGAAGCGGTTCGGGGGTTCTTACCCTCCAGAAAAGTGGGAAAGGGGTCAGGGCACAGAGATACGAGGTCAGGGTGTGGAAATAAGGGATCAGGGCGCAGAGATATAAGAGGTTGGGGCACGGAAATAAGGGATCGGGGCACAGAGATGTAAGAGGTTGGGGCACGGAAATAAGGGATTGGGGCACAGATATAAGAGGTCGGTGCATGGAAATAAGGGATTGGGGCACAGAGATACGAGGTTGGGGTACTTGCCTCTCCTCTAGAAAAGCGGGACTTGCCGCTAAGGGTGAAGGAGAAGGGGTTGGGGGTTTCTTGTCCCCCAGAAAGGCGGAGAAGGGGTAGAGACACGGAGAGAAGGGGTTGGGGTACCTGCCCCTACCCCAGAAAAGCGGGACTTGCCGCTAAGGGCAAAGGACCAAGGCAGGCGTCCCTGCGTGGTCTGACACCTCTGAAACATGGGTGAATAATCAGAGAGGCGTCCCTGCATGATTAAACACCAAGGGAAGGCTGCCTTCCCAGTCCGTGACTGGCGCCGGAGTTTTGGGTCCACGGATAAAACGTGTCTCCTTTATCTCTACCAGAAAATGAAAGGAATTGAAATTGAAAGAAGGGAGAGATTGAAGAGTGGAAAGGAGAAAGTGGTTGAGGGACAGTGAGAGAGGTTGGAGAAGAGAGTAAGAAGAGGTCACTTACTGGATTTAAAATTGGTGAGATGTTCCTTGGGCTGGTTGGTCTGAGGACCTGAGGTCATAGGTGGATCTTTCTGATGGAGCAAAGAGCAGGAAGACAGGGGATTGATGTCCCAAGGGAGGTCCCCCGATCTGAGTCATGGCACCAAATTTCATGCGCGTCCATGTGAAGAGACCACCAAACAGGCTTTGCGTGAGCAATAAAGCTGTTTATTTCACCTAGGTGCAGGCGGGCTGAGTCCAAAAAGAGAGTCAGCCAAGGGAGATAGGGGTGGGGCCGTTTTATAAGATTTGGGTAGGTAAAGGAAAATTACAGTCAAAGGGGGTTGTTCTCTGGCGGGCAGGAGTGGGGGTCACAAGGTACTCAGTGGGGGAGCTTTTGAGCCAGGATGAGCCAGGAGAAGGAATTTCACAAGGCAATGTCATCAGTTAAGGCAGGAACAGGCCATTTTCACTTCTTTTGTGGTGGAATGTCATCAGTTAAGGCAGGAACCGGCCATCTGGATGTGTACATGCGGGTCACAGGGGATGATATGATGGCTTAACTTGGGCTCAGAGGCCTGACAATCCTAACCTGTTTCAGTTCTGAACTCTCTAGACCTGAAACTTTAATATGTACAACTAGCAGCTCCTGTAGGACTCCCTGGAAGTGGATGTGTTTGGACAACTCGTTCACTTTTGGACTGCATAAGTTATTGAAAACTACCCATTAAAAGTCCATACCATGTCTTCTTTTCTATTTCTATCTACTTGACCCCTGAATTCAGACCTTGAAATAATCTCAATTTAAATTAGCTGTCATTTAGAAAATGGAGAACAAAAGTGGATACAAAGAAAAGTTCAGGGTCAGTTCTTGGCTCTTCTATTGACCCAGTCACCCAAGGACCTCAAGGACAATTGTATAGAAGTGTGAATTTGAAACATATAAAATAAATTCAGAATCTTCTCATCCAACTCCCCACACTCCAAATTAGTACCATAAACACTCCTTAGGCTTGCCAAAGTCACTACATGAAGGTGTTTTGGTTTGAAGAAAATGAACCAACATTTTTAAGTGGCTAATTTCTGAGGAGAATGCAGATATCCAGCCTCTCTTAACTGACTAGGTCCAATGGCAAAGCTCAGCCAGGTAAAAGAAGCAGTTAGCCACAGTCTAAACCAATCCCTGTCACTTTGCATTAGGGACTTTTTTTTTTTTTTTCAATTCACATTACTTGCCTGTTCTCTATAACTGAATGAGTTTTTAATACCTGACTACATCTTTAAGAGTGAATATTCCTTGCTGATAAAAATGGTGTATTATCTCAAAAATGGAAAAAAAAGATGGACTAGGCTAATTAACATGTTGTTAAAGACCTTAGGATGGATTAGGTCAGAGGAATGAATGAGGAGAGAGCTAACAATCTTTGAGCATCAAAATTTGCCAAGGGATTATGCTAAGCACATTAAATGTTTTATTCCATTTGCTATTTGCAATGATATTTTACATAGGTATTATTAACCCACTTTATAGATGAGAAACTAAGTCTTAGAGGGAAGAGAGCACAGGTTCACTGCAGCAGATGCAAAGAATGAGGAAAGCAATTCCTCATTCTCTACTTCATCAGCCACTGACTTGGCCAATGAAAGAAAAATAGGGAATCAAATCGAATGCCCTTCAGCTGCCACATGCTGTGACCTCTCCTTGTTATAAAAGTTAGAATGCTTTGATCTCAAATTTATGGCCTTTTATCAGAGTATCCAGCAAGATCCTTGTATTTTGAAAGAGTTAGCACACTCCAACCTAAACCTAAAAATGTTGATTGGAGACGTGCAATCATGTGATATCAAAGCTGGCAGGAATTTGGAAATCATCGGGTTAGTGGTTTCAAAACCTTTTATGTTTCAAAGGAGAGTGCCCTTTCTTTAAGCTAAATTTTACTGAAAGGCACTTCCTATCAACCAGATAAAAATAGGGCTGCAGTAGCTGTAGTGATATGTGGTCCAAAACCAGCACTGCTCGTGCTCCTTCCCCAGCTCCTGCTCTCACCCATGAGACTGCTAAAGTGCTTCGGCAGAACCTAGAGGGTCAGGACTATGGGGGGATGGGGAGGCAAGACATAAGGAAGAAAAATTTCCTAAATCTCTTATTTCCTGGAAATGGAACCTAAAGCCCAAGATCATATAGAAATTCAGTGATTACACTGGAAAATAGAAGGACTTGGGCTAAATTGACACATTACATCAGCATGAAAGACAGAAAAAATAGTGACCTGTCCCCATCAAAAACTCAGCTTTAGTTCAGGTCTAGTGATAGCACTTTAGAAAATGCTGCAGCTGAAAAATGATTCTTCCCTTCCATATCCAATTTTATGTAGAAGATGAACCACAGGCTCTGATGGCAAGGGAGAAAGAGCAAATAATGAACTCATGGTCGGAGAACAATTACAGTTTTACAATCATTCTTGATCCTAGGTCCTTTTTCTGCATAAAAGGGCCAATAATCTCTACCCTGTCAGCCTCAAAGGGCTGTGGTGAGACATAAGACTGTGTTTTTAACATTTAAAGTTAAAGAACAGAAAAAACCTCCTTACTATTTTTTTAATGGCTAAATTGTAGAGCTTGAGAATGCATTGTTTGCCTCACTTTGTAGTGTGCTCAGCATGATTAACAAATGTTATTTCATCATCTCTATTATTTTAATTTTCAGCTTGCATGCTTAGTAGTTGGTTTCCTTTTCAAAAGCCAATAATAAAGTTAAGTGATCAGAATGCTTGACGTGCCATGTTATTCTTTCAGAGGCTCCACTGTTTGTGCCACCTTGAAAAATGTGTTTCAGGTTCCAAAAAAACCTTGCCTGGTCAATTCTTTCCTGCTTTTTCTTATTACAATGTAGGTACTCCATGGAGCTGTTTGATGGGCCCAGCTGTAGCCTGGCTCTTCACAGCAGAAAGGTGCCTGTCAGCCTCTTACTCCTCTTGGCTCTACTCCAGTGAGCCATCCCTCTCTACTACCCTTTCCACTTCCTGGCAGCTGGATGAGGAGGCTGGAAGCCAGTGGCAAACTGTGGCACCTGGCTGTTTGGTCTGCCATTAATGACAGCCCCTGCTGAATCATGACTCAATAGCAGTACTTTTTCTTCAAAAGCGTTCAAGTGAGAGAAAAGAAAAGGCTGCTCTGACCTCTGGCCCATGTTCCCCTGGTGCAGAATGCTTCTGTTGACTATTTTCCTATGTTTAACAGGTGGAAGCAGACTGAAAGCGTAGAGGGAGGTTAGTGAACTTCTTCTGGCCTGTTCATCGGACCCTTGCATTTAGAAAATAACGGTGCCACACTGGAGAAGGTAAGGAGAAGGGGAAGAAAAGGTTTGTTTGATTGCTGCAAAATTACATAATGTGCATACCATCTGAACTTCTTATGAAACAAAAACAAAGAAAGAAAGAAAAAGAATGCTATGACTACCCAGCAACATTATCACTCTCCAGTTTTCATCTTTGATTGACTATTGCTCAGTGGTGATTTGACCTCTTCCCCTTCCCCTTTCCTCCTGTGAATTTTCCCCCCATGGCAGCTACTTGAAAACCACTTATACCAACACACTGGTTAGCCTGGATATGGAGGCAAGTGCTCCGAGTGACTGGTTGTCCTGAGGCAGCCTGCTTCAACCCAACACGTGGCACTTTGGGTAGCAGAAAGGCTTCCAGGTCTAAATGCTAGAAGCTGGAAGCAAGTAAGGGGAATCACAGCTAGCTTTTCTTGGTTTTGGGGCTCTGAGGATTACTACCACCTTTAGTTTCACTGCCTTTTGAGAGCGCTAACAGCTTTTAAATAATTAGCCCTTTCCTTTCCACCTTTTATGGCCACTCATATTGTTTGTCCTTTTTTATTTTCAGTCTCACACTATTTGTTTTCTAAACACTTTCTTAATTTACCTCTACCCTTCCTTTTGTTTGCACTTGTTTTTCATTCCTTACTTTTCCTCTTTGCTTGCCAAAATCATCTATTCCCTCCTCTTAGGTGCACGGTTCTCTTACTCCAGCCTCTCCCTTTCATTATCTTCATTATCTTATTTACAGACATCTTAGTTCTTCATTTGTTTTTCATCAGAACTTGTTTGCTTTTTATGGCTCCAGATTTTACTTTTGTCTCCAAAGGGAATGTTCACGAATGCTGTTAGATTGAGAAACATAAAGCACATTACCAATTGTTTCACAATGCTAAAAGAATAGGTTGTCCTAGATGGTTAATGAAAGCTTCAGGGGTGGCAGTCCTGCTGGTAGCATTAACTCAGCACTCCTAATCTTTTCTGATAAGCATGCCTTCCAGGAAGATAAGACAAATCAAAGGCTGCTTTTTCAACCTTGTAGTTTGATGTCTGCTAGAGCAGTTCCTGGTAGATACCATTTTAACTCCCTTTCAGATGAAAAATCTGAGCCTCAAAATCAAATATTTTCTCACTATTCCCTCAGGCTTCCTTGTCAAACCTTCTGAACAACTGAAAACACAAAGCTTCAGATCCTAAAACAAAATCTTTTAAACATCAAAAAATCAATGAACATTTTACCTGGAGGACAGATGTGGTTTTACGGATTTGAGCAACTAATATAGCTAATGTAGCTTGACTTCATTTTATGCATTAAGTGTGTTCCCCCAAAATATTAATTAACATATATATTTATGGGTGAATCATATTTTGTCACAGGGACGTACTGTAACTATGAAGGTCTAACACAAAACTGAAAAAGGATTTTAGACCAAATTTAAATATAATCACATGTAATTCAAAAAGGCTGGCTTTGTTAATGTGCAATCAATGGATATTTATTTCTCTTACGTGAAAGTCCACAAAAAGTAATCATAAACAGTCTACATTACCTTTGAGCATTCATTAAAAGATACATATTGAAATTAATCATTCTGTTACTTGCTACTTCATCAAGAATTCATTCTAGCTCCAGGAAACAATGATAATTAGTAACTTACATAATAATTCTTGGAAGGTCAATAGATTATCAAATATGTAATATGAATGTTCTACATTACATATTTGGGAGCACATTGAATCCCAAACTATGAATAGGTAAAGCCAATCACCTAAATGCCCTAACTTCAAAACAAGTTCTCATGAGACACTGGAAGACAATCACATAATTTGTATCTTGGCAAAGAACTTTGGGAAATAATATATCTAGGAATACATAAGGAAGATAAGCGGCTTAAGTGTAGCAATAGAACCAAAGCAGGAAGCAAACAGCTTAATTAATATTGTCTTCTTAATCATCACTTTATTTTCCCCCCCAAATAACCCCAGGACCATCAAACCTATTAAATCAATGGCCTTAAAAAAAAAGTTTGTAATGTCTTTCAAGTTCCACTCTTTTCTAAGCAATTAACACATTAATTAATACAATTATTAATATGCAACAGGTAGGGATGCAGCTAGGTAGGAAACTTCAGATAGTGTGAGACAGCAGTCCCCAACCTTTTTGGCACCCGGGACTGGTTTCATGGAAGACAATTTTTCCACAGACAGTGTTGGCGGGGCTGGTTTTGGCATGATTCAAGTGCATTACATTTATTGTGCACTTTAGTTCTATGATTATTACACTGTAATATATAATTAAATAATTCTACAACTCACCATAATGTAGAAAATCAGTGGGAGCGCTGAGCTTGTTTTCCTGCAACTAGATGGTCCCATCTGGGGGTCATGGGAGACAGCCACACCCTAAGTGTTTTGCTTATGTCCAGTCTATTCTGTAATCTCGGTTTGGTTGCTGTCACTGCAAAAATCCCTGATTCACAAAGAAAGGATGTTGGAAATGGAGGTAGGCTTTTCAGTGCTTTTGTGACAATCTCTGGATATTACCCCTTGACTTTAATCCAGAACATATGGAGATTTAACTTTGTCTCAAACATACTTTTAAGGCCACCATTATTTGTGATCGCGAGCAGTTGATCCTCTGGCAGAACAGACGAAGTTGATTCACCTGGCTTACTCATAAATGGGTAATGGTCCCATTCCTTCCCAGTTCGGGGGTCTTTTGTGGTTGGAAGTAATGCTCAAACTCTTTTGAAAGCTGAGATAGGTGATTATGCACCAGCTGGGAGAAAGAAAGCCCTGTCTCTTTCAAACTATCTGCTAATGTTTGAACGTGTCAAAAATTCAAATGTTCGCCCATCACCTTCATAATTTCAATTTGCCATTGAATGCAGCCACTTTATTTGCTGGCTTGAACACAGTTGTCGTTCTCCCCTGAAGTGACAGATTGAGTTCGTTGAGCAGGTTGAAAATATCACACAAATAAGCAAGTTTTGTGATCCATTCTGTGTCACTAAAATGTGCTGCCAATGGTGACTTTTTCTCAAAGAAACCTCTGAAGTAGCTCTCATAACTCAGAAACTCTGGCCAATCATCTGCCTTTAGAAAGTCTTCTCATTTATGTGTATAAGAGAAGACATATGTGCTCTGTGTCCACCTCCTCCGAGAGCTGCAGGAACAGACATGTGTTAAGGGCATGCACTTTAATGCAGTTGATAATTTTAATCACACCTTGCAAATCATTGGTAAGTTCAAGTGACATTTTTCAGCTAGCCAGCATTTCTCTATAGATGACACAGCATGTAGACTCACATTCAGAAGTGACTTCTTTGACCCCAGTAGTGAAAACAGAAAGCCACCCAGTCGTGGCAGCCACTCCATTCATGCATATACTGACACAAAATGACCAATTTAGTTTTCCTGATATGTAATCATTCAAAGACTTGAATAGTTCTGCAGCTATGGTGTTGGATGGCAATGCAAGTGCATATTACACATCTTTATGAACATCTTCCTGAAAAATACATTGCACAAAAGCAAGCATTGTTGCCTTGTTGTCAACATCGGTAGACTTGTCAACCTGGATTGTGTACCACTGTGACTCATTCATCCTCTCTAACAATTGTGCCTCAATATGCTCTGCTGTTTCATCAGTTTGTCTAGTTATGGTGCTAGCCAAAAGAGGAGCACATGCCACTTTTTGAACTGCAGCCTCTTAGAGCTGCAGCCTGCACATCATCAGGCACTGGGTTCTCATAAGGAGTGCACAACCTAGATCCCTCACATGCTCAGTTCACAATAGGGTTTGAGCTCTTATGAGAATCTAATGCCAACGCTGATCTGACAGGAGGTGGAGCTCAGCTGGTAATGCAAGCGGGGGAGTGGCTGTAAAAACAACTGAAGCTTCTGCTGGCTCACCAGCTACTCACCTCTGGGTGTGTGGCCTGGTTGCTAACAGGTACTGACATATGTCAAGGGGGCTGGGACCCCTAGTCTCAGAGGACATGATGAAATGATGAGAACTGGAGCAAACATGATACATTGAGACAAAAAAATAAATTAGAAAGAAATTGGAGTGAAATTAGAACTTGGTGATACATGTGTCACTGAGGAATATAAAAAAGAGGAGAATGACTTCTCAATTTTAAATTAGATTCTTGGATGAATGACATTTTGCAAAAGTTGATAAGCTTATTTTTAAATGAATCTTTTGTTTTAGAACAGTTTTAGACTTACAGAAAAATTTCCAAAATAATACAGAGAGTTCTCACATATGCATTCCCAATTTCTCCTATTATTAACTTTTTACAGTAGTGTTGTATATTAACTAGAATTATTAAACTGATATACATACCTTATTATTAACTATAATTGATATTTTATTTAGATTTCCTTGGTTTTTACTTTAAAGTTCCTTTTCTGTTTCAGGATCCCATCTGTGATACAGTATTACAATTAGTTGTCAAGTCTCCTGAGGCTTTGTTTGGCTGCGAAAGTTTCTCAGTCTTTCCTTGTTTTTGATTACCTTGACAGTTTTAAGTTGTGCCGTTATCAAGAGTTTTGTAGAATATTCCTCAACTGGGGAAGTTTCTCATGAATAGACTGAGGTTATGGGCTTTTGAGAGGATGATCCGTTAGGTAAAGCACCACTTGTATTGTTTCACATCCAGAGTACATACTATGCACATGATTTATCACTGTGGATGGTAAACTTGATTACCTGGATGCGGCAGCATTTGTCAGGTTCCTATTTCATCAATTCGTCTAGTTCCAATGTTACTCTTTCCTCCCCTCCCCTTTCCATATTGAGCTCTTTAGAAGGAAGTCACTATGTGTAGGCTACCCTTGAGGTGTGGGGAGTTTGGCTCCAGCCCTCTAAGTATGGCTTTCTACATAAATTATTTGAGGTTCTGAATGGAAGATTTGTCTATTCTCCCACGTTCATTTATTTTTACTCAATCATTTATTCATATCAGTATAGAATCATTGATATTAATTTTACACTTTGGGTTATAAACTAATATTGCTTTATTTTGTTGCTCAAAGTTTTCTAACTTTGGTCATTGGAAGCAATTTCAGTTGGTTCCTGTGTCTCTTTGGCATACCACTATCATCGTATTGTTTTTTGTTTTGCTTTTGAATACTGTCCTCCTTTCTGACACCACAAGATGCTCCAGGTCCATCTTGTATATTTCCTGCCCAATCCTAGAATCAATCATTTATTGAAGGAGCCTTGGCTCCTGTTATTGGATAATGGGTTTAGAAACCAGATTCAGGGCACTAGTGTGCTCATTGCTACTGGGATACTCACTGCTACTTTCAGCTAATACTGGTTACGGTGTATATTCTAACTCCACGCACATATCTACAAATATTTCTGTATTTAAACACATATGTCTACATTACACTAAAAATGAGATTATACTGATGTTTCTGACTGATTGTTACCACTGGATCATTTAACCTCCTCCTACTGCTTATCTGTACCCTTCCACTTCAAAAGTGAAAAATCTGATGCTTACCGTTCTCCATACATTTGCTTAATTGTCCATTTTGAGTATATATGTGCAGCCATTTCAGAATTGTTAACTCATACTCCCATGGGAAACAGTTTTATCAATTAGAGTCCAGAGCTTGGCCGGGCGCGGTGGCTCTCACCTGTAATCCCAGCACTTTGGGAGGCCGAGGCGGGTGGATCACAATGTTAGGAGATTGAGACCATCCTGGCTAACACGGTGAAACCCCATCTCTACTAAAAATACAAAAAACTAGCCGGGCATGGTGGCGGGCGCCTGTAGTCCCAGCTACTTGGGAGGCTGAGGCAGGAGAATGGCGTGAACCCGGGAGGCGGAGCCTGCAGTGAGCTGAGATCGCGCCACTGCACTCCAGCCTGGGCGACAGAGTGAGACTCTATCTCAAAAAAAAAAAAAAAAAAAAGAGTCCAGAGCTTAAAGCTTCCAGACTCTACTCACTTCCAAATTTCCTTAGGTCAGCATCTTTTTCTCCCCATACCTTCCAGTGAGGTTGGTTCACACATTTGCAGTACAGGTAAATGTTTTTGTTACATTCTTGATTCCATTCTGGGGTCTTCCAATGTACTAAATAATTTTTTAAATATTTGTGTATATTAAGATTCATTGTTGGCTCTATAAGTTTCTATGAGTTTGGACAAATGCACGGTGTCATGTATCAACCATTACAGTATTATACAGAATAGCTTCACCACCTCTCAAATTACCCTGAACTTCACTTGTTCAATTCTAAACCCTATGCAATCATTCACTTTTCATGATCTCCATTGTTTTGTTTTGTTTTTTCAGAATGTCATATAGTTGTAATTATGCAATTGAAGGCTTTTTAGGCTGACTTCCTACAACTTAGCTATACACGTTGTGAGTCACCTGTCTTTTCTTGGTTTGTTAATTTATTTTTTTTGTTAATGAGAAGTGCACTCTAATTATTTTTCATGTTTCTCTGTAAGTAAGTTGTTTTGCCATTCCTTATCCCCAGCTCCTTTTGAGATTTTCTCATTTTTCTTTAGTATGAATATGATATAAATGAATGTAGATTTGTCATATTTATTCTGTTGAGTGTTCTCTAATCCAATTTAATCCAGTGGTTTGGTGGCTGTTGTTAACTGTAGAAAGTTTTGGGCCATTATTATTTCAAATATTTTTCTGTGACATTCTTTCTTTCCTTGGTTACTCCAATTACCATATATATATTTTTAATTGTTACATCCATAGTTCTTGGAGGTTCTGTTCTGTTTTGTTTTGTTTTGTTTTGTTTTTCCTTTTTTCTCTTTACATTTCAGTTTGGGAAGTTTCTACTGATGTATTGTTTAACACATTAATTCTTTCCTTAGCAATGTCAAGTGCTGCAATTAGTACATTAAAGGCATTTTTTTTTATGTCTGTGACAGTGTTTTTGATTTGTGGCATTTCCTTTTGATTCTTTCTTAGGATTACCAATCCTCCACTTAAATGTGTGTATCTATTCTTTTACGTTTTCTCCTTTTTCCATTGCAGCACTGAACATATTGATCATAACTATATTATATTCCATGTCTCATAATTCCAACATCTGTCTCATATCTGAGTCTCATTTTAATAATTGCATTGTCTCTTCAGACTTTGTTTTGTCTTTTGGAATGACTTACAATATGGTGTCAAAAGCTGAATATGTGGTGTTGGGTAATAGACAAACAGGCTTTAGTGTTAGAATTTCCGTTAATCTGGCTAGAAGTTGGGCTGTGTTTAATGTTTGCTGAAGCTGCAATTGTCAGAGGTTTTAAATGACTTTATTGTCCTTACTTTTGTCTCACTCTTGACTCAGACTTCACTATGTACTCCTCAGAGCCAGCATCTTCAAATTCAGTCGTAACTTACCATTGACATACTGGAATTCTCTTTGGTGGTGGTAAGGTTTGAGGGAGGAAAAACATTCTATAACCTTAGGATTAAATCTTAGTGGACTTTTAATCCTAAAATTTTGGGGACTTTTGAGGCTGTGACCATCATAAGTGTCAACCTAGTGGTATAGATTTTTGCCCTTAGATAAACAAGAAGGCTAGAAGGGAATGGAAGGGTGAGAGTATTCTTACTTCAGTTGGGTAGAGTCTGGTAAAATCTTCATTCCTGGAGGGTAGGTCTTTGTTAAGTAAAAATGCTCTGGACCTATATCACAATGATTATTCATTTTTTCCCATTTCCAGATAAATTCAGCTTAAAAATCTTCTGAAGTACCTGGGTATAAAGCCCTTGAATATACTCTCCACTAAGACTGTCCCTAGGAGGTTCTCATTCTCATATTAGTCTATACTCCATCTCCAGTAACCTGTCAAAATTAAATGTTCTTAGCATTTTATGGCATTAGCACGTTCTATTCCATGTAAATAGATCTTGGCTGTTACTTTCTGGATTGTCTCATCACTCCAGATTTTTTAGTGGAAATTTGCCCTGCAACCTTAGTTTTGTAATGAGTTCTAGAAAAGACATTTGTTTTCAGGGTTTTTTCAGCTTTTTCTTGTAAGAATGTGAGTGATGATTTTCATTCTTTTTACAGGTCAAAGCTTAAACCAAAAGTTAATAAGCTTAATTTTAATATATTAATGCTAATATGTTCAAAGATATAATCTATTTAACATATTAAATTTGAGGTTAATTCAAAAAATGGATATTTTACTAGCAGAAGAAAAGTCTTGCATTTCTTAAACTCCTGCCTAGGATTACAGAATCCTTAAGAGACACTAGGCCATTTGATCTTGTATTTGCATATCAGAAGAGAAAACATTGTCAACAAATTAAAGAATTGGGTCACTTTATTGATTCGGTTTTAATATGCATGCAACTTGATGTGGTTAGTTTTGGTTAATAAGTTTGTAAATTTCTGTGGGATGAGTCACAGCAGTCAGCCTTTGGCCCACTTGTCTCAATTTTTAATGAATTGGAAAAAAAATTCAAATAACATAGAAGTGTTAATAAACATTTTGCTGGCCTGGTCAACTAATGTATTAGATTGTGTTAAGAAATGGGGTTATATTTTATGGTTTCTTAGACTATGTGAGCAGTCCACCAGCTTCAGATAAATAAGCTTGTACTTCTATATATGCCTGCTACTCTACCACAAACTCCTCCTTTTACATTCTTAACACTCAGTGTTTTCTTTCTCAGGAAATTATTCTTCTCCTTCACTCACCTATTTCTTCTGACATAAATTTTACCAAAAAAATATTATTCTTTTGAAGATAAAGAAAGCATTCACACACAATCACACACACTCGTCCACATACATATATCTCCTAACCTAGTTACCGATCTCAGTTCCATTTTTTCTCTTATAATTAGATTTTTCAAATTACTGACCTCCACTAGTTTGTTCGATGTCTTAAACCACTGTATCTCCTTACTCACTATGAGATATGTTCTAAGTCAAACTACTTTAAAACATTGTCTTTAATAATCTACGATGAGAACAAGCCTGATATGGAGAAGAGAGCAATAGGTGAGATGCTCATTCTGAATTCTAGTTCTGACTTGAACACTTAATTTGTATGACTTTAGATAAGTTACTTCCTATGAAACTTAATATCTGTAAAAAGAGAACTTATCTGTAAAACTCTCAGTACTATATCAGAATTTTTAAAAGGCTATTGGGGAGTAATGAAGAAAAATTAACATTTATTGAACACGACATAAGACAATTTAATCCTCACAATCACTCTTTGAAGTAAATAATATTAATAATTTATGAATAGAAAATTGAGCTTCAGAAAAGAGAATTTTTTTTCTAAGGTCATAGGGTTAGAAAGTAAGATTTAAAGACAAATTTATATGACTTCACAAAAACATGGTGCCCCTAAAACCAGAGTAAACATTACTATAATTTATGCAAATTCCTTAAATTAGTCTTCTTAGTTTATGGAGACAGTGAGCCAGTTTGAATAATTTCTTTTTCTCATCCAGCAGAACAAACCTTAGGAAAAGGTCACATTAGAACTATAGTAGGATTTCTGAAACCATCACAACCCTATTATTGATGGTAGGGTATTTTTTTTTTTTTTCAAAAGCATTATTCTACAGTTTCTGGAATGATATTTATCATGAGAGAAAGTGAATGACTTAACAGAAAATTATGCCTTTTGAGAATGAACAAACTATAAGGAACAACCATTTTCTAAAATTGGAAAGCACTGGGCTGTGACCCCTTTAAAAAAGAGAAACAAACAAATGAGGTGAGCTCTGCAATTAACTAAGTTTCATGCCTGTAGGTAATCCTGGAATGCAGAAAAAACTATCATCAGAGTTCAGGGTGTACAAAGAGATTAAATATTTGGGACAGAATGCCTGTGAGAAAGGAGCTAAAAAGAAGGGAAAAAAGTCTTAGAGAAATTCACATAAAGAATCACCTGAGTCTTTGACTGAATATTCAATTCATGCCTACATAGAGTAAAACACAATGATATTGGATACAAATAATTTTTGAAGCAAGAATAGTGATTGAAGAGATGTAAAATGAACAATTCCCAGAGCTCCCACAGAATAGGAAACAATTCAAGCTCCCTCTAGCCAGAGTGCAGATACCTGTGAAACACAAGGAGCATTCAGTAAAGACCCAAACATGTAATAACTTATGTATAAAGATAAATAGGTATTAGATTAAAGGTTACTCTAGGCCCAACCTAAAACACTTAGAATAAAACCTAAAAATGATCAAACTCATACCTAAGTACCTTAACTAATCACCAGAAAGGTCTAACACTTTTCAAAGGAATATAACAAAATTTAGAGAGCAAAACTATCAAGTTAATAATGTGTATCAACAATCCAAAAACTGTAAGCATATGAAAAAGTGAAAAAATGTGACCCATTTGTAGGAAAAAAACTCAATCAATAGAAATAGACCCCAAAATGACAGAGATGAGATTATTAGCAGAAATGTACATTAAAGTGCTGTAATAAATATATTCCATATGCTCAAGGAGGTAAAGGAAAACATGAAGATGATGAGAAAAATGTAAGATATATATTTAAAAACTAAAAAAATTTACATAAATGAGAAATACAGTATCTGAAAAAGGAAATATTAGACAAGATTGACTGTAGATTAGATACTGCAAAATAAATTTTCAAAATGCAAAATAAATATTTTGAGAGAAAAGAGAAAAAAAGAAAAAAGGGTGAAAAAATAAAAACTCAATGACTTATGGGTGAAATCAAATAGTCTAAGATATATGTAAATTGGAGTTTCAGGAGATTCAAATGAGAGAAAACAAAAATATGTAAAGATATAGTGACCAACTTTTTTCAAAATTGGTAATAACTATAAACTCACAAACCCAAGAAGAGCAAACTCCCTCCCATAAGAAAATAAGCATAAAGAAAGTCAAACCAAATAATATTTTAATCACATTGCTAAAAAACAGTGCTGAAGAGAAAATATTTAAAACAGCCAGAAAAAATTGCATCAAGTACAGAGGAACAAAGATAAGAATTACAGCAGAAATCTTATTTTAAAAAAACTATGGGCCACCACTGCTGCCAATGTGAGCATGCACAGTAATGCTGCTGCCCCACTACCACCATTGCCTCACCCCAGTAGATGTGCATGCACCCCACTGTGCTGCTGCAGCTGCTGGCACACAAGAGTGAGCACAGATTCCACAGCCACCACTCCAACAAAGTGCTTTGGCCAGCACTCCCCTTCAGAGTGTTGTGGCTAGTGAACCAGGAACACCTCAGCACCTCCAGCACAGCAGGTTCCTAACCTCCAGGGGGCAGAAAACAAAACAAGGGACTTAGTACCAGAACACCAGAGTTAGAGCTCATAGCCCAGGAGTAGTGAGCTGAGCCTTGTCCCCCCATAATCTTCTAAAAATGAAGCCAGTCAGCTGAACCCACCTTATATCACAATCAAACCCCCAAGGGCATCAAAGAAGACAAAAGGGGACAAAAGCATCCACAAGACAGCAACTTAAAAGACTGAAGGAACATCAGCCCACACAGAAAAGAAAGAATCAGTGAAAGAACTCTGGCAATTCAAAAAGCCAGCAAGTCTTCTTACATTCAAACAACCTCACTAGTTCCCCAGCAATGGCTCCTAACCCATGCTGAAATGGCTGAAATGACAGACATAGAATTTAGAATATGGATAGGAAAGAAGAACACCAAGACTCAAGAGAAAGTCAAAACTCAATCTAAGGAATACAATAAAATGACACCAGAGCTGAAAGAAAAAATGGCCCTTTTAAGAAAGACTCAAACTGATTTGATAGAGCTGAAAAACTCACCATGAATTTCATAACACAATTGCTAGTATTAGTGTAGCAGGACGAGCCGCAGACAAAACCTCTCAGACACCGAGTTGTAGAAGGAAGGGCTTTATTCAGCTGGGAGCGTCGGCAAGCTACTGCCTTAAAATCCAAGCTCCCCGAGTGCACAATTTCTGTCCCTTTTAAGGGCTCACAACACTAAAGATTTTACATGAAAGGGTCATGATTGATTGAGTAATCTAGGGGATACCTGACAGGGGTTTCATGCACTGGTAGTGAGAGAGAAACAGAACAGGGCAGGGAGTTTCACAATGTTCTTCTATACAATGTCTGGAATCTATGAATAACATCAGTTTCTAAGTTATCAGTTGATTTTTAACTACTGGGTTTAGGCCAGGCAGGCCCAGGCCTGGTTTTGGGCCTGGCGCCGGGCTGCCTGGCTTTGGTTTTACTTCCTTGTTGTTTTCTTAAAACAGGTACTGAGTATAAAACAATATAAAACAATATGAGAGGGTCTCTCTCTTCCCTCATTAGCAGGAGAATCAACCAAGCTGAGGAGAGAATTTCAGAGCTCAAAGACTGGTTCTGCAGAATAACTCAGCCAGACGAAAGTAAAGAAAAAGGAATGAAGAAGAATGAATGGAATCTCTGAGAAATATGGAATTATGTAAAGAAACCAATTTGATGACTCACTGACATTCCTGAAACAGATGGAGAGAAAGAAAGCAACTTGGAAAATATATTTGAGGACATCATCCATTAAAATTCTCCCAACCTTGCTAGAAAGCCAACATTCAAATTCAGGAAATGCAGAGAACCCCTGTAAGATACTATACAAGATGATAATCCTCAACACACATAGTCATCAGATTCTCCATGGTCGAAATGAAAGAAAAAATGTTAGGAGACCTTGGGCCTTAAGGGAACATTAGTGGTAGTCTGTCAGTATTCCTCTTGGTCAGGGGTGGCTGTGGCTACGGGGTGAGCCTCCTTTGCCTTGAGAAAGAGAGAGGAAGAGAGGATAAATTGCTAGAAGCAATTATCTAAGAAATGTGACTCTAGTCTCTGACTCCCAGACCACTCTCCTGGAGCCAGCCAGGGCCTAGGGGGCCTCACCATCCTAAGAGGAAGGACGCAAACTTGGCTGACTTTGCCACATACTGATTGCAGGGCCTTGAGGAACATAGGCAATAGCCAGGGGAGTGGTTACAGTAGGCCTTGTGCAAGACCCAGTGCTATGATGGCTTCAAGTTTGACTCAGTAAAATAATAGTGGTGGCCACAAGGCTTTTTGTGTCACTCTATCTCCAGCTTTAGGTGGCTCAGAACAAAGACAGGCACTCTGTATGTTTGGGAAAATATAGGGAAAGAGAACAAGAGTCTTTGTCTGGTAACCCAGATTATTCTGCAGGGTATTGTCCAAGAGCATCAAGGCAGTTTCTCTATGAGTTTGCAAAAACCACAGCATTGCTTGCTTGGATTGTCCCCTAAAACAGAAACAGCTTAGGTCACAACATCCAAGTCCTTTCAAATAAATGAAAAGCCTTCCCTAGAAGGACAGCTACAAAGAAGCCCAGATAATGAAGACTACAACTAATATCTAACTCTTTAATGCCCAGACAGCAAAGAACATCTACTAGCATCAACACCATTCAGGAAAATATGACCTCACCAAATGAACTAAATAAGGCACTGGGGACCAATCCGGAGAAACAGAGATATGTGACCTTTCAGACAGAGAATTCAAAAGAGCTGTGTTGAATATGAGAGTGATCTGGCTGTGACATCTGTCACCCCATTGATGTCCAGAATTGATTCACCTGATCTGGCTGGCTAGGCAGGTGTCCCCTTACTCCCTCACTGCTCCATGTACATCCTTCCCAAAGCTGGGTGGTTGGTCAAAGAAGACGACAATCTCCAATAGAGGAGGACCTGTCTTTGGACAAGGGTATATCAGTAGCTGCATTCCCCTGCTAGAACCTCCAAACAAGCTCTCAAAATAGCTGTGTTGAGGAAACTCAAGAGAATTCCAGATAACACACGGAAGGAATTCAAAATTCTATCAGATAAATTTAACAAACAGATTGAAATATTTAAAAAGAATCAAGCAGAAATTCTTGAGCTGAAAAATGCAATTTGCATAATAAAGAACATATCAGTGTCCTTTAATACCAAAATGGATCAAGCAGAAGAAAGAATTAGTGAGTTTGAAGACAGGCTATTTGAAAATACACAGTCAGAGGATTAAAAAAAGGAAGGAAAAAGATGAAGCATGCCTACAGGACATAGAAAATAACTCTAAGAGGCAAATCTAAGAGTTATCAGCCTGAAAGAAAAACTAGAGAAAGAGATAGGGGTAGTAATTTTATTTAAAGAGATAATAACAGAAAACTTTCCAAACCTAGAGAAAGCTATTAATATCCAAGCGCCAAAAGGTTACAGAACACCAAGCAGATTTAATCCAAATGATGCTCTCTCAAAGCATTTAATAATTAAACTCCCAAAGGTCAAGGATAAAGAAAGAATCCTATAAGCAGCAAGAGAAAAGAAATGAATAACATAAAATGCAGCTTCAATACATCTGGCAGCAGACTTTTCAGTGGAAACCTTGCTGGCCAGGAAAGAGTGGCATGACATATTTAAAGTGCTGAAGGAAAATAACCTTCAGCTTAGAATAGTATATCTGGCTGAAAATATCCTTCAAACATGAAGGAGAAATACTTTCCCTGACAAACAAAAGCTGAGGGATTTCATCAATACCAGACCCATCCTACAAGAAATGCTAAAGGGAGTACTTCTCCAAAAAGAAAAGGGCATTAATGAGTGATAAATAATCACCTGAAGGTACAAAACTTACTGGTAATAGTAAGTATATAGAAAAACACAGAATATTATCATCACACTGTAACTGTGGTGTATGAATTACTTTTGTCCTAAACAGAAAGACTATATGATGAACTAATTAAAAAAAATAACTGCAACAACTTTTCAAGACATAGACAGTAAAATAGAAATGGAAACAACAAAAAGTTAAAAAGTAGGAGGATAAAGTTAAGGAGAGTTTTTATTACTTTTATTTCTGCTTGTTTATTTGTCTATGCAAATAGTGTTGTTTTCAGGGTAAAATGATGGGTTATAAGATAGTGTTTGCAACCTCATGGTAACCTCAGACCTAAAAACATACATTGGATACACAGAAAATAAAAAGCCAGAAACTAAATAATATCACCAGAGAAAATTGTCTTCACTAGAGGAAGACAGGAATAAATGAAAGAAGGAAGATAATACTACAAAACAACTGGAAGACAAATAGGAAAATGCCAGGAGTAAGTCCTTTTTTATCAATAATAACCTTAAGTGTAAAGGATTAAACTCTTCAATGAAAAGACAGACTGGGTAAATGGATAAAAAAGCAAGACCCATTGAAAGACTTCACTTACTAAGAAGCACAAAGACTGAAAAAGTGATGGAAAAACATATTCCATGCAGATAGAAACAAAAAAAGAGCAGGAGTAGCTATGCTTACATCAGAAAAATTAGATTTCAAAACAAAAACTGTAAGAAGAGACAAAGAAGGTCACTATATAATGATAAAGAGGTCGATTCAGCAAAAGCATTGAACAATTTTAAATATCCATGCACCCAACACTGGAGCACTCAGATATATAAAGGAAATATTCTTAGAGCTAAAGATGCAGATAGCCCCAGTACAATACTAGCTGAAGACTTCAACATTTTACTTTCAGCATTGTACAGATTTTTCACACAGAAAATCAAGAAAGAGGCATCAGACTTATTCTGCAATGTAGAACTAATGTATCTAATAGATTATGTACAGAATATTTCATTCAAGAACTGCAGAATACACATTCTTTTCCTTAGCGCATGGATCATTTTCAAAGATAGACCATATGTTAGGTTAAAACAAGTCTTAAAACACTCAAAAAATTGAAATGTTAATAATATCAAGCATCTTCTCGGACCACAATTGAACAAAACTAGAAATTAATAACAAAAGGAATTTTGGAAATTCCTCTTGGTATTAATTACACAAATTACACAAATACATGAAAATTAAACATGCAACTGAATGATCAGTGGGTCAATAAAGAAATTAAGCAGAAAACTGAAAAACTTCCTGAAACAAATGATAATGGAAATACAGTACATCAAACCTATGGGATACAGCAAAAGCAGTACTCAGAGGGAAATTTATAGCTGTAAGTGTCTATATCAAAAAAGAGAAAAACCTTCAAATTAAAAAATTTAACAATACATCTGAAAGAATCAGAAAAGCAACAGCAAACCAAACCCAAAATCCATAGAAGAAAAGAAATAATAAAGATCAGAGCAGAAATAAATGAAATTGAAATAAAAAAATACAAAAGATCAATGAAACAAGTTGTTTTTTGAAAAGTTAAACAAAATTGCCAAAACTCTAGCCAGACTAAAAAAAATAGAAGATCTAAATAAATAAAATCATAAATGAAAGGGAAGACATTACAACTGATACTGCAGAAATTCAAAGGATCATTATTGGCTACCATTAGCAAGTATATGCCACTAAATTGGAAAATCTAGAAGACATGGACAAATTCCTAGATACATACAACTTACCAAGATTGAGCCAGAAAGAAATCCAAAACCTGAACAGGCCAATAACAATTAATGAGATAGAAAATGTAAATAAAAATTCTCCTGGTAAGGAAAAGCCCGTGACCTGATTGCTTCACTGCTGAATTCTACCAAATATTTAAAGAAGAACTAGTAATAACTAATCCTACTTAAACTATTCTGAAAATAGAAGAAATACTTCCAAACTCATTTTATGAGGCCAGTATTACACTGATACCAAAACAAGACAAAGGCACATCCAAAAAAACAAACAAACAAAACAAAAAAAACTGACCAATATCTCATAAATATTGATGCAAAAATTCTCAACAAAATACAAGTCAACCAAATTCAACAATATATTAGAAAGATTATTCACCATGACCAAGTGGGATTTATCCCTGTGATGCAGGGATGGTTCAACATACATAAATCAATCAACATGACACATCATGTAAACAGAATAAAGGATAAAACCCATACAATCATTTTGAATGATGCTGAGAAAGCATTTGATAAAATTCAGCATCCCTTCATGATAAAAATCCTTGAAAATGTGGGTATAAAAGGAACATATCTCAACATAACAACAGCCATATACTTCAGACCCATAGCTAGTATCACACTGAGTGGGGGGGAAAAAAAAACCCGAAAGCCTTTCCTCTAAGAACTGGAACACAACAAGGATGCCCACTGCCACTATTGCTATTCAATGTAGCACTGGCAGTGCAAGCTAGAGCATCAGACAAGAGAAAGGTATAAAAGGCATCCATACTGGAAAAGAAGTCAAATTATTCTTATTTGCTGATGATATGATCTCATATTTAGAAAAACCTAGATTTCACAAGAAAACTAATAGAACTGGTAAAAAAAAAAAAAAAAAAAAAGCTCAGCAAATTTGCAGGATAAAAAATCAATATACAAAAATCACTAGCATTTCTATATGCCAACAGTGAACAATGTGCAACAGAAATTTAAAAAGTAATCCCATTTATAATATCCAAATATAGAATTTGATACCTAGAAATTAACCAAAGAAGTGGAAGATTTTTATAATGAAAACTATAAAACACTCATGAAGGAAATTCAAGAGGACACCAAGAAATGGGAAAATATGTTTATGATTGAAAGAATCAATATTGTTAAAATGTCCATACTACCCAAAACAATCTACAGATTCAATGCAATCCCTATAAAAATACCAATAACAGTCTTCACAGATGCATAGACAACTATAACACGATAGCCCCGAAATAAAACTGCACACCTACAACCAACTGATATTTGACAAAGTTGATGAAAACAAACAATGGGGAAAGGACTCCCTATTCAATAAATAGTGCTGGGATAACTGCCTAGGGATTTGAGAAGATTGAAAATGGTACCCATCCTTATATCACATAAAAAATCAACTCAAGATAGATTAAATAATTAAATGTAAAACCTAAAACTATAAATATCCTGGAAGATAACCTAGGAAATACTATTCTGGACATGATGGGCCCTGGCAAAGATTTCATGAGAAAGACACTAAAAGCAATTGCAACATAAATGAAAATTGACAAATAGGACCAAATTAAACTAATGGGCAAAAGAAACTATTAAGAGAGTAAACAGACAACCTACAGAATGGGCAAAAATATTTGCCAACTGTACATCGGACAAAGGTCTAATATTCAGAATCTATAAGGAACTTAAACAAATTTACAAGTAAAATCAAACAACTCATTTAAAATGTAAGCAAAAGACAGGAAGAGATGCTCTTCAAAAGAAGACATACACATGGCCAACAAGCATATGAAGAAATGTTCAACATCACTAATCACTAGAGAAATACAAGTCATATCTACAATAAGATACCATTTCACACCAGTCAGCATGGCTATTATTAAAAAGAAAAAATGCCAGATGCTGGCGAGGTTGTGGAGAAAAGGGAATGCTTATACACTGCTGCTAGGAACCTAATAGTTCAGCCACTGTGGAAAGCCATCTGGCAATTTCTTAAAGAACTTAAAAACAGAAATACCATTCAACCCAGCAATCCCATTATTAAGTATATACTCAGAGGAATAAGTTCTACCAAAAATTGTTCTCGTATGTTCATCACAGCACTATTTACAATAGCAAAGACATGGAATCAACCTAGATGCCCATCAATGGTAGACTGGATGAAGAAAATGTGGTACATATACACTATGGGACGTTACACAGCCATAAGAAAGAATGAGAACATGTCCTTTGCAGCAACATGAAAGGATCTGGAGGTCATTATCTTAATTGAACTAACACAGGAACAGAAAACCAAATACCACATATTCTCACTTATAAGTGGAAGCTAAACGTTGAGTACACATGGACGCAAAGAAGGGAACAACAGACACTAGGATCTGCTTGAGGTGGAAGGTGGGAGGAATTTAAGGATTGAAAAACTACCTATCAGGTAACTATGCTTATTACCTGGGTGACAAAATAATCTGTATAGCAAATTCCCAAGACATGCAATATGACTACATAACAAACTTACACATGTACCCCTGAATCTAAACTAAAAGTGAAAAAAATAAAAAGTTAAAAATTAAAAAGTAAAAATTAACTATGCAAGCCAGAGACAGAGAAATACTGAGAAAGTACTGTAGGAAAAAATGCTGTCAACTTAGAATTCTACACAGAGCAAAAATATCTTTCAAAAAATGAAGTTGGAATAAAGACAGATTTAGATAAACAAAAGCTGAGATCATTCACTGCTGGCAATCTCATTCTAGCAGAAATTTATATATATATATAAATACATATATATAGTAGTATATATATATATAGCTCTAGTAGAGTTTTACATATATACATATAAATGTGTGTGTATACACATACACACACACATATATGTGTGTGTTTTTTTGACACAGGGTCTTGCTCTGTTGCTCATGCTGGAGTGTAATGGCATGATCATAGCTCACTGTAAACTCGAACTCCTGAACTCAAGCTATCCTCCTACTTTTGTCTCCTTGGTAACTAGGACTATAGGCATAAGACACCATATCCAGCTAAAATTTTCATGTTTTGTAGAGACAGGGTCTTGATATATTGTCCAGTTTGGTCTCAAACCCCTGGCCTCAACCAATCCTCCCACCTCAGCCTCCCAAACTGCTGGGATTTACAGGCATGAGACACTACACCAGGCCTAGAAGAAATATTAAAGGAAGTTCTCAGCAGAGGAAAAATGATAACAGATGCAAATGTTGATCTGCACAAATTAATGAAGAGCATTTGGAGATGGTGCACATGTGGTTAAGCACAAAAGACAGTTTTCTCAAATTTTATCTTCTTAAAAGTTTAAAAATCACATTAAGCAATAATTGCATTAAAATTCCGAGTAATAGTTGAAAATTCCTGGAATAAATAAGAAAGCAAGACCAAACTATATGCTGTCTTAAAAATATTTTTAGCAACAAATATATGGATAAAATAATAGGAAGGTACAGATACAGTGTTCGAACATTAAACCAAAGAAAACTGAAGTTGCCATGTTAGTATCAGACAATATAAAGTATAAGAAATTATGAAGAAGCCATTTGATAATAACAAAGAAGTCAATTCATCAAGAAGACATTAAAAACCTAAATATGTATACATCTAAGAGCCTCAAAATACATTTCAAACACTGAATTTAGGCTGGGTGTTGTGGCTTATACCTATAATGCCAGCACTTTGGGAGGGTGTGGCAGGATTGCTTGAGACCAGAAGTTTGAGACTAATCTGGGTAACATAGTAAGATCCTATCCTCAGAAAACAATATAAAAAGTATCTGTGTGTGGTGGTACACACCTGTAGTCCTAGCACTCAAGATGTTGAGGCAGAAGAGTCCTCTGAGTCAAAAAGTTTGAGGTTACAGTGAGCTATGATCATGCCACGGCACTCCAGCCTGGGTAGCAGAGTGAGACCTTGTCTCTAATAAAACACAATTGACTTTAAAGAAAAAATTGATAAGTTTAAATTAAATTTGGAAATTTCAACACTTCTTTTCAATAAATTAGAGAATAGGTAAATTATACTCAACACGCAGCAATATATTGAAAGGATATCCTATCAATAAATGTAGAAAGAACACTGACAAAATGCAACACCCTTTCTTGATATTTAAAAAAAAATTATCACCAATGGTGTAGAAGGGAACCAGCTCAACCTATCTCTTTGATAAAAGGCTTCTACCAAAACAAACAAACAATTACAGCTAGTATCATGTTGTTAGTGGTAAAAAACAAACAAACAAACAAAACAGAAACTAAATGACTTCATCTTAATATCAGGATGAAGGGAAGAATGTCTTCCACCACTTCTATTCCAGTAATAGCTACTGCAATAAATTGAGAAAAAGGAGTAGGAGAAAAACATATTGGAAGTAAAATCTTTTGTATCCAAAAATGTTATGGTTTTTGTTGTTGTATAGCATAAGGTATATCCAAAAATCTGCTAGAACCAGAGAGTGATTTTAATAAACTCATAGTATACAAGGTCAATAAACAAAATTTAAGTGTATATCAGCGTAATCCCAATAGATTATAATTAAGAAACCAATATCATTTACAATAGCATCAAAACACAAAATACTCAAGATTAATAAGATTAATTTAATAAAATATGTGTAAGATTAATTTAATAAAATATGTGTAATTTAATTTAATAAAATATGTGTAAGACATGTACGCTAAAACTATATACTTTGCTCAGATAAATTAAAGACCTAAATAAATGGAGAATACAATATGTTAATGGATCCGAACACTCGATATTGTTAAGCCAGTAATTCTTCCCATATTTATCTGCATATTCAATGCAATCCCAATCAAAATCTCAGTAGGCTTTTTGTACAAGCTGATAAGCTGATTCCCATATTTATTTAAAAATATGAATGCTCCCAGGTAGCCAAAAAAATGGTGAAACACTGAGAGACTTGTACTACTTTATTATGAGACTTAATCTAAAGCTATAGTTGTCAAGCCAGTGTTCTATCTGAGGAAAGATAAACTTACAGATCAGTTTAACAAAATAGAGTTCTCTTCAACTTCTACTGTCAAAAGAAGTTGAACAAAGGCTAGGAGGCACATAAAATGATGCCTATTGTTGTTAAGCGTTATGAAAATGCAAAGCAAAACTTCAGTGTGATAGCACTACACATCCAGTAGAATGGGTAAAGTGACGGACAATACCAAATGTTACTAAAGATGTAGAGAACTGGAACCCTAAAACAGTACTCTAAGGAATGCAAAATCCTACAGCCACTTTGAACAACGGTTGGGAAGTTTTTTATAAAATTAACTATATAGTACTATTTAACTCAGAAATTCCACTCATGGGTATTTAATCAAGAAAAATGAAATCACATGCCCTCAGAAAGACTTATATTCAATTGTTTAAAGCAGCTTTACTCAAGATAGCCAAAACCTGAAAACAAATGAAATGTACATCAACAAGTAAATGAACAGAAAAATTATGGTACATCCAAACTTAGCAATAAAAAGGAACCAACAATTGATGCCTGCATCAACACAGATGATTAACATAATCATTATGTTAAGTGAGAGAAACCAGAATCAAAGGGCTACATACTGTATGATTCCATTTATGTGACATTCTGGAAAAGACAAAACCTTAACGTTGCCAAATGCTGAAATTGGGGATAAAGAATGCCGAAAAAAGAGGCATGAGTTATCACTGAATCTTGATTGTGGTAGTATTTATACTATTGTGTATATACATCAAAAGTCATCATATCATACAGGTAAAATGGGTAAATTTTATTGTATGGAAATTATACCTGAAGTTGATTTTAAAATTATAGAATAACATATTCAGATTTCTTATTTTACTTTTTAGCAAAAATGCATGATGTGACAGAAAGAATAATGTGTTCACAGCCAGAGAGGGAAAGAGGAGACTATGATAGAAAGTGGAATGACAATTAATGGAGACAAATCCCTTCTATATGTAAGACACTTATGAGATTTTTATGTGTTTTTTATTTTTTTTTATAAATGAAGAAAGAATTGCCAGCTTTTGACTTAATTTAAATAAAACAATTTAGTCAGTAAAGTGTTTGAGCAAAAGATCTGATGTGTTTCTAAAATTTGTATTCTGGCCAGTATCCCCATGCTGTTTCTCTCACCCTGCAGAATAGACTTCCGGACCCAGATCTAACTCTTACTCTCTGTGCAAATTTTTACGTGTTACATAATCTCCCTAAACCTATTTTATTTCCTGTACAATGAAGTCAAGATTTACTAAATTTACAAGATGGTTGTAAGAAGCAAATAAATCCATGTGTGTGGTAGTACTTTATAACCATAAGGTATTAAACAATGTAATTGCTATTTTTCATTGTCTCACTATAATGAATTGTGGGAATTTAAATTCTGAACCTCATTATTCACTAAATCAATGAGCACCCAGGTCACTGGCTATATCAGAAAATACGGTGAAGATTCAACATTTTAAGATGGTCAAAGAACACCCCTACCATATTAAACAAGGGCTGTTTAGCAACTCTGAGTTCCACCACTGCAATAAAAATGCAAGACCATTGAAAAAAGGATTGAGAAGGTCAAATACCTCCCCCACAGAAGGTTGGAGCAAGGACCCAGGAAAAATTAAGCTGTCCAGAGGTATGTGACTCTGCATGGATAATAGTCTATGCAGCAATAGTCTCTGGCAGCAATGTCTGAAGGAATTTATCAACACTATGTTCTACCATTACTTTATTTACCTAAATTAAGGGGCAAAGTCTGCATATGTTTTTTATGACGTAAGTTCATCTGGATACGTACATCAATAAATCTCAGGAAAAAAAAAACTCACTGCAAAAGTCCTTGTCATTGTTATCGTTTAAGCACTTGCCTATAATTAATTATGCATTTACAACTCCAATACCAAAAATAAATTCCAAACATTGCTACTATATATTCAGCATATAGTAGGAAATTTCATCAAATAGTAGCAGTGAATTTCAACGTATAGTAGCAATGAATTGCAGCGTATAGTAGCACGGATGGCTGAATGTCAGCCAGCAGTGAACAGAAAGGGAATATAAAGTAGAGATGTGACTGCTGATTGTTTGTTTTTTCCCTATGGAATTTCAGCATCTTGACACACATTGACCAAGGCATCCTTAGATTGACTGAACTTTAGACAGGCTTCTTTCTGACTATAGGCCACCAAAGTTCCTTATCTTATTCTTAGAGCATTCATTTTAGAACACTTGCCATTGTCAATTATTTCTCTGCCTCTGCTTCTTAAGATGCAAATCTTCTCCCATCCTCTTGACTTTGAAATATAATCATCAAGAAAGATAGGCAGGCCGGGCACAGTGATTCACCCTTGTAATCCCAGCACTTTCAGAGGCCAAGGCGAGTGGATCACCTGAGGTCAGGAGTTTGAGAACAGCTTGGCCAACATAGTAAAACCCCATCTCTACCAAAAATCCAAAAATTAGACGGTGTGGTGGTGGGCGCCTGAAATCCCAGCTACTCAGGGGCTGAGGCAGGAGAATCACTTGAACCCGGGAGGCAGACATTGCAGTGAGCCAAGATCGCACCACTGCACTCCAGCCTGAGGCACAGAGTGAGACTCCGTCTAAAACAAACAAACAAACAAAAGATGGGGCCTCTATTTCCCAATCTCTGTGGGGAATGTGGGAGTGTAACTTTAATAAGCAACAATTAGTGAACACAGATGGCCTAATCACACTGACTAACCTCTCCCGTAATACCCTCCAGTACTTTTCCATTAGTTCACCCAGCATTTAAAAATCCTCTCACCTTTTGTTTCAACAGAGTTGAATTCAATCTCTTCCCCACTGCAGTAATCTTGACCCCTATTGCAATAGTCTTAAATAGTTTTTCTTGCCATTTTGGTAGGTGTCCAGTCCAATTCTTTTACCACCATACACATGCAAACTATTTATTTGCCATGATAATGCACAAGCAAGCAGTGCATTTCAGTTTACAAACTGATTTTGATCTAGGGTATTATTGAAGCACTGTAAGAAAGAAATAATACCACTGTGTTCAGGAAAGTGAGTCTAATACTCAGAGAAATTAAGACATTACTAAAGTTGTAGTTATTAAGAGGTCTAAAACTTGAACCCCAGGTATTTATGTCCAAGTCTAAAGCTCTTCCAACTGCATCTCACTGACAGCGGTGCTCTAAGAAACACCTCAACAAAGTTATGTTCTGAAAAAATATGCAGATATTTAACAACACTTACTGATTTATCAAGACTTCCTGAGGGAAAGCAAAATAGATTTGGAAATATCCTGAGAGCAAACTCATTTGTTGATCTAACATCATGGCTAAAATAAAAAATAGATGGCATTTTGTTCTTGCTATAATAATACTAAAGCTGAGTTTAACATCCAAGATTATTAATGAGATCATAATTATTTTGTTATAGTAATATTAGTAAATATGTTCTATTATTACAGCATGCACACATTTTTGTAGCCACATGGAGATTTTAGGCAGAAAAAATCATTGCCCTCAAATTTTACTATAAGTAGAGCTAAGATGTAATTGTGTATGTTTTATTTAAAAGTGTTTAGATAGTATATTCCTTCCTTATGCATTATCTTCCTTACTGTTACTTGAATAATGAAAAACACAAAGAGTTTTAAAAAGTGTGATTGTCCTTTTTCTATCTCATCCTCCCTGTCTACTGAATCCTCAAAGTAGAATTAGTTAAAACATGATTTTCTTAAGAATTTCCAATCTTGATAATAAATGACCATAGAACTGTTGAAGCATGGTGTGCTAGTTTTTATTGTGCTCTATATGCAGTATCAGAACTGTTTGAATAATTATGAGATTATCTGACAGATTGTGAAGAGGACTAGAAGACAGAAACAGAAAAAAAAGTAGGCTACATTTACTTTACAGATCAGCATCTGTAAGTAAATTCACTGTCACATCTCTTCTTTCTGGCTTAAATTTTTAGACACTGGAATAATGGAAAGTAAAACCAAAATCTTCATTTCGTTAATTTGAACAGTATCCATGCTGAGAAAAGTACTAACAATGAACTCTTTATAAACAAATGCAAACACACACATACATAATTAGGTACACAGAAACCTTGAGCTGCTTTCAAGCATACTCCAAGATTTTAATATTCAGTCTAATGAAGTATTCTGATTACTTGAGACTAACTGCATATGCCAGAGCTAGGTTGTCTGTTTTTCAAATCAGAATATGTTTTCTTAAGAATTTGAATTACTTTGCATGGTTTTTGTCCATTAGAACCTACTGTAAGAATTCTTGGTGCCATAGGGTCAATATCCAAAGCATTGGTCATTGTTTTGTAAACGTGCAAAATCAGTTTCAAGGAATCAGTTTCAAGGAATCTTTTATATATAAAAGATTGTTTATGGCATGATTTAGGGTATCTAGTTATAATAACTGATAACTCCAGTTACTTCAAGGATCATTGTGAAAATCTAAAATAATAAGGCAAATTATATTTACTTTACTTTAATGTTACCTGTGAAGTCACAGCATGGTCTTTCCAGAAGTTCTGAGGAGGTAGGGAACTTTTGGCAGAGAGATTGACAATTCAAACAGATAGTGACTTCTTGAGAGCATATCTCTTGTCTTATTTATCTCTTTATTTCCCCCATATCGCTTAGCATGGAGCCTCACACAAAGTAAATGGCCAATAAGTGCTAAGCTGACAGTGTTAGACTTTTAAAGATCCATGAATTTTTCATCTAAATATGAGTTGTTGAAGTGTTGGGTAAGTCTAGTATTAGCAGGCACTTGGTTATTAAAGAATAAAAGCCCTTTTAGACTTTATACAAAATTCGTTGCCTACTTTATTGAAATCCTTCATGTCCTCCAATAGATTCCTTTCCATATACTGGAATCCTCACAGCCACAGGGCTTTCATGATATGTCAAAATACTAGTAGATTTGGAACTTCATCATGGTGATTACAAAAAAGTATTTAGTGTTGTTCTTCGATCCCTCCAATAACGAGAGCAAAACTGAACTTCTGGGCATCATTGCCAAGATACAAACAAGGAGAATGCAGAATTTAAATTTGCAATCCTATAAAAAAGAATTCTCCCTGACCAAAGCAAGTGCCCCTGCTGTTCACCTTTAGCAATAACTTCTTATTGCTCCACTTCAAAGTCTTCAGAGGCAGTGAAATTGAGGATCTTCAGGTACTTCCCTAACATAGGGGTTTCTAGGAGCTAAATAAGATAGAAGCTCCACAATACATTCCTGCACAGTAGGGAGAAAAAGTGATTTAATTTCTCCAGAGGACTACAATATGTACTTATAGCTAGATAAGAGAAATCTGGATGATCATTCACGAGAACTATGGGCAAATCTTATGTTCTCAGACACCTCTTATAAGAGCACCAAATGTCACTTAAATCAGTGATTCCATAGGAAATAATCCTCCATTTATTTCCTTCCTAGGATTTTGAAGCATAGCACCAAGGGGGAAAAAAAGGAATCAACTTCTAGGCTGAGTTAGGAGAATTGGAAAAAAAAATGGTGTGATTATTTTTATTTATAAATTTCTCTCCTTCATGAACATAACATTAAAAATTTTAACGTATTTTTAACCACACTTATTTTAATTAGTAAATGAACTGACAGATGCTGATATTGTTAGTCCTCAGCTTAAAGGTATTATTTGAAAGATCAGTGGGAGAAGCCTTAGCTCAATGATGTCCTGGATGATTACTGACACTCAGGCATGCCAGCTGTGCTAACCGACCTTTTCTTTTGCTGAAACAATTTATTCCCCTCATGCTACCACCTCCTGCAGTTCAAGGGAATGTATATTTCATTTCAAAGGATGAAAAAGAGGAAAACGACGTACAGATAGATACAGATACTTTCAAATGATCATTTCTTTGGGACAATAATAAATCTATTACCTAGAAAATGTCAAGTTTATTAACATATTCACATAGGAATCATAATAGGGAAGTAAATAATGTAAGGTGAAATGTTACCATGTGAAAACTGTTTTAACATTTGGCTTAGAAGACAGACTGAAGTTGGAAAATACAATAAAATATGCACAAGCACTAAGTAAACAGCAGAAGATAATAGCAACCCATTGGTAATACCTTGTCATATTTATTGATAAATCAATTTAGAGTTTGATCACTATAATATCTACGTGACATTGTCAGGGCAGATAATATACGGTCTTTCTTACCTTTGATGGAATTCACAAGGCATAAAGTGGAAGAAAGATATTCCTTCCGAATCAGAAATATTCTCTATGAGGTAATCTTACTACTTTTCACTCATTGATGATTGATCACTTGTTTTTCTTCTTTTGCTTACAAAATACAATTTAAGA
This sequence comes from Homo sapiens, assembly GCF_000001405.40. Classification (NCBI taxonomy): domain Eukaryota; kingdom Metazoa; phylum Chordata; class Mammalia; order Primates; family Hominidae; genus Homo; species Homo sapiens. The sequence goes on from NC_000003.12 coordinate 192,107,348, forward strand.
GGATACACACACACACACACACACACACGAAAAAAAAAGCTAGCACTCTGCAAGCACAGTAATCCTGACTTGTTCCTGCCTGATATGAAAGAGTTCACATTGCAGTTAAGGATAATGTCATGTTACGAGGGTAAAAGCCACACTCATATGGATTTTATAAATCACGTATGGAGGACGACTCATAAGGCAGTCCAGTGGATGTCACCAACAATTTATGGTGAGAAAGAATGGAAGGTGAGAGGAAACGGATGAAGACTGATCTCATTTACCCTGTGGTTGTTGAAGATGAAATTCTATATATGTGAAGATGGGTATTTGACTTGATAAAATAGATATAAGGAAAAGTAATAAGTACTACATGTGATTTTAATATCATACACAACATATAGCTCTGAGAGGCGGAAGAGGATGGTGGTTTAGGACAGGAGCTATGGAGCAACATTGCTAAGGAAACTTATTTCAGCCATTTCTAAGGCGTGTGACTCTTGGCAAGTTACTTTACTACCTTTTATTTGCTTTATCATCTGCCAAAGCCTCAGAGGATATTTTTTAAAAACTTAATTCATATAAAGCACTTAGTAGTTCCTGGCACATAGAAAACACACAATAAGCGTGAGTTTCTACTATTATTTTCAAAAGTATGAAGTTAATAACGTTCAAATATTTTCCAGAAAAAAATTGTGAAAGTAAGAGGATCTTATTTAAAATTGGTAATACACAAACCTCTGAATCTGTTATGACACAAACAGATTTTCTCCTTGATAAGATCAATGATTAATCTCCAATTACCTTCAATTGACTTACTAACAAGAAACAGTAAGAGGTAAGCTTCAGATACACAGAGATTTATGACTTAACACTTGCTGCTGTCAGGAATTACTCACAATCCTTTAGAAATCTAAAGATTCATGTGATATTAAAGGTGTAGAGCTGTATATCCCCAATGTAATTATTGATTTTATTCCCCTATTTATATTGCCTACTCTCCAACGTTCTTAAGATCTAATGAGATGGGAACAATAAGATTCTTATTGCTGTAAGTGGCCCACATTGTTTGGTTTTTATCTTCTTCCTTAGACTTAGAGATAATAAAACATGGACACATCCTCTCTCTCTTCCTAGGACTATGGAAATGAATGAAATAATTTGAAGTATGTAGTTCATTTGTTTTCAGCATCAATGATCCTTTTTCAAGAGTGCTGTACTTATCTATGTCAGTATTTCTGCTCCCTTTCCACAGTTCCCACCAGGAACCATGCCAAATCTAACCAGACTCCAAGCTACCTTCCTGTGAGCCTTTTATCTCTGCATGTGCAATCTTCTCTATTATAATTTTTGAATATCTAGGCTCAAAGTAGGAGAGGCCCTGAGCGATTTAAATTTTGATAATTATGAACAATAGTGTCAATTTCCTGGGGCTGCCATAACAAAGTACCATAAACAGGATAGCTTAAAACAACAAAAATTTATTCTCTCATAGTTCTGAGAACTAGAAGTCTGGGGGCTGGTGTCAGCAGGGCCATGCTCCCTCTAAGATTCTGGATAAAATCTTTCCTTGCTTCTTCCTAGCTTCTGGGGGTGCCCATAGATCCTTGGCATTCCTTGGGTTGCAGCTACATCACTCCAATCTCTGCCAGTAATTACATGGTGTTCTCCCTATCTGTGTTATCACATGCCACTTCCTCTTCTTATAGAGACTCCAGTCTTACTGTATTAGGGCCCACACTAATGACCTCACCTTAACTTGATTGTATGTGCAAAGACCTTATTTCCAAATAAGGCACATTCACAGGTGCTATGTATTAGGATTTAAACATATCTTTAGGGATGATATAATTCAATTCATAACAAGGAATTTATAAACTATGACATTAGCAAATATATTCTTTTTTTATGTTTATTCCCCAAACTGCTCAGAATAATGCTTTAAACGTAGAATATTAAAATGCATACTGATTTGAATTTAATTTACTTTTATCCCCATGGTAACATAAGGTACACTATAGTTCCCTGATAACACTAAAGAATAAAGTTCTAAGTTAGAAAAATATTTGTACCTTGTGATGACTATAATTATTTAGTGGAATGAAAGAGATTTTTCTGGAAATCATGGTTAGTTTCTTGTTGAATTGTGTATAAATAGTTAGAGTCAGGAAGTTTTAGACTGCATTTCTTTGGGTTTTTCTTTAGCTTCCCAATCACTTTTTCACCTTTAGAGGTTCTATTGATTTTCCTCACTGTGTCAGTCTTTGGAAACAAGAGTTTGCTAGTTACTTGTAAAAGTCACCTAAGTAGCCATCTGGGAAGCAGAAAACATGGGTTTTGATTCCATATTGACCAACTATCTAGATGTCTGACTTTGGAGAACTGTCTTTATGAGGATTGTCATGCATTTCCTAACCCTCTCTTTCCCACGTTTGTTTGATGAGGGATTTAGAAATCTAAAATATAAAATTTTTTTCCAACTAAAATGATTTTTGCTTTTTATGGTACCTCTGTGCCATCTCATAAGTTAGGTATGTGGATTTAACAAGCAAACATTAAGAACATGTATTTTACCTCTAACTTCAGATATTCTTAAATATTAAATTATATAAATATAGGTATAATTATACAAGGAGTGAACACCAGATCTTATTTTGTCTATCTACCAATATGTGCAAATGGAAAGGCTTAATTTTCAGGACTCTGTAATGATAATGATATTTATGACTATGGCCTTGCTGAATGACTAAGGAAATTTAATTATATTCTTTAATTTAGGTATTCAGGCCTAGAATCTTAAAATTCTGTTTCTCAGGCCAGGATTTCTTGATAAGGCACCACACCGAGGCTTAGTATATAGCCTTAGTTCTAGGTGTATATTATGTCATAACTATTTAAAAAATATACTTGTGTTTATAGATGCTACTTCTCAACCAGCCAGAATAGTCATTCAACATGTACAACCAATCAGCAATTCTTCCACAACAACAGGAGTTCATCACATCTATTACATGCAAAATCCATACATCACTAAGAAGTTTTTCAAACTCAGGCTCCTGGCTTTTGTAAATTTCACTTAATAAACCAATTAAGCTGTATTCATTATAATCCTTGGAGGGTTATCCACCAAGACAATGCTCTTGCAACTAAATTGTCTAACTGAAATATGTTCGATCTGTCTAAAATTGCCATTGAACCATTTTACTGTTGCAGACCAGCAAAATTTGGATGGGATTTGGATTCATCTAGCAACTTGGGAGACAGATGGTGTTAAAAAAGATACAAATGTAGCAGCTTCTACTGATTCTTAATATGCCCCGTTTTTGTTGTCTTAAGCATTTTCATCAGTAAATGAAACACTTGTTTTAAGTCAATGATTTGCATATTAAGTTGGGAGAAAAAAACGTAAGGCAATAACTAAAAACTTGGGCTATTACTGCTGTAGGGAGGCAATTTTCCAGAAAGAAAAAAAATCCTTAATTTTTGAAAGACATGACTCTATAATTATTCATTAATTTACTCACACATTTATTTACCCAGTAAACGATTTTGAGCAGTAGTCATGGTAGCTACCATGATAACCCTTGGGGTTGGTTATAAATCTAATTAAACTATGATTCTTGCTCTTAGACAACCTCTCAAGTAGAAAATGAACCATGAATAGAAAACTATCAAACAAGTTAAAAAGTTGAAAGTGCCATAAAAGATAAAGTACCACCAAAATTCAGACATGAGAGGACTACTTGCAGCCAAATTCATGAGAAAAAAATACATTTATGTTAGAATTTCTAGGCTGTTTTCAATAAATGGAGATGAAAAGGTAGGCATATGTGGCACTGCTTGTAAATCTAAGAAGACTAGCGAAAACTCGAAGCTAATGAAAGGAAAAGAAACTATCTAGAGCAGTCAGAGATAAAATTGGAAAGATTAGTTATTTTGAACAATGATTAAAAGGTTTGCACTTTACTAAGCAATAAGGAGCAATTAAAACTCTTTGCTAGAGGTATGTTACGTTTAATGAGGTTTACTTAGTAATGATGTATAGGATACTTTAAAGGAGCAAAAAGTAGCCTGTGGTCCCAGCTACTCAGGAGGCTGAGGCAGAAGGATCACTTGAGCCCAGGGATGGAGGCAGCAGTGAGCTGCGATCATGTCACTGTACTACAGCCTGGGCAGCAGAGTGAGACCGTGTCTCAAAATTAATAATAATAATAATGGAAGGAAGAAATAACTCTTAGAGTAGAGGTGTGTTTCTTTCCTCCAGATAGAAAAACAAAGGCTTAGTGGATATAAAAACTGAGGCAAACATAATGAGAAGAGAAGATAACTGAAACAAGTTCTATTTCCTTTGACATTTTCCTCGTATAGAAGAGACAATCATGTTTACAAAAATGTAGTGGTAGCAACAAGACCCTTAAGAAGGTGGAAAACTTTTCCATTGACTATAGAGTCAACTGGAGAAAAAAAATGGGAAGTAGCTATAACATTACAACATGAGTTCACAGTGAACCCAATTAGCAGTTTTTAAAAATGTCTTCATTTGCTCTCAATTATGGATTGAGATATATCTGACTTTGGGGGCTGCCATGGCAATAATTCATGGAAACAAATCATTGATTCATTTATTCATTATTTCACTTTTTTTTATTTTTAAAACTTGACACAAATATTCTGGGAACCCGCTATGTTCAAGGTGTGATGCTGGAATATACTTGCAATATAGCAGTAAACAAAATACAGTTCCTGCCCGCATGGATCTTATACTCTGATCAGGCAGAATACAAATTAGTAGGCAAATATATTGCAGTAAATGTTATAGTAGAGCCTGTACACATGGTTATATGACTACATAGAAGAGCCCTCTAACACCTACATGAAAGCATGAAAGGTTTCCTAGGAAAAACTAAACTGTGATTAACAGAGAATGGAGATGAGTGTGTGTGTGCATATATATATATATATATGATATTATATTATATATTATATATAAAAATAGTGAAATAATGAATAATGAATCAATGATGAGTATATATATATATATATATATATATATATACTCATCTCCATTCTTTGTTAATCACAGTTTAGTTTTTTGTGCATGTACATACATACACACAGTATATAAATATAAGCCCAGAACATTAGATGTGTATTCATATGTCAGTAGGACAGTGATACTGTGAAATATAAACTTGGTCTTAGTCCCCATTTCCTGACATACAACTCCTAAAGCCCTTGAAATCTTCAGAGTGATGAGTGTCTTTTGGATACTCATGACATGACTGGTGGCTGGGGGCCCCTAGACAGCTTCAGGATGAGGGCCAGTCACCTAAAAGACCAAGGGAGGATTAGAGGGTTGGGAGTTTCAACCCTAACCCTCTAACCTTTAGGGAGGGGAGAGGGGCTAAAGGTTGAATTAATTACCAATGGCCAACCATATGATAAATCATGCCTATTAAATAAAGGTTCCATAAAAACCGAAAGGATTGGGTTCAGGAGCTTTTGGATTGCTGAACACATAGGGGTTCTTAAAGGGTGGCACACCCAAAAAGAACATGGAAGCTTTGCACTTTCTCCCATACCTCACGCTATACATCTCTTTCCTCTGGCTGTTCATCCCTATCCTTTGTAATATTCTTTATAATAAATGGGTAAATGTAAGTAAAGTGTTTCCCTGAGTTCTGTGAGCCACTCTAGGAAATTAAAGGAACCCATGCAAGGGGTCATGGGCACTTTCCATTTACACCCAGTTGGTCAGAAGTCTAGGTAAAAACCTGCAGTTATGACTGGGTCTGGAGTGATGGGCAGTCTTGTGAAACTGAGCCCTCAACCTGTGGAATCTGACTCTACCTCCAGGTAGATAGTGTCGATGTTGAATTGAAAACACCAGGTAGATGATGTCCACTGCAGAACTGCTTGGTGTGTAGCTAAAAACCCCCACGCATCTGATGTCAGAAAGGGATGTGTTGAATGGCTATGTGAAAGTAGGAAAGGAGAAACACTGATTTTTTTTCTGTTTTCTTTTCTTCTCTCTTCTTCTTCTTTTTTTTTTTGAGACATAGTCTCGCCCAGGCTGGAGTGCAGTGGCGTGATCTTGGCTCACTGCAACCTCTGCCTTCCAGGTTCAAGAGATTCTTGTGCCTCAGTCTCCCAACTAGCTGGGATTACAGGCATGCATCACAGTGCCTGGCTCTTTTTCTTGCATTTTAGTAGAGATACAGCTTCACCATGTTGGCCAGGCTGGTCTTCAACTACTGGCCTCAAGGGATCCATTCGCCTCAGCCTCCTGAAGTGCTGGGATTACAGGCGTGAGCCACCATGCTTGGCCAACACTAAGTTTTTTCCATCTCCTCCAGAGGGCTTAATGACAGAAATAGCTCAAAGACATTGCAGATTTTCTTCCAGACCATAGAAATAAAGAAATAAAGAAATAAAGAAATAAAGTGAATACTGTAATAAAGCAAGTCACACAAGTTTTTTTAATTTCTTGGTGTGTATAAAATATATGTTTACTCTATACTGTAGTCTGTTAAGTGTGCAATAGTATTGTTTCTAAAAATAAACTACAGATTTTAATTTAAGGATACTTTATTGCTAAAAATGCCAACAATCATCTGAGCCTCTAGTGAGTCCTAGCCTTTTTGCTGGTGGAAGTTCTTGCCCCCATGCTGATAGCTGCTGACTAATCAGGGTGGTGGTTGCTACAGGTCAGAGTGTGTTTGGCAACTTAAAAAAAAACACCATAATGAAGTTTGTCACATCAATTGACTCTTCCTTTCATGAAAGATTTATCTGTCACTGGTGATTCTGTTTGATAGTAAGACATCTTTCAAAATTGAAGTCAATCTTCATAAACCCTACTGCTGCTTTATCTACTAAGTTTATGTAATATTTGAGATCCTTTGTTGTCATTTCAACAATGTTCACAGCATCTTCACCAGGAGTGTATTCCATTTCAAGAAATGACCTTCGTTCATCCACAAGAAACAATATCTCATCCATTCAAGTTTTATCATGAGATTGCAAGAATTCAGTCACATCTGTAGGCTTCACTTCTAATTCCAGTTGTCTTTCTATTTCTATCACATTTACAGTTACTTCCTCCACTGAAGCCTTGAAACCCTGAAAGTCATCCATGAAGACTGGAATCAGCTTCTTCCAAACTCCTAGTAATGTTGATATTTTGGCCTCTTCCCATGGATCAAGAATGTTCTTAATGTCATCTGGAATTATGAAACCTTTCTAGAAGGTTTTCAATCTACTTTGCACCGATCTATTGGGGAATCACTATCTATGGAAGCTATAGCCTTACAAAATCTGTTTCTTGAATAATAAGACTTTACTCCTTGAGCCATGGGCTATAGAATGGATGTTGTGGTAGCAGGCATGAAAACATTACTCTTCTTGTACATTTCAATCAGAACTCTTGGCAATGAGGTGCATTCTCAATGAATGGTAATATTTTGAAAGCCTTTTTTTTTCTGAGCAGTAGGTCTCAACATTAGGCTTAAAGTATTTAGTAAACTATGCTGCAAATAAATGTGCTGTCATCTAGGCTTTGTTGTTCCTTTTCTAGAGCATAGGAAGAATAGACCTAGCATAATTCCTTAGGGCCCTAGGATTTTGGGAATGGTAAATGAGCATGGGCTTCCACTTAAAGTCACCAGCTGCATTATTTCCTAATGAGAATCAGCCTCTCCTCTGAAGCTTTGAAGCCAGGCATTGACTTTTCTCTAGTTATGAAAGTCCTAGATGGAATCTTTTCCCAATATAAGGATGTTTGATCTACATTGAAAATTTGTTGTTTATTGTAGCCATCTTTATCAATTGTCTTAGCTAAATCTTCTGGATAATTTGATGCAGCTTCCATATCAGTACTTGTGGCTCCACTTCATTCTCTTATGTTATGGGGATGACTTTTTTCCTTAAACCCCATGAACTAACCTCTGCTAGCTTCCAACTTTTCTTCTGCAGCTTCCTCAACCCTCTCAGCCTTCATGGAATTGAAGAGAGTTAAGGCCTGCCTTGCTCTGGATTAGACTTTAGCTTAAGTACATGTTATAACTGTTTTCATCATTTATCAAAGCTACTATAACCTTCTCCATACCAACCATAGTTTCGCTTTCTTATTATTTGTGTGTTCACTGGACTAGCACTTTTAATTTCCTTCAAAAACTTTTTCTTTACATTCACAACTTAGCTAACTGTTTGGCAGAAAATGCCTAGCTTTTGGCCTCTCTCAGCTTTTGACATGCCTTCCTCACTAAGCTTAGTTATGTGTGGCTTTCGATTTAAAGTGAGAGACATGTACAAGAGTTGGTGGAAGAAAATACAGGTTTATTCAAAAGCTGACAGCCTGAGGAGATGGTGGACACAACCTGAGGAGATGGTGTCACAAAAACATCTCAAAATTTTCAGGCTGACCAAAGGGATTTCAAGGAGAAAGGAACCATGGAAACTAAAATGCAGGAGTGGTGCAAGGCACAGGTCTACACGTCTTATTCCAATGGCTATCATGAGTAAAGGACCATCTAGAAGCCTGGCTGGTGTCAGCTTCACCATGACTGGGTTGTGGATTAACTGCTTGCTGATCCCTTCTCTGGAAAAAAAGTATCCTGAAATCTCGCCTTCATAGCTGAATGGTTTCAATATTAGTTCCTGGAAATCTTAAGCAAGTATATAGTTAGTCACGGAAAAGAAGAGTGTCAAGTGACAAGGGAGAAAGGGCAAATACGTATGTATAAAAGAATAGAAAAAAAAGGAGGTAGCCACTTATTTTTGGCTACTTTGTTTACAGTAGTGTATGGGTGTGATTTGTGGCTCCCCAAAACAATTACAACAGTAACATCAAAGATCATTGGTCACCGATAACCATAACAGATAAAATAATAATGAGAAAGTTTGAAAATTTGGGAGAATTATTGAAACCTGACCCAGAGACATGAAGTGACCATACGTTGGTGGAAAAATAGTGCCCATAGGCTTGCCCAAAGCAAGATTGCTACAAACCTTCAATTTGTAAAAATGCAGTATCTGTGAGGTGCAGAAGAGTGAAGCACAATAAAATAAGGTGTGCCTGTATTTATCTAGGACCTACTTTTGGCTCAGCTCTTTACTTCATATTATGGCTAATTAAGTCTGCTTCTCTTGAGTTTGGAATATCAGCATCTATGCCTTTCCAAATAAAACATACATTAAATCACAGTTATGTATTACTTATGTTATTCAAGCTACATTTTATCAATAGCTACTATGACCCACAGACAATGCTTGATAATTTTCAGGTGGAAAATATTTATCCCTGACTTCTCTCTCTCGCTCTATTATACAGCTATTTCTAATACATCAGCAAAGTCTGTTGAATTTACGTTCAAATTCATCCAGAATCCAACTACTTTCCATCTCAATTACTACCATGCTGGCTAAAGTCATCATCATTTCCCACTTTAATGTAAAACAGATTTTAGTAGGTGTCCATGTTCCTAGCTCTGCCCTCTCTTTAACATATCAACCAGAATGATCCTTTGAAAATATGTCCGCTTTGTCACTCCTCTGTTTAAAATCCTGTAGTGCTGAGCCACTTTACTTATAATAGAACTAAACTTTTACAAATTCCTTCAATATTCATTGGATACTGTGCTTCCAATCTGATGTATTTTTCTACTAACATTCTTCCCTTTCCATCTGACCCATCATCAGCCATAATTGGCTTCTTGCAGTTCTATATTTTTTTCCAGACATACTGTTTTTTTTCTGCAAGGAAGACTCTTCCTCTAGATGTCCTCTTAGCTAGATCTCACCTCTCCTTCAAGTCTTAGCTCATATATCGTCCTACCAATGATACCTACACTAACTCCCCTTATTTAAAACTACAAACTGCCTACAAAATATTCCTCAACTCACATACCACATCCTACTGCCCCATCTCTGTATTTCCCACGTAGCACTTTATAGCATACTTCACAGTTGACCTATTTGTCATTTTAATTATTTACTGTTTGTTTCTCTTCCCTGAATGATAAACTTCATAGAGAAAGTTTTGTATCCCACATGCTTAGAAAAATTACTAATAGCAGGTGCTCCATAAATATTTATCAAATAAATTAATACTTATTCTCAGTTGAATGCAAACCATCTTTCCATAAATGTGAGCACAATTCTAAATTTGTGATGATGCCCTGTTGGTACTGAATCATGTACTACTCTGTCTCTGAATACATCAATAATCTTAAGTACTCTAACATTTAGTACAGTTTTAAAATTATTATATTGAGAGTATAGGAAGGAGGTTGTGATCTTATTTTAATGAACAGCAAAACCTGTCTGTACACAGACTACCACAGTAAATTATGCTGTAAATCAAATTTAGGTGTGTACAACATTAGGGGTATGAATTTCATTATAATTTGCATACTGTGGCTCATTCAGAAAATTCACTAAGCACCCTTTGTATGCCAGGAATCATGTTTGGAAATAAGAGGATGAAGTGAACAGAATATTACCTCTAACCTTAAAGGAACTTATATTCCGAAAGGGAAGAAGGGAGTTGTCTGATGAAAAGACTCAATGGAAGCAGCAGCAGAAAGAGATTAAGCTAAAAATAGAAAAATCTCTAAAAAAGCACATATTTGAAAATTACATATCAAGGCTAAGCATCTTAGAAACTTCCTACTCATTGAGAGTATGTTTAATTTTATTACTCCTTGCAAGAAGCAAAGAGATAGGCAAGGAAAGGCCAATTATCCTGTAGAGTAGATTTTTGAGTTGAGCGCAACTGAAGCTTAAAAAAGGTGCATTATTAATTCCTTGGCAATTAAAAGGCATGTTCTAGTGAGAGCAACCTCTTTTTTTCTTCCTGGAGATCCTCATCTTCTCCACACTGCAGCCATTCTGCGTACAGTTTTACGCCTGCTATCTTAATGGTAATAATAATGACAACAATAATAATAAATAATGTGTCAAAATAATAGTAACAGCAATAATCATACAAATATGATTCATAAACATCTATGGATTATTTTATCTAGAAAGGGAGTAATTTACATCATCAATGTCTAATCTTGCAATCTTCATAATACTCTCCGTGGTCATTTTCTGTGGCCATCTCTACCATCCCCTCTATGACTTTATTTAGAGTTTTTCTCTTTAAGTGTTCAAGTACATATTTATTGTTTTTACCAATCTGCATATTCATTTTATCATCTATTAATTTTCATATATATAGTGTTTCCAGGTGTACCAAGTATTTTATCTGTTTCAATCTATTTATGTGTATCTATCTAGATATTACAAATCAAACCATCCTGCAAATATTGAATTTATCTCTACTTTAGCTATTATACACAAAGTCTCTGAAGTTCAGAATCTAAAGATCATCTAAGTCCAATTCTTTCAGTTTACAAATGGTGAAACAAATACATGGAAAGTTAAATTTATCTAAAATTGTTTACCTATATATGAAGAAGTCAGGTTTAGAAAACAATAAGATGTAGTAGCCGTTTTTGGTGAACCTCTAATCTTTGTATGACAGAACTCTCTTTGAATAAAACATAGAAAATTGGATGTAAATTTGACAGCATGGGAAAATATTTCATTCAAATAATCTAAACTACTTAGTATTTAGGTGGTTTTGTTTTTTTGTTGTTTGTTTGTTTTTGCCAGAATTTCATTCGTTTTTCAAGAATCCTTTTTCTGAGTGTTTAAAGCTACCACAAAGCTATGCTACAATTTTGCAAGAATACCCGATTTTAAAGATACCCATTATTCCTATGGCAAGAAGAGTACAATTCAAAATACCTTAATATGCAAAAGTCATCTGTTTACCATGCATTCTTCAGCCCTCTCCTTACACTTGAACGGATTTCAACAGACTTGAAAAATGCTTCCCTCAATGACAAGAATTCTTCAAACACATCTTAAAAGAGCAATTGATATTCATTCCTTAAAATTAGAATTATTTAACCTTTACATGATGAATCCAATCCTTCTTTAACCTTGTTCTTTATCATTTATAAAATGCTGGAATAATATTACACTTTGCCAAAATAAATTTAAAATGGAAGTATCTATCTTGTCAAATGTATGAATAAGAAGCAGATAAATGCATATTGCCATATTACAAAATGAAAATACATATGTGAAGAGTCTGTGTGTACTACAAAGATCAGATGGTAAACATATGAGATCAAAAAGCTGTGCTTGCCGGCTAAAGTGAATGGTAAGTTTTGTGTTGTAGCATGATTCTTAGCCAGAGATCTCACCTCTAACTGTAGGCAAACACCTCAAAAATTAAGGCCTAGGTCCCACAGAGGTAAAAGAAGAGAATTTTGTGAATTACAACAATTTGGGGACAGTGGAAATAAAGGGTCCTGGGATCAGGAAACCCATCTTCCAGCTTTGAATCTGCCAACTACTTAGCCAGGAAGTCACAGTCAACTCATTCATTTACTTACTCATTCTATCACGCATTCATACATTTATTAAATACTTATTACCTTGACTGGGTGTGGTGGTGTATGCTTATAGTCCCAGCACTTTGGGAGTCAAAGGCAGGAGAATTGCTGGAGGCCAGACTAGGCTGGACAACGTAGCAAGACCCTGTCTCTACAAACGATTTAAAAATCAGCTGGGTGTGATGATGCACACCTGTAGTCCTAGTTACTTGTGAGGCTGAGGAAAGAGGATTGCTGTTCAGGAGTTCAAGGTTGCAGTGAGCTGAGATCATACCACTGCACTTCAGCCTGGGTAACAGAACAAGACTCTGTCTGAAACAAACAAACAAACAACAAGACTTATTGGCATGTACTATGGGCCAGGCACTGTACTTGTGGTAGTAATACAGTTCTGAACAAATAAGGAACACATGATGTGCAAGGACTCTGCCTATGCTCCTAGTAAGCTGTACAGATTTTAAACTATGTAAGATAGGAAATTATTGAAACTCTTCAGAAGGAAAATAACATCATTTGTTTATGTTTTTTAAAGATCACACTTTGATTGTTCTATACAGAACACAATTGTTGTGGATACGAGAGCAGAAGCAATTCTAAAACCACATTCACAACCATTGCAACATGAAAAAAGGCAGGGAAATTATGATCACAGCCATTGGCTTAATGGAGGAACTCCAATTTGCTGAGATGGAATGGCCAGTTTATGGATAAACGGTGACAAGTGACAGAGCCAAAATTGGAAAATGTTTATTTGTTCTTCCACTACAACACAGCTACATTTCAGTAGTCAACCATTCACACATTCAATCAGCAACCTGGTGTATTAAGCCTTGTGTATAATTGATCTCACAAATGTATAAACATGTTTTACAGTTTTATCTTGGAGGAGTGAAGTGAAACAGAGTAATTGGCTCAGAAACCACCATTTCCTAGTCGCTGGATTTTTACTTGACATATTGTTCCTTCTGTTATGTTCTTCAAACAGATTGAAATTTCAGAAACATTTTTGATCTGGGATATCTCTATTCACCCAGATATTATAATTCTATCTCTTAAGAATCTCTGGAATTCATATCCTCTTATTGTAGACTCTAATTAGCTAATTTTTAGGTTATTAAGCAGATTTTATCTCATCTCCTTATTATCCTATTTCTATCATTTACAAAAACGCTAGCCCTTTATATTTTCCATATACTCTGGGGCTCTGGGAATTTACTTATGAAGAAGACACATCTCGACAAATCCACAGAGGAGGAGGATATACATGTAAAGTACTAGATTCAATGCAGTATAGATAAATATACTTAGAATGCAGCATAGACAAGTAATTTACTAGCTCCTGGTCAAGGTAGGGCAGGTTTCATTTAAGGTAACGTTTGAGATGGCTCTTAAAGAATGAAGCTGGAATGGAGATCAGTCTTTGCCTTACCTAATTTTGTCTCTCCACCTTTTAATATTAGTGCTTCTAGTATTAAATCACCATGCACAGTTCTGAGCATTGCAACAATTTTTAACATTTTTGTACGTAAGCACAAAGTACAGTCTATACTATGGATTCAAAGTCCTTGATAAATTTCTCAATGTATAGTAACAGACCATTATTAATGCACAATATTATTTTAGATGAGTAGAATTCTTAATATCAGTAATTTTAAATATATTTAATATTCATTAGGAAAAATAATACTAGTATATCAAACTTAGATGCTTAGAAGAATTTTAGCTAAAAAGTAAAATCAATGTAAAATTAATTAAATAAAAAATAAATAATGTTATATTTGGCAAATCTTTGGATACAGAAAAATGTGAATGTCATTATTAAATCACTGAACTTTGGAAAACAGCATCATAATAGATGGTCTTGGGCTATTCACTAGCCAGCAACACCTAACAACATTTCAGGTGGCCTTGAGTATATCTTCATAACCTTCTACCTCTGCTCAGGCCATTTATTCTGACTGAGGTGCTGGTTTCCTCCACTCAGTTATAACCTCCTCTTCTAACATTTAGTTTAAATCTTTATTATAGCATTTAATATATATTCTATTATGTGTTAAAATAATATTTGGTATTGTCATCCCTGCAGTAGTGGAAACTGAGAGGAAGGCTTGTACAGGCTGGATGTATCTCTGATTTTCTGTTCTAAACTAAGGGCCTGGCTTATACTTCCCAACAAGTGAATAAGCATGAAAGTACAATGTAGGTGTTCAGTTACTGTTTGCTGAATTGAATTGATCAGGCTGCTGAAAGATCCAACTCCCTTAAGGTCTCCATTGTTAAATGTCACTTCTGACTTACACAACAATGACAAACCATAGCTTCTGCAAGACCATATTTAAAATAAACATCCGTTGCCTGGGAACACAGCATGTCTCATTGGCAGAGTTCTATGGACTATTTTATCTAATTAGCTCATATCAGCAAGAAACGCCTATGAGTATGAGATAGAAAAAGAGAGAAAAAATGAAAGGGAGATCGTCATAATCATGATGGCCATTTGAACAGAATGTTATCATTTCCTTACATTTCTTCACTTCAGGTTGATTACATCCAAGTGACAGATACTGTGGTTACTGTTACTGTTCCCATATTCCATTGAAATGATACAAATGAAAGTGCAGAGTTCAGTATCAACTGTCTTCTTGCCTTCCTTCTTTTTTAGTGGATTTTTACTTTTTAACCTATTCTCTTCACAAATCATAACAATGTTCTAGGTCAAATTTTACATCAAGATAAAGACCAGTCTTATACATGAATTGAATACTCTCTCTATTCATAAAAATCTTCCCCCATCAGTTATTTTCTTTGCCTAAACATTGACACAATTTACTAGAAGGAAAAAAATAGTGCTTAAAATTATTTTAATATTCGTTTCACATTTATTTTCTTCAGATATTTATTTCAACTATACACACATGTGAATACAAATCCTTTTAATAAACATATTTGGATATGAGCTGGAAAATTGTTTTAATGACTAAAGACTAATTCTGATCATTTGATATATATTATTAGTGTCTACTTTTAAACATTTTAATGCTAGTTACTGAAGAAAACTTCCAGAACATTTCATATGACTGTGTAATTATTTCTGCTTCACAGAGAACATAGAGGAAGTAAGATTTCACAGAACAGAAAAAAAGTTTCTTCTGGAGCCAAAACAATAAAGAGGATCATGAGTCAAAGGGAGACTCCATTAGTTAAACGGCAATTGCTCAGAAGAAAAACTACTTCCTTTTCTTTACCAATAGCTACCATGACATTACCTGCAAGGACTGTGGCAGTCAAAGCTCAGTCAGGAAAGAAGAACCACTACGAGTATTATGGAATGAGGACTTTACTATCAGAGTTGGCTGTTACTCAACTGTGAGAAGAGACGAAGATTAAGGTTTAGAATGGAGGAGCTGGAAGATTCGAGCCAGGTTGCTAAGCTGCCAGTCTGAAGCCCTGGCAAGGGGAATCTGGGAAGCCAGGCATGTCTATCTGTTGGTGTGTGACCACAATGTGGAGCTGTCAGGAAACTCTATGGAAAGCTGTCAGCTCTGCGTCTCATGGTCAGCCCAGCGTTGCAGTTGGTTAGTAGCGCCAGAAGTCAGAAAGAACTAGACATAAATGAGCGGTGAGGACATGCCGAACCCACCAGTACCTCTAGGTTCATCTTTCAATGTTTTGACTGTTACGACCTTCAAGAAGGAGGAACTCTCGCTTCACTTCTTCCTCCTACGCCTCAGGCAAATACTTATTTTCGTCAACCCTGAGTTAGAAGCATCCAGAAAAAGAATCTGAGAGAATGAACTTCCCACTTAGCCAAGTTGACTCAGAGAAAAAAAAATCACGAAGATTACTTGCTTGCGTTCAAGTTTCATTGAAGCTTCAGTGTATCAAAGTCATGAAATTAATAGAATGTATGTTTTAGGGAGATTCTGATTCTAAAATATTTTGATGGAATTTAATTTCTCAGGCCAGAAGAGATTTTAGTTAAGCATTGATTATAATTGACAAGATTTAGTAATCAGAGAGGAAGATCGATGTCAATATTTCACATTTTTATCAATATAATAAGCATCAATAATAAGTGAGACATTGTGGTTACAGAAAAACAATTATATGAACTGTATACTAATATAATATGCTTTCTCAGTCAAATTGGACTAATCTGTACTGATCTTTCAATTTAGCCATAACCAAAGACCAGACTTCACCAGGAAGCAGATTTCTGAATTTTCACCATGGATACTAGAAACAAATGTTCCCTAAAATAGCCAGAATTACAAGATGAAATTTATCCAAAGCGTAAGTGGCAATGTCAGTTTACCTGAATTAATGCCACATACTAAGGCATTTTAGTTCTCTCAAATCTTAATTTAGATAAATGAAAATGTTATTTAAACCAATCTCAAGGGCACTGAATGTAAAAACATTAAATGGACAGTTCAATGAGAAAGTGAACAAGAAATGAACAAGAAATCTCTCAAGAACAATGAACATAAACGGGGTACAGAATAGGGAGCTTCAGACAACTGGGCTGACAGAAAAGAAGGGTGTTGATAATTCCTTTTTCCCATCAAAAGGGAATCAAGGGTGTAGCAATAATCCTCAGCTATAGAATCCCACCTAGAGAAGTCTTTCATCAAATTAAAAATACTGTATAAATAATATAATGATTTAAAGTGGTTTACTGTGGTGTCAACATCATTACTTTTTAAAAACGTGGTTTATGCACTTACAATTTCCAGTGTCCCTTTTTTAACCAATGCTTTGGTGAGATGTGTCAATCAGTTATAAATGAAATGACACTCCTATATCCCAGTTACTTTTGTAAACCTATCATTATGTATTTTAAATCTAACATGGATCCATGTTTTAAATTGTCATTAATATCTTTGCAAGATTTGTCTCTAGCCTATCACTGCAGCTTCAGTACTGTCCTTCTCACACATTCTCTCAGTCATAATAAAGTCTCTGGTATTTTTCATACATGCCACATACATCTTGGCCTCTGGCTGCTATGGATGTTGTCCCAGGTGTCTTCTTTCCAATACTGTTTTTCTGATTGAAATGCTAGTCTCCCATGAAACACTCCCTAATCCTCTGAGTAATGTAGGATATGTGCCTATTTTGGACTCATAAATCAAAATATTTGTGCCACAGCTAGCTTCCTTCTTTATCTTTGTTTATATTTTATTTTTTTTTTAGATTGTGTGCTTAGCTTCTACCACGTAATTTTCTTAGCAGTAGAAAAACGTCTCGTGTATCCTCCCTCCATCTTGAGAGCATGCTATGTAAATGGCACTCTTCTAAAGAATCGAATTGGTGTTGGTGATTTGTTTTTAGCTCCTTGTTCTTTGATCTCCGGCAGTGAATTGGGCTTAGTATGTGAAAAAATATATACATGGTCAAGAAGGCTAACATCAAACTAATTGTAGCAGAGTATTATGTAACCAACTCTATAAAACTTAGTTTATGATGAAATTCCTTGCCATGTGCCTCTTCATTAATATAGCATCTTCCAGAATTTGGTAATTATATTATTTTATCAATCTTCCTGTGTGCATCACCTAGGAGGGGGACTATCTAAGTATATTCAAAAAATGATTTTGTCCAGAGCATCTAACAAAATAAGATTAAGTAAACACTTGAAAAAAATACATTGATAATGCAGCACTGAGAGTTGAGTTAAGAAGGGCGCATAGCTAAGGGAGGCATAAGCACTGTTTCTGTTAGGAGATAATTTGGCCAAGTTATTTATGTAGGCAACATGGCTGCTGTGTCCACTTAACAAGCTGTTTCATAAACTAGATGATTAGCAATATAATACAGAGCCCTCTTGAACTTCTAAAACAGCTGTTTAGCTCTAAAATGACCACTGTAAATTAGTTCAAGATAAAAAGAGAAAGGAGAGAGAGACAGTGTTGGAGAGGGTAAGGAAGGGGGTCAAAAGAGAAGGATAGAGAAAGCAAGAGAAGGGAAGGGAGGAGAGGAGAAGGAGGGGAGAAAAGGTAAAGAAGAATGAAAGGATAGAAGAGATATTTTAAAGAAATATTTTAAGGAAGTACAACTAATGAGTATAAATGAGTTAGACAAGGTAAATATTTTAAACGTATATAATATTTTGTTGTTTTTCCTTTTTACTTTTGCTTTTAATTTTTGGATTTCAATCTCTGAGGGTTAATTATACTTCTCAATTAATGTTACCTGTATGAGACATTTGTTTGATTTTATTTTGTCCCGATTCCCCACTACCGTTATATCCTTCCTTTATACATAATCATTTTGATATTTTGATGTTTATTGTGTATCCTTATATTTATATATACATATTTAAAATGTGTTTATTTCCTTTGTATGAATATGTGTATTATTAAATTATATGAATGGTGCCTTACATAAATATCTTGTTTTCTTTCTTACTTTTTTACTAGTGCCATGTTTTTGAGATGCACTATTGTTGCTGTCTACACATCAAGTCTATTGTTTCTAACTGTGGTATAGTATTCACTTGAGTGTATCCACCATGTTTTACCCATCCACCCCTCCCTCTGCCACAGTGAAGGATACCTACACTGTCTACAATTCTTTGCCAACATAAGCAACGTTGCAATGAACATCTTCAAGCCTTTTTCTTTAAGCATTTTTTATTAGAATGTGAGATGTATATCCAAATGTGGCCTGACTGGATCATACGTATCGTCCAGTTACTGACAAACATATTGTTTTCAAGAACAGCTATGCCAGCACGCACAACCATCAGCAGTGTGTATTTTATGTTGTCTTTAGAAATGGTAACCTTGCCATGGCCCCAAATTCTTGAATGTATGCATGGTGATTTGTAATTCTGCTCTTCACCCTGTAATGATAAGTCTCTTCTTAACTGTAGTCTCTTTAAATATTTGAACTGTGTGAGCGCAGCTGGACGACTGCCCGGGACCTATCCTTTATTGGCTATGAGACTTTCAGCAACTCATTTCTTCTTTCTGATTTTTCTTTCATTCACTTACTCAGCCATTCATTCAAACAATATTAATTGAACACATACTATGTACTTAGTTTATGACTCTACCACCCGATGTGTGTGTTTCTTTATCAGAAGGAGAACCACCATGTAAGCATTGTGAAGACAGTAGTTCATATGATGGACTGCCTCTGCTCTTAGAAAACTCTTGGAGACTCAGAGACATCTTCCCTGAGAAAGATAAATTTAATTTCAAACCTGAAAGGAGTTGGTTAATCAAAAAACCAGGGAGCTGTGACAATTTTTAAATTGAGAATGGCAAAAATAAATTGTATTCTGTATAGAGGAAAACAATGAATGCCGCAGACCTGAGTAGAAACATCCAAGTAGAGATTCAATAATGGAAAGGTGTGCCGTAAGGCTAGAACAAAGAGAGTGGCGTTTGCAGGAGGCTCAGAGAAGCAGGAAGGTGGTGTCAAACCAAGTAGCGTACTGAGACTTGGAAAGCATTTTGGATTACAGAAAAGTATTTATGGAAATTAAGGTAATATTCAAATATTATATAAGCAGCTGGATGAGTACTTCACTGGTGTCTTCCAGTGTTTTCATTTTGGGTTTTTTTCTAAATCTGTGCTTCCAATAAGCCACATGTGGCTACTGTGCTCTTTCAATGTGGCTAGTCTGAATTGAGAAGTGCTGTAAATAAAAAACTAAACACCAGGTTGTGAAACCATAGTATAAAAAAGACTGCAGGCCAGGTGCGGTGACTCACACCTGTAATCCTAGCACTTTGGGAGGCCTAGGCTGGTGGATCACCTGAGGTCAGGAGTTCAAGACCAGCCTGGCCAACATGGTGAAACCCCGTCTCTACTAAAAATACAAAACAAATTAGCTTGGTGTGGTTGTGAGGGCCTGTAATCCCAGCTACTCGAGAGGCTGAGGTAGGAGAATCACTAGAATCCTGGAGGTGCAGGTCGCAGTGAGCTGAGATCGTGCCATTGCACTCCAGCCTGGGTGACAGAGCGAGACACACACACCCCAAAAAAAAAAAAAAAAGAAAGTGCAAAATTTCTTATTAACAATTGTATATTGGTTACAGATTGAAATTATGATTTTTGGATATATTGGCTTAAATATCTTGTATTATAAAAATTAATTTTGCCTATTTCTTTTACCTTTTCAGTGTGCTTACTAGAAAAGTTTAAATCATATACATGGCTCCCAATACATATTTGTTGGGCAACACTGTTCTATATTCTTTGCTTCCTGAAAAACCATAGAATGGTGAAGATTTATCTAGAGTGAAGGTTTTGATAACCAAAATTTTCTTCCTATTAAATCTGAACCCAACAGAAGGAGACATTTAGCCTTGAGATGATTTCAACTAGAGTCCCAGGCAGAAAGCCATTTAACTTGATAATAAGCTGTATAGACTTCAGCAGAGCAGTTTAGAAAATTATGTGGGTGTTAAAATATATGCACATATTCCGTTATATATTAACAAGATATGTGCTCAGAGAAGACTCCCACACACCCACGCACCACTTAGAATACTGGCTTACATTTTTCTACCAGTAAAGTCACTTTGAATAAAGGAAGAAAAAAATCGAGCAGTAGTACAGTAAATGTCACATACTGTATAGTTAATTTGCAAGAATCGTTTTGCAGAAAATGAATTTTTCATGAGTATTCTTTAAAATATGTTTTGCCAGGATATTTTTCTTTGATGTGACTAGCTTAAAAATCCCATCACCTTTTACTGAAATTTTATGATTGATCTTTTTCATATTTGAAACAATTTGATGAAAATTTATTAAATTCAGTTTTGTGCCAATCTAGTTAAACAGACTTCATTTCAGGCCTTTAAATGCTTACAGTCCAAGAGAGGGGACTGTGCTCAAAGAAATAAAATAGTGTGAAAAGTTGAAGAATCAAATTACATCTAGGTACAAATGTAACATGATTCTTTCTGAGAGGAACGAAATCAGTTGTATTTATTCTTAAAAAAGAAAAAAAGACTACATATAGTCCAGAAAACCTTAGCTACATTTAAAAACTGTCTCACAAAACCAAAATTTGGAACTGAACCTCAATTATAATAAAATATTTTCTTTGGAGGATCTGTCAAAATAAGACAGTGTATACATGTTCTTGTTGGCATTTTATACCTGGTGATTATTATGTAGGTATTAGAGAAGTAATATTTTTTTCCCAATCTCTTTGAGTCTTCTGTTAATAAATTTTGCAGACTTCGTAGTCAATGTGTCTCTGACATAATCGTGCGTAAAGTGCATTTATGTATTTACAGAGGAAATGGACCATGAATAGCTGTCACTGTGGACTTTCCCCTCAGTGCCCCATTTACTCTGTCATGCTGTAGGTGTTGCTGGGGGAAAAAAGGGTCAGCAGTTTTTGGTGTAGGCATTTTCTATGGTTAGCCAGCTTTTGTATTTCCTTTGAAGCACTAAGCTGTAACGAAAGTTGTAGGATGGCTCTATGATGAGGGCCATTTTTTGGCCAAATTTCTAAATATGAATCAGTGGATTAAACAGAAAGGTTAAATTAGTTTTTCACATCTTCTTTACTTTTTAAAATATTATTTCAAAAACTATAATTTGAAAGTTATACTGTATCACATTTTATATATCCAGGTGTCAACTGGATTAGATGGGGATATTTCACTTTTCCCCCACATCACACAGCATTGGTAGCGTATTGGAATATTTGATATATTAGGTTCATTTATCCTAGGTTTTATATTTTAATTTGTTAAGTGAACTCTGAGGGGGAAAAGGGGAGATTTTCATTCAGGAAAACTGACTAGATAAAATAATTGAAATATAAATAAATGTCATTAAATTTGGGGGGTTTTAAAGAATATCAGGGGTCCTGTCTGGATAAGATGGAATAAACACTGGTGACTCAGTCTTCTGCACTGAATAAAGACTAGACAGATGCAACAGAGCAGCTCTTTGAGGACTCTGATAAATAGAAGGCAAACTGGGGAAGAAGCCCAGAATTCAAATACTGATGAATTTATCATTTTTTTCCTCTAATGCTCACAACCAACACAGCAGTGATCACAAAGGAGTTGGCAGAGAGAGCTTGGGAGAAGCCTAACTCTGGCTTCTTCTAAGAAGTTCTCCCTAGTTCTGGCTCAAGAAGCAAGAAAGGGAACTTAAAATATTCCGAAAGAGTGTGGAAATGTCCTGTTTTATTTTTCTTTCTTTTTTCTGTTCTCCCATGGCCTAGTTCCTATGCAATCCTGTGGAGCCAAAATTCTAGGTGGGGAAAGTTTCTATTAGAGTAGTCCCCCCTTATCTGTGGGGAATATGTTCTAAGACCACCAACGCATGCCTGAAACTACCAATAGTACCAAACCCCATGTATTTTTTCTTACACAACCCCACAATAAAGTTTAATTTATGAATTAGGCATAGTAAGAGATTAACAACAATAACGATAATAAAGCAGAACAATTATAACAATATGCTGTAATAAAAGCTATGTGAATGTAGTCTCTTTCTGTCTTTCTCAGTATATCCTGTTGTCACGTATACACCTATTTTCAGGCTTTGATTGGCCACAGGTAACTGAAACTGCCAAGAGCCAAACCATGGATAAAAGGGGACTCCTGTCTCATATCTTCAGCAGAGGATCCTTGGTTCCAAGAGAGTGAGGCTGACCACCACTGTCGTCCATCTGGATTGTCCTTTCATTGTTTGGACCTGGATGTGGGCACACCAGAAGTGCACCTCAGAGTGGGATAACTAAAACCCTGGCTTCCTTGATATAGAAGGACCCCAAGGAACCAGAAAGTATGAAAGTTATGGAGAAAAAGGAAAACTCAGGAAATCAATTCCAAATAATTGTTTATAAATTTTGGACTCGTTCCCAAGCTTGCACATGTGGATCTGATGTTATTTAGTGTACAAAAGATAGAACTGAAGATACACCACTGCCCAATGTCTGAGACTGGCCACTAGGTGGCACATGAACTGGACTGATCCAAATAGTACTGCGAATGCTTTGAAGACTATGCTAGCATTGCAACCACAGCACACAGGAGAGGCAGATTCGAACTTAAGAGTGAACCTAACCAGGCTGACTCTTACTAAACGAAAATGTCAACATTCTCCATAGGATTTAAAGAAGTCCCAGAGTCTCATAACATAACATAATATTCAAAATGTCCAGGATACAATGAAAAAAATTTTGGTATGTAAACTATCAGGAAAATCTCAACTTTCATGGGGAAAGACAATCAACAGATATAAATATGAAGTAACAAAGATGTTGGAATTATCTGATTCTTGAAACCAAAGGAAAAATAGAAAGTACACAAAATAAATGGAAGCTGTCAAGAAGTACCAAATGAAGATTTTAGAATTATAAAAATAACAACAACAGTAATAACTTCCCCCTCAAAACAAGAAACAAACAAAACAAAATTTAAAACCCTCCTTTGACAGGCTCAGTAGCAGAATAGAGATGACAGAGGAAAGAATCAATGAACTTGAAGAAAAATCAATAAAAATGATTTAATCAGAACCATAGAAAGTTTTCTTAAAAAATGAAAAGTTTAACAGAACATTAGACATCTGTGGGGAAATAACAAAAAAACTAGTGTTTTTGTTATTTGAGTCCCAGAAGGATAGAAGAAAAAGTGCAGTGCAGAAAAAAGTTAAAGAAGTAATCGATAAAAATGTCCCCAAATTGGCAAGAGAACTGGACATAAAGATTCAAAAAGCTCAGTGAATGCCAAACAGGATAAAAGCAAACAAATCCACACCCAGAAGCACTGTAATCAAACTGCTAAAAATTAAAGACAAAGAAAAAAGCCCAGAAGCCACCCAGAAAAAAAAGATTCGTTATCAATAGAAGAACAGTGACATAGCTCAGAAGGAAGTGTTGAAAGAAAATAACTTTCAACTCAGAATTCTATACCCAATGAACGTATCCCTCGGGAATGAAGGTGAAATAAAAACACTTTGAGAAGAAGAAAAACTAAGGGCATTTATTGCCTTGCAGACCTGATCTAAAGGCATTGTGAAAAAAAAAAAAAGCTCTTTAGGATTTTAGGATGAAGGGAATTAATATAAGAAGGAAACATGGAACATTAACAATGAAGGAGGCTGGACACAATGGCTCACACCTGTAATCCCAGCACTTTGGGAGGCTGAGGCAGGCAGATCACTTGAGGTCAGGAGTTCAAGACCAGCCTGGCCAAATGGTGAAACCCCGCCTCTACTAAAAATACAAAAATTAGCCAAGCGTGGTGGCATGCACCTGTAATCCAAACTACTCAGAAGGCTGAGGCACAAGAATCACTTGAACCTGGTAGGCAGAGGTTGCAGTGAGCCGAGAATGTGCCACTGCAGTGCAACAGAGCAGAGCGAGACTTTGTGTTTAAAAAAATAAATAAATAAATACAAAGAAGCAACAATGAAAATGGCAAATGTTTGGGTAAGTATAATAGATTTTTTCCCTAAATAGTGTGTGGGAGTTGAAAGCAGAAATTACAACATTGTCAAATGAGATTTCAATGTATGTATATAATCATGACATAAATAGGAAGCTAAAGTGATCCAAATGGTAGTAAGCTTTCTACATTCAGCCAAAAGTGGTAAAATATTAATTCTAAGTAGACTGTAAAAAGTTAAATACATATATTGTAATCCTTCGTGAAATAACAAAAAAGAAGTCAGGAAACAGAGAAATGAAAAAACAGAAATAACTAACAGAAAACAAATAATAAAACAGTAAACCTAAATCCAAACATATCAAGAATTACATCAAATGCAAATGGTCAAATCACATCTATTAAAAGACACAGATTTTTAGGGTGGATAAGGAATATTAGACAATCAAATTAATCCCTGCTTTGAAAACTGTCTTTGTCTTACAATGAGGAAACAGAGATTTAGAGGAGAAATAAATTGTTCAAGATCCTACAGCAACCAGATTTAGAGGACAGTTTTTCTAAATTCTTAGATATTGCTTCCTACTACTTCACAAAAGACCTTGTCCCAGCCCTCTAGGGTATTGCTGGGATAAAGAATAAGGAAGTGGGAACAGCTAGATTGCATTGTTTCAGGACTGAATTCAGAGTTAAATGTCAGGAGGGTCCTGACCCTGTGCCAGAGGAGTATGTTACTAGGAAAGCCATTGAAAAAGCCCATCATCATATAGGGAGGTAGTCAATAATGGCTAAAGTGGCATCAACCCCATAGGGGTCATACTGGGTATATTAGTCAGGATTCTTCAAAGAAATAGAACTAATAGGATACACACATGCACACACGCACACACACACACACACACACACGGAGGAGAGGGGAGATTTATTATGAGGAATTGGCTCATACAATTGTGGGGGGCTGAAAAGTGTCATGATCTGCCATCTGCCGTCTAGAGATCCAGGAAAACCGGTGGTGTAATTCTAACCCAAGTTCAATGACCAGAGAGCTGATGGTGCAAATCCCAGTTAGGGGAAGAGAATACCTGTGTCCCAGCTCAAGGAGATAGGCAGGAAGCCAAAAGGGGTAAATTCCTCCTTCCTCCACTTTTCTGTCCTATTCAAGCTTTCAACAGATTGGATGATGGACACCCACGTTGAAGAAGACAGTCTACTTTACCGACACTGCTAACTCAGACGTTAATCTCATCTGGAAACATCCTCACAGACACACACAGAAAGAATGTTTCTATTTGGGAACCCTGTGGCACAGTCATGTTGACGCATAAAATTGACCACAATACTAGATCTGACCCAATTTCCAGCATGCTTCTTGGGAAAAAAAGGAAGTGTGAGGCAAATTTCTCTAGGTTTTTCATGAGGAGAGTTGCATACATTCTGACAAAGGCAGAGAAAGTGACCTGGTAACCAGGTATCTTCTTTTGATATATGCTGCTTGCATTCAGCAGGTTCTAAGCAGTGAAACTCAGAGTAACCTATGGTGAATTTCTGACTTCCCCTCCCTTATTGTTGGAGCAAGTCGAGGAATTTTATGAGACAAGTTGTGTGTCTGCTGGAAAGAATAAGGGCAAGGACTAGAGAAATATAGGGTACATGGACTTAAATAGTAAAATACAGAAACACGCACTATTGAATTACCTAGCTTTCTAGCTTTCTGGAGGAGACACAGATTTCTGTTTTCTTCCTTATAATGGGTTCAGTCAGTGTACATGTAATTGAGGAAGAGTCATATGTTACCTCTTTGTTTTTAGAGTGTAGTGCTGGGCGAAGAAAAAGAAATAAAACACAAGTGTGACAGTTTTGGTTGCAGGAGACAGTGTGCTCTGAGTAAAAGTGTGAAAAAAGCTATTGTAATTTAATTTTGTCCTGAGAATGGGTGCTCAGATGCAAGAGAATAAATCTGACTACTCATGAGCTAAGAGACATTCTTAGCCAGGACTATATTGTCAGGGGAAAGTGAACTCCTTTCCAAGTGACAGAGAAGTCTGTCTTAACATATTCTCACTACTAAATAAAGTAGCATTGTGAACCATTACAGCAGAAGCAAAAAATATAACTTTATTTTTGTAAAGGTCCAGATTTTAAATATATGCTGTTAATAATTTGGGGGGCTACCATTTCAAGACGGTGGCCACATTTATTAACCTAATTCAGATCCAAATATTTTGTTCATAAAGTAAGCACTCACATAACGCGATTGCTTAAACAAGTATCTCTCTGGATTCAGACAGAAGAAGTTGTCCTTGAATCAACTCTGAATATTTGGGCAACATCTTAATACAAGGCCCAGCTCCGTATCAAGAAATCTTTAAATATATCACTACAACACCTCTAGGAGATTAGGCATGATGCTGAAATATGGCAGGGACATTGCAGAAACTTAGCATCTAATATCCCCTGCTATTAAAATTGTCTAAACCTTGTCATAAGAGAGTCTTCTACTCATAACTCTCATGCACATTTACAACTTAAAATTTCTCTGGAAAGTTGACTTCAACCAGCCTTGACTAGGCACTTAATAAATGTTAACTACGGTTTATTAAGGGTTCATTCAGTGGAGTGATTCTCAAATCTGCAAGAAAGAATCACCTGCCTTTACTCCAAACTGATTTCATCAGGATTTCTAGGGGTGGGGCCTAAGCCTCAGTATATTTTTTAGAAGTTGTCAGGTAATTCTAATATGCAGTTGAGGTTACAAACCAATGAATATATCCTAAGCAAGAAGAGTAATGAAATCTAAATAGTAACAACATATGATAACTACATAGATACTGAAATAATCAATTACTTTTATTTCCTTGAAGAAACAAAATCATGAAAATGAAACCATCTTATGCATTCTTGATGAGATGCCTCTTAGACTCCTCCATCTGGAAGAAGGATACGTACGCTTGACCAGAACCTAGGCCCTAACTATAGAGGCAATGATGTGCTGGGTTTTGGATGGGGGAAACAGTGAGGAAGTAGGGAGAGCTAATCCCTCCAATTCCTGCTTTTAGAACCAAGTTCCAGATAACTATATGCTCTGTATCAGGGAAGTGGGTGGCCATCTCCAAGTCCATGGACAATTATGCTGGCTATATTCTAACAGGTCACAGTCACTTGTTTCGAGCCAGGTTAGAAATAGCTCTGGCATTTAAGATGGAGAGTGAGTTAGTAAAGCAGATTCATATCACTCTTGTCCATAATTCCATGATTAGTTCACCTTTGGGCTGAGATGTCCCAGCACAGGTCATCTGCTAGTAGTGTGGGCAAGTTTCTAATTCAGTGAGACCCCCAAATTGCGGTGTTGTGATGATCATTCTCCTAGTGAACTAGATATGGTGAAGTAATAGCATCTATGCTCTATCATTCTAGGGTGATCTGACCAAGATTTCTTGGTATACGATTTAGAGAATATTGCTACTCTAATCCACACTGTTCAAAGAAAGAACTCATCTCCTCATACATCCAGTGTGCCTCTCTTTGATTTCTTATAGGGAACACCCAGACAGCATGTAGGTTAGTTAGTTATTTTCCTTGTCGTACAGGAGATCAGAAATGACAGTGGCTCAACTTGCCAGAGAAACAAGTATCCTGGACCACAAAAACATCGTTAACCTAGACCTTATAGCCTGTTGGTGTTAGTACCTTCAGCAGGAGGACGTACTAGACAATGGAAGAGGTTGTGAATATGCCCAGTACAAACCTCGAGGGCAGTTCACATTTTGTGATAGAAGTGTCTAATTCCTTACCCAATTTCAATTCCTTTTTCTTCCTTACCCACGAACCTCCAGTTCTGGCCAGTGAGACCTATGCTGGGGGTTTCTGGAAAAGATGTTTCCATGTTAGAGGTACCACATATTTCCACCTCCCTGTCTTCCTTTTTTCTGTGTCCTAGATGTGAGCATGATGCCTACAACTGGAGCAGCCATTTTGGACTGTGAATAAATGGTACTTTGAAGAAAAAGTACATTGAATTGCAGAGACTTCGGTCATGATGTCTTTGAATGGTCCAAATAACATGTGGAATGCCTGTATTCAGGCTTATCATTACACACACACACAAAAAGCAAACAAACCCACAACCTTCCAATTTAATTTAGCCACTATTTTCTTGGTTGTAAAGGTAAAGTACCAATCAGATCTATTATGAGGGTATGCTTATGAGGTGAAGCCGTCAGCATAGAAAATAATTACTCAAAACACTAGGGAAAAATATCATCAACAAATTCAGAGTTAAGTCAGTCAATGAAGCAGTGGTACAACCGAAAATGCATATAAGAAACAAAAAGATGAAACAGGCAAGGAAAATGACATCAGAGACAAGTCATAGCATGACTGACATGCAATTCATATATTAAATACTCCTCCTGCAATGTTCTTCTTGTGTATGTCTTTGTGTGCCTCTCTGGGTCAGGAACATATTTTTCAAGACAGCAAATTGCAGTGGGTAGGCAAGGTTAATACACAAGTAGGTATAATATATAAGAGACATAGCACAGAAATTAAGATACATTGTCTTTCAGATAAGGTTGTCAAAATGAATTAGAAAAATAATGTGACAACAGCAATATTATTTTATACTCATAAGAAAAACAATTGTGAAAGTATGTGCTCAGAAGATGCACTTTACTTTTAAATAAAATGTATTCAATCCTCTCAAAAAAACAAACCTGAAAGTCAGTGGAAAATCAAGACTTTTTTTGAAAGATGGTAACCCAAGGTTTTGATGCCAATATAAATATAAAACCAATACTTCTCACAAATGGAATAGGGTAGTTTGGATTGTTAATACACTTAGTGTCATTCAAAGTGTTCAAAACACGTGCTATGTTCTGTAGAGGAGATTCAAGAAAGGCACGCGTTCGGGCGAGGTGGGGTGCCTGCAATCCCAACACTTTGGGAGGCCGAGGTGAGCGGATCACGAAGTCAGGAGATTGAGACGATCCTGGCTAACAGGGTGAAACCCTGTCTCTACTAAAAATACAAAAAATTAGCCGGGCGAGGTGGCGGGCGCCTGTAGTCCCAGCTACTCGGGAGGCTGAGGCAGGAGAATGGCGTGAACCCGGGAGGCGGAGCTTGCAGTGAGCCGAGATCGCGCCACTGCACTCCAGCCTGGGCGACAGAGCGAGGCTCCGTCTCAAAAAAAAAAAAAAAGAAAAGAAAAAGAAAAAAAAAAGAAAGAAAGACATGCACGGTTGTTGCAGGTGATTTTGAAGTGCAGCATTTTCTAATGGCCTAATCCTAGCAGTGCTTGCATGGGTATGAATAAAAGTAGGTATGATATGAACCTCTGATCTAGAATAAGCAAGCTGCATTTTCTAACCCCCTCCATGAGAGTCATCTAAAAGCATTGAACATATCAGATATATCGAGTTATTGTCAAATGTACCACTTTTCTTTAAAATTGCAGCTGTTTATCTCTTCATCAGTGACCTGCACAGTGCCTTCTTCATAGCAGTCACTTAATAATGCTTAGGGAATTGAATTGTCAATGTTTTTGTTTGTTCTTATGGTTTATGGCAGTAGCTTTAATTAATCAATATTTGCATTTCTCTGCGGATTTTTAGAATAGCCAATGACTTGTGATAGAAAATACATCTATTCATTAGTAATGGAGATTTGCTACTTTTTGCTCTTCATTTACATTTCCTCTTGATAAAAGGGATCTGAATTGCATTCAAATATTTACTCCTCAACCATGCAGACTTGTATCTTGGGGGACAATCCAACCTCCAGGTCTTGGTTGACTTACACTAGTCAACATATCTCAAGTCTCTGGCCATGGTCAGTCACTGAAGTGTGGACAGATGATCTAAATCAGGCCAACGAAATGTAAGATGTCGTCTGGGGGATTCTAATAGAGAATAGATGATATAAGCATGCAGGTTCTGAAACTACTAAAGGAAATTCTGCCTCTAAGGGAGAAGTTATACATGGAGGTGGACAGAGCTGAGAGAACTACAAAGTAAGCCTCGATGGTGATGCTGTGTACCTAGATATTCGAGATGAAGCGCCAGTTTGGTTTGGGGATTCTGTCTGAGCAACCAGAAGCATCCTAGCAGATACAGATGTTCAAACAAATACAAAGGCTGTATTGAAAACCTTTGAGGCCGGGCGCGGTGGCTCACGCCTGTAATCCCAGCACTTTGGGAGGCCGAGGCGGGTGGATCATGAGGTCAGGAGATCGAGACCATCCTGGCTAACAAGGTGAAACCCCGTCTCTACTAAAAATACAAAAAATTAGCCGGGCGCGGTGGCGGGCGCCTGTAGTCCCAGCTACTCGGGAGGCTGAGGCAGGAGAATGGCGTGAACCCGGGAAGCGGAGCTTGCAGTGAGCCGAGATTGCGCCACTGCAGTCCGCAGTCCGGCCTGGGCGACAGAGCGAGACTCCGTCTCAAAAAAAAAAAAAAAAAAAAAAAAAAAAAAAAAAAAAAGAAAACCTTTGAGTAACTTTTCGTTTTTATTGATCTCAACTCAGTTTTTCTTCCACCTCCTTTTCTGAACATTCTTCCCAACCAAGCCCTGTTTTCCAAGTATCCATCTTTCATTCAAATGATTTCCTCTACTTGAGAGGCCTTTGTCGTCCCCCTTTATCACTCAGCAAATATCTGTTCTTTTTCAATCGCTGTCTTGCCTCTAATCCCTGATGATGCCTTTGTTGCCTCCTCAGTGGTATATAAAATCTTTTTTGCATTTATCATAGCACATACTTTTAGGTATTGCATTATTTATTTATGTGTCTGCCTTTGTTGTTGTTGTTTTGAGATTGCAATTCAGTGTATGATGCCTAAACTCAACTGAGCCTCTAGTTGGTATGTTATGAATAAAAGAATAAATGAACGTACTTTAGTTCTTAATCCTTGAAAGCAAGATGTCAGGTTGAGACAAGTAGCTACGTAATTACAAAGAAACATTTACTTTTCTTTCAACTCTTCTACAAAATTAGACATCTTTCCCATCTGTAAATCAATTTTTGATCTTTTTCTTAAAAAGACACAGCGCTTTTTCAGCAATATAGGATAAACACACTAAAAAAAAAAAGGTAGACTTCTCAAAGAAGTTTAATGTTTAAAAAAAAGTGCCAGTATTTCGTCTACGTGCATGAGCATCTCAGGATTTTAATTGTTTTTAATTCCAGGAGGGTAATGATGTATAAACGTTTTACAAATCTGAGCTCAGAAAACAATGATTTGAATAATCTGTGCTTTAATGGAAAAATGAAACATTAATTTGTTTAGTTTCTCATACAACATGTTTACTAAACATTTCAGTGTCAATAATTTCTTAAGATTGTAACATTTAACCTTGTATTGGAGCTAATACCAATTCTAGCCATGGGAGTATGTTTTGGACTTTTTGAACAATTTTAAGTAAAATGAATGTCACTGTCTTTAAATTGTACTTGGAGCAAAGACAAAGAAACATCAGCTCATTCTTTCCAACTAATAGAACATTTAATGATGCAATTTTTATTACATTATTTTAAGGCTATTATCATAATGTTAAATATTCTTATTTTTTTTTGCTTCCGTCTGTTACTAAAGCTCAATACATCATTCTGAACATTATTAATTTTCACTTAACTTAGATTTAAGTATTGAATTTTTAACTTGGGCTCCAGGAAAAATCCTGAAAAAGAAAGATCAGCATCTAGCATCCTTTTCCTATTCTTTCACCACAAATTCTCAATTTGATATGACTTAACATGAAATCTGTATTGGGAAGTATAGATTTCTAAGATAACTTTTTGTAACTAAAAAATAATTTCCTGTGCATCACAAGGGGGATTAAAAATCACCAAAGTACTGAAGGAACACGTGCTTTGATTATTATTCCCACCTGTTTCTTTTTTATTATAAAGTGGCAATTTGTACCATCATTAGAAATGTACATTAATGTATAAAGTTTTGCATTCAAATCTCTTTATTTTTGATTACCTATGACTAAAGACCACAAATCAAATAAAAACTCATATAATATATCCTTATTTCAGAAGCATATGTATATATACACATATATATTTGTAGAACAATCCACTGTTTTAAATGTAATTTTGACTTAAAAAATGCTATTTACAATTTTATGACAGAGAAATAACCTCAGCCTTTTATGGTATTAAAATGAGCAGGGAATTTTTATGTTTGTGTCTCATCTTGTGCAGATGAAATTAAGCAATATCATGGAAAACCTTCTCAAGAGCAAGGCCTTGTAGACTAAGGTATGAGGGTGAAATCGATTTGCTATTTCTGGGTCTATGTTTTTAAAAAATTACTGGCAACGTAGTCATACTTACTTCTTCACCAAGAAATCAGTGCTCCCAAATTAGGAATTCCAAACTTTTCAATATGCAACCTTTAAGTCTTTCCTTGTCCTTACTCTTGTCTTAATACTCTCATCTCCCACTAGTGGCACCGCAGGACTACCAATCTAGATATTAGATTGTTGCTATTTTATTAAACAGAAGAGTCTTAGTTCTTTTAAACAAGCTTTCTGAATTAGAATGAGGCCCATAAAGCATCACATTGCATTACATTGATATCTCTTTATTGCGCCAATCCATAATGGCTAAAAATGTGCTATTAAATTGTATGTAAATTTCAAAGCCAAAACGATTACTATGAGAATAGGATGGCTTGCTGCCCTCCAATTTGCGGAAGCACAAAAGTCTCTGAATTAGCAAATGGAACTTCAGCTCCATTTGTTTCTATACTTTATTCTGCGAGCTTAAAAATCAAGTAAGGTGTATTGACCAGAAAGCTATTTTGTGAGACTCTCAAAAGTTTTGTTTTCATTCTTAAGCTCGTTGATTTTGAAACTTATTCCAATAAGAACTCAGAATAAACATATCTTAATTTATATCTGCGTAGCCAATTGCAAAGCATTACTAAAAGCCATATTTTTTCCTGGGAAAAATCCCAATGCAACTCCAAAAAAAAAAAAAAAAAAAAAAAAAAGCTTATTTTACTTAAAAAGGAAAAGTGACGAATGAATTGAAGACCCAGAAATCAGAACAATGAAAATCAAAGAATTATTATACTTGAAATAAGCCTGAAAAACAAAGTACTTAAACTCAACCATATTTTTGGATGAAGTTGGATATTATATGTTTACACATGGTAATATTTTTAAAAACTCAGTGAATACTGGCATATTCTATTAAAGTTTTCATGTACTTGAGAAGTAAGCAGGAGTTAAGCAAACATTCACCCTTTGCTCTAAGCTACATTTTTTGTCAGGTTTATGTGTAAAAGAAATCAGGTTTCCAATTAATTCTCTGAACTAAACTGGAAATAAGACAAAGCTAATTTCCAAAACATTTTACTGCAGTGAACATTTGCTTAACATAATACGGAGAAAAACAATATACAAATTGTGTGGTTAGAATTTTTTCTTAACTGCTATCAGGAAGGAGACAAATGTGAGTCTAGATGATAAATGATGAATAGCCACTGAAAATGGAGGAATTTTGTTAGTGATTCATATCTCTATTTTTTTCATAACAAACTTAATTAAATATATTTTGTCATGAAATCATAATTGTAATTGATTTTTATGATTTGCATCAATTGTGTTATTTATGAAACCATCGTTTTACTGATGAGTGTGTATGTGTATCATCACTACAAAAGCTCAAGTCATTTCATGCTAAAAGAGCCAGTGTCCCATAGTGTTGAAGTTTCTTTTTTATTTTTTTCAAATAAAATAAGCTTTGTGCTTGGGATTTTTTTCTTTTTTTTTTTGGTTCTGGTAGTGACAGGTGTATTTATAATCAAGTTGAATCAAGAGTGACAAGAAGAAATACAGCTAGAGTTATATTTTTGCCCCAGGGGTATTCTTTTCCTAGAAGAGCAAGTCCATTTTTAGAAAATTTAAATGTCTTTATTTGTTACTTTCCAAATATTTTGGTTAAACAAATATCTCTTGCAAATGTATCTTCAAAATCTTTGCCTACATGCATACAATTTGTTCTTCCCAACTGCTTAGGGAAATTCCTTCATTTCATTTTCTGCTAACCTCTAGATAACAGAAATAGGATACCTGGTGAAGGATATGGTCCACTATTGAAGAATAATGATTGTGTAAAGTGAGGGAAACTATATTGACCTTGAAATACGGCAACCAATGGCAAGGTTTGAGGTGAGGGCCTAGAGCTTCTGCAAAGTGTATATATTTTAGGGAGTCATATTTGGAACAATACATGCTGGACAGTAGAGATATAGGAGAAGTTACATGCTATGTCTTCTCATTGATAATATCCATAAATCTGCATACATTTTTTAACATTCTGTTTTGTGTTTTTTTTTCTTTAAATTTGGATGTCTCTACACCACTCCTGATTTGTAGGACTAAATAGATCTATTTATTCCAATGCAAATTGTGTAACATTTATTTCTTCCTTGATTTTTAAAAATACTTTAGTATTCTTAACTATGTATGTGCCTTCTCTTACACTGAGTTCTTTTTTGCTCCTTTCAGCTGCTCACACAATCCTGTCTGTTGGAGTCATAGCTGCTAATTCCATATTATTTCTCTACACACCTTGAAAATTTAGTGTATTACTGGTACCCTTCTGTGTTCTAGGAAACAAATGAATTGCAAACTGGACTTGTAACAGGATCATACATAGAGCAACAAATTAGCTACTGGCTTTGTAAGATAGTAAGTTAGGAATTTCACAGTCATGTCTCCAAATTTCATGGCAGAGTTTAAAAAACAATATAAGACTGTGGTAAGGTACAAACGCAAATGCAATTTGCGTTGACTAATTTCCTAGGACTTATTTCCTTATGTAAAACCCCTGTTCTTTCTTTCCTGCCACAAGACAGGGTACAAAGCTTTCTAAAACATGCTCTCAGGTGTCCACACCTGAGACATTGCTTTGTGGATACTCTCAAAGGTGTCCACAAAGCAAAAAAATCAGACCAAATGCTAAGAGCAAGTAACTTATACCTCACCACCTGGACATGGCACTGGCAAAAGTCACTTCAGCATTAGAACAGTAATGTTTTTGCTAAATTACTAAAAAAAAAAAAAAAAGAAAGAAAGAAGAACTCCGGAAATAATATCTTTGATAAAAATGTTATACTCTAGGATAATTTGAAATCATTTTTGTGAAAGAATTAAACTCATTAAGGCTATTCGATGCCATACAAGATTTTCCTTTTACATAAAACAATCTTAAATTACATCTCAAAAATAATTTCTTACACTTTTCTTGATGATAAATGGTTCCTGGCTATATATTTTATAGGTATTAACATAGTTTATAATTTGGAAATGTTCAATTTCATGGTTACAAAAAAAATCCTGCAAACAGAATGTAATGGTGTGTCAATTCCAGATGCCCAAATAAAATACAAAATCAAGCAAAACCACACATCGCAGCATTATCATGAGTTTAAGCTATTGAGTATATAACATCAGTTTGTGAGTTCAATTCTCCAAATCCTTTCCTTTAAAGTAATAAGTTTATTTCATCTTTATTAATGTCTTCATTACAATTAGCCTTCTACTAATAACAATACAGTTTAATTTAATATTTATGGAGTTCTGATTTATTTTTTCCTTTGCTTTTAAGTGTGCTAATCTTTGTGCACGTGAATTTTCTACCACATTGCAACAAGCAAGCTTTGGTTCAATTTTCTTGTCCTACACAAAGGAAGATTTTGAGTGCAGAATCTTAGCCACTAGGTCTTGCGTTGTCATTTTATTTTCCTCTCCTTGGGTGGATTTACTGGAAGGAAATGGGTAAATGGGAAGGAAGGGAAGGGGAAGGGATGAGAGAGGGAAGAAGGGGAGAGTTCTCAGCTATGTTGAATCTTGATTCACAACTTTGCCTCCATTCATGGTTGGTGTTCCAGAACTTTTCCTTGAACGCCCTTGTTTTTCTCCAATTTCATGTAGCGATGGTTCTCTGTACATACACACTGAAAGGCAAAATAACAAAAATTACTTATGACAGTGGACATAAATTTCCTTCAATAAGCTTTTCAAATTTGATTTTACAATATTCTTCACTCTCATCACAAGCTCTTCTTCTCATTATAAAAAAACAGTTTTAACTTGATAATCAGTGAATACACTTAATTTTCTTTCAGTTCTTTCAGTCACAACCTTTTAAACTTTTCTTGAACTGCAGACATTTAAGTAAGTTGTTTCTGTTCTCTCATAGATAAGGCTTGAATCTTTACAGTTTCCTAACCTAGAAAAGAGGATTTTCATCCAGAGTCAGAGGAGACATGGGAAATATTTCGCTTTTTGGTCCTTAGTCTGCAGTCTAATTCGGGTAGGTAAAAAAATATTCATTTACATGTTGCTAATCTTTACCCTACCATAGGAAATATAATGTATCAAACTGAAATATTTATTGCCATTTCCAGGGCATCCTATGTAAAAAAATAAGGGAGGACAGAGAAGAGGAAAAAAGATGAAGCAATTTCCCCGACTGCCCTACATTTAGCTAAAGTAAGAAACACAGTCCGTGACTTTGTAGTTTTTCATCAATAGGGAACGTGATTATGCAAGCATGAGACTTCAGTTCATATCTATATAAACCGTTCTTTTCTCCTCTATTGTATTGTCTGGCTGTAAAGTTCAGTCATCTGTGAGCCATCATGGCTATTCCTAGATAATTGTTTAGAAAGAACGATGTTTTCAAATTATTCAAGTTATTCTTACAAAACACGTTAATTCAGCTTCATTACACTCTTGTGAAATAGACAAATGTGACTAGATAAGAGTATATGATATGTCTCAGGTAAATATCAGGAGTTACTTTTATCCTCGGCTTAGGAACAAACAGGTATCTCCACCTATTAAACCATCATTACAAAGATTTGATAATTTGAATGTTACTTCCAACATCAAATAGCTTCCTCCCTTGAACTTTGAGTGGTTACCGATTTGCGAACCATGCTACCCGGATCCACACCCTGACTCAGCCATCTCCTAGCCTTGTTAATTTGGACACATTTTCATAAATGAAAAATTGCATATTTATGAAGATTAAATGCCTTGCATAGAGCAAGTACCAAAAAATGTTTATGAAAATTAAGGAGCTGATTTCTTTGTGAGCATTTTGAATAACAGATCTTCAGAGAATATAGAAATAAATTGTTTTGGCTGAAAGTATTCTAAATCCAAAACTAGACTAAAACAGAATTTAGAATACAAGTGAGAGTCTCCTGAGACTGGTTCAGTGATGAGGAGACAGATTTCTTCCAACATATTCTATTACAGAACTTCTTAAATGTTACCGTACATGGGAATCACCTAGGAATATTGTTAAAATGCAGATTATGAATCAGAAGGATTGTAGTGAGCTTGAGAGTCTCCATTTTAAATAGATCTCAGGTGATGTTGATGCTGATAAAACCCAGACTACACTCTGAGTAGCAGAAAATATATGAATAAAATATGTGTGTTAAGGCTGTTATGTAAATTAGCCACATATATTTTAATGAGATTTAAAAATATTTCAATTACTGCACGGATGGCTCTTCCAACATCCCCAAAGGACTAAATGCCCTTGGCTGAAGTAACAGAGTATACAGAGGAAACCAGCTCAGAGAGTAGATCATATAATTTTCAAATGACACAAGTAAGTCATTCAAGTTTGTCTTTCTTCTTCTTTTTTTGTTTCAACAAATAGAAGATCCTTAGGGAATATCTTGCCAGAATCTTGAAGTTCCCTAAGTCTAATGGTGCTTACCTCTCTTTCTATTATAAAAAAAATTAAAAACTCCAAAATTAAAGCATAGTTTTTTATTTGTGCAAAATACAACCATTTACATAAAACTGCTCAATGCACAGGGGAACGCAAGAAGCAACGAGGTGATTTAGCTGGAACACTATTCATATGATACCATAAAATAGTTCTTCCCAACTCTGTCACCTAATCAGCTGTGAAAACTTACACATCTGCAGGTCACCCCACAGATTGCTAAATCAGAATCTCAATGAATTTACAAAAATCTCCTTTTTCAAAAATAATATATTTTGACCTGCAAATCCTTAAGCTTCATCCAGGGATACTTGAGGAATAAATTTTCTAATTTTCATTAAAGTGTATATTTTTTTTTTTTTTTTGAGACGGAGTCTCGCTCTATAGCCCAGGCTGGAGTGCTTTGGTGCTATCTAGGCTCACTGCAAACTCCGCCTCCCGGGTTCATGCCATTCTCCTGTCTCAGCCTCCCAAGTAGCTGGGACTATAGGCACCAGCCACCACGCCTGGCTAATTTTTGTATTTTTAGCAGAGATGGGGTTTCACCGTGTTAGCCAGGATGGTCTCGATCTCCTAACCTCGTGATCCACCCGCCTCGACCTCCCAAAGTGCTGGGATTACAGGCATGAGCCATCGCGCCTGGCCTAAAGTGTATATTTTTATCACTTTTTAAGCTGAGTTTCTTAGAGTTGCAATTTCCTTTTTAGTTTTTTTATGCCACAGATTCTACCCAAAACATTCACTTGGACTTTTATCTTTTTTTTTGTTTTGTTTTCTATTTCTCACTTGCACATAAAATACTTCATTTGTGTCAACACACAATGTTACTGTTATAATTACTGCTGCAGATAACTTTTCCAGTAATTTAACCCTGCTGGCCATCCTTATATTGAGCGGTATTGCAA
Organism: Homo sapiens; assembly: GCF_000001405.40. NCBI lineage: Eukaryota > Metazoa > Chordata > Mammalia > Primates > Hominidae > Homo > Homo sapiens. Next base: position 192,146,829 of record NC_000003.12, read on the forward strand.
ATTGACATCTGAAAATATACAGTGTTTCAAAAAGACCAAAAGTCACCAGTGCCACAGCAAGATGTAAAATTTGCTCTTTTTCTCATACAACTCATTTTCTAATTTCCCAATCTTTGCACTAAATGGAGTAATAAAATTAACGGTTTTGAAAACCTAGTTCATGTCCCAGTTAGAAAACGACAAGTAAAAGGTAGGTTTTCCAGTTCACTGATGAAAACTGCCCCCCTCCTCAATAAATCAAATAGGTATTTGAATTTCTATACTTCTGTTAACCAAAATAAAAAGATGTTCAGAGAAAGCAAACTAAAGTTATTCTAGAAACTGCATGCAAATACAAATACGGAGAGCAAAACCTTGGTCAAAGCAATAGATTAAATGTAATTTCTTGAGCATTAATTTTCATTGTTATTTACAGGACCTAGGATTCAGTAATATATCTAAGAAGCTGACAAATCAAGGGGAATAAGTCTCAATCAAATTTCTGAATTACAATATAATTTAAAGACCATAATCCAATTAGAAAGCAAAGAAAGAATAAAGTACCTCCCTTCAGTAATATAACTGCCTTACTACCATCCATAGTTGCATTAACGCTTAATGACTGCTATTCTGAATGTACATGGTAAATAATGAAACAAAATTAAGGAAGGAAACAAGGCGTAAGTGTTCTCTAAAGTGCATTATATGTGCAAAACGTAAACGAAAATCACCATGATGTATATAGCAGCCTCAATATCATTTCAGAGTATTCAAAGCAATTTTAAATTGATTAACTAAATTTTACAATTATAACCCAGTGAATATAGTAGGTGAGAAATTATCACCCCCATTTTTTTTAAATATAAAAGAAATTAAGCCACTTCCATAAAGTCAGAGAGTGAGTAGTGGCAGGGCCAGGATGAATATTTAGGGTTTCAAGGTCCTAGTTAAGAGTTTTGAATAAAATCAGAAATACCATAATTTATCCAACAAACAATGTAAAATGACTGACATATCAGTGTTTGAATTCTTATGTCTGTATGTTAATCAAGATTTAAGTTGGCCTTAACTTCACTAAATATTCCTAAAGTCATTCAGAAATGGTAATAAAAGAAAACATATGGCTGTTATAAACAAAATCAAAAAAGAAAGTAACAAGAGTTGGTGAGTATGTGGAGAAATTGAAACCCTATTCATTTCTACTTAAATGTAAAATGGCTCAGCCACCGTGGAAAATGAAATGGTGATTCCTCAAAAAATTAAATACGGATGTACCATATGATCCAGCAATTCCAACTGTAGGTGTACACTCAAAATAAATGAAAGCAGGGACCCCAGCATCTATCTGTACATCCATGTCCATAGAAGGATTATTCACTGTAGCCAAAAGATGGAAGCACCAAAATGTCCATTGACAAATGAATGGGTAAATATAATGTGGCCTATACATATAATGAAATATTATTCAGCCTAAAAAACAAAATTCTGACACATACTACAACATGAATGAACCTTGAAGAAATTCTGCTAGGTGAAATAAGCCAGTTACAAGGAGCCAAATATTGATTCCACTTATGTGAGATACCCAGAGTAGTCAAGTTCACAGAGGCAAAAAATAGAACTGTACTTGCCAGGGGCTGGGGAAGAATGGGGATTTCTTATTTAATGAGTACAGAGTTTCAGTTGGGGGAGATGAAAAAGTTCTGGAGTTGGATGATGGTGATGTTTGCACAACAATGTCAATGTACTTAACGGCAATGAAACATATACTTAAAAATGATTAAAATGGTAAATTTTGTATTATCATATTTTACCACAATTAAAAAGCAAACAAACAAACAACTTGTCCTGAATTGTCCTGAGTATAAGGTATAAGAAGTGACTATTAAAGCCAGAGGTGTTCCATTTGCATAGGAAGAGCCAGCAATTCCCCAATAATAAAAAACATTAGTTTTAGAACTGTATTAAGGAAGAGGGAGTTGAGATATAACTGAGGAGGTACAGGGCGAGGAAAAGGATAGAGAAATCTGATGAAAATATTCTAGGACTGTGCTGCCTAGTATAGCATCCATTTAGCCATATGTGGCCACTGAGCACGTACAATGTAGCTAGTCCTAATTCAGATGAGACATAAGTGCAAAAATAAACACTACAGGACTGGGTAAAATAGGGAGGTGATGACGAATAAGAAGGATAAGGCTAATTTGTGTCAGAGCTTGCTGAATTCCAGGCCAGAAAATTTAAACCGTGAACATCATATATATCAGGCTCAATATGATAGCAAGTGAAGAGTTAATATACTTAGTTAATTAAGTGATATGATAGCAAATGAAGAGTTAACGTCCATCCGACATGAGTGTATAAAGAAAAATCTATTAATTCCTTTATGTAGAAAAATGTCTAGGTTTACGTGATATGGATACAACTAGTCAGTATAGTCAAGAAAAATCATTCAAACTGAATCTCACTGAGTGAACTCTGTAAGGAATGACTGGCAGCATTTGAACCTTTTTTTTATTATTATACTTTAAGTTTTAGGGTACATGTGCACATTGTGCAGGTTAGATACATATGTATACATGTGCCATGCTGGTGCACTGCACCCACTAACTCGTCATCTAGCATTAGGTATATCTCCCAATGCTATCCCTCCCCCCTCCCCCCACCCCACAACAGTCCCCAGAGTGTGATATTCCCCTTCCTGTGTCCATGTGATCTCATTGTTCAATTCCCACCTATGAGTGAGAATATGCGGTGTTTGGTTTTTTGTTCTTGCGATAGTTTACTGAGAATGATGATTTCCAATTTCATCCATGTCCCTACAAAGGACATGAACTCATCATTTTTTATGGCTGCATAGTATTCCATGGTGTATATGTGCCACATTTTCTTAATCCAGTCTATCATTGTTGGACATTTGGGTTGGTTCCAAGTCTTTGCTATTGTGAATAATGCCGCAATAAACATATGTCTGCATGTGTCTTTATAGCAGCATGATTTATAGTCATTTGGGTATATACCCAGTAATGGGATGGCTGGGTCAAATGGTATTTCCAGTTCTAGATCCCTGAGGAATCGCCACACTGACTTCCACAATGGTTGAACTAGTTTACAGTCCCACCAACAGTGTAAAAGTGTTCCTATTTCTCCACGTCCTCTCCAGCACCTGTTGTCTCCTGACTTTTTAATGATTGCCATTCTAACTGGTGTGAGATGGTATCTCATAGTGGTTTTGATTTGCATTTCTCTGATGGCCAGTGATGATGAGCATTTTTTCATGTGTTTTTTGGCTGCATAAATGTCTTCTTTTGAGAAGTGTCTGTTCATGTCCTTCGCCCACTTTTTGATGGGGTTGTTTGTTTTTTTCTTGTAAATTTGTTTGAGTTCATTGTAGATTCTGGATATTAGCCCTTTGTCAGATGACTAGGTTGCGAAAATTTTCTCCCATTTTGTAGGTTGCCTGTTCACTCTGATGGTAGTTTCTTTTGCTGTGCAGAAGCTCTTTAGTTTAATTAGATCCCATTTGTCAATTTTGGCTTTTGTTGCCATTGCTTTTGGTGTTTTGGACATGAAGTCCTTGCCCATGCCTATGTCCTGAATGGTAATGCCTAGGTTTTCTTCTAGGGTTTTTATGGTTTTAGGTCTAACGTTTAAATCTTTAATCCATCTTGAATTGATTTTTGTATAAGGTGTAAGGAAGGGATCCAGTTTCAGCTTCCTACATATGGCTATCCAGTTTTCCCAGCACCATTTATTAAATGGGGAATCCTTTCCCCATTGCTTGGTTTTCTCAGGTTTGTCAAAGATCAGATAGTTGTAGGTATGCGGCATTATTTCTGAGGGCTCTATTCTGTTCCATTGATCTATATCTCTGTTTTGGTACCAGTACCATGCTGTTTTGGTTACTGTAGCCTTGTAGTATAGTTTGAAGTCAGGTAGTGTGATGCCTCCAGCTTTGCTCTTTTGGCTTAGGATTGACTTGGCAATGCGGGCTCTTTTTTGGTTCCATATGAACTTTAAAGTAGTTTTTTCCAATTCTGTGAAGAAAGTCATTGGTAGCTTGATGGGGATGGCATTGAATCTGTAAATTACCTTGGGCAGTATGGCCATTTTCACGACATTGATTCTTCCTAGCCATGAGCATGGAATGTTCTTCCATTTGTTTGTATCCTCTTTTATTTCCTTGAGCAGTGGTTTGTAGTTCTCCTTGAAGAGGTCCTTCACACCCCTTGTAAGTTGGATTCCTAGGTATTTTATTCTCTTTGAAGCAATTGTGAATGGGAGTTCACTCATGATTTGGCTCTCTGTTTGTCTGTTGTTGGTGTATAAGAATGCTTGTGATTTTTGTACATTGATTTTGTATCCTGGGACTTTGCTGAAGTTGCTTATCAGCTTAAGGAGATTTTGGGCTGAGACAATGGGGTTTTCTAGACATACAATCATGTCGTCTGCAAACAGGGACAATTTGACTTCCTCTTTTCCTAATTGAATACCCTTTATTTCCTTCCCCTGCCTAATTGCCCTGGCCAGAACTTCCAACACTATGTTGAATAGGAGTGGTGAGAGAGGGCACCCCTGTCTTGTGCCAGTTTTCAAAGGGAATGCTTCCAGTTTTTGCCCATTCAGTATGATATTGGCTGTGGGTTTGTCATAGATAGCTCTTATTATTTTGAAATACGTCCCATCAATACCTAATTTATTGAGAGTTTTTAGCATGAAGGGTTGTTGAATTTTGTCAAAGGCTTTTTCTGCATCTATTGAGATAATCATGTGGTTTTTGTCTTTGGCTCTGTTTATATGCTGGATTACATTTATTGATTTGCGTATATTGAACCAGCCTTGCATCCCAGGGATGAAGCCCACTTGATCATGGTGGATAAGCTTTTTGATGTGCTGCTGGATTCGGTTTGCCAGTATTTTATTGAGGATTTTTGCATCAATGTTCATCAAGGATATTGGTCTAAAATTCTCTTTTTTGGTTGTGTCTCTGCCCGGCTTTGGTATCAGAATGATGCTGGCCTCATAAAATGAGTTAGGGAGGATTCCCTCTTTTTCTATTGATTGGAATAGTTTCAGAAGGAATGGTACCAGTTCCTCCTCGTACCTCTGGTAGAATTCGGCTGTGAATCCATCTGGTCCTGGACTCTTTTTGGTTGGTAAACTATTGATTATTGCCACAATTTCAGCTCCTGTTATTGGTCTATTCAGAGATTCAACTTCTTCCTGGTTTAGTCTTGGGAGAGTGTATGTGTCGAGGAATTTATCCATTTCTTCTAGATTTTCTAGTTTATTTGCGTAGAGGTGTTTGTAGTATTCTCTGATGGTAGTTTGTATTTCTGTGGGATCGGTGGTGATATCCCCTTTATCATTTTTTATTGTGTCTATTTGATTCTTCTTTTTTTCTTTATTAGTCTTGCTAGCGGTCTATCAATTTTGTTGATCCTTTCAAAAAACCAGCTCCTGGATTCATTGATTTTTTGAAGGGTTTTTTGTGTCTCTATTTCCTTCAGTTCTGCTCTGATTTTAGTTATTTCTTGCCTTCTGCTAGCTTTTGAATGTGTTTGCTCTTGCTTTTCTAGTTCTTTTAATTGTGATGTTAGGGTGTCAATTTTGGATCTTTCCTGCTTTCTCTTGTGGGCATTTAGTGCTATAAATTTCCCTCTACACACTGCTTTGAATGCGTCCCAGAGATTCTGGTATGTTATGTCTTTGTTCTTGTTGGTTTCAAAGAACATCTTTATTTCTGCCTTCATTTCGTTATGTACCCAGTAGTCATTCAGGAGCAGGTTGTTCAGTTTCCATGTAGTTGAGCGGCTTTGAGTGAGATTCTTAATCCTGAGTTCTAGTTTGATTGCACTGTGGTCTGAGAGATAGTTTGTTATAATTTCTGTTCTTTTACATTTGCTGAGGAGAGCTTTACTTCCAACTATGTGGTCAATTTTGGAATGGGTGTGGTGTGGTGCTGAAAAAAATGTATATTCTGTTGAATTGGGGTGGAGAGTTCTGTAGATGTCTATTAGGTCCGCTTGGTGCAGAGCTGAGTTCAATTCCTGGGTATCCTTGTTGACTTTCTGTCTCGTTGATCTGTCTAATGTTGACAGTGGGGTGTTAAAGTCTCCCATTATTAATGTGTGTGAGTCTAAGTCTCTTTGTAGGTCACTCAGGACTTGCTTTATGAATCTGGGTGCTCCTGTATTGGGTGCATATATATTTAGGACAGTTAGCTCTTCTTGTTGAATTGATCCCTTTACCATTATGTAATGGCCTTCTTTGTCTCTTTTGATCTTTGTTGGTTTAAAGTCTGTTTTATCAGAGACTAGGATTGCAACCCCTGCCTTTTTTTGTTTTCCATTTGCTTGGTAGATCTTCCTCCATCCTTTTATTTTGAGCCTATGTGTGTCTCTGCATGTGAGATGGGTTTCCTGAATACAGCACACTGATGGGTCTTGACTCTTTATCCAATTTGCCAGTCTGTGTCTTTTAATTGGAGCATTTAGTCCATTTACATTGAAAGTTAATATTGTTATGTGTGAATTTGATCCTGTCATTATGATGTTAGCTGGTGATTTTGCTCGTTAGTTGATGCAGTTTCTTCCTAGTCTCGATGGTCTTTACATTTTGGCATGATTTTGCAGTGGCTGGTACCGGTTGTTCCTTTCCATGTTTAGCGCTTCCTTCAGGAGCTCTTTTAGGGCAGGCCTGGTGGTGACAAAATCTCTCAGCATTTGCTTGTCTGTAAAGTATTTTATTTCTCCTTCACTTATGAAGCTTAGTTTGGCTGGATATGAAATTCTGGGTTGAAAATTCTTTTCTTTAAGAATGTTGAATATTGGCCCCCACTCTCTTCTGGCTTGTAGGGTTTCTGCCGAGAGATCCGCTGTTAGTCTGATGGGCTTCCCTTTGAGGGTAACCCGACCTTTCTCTCTGGCTGCCCTTAACATTTTTTCCTTCATTTCAACTTTGGTGAATCTGACAATTATGTGTCTTGGAGTTGCTCTTCTCGAGGAGTATCTTTGTGGCGTTCTCTGTATTTCCTGAATCTGAACGTTGGCCTGCCTTGCTAGATTGGGGAAGTTCTCCTGGATAATATCCTGCAGAGTGTCTTCCAACTTGGTTCCATTCTCCCCATCACTTTCAGGTACACCAATCAGACGTAGATTTGGTCTTTTCACATAGTCCCATATTTCTTGGAGGCTTTGCTCATTTCTTTTTATTCTTTTTTCTCTAAACTTCCCTTCTCGCTTCATTTCATTCATTTCATCTTCCATTGCTGATACCCTTCTTCCAGTTGATCGCATCGGCTCCTGAGGCTTCTGCATTCTTCATGTAGTTCTCGAGCCTTGGTTTTCAGCTCCATCAGCTCCTTTAAGCACTTCTCTGTATTGGTTATTCTAGTTATACATTCTTCTAAATTTTTTTCAAAGTTTTCAACTTCTTTGCCTTTGGTTTGAATGTCCTCCCGTAGCTCAGAGTAATTTGATCGTCTGAAGCCTTCTTCTCTCAGCTCGTCAAAGTCATTCTCCATCCAGCTTTGTTCCGTTGCTGGTGAGGAACTGCGTTCCTTTGGAGGAGGAGAGACGCTCTGCATTTTAGAGTTTCCAGTTTTTCTGTTCTGTTTTTTCCCCATTTTTGTGGTTTTATCTACTTTTGGTCTTTGATGATGGTGATATACAGATGGGTTTTCGGTGTGGATGTCCTTTCTGTTTGTTAGTTTTCCTTCTAACAGACAGGACCCTCAGCTGCAGGTCTGTTGGAGTACCCTGCTGTGAGAGGTGTCAGTGTGCCCCTGCTGGGCGGTGCCTCCCAGTTAGGCTGCTCGGGGGTCAGGGGTCAGGGACCCACTTGAGGAGGTAGTCTGCCCGTTCTCAGATCTCCAGCTGCGTGCTGGGAGAACCACTGCTCTCTTCAAAGCTGTCAGACAGGGACCTTTAAGTCTGCAGAGGTTACTGCTGTCTTTTTGTTTGTCTGTGCCCTGCCCCCAGAGGTGGAGCCTACAGAGGCAGGCAGGCCTCCTTGAGCTGTGGTGGGCTCCACCCAGTTCGAGCTTCCCGGCTGCTTTGTTTACCTAAACAAGCCTGGGCAATGGCGGGCGCCCCTCCCCCAGCCTCGCTGCCGCCTTGCAGTTTGATCTCAGACTGCTGTGCTAGCAATCAGCGAGATTCCGTGGGCGTAGGACCCTCCGAGCCAGGTGTGGGATATAGTCTCGTGGTGCGCCGTTTTTTAAGCCGGTCTGAAAAGCGCAATATTCGGGTGGGAGTGACCCGATTTTCCAGGTGCGTCTGTCACCCCTTTCTTTGACTCGGAAAGGGAACTCCCTGCCCCCTTGCGCTTCCCAGGTGAGGCAATGCCTCGCCCTGCTTCGGCTCGCGCACGGTGCGCGCACCCACTGACCTGCGCCCACTGTCTGGCACTCCCTAGTGAGATGAACCCGGTACCTCAGATGGAAATGCAGAAATCACCGGTCTTCTGCATTGCTCACGCTGGGAGCTGTAGACCGGAGCTGTTCCTATTCGGCCGTCTTTCAGCATTTGAAACTTTTATGAGTTGTTCTGGTGCTTTGCAAACACAATCACAATTTCGTAGGAATAAATCTAGCTGAAGTCCCACTGTGTGTATAGGGCCCACTGTTTATCTAATATACCCATTCCAAGTACCATAATTCTGAATGCAATTGAAAGGTGAGGTTCATTTGGGCGATCTAAAACATGTTCTTTTGTTTTGGGGGGGAGCTTAAGAAGCCTAAACAAACAAAAAATAAATTAAGAATTACTAATGTCATTGCTTCTGGCCTTTTGGCTATGAACAAGTATGGAGAATTACTAATACCACATAGAAAATGGGAATCACATGTACTTTATAGTAAAATTTATTCATGATCTTATATAAATATCAGCACTAGAATTTGGAGTTCTGCTATTAATTTCTAATCACATACTATTAAGCATTTAGGGGAAACCTTTAGCAAGTATGTCCAGAGAACTGTCTAGGCTCTGACCTTCAATAGCTACATGAATTCTACAACTCTTAAACTGTGGTTCTCAAATTATTCTTATCCTATGCCAGATTAAGTTTCTCTCTTCCTAATAATCAGATCCTTATTATTAACCAGAAAGATTCCTAGTCCCTTGATTTGTAGTAGCTCGAAGTGCAATGTATTTCAAGAGGGACTTTTTCCATCTCTTTCTGTTATAATGCGCAATATTATTTCACCAGGAATAGATTTGCCATGCTTTAGGAGGTGCTAGAATTTTTTTTAAATCTCTTTTTTTTCTTCAAAAATTATTTTCCTGTTTCCTCTGTGTTATGCACTGGAGGCCACTTCAGCTATGAGAACAAAATTTGATATTTTAGTTCTTATGATAAGCAGTAATTTCTAGACTGGAAATAACATGAAAACAAAACAAAGAAACAGAAACTCCCTATCTTTCTTGTCTTCCCAGTTCCCCAATCCTGTTCCACAAAAACTCAGATTCAGTGGCACTTCTCATATGAAATTGGAAGCAAATCCTCTAATTTAGACAATATGGGATGTTACTAGTTAACTATGTCTCACTCAGGACCTTGGGGCAACACTTGTGATATAGATTTTATTTTCAGCAGGTATGATGTTATAGATAGTACTTAGTATAAAACTGATTTAAACTTTGTTTCTCTCTGATTGCACTTGATACTATTTTTCCAACACAGTTTCAGTACCCAAATTTCAAGGATGTTCAGTGTCCTAAAGATGCAAGGCCTGCAAGATAAATAAACAATGTTATTTCCCTTTCATCTGGCCTGCAAGATAAATAAACAATGTTATTTCCCTTTCATCTGGCTTTTCTGGGTTGTCCTTGATCAAGCCGCTTGCCCTCTTTCTATTCATTTGTCAAGTACATAGAGTAGGAAAAGAAATATTTGCTTCCCTCACCCCAGGATATTTCTGAGATAAAATATCATTGCTCCTCTAATGCATGTATCATCATAATAGTTTTGGACAAATGGTAAAATACGATCATGTTTTGAAGAGGAAGCATTTCTTTTTGGTTCTTCTGTACTCTTTCTTCAAATCAAAGCACACTCTTATTTCACTTCTTTTCTTCTTATTTTTCCTCTATTCTGACTTACATTTCAATTTTCTTCCTTCTTCTTAATGTTTCTTTCTATTCATGCTTTTGACTTTTCTAGAGCTATCGTAGATTGAAACGGAGAGATTTAACCCAGCTTTCTGAGTGAAAATAAGGTAGAGATTTGGTGCGAGAGTGTTCCTCCTTATTTTCAGACACAAGGACAAGCAGGTTTCTAATAACACAGCTCACAGTATGTACTACTTTAAAGCACAGTATTTACTAGAAACCAGTTTAACCCTTGAATGTCAGCAGAATGCACTTGTGAGATAGACAGTAGTTACCAGGTGACCCAGCACAGTGAAGGTTTTGATTTTAACAGCTGTCTGAGCATGCACTGACCATGTAGCCATAGAAAGCCCTGCAGTTCTGGTAACACAAATACAATGCAACACTTGGTCAGAACAGGACCATAATATATTGACTCTGTGATGATATATGGTATTTGTTCTATTTATTTAATTCTTGCTTCATTTTAAAGTGAAAAATTTACACTTTTAGAAAAGAGAAATGTGAAATATATATCACTGAGCTTTGAAGTATTGTCAAAAACAATCCATTTTCTCTTTGTAGGATTAGGTATGGATTTTTTCCAGGGCAAGCTTTCTATTTAATATTTTTCTATTACATTCTTTTCATGGGTGCCTGTGTTGCAAATGCAGTTACCAGAATATGCAGGCTTTCCTTGCCATCGTGATGGCTCAGATTCCCCTATTTACAACTTCTAACATTCAACAATAACTTCTATTTTAGTTATAAATTTCTTCTGAAAAAATTACAATGAAACAAAGACTTTCTTAAAAGTATGAAAAAAGTAAAATCTTGGGCATTGCTGTTATTTATAAAGCACACAGCTATAATAAACCGGGTGCCAAGTACCATCCTATGAGTACTCTCCTATTAAGCATTAGTCATCCTCATAATAATATCTAACGTTAACTGAGCACTTACTATATGCCTGCACATTATACATACAAACAGTTTTTTAAATGACCATAAAAATAGATACTTTTAGTGGCCTGTTTTGCAGCTGAGTAAACTGAAGAACAAAGAGGGTAACCTGTCCAAAGTAATATAGCAATACAGGGCAGTCAGCTTTAAAATCCATTTGAGACTAACCCTGGTGCCCCTGCTCTAAGCTGATAGCCTAACAGTTGAGTATGTGTAAATATGCTGAAAAACATAAAACTGTTTTGACTGGTCGTAAGTCAAAACCTTGACCCCAAACCTCATGGTTGTACACAGCACTTTCTGGAATTCTACTACATCTTTCTGGTCAATCAGCTCTCTCATGCTTCGCAAGTTACTTATTTCACACCTTCCCCTTGTACCTCAAGCTTCCAATACCACCTTAGCCCCTCCACAGACTCAGGAAATAGACCTGCCTGCTTTTCCCTTTTCTCTTTCTTTCTTTCTTTCTCTTTCTTTCTTTCTTTCTTTCTTTCTTTCTTTCTTTCTTTCTTTCTTTCTTTTCTTTCTCTCTCTTTCTTTTTCTTTCTTTCTCTTTCTTTTTCTTTTTTCTTTCTTTCTTTCTTCTTTTTTCTTGCTTTCTTGCTCTTTGTCTCTCTCTCCCTTCCTTCCTCTCTCTTTCCTTTTTCTTTCTTCTTTCCTTCCCTCCCTTCCTCCCGCCCTCCCTCTCTCCCTCCCTCCCTTTCTTTCTCTTTCTTTCTTTCTTCTCGTCTTTCTCTTTTTTTCTTCTTCCTTCTTTCTTTCTCTCTGTTTTTTCCCTCCCTCCCTCCCTCCCTTCCTTCCCTCCCTCCCTCTCTCTCTCTCTTTCTCCTTCCTTCCCTCCTTCCTTCCTTCTCCCTCTCTCCTTCTTATTCTTCCTCTTTATTTTCCAAGACAATAAACTGTCTGACTTTGCATTTCACTTAGAAAGGAGAATTAGATGAGAAATGTTTTCATGGCAAAAATTACCAACCTATGGACATCTGCCCCCACGTGTTCTGACTCCTGCTTGTTACAATGCTTGCACTGTGCAGTTCTTACCTAAATCTAGAGCGCCATGGTGCACTCAGTCCCAGCCCTTCTACTCAGTGTTCTTTGGTGTCCCTCTCTCCTGTGATCCCAATGTCTGCTTATCCCAGATTGTTCCCATCAGTATATGAATGTATGAAATAGCTTTAAAAACAAAGAACCCTACCATGTAACTGTCATGTTTCTCACCAGCTCCCTCCTCATTTCTCTACTTCCTTTTTATAGCAGCAGTTCTCAAAAGAACTTTAATATTCAATATTACCTTCTTCTTTTCTTTGCCTCCAGTTATCATTTAATTCTTTCCATTCAGACTTATTTCTCACTGTTTCACCAAAATCACTCATGTCAAGTCACTACTGACCACGAGTTACAAAAGCAAAGATCAATTCTCATTTAGCAGCTTGCTAGACACTCCAGCAGTGTTGGATACAGTTAATTATTTCCTCCTTTTTGACAAGATGTTTTCACTTGGCTTCTTGAACATCAATCAAAATAGCCTAGTCTTTCTGCAAATCACTGGCTACTCTATTTTATTCTCCTTTGCAGGAGCCTCCTTTTCCAATAAATGTTAGTGTTCCCCAGGAGTAAGTCAGCAATTACATTCATTTTCTTAGCAGTGTGAAGAAACTAGGGAAGTATTCTCCCCATTTCTTGTCACAACTATAGTGATGGAGGTCAAGGTGGTATTACTAATATTCTATAATGTGAGAAAGTTCCACACAATAGAATAATTTTTCCAAACAAGATAGTCTCCCCATTTGAAAAGTAGTCATAGAACCTAGGGCAGTGGTTGTCAAGCGGTGGTGAATTTGCCTTCAGTGAATCTTTCGTAATGTCTGAGACATGTTTGTTTGTCACCACTAGAGAGGATGATTTGCTATTGGTATCCTGAACATAGAGGCTATAGATGTTGCTACATATCCTCCAATGCACAGGGAAGTGCCCCACAACAAGGAATTATAGAACCCAAAGTCCCAAAATGTCAGTAGTGTCTGAGTTGTAATAACCAGTACTAGGGGATTACAAGTGATTTTAAAATGTCATATTTAAGTAGTGTGTGTGTGTGTGTGTGTGTGTGTGTGTGTGTGTACACATTTCAGCACACAGACCCATTATTCGCCCAGTTCATCATGCCTAACACCTAAAAGTCATCCCTGATTTCTGTCTTTATCTAACAACCTACATCCAATCCATTAGCATGCTCTATCAGGTCTACCTTCAAAATAAATTCAAAGTCATTCTCTCTACCTCTAGTTATAAAACCCTAGAGTCCAATCTAATACTATCTTGCTTAAGATCCTGGATGATTTCACTGCAATTCTGCTCAAAATCTATAATGAATCCCCATCACATTAACCATAAAATCTAAAGTCCTGAAGGTGGTTACAAGCCCTCAATTTATAGTCTTTCCTTTCTCTCTAAGTTCATCTCCTACCTTCCATTCCTTTAATCAATCCATTCTAGTCACATTGGCTTTCTTGCTCATTATTAGGCATCCTCGGAGTCTATAAAAGCCTTTGGAATCTCTCAGCTTTGCCTGCAAAAACCTTGTGCCACATCTTTGCATGGTTTACTACTAAATTTCATTCAGATTACTGTTCAAACATCATTTACGTCATCTTCTCTAAAAAATTTACCTTCATCATCCTTTTTAAAATAGTCCCATATTTTTTTCTTGGAACTAATCTCTAGTGATGTTTTAAAATGCTTGCTTATTTTTAATTGCGTATTTTTTACCCATTTCTAGACATAAATGCTATCAAGTCAAAATTGTCTTTCCTTGAGTACTAACTGTGTCCCCATTAGTACAGTGAAAGACGCTTAGTAGATGTTTCATAGTTATGTTCCAAATGAATATTCCTATCTACTATGCTACAGTGACTAACTGAAGAAGTCTTTGGTTGGAGTAAAGCTGATTTTTCTTTCACCTTTAAAGTCAGTGAATCTTTACTTTATCTAAGGTCCTAAACTTGGGCTGAGTTCCCTGAAACTGACCAATATAAAGGTAAAATAGATGACTTTGACACAAATGGAGCAAGGAATACTATACGGTAGACAATATTTATCAAGCTCCTTTAGTTAAGTGATATTTGAATAATCAAATAATAAGCCTCATCTTCACAGAAATAAGAAAAATCAATGAAACAGAAAATAAACCAAGAAAGCTGACGACCACCCTTACCTTTCCTTGTATATATGGTGCATTATAGAGTCTAGAAAGGAAAGAGATTCTAAGGATCATTGCATCAGACAGTTCCCTAAACTTAGTGATTGTCAAGGCATGACCCCTAACCACCACCACCAACAGCAGGAACGTTAAGAAATGCAAATTATTTGGCCAGCTCAAACGTACAGAATTAAAAATTCAGGAGATGGGGCCTAGCAATCTATGCTTTAGTGGGCTCTCTAGGTAATTCTGATGCACACTCAACTTGTAGAGTTGCTGTCCTTAATTCTTCCATGAGAAATACCCGGATGTTCTAAGAATACACATTTGTATCTATGTCTTGCCTCTGCAGATTCTAATTCATAAGAAGTTACACACAAATACACACACACACACAACTGATTAAGTAACTAAATTGAATAACTTTAAGGAATGACAACGCCTATTTACACACACACACACACACACACACACACACATCACATCACATTTGTAGTAGGAAAAGCATGACATCTGAAGTTACCAGGTAACAATTCTAGTTTTGCTTCTTTCTAGCTGTATACACCTAAGTGAGTTAACCTCTAGAAATGACATCTTTCTCGTGTTTAAAATAGGGATAGTAAATCTTAACCTTCATACTTCCAAGGATTTAGTGGCTATTAAATGATACTTTGGTTCAGAAAGCATGTTGAAAGGACAATATGCCATTCAAATGGAATATAAGGTAGTATAGCTGCTACTAATTATCACTTTATATTGTTGCTGTATTCTTGACAGATCCTTTGAAATTTGAGAGTGCTAGCAGTAATTTTTAAGTGTCAATGTCACTCTGTAGTGGAGAGTTGAACAACCTGTGTGTGGGAACACTGGAGTTGTTCTGACAAATTCTGTTTTCCAAATAAAAACAATTTAACTTCTGTTTTTAATAAAACTAAAACATTAAACTCTATAAAGAACCTCCATCGACTACTAGTTACCATCAAAGACAAATGAAATATGATTAATCATTTTATTACTACAAATTTAATTGAATTTTCCTTGGTCCTCTGTAATTTCCAAGAAGCTGAAAGGTTAGACTGCTGTGTTAGTTAATGCACCATTGAAGATACTTAATTGTCTTAATAGCAGATCATAGAAGGGTGTGGGAAATTTACCTAAAGCAATTTCACACCTGAATTAATGTTACATGGGATCCTTTTGGAACTCTGGGAGAATTCTAAGTGCTAGTTTGGAAGAAATGTATTGCCTTAGAAATGCATTCACTGTGCTATACATATTTACTATAATGAGATAACAACTATAACGTTGTGAACAAAAGCGTCTGTATGTTCGTTTAGAAAGAAAGAAAAAGCAATATTTGCAATGAGGGACAAAGAGAGAGAAAGAGGAAGAATGTGTGGGGAAGAGGTAAGAGGGTTGTATTAAAGACTACATTCAGAAACCAGAAAAAACTGGTTTGAATAAGTTACAATGGTTTGCAGGAGGAAAGTATCACAGGCTGGCAGAAACCCAAAACACAAAAGAAAGAGTTGCAGCTATTATCCTTTCTGTAATTAAAACAATTACTGGCAGAGAGGTTCTTTTTTGCTCCATCTTTCTGCTTTTGTCTTTCAGTATGGTTGGGTCCAAAAGAGAACCAAGGCATTTATTTCTATTTCCAGTTTATTGAAATAAAAATATCAAATTTGGCATTAGTGTCCACCAGTTGGAGTTTTAAAACATCAGGACTCCTGATTTGCTCTGTTCTTTGGTGTCTTATTATGTAGTTTTGAAGGGATTGTTATTTTCCTTCCAGATTCCATTTTCATTGCCTTTAATTTCTCATGCAATGCCACATCTCACAGCATTTTTCCAATACAAAACACAGTAAGACAATGTCCATTTTCTAAGACAAAATGAAAAAGGCATTTCATGTTTGATCTGACAGAATTCTCTTGAAAAATCCAACTTTTTTTTACAATGTCTAATTTTCATATTATTCCTTTGAAGCAGGTGGAATTTATAATAGACTTTATCTTCAGAGATGACTGAGGTAGAAGGAGATAAATTATTTTCTCAAAATTACTTAGCAAGGCTGCTCTGCCTATGGAGTAGCCATTCTTCTGTTTCTTGACTTCTCCAATACACTTGCTTTCATTCAAACAAAAATTGCTTAGCAAATCATTGCCAAATTTTGACCCAAAGAATTAGACACTTCTGTATTCTTGGTTACTTGATTTCTATTAGGTTGCTCTAAGAGGTGTCAATTTAATAAAATAATTGGCATTACCTCTACTGACTTCATATAGGAATTTAACCCTGGACTAAAACATACCTGTCTTGATAGTAGTAGGGAATGTAAAAATGTAACATATATAGTATACTTAATTTCATGTCAGAGGGACAATTTATATTACATTAGATTCAGTCCAATATATTGATCACAATAATATGAATAAATTTAAATCATCCATGGCCAGATTTGACCAAAAGGAGCTTAGAAACACCAAATTCAGAACACTGCATCTCAAACTCAATGCCATCAGAAATCCCCTGGACAGCGTTTTAAACCTATAGAGTCCTAGGTCATACATAGGTTTCAAACATCAGATCACTTTGGAGATTTGCTCTGAGAATCTGTTAGCTTCTAGGAACACTACAGATGGTTCTGGTACTGATGTTTGGGAAATGACAGTTTACATTCTGCTGAGTCTTAAATCAGATTCTATGAGCTTAAAGCACCAATTCTAACAAAGAAAATGGAAACCATGTATATGGCCAAGTGTGTGTGAGTGTGTGTGTGTGTGTGTGTGTGTGTTAGTACTGTCTCCCCACTACCAAATAAATTGGGAGAAATAAATCAATATTCCTTTATTCCAAGTTTAATACTTCTGTATGGATGGCTCTCAAATGATTCTTAGTTATCTTATTTGGAAATATATTTATTTCTCCAGGTCTCAGCTCTTGAAGCTTAAATCTTTGCAAAGTACACAGACTTTTTTTTTCAGAAGGGAAGAACCAGATCCTAAATACTCAGCCACCTGCAGTAGCTGAGCAATGTGCTTCTTGAAGGAGGAGGGAGGAGAAAAGGAGGAGACTATATTTTGTTCTTTGTCAAAGAGTATTTGACTGCTATATCTGATGCTAAAGGGGGAGGTCACCACTAAAACACTTTACATCTGGGGAAGTTACTTATCTGTGCTTTGAACAATACTCTGAAAGGGCAGAATTGAGAATCAGGAAGCCTGTGCTATTGTCCAAAATTCCAGGGGAGGGGACCCATGTAAGTAGAGGTTTATATGCAATGTACATAGTAATGTGCTTAAACATCAAGGCCATCTATCAGAATAGGTGACCCTGAAACCCCTCATCAACGCTCCTGTTCTCTAAACACAGGATGAGACGTGAAAGAGTGAAGGGAAATGGGCTGGTGGGTAATTATTATCATGTTATCAGTGTAGGACTTAACCATCCTCAAACTGGCAGAGCTTAATTTTGGGAATCGTGACATTCAAAAGACAACACCAGCAGGACTGGGATAAAGGCAGACATATGTGAAAAACAAATAAGCAGGAAAAAACAAAAGAACAAAAGCAAAACCCAAAGCCAAAAAAAACCCTACTTTGGCTTTTCCTCCCTAAGAGGACAATTCCCTTCACAAAGGAAGGGCTCATTTACCGTGCAGTGCTGGACTCTGTTAGGATGTTAACAGTATTACCATTGGACTTACAGGGTTACAAAGATGCCTTTAAACATTACAAACAAAATAGTCAATAATTTTTTTGGTTAACCCATTAGCAGCAAGTTAGCTAATCTCTTATGCTATCATTTTCTAATCGTTTTCTAAAAGTGTCATCTAGTTATGTGCTTTATACCTGCCCTATGGAAAAATATTATCGAAAACTTTATTTATTTATTTATTCACTTATTTTTGGGACAGAATCTTTCTCTGTTGACCAGGCTGGAGTGTAGTGGTGCAATCTCAGCTCCTGGCAAACTCCGACTCCCTGGGTTGAAAGTGATTCTCCTGCCTCAGCCTCCCAAGTAGCGGGGATTACAGGTGTGTACCACCACACCTGGCTAATTTTCATATTTTTTAGTAGTGATGACGTTTCATCATGTCGGCCAGGCTGGTCTTGAACTCCTGGCCTCAAGTGATTCACCTGCCTCGACTTCCCAAATTGCTGGGAATACAGGTATGAGCCACTGCGTCTGTCCTAAAATCTATTTAAATGTAAGTTATGGCTAGGATGCCTTTCATCCTATCCCTTCATTAAAAAAAAAAATCACAAATAATGGAAATAGCTCATAAAGCTGTAATTTATTTTTTCAATAATTCAATAAAGAAAATATGTTTAGACCAGTTTTACATGTAAATTCTAGGCTAGGTTCTATGAAGGAACATGGTTTTACAGTGAAGGGCTTATAACGACTGCCACACAATGTCATTGCCAAAGAACTTTAGAAATCATCTGGTCCAATTTTTTTTTTTTTTTTTGCTGAGTGGAAATAAACCTTGTTAGAATTCACCAGAAAAGAAGTGATGCATTGTTAATTCTTTCTTGCCTAGCTTGAACATGGCATTCCATTAACTGTTTTATCTGATTGTTTACCAATGTGTTTCTCATCATATCATGTATTCCTGTCTCAATTTTGCATGATTTAAAACTAGTTTACTATTCAAATTGCATCATAGTATAAGGTTTCTGCTTTGCTATCACTGACTTTTCTGAGTATTTGCATATTCACAGGCTTACTTCAGATTGAAGGGCAACATAGTACAGAGGTTACGTGACATCAGGGTTCCTGGACTGCAACCCCAGTTCTGTATTTATCTAGCCCTGTGGTCTTGGACTGGTTACTTAGTTACTTTAAATTACGTTTCCTCATCTATAAAATGAGGATAAAAATACAGAACTATTGTGAGGCTTAACAGAGATAACATACGCAACCTGGCTAGCAAATAGTAAATTGATAAACTGCATACAGAAGTAGTAAGACTAGTAATAGCAGTAATGGTGGCAGCAAAAATAATTTGAGTATCCCAGCAGCGAGGAGAAAGGTTTCAATGTCCAGTGGATTAATGCCTGACACAACCTCAAGTGTACATATCTTTGATAGTAATGGTAACCTGTTAAAATCATTTAAGGATATAATGTATAACTGCATGGAGAATCATAAGGTAATTGTTCACATTTTCTGTATTATAAGGACATCAAAGCACATAGGAGGCAGAAGAGAACCAACCAATTTCATGTGTTTCATGTCAGTTACAAGAGTGTGATGATCTCCATTAATCTGCAAGAACTTTTATTTCTAAGGGGTAGGGATATATTGCAGATTTTTAAAAAGAGAAGCAATTAGGAGACATTTATTCAAGATCATTTACTAGGTCCCACTATATTGAAGTTACATCTACATCTTTCTCAGACCTCAGACTGTAGCCTGTCTTACCAGTTTTAAATGGGGTTTAAGAACTTGATTGTTCAAGTCAGAATGCTTTGGTTTCATTTCTGGCTTTGCCAATTGCTAGCTGCATGATTTAGGACAAATTACTCAATATCTCTGTGTTTCATTTTTCACATTTGTAAATGCGGATAATACTGGAACCTACTTCGTACAAATGGAATGGAAAGTAAGAGACAGTAATTGAGACGTGCTTAGAATAGCACCTGCACAGAGTAAGCATTTATAAAACTGTTAGCTAAGATTGTTCAATAAAGTTAGTTCCCTAAGACAAAAGATAAAGACATTTATAGGGAATGAGAAGGTGTTTGGCCTAAAACCAATTAAGTTTTTTTTTTCATTTTTGGAAGTAATTATCATCATATTCTATATGCTTCACACCTAGAGAGACAAAAATCCTTGGAAGTGAATCAAAGTATTAGTGAATCTGATTTAGAATGCATTTTTTTTCCCAGAACAAAAAGAAAATCATTCTAAAGGATCAGTCAATAACATAAAGTAAAAACACGATAATCTACCAAAAGATGTCAATCAGAAAATTAGGAAATCAGAGATATTCTAAAATTAAGAGGATGGAAGCCTGAAGCAGAGTTTTTAGTGTCTCAATACCCATTGTGCCATAACCCCTAGTCACAGAACATTTATTTGGTATATGGCTATCAAAAAAAAAAAAAAAAAAAAGACTACATTCTTAGCTTCTTTACACCTAAGTGTGACTACCTGACTAGGTTGTGGCCAGTGCGATAAGTAGCATATGGCAGTTACCATGGACAACTTGGAAAGAAAACTGGCCCTGGCTTTTCCTTCTGTCTTCTTCACCTCTCCTCTGCCCTCTGGCTGGAATAAGATGCTGGTTGGATCATGGGCAGAAGGGCAGATCCAGGGCCAGCATGTGTGGTTGTGTTCCGGGTGCAGTGCACAGTTGTAAATAAGCCGTAGCAAAACACTGGGAGAGAGGTAGTAAAAGCTGGATGCAGCCAAGGCCCTACCAATTGGAAAAGCACAGTACCAGCTAGGATAGCTGGTCTCTAGATTTGTTTTGTGAGAGAATAAAAAACTTTATATGATTAAGCTGCTGTTAATATGAGTTTGTGTTGTGTGAAGACAACCTTAATTCTAATCCATATAGGAATGTCCAGTTGTACACGTACATGCTCATCCAGACCCAAGAGGAAACTTGATTAACCAAAGTACAGATAGCAGCTAAAATTAGGAGGGTAGGTTATAGGTATATATATATATATATATATATATATATATATATATAAAATTTTTTTTTTTTTTTTTTTTTGAGAAAGAATCTTGCTTTATCACCCAGGCTGGAGTGCAGTGGCGTGATCTCAGCTCACTGCAATCTCCACCTCCTTGATTCTCCTGCCTCAGTCTCCTGAGTAGCTGGGATTACCGGCACGTGCCACCACGCCCGGTTAATTTTTGTATTTTTAGTAGAGACGGGGTTTCACCATGTTGGTCAGGCTGATCTCAAACTCCTGACCTCGTGATCCGCCCACCTCGGTCTCCCAAAGTCCTGGGATTACAGGCGTGAGCCACCAAGCCTGGCCTAGGTGTATTTTTAAGTGGGGTCATGAGGGTGAAGTTGAATATAAAGGGCATTATCCGTAAAGGGAATAAACACAACACGTGGATTTCTTTTCTTCATACTTTCCTAAATTTTCCAAAATTGTTAATGACCTTGTACTACTTTTATAACAAGAAGAAAATCAATGTAAATGAACAAATAAAAATGATGCAATAATTAAGAGCATAATTCATCAAACATTTCATTTTTGAGAATCCATATATTTCCCTGTGAAAATATTACTTACTTCTCAGGTACCCTTTGCTTAACCCTAAGAAGCAGGCACTTTCCTGCCTTTATTCACACTGCACCTGGAATGTTTTTGTCTGCCTAATCCCTACCTCTCATCTCAAATTGCAGGAACCTGGCCTAGCCCTGAAGGTAAGTTTAAATATTAGCTTCTCAATGATATCTTACTTTTTGGGAAAATAATAGCCTTTTTCTCTGAGTCCCAATATAAATCCTATATATTGCATCACTTAACATTTTACTTTTGCTCTGAGTAAACATATGTCACACCTCTAAGAATATCATAAAGTTCTCTGGCGCATATATTCTTCTTTGTCTTTATAGTTTTCTATTCATTAATTCATTCACATGTTCACTTTTCAGACAACTGATTATCAAATATCTCTCTATGATATGCCAACTATTATAGAAGACAAAGGGAGATATGAAGAAAAATAAAACATGTTCTGTTCATTCAAAGAGTGAGCTAACCATGAATAAGAGGAGACAGAGTGGCATTGGGCAAATTTAATGTCATAATTTCTATGGGAGAGAAATGTATGCAATGACAAGCTGACCGAATGTTTAGTTCTACTTGAAGAAAGTCAAGAAGGCCATCATGGAAGTATTGACTCTTGAATTATTTTTTTCCAAAGACTAATAGACATTTTCCAGGCAGATGAGATAAATGGATAAAAACTAAAGGAGCAGGGGTGATGAACAAAATGAGCCCAATAAGAATGAAAATAGGCCAGGCATGGTGGCTCACGCTTGTAATCCCAGCACTTTGGGAGGCCGAGGTGGGCAGATAACCTGAGGTCAGGAGTTTGAGACCAGCCTGGCCAACATGGCGAAATCCTGTCTCTACTAAAAATACAAAAATTAGCCGGGTGTGGTGGTGTGTGCCTGTAATCCCAGCTACCCAGGAGGCTGAAGAAGGAGAATCGCTGGAACCCAGGGGGCAGAGGCTGCAGTGAGCCGAGATTGCACCACCGCACTCCAGCCTGGGTGACAGAGCAAGACTCCATCTCAAATAAATAAATAAATAAAGTGAAAATATACTGCAGGAAAGAAAAGTTCATTTCATGTGCTGAATACACAGCATGTGAAGAGGGTCCTGAGAGGGGCTAGGGGCTTTGAATATCACATTTCATCCAGTGCTTGGAACATTGGAAGATAGTATTGACTTAAATGTTTGCAGTCACCGTGCTATGTACTATGCACCAGGCATTGTGTACACTGATTGACTGACCATGCCATATGAGATATTCAGGGGACAGCAAGCTTGACTAAGCCACAGAGTTGCAATGCACTGCCTCAATTTTCTCATTTCCTCAGACGAGGATGCTGAGCCAATGTTTAAAGTGATTATAATGTGACTTTCAGAGGAGAAACAAGCTTACTCAGCCTGTAGTAGAAAGCTTGGCTGAATTCAGGAAATGTGGTTACCCAAATGATATGCTCTCATCCTAGCTAAGGAATTTCTGAGGGAACATAGCCTAGCTGCCAAAAATCGGTTTCCTCAGAAAAAAAAAAACAAAAAAGTTTATTCTAATGGTCAGTTTGAAATAAATGAACAGAGAATTAAATGATTACGAGAGAAAAGGTTATAGGCTCACCTGAGAAGGATACAGTGCAATACGGTAAATATAAAAGTATCATTTGTTTTTCAAGGGTGTATCTTGAGAAAGGAAATTATTAGGTTTAGAAAAGGAGGAAACTGCATACTAGATAGTAACTACCACTTCTTTTCTACTTTCAAAATTTTTCCGGCTTCTATATTCAGGCATTTTTTTTAAGTGCCAAGTATTTGTAATAGAATTTTCCTTTTTTTTTTTTTTAATAGGAAAAGATTCCCAGCTACTACGGAGGCTGAGGCAGGAGAATTGCTCGAATCCGGGAGGAGGTTGCAGTGAGCCGAGACTGAGCCATTGCATTCTAGTGTGGGCGACAGAGCAAGACTCTGCCTCAAAAGAAAAAAAAAAAAAAAAAGGAAGAGATACTATTGTGTTCTCTGAATATTTCTTTTGAATCTTTCTTCTGATCTGTTGCATTCCAGGCAAACTCTCTGGACCAAAAGGGCAAGAAGCAGAATTGATGTCAACACACAGATAAGGGTCCAACAAAGACAGTCAGTTGGTTTCATACCTTCAATAGGTTTCGGTACAAAATGTGATGAGGGCTTGGTTTTCTTCACTCTGTTCCCCTTCATAATTTGACCTTCTTTATTGAGTCCCAGAAACCAAGCTCGGCCTGATTCTTGCTGGCGGTACAGTGTGGAAGAATAGATCACATAGTAGTTTTCAAACACAGATTCCTTGAATTTGCATTCTGGAGTGAAAACATCCTGTAGGAAAAAAAAAAAAAGACACAAAAAAGAGAAATGATTTAAAGGTGAATCAGCAAATGCTTAAATCCAATAAGCTTGAAATCCATGTCCTCTGTTAAGAACAAATGAAAGGCAATGACACATAGTTTCTATTAGCCTTTGGTTACAAAGATTCATCATACAAAATCAAAAAACATGATTGCCTTTCTAGCCAACCTTCAGCCCAGAGATAATAACTTGCTCAGGCTTGAAGCTACGTTAAAATCATTCAGGACTGTGGCCAAGTCTGCGCTCCGATCCTAGCAATATGTTTTGTAAACTAAAGTGATTGGCCATTCCTCATTTACTCACCCTTAACATGTAAATAAGGAACTAAAATTTATCCTGGAAATCAAAATCAAATATAACCACAGCAAACACAGGCACACAAGGTGCTTTTGAAGAGACTATTCTGTATATACAAATGTATTACACAGCCACAGCTTGGTCAGGAAAATCACCACTTTTCCTAAAGTCAGTAACTTCCTCTCTAATTTCCTTAAAACATTTTTTTCCTTAGTAATCAAAATCTCAGGTAAAAAGCCCAGGAATAATAGAAAAAAATTACTATTATATTGAAGAAAATTACTAATAGTATTAATTCCTATTACTATTGACCTCAGTGAAACACAGAATGAGAGTTCTAGTCTCAGAAGAAACTGTAAGATCCTGTACTTCAACTCCAGCATTTGGTAAGTGAGAAAACCAAAAGGTCACGTGATTAATTCAAATACACATTTAAGAAACTACTGAGTCAATGCCAGAGCTCACATTCATTGCTTCACAATCACAGTCTCTCAGGCTCACCTTTTCTGCCTGAGTCTTGTTTAGTGACTTATAATGAGATTTAAAAATCAATACAATAAAATCATATCCTAACATGTCACATGAACAAAATGTATTGTGTGGAAGGAAGAAATTTCTCCCCTTCTGAGATCAGCAGAAGAAAAACAAATGCTATTGCATCTTCTTCAGCTGCAATTAAACAGGAGTCCTACATGTCAGACATATTCACCACAGTCACCATCTTCCTCTCCATGAACTGGAAGAATTTCAGTGTGAGACTCCCATGATTTAATGCAAGCAAACCTGGAATTAAGTTATTAATGAATATAGGAATATTAATGAATATAGGTTGGTTGAAGCCATGTCCTTGTAGGTGATACTCCCATGCCAATCTCCTTATTTGTAGAGAGTGCTCTCTCTCTCTCTTTCTCTCCCTCTCTCCTTTTTTTTCTTTTTCTTTTTGTAAGAGGTGGGGTCTTGCTATGTTGCATAGGCTGGCCTCAAACTCCCGGGCCCAGAAGATCCTCCCACATCAGCCTCCCAAGTAGCTGGAACTACAGGTGTGTACCACTGCACCCAGCTTGTTTTTGAATAGTTCCAACATTATAGACGAAGAAAAATGAGACTAAGAAAACTGGAGTAGGCTGGGGTGTGGTAGCTTACCTCTGTAATGCCAGCACTTCGGGAGGTTGAGGTAAGCAGATCATTTGAGGTCAGGAGTTCAAGACCAGCCTGGCCAACATGGTGAAACCCCGTCTCTACTAAAAATGCAAAAATTAGCTGGGTGTGGTGGCAGATGCCTGTATTTCCAGCTACTCGGGAGGCTGAGGTGGGAGGATGACTTGAACCAGGGAGGTGGATGTTGCAGTGAGCAGAGATTACACCCCACACTCCAGCTTGGGTGACACAGTGAAATGGATCTCAACCCCCCCTTCAAAAAAAAGTCCAAGAAAACACCCCCCAAAGAAAATTGGAGTAGAAAGGTGGTTGTAGATAGTAAGATAATATGAATAGCAATAAATTAATATTATGTTTATATTAATACTGAAATATGATTTCTTAGAGTACTTTGAGTTTTAAGTAAATGAACTACTAGCTTAAGAATCAAAGAAACAAATGACCATGAGATACTACTTCACATCCACTATAAAGGCTATAGTTTAAAAATGGACATGACAAAGTGTTTATGAGGATGTGGAAAAACTGCAACTCACATACATTGCTGGTGGAAATGTAAAATTATGCAGAAGCTGTGGAAAATAGGTTGGCAGTGCCTCAAAAGGTTAAACATACAGTTGCCACACAATCCAAAAATTCCACTTTTAGGTATAGTTCTAAGATTAATGAAAACATATGTCCACACAAAAACTTGTGCACAAATGTTCATAGTGACATCATTCATAATGTGGAAACAACCCAAACATCTATCAAGTGATGAATGGATAAATACAGTGTGATAGTTCTACAGAATGCAACTGTAATACCATTCAATTATAAAAAAGAATGAAATACTGATTTATGTGGCAACAAGGATGAACCTCATACACATTATGTTAAGTGCAAGGAGCCAGATATAAAAGGCCACATGTATGATTCCATTTATATGAAATGTCCAGAATAAGCAAATCCGGAGATAGTAAGTACTGTAGTGATTATCAAGGGTTGGGGAAGGAGGTGAGAGGGATAAGGGTGGAGTGACTGTTTTGTTGGAGGGATGAAATGTTCTGGGATTAGATACCGGTGATGTTTGCAAAACTTTCTGAATGTACCAAAAACCACTAAAGCATGCATACATTTTTAAAATGTAAATTACGTGGCATTCAATTGATATCTCAATGAAAAAAAATCAGATAAACCAGGTGATTAAAGAAAGTGAGGGAAGGAATGAAACTATTGCACATTCCTTGCCTGGCAGCACAGGGCTATATGATAACCCATGTGAAGGAAAACTGGCTCTTCGAAGGCCTTGTCTCAATATTGCCAGGACAGAGTTTAGTCATTGCCAAGTATATGGATAAAAGTAACTCAGATTCAATATAGATGATAATATTAAGTTCTGTTTTTTTCCTAGGACTAATAAAGTATTTTTAAAATGCTTAGATTTAGGTCTGAATTTTAATTCATTTTCTTTTAAAAACAAACTAATTAAAATAATCCCAAAGCTTTTTATTATTTTTTTTTCTCGATCTAGTCCAATACTAGCAAACAGTATTAACCCTAGATGCTATGCTAAGGAACTCTGGAAAGTTCAAGCAATACATTCAATGTATAAGATTTCAGACTTTATAAAGAAGTTAGGAAAAAAATAATTCCTGTTTTGTGTAAGTACATATCGTCATATATGTAGATGGTGATAAAACCTTCTTCCTTATGAATGTACATCACAGAAACATGTAAATTTGAAGATAGATATAAAGCTGCTTAGTGATGATAGTACAATTTGGCACCTTTATCTAACAAGGTAACTAAAGCTCATGACAGCGAAATAATTGTCCCCAGTGTCATAGGAAGCTAGCGGCAGATCCAGACCCTGTGTTGAACAACGGGCTCCTCGCTGCTGGTTCAGTACTTCTTCCAATGCCACACATTGCTTTCCTACTGCATACGCAATCCTGCTTTTGATGCCAAGCTTGATTTGGGCAAGCCTTACTCAT
Source organism: Homo sapiens (assembly GCF_000001405.40). NCBI lineage: Eukaryota > Metazoa > Chordata > Mammalia > Primates > Hominidae > Homo > Homo sapiens. The sequence goes on from NC_000003.12 coordinate 192,174,118, forward strand.
ATTATAGAAACCATATCAGTGATGTATAATTACTACATTGTCATTTATACATGAGAAAAACAACACTCTCATTTAATAAATAACGATTCTTAGGTTTCTGTTTCATACTCATTTAAAATTCCCTCCCGGAACAGCAAAAATCAGAGATATTGCACAGAAGCTGGAGTCCTGGGGTCCTGAGCCAGGAACCGCATTAGGTAGGAACCGGGCTTTGAACTACTAAATTGACAAATGGGGGATTTCTTGCACAGCATCCAGGTCCTAATCAGCAATGAAAAGCCAAGTGGAGTTTTCCATTCAGTATAATTCCAACAGGGCTATGCAGAGTCAGAATCTGAAAATGAGGCAGCTATTAATACCTGACCAGGGCAAGACATTTCCGGCTGGAAACATGGCAGGAGTTTGCTGCAGGCACTTGTGTGGACACAGGCAGGCTACCCTATAAACTGGACGGGAAATCTTAATGGCACTGAACCAGCTTGGATAGTCATTCTAAGTAGAACCTTTACAATATATGTGCAGTTTCAGTTTCAATATGGAGTTGGGCATCAAAGAATTTACATTGTATTTGCTATTATGCCTCTTTTTTTTTTGTAATGAGAAATCAGAGCCCTACACGTGGAGTAAAAAAAAAAAAAAAATCAGGGTTTTCCTTCTGGCTCCACACATATTAGCTGTGGATTTTAGGTAAGTGATTACAATTCTCTAAATTTCACATTTTCAACTGTAAATTGAGTTATTTTAAGGAAAATCATGCATATGGACACATGTTTTAAATGTTTAGAATTTAACAACCTCCAACTCATTATTCACTTTTCACATAGCAGGAAAAATGCAATGAATCCTATAATAAGGCACTCAATTCTGGTTTTTGTCACATGTTTATATCTGCTCCAACATCTAGGACCTTGTGCCATAAGAGTAGTTAAGGCAGGTTACAAATATATAGACATTTTAAAAATAATCTAAAGCTTTTGGTAAAGACTTAGACAATCACATATATTCAGAAGGGGTTCTGTGGTTATAAAATGTGTGTTCAGACTGACAAAAAATCTAATGTATAACGGAAACAGGCAGGCTTGGGGTCAAAGGTGATAAAATCCCAGGCCACCTTGATCCAGTGCATATAATAGAAAGCAGAGTAAATAATCAGTATAATAAGGATGATTTTGTTTCTTTCGTAAGACTAACCAGTAGTCATGTTGTATCTCATGAGTGTTTCTTTTTCCTATAGTCTTGAGCCCTCAGTTCAATGTAGGCATCAGAGAAAACTTATAGAAATCTGCTGAAATAGAAACACCCCCGTGTTCTATTCTATGTCATGTGTGTAGATATGTGAAATGATAGGTCTATTTTTCACAATTATTACTTTAAAACCTGCCCATTCTTCAACTTCCACTCACTTTGACTTCAGCAGAAAATGAATATTTTGATAGTGTTCCGAAATTATTTTTGAATGCTCCCTCTTTTATCAGCATTTGCAGAACTGAGTTTTTGTTCTATCATGGTATAAGCCAATATTTGACCAATTCTTTTTCACATTCCAAATACCTGTCCACCCTAGCCTTGCCTCAAAAGTTAAAATCTCCAACTCATTTTAATCCAGATGATGAATGAATGCTGGAATCCTACGTAAGCCCAACATGATCACTCAGGACCCCTTCTAGTCTCTCCCCATCCCATGGGATTCCAACCTCCTCTCCCTAGAATGCTCCCTGACCCCAGCTTCATAGTTTCATACTCTACCTTGATTCCTCTCCAACACTGAATTTCTTCCTGTTTCTTCTCCCTGCACATAGACAACTGTCACACAGTTTCTGGCTTCTTAGGGTCTACCACTGCCCAGGAAAAGTCCTTTCCTCTCTAGTCAGCCTCTAACTGTGTCAGCTTTGGCCTTTCCCACCGCCCCCTCATCTGAATGGAATTCCCCTTAAGATATAAACACCATCAAGGATAAATAGACAGAAATTTAGAGATTTTAATGAATACTTGGATAAAATGCTGTATCTTTTCAGGTTTGACTCCCACTGTCAACACTGTTTTCATCACATGCTAATTTCTTGCAATGCCCCCACTTCCTAACCCTCAAGCTGTGCTTTGCTCAAGCTGTTCTCTCTGTTTCTCTATCAAATAGGACCATAACAGATGCTCTTTCAAGACTCTTCAGGTTACAGCAAACTTTCCTTCCTTTTGCTTCTCATAGCATTTGATATTTCTTTTAGTATTTAATGTGTTCTGTCTTGAATCACGATGGTTTTTCTTGCTCCTATAGCAGACAATGTGAGCTTTAGTTCACAGGGACATAATCCTCTTCAATGCTTTTTATGAAGCCAAGCAATTCAGCGCCCAGTTTATTCTTGTTTAAATAAATGTAGCAATAATTTAAGTCAAGGAAACAGCAAAGGTTATGTGGTGAGATAGAACTGATTGACAGTACTGATTCAGTCCCTTTACCTGTATGAACTTGGACATGCTATTTAATTTTGTTAAAAATCTCTTTTTCTATTACATTAAACTGGGAGCAATAATTCTCACATTAAAAATGTTTGAAGATTAAGTAAAATGACAAAAATTACTTCCCAAAAATCTTTGTCCTTCTTTCAATATCAAGTTTTTCCTACATAATTAGCTAACAGATGATGTATGGTAAGTTTAATAACAAATAACAACCATTCATTTATAGGTTGCAAGCAAATTTTGTTCAAGATGTAAATATAACATTGTGGATCACATAAGTTATTCAAGAAAAAATATTTTCCATTCTGTCTCCAACTAACACATTCCCCTTCTTATTTTCTATTCCACACCGTTATATTATACAACGCCCATGCTTACATGTTTGATTTACTAATAATGTTTGTAAAACTGTGTAAGTTAAAAGTAACCACTTACAAGGTCCTACAGAATAATTATGTCAAGACATCAAATGAACAGAATAGAAAAACAGAATTGTCCAGGACACATGGAGAAATAAACAGTAAGTATTTTCTGGAAAATCATTTGAATTATCTAAATTTCTGATTTGTCATTCACTGACAATTTTCTCCCTGACCTTTGGCACGCCAGTTAACCTCTCTGAGCCTCAACTTCCTCCACTGTACACTGAAGATACGTTTACTATACAGACTAGGAGCATTGTAATGATCAAATTATTTAACAGATATGAAAGCTCTTTGATAACTACAAAGGCCTATAAAATTATTTGAGATTATTTCTTTTCACAGACAACTTTGATATTGTAACTTTAAAGGCTTCTACATTTTAGTATGACATCTGCTCAGAATAAAGTTCTTGAAAGGTAAAGAATGTTATGTGATTCACTCAGAACCGCTTTTGCTCCCATGAGCTTTACTTGCCAAATGCATGCTTTCCAACTCAAGTAGGAATACAGCACTTGGTAGCACTGTATAGTTAATATAATTACACGATACCATAACCATAATTCATCTTCACTCTGCTCTTTGCAGATCCCTGTTTCCTCCTTACTGCTCTGGCTGAGATAACCCATGGGTGAATGTACAGTCAATGAGTGAATGCTCGTTGTACTCAGCCACTGGTCTCCTTGCTGTTACTGAAACACAATAAGCATGTCCCATTTCAAATCCTTCACAATCAATATTCCTTGTTCTTGAAAATGTCTTCAGTAACATATTAACATGGTTTGATCTCTTATTTCATTCAGGTTACTGCTTAAATGTAACTACCTCAGAGAAAGCTCCCTTGACTACCTTACATAATTTAGCACTACGGCCACTTTCTAACCCTTTACCTTGCTTTTGTTTTCCTTCATAACTTGACCCTTTCTGGCATTATAACACATATGAATTTGTTTAAGCTTCTTGAAAGTAGCTACCATGATTGCTATATTCTCTTCGTATTCTCAACAGTTCTGGGAATTAAACAACAAATCGACTCCAACAAAATAATTTGGTGAAAATACATCATAAAATCTGAATTTTTTCTTCCTGTATATCTCTAAGTTGTGATCAAATGGGAAAGGCCTCTTTCTTTCTTAGGCTCTCAGTTTCTCTAAATGTAAAAAAGAAATGCCAAATTACACAATCTCAAATGTCACTTTTGTCTTACTTTATAGCTATATTATTCATATTAAATACATAATGTATTAAAATTAAAGAGCCTATATAAAATGTTGTTTCTTCAAAAATAGAGCTTTCCTACCAAAGAAATGGTGGTAATATATTATTATTTAATAAGCAAACAAAGAAAAATTAATCAGAGAAATAGACTTTGCTATTGTGTTAGTAATTATGACTAATGACTCTCCATATGGTATGTAGAAATTATTGAATTTTCAAGCATATGCCAGATAAAAAAGGGCCTCTGATTTTGGTTCTATCTTTCCCACTTAAAACCCCAAATCTAAACTCTTTTTTTTTTCCAGAGGGAGTCTCGCTCTGTCACCCAGGCTGGAGTGCAGTGGCACGATCTCGGCTCACTGCAACCTCCACCTCCCTGGTTCAAGCAATTCCCCTGCCTCAGCCTCCTGAGTAGCTGAGATTACAGGCGCCTGCCACCATGCCTTAATTTTTTTGTATTTTTAGTAGAGACAGGGTTTCACCCTGTTGGCCAGACGGGTCTCTAACTCCTGACCTCAGACAATCCGTCCACCTTGGCCTCCCAAAGTGCTGGGATTACAGGCATAAGCCACTGCGCCAGGTCTAAACTCTTTTTAATGTATATAACCACCTTCTCTGTTTGCTGTGCCACCTTGTGGATTCAGTTTTGTGTAAGAAAGAAAGGAATCAAAAACAACTGGGGAATCTTCCAACACAATTTATATCCAACAACTCCAGAGACAGAGTCCTTTCGGTTATTCTCACTGGATATTTGGCTGTGAAGCTTCTGATTTGCTAACTTCATTAATGGCCTTTAGATGGAGAGAACTTGAAAATCCTTGCTATAATAGCTGCTACTTTGCTAACTCTGTTGTCACGCATAATGATATTAAATCAAGCAAGAGAAATATTGTTTTCCATCCTGACAAGAGGCAAAGAAAATGCCAAATTACATTATCTCAAGTGAATTTTTTTGAAAAAAAAATTGGGATTGCTTTGACTAGAACAAGTCTAATTTTATAACTTAAAAAAAACAACTCTGCAGATACGGAAACCTTTGTCTACACACTTTTGAAATAATTTTTACTGGAAAACTACTGAGCTGATTCCTCTAAAAATAAAGGTTCTTTGTTAACACATTCTTTGCAACATCTGACAAGGAAACAAGGTAAATTTATACCATCATAAAATAATGCAACCTGTGACGTACTGGAAATGTAATGTTGGAGGTAGATGGACACAACTACTCAATACTCAAACCCTTGATTTTTGACCTTGAGCAAGTTACTTAATTTCTCTGAAACTCAGTTTCACATCTGTAAGTTAAGGTTAATTATATCATCACTGTAAGGTTGATTTTTTTTTTTTTTTTGAGACAGTCTTGCTCTGTCACTCAGGCTGGAGTACAGCGGCACAATCTTTGCTCACTGCAACCTCCGCCTCCCGGGTTCAAGTGATTCTCATGCCTCAGCCTCCCAAGTTGCTTGGATTACAGGTGTGTGCCACCACACCGGGCTAATTTTTATATTTTTAGTAGAGACAGGGTTTCATTATATTGTCCAGGTTGGTCTCGAACTCCTGACCTCAAGGGATCTGCCTGCTTTGGCCTCCCGGGGTGCTGGGAATACAACCATGAGCCATTGCATCCGGCCAGGTTGTGATTATTAGACTAGACAATGAAGGTGTGTCAAGCATGTAGTACCTGACTTATTACTCACTCTCCTTACTCCTGGTTACAATTTCAGGGGAAAACTGATATCACAAATGAGAATGCAGTAGCCTGAGCAGCGGGCAGAGAAAAGTCACTGTAGTTGTGGATCCACATAACGTGTCATGAGGATCTCTTACCTGTGAGAGGTTAATTAAGATTATCTTGCTTAAGGCTCAACTTGGTCATCTATATATAGAGAACACAGAGATATCAGATCACTTTTCTTTCTCTGGTAGAGGAATTTGGTGCCATCAATTGGAGATAAGTGATGTGGTAATTTCAGGTTCTTGTCACCTCCTAATGAGGCATTATACCACAATACCACTGGACTCAGCCTCTAGCCAGAAGACTGTAAGTATAGAAGTGAGGTGGGAGAAAGCCAGTGGGTGAGGGGTATATTATATTACAATTCACTATTATCATCAAAATAACTTCCAGGAGCTTCAATGTTTTAGAGACGACATATCTAGAGCAGATATTGGAGGGGCAGCACAATTCTCCATTGAAAATGCCTTTGGTTCTTACCAAGTGAACCTGTGCACAATACGTAATCATGTGTCCCACTATGACTGAACAGGAAAATCATGGCAAGATATGTGCTTCTAGTGCCTCAGCCTCTGTCTTCCTTTCTTGGGATAAGGATGAAAGTAGGGATGTTGTCAAATGCACATATTTCAATTTCAACATTCTTCTGCTTTTTGGAAAGTCACATTTCATACACTAAAAGGTACGAGAAATTATCAACTAAGGCTAAAAAATATATTTTTTACATGAAATTTCCTAACTTTTAAAACTTCTGTATCAACTCCCATGAAGTCAAACTAACTGATATCAAACTTAACTTTCCGATGTAAGCAATTATAAAACTGGACAAAGTATATGAGGTAGAAGTTTCCAGGCACTTGTCAACTGGAACTGTGGGTGTTTGATCTTTGAGAGAAGGCAGATACACAGGAGGTAAGCACTGTGTATTTGCTTGGCTCTGTGTTGGTTTTCTTGCTTTCTTCAAGGGACAGCACTGTGGTTTTGTGAAGCTGAAGAGGCAGAAACTGTAGTTCGAGATTGCTAAGGTGACTTGAATTTGTGGAGCAAGGTGCCAGTGAAAAAGGGCTGGATGGAATGAGGGGCAGGAGACTGTACGGAGATCTCCTGTGGATCCTGGGTTTACAGAGAGAAAAGCACATGCTCAGGATGAGACTCTTCAAGGCCCAGCATAGAATGGCTGCTCCAGGATTGAGAGCTGAATGGAGATGGCTGTGGCTGTGTAGGGCTAGGATATGATAAACTTCCGGGCAAGTCAGAAAGCAGGGGCCTCACTAAGCAAAGAGGGCATTCAATGAAGACCTCAGAAAGGCCACAGGTTCAAGTTAATGACCACACCCTAAGTGAGCACGTCCTCATCCCCCAGATTAAAGACAGAACCAAAACAGTCAAGACAAGACCTACACGCACACACACAGACACACACACACAGACACACACACACACACACACAGCATGACAAGATCAAGAGGATTTATTAGTTATTAATCCAAATGCCAGAACAAAACACACACCTGTATCAGCAGATAATGTAATACACTCTACAATGTTTTTTATAAATGTCTAACATACAATATCACAAAACATGGATGCAAGCAGCACGATGTAACTCATGGTCAGTTACGCAGATAGTAGAAAAGATCACAAGGTCGCCTAGATGTTAAAATTAAGAGAAGTAATTTGTTTTTTTTTTTTTTTTTTGACACAGGGTTTCACTCCTGTTGCCCAGACTGGAGTGCAGTAGCGGGATCACTGTTCGCTGCAACCTCCACTGCCCCAGCTCAAGCAATTCTCCTGCCTCAGCCTCCCAAGTAGCTGGGACTACAGGCATGCACCACCACACCCTGCCAATTTTTGTATTTTTAGTAGAGACAGGGTTTTGCTGTGTTCCCCAGGCTGGTTTCGAACTCCTGGGATCAACCCACAGTGCTGGGATTACAGACATGGGCCACCATGCTCAGCCAACAGATAAGAACTTTAAAACAGCCACTATAAATATGTTCTAGAGAAAACATATCTCAATGAAAAAAAAGAACATAATGAATAAACAATAAACAGCAGAAAAAATATAAATGATTTTTAAAACCCAATAAAAATTTAAGAACTGAAAGGAACCATATTTGAGGGAAAATATTACTGGATATAATTAATTATAGGCTGGATACTGGCACATATAAACAACTCGGTATTTGTGTGTATTATGTATGATTGGAAAATATCTTGAAGCTTACACAAGCTGGTAATAGTGTTGGCTCCTGGGAAGGGATTTGGTTGGCTAGGGAGCAGAGATATAAGAAATAGACTTTTTTTTTTTCTACATGTATTATTACTTCAAGTAATGAATTTAGGGGAAAAATTCTGGGTCAAGTACAATTAATGTACTAGTTAAATATAGACTACAGACCTCCAATTACTAATAGGGTTTTATTTCAAATCTTATAAAACATATATTCTGAAGTGCAAATTTACTTACCCAGGCTCACAAAACAAAGATGACTATAAGGATATACCATAAGTTTTCCTAATCCCATATAAAAGAATGGCCCCTTCCTCTGAAAAATTACTGAAGGAAGAAAATCAATGAAGAACCCATGAAATAGGCAATCTCTAAATGGACTCGTTGAGTATAGGAGGGAATGAGAATAAATATGTTTACTTACCCCATCGTCTATGTCCTGCTTAGACCACCAGAACTACACTGGACCTCAGTACAAGGGATATATATTAAAGCAAACAAACTCATCATTCTTTGAACTCTACTCGCTTCATTTTTCAGTATTTTCATGACTCAGATCAATCCCAACATCCAGGGGGCCCTGAAATTCCTCCTCCAACACTACCTAATTTTCTAATCAAAGCTGGAATGAAGGATGTAGGCTCTCCAGAAGATGATGACATTTCACCTGCGAATATGCAGTAAAGGGCTTTTATTGGGGGTCTTATGTTCCTGTAGGCATGACATAAAATTATGCCTACGGCCATGGGGAAGAAACAACTCCAGAATTTGTTTGTGTTACTTGTTTGCTCATTGGGTTTAAATTATACATTCATCTAAACATAGACTTCCTGCAGGTGATTACAATGCTCAGTGACTGAAACATTTCTCAGTGAGGAGAGACTATAATGGTCAATGAAGGAGAAACGTGGACTGGGACGCAGCATGTGGTGCAGTATTGCTGAGATATTGATGTGAGTACAGCAGACACCTCAAATCCTTTTTATGGATCTGGAGAGCATGTAAGATTTTTTTTTTTTAGAAAAGCAAAGAAGCCCCAACAACATGAAGATACCCAGCAGTGAGTAGGCTGAGATCTGACATCATATCCTTAGCAGAGCTAGAAACGCACATCTCACAGGTGTTTTCTGCTCAGACTCAATCAAGCCTGCATGGACTGTCACTCCAGCCACGTTCATTTTAACAGCCTAAAGAGTAATCTGCTAGATAAACAGTTCTGATGGCACTGAAAAGCCGGGGCTGTGTTTTTGAAAAAAATCTTTGCTGCAATGCTTCTTGCTGTGATGGTGTGTCCTCAGAATGAGAATGCAAAGTAAACACCTGCACCACCAAAGAAGAATGAAGACAGAGAGGCCTGGTTCACTTTATGCTTTATTTCTAAAGTCCCAGGAATATCATTTACCTGTATCATGTTTTGGATATACTACCATTTGGACAAAGAGATCACAAGTACACTTGTTTAATTTCATAAAAGGTACTAAAAAGAAAGTTCATAAGCTCTGTCCTCATCATAGAATCCTTGAAATCTAAAATTGCAAATATGTAGTTTGACTCTTCACTTTACAGATGAAGAAAGCAAGGCTGAGCAGGGGAAGGAATTAACCCGATCAAGACCATGGCGCTAAATAACAGCAGAATAAGGATTAGAACCTGCTCTCCAGTCCAGGGGTCTGCCCTCTCTTTGCCACAGTGGGTGCTTTGCTTATGATTTATGCGCTTTCGTAGATTAAGAATGATTAGCTAAAATAGACTTTTATAATCCAGGCATGGTGGCTCACACCTGTAATGCCAGCACTTTGCGAGGTCGAGGTGGGCAGATCACTTAACCCCAGGAGTCTGAGACCAGCCTGGGTAACATGACAAAACTGTGCCTCTACAAAAACATACAAAAATTACCCAGGCATGGTGACAGGTGCCTGTAGTTGCAGCTACTCAGGAGACTGAGGTGGGAGGATAGCTTGGGCCTGGGAGGCACGGGTTACAGTAAGCCAAGATTTTGCCACTGTATGCCAGCCTGAGCAACAGAGACCCTGTCCCCCAAAAATAAAATAAAATAGGCTTTTACTTTTAATTCAGCATATTTTCCATTAATCAAATGACTGACCAATGTGCTTCGGTTAATATAATAGTTGTTTTCACTTTGCTTACCGATTAGAGTGAATTCTCTGCTTTTAGACATTTTGGCTGCAGGTAGGAAGTTATTTGCTCTTGATTCCATAAAGCAGACACTAGTAATGTAAGAGCTGGCAAAGGGCAAAAAAGGGTGATTCTTTTTATATGAACAGGATAAAACCAGAGTAAGCTTGACCGATGGTCTGAATTAGAGATGGTGAATGGAGAAAATACTGTATTTTTCAAAGTAGAATTGCCATGTGTGGGCAAAGGGAACAATGGGTGAAAGGTCAGGGGAAGGCCAATCCAACTCTGAAAATCAATAGCCGTACTGCTACCTAATGATGCTATCAATGCACATTTTGAGTTCATTTGTGATTCAGAACTTATGATTTGATCCTAAAGTAATTTTCTCTAGCAAACTGAAAGTTGGCAAGTGCCTTCCTCAAAGCATCTTTGCAGACCCTACAAAAATGGTAAAGAAATGAAATCGTTCTCCAAACGTGTTTTATCTACCAATTTTCCCATTTACAGTGTTGGATTACAAATCCATAAAAAGAATTCAGATATATGTGGATAATTTACATTCTCTATCTTTACCACCAGATTGCTAAATCACCTCATATATGTGCCTCCATCTCATTAGGGTACTTGATATATATCTTATCACTTCTCACAGATTTCATTACAATTTATAGTTATTTCATTTGTTGTTACTACTGCTGTGCTTTCACATGTGGCAATTCCTCCCACCTATATCTGCAAATCCAAATCTCTCCTGGTCTTAAAGATCTAGTTCAAATTCAACTCCCTTCACAAAATTGCCTCTGATCCTGTCATCTAAAATTATCTCTTTCTCTTCTGACTCCCGTCATAGCTATTTATCTGTGGCTGTCTTAACATAATGATCACTTTGTATTACATATCATGTGTATTTGCAATGATGACATACTATATAGAACTCACTTGAGACCCCGGCCTCTGTCTTATTTCTCACTGAAATAAGATACTTGCACAGTAGCTGGCATCTGACACCCAGTAGCTCCTCCATAACTGTTTGTAAATGAGCTAATGAATGGAGGAGTCTAGCCTGTTCCATGTCGGGAGTAGTTTGATGAAATAGCCCTTGTAACGGCTTATGAAGCCTATTACAGATAGCTTCCAGCAGTAGACTTTCTACAAATCAACATAGCTAACAAAATTCAGAACTTAACTCAACTGTTTACATTTTCTTTTTTTTTCATGAATTTTTTTTTTAATTGAAAGGTAAAAGTTATAGCTAATAGGCCAGGCGTGGTGGCTCACGCCTGTAATGCCAGTACTGTGGGAGGCCTAGGCTGGTGGATCACGGAGTCAGGAGTTCAAGACCAGCCTGGACAACATGGTGAAACCCCATCTCTACTAAAAATACAAAAATTAGCCAGGCATGGTGGTGGGTGCCTGTAATCCCAGCTACTCGGGAGGCTGAGGCAGAGAAATGCTTGAACCCAGGAGGCGGAGGTGGCAATGAGCCAAGATCGCACCACTGCACTTCAGCCTGGGCGACAGAGCGAGGCTCCGTCTAAAAAAAAAAAAAAAGTTACAGCGAATAATTAATGGATCAGTAGCCTAAAAAATAACCATTTAATTTTTCAGAAAATATTCACTCATTGGTGAAAGAGAGAGAAAAAACATTAAAAAAATATAAACTGAAGCATACAATCTCAAGAAGCCTATAATATGAGAGAATAAACACAGGTATGATTCAACCTCCTCTTCACATTCTATGTTAGTTTACAAAAGATAGTGATTTTATGTTGAGTGTAAGAGATACTATTTTTTTTTCTTGAACTGAGAACCAATTGTGTAGAAATTCAAATATATGTTAACTTGATAAATGTCATTAACATGTATGAACCAAAGCAAACAGATGGTATTCTGGGACCTGGAGAGTATAAGGAAAATGCGAATACTTCTTTTCTGATGTTAATACTTTGAGAATTACATGTGAATCACTTAAGAGTAAATCCATTGTTTTGATACATTCTAAAATGTCAGGGTTCCTGTTCAGTTCATGACTACGTGGTGCCACCATCTTGCATAAAGCCTTAGACAAATGCTGTTTGATAAATACTTAGTGACATGTACATGATTTATTCTTATATATGTGGTTGTGCACATAGTAAGCCTACTAGAAAGAAGGCTATCTACTTCCTTTCTATAGACTCATTCTATTAAAGTTATTTTTCAGGAATATCGAATGAATAAACAATTTCTTCTTCAGATCATCAACTACAAAAACCATCAGTTCATTTTCTCTTACATTTGTGTGTGCGTGTGTGTGTGTATACTGCTACTTTATTTGAAAGGAGAATAATTTTGATTCATTTCCTGTTTTGATTTTCATGCTCTTGCAAAAAAATAAAATAAAGAACTGCGTTGGCAGTTTCAAGAACAACTGAAAAATCTATTGTTTAGTATGAGTCATGTCTCCTCTTGACCTTAAATTCTTTTATCTGCCTAAACTTCAGTTTTGAAGTTTGAGGTTCAATTGTTGATAAGCAGTTAGTATTTGATTTTGGTTCCCCCTGAAATGTACCAACACACTCAAACATAGTCTGCTCTTTTCAGATATTTTGCAGCTTGGCATTTTTAATTCTCTTCTCCTTAGTAGAAATCTGTATTAGTACAGATGAAGCTGAAAGGAAGCTTGGAATTCTTCTAATTGGAATTTCATCATTTTATAAAAGGAAGCCAACCTCACTACTGTTTCTGTTCTCTTAACTTGAAGCCAAGTAGCAGAGGGGTCACAGCATCTCATCAGTTTAGCTTGTATTCAACATGAATAGAATCTGACCATTTTCCCTAATAGAATCAGCATGCAAATTTCTAGCATTCAATTTTGAAAAGCTGTATTTAAAACTACTGTGTGGGAGAGCAGAACAATATGTGAAGGAGATATTATGCTAGAGTCGACGAGTTTTAGTTTCTGACATATATAGTCTTTTTTTGAGCAAAGGCAAAATTTATATAGTATATCTTATAATTTATCATAAACAGGTCAGTAAAACCATAAGCATATTTTTGCCTGCATTCTCAACTTCCACATATATTTTTAATGTAAAACAGCTATAAATGAGCCAGTCCAGGTAGAAAGAGAAGGTTAATGTGAAGTTGACCAAACAGCATTTGCTATTTAATTACACGATAGACACTAAAATAATTATGTAATTCATGTAGTCTTTTAGCTAACACTTAAATCCTGTCCATGTTCTAACTGGTTAATGATAAAGAGATTAATAAACAGTTTTTGCAGTCAAAGAATTTGCCATACTGTGAGGTATAAGATTAAGTGATAATGCTTCCTTCTTGAATAAGAATCAGGACCAAGGAGAGCTTCCTGAAGAGGCTGCTTTGGATTGACCCTTGAAGAATGTGTAGGAACTTGGAAGCAAATGAAGAGAGATAAACGAAAGGAGAGAGAGAAATAAATAGAACAGATGGAAAGAAAAAAGAAAAAAGAGAAAACTAAGAAAAGAAAGTGAAGGAAGGTGAAGAAAGGAAAGAAAAAGGAAGGGAAGGGAAAAGGAAGAAAGAATAGTAAGTTTTCCTCGACATGGGGGGTCAACTGTGGTTACCATATCACGGAAATAAACAGTAGCAGATCTATGTATTAGGAAATGAGAACGGAAAGACAAGTGAGGTTTAGAAAGTGGAGACATTCCTATTCTAGTCCCAGGAGTTTCAGAGACATTCCAGTGAAACAGAGAGCCAGGAAAGTTTCCTAAGGAGAGTAGTGGCCTCATGTATTTATTCATCAATGTATTATTTTATTAATCCAACATCAATTTATAATATTCTAATAATTTCATAATCATGTGATTCTAAGAATGAAATCTAGAATTCAAAGAGGTACTAGTGAGACAGCTTGAACTAAAAGACTGTCCAATGGCAGGAATTCTAAGCATAGGACCTCCATACTCTTTGCTCCACAAAACTCAGCACATTTCAAATTATGTTATTCTGTCCTCTTTACAGGTTAATGGGGATTACAGATTGAAACTACGCACGTGTTTTTGTGTTTCCATTTTCAGGTTGCTTTCCTGAGGTGGTACTTAACCTCCAATTAGAGAATGCCGCCACTAGGTGGCGGGGTGGTGACTTGGTTCCAAGAGGCTACAGTTGGTGGGACCAAGAAAGGGAGGGTTATGGGTCCCATGATTCTTATATCTATTTCATTTTTTCTTTCAAAAACTGCAGTGGACAGTTGAGAAATAAGCTTCGATAATAAGTTTTTAGAAACAACTAAGTGTGTCATGTGATACCTGGATGACAATACATTGTCTGAGAAATACAGTAAGACAAATGAAAACTCTGGGCTTTGATGCAAGACACTGAGTTTCAATTTTGCCTGTGCCATTTATTAGTTGAATGAAAAGCAGAAAGTTCCTTCATTTCTATGAGCGTTGGACTCATTTAAAACTTGAATCATCATACTTATTTCACAAGTCTGTTAGAAGACAAAGCCATGTGGTGCAATGTGCTTTGAAAAGAACGTGGGTAACCACCTAGATATGATCCACAAATATGCCTGATCCAATCCCAAGAGGTTTTTCAAGTTCACAACATTTCACATAGAAATGTAATCTCTAATTTCTTATGAAAAAGTCTGAAGTTCAGGTAACACTTCATCTTCATTCCTCTGTCTAAGAATTAGCTGGAGTTACGTGACCCAGGCTCCCCTCCCTACACATGAGTGTGCTAACACAGATTTAGGGGAAACTTGCCTGGGACTCCGGCACATCAATGTCAAAGAACTACTTGACATTTCATGCCAGCCGCAGCTTGTAGGCTTCCTCAGCCTCGGTTTCATGGTATCTCCAGTCCTGTTTAAGCCATCTAAAAGGGGCTTTTTTGATTTCCTTTGATTTATTTATTCTCCTTTCTTCCTTTACTTCCCATACTTGGAGGAATCCAATGGAGAAAGACAATATTAATTAGATAATCTTTAAGGGAGTCATACCCTCTCCTGTGACATAGGCATGCTTCTCAGTTCCAAAATAACAGAGAAATTTGACCTCTCCAAACAGAAATTAGCTGGCGACTGAATGCATTTATGTTAGATTAAAAAATGTAAAGTTGACGCACCTCTCTCCTCTCTTTGCCGTCTGTTACAAACTAAACTGTGCCTTCTCTCACCCCAAAATTTTTTTGTTGAAGCCCTATCCTCCCGGTACTTCAGAATGTGACTGTACTTGGAAATAGGACCTTTAGATGAAGTGAAATGAGCTGTTAGAGTGGGCTCTTTCCAAGCTGACTAGTGTCTTTATCAGAAGAGGAAATTTGGATATGCACAGAAACACCAGGCATGGTGTGCACAGAAAACAGCCACATGAAGAGGCAACAAGAGAGTAGCTATCTGGAAGCCACAGAGAGAGGTCTGAGGGGGAACCAACCCTGCCACTTTGACCTTGAACTTCCAAGATCACCATAACCACGAGAAAATTTATTTCTGTTGTTGAAACCATTCCGTCTCTGGTACTCTGTTATGGCAGCCTTAGCAAACTAATATACCGACCAAAGAGGATTCTGGTTTGGCTACCCAGTCCCTCCCTTTCCTCTTTCCTTTGAGCAGGATGTTTTAAGGACTTTTGTGTTTGACACTCAGGAGCAAGGGGGGATGGTGGGGGAGACTATGTGAAACATAGAAGGTCAAGGTGGAATTGTCCACTTTTTAATGGATCAGGACAAATTGAAAAAAGCATGGAAGCACTTAAGGTATGGCACATAGTTTATGAGAGCTAAGGAAAAGTTTTTTTAAAGTTATAAGAAATATAAAAAATTATTTTGAAATTATGTTGCATAGACTTTGCATTTTTATATAACTTCTCTAGGATCAAACACAGTGGTCAAAGCTTTATAGTTATTATATAACAATACATCTTCCCATAACAAGCATACAAACAAAAACACCTTTTATAAATTGCAACTAGTATGAAGTTTTATGTTTCAAAAATTCCTTATGTTTCAAAAACTATTTTAAAGGGCAAATGATTAATTCATTGAAAATATTTTAAAGCATCCACATTTTAGAAGAAAATTTAATGAATTATTTAACAGAGCTACAATATTCTTTTTATATAAACCAACTATACATTGATAATTAAAATCTGACAATCTGTAAGCCCAATACTCTTTTTTTTTTTTTTTTTTTTTTTTTGAGACTGAGTCTCGCTCTGTCGCCCAGGCTGGAGTGCAGTGGCGGGATCTCGGCTCACTGCAAACTCCGCCTCCCGGGTTCACGCCATTCTCCTGCCTCAGCCTCCCGAGTAGCTGGGACTACAGGTGCCCGCCACCGCGCCCGGCTAATTTTTTGTATTTTTAGTAGAGACGGGGTTTCACCGTTTTAGCCGGGATGGTCTCCATCTCCTGACCTCGTGATCCGCCCACCTCGGCCTCCCAAAGTGCTGGGATTACAGGCGTGAGCCACCGCGCCCGGCCCCAATACTCTTTTTGAATTATTCTTTATAAATCTCAATAGGTCAACATCTCCCCATGAAAAGAATCAGAATACAAATGATGTGATAATGCTCGTGAAATGGTCTTTCAAATTATAAAGTATCACGTATGTGCAACGGATTATTATTTATGACCCTTATCTGAAGAATGATGACTTCTTCAAAAGAATATTCATTATTTCTGTCGATTTCTTTAGGCTATCCTAAGAGTGAGCCTAAAAGAAAACAATAATAGATCTTGTATAATTAGACAAGATATTGTAAGGACACCTCTGTAATTTTTCTTGAAGGTACATCTTTCCCATCAGTACTTTTAGTATTGGTGACTACCCTGACATAATATGGAGAAGTATTTTCATAAGTAAAATAATGAAGTTCTACAAAACTATGAGGACAATAGAAAGATCAGTGGTGGCCAGGGATCCCAGGGGAAAAGTCAGGTGAATCCATGAAAAATAGAAAATTTTTAGGGCAGTGAAGCTACTCTGTGTGATACTATAATGGCTGATACATGTCATTATAGATTTGTCCACACTCGCAGAATGTAAAAAACCAAGAGTGAACCCTATTGTAAACTATTGACTTTGGTTGATAATGATATGTCAGTGCAGGGTCATACATTGTAACTAATGTGCCACTAATGCAGAAGATGCTGATAATGTGGAGGCTATGCATGTGTGTTTCAGGGAGTATATGGGATATCTTTGTAACTTTTTCTCCATTTTTCTGTGAGCCTAAAACTGCTCTAAAAATAGTCTTTAAGGCCAGGCACAGTGGCTCACGCCTATAATCCCAGCACTTTGGGAGGCTGAGGTGGGAGGATCATGAGGTCAAGAGATGGAGACCATCCTGGCCAACATGGTGAAACCCCGTCTCTACTAAAAATAACAAAAAATTAGCCGGGCATGGTGGCAGGCGCCTGTAGTCCCAGCTACTCAGGAGGCTGAGGCAGGAGAATGGCACGAACCCGGGAGGTGGAGCTTGCAGTGAGCAGAGATCACGCCACTGTACTCCAGCCTGGGAGACAGAGCGAGACTCCGTCTCAAAAAAAAAAAAAAGCCTTTAAAAAACTAATAACAAAGCCCTAAACAAATAGCAGGGATAAAGAAAGATACACAGAGTAGGGGAAAGGTTCCCCAGAAAATAAGAGAATTACACTGAATAATTTTTAAGTTCATTTTATGTGTTTGTCACATAGGCATGGGATAACATCGTGTGCCTTTCAACACACTAAGCATACAACAGTGGTAAAATCTGGTGCTCTGGCATAAACCTTCAGGACAAACTCTAGAGAAATCATTCTTCAATCTCATTGGATCCAAAAACTTTAACATGCTAAATGAAGATCTGTCATAATTAGAGCTGGAAGTCTTGCTCTCCTAACTTTCACTTAATGGAGAAATAATAAAATTATTACTAGCTTCATACTTTTCTTACAAGTTGATCAAAATGGAACTATTTAGCTGTTGATTATGGACTTTTTGGTAGAAAGGGAAATTATCTTTCTCTCATTGTCTCTTAGGCTTACAAAAATTTATAAGTATTTTATTTTATTCAAATTATATATACACATTTACACATATACTTTTCATAGAAGAAAATTTGTAAGATTTTTTGTTCAAATCATATATGTACATATAATTATATATGATAAATATATAATTATATTACATATAATAAATATATAATATAAATATATAATTACATGTTATATATAAATTATATATATACACACACAGTGGGGCAGGAAACAAGACAGATCTTCGCACTTGAAACAGGTTTTTAATATAACTAGTAATAACTTTTTTCTTCTCTCCACACTTTTATTATGCATTCTTTCCCTGTGGAATTATAGAATCACAGTATTTTCAAACTTAAAAGGGAGAACATTTGATTTTTACAAAGAAATAGGTCCTGAGTGAGACAATGAAAAATAAAAGAAGTGTCTTTAATTCTATATTGTTGCATTAAGTCTGCCTTCAACAGGTATTTATGAATACCTGCAGTTATTTTTTATTCATATAATACATCAGCGCATACATAGCATATCATTGTGTAAATACAGCATTGAGATGTTTGTTATTTTAAGTAGGAAGCATTTTGCATCATGAACTGTCAATAAAAATGAAATTAATGACAATATATAATCATGTAAGCAGCAGTGTCAAGAATACTTTTAGCACCTATACTGAGTGAAATATTGTTGCTGTAATTGTCTTTTTGGGAGGTAGGAAGAACATAGAGCAGGACAAGATTCGATCCAGGTAGAACAGAAGTTGGGTATCAGTGGTCTGGGTTCTCAAGCTCACTTCTTTCAGAGACCAAAAAAAGTTTCATAAATGCCATGTGTATTCTTAAATATTCTAAATATTTTAACTCTGCCCATGATATGGTTTGACTTACTTCCTGGTCTCGCTTGCCTTGCTCTAGATCTGTTCTGGATTGTCAATGTTCCTATTAAAATATGACTCCAATAAAGGAATACATACTTTAGATATAATCTGATCTGAGGTGACAAGAGAACAACTTCAACTCTTATGCCTTGGATATGATACTGCCACGATCACCCCATCACTGTCTTGGACTCCAACACTGGACTGCACAGAATACTCAGAAGGGTGCTCATTTTCTTCTACAGGTAATAAAGGACTCACTCCTCAGCAGTGATCCAAGTTTCTTTTCCTTTTAAGTAGGTTCTCATAATCAGCTTCCTTTATCAGCAGCCCTAACATTATAATCATCAAATTTATTTGACATTCTCTTACCAAACATACCTCTTCTCTTGAAGATTAATGATTAGAGTTACTTTGGTTAAAAATCAAGTATCATTTCCAGAATACACTCTATAGTCTCACCCTATGTCATCTTCCATTTTCAACATCACTGGTCAATAACATGACTCTATACCTATCTTGGAATGATTCCCCAGTCCTTACTGAAACACTTTTAAATACTAGAAAGCAGCCACTGTCTTCTTTTTTTTTTAAGGATATTTTTATTCCAAATGCATTATAATTTGTATATGTACCATCAGCGTGATTCTCAGGAATACTTCTGGCCTGTCCTACAAAGCAATTACAGTCGGCTCATCTTCGTGTACTTGAGTTTGACTGTGAATAAATAGCTTTCTCAACTTTTCTTTCTACCAAATATACATACTGGGCCAGCAGGGATGTGTAGTATGTAGAAAAAATAAAAGCAATATTTTTCTAGCTAAAACAACGTCACTTCTCCAACTCATACAGCCCTGTATTTCTGGTCCTAACATAATGTTCAAAAATAAATCTGAGCGGTTTTAAATGTAGGCACATATTTTATAAAATGCATAGCTTTCTATTCCTTCAAGCAGCTGATTTATATAAAGCAGAAATCCATTCACATAGGTCAGAAATTTGTAAAATGTATGACAAGAGATTTAGCTCATTATGCTTATCTTGTGGTCTGCCCAAATTGTTAAAGCTTGTGCCTCAAAGTATGCTGAGCCTCTTTGGCACACTGACCCAGTGATTAGTATTTTCTCACCCAGTGCAAGGATAATGCATACCTCAGAGGATCAGGTGGTAACTAAAATCATTGAATCAGGCTGAGTGAGAGCTATGAAACTCTGGAGATTCTCATTTCTCCACTTACAAAATGAAACTGTGGCTTAGAGTCTAATTGACACTGATAATACCATAGAGCTATACATTCATATTACTCTGGATGAAATTTTCATTCACAGCACTAAACATCTGGGTATTTCCACATGGACTTATTTTCATATATATTTAGATGTTTGACAACCTAAAAATAAAATAGTATATACCTGGTGGAATTTTTCTTTCTGTCCATGACTATCATATGGATGGATTCAGAGTGTGTCAAGTTTTTCCTGATAGGATACTCATAGAAATGTAACTTTATTAACAGTTTAAAAACCAATACTATCTTTGAAACATTGTGGAGTCTATTCACTCTACCTAACTATAATAAGACTTTTTAAATGTACGCTTTTTTAGTAAGGAATTTGATCATTTTTATAACATATTTTTCAGATTTCTCACCAATAAAAAATTAAAATACAGTGCAACCAATATTAAATGTTAAGGCTTAATTTAACTAATTTATATAGCAAGGATTTACAAGATACCTGCTTTGGGTCAGATATCGTGCAAAGGGTTGTGGTAAAAGAAGCATGCTGACTGACTTTGTCCTCAAGTGGTTTACAGTTTAATGGAGAAAAGCATCTCCACCAAGTATTCTGTCTCCCATTGTGGTTGTCTTGGAGCCAGAACTAGGATGCAGATTGGCAGTCCTATACGTAGCCCGGAGGGCCCACCAATTGCTTACCTCTTTCAACAAAGGCATCGTGAACTCTCATTTTGAAGTGGGAACAAAACAAATTTTTTTTATATGTAATGTATCATTGGCCTTTTGTGTTATTTTTCATGAGGATTTTATTTCAACTAAAGTCGTTACCATTTAAATGATCAAAGAGAAAAGTCAGAGTCCATGATTTTTGTTACACGTTTATAATGACAGATACAGTTATACGTATTTATCGTGTACAACATGATGTTTTGAAATACAGTCATGCACCTCAAAACATTTAGGTCAAAAACAGAGCACATGTGCAAATGGTGGTCCCATAAGCTTGTAACACTGAAGTTTTTACTGTACCTTTTCTATGTTTAGATACAAAAACACTTACCGTTATTTACAATTGCCTACATTATTCCATAAATGGACAGGTTTGTAGCCTAGCGGCAATAGGCTGTGCCACATAGTGTAGGTGTATAGTAAGCTATACCGTCTAGTTTTCTGTAAGTATACTCTACGATAGTCACACAATGAACTTGCAATAATGACAAATTTCTCACAATGTATCCCCATTGTAAGCAATGTATAACTATATGTATATACATATACACATTTCACAATGTGTGTGTGTATATATATGTATGTATGTGTATATATGTATGTATGTATGTATGTGTGTATACACACACACACGCACACACACACACATTGTGAAATGGTTAAATATACCTAAGTAACAAATGTATTACCTCATCTAGTTATCACTTTTGTGGTAAGACCACTTAACATCCACTTTGCATTTTTCAAGAGTACAATATGTCTTCTTTAACTACAGTCACCATGCTATAGAAGAGATCTCTTGAACTTAACTCCTCCCATCTAACTGTATTACATACACTTTGAGGAACATTTCTCCATTCCCCCTTCCCCCAACCACCCCAGCCTTTGGTAACCACTATTCTATTCTCTACTTCTATGAGTTTAGAGTTTATAGATTCTACATGAGTGCGATAATGTGGTATTTGTTTTTCTGTGTCTAGCTTATGTCACATAATATAATATCCTCCAGTTTCATCCATGATTTCAAAGAGATTGGCACTCCCATGTTTATTGCAGCACTATTCACAATAAACAAGATAATGGAATCAACCCAAGTGTTCCTCAATGGACGGATGAAAAAAGAGTCCATCAACTTTAAAAGACACAAAAGACTGTTCCAAATATTACCTTAAAAATTGAGATTTAAAAACTAATCTGGGTAAATAGCACATTTTTTAATTCCTTGGGCAAAGTTTTTAAATGGGAGTGTTAGAACACAACAAAATGTAATGCTCTGAAATGTAAAAGATCATTATAAACAATAGAGAGGTGAGATGCCACTTTTCATTTTTTAGCCAATACTTAGAGCTTATTAGATAAGCATATCTGATGGGACAGTAGAGCTTTTTAATTGCCTGGGAGACAAAAAAAAAATCCCATCTATGCCATAAAGCTGTTTAGCAACATGTTTGGCTGTAAAGAATGTGAAATGTAGATAAAATTAATAACTAAAATATTCTAGGGTGTAAATTTCTAACTTTCCGTCAAAAATAACACTCTAAATGTGAACCATCAAGGTAGACGTGACAGCATTTTGTAGCATTCTTTCCACCATTTAAATCTATTTAGTTTTTGTGTGTGACAATTTGACAGTCTTGAGCATACAAATGAAGACACAGGGTAAAATTATAGATTCAGTTTTCAGAGACCATATTTGCAAAGACAAGTATTTTTTTTTTTCAGCAAGAAATCAACTAAGCAGTAGTTACAGAAAATAACTTAATAAGACAGTGAACAGAAAACCAGTATCTACTTAACAGACTCAGGAAAGAGATCGGTTATGAGATGCTTGGGGTTTCTGTTTTTGTTAGATAAGATGTGCAGTTACCAGAAATCTAAGGAAAGGTAAGAGCCCCCTCAAAGATTTCCCTTAGAATTAATTATCTAAAAATTATAATGGATTACTGTTCCTATTGATTGCTTAGATTTGGCCCACCACAATCTCTGATTCGGCAGTACATGTGCAATTTTCTATAAGTCTTTCTGGAAAATCCTAGTATAAAAATGTATTTTTAGTGATGTTTGTTTTACACTCTGTATTCTTCTCGGTGCCTACATGAAACTCTATAGACAGTTACTGTGAACTTCAAGATCAGGCAATCAGTTTCAAACACGTATCGTGTGTCCTTCTGTACTCATTTTTAAAGATGTTTAATATTCAGTGTGAGGTTTTTATATTGGGGATAAAACGAAGTCTGCGTTATATGAAATTTAATTTTGAAGGTAACGACATTTGAACTGCAGTGTTGTGTTGTTATATCTCCTTTTTTGTCTAGCTTTTATAAAATGATCTAGATTAAGTACCATAAAGATCATAAGGACCTTATAAGTCCCTCTGCATTTGAAACAGTGAAGGGAAATGTGTTGCTTTCACATTTCCATCCTATCCAAGGGGCCTCTACAGTGCCTGAACTCACCAATGAGGTAACAGATGAAGGGAGAATAGTGATGGCCTTTACAAAGCCCTCCTGGGGGCCGGATGTGGTGGCTCACGCCTATAATCCCAGCATTTTGGGAGGCCGAGGCGGGAAGATCACCTGAGGTCGGGAGTTTGAGACCAGCCTGACCAACATGAAGAAACCCCGTCTCTTTTAAAAAAATACAAAGTTAGCCGGGCGTGGTGGTACATGCCTGTAATCCCAGCTACTTGGGAGGCTGAGGCAGGAGAATCACTTGAACCCAGGGGACGGAGGTTGCAGTGAGCTGAGATCATGCCATTGCACTCCAGCCTGGGGAACAAAAGCGAAATTCCTCCTCAAAAAAAAAAAAAAAAAAAAAAAAAGTCCTCCGGGGGTCCCGAGTGCCAAACTACAAAGCCAACTTTTTTTTTTTAACTTCTTCTCTCACAATATCAGCAAATTTGCTGTCAACAAACTTCTTAACTTTATAGTTTTGTACAAATTTTGAATAAAAGAAAGACCCCAAAGGATCCAGAACGGTGCATCCATTCTAAAGGCAGAGAGCTGAGTATTTTGTATTCTGATAAAAAGATATGAAAAGCAAATGAATCACATAAATAGGATTAGGAGAGAATGTTCAACTTTTTTATGACCAAAATGTTTTCAGGCACTTGAAAATTAGAAGCAAATGTTCACTGATGGCGATTAGGGAATTAATGGCCTTTAAAACTGACAAGATTTTTTTCATTGCTTTAGTTAATATCTATTTTCTAACCTTTAACCTGAGTAAAAAAGAATCTGTACATTAGATTGAGCATAAAAACCACTGAGCAAATGAAAAAAAAAGCTAAAATCAGTAATAATGCTCACTAAATTTGTAAATGTTGAAATGCTGCTTTACCTTTCATGACCTCACTTATTCAGCCATGAAAAAAGGGTGAGAGAAGGAAGGCAGCAAGATAATTTCTATATCTGTTCTCTAGGTATAAGTGCCTATGAGTCTAAAATAGACTGCTGAGGATATTAGAAAGATTTCATGAAAATTAAGATTTGGGGAATATAAAAAAGCTTACAAATCTGATGTTCTCCAAATTCCTGAAATTTGTAATTACCAATATCATGACCCAACTGGTTAGAAATATGTAAATAACTAAGGAATGTTTTGAAAAGTCCTAATTATTACAGTGAAGAGGTAAATAAGGTCAACATGCTAGTGTCCACCATCAAAAGGAAATTTCATGTTGTTTACTCAGCTTCTCTGGACACTACCAGAGACACAGCTCTTAGTGGCTTTTAAGGTAGTTTCTTCATCACTGGGCAATAGTTCATTAACAGACTATCCCAAACTTATATAATCTTTTCATTCTGGAAAATTTTACACATGTGTTGTTTAGGTTAATCAGGAGAAACAAAGACTAATCAGAATAATCTTTAGTAGTAAGCTAATTTAGCTCTTCTCAGCACCGTTTCAAGGAAGATATGTGCAAGATGTGTGAACAAATGGGAAAGAGCTGAAGTCAGTAACAATGCTAACTAAAGTTGCAAATGCTGACATGTTACTTCGTCTCTCTTGGCCTCACTTATTCATAAAATGGGGCAAGGGGAGAAAAGGGATGAGATAATCTCAGATCTGTTCTATGTCTAAGAGCCTATGAGCCTAAAACAGAATGCTAACAAAATTGAAAAGGAAAACTAAGTAGTAAGTGTACTGAGTTGTGCTCCTGTTCAGTCTTTTTCTATTCAACCTCCCTAACGTTTCACTCAAGGATAGCATTTCATGTAAGACATACATCATAACAGTTCAGATCAGATGTCCTCCGTATTTGAGATTTCTTACTTTCTTGAGAGGGAAGGAGATGATTAGGACAAAGAAACAGCATTGTCTGCAAATACCAAGTAGCTTAGTGAAGCCAGCTAACAAATGGAGGCCAAATGTATATGTGGCCTTCTTTCACAAGCAGGCCAATAAATGTAGAAACCTCACCTAACCTGCATTTGGTTTGAGAGCCAGTGCATGAAGTTTAGGAATAAAGGATAATTATTTGGCCATCTGAGAAAAGCTAAATCTTGTAAGTGGGTATTAAAAGATGCAATAAATGATATTCCTTGCCAATCTGAAAAGGCAAAAAATAAAAAGGTAGTCTAGCTGTTTATGAGATCTAACTCCTCCCTCCTCCTCCCACTCTGAAAACAGTGAAGATGAAAGTGATTGTATCATACGCCACTCTTACGCCAGGAAAGCTCAAGAATAAAACCATCACAGTTCAGATGGACTAAAGGGTATTTTCTAGGTTTATGACCAGAATGATTCATATATCAAAGGCCAATCATATACATGTACTTGCTCAGGGATTTTCAAGTCGATTTCTTAGAGATGAAACGTACTGCTCCCTGGCTCCAGGAAACAGAGCAATGCTAAAGAGGTAAATCAAAACAGCAATAGAAAGGCCGGGTGCAGTGGCTCACTCCTGTAATCCCAGCGCTTTGGGAGGCCGAGGTGGGTGGATTGTCTGAGCTCAGGAGTTTGTGACCAGCCTGGGCAACATGGTGAAATCCCATCTCTAATAAAATACAAAAAAAAAAAAAAATAATTAGCCGGGTGTGGCTGCGTGCTCCTGTAGTCCCAGCTACTCCGGAGGCTGAGTCAGGAGAATTGCTTGAACCCAGGAGGCAGAAGTTGCAGTGAGCCGAGATTGTGCCACTGCACTCCAGCATGGGTGACAGAGCAAGAGTCCATCTTAAAAAAAAAAGGCAATAGAAATTATTCATGTTTGGGAACATGAAGATATTAAAATCATAATAAAATGAGAATGCCAATCAAACAGGAATAAAAACACTTGCTGTGTACTGTTTCTCCTTCTCCAGTTTAAACCAGAAAAACACTAGATCCAAGAGATAACATGTAATACATTAAGAAAGAAACTTTCACGTAGGAAGCCAAATATCCTCCCACATTGTTTCCCCCATATGTGTACACTAATTACTGGAGCATCTTCACATGCCAGCGATTATCAAAGCCTCACAAGTGTAGACTGCAGTGTCAGTGAGTGCTTGGTAAGACAGACCAAACTCCGTCAGTACCTTGCCATGTGATCCTGGACAAGACATACTTGTCCTCTCATGGTCATTAAAATGGGAGAGGGAATGGGGACAAGATGCTATCTCGACTCTTTACAGCACCATAGATTTAGTTTCTCTAGCAAGGCCTATGCTCCTTAAGTTTATGGATGTCACAAAGTGGTTCTGTATTTTATATTATTTGTCAGAAGATTAGTAATAGGCTCCCATTAGAACCAGAAGAACCAGGCTTTTGTGTGAAAAAAAAAAAATGAGTGAGTAGGCTACCTCAGTACTTTAAGAGATGGTAAAAGTATCCTGCTTTGACAGCCAGGTGAAAAAGCTAATAAAAGCACAGAAAGTTTTCATAAAGGGGTACAGCTTCAGATGTCTCCAGATAATCCCTCTGTTAATTGTGAAGGGTCATCTGTAGGGGGCCACTGGTATATATCTCTTTACTAAGTTAGCTGGTTAACACTGGATCCTTAGGGAATGAGATGATGTATGAATATGGAAGGAGTCAAGGTGCTAAGCTGTACTTTATGTTCTAAATGTGTAATTTCCTCTGCTTTCTTGATTGATCTCTTTAGCATTGTCCTGTTTTCTAAAGTCAAATTTTGACACATATTGGATGGACAACAGATTTCATTATATGTGTGGGGGAATGGAAATGGAACACAACAACTGAAATGGAAATATTCAGAAAGGGGCAGGCAAGGGCAAAGCTTTATCAAGAAGGTGTGAGTGGACACCTACTCTACAGGTCTTTAAAATTCATTTTTATGCATTTAATTAACACTTGCCATTTTACAAAATACAATGTCAATGTGAGTTATTTGACATTATCCTCACCACATCTCCATGCAGTAAGCCCAGAGACTACAGTTTAGAGAACTGATATAGCTCCAATCAGGCCACACATCTTGTAACCCGCAGAGCTTGAATAGGAACCCAGTCTTATATTCATCCCTCTCTGTATACCACCACCATCAGCCCATAACTGTGGAAACTCTATTAGCCTAGGAACTCATTAAAATCATGTTTACACTTTTACTAACTTAAAATCATATTTATTTAACTAGATGTCTCATTAGCTTATTGAAGTCATTACTGCCTGTCAGTCAGAGAAAGCAAACGAATGAATATTCTTCATAATAGAAGAGCAAGCAGGACTGTAATTAATGACTTTGCTAATAACAGCCCCGTGTTTGTGCACATTGATTTTCAGATATGGAATATACACATAAACCTCTGGGGAACAATGTTCTTCTATTTACCAAGAACAAATCTACTAATAGTTATTAACAATACATTCTTTAAAAGGCTTTATTTCTAATAATCTCTTACATATGGATGTTTCTTCAATGTGAATTACCAAATTGACTTTGAACAATTTATGCTGCCAAATTTTTCCATTTATCTCATTCAGATGACAAAAGTAAATACACCAAAGATTATTTCTATGCAAAAATGTCTTAAGTGGAGTGGTATTTGAGATGGGACCCTGAAAAAAAAAGTAAGGTATCCAACAGAAAGTTCCAATGCAGAAGGAATGCAAGATGAAGGAAACAGCAAAAGAAACAGACAGATTGAGGAAGTGGCACAGTTCCCAAGAACAGAGATTGGCCCGGTAGCTCTAATGAAAGCATTAGAGGAAAGATCTAAACAGAGTTTTGATGTCAGGCTTTGGAAGGTCATGAGTACTTTGTCTACATGATAGCAAAATCCAAATATTTAAAGCCACAGATAACTGCCCAAGATTTTTGTCTCCATTTGTGTTTGGTCTTAGGCACAGATTTATTATGTGCCTGTTCTAATTAATGTAGGCAAAAACACTGTTTTTTAATTGAAATAAGCACTTTCTGTTTTCATACAACACTGAAGCAAATGCTAAGCTGGAAGCTTTTATTTTTGTTTTTGACAACGGTTTCTTTAATTGTAAGGGAAAATCAAGAAAATATTTAATTTTGTCTCATATCCGAATAGTAGAGGAAAGGCCATATTGTTGGAATGCAGTGATGGGAGCTCTATTATTCTCCCTATGTGAATTTGCAGCATTAGCATCTCTGAACTACGGGTTCTATCACCAGAAAGTTGAGGATACCAGTAATTACCACTTTACTTGCTTAGAGGAATACAAATTATAATGTATATGACAAGGCTTTGCAACTTAAAAAGTGCTATAACACAGTGAGCAGCTCTCTACGTGAAGCTGATAAAGACTGAAAAAAATAAGGTTAAGAACTTGTGATTATTTTATATTTATTTTCTATATTTCTAGTGCTTGCTCCTGATATCAATGAAGAAAAGTGGGAAATACAGCCTGCTAAACAGTGCTTGATGGTAAAAATACAATGCTAAAGCATTTCATTGGCTCAGCTACTTTTATTTTCAAAAACTTCAGTCTATATATAATATTAGGAGGAAAAGACTAGTCAAAGTATTGTTTAGATTTTTTTTAAAAATGTACTTAAAAGCATTAAATATTTGTGTGTGTGTGTGTGTGTGTGTGTGTACATGCACACTAGGTAAAAATAATGTTCTTCTGTAGTTTAGAGGACTGATAGAACTAATTTGGTATTTTCTTTCCTTATAAGTTGTAGATTTCATATGCATTTGTCTTATAACCTGTTTTTTACCTTGACCTAGCTTAATGATCCTTCTAAACAAGATATTCTCTAGTTAAAAGGAATTAGAATTATGTGAAATTGACTTGGGAGGTAAAACTTTATTTTCATTCATTTGCACATATCCTTATTGAAAAGTATAAACAAAGTTAAGATTTGGAAGGCCATGCTAAACTCTTCTGTAAATATCACATGTCTATATGTCTAAGGATTTGGATACATGTTGCATTTGAAGTAGCTTAGGTGTCTCTAATAAATGAGTCAGCTTACAAGCTTACACTCTTTTTTCTTTACTTTTTTTTTTTTTTTTTTGAAGATAGGGTCTTACTCTGACACCCCAGGCTGGAGTGCAACGGCACAATCATGGCTCACTGCAGCCTTGACTTCCTGGGCTCAAGTGATCCTCCCATCTGAGACTTCCAAGTAGTTCAGATTATAGATTATAGATTACAGACTTCCAAGTAGTTCAGATTATTAGCTGTCACGCCCACCTAATTTTTAAAATTTTTTTGTAGAGACAGGGTTCTCACTATGTTGCCCAGGCTGGTCTTGAACTTTTGGCCTTAAAAAATCCTCCTGCTTTATACTTCCAAAGTGCTAGAATTATAGGCATGCATCACCATGCCCAGCAATTTACTTTCTTTACTATGATTTCAATTTTAGACATGTCAGGGGCCTCCCTGAATAACTGCACTTTTTAGAAATAAAGGCCAGTGGTTCATTGGCCAAAAAGAATTTGTCGTTAAAAAAAAAGCAAATCTGTCCGATTTATTAATTATGATTGTGTGATTTGATCCAACCAATGATAGATGGCAAATTTCACTTTTCAATTTGTCTAGGTATTAGATGAAGGTCACCCAAAAACTGAGTTGGAAAAAAAACTTGAAAAGGAATCCATCTAATCCATGTCTTTTAGCCCCACACACGGCAGATCTGAGCAAAAAGATGAAAGAAAATTCCATTTTCTTTATCACAGAGCAAATAAGAGTCTCAACATGCAAAGCTGTACAGCAGAACTTTCTCTAATGATGGAAATGGTATACCTCTGCACTGTCTAATACAGTAGACACATACCACATGTGACTACTGAGCAGTCAAAATGTGGTTATTATGACTGAGGAACTAAATTTTAAATAGCCATATTTGTTTAGTGTCTACTATATTAGAGAGTGCCACTAAATATTTTAGTCACACTTTACTGAAGCAAGAATTGTAAAGTGCCACAATCCAGGCAGATAAATATGCTGCATTTTAATAACCTGTGAAGTCAGGTTGTTGCCTTTTATGCAGGTCCCATAATATCAGGAGTTCACTTTCAGATTTGCACTTGGAGCCAGGAGTGGTGGCTCAGGTTTGTAATCCCAGCACTTTGGGAGATCAAGGTGGGTGAATCACTTGAGGTCAGGAGTTTGAGACCAGCCTGGCCAACGTGGCAAAACCCCATCTCTACCAAAAATACAAAAATGAGCTGGGCGTGGTAGCATGCACCTGTAGCCTCAGCTACTTAGGAGGTTGAGGCAGGAGAATTTCCTGAACCTGGGAGGCAGATGTTGTGGTGAGCCAAGATCGCACCAAGACTGTACTCCAGCCTGGGCGATAGAGTGAGACTCCATCTCAAAAAGAGAAAAAAAAAGAAAGTAAGAAAGAAAGAAAGAAAGAAAAAATTTGCACTCCTTGGAAGAAGTATGCACAGCTCTGCTTCATTATCTCTGCATTTCTCTTCCTTAGACTTGGTCACTATTGATTTTCTACTCTCCTAAGTTTGGACTGCTCATTCCTCCTAATATAAATGCTGTCTAAGCATGTGTTGTGGAAGAAGTATCCTCTGTTATCTTTTGGGAGGACAAATTATGACAGCCATTAGAAAAAAAAAGATTAATCTAATTTAGAAAATCTCTTAGTGTAATAGGTCTTTAAGTAGATTTTTGTGTGGTCCCAGAATTGTAGCTAAATCCAAGATTAAAATATTCAACCTTATCCACCCCACATTCTAAATAAGCTTCCTAGAATTAGAGACATCTACCCTTTATAGCACTTTCTAAGAGATTAAAGAAATACCGCCAACTACCATACCATATCCTACCCCCATGTTAATATAAGAAAAGGATGAGAGATGAGAGAGGGTTTTCTTGGACCTAGGTCTTTGAGAGACGCAGCGTTCCTGAGGACAATCAATTCCCTTCCCTCCTTGTGGATTAGTTAGGGGAAGGGAGAATATCCCTCCTGCCTGAAGCTAAGTGAAGGAAGCTCCAAGAATATTATGCATAAAACTTAAGTGCCCAGCAAGAAGAGACTAGCATCTTATCCTTAGACTGGGTGCTTGATAAACAGTAGTCCTGTTGGTGTAGGCAGAGTAGGGAGTGCTTAAGAAGTTCTTGTAAAAATGTGACTTGTGCCACCTCATGTTTTCGGCCTTTGAGAACATAGAAAATGGTGCCCACTTCTGATGAAGAGATTTGGAAATCAGGCTCCCTGCTATAATTGATTATGGGATCATAGAGGAGGCCTTGAAGTGGTGTGATAAGCGTGGAAGAAGATGAGAATGCCAGCTATTCCACTCCAGTCTTTACATCCCTGCAGGGACACAGAAGAAGACCTCTGGATTCCGCATGGCTATGCATATTGAAGGTCCAGTTCAAAGAATGTGGTGCTCTACACAGAGGAGGTGTTACTATTGTGCACCATTGATGGGGTAATCAGAGACACAGCTCCTTCTCTGAGAGGGTCCTCACCAAGAGAAGGTCACAGGAAGTTGAAGATGACTCCAAGAAAACCATGCATATTGCTAATATGGAGACAATTACATCACCTGAAGCTTTAGCAGCAGACAGAACCAGGCCAATCCAGAGCAATGCCATAGACATCACTCCACTATCTTCATGTGCCTTTATAAGGAGATCTCTGCCTTTCCATCCTTTTCCCTTTCCCTGAAAAACTGAAGGCTCTAGGCCCAGAAGCAGCAACGGAAGGGGAAATCTCAGAGAACCCTCTTCTCTTTCACTCTACCCAACAAAGGATCATAGATCATAGCTCTAGTCTCCAAAAGGGAAGATCAATAGCCTGAAATCAGATATGAGATTAAAGTTTTTTGCTAAATTAGACCAAGTGGTTGGAGAATAATAGAATCTACTCAGTACGTTGTTAAGCAGGAAAGCTGGATTTGACAAAGTACAGTTAAAAGTAATGACAGGAAGAACAAAACAAAGCGTAATAGGTTCATATTTATATCCACCAAGTTGAGACTGCTCAATTACAAAAGAAATATTAATGCACTTCTGTGTTTTTGGTTTTTAGTCCAGTTTAACAGCACTCAATCTACATTAGTAAATGAATATTTCTAAACCATATCACACATTTTGAAACAAAACCCACTCATATTTTCGGGCACTTTTTCAAAAAAGAAAAAATATATTTTCGACAAGATAGGGTGGATGATGGGGACCCTACCTATAAGTTTTATTTCTTCAAAAGTTGCCTTGCTGTCATTGAAACAAATGGTGAGCAAAACGAAGTTAACAGTTTAACATTTTATTAAAAGGGTGTCTGTATCCAACTCTAAAGCACTGCCCTGACTCTCAACCCTCCTGGAGGGCCCCCTGGAAGCTGCCCCTGAAGCTTCCTTCACACTGACCTCAATAGTGGGAAATCTTATTCTCTGGGGGTGAATGTAAACTTTAGAGTTAGGCAGAACATAATTTCACACATTTTTTCATGTATTAGACATCAGTCGTGGTGCTAAGTCTTGAGGAGGAAAGATATTATATTGGGAAAAAAATAACTAGGCTTTGGCATCAGAAAATGGGATCAAATCAAAGCTATAGGCTTTATTGGCAGTCTAGTCCTGAGAAAGCCCCTTAGCATTTGAATATCCATCCATTCATCAGTGAAACGAAAATAATACTTCATAATTGTATTGAAAGTCCTTAATGATATATTATTTGTAGAGCATATAGTTTCTGGGATTTAGTAAACATCCAAATGTTATCAACCTTCAACATAAAAAGATTATGATGTCATGCCTCCTAAACTTAAAGGCCAGTTGTGGAGACATATAATTACAATAAAATGTAATGAGTTCTCTCAGATGTGAGCAGATTGCTATGACAATAAAGAGGCAGATGACTAACTTTCCTTGGAATGCTGGAACAGTGATATTTGAGCTGAAGCTTTTGCAGAAGGAGGGATTCTTCAGGTACAAAAGTTGTTGGACACGGAGCGATCCCGGCATAGCCAAAGGCAAATGCAGAGAAGTATGAAATGTTCAGTGTATTTGGAGAGTGGGGAGAAGTGAAGTGTGGCTAGAGCATATGGCATGTAGGGGGAATACCAGGAAGTGTTGCTGGAAAAGCAGTCAGGGCCAAAATGTGAAGGGTCATCGATACTTTGCTAAAGGGCTTGGCATTTATCCAGCAGAGGATGAAGATCTGCAACGGGGATCCAGCAGAGGTTTTTAGCAGGGCAGTGAAATGAGTGGATTTGTTTTTCAGGAAATATTTCCTTGGCATCAGAGTGGCTGATGAATTAGAGTTGAGAGAAACTGGTGTCAAGACTTACAGCAACAGCCTCCTACCTGGGCTCCCTGCCACCATTTCAGACACGCTGAAGTGGAGGTGCCTGCAGGACACTCAGTGTAAACCACACTCACAAAGCTAAGCAGAGGAAAATCCTACTTAGGGCCAGATAAATTACAGGGTAATTATTTCCACTG
The DNA here is from genome assembly GCF_000001405.40 of Homo sapiens. NCBI lineage: Eukaryota > Metazoa > Chordata > Mammalia > Primates > Hominidae > Homo > Homo sapiens. Next base: position 192,207,981 of record NC_000003.12, read on the forward strand.
CAGAAACATTCTCTGCTTCATAAAAGGATTCATTTTAGGATCCCAGAGTTCCTCTAAATAGCAAGTTTCTTAGTGCATTTAGGCATCCCTTTACAGCTCATTAGCTACTTGATAGAGGCGGAGAAAGTCAAGAAAATCCTAAAGATGTACTTTCAAGTGTTCTTATTAAAAATCTTCATGGATGAAAATAAAATGTTTGAAGTTATCATTTTTCAATGAAAAAGGAAATTTGATTTATAAAAGCACTTCGATGTGATTTATAGAAACTAGAATAAGAAGAATGTCTGTTACGATATTCCATAGAATGCATTTCACAAATTTCAGCCACCATAACTCAAAACACTGTAGGGAGTGTGACAATATGAGTAGTCAGATTAATAGAAATAGCTAGAAATACAGCTGTTTAGCCACTGAATAAGAACCTCTATTGTCTTTAAGCCTGAATCTCATACATAGTTTTATGTTAAGTGCTTCTCTCTGTCCACAGTTTCTCATCAGATGAACTATGTCCTTTGCTACATAAATTAAAGAACATGTTGTAATTTGGATATTTTATATATATACACCAAATTATAAAAGAAAAACTATTTTAATCTCATTATATTGAATTTTCTTGTGAATAGATATTTCACGAGAATACATTATTAATATCAACGGAGTCACTTCCAGAATGCAAATAAATGTAGAATAATTTCAATTTTAAAACAAAAAACACTGTTGGGAACCCTCTTTGAGGAATGCTTTCAGAGCATTCTTTGACCTATCTTTACTGGGAGCAACTCCTTTGTAGTGAATTTACTTTTTCAAAATAGACAAATTTCAATTTGAGCCAAATGCTTCTCAGTTGCCACGTGAGAGGTATCTAACTTAGCTACTGTCTATAAGTGTCTCACTCGGCATAAAGTGTAGTATTAGTGTTCCTTGTAGTACCTTCAGTTGAACTAGTTCAGAGAATTCCTTGTTGATAAAAGCATGTGGCAGAAACTGACAACTGTCTTTCAGTATTCATTCTTTTCTAATGTGTTTGATAACAACACACGTTTTTATACTTGGCTACATTACTTAAAAAGTTAGACAATATTTACCATTCTTCCTTGTAGCTATATGTAGTCATCTGACTAAATTAAGGCTAATATGATATAAATGAATATATATTATGGGACTTTCAGAAAAGCTGATTTAAATGAGTTGATTTGGCTTAGAGGAAAACATTTTCTCCCCTACTTCTTCCAGCTATTGCCACTACCACCACCACCATCATCATCATTTTCATCATCATCATGAAATGTGGATGTAATGGCTAGAATTCCAGCAGCCATCTTGAATCAAGAGGTGATGAAAATTATCAATGAGGATGGGAAAACAGAAAAATAGAAAGCTGGGTTCCTAGTGTCCTCTGGGAATCCTGTGCTAGCTATGGACTGTAGACATTCAGATCCCTTTTTATAATAGAACAAGCTTCTGCCTTGTTTAAACCACTTTTAGTTTGTTTAAAGTGAAAATTAATCTTAGCTGACACAGGTTATATCAAAAGAGAATGTATTCTTGTCTACATAAATTATCAGGATAAACATGCACAAGATGAATTAAGGTGAAGTGTTTTGTCATTCTGAATTTTCTAGCTTCACAAATAATGATGATGCAAATAAGAATATCCCCTCACATCAGTACAGGATTTTAGAGATAGGATACAGGATTTTAGAGATAGGAATTTTTATATCTGTGACCACATTTAATCTTTGAAGTAACTCTGTAATAAAGCAGAAGGACTTCCATTTCCCATACAAACAGATGATGAAATTAAGGTTGAGCTATCTGCCTCAGGTCAAACAACAGCAGTTGGTACAGCCAGAAACCAAACGTTCTTGACTTAAAATGTATTGCTTTCCTATTGATAACTTGCAGGTTCTACACGTGAACATTAGTCACATGTTGTATACCATTCACTACCTGACTCACTTACGTGCTCCTTTGATTAAAGATAAAAAAAATAGCTTTCATAGTTTTTCACTGGGCTTCTGTTTTTGCCATGGTGCAGTAACAGTGACTAGATTTAACTTCCCACTTTAAACAACCAAAAATTATACCATATATGAAACAATGATTTTCAGATGTTGGGAAACATGCAGTGTACAACTGTGATCCTTGAGAGAAAAAAACATAGTGAGCATTGCCCCAGAAGGAAATGTCTAGACAGCGGCACAGAAAGAAAGAACACAAACAGCCAAGGAGATTCACTGAGCTGAGGAAACAGAAACTGGATTTCAGGGAGCCAGGGGAGGCAAGGTGGCTAGAAGTTGGGTGTCAGTGTATCAGATTAAAAGAAGTCAGTAATTTAGACGAATACTGACCTGCATATGTGTGAGAGGAAACTACCCAAGGCTATGGGAGAAAAAAAATACACAAGAAAAAAGCCAGATAATTCTTGGAGCTCACACAGAGCCAAGAGTAGTTCATGTCCCCACAAAGGTGGACAGACCTGGTAATATATGGGGCTTTGGCTGGAGCTCTAAGAAGGGTATAACTAGTTTAATAAAATTCTAGGAAAGTCAACATAGAGTACACAGAAAAGAGATGGAAGAATAGAAAGTTACACAGTAACCTAGGATTTTATGAACTTGAACATAAATGACAATTGCAGCACTTCTGTTTGACCTCGGTATTTGTCATAGAATTAAATTAAATTTCTACATATCGGATATAGCAAGGAATAGAGATAAAAGTCTTTACCATCGCGGAGCTTATATTCTAACGAGAGTAGAAGAGAGAGACAGTCATGTAATAAATATTATATTGGAGGAAATGAGTGCTATTAGAATATAAATGGGGGTAAGGTGTTGTGAGAAAGAATGTGGCAATTTTAAGAAGTTCATAAATTCATCAAGGTAGATGAGACCAAAGACAGTGATGAGGCCAGGGTGGCTGGAGGCAACGAGAAGAACAACAGGAGAGAAGTCAGAGATGTATTGATGGGTTAGATCCTGTAAGCCATTGTGAAAACAGGAGAGATTGCAAGGTTTAAAGCAGAGGTATGACATAATGTCTCATATCTCGAAAGGATACTCTTCCTGTTGTTTGGATTAGGCTCCAAGGGTGCAATGGTGGATTCCCACCACTAAGGAGGATATTACAGTATTCCAGAGGAGAAGGACTGAAAGCTTGGATTTGAGGGGCACTCTGGACAAGGTGAGAAATGGTCAGATTATGCATATAATTGAAAAAACAGAGCCATGACAATGTTCAAATATTATATGTGGGATATAAAAGAAGAGAAGAATCCAGGATGCTTTTGAGAGTTGTGGTGGTTTTTAAGCAACTAAAAGGGTAGAGTTGCCATTAACGACAAAGGAGAACACTTTGGATGGAGCATAGTAGAAGAGAAGATCAATCCTGGACATGAAAAAATCAATGGCGGTTTAGTGTGTGATACCACAATATTGTGATTTATTTGTTTATTTTTTTGAGACGGACCCTCGCTCTTGTGGCCGAGGCTGGAGTGCAGCGGCGCAATCTCGGCTCACTGCAAGCTCCGCCTCCCAGGTTCAAGCAGTTCTCCTGCCTCAGCCTACCGTGTAGCTGGGATTACAGGTGCCCCCCACCACGCCTAGCTAAATTTTTGTATTTTTAGTAGAGACGGGGTTTCATCATGTTGGCCAGGCTGGTCATGAACCCCTGACCTCAGGTGACCCACCTGCCTCAACCTCCCAAAGTGCTGGGATTACAGGTGTGAGCCACCGTGACTGGCCTTTATTTTTTGTAAACATAAAAATATTGTAAAATATTGTTATTTTAACAATACATTTTAAAGAAGGTATTAGATCTGCTGCATGGTCATTTTTAAATGCTTTAAAAAAGACATAATACAAAATAGCTTTCCCTTTCAAATAACATAATAAATCCTACATAATTGCATATTTTAGAAGAAATAGGAAAACACGAAAGTTTAGACTCTTGCTACAAAGTGAAGTCTCTCCCACATTAAACACAGGAATGTTAAACAGCCTATAGCGTTCTCCCAAATAGCCCATTGTGCAACTTGAACAACATGTATTTGCAATTTAACTTCTGTTTTGCCTAACTTCTTTTTCAAATGCATCCTCTCTGTGTTGCAACACTGTCACTTATACAGACGTGCACAGCAGGGCCTACCTTTAAATACTGAAATCTCTGAGAAGTTGATTGCTCTTCCAATCACTTATCTGGCTGCAAACCGCTGAGTTGTTGCCATGATTAACAGTTATTCTTTCATAGACAATAAAAACAGGAAGGTTATATAGTGAAGATTTAAAGCTAGAAACAAATATATTGATAATGAATACGAACACTGTCATTTTGCAGCTATGAAAACTGAGGACAGTGTAGGGAAGAGATTTCCCATAAAACGTCAACTCTGATTTAGTTCAGGCAGTTAGTTTCAGGAAAAAAAAATGTATTAAATGTGTTATGTAAAACGGTGTGGGGAGAAGAATGGTTAAGTTTAAATAACTTGTTATTTAGAAGATGGTAGGTGAAAAGAAATACATATATATTTGCTGCTGTCTGTCTGCCCCCTATACTCCACTGTGTGAAAATGCAGTAAACTGGGCTAATAACTTATAGCACAATTTGCACAGTCAAAATGAAGGTTTCTGCTAGATACCATTAAACTCAAAGGTCACATTTAATATAAACCTTTTATCCTGCCTGGACTCAAAGCAGTTTCAGGATTTGTCATTTAACAGTCATAAATAATGTGCCTCATTTTGTGGCATCCTGGAGACTGAGAATCTCTCATATTTTCTTCTCAACATTAAAATTCACAAAAATGGGGGGGGGGTTAAAAAAAGAAATAAAAAGATAACTTGGTAATTTCTGTTGATAATTTCAAAAGCTGGTCCTTGAGCTTTGGTGGAGACAATCTCGTTAGCATCAGTGATGTGTAATACAATAAAGAGAAACACACAAAAATCAAACACCCTGTCTGGAGTGGCAGCTGCTCTTGTCAGAGCTATCTGTCTCGTGCCAGTCCCAGAAGTGCAATGGTACCAATGGTCTTTGTCCCATGTTCTTCCTGCAGCAAAACTTGTCAGGTTATGATGTGCCAATCTTTATCAATGTCTACAGTTCTGCACAAGAAGGTTCCTCACAGAACGTGCTTACGCTTCTGGGCAAGAAAACGCTGTGTGCTGTCACTCTTCCTTCCCCCTTGTAAGCACAATTGTCCCAGCAAGCGAGCGCCAGAGCAGCTGAAGGCGAAGGAGAGCATCTGCCTATTTCTAAGTCTTGGTTATCTGAAAGCGTCTCCAATTCTTTTTTTTTTCCCTTTTTTTTGGAAGCTGCTTTTGTAGTCAGTAGGGAGCTCTGGATGAATCAGAATAGGAATTACCCTTTTAAGAGGGAACACCTTCTACTTGTTTGAAACTCTAAATCCAATAACACTATTTCCAGACATGAATTAAGCTCTTTAAATTGATAAATGCTCATATCATTTTATTTTCTCATTTATAAATATGCATCTCATTTCATTCGCACAGCCATTTCCAGAGTAAGTATTATTTTTCCACTATAGTGATGATGATACAGTTTTCAAATAAGTCAAGTGACTTATCTGAGATCGCCCAGCTTAGAAGGGGCAAGACTAAGTCTTAGATCCAGTCTAGCTCTCATTTTACTTCATTTTAACTGCCTCATTTCAGGAAGTTACAGTTTCTATCACTATAGGAGTTTATCCTCCAGAGAGTTGAAGAACCATAAGAACTGTCTCTCTCCGTGGCTCAACAGATAGATTGAACACAGCTCACACTACTCACAGGCCTGTGATTCAGCCAAATTGTTCCTTATTTCATGTAGCTGTGGTGACTCTCAATAGATTGGATCTTCGTGGCCCATTTATTCCAATGCAGCTTTCAGTTTCACTGACCGTTGTGGAAGCTGTGGGCATTTGACTGTGAGTGAGCTCTGATTCCAGGGTTGGGGAACTTCCTGGAGTACCAGGGCATGAAAGACCCAAGTCAAGAAAAGGGAGGGGCTTTTTTTTAAAAAACTGTTACTTTTCTCCCTGTGTGTCCATGTAATTTACAAATATTATAACGCTCGTTACTAGAATGCCAAACTGAATTAGGTCATTTCTCAATCTAGAAGATGCTTTTCCTTCGACAGAGACGGGAACTGTAACATTTACCAAGAAACTATATGATTGTGTGTCACGTTTTACATTTACTAATTCATTTTTGTTTATTCTTCACAATAACCACGTGAGATCAGTGTTATACTCATTTTACTGCTTAGGAAATTCAGAGCCAGAAAAGGCAAGATATTTTCTCAATATTTCATGTTTAATAAATGAGAGAACCCAGAACCAAAGCTAGAAATAATAACAGTGAATCTCTGAGTAAGCACAGTAACATTTCTTCCATGAATCTTGGTGTGTTTTACTTTTTTATTTGCAAATGTTCTCCTGGGGGAGGTAATGGTACTGTCAAATATTTTTGCTAACAGAAGATGTGGAATGAGAAGAGACAAGTGACACATAGGTCACCATCATCAGATGCTCCAAATAGGTCTATATGTGTGTTACAGTAGAAAAAAGGAGCTCTAACTACAAACTGGCTTCCAGATCAGTCACATTTTCCTGTGTTCCACATAGTTTCAGTTGTTATGATGAAGCAACTTACCCACGAGCAGAAATAAGCATGGAGAAGGCAAATTGGTAATTGACATGTTAAAAGTTGTTAAAAATGCCAACTCATAAGCATTGTTAGTCCAAGGCCAACAGCTGTCTTAAATATCAACATTAGGATGAAGCTAAATAGCACACACATCTTTGATCACATAAGAATGTTTGGAGAAGAATGATTTTAGGAACTTGCATTATGTAAAGAATAATATTTGTCAACTTAAATGTAGTTACATGAAAACAATTGTTTTAGGTACTCTCACATGTAACCCAGTTGCCTCCTTAGGAATGAATTTATTCCACAGCTGCTGGGAGAACTGCTGGAAGAAATTCTTCATGCTTTCAGCTCCCCCCAGATCTGCTTAAGAGAGCTGCCTTACAATGACTAATCGACATGGAGGTATAGGGGCCAATCCTCTTCAGCCTAAATCAGAGGATGCTTACGTTGTCATCGGCTCTTCCCGAACTCTCTACAGGAGTGAATGGCTGTGTTCTCCCATCAAAGCTTCATCCTTACTCACAATTCCCTCTGCTGAATCCTGTTTCCTTGTCTTCCCTTTCCTGGCTTTCCCTCGAAGGTGTTGATATCATTTTCATTCTCAAATAACCCCCACCTGCCCATTAGACTCTGCACTAATCTCTGTCTCAGAGTCTGTTTTTCTGAGCCAATGAAGAAGGGAGAGAGGAGAAATACTTGGTACTCATCACCCAGCAATTTAAAGAAGTCTTTCTTACCCTCACACCACTACTGCTGGTTGCTAAACCTTAGCACTATAATTGATGGACCTCACATGGCAATTATTCATTGGAGCAATGGTGCTTCTTCAGTTAAGATTTTTACTTACTACACATTATCTGTAGCATTGGGCCCAAATGTAAGTGCTTGGCTAATGGTTATATGGGTCTTAAAGGCCAAAAAGCCATAAATTCAATACTACTTTAAGGCTGACAGCTTCTCCACAACACTCCTGCCGACTCTGTACCTATTATCTCCTAGCAGGTCTTCTGTTAGGAAGTTCTCATTGTCTCTCCAAATAGCTCAGAGCCATCTCTGTACAGATTAGACTGCTCTCTCTTATTTCCTCCAAAACCTTTTTCCCCTGTAGAAGAAATTCTGCCAATCTTTTACTGGTGGTAGACATATAAAACAAAGCCATTTCTTTGATATAATTCTTCAATGACATAAAAACAACTTTCTAGTTTCCCTAAAAGTCTCATCTAACGTCCAGCTTTTTATTATTCTTTCCTCACAGGAATTAATTTTAAGACTCCTCCTTCTTCACTTTGCTGCCCTCCTCTCTATGCATCCCACTATCTTATCTGTATTAAAATGTTGAATATAGTCATGATTAATTCATTGTACAAGCACGTGAGTTTCTATTATGTACAAGGCACCTTGCTAGACCCTAGGAATATAGTTCACAAGGAGCTCAGATAACACAGTAAATTTAGGAAAATTTACTTTCCTCTGAAACCAATTTCCAGACCATTGTTACAAAGACAATGTAGTGTATTGTTATATTCAATGACAGAAAAACACCATCTCCTCCCATTTACATTTCTCCAAGTGACTATTTCTTTTATTTTTTCTCCTCGCACAAAGAAGTATTATTAAATTATTGTTAACCAGAATTTTATGAATTGGACATTGTCACACATCCAGCCATTTGTTATCTACCCCCTGGTAATGGAGGTTATTCCCTGCCACCCAGATCTTGTTTTACTATCCATTGTCTTTAACAACAAAATGGAAATTATTTTTCCAGCTCTTAGTCTGAAATCAAAACAAGATCACTCTTGCATGGAAAGTAAATGAATTTGCACATCGTTCCATCAAATGAAATACATATCATAAAATTTGTATGTGCTAAAAAACTTGGTTTCCCTTTATATAAAATTTTTTATAACGTGTAATAAACAATACCTTTAAAATGCTACATAATCAGAAACTTCTATAAAAGATTTATAAAAAGAAAATTATTGACATTTGGTAGGATTTGGTAGGCAATAGCAGGGTAGAAAACAATCTCTAAATAGTTCTCTCATTCCTTTTTCATTTTATCTCAGAAATCAAGTTTAATTCACAAAATTGTGGAGCTGAAAATAATCTTTAAAACTACCATTTTCAGGTGAGAAAACTGAGGCCCAGAGAAATGCAATATCTGTTTAATCTACAGAGAGTGTGGAGCAAACACGGGCTTAAACTCTGGTTTCCAACTCTTATCACTTTATTTCACAACAATTTTTTCTTTGTACTGGTAAGCATCTTAATAATTGAATATTAAGGATGTGAGAAGATGAATTAATCGAATCAGGAAACTTGATGTTTCTAATGTGTTTGTTTTATTTATAATCTGTGCAGCAAGGAAAGCATGTTTACTGAGTGGCACTTGCTATACATACAGTATGCAAGAGCACAGTGGTTAAGAACATTTGCTTTCAGCCAGATAAACCTGGCTTCACATCCCCACCCAGCCGATAACTAGCTTTCTGGCACTGTGCAAGTCAATTAACCACACAAGGCCTTAGTTTCCTCATCCCTAAAAGAGGGATAATGAAGGTACCTCTTTCATAAGCTTGTTTTGAGGATAAAACGAGTTAATCCATGCAGTGCACATAAAACTGCCCAACACCTTAAGCGCTATATGAGCGTCTGCTGTTGTTTTTGTTGTTGTTACTATTTTTAAACTGAATAAGTACTTTTTCCATATTCTTCTCAGGTTCAGTTTGAATCTCCACTCTTTTCACTTTGTACCAGCCGGTAACCAAATTCAAGCTGAAGCAAAGAGGTCTAATCCAGGGGAAGAAGTGGGCACAAGAGTTTGACTCTATTACTGTGGGTAAATGCTCTTTATTAGAGAGCAAAGAGGAACGTAGACAACAAAATAAAAACACATGGAGCTGTAAAACACCTGCAGGCAGGTCTCAATGGCTGCCAAGTCTCTTTGCCATCATGTCAATAATGGTTTTATGAATAACTTAGAATTAAGCTTTAGTATTTTATTAGGAAAAATATATAAAATCAAATTTGAAGATGTTTCTCTGAATTGCTTTGCTTTAAATAGTTTTGTAACGGTACACATGCATTTAGTTCTTTTAAAATCCTAATTTAAAAGGATCAAGGGCTCATCACTGCCATCAGTAATTCATGATATATGACATACTAATTAATTCTTGTCACTTTTCTTTTTTTCTTTTCTTTTCTTTTCTTTTTTTTTTAGATGGAATTTCGCTCTTGTTGCCAAGACTGGAGTGCAATGGCATGATCTCGGCTCACCGCAACCTCTGCCTCCTGGGTTCAAGCAATTCTCCTGCCTCATCCTCCCGAGTAGCTGGGATTACAGACGTGTGCCACCATGCCCAGCTAAGTTTTGTATTTTTAGTAGAGATGTGGTTTCTCCATGTTGGTCAGGCTGGCCTCGAACTCCCAACCTCAGGTGGCCCACGTCGGCCTCCCAAAATGCTGGGATTACAAGCGTCAGCCACCACGCCTGGCCCTTCTTGTCACTTTTCTACGTCAGGAAATCACGTTCTATTAATGGATCTAAAAAGTGAAATTTATAAAGATAAATGGAGAACTTTAAATTTGAGTTCATCTTGTGGCAGGGCATTTGTGGCATGTGGGAAATAAGTAAGGAGATACTGGCATCTTTTGGGGCCAGTTGATCTGGATTATATGTGATATGGCTTAGATCTGTGTCCCCACCTAAATCTCATGTCTAATTGTTATCCCCAATGTTGGAGGAAGGGTTTGTTGGGAGGTGATGGATCATGCGGGTGCGTTTCTCATGAATGGTTAAATACTATCCCTTTGGTGCTGTTCTCATGATAGTGAGTGAGTTCTCATGTGATCTGGTTGTTTAAAATTGTGTGGCACCTCCCCGTCTCTCTCTTCCTCCTGCTCTGGCTATCACCTGCTTCCCCTTCCTATGTCAACCATAATTGTGAGTTTCCTGAGGCCTCCCCAGAAGGAGAAGCCTATACAGCCTGCAAAACTGTGAGGCAATTAAAGCTCTTTTTCTTTATAAATTACCCAGTCTCAGGTACTTCTTTACAGCAGTGCAAGAATGGACTAATCCAATATGATTCACAATTGCATACACAACAAAGTACTTTGACTAAAAATGAGCCAAGGCGGAAAAGAGGAAGAGCATTTTAAAATAACCATTTTATTTGGACAATATCAAACTTCATAATTTCCATTTGATTGCTAGATTTGCTCCACATTTAAAAAGTTACAAATACATACCTAGCTCTATGACCACAACACAAATGTATCTTCCAGGTCCTGACCCTGCCTTTCGGCTGCCTATTGTGACCCCTAGCTAGATGTTGCCCTAGTTGTGTAGCTGGGTTGGCAAACTTGGAAGTCCACATCTTTGTTTATTTGGTAAATGCAATGTTATAAAAATTAGAAACATTTACTTATAAATATCTATTTTTATTTTTTTTAATTATTTTTAAATTGAGATGGAGTCTTGCTCTGTCACCCAGGCTGGAGTGCAGTGGTGCAATCTTGGCTCACTGCAACCTCCAACTCCTAGATTCAAGCAATTCTCCCCCATCAGCCTCCCAAGTAGCTAGGACTACAGGCACTTGCCACCATACCCGACTGATTTTTTTATTTTTAGTAGAGATGGGTTTTCGCCATGTTGGCCAGGCTGGTCTCGAACTCCTGACCTCAAGTGATCCACCCACCTTGGCCTCCCAAAGTGCTGGGATTACAGATGTGAGCCACTGCGCCAGGTCATTTTAATTTTTAAATATCAGAAGAACTGACTAGTGGTTTTTGGCCTGGCTGCCTAGTGGGATCACCTGAGATACTTAAACACGAAAAACCCCCAGAAATATTTTAATATAATAGATGTGGTTTGAACCCAGGTATTGGTATGCTTCCTTTAAGCTCCTCAGATGATTCTCATGTGCCTCATGCTACAGTGAGCTGGGCTACAGTAGCATAAATTCCCAAAGTGGTTGACTAACAGCACCAACATCACCTGGGAATATGTGAGAAATGCAAATTATCAGGCCATATCAAGACCTACACGATCAGAAATTCTGGGGTGAGACTCAGGAATCTGTGTTTGAACAAGTGTTCCATAAATGTGCATGTGATTCTGACTCACACTCACATTTGAGAACCACTGCACTATGTAGACCCTGCACATCTCTATTAGTTATTGCTTATAGTTATTGTTTTCACTCAGTTAACTGACTTACCTATAGCTGTGTTTGTATTTGAAGATCCTCTAACTGAGTTCATTCTCATTTTCCCAGACCTAATTTTTCTTTTGAAATTCCTCTTTCTGATTATGACAAAAAGACACCAACCAAGCTTCAGGCATTGTTTTCTTTTCCAGTGCTAATTCAACCCTCTTAATATTACAATCATTTTTTTTTCCTTATAGTCCTACTGCCATTGTTCCAGTCCAGGCCCTCATTACTTCTTATCTTGACAATTGAATCTGTTTCTGGCTTCCCTGCCTCTAGTACCTACTCACTCCAGTTCCTCATATATACTGTTGACAGTTTTGTCTTCCTGAATGCAAGCCAAGTCATAAACTCATTCAGTTTAGAATTCTTCAGTGACTTGCCATTGAATATATTCAGTCTACTCCACCTAGCATCAAAGACCCTCCATGACCTGGCTCCTCCTTGCATTTCTACACTTCTCCTTCACCATTCTACTTCCCTATTAACTTTAAACTCTAAATAATTTACTATTGCCTAAACTTTCCTACTCCATATTGACTTTTAACTTTATGTTTCAACTTATGCTTTCATTCCACTTGGATTGACCAAACTTTGTCTTCTGTTACCATCTCCTCCAAATTCTCCTCACACTATAATTGTCCCAAACACCATTTCCTTCTGAAGCCTTCCTTGATCCATCAAATCTTAAGTAGTTTTGATCCACTCTGTACTACCTTAGGTTTTTATTCCGCCTCTCATACATCACTCGACATACTGAGATAACATGCACACACAGACAACATATTAGTTGTCAGTTACGAACTATCATCCATCTAGTTGGTTAACCAAAAAAATAATAACTGACTTCTATAAGATAAGAACTGTGCTAAGCTCTATATGACTGGTAAATATTGGTTCATTGAAAAGAAGCCTTAGAAATTTGGGGGTATAAATATGTTTTTTAAAAGTTTCTTTGAAGGATTTTTGAACAAATGGAAACATGATGTTAAATATTCCAATAGTCTACTGAAGATGATAATCTGTGAATCCTCTCCTTTCCATCTTCAAGGCAATTCCTCTATTATTACTCTCTTTATTAGATGAAATGAGACACAAATAAATCCTCCAAATATTGTATCTTAAAAGCATCTTGCACCAACCATCTGAATGACAAAGAGGTGAGTTAATGTATTTGTGTGACTCCATGAGAGGATGGTTTAAAGGGAAGAGTACTGGTAACAAGATAAGACTGGGTCTCAGCCAAACATGGCAGCTTGCCTACCTTTGGTGCTGCTTGGATTTTACTCAAAACACACAATTCTCCAATTTCCTCTTTGCTAGAGTTGGGTGACCTTTTCTGTTTGACAAAGCCTCACAAGGCTAACCCACACACACATTCATACATGATTGGTATTTCTTTTTATTTTAAGTGTTCTTCATGTTCCGGAGCCTTCTCACCTTAAAGCCACAAATTCTGCACATTCTCTTAGGCTCTTATATGCAAGCCATTAATCTGACAGATCAGCCAATGGAAAAATGGTAACTAGGTTAAAATGCTATGCATACGTAGTACTAATTAGAATTTAATAAGGCCTTACTCAAATGAGAGACACTATTATACCTGTAAGCACCATGACAGCGCAGGGATGTGATCAGTATCTTTATACTAAGGTACGTTAATAAACACCAGTGGTGCTGGAGGGAGGAAGAGATAGCCATCATGAATAACCAACTGCTTGGACCTTTAGAACATCATAAATAGTCCTTTAAATATCTACATTTTGGACGAAGTGACTTAGGAAGGCTTAAAGCTGGGGCAAATCAAGAGAACAATATGCATGGGTAATATAAAGAAAGAAATATAGTTCAAGTCTTGGACATCTAAAAGTAAAATGTAATTCAGGTCAACAAAGATTTACTGAAGTATAAAATATAGAAGAAAATATCACGAAAATATTTAAGATACAATCCTGTCTCTAGTTATGACTGGCAGTGTAAAGGTAGAATATAACAAGTATAAAATGATCATGATATAAATACCACCAAGGTTATATGGTGTGAGGATTCGAAGAAGCAAAATATAAACAAAAACAAACAAAAAATAGATTAGCAAAAGAAATAGAGAAACATTTGATAGAGATTTGCCTTATAATTCAAATTACATTTTTACCAGGAAAGGTGTGGTATGAAGAGGAAGCCACAGGAACAGAGAACATGACAGGTGTGACATGTATTCAGATACTATCCATAAATCAAATCTAGAGAGAATACAAGTAAATGGGGCAAGAAGTGGGAGACGAGACTGTAAAACTTGGTGGGGTCATCCTGATAAGGCCATGAACATGGGAATGAGTACTTAGTGCTGAGTAGGTGAAAAGAGATGGATGAAAGCCAGGTTTCTTATTCTCTTAGGTTCAACAAAGAACGCTGAAATACAGCATTCTTAACAGCCGACTCTATTGAAGAGACTCTATTGAAGAGACTCAAATAAGGTTCTTCGGCTGTAACATGTCCTTAGAATGTCCAGAGGAAAATCAGTTTCCATATCAGACACCTTTACTTCTATTCTGAAAAATTCTGTAAACTCCCGAACATGATTATTGGATTCCAGATTAATTTTTTCATTGTTAAAATGTTAGCATCTGGAAACTCAAAAGGAAAGAATAATAATTAGTATTTTTCTTGCACATCAGATTTCACCTTGCTCTAGTGTGGTGTTCTTTAGGAAGCTCAGTTGGCAGATACCAATTGAATTGTGAAAATATGTCTCTCCTCCACACTCAAAGATAATAAGAGTGTCTGGGAAACAGGCTGTATCAATACATGATACTTTTATTGTGTGTGAAAAAGGGAAAAATTCCAAATTAATCTTAAGAATATACTGACTGATATCTATCAAGTTAACCCGATACAACAGGCTGGGGAATGGTAAATCTATTCCATCAAAAAATATGGCCATGAGTTTCACCAAACCGAGTGCTCATCCTGGCTCTTTGTAAATGCAGGATGAAACTCAGCACACTTTCATTACTTATTCTGCAAAAACAACTGTTCATTAGAATTCTGAGAAATGAGTGTTGAATTAAGACTCAGTGTCTCCATCAGGATGCAGTTGAGAAACTCCCCCACGTTTCATGTCCTTCCTCTTCAGTTGCACGTATTCCGCACTGCACCTCTGCCCATACTTTACCCAAGGTTAGATATAACTTAGTAAAGTGAATTTAAAATTATTAATATTTTCAAAGCAAATAAAATCACATGAAAGGGATCTTGCAAATGCCTAAATTAAAACTCTTTTCTTTTAGCTATGTACCTTCAACACATTTTACTTACTAGAGGCGCCTGAACACTGAATATTACAGGTTACCTAGGAAACTTACAGTGACTACACTTAAAAACAACACAAAGCCCTCTAACTGAAGCAGAATACCATTTTAGAAAAGTCTATTTTGGGAATGGCAAAAAGAAATGGTTAACAAGTAAATATCAGTGCATAGCTACTGTCACATTTGAGTTTTTCTTCCTCACATTATTCTTCAATTTCTTTTTATGTCTGCCACTGAGTTGTTCCTGAAATAAAATAAAAGCTAAAGATATAATAATGAATAAAGGGCAATTATTTCTATTATCAGCTATAATCCAGATCATGAGATCTTACTCCGTGGCTCCTCAGATAATATGGAAATAATGTTATGCCTTTTTAGCATTCATTAATGATGGTGACCATACATCCAGTTTGTCTGGTATATTTCCAGTTTATGCCTATGGTTCTGGCAAAATTATTCACGGTATCTCATTTCACTTGAAAATTATCCAGGCTCGGATGATAAATTATGTTTGCCGTAACTGTCTATTACAGGTATATGCAGAATGTATTGAGAAATATAAAACTGTACTAGGATAGTCAGTGCCCTTGGGGAGCTATAAATGTATAATCTAATTGAAAAAATATAAATGGTAACATATTCTTTAAAATATTCACTACTAAACAATATAATGATATTATTATATCATTCACTATGACTAAATTGACAAAAATACTTGTTTCCGCAAACTCTCCTGCCTAATGTAATAAATTACACCAAGAAGGCACTTCCCCATAGCCCATAAAAAGAAGAAAGACAAAGTGTATAGAGTGAGTTGTGATAATTCTGCAAGCCTCAGCAGCTTTGTTAGCAGCAAAATCAAGGTCACCTTGGCTACTGCCCAAATCTAATACTACCACTGAGAGATTGCCTCAGGGTAGGGATTTTGTAAGATACCTGGAGAGTTGTTGCAGTGTTTTCTGAAATCCAATTACAAAATCCATTATTACTACTAGACAAACTGATACAGCATTTCTATATTTGCAAGGTGCAGAGCACTCACAGCTCAGCAAAACGGTGCTGGAGAACGCTTTCTGTATTATGATGATAGTGGTGATGATGATGATGATAATGACATACAATTCCATTTATTTAAATACTTTCTACTCCAGTCCTTCGAAAACAAACGTGAAGGATTTCCTACACAAAACTGGAAGAAGATAACATTTCTTTTTCCTTTTCTCTAGCCAATCCTTGTTTTATATAGTAAATAAAAATTATACCAATATGGCTTGATAAAGTGAAAAGACATTTTAGTGTTCAAATCTCAATTCTGCATCTCTTAGATCTGCCATTTTATTATAGAAAAATCTGTTCTGGGACTAGGAAAAGAAATGGTTAACAAGTAAATATCAGTTCATAGCTACTTTTTTTTTAATTTGGGCTTTTCTTCCTCAACTTATTCTTAAATTTCTTCTTAGGTCTGCCATTGAGTCACTCTTAAAAGAAAAACTCTCCAAGGCTCAATGTTTTCATTTTTATAATGAGGATTATCATAGTCCTACCTCAGAAAATTAGTTAGAATAAAAGGAAAGAAAAAGTGTGAAGTGTCTGGCATGATGTCAATAAAACTCGAAACTGAATGTTCTCAACTGTACATAATCCTCAGAGTAGTTCGAGTTGCCATTGCCACTGAGATTCTTGCAGTGACCTCTTCTTACGCTAGTAGGTTACAGCAGTAGTTTTAAAAGTCCAGTATGTAAATGAATCAGCTGAACTACTTGTTAAAATAGAAATTCCTGATACCATACCCGGAATTCTGACGTAATACATGTGAGAGAGGCCCCAGGACTTAGCATTTCTTACCAGCACCTGCCTTGCCCATCCTTACTACAGGCCACATTTACACAAACACAAGTCAGAGAAAATGAAGACTTGCCACAACTTCAAGGCTGAAATTTCACATTAAAAAAAGTATCATTAGCCACTTAACATCTCCCCCTGGATATTCTGCCAGCAAGTCTGTATCCCAAGCTGAATTTAACTTAAACCTTGAAATTATTGTTGCTTCTCTTAATGACCCTTCAATCTCAAAACCTCAGTATGCTCATCCTCCTGCTCACTAGCCATCATCGCTCTGCACTCAATATTTTGCATATTTCTCCTCTATTCCATCGTCATTCTCTGCCCCACCATCCCTTGCCTGACTTTTATAATCATCTCGTCTTTGATTTTTCCATCTCCATTCTCTCCCTCATGCTAATCAATCCTACTCTTGCTACCACACATACATTCTTAATGCATAATTATAATCTTAAAACTCCTTATAAGCCTCCAATGAGGATGTAAAAACACTGAAATCATCATATGTTGTTGATGGGAATATATAAATGTGCAGCCACATTGGAAAACAGTTTGGTAATTCCTAAAGTTAAACAGGTTACCACATTACCAACACTTCTACTCCTACTTTATATATATATAAGATAATTAAAAACATGTATCTACACAAAATGTATAAACAAATGTTAATATTCATAGCAGCATAATTCATAACAGTGAAAAAGTAAAAACAACTGAAATGTCCATCAACTAATTAATGAATAAAATGTGATCTCTTCCTACAATGGAATATTTTCGGTCATAAAAAGGACACGTGGACACATGTTATAACATGGATGAACCTTGAAAACATGCTAAGTAAAAGAAGCCAGCCATAAAAGGCTACATATTGTATGATTCTACTTACGTGAAATGTGCAAAATAGACAAATCCATACAGACAGATAGTAAACTGATGGCTGCCAGGGGCTGGGGGAAGGATGGAATAGGAAGTGACTGGTAGTGGGTATGGGATTTATTTTGGGGGTGATGAAAACCTTCTGAAATTAGATACTGGTGATGAATGCACAACCTTCTGAATATGTTAAAACACACTGAAGTCTCCAATAGCTCCTCACCACCTGCAAAAAAACAAAACCCTAAATTTCCTGACTTGGTATATGAGACCCATTCTTCTATAGCCTCTCTTCATGCGTCCTATACCCAAGACTAAGTGAACCATTGCTCTTTTGAAGTCCTGGTATGCTTTTTTCCCCATGGCTTAGGGCATTTTTTGAATATCTTTGTTTCATGCATGATTACCATAATATGTCACATAGTATCGGTACTCTATGCCTGAATGCCCAGTAAAAAAGCAAACTATTTTTTTCAAAACACAGTATCCTTTAAATTTTGTATGTAGCAATCTCCATTTGAAACATGAACATGCTGAGATCCTTAAAATAAGAATAAGGCAGAATTGTGTGTGTTGCAAAGACAACATAAAATGCCATTACTGCAGCCATTAATAAGTAAGCACACATCTATGTATAATGCACACACAAAACCCACATATATACATACACACATACTGCTATGGTCTGAAGTTTTGTGTCCCCCTCAAATTCTTATGCTTAAATCCTAACCCCTAAGGTGATGGTAACAGGAAGTGGAACCTTTGCAAGGTGATTAGGTCATGAGGGCAGAACACTCCTGAGTGGGATTAGTGTCCTTAGAAAAGAGGTTGGAGAGATCTAATGTACAACATGGTGAATATACTTAACTACAACATATCGTATACTAGAAAAATGCCAAGAGACTGAATGTTAAATGTTATCACCACAAAAATGATAGCTATGTGAGGAATCATATATGTCACTTAGCTAGATTTACTCACTCCACTATACATATATATATACTTCAAAACATCATGTTGCACTTGGTAAATATATTCAATATTGTGTGTCAATTAAAAAAAATGAATATAATGATAAAAAGAGGTTTCTCAAAGGAGCTTGTTTGCCCTCCTTCCGTGGGAGGATGCAGCACAAAAGGGCCGTCCAAGAACCAGGAAGTGGGCCCCCATCAGACATTGAATCTGCTGGCACCTTAATCTTGAGCTCCCAGCTTCCAGAACTGTGACAAATAAATTTCTGTTGTTTACAAGCCACCAAGTTTATGCTATTTTGTTACAGCGGCTCAAACAGACTTAAACACATACATATACAATAAAGGAATGATCATATCTTATAAAGTCTTACTACTCTGTTTCCTCATACTGCTATCAGCAAAATCACTACTTTAGCAGCAATCTCAGAAAGAAAAATAAAACCCAGGAAGCACAGTTCTTGTACTTATGCACAGACATTTAAGCCTTAACTCCGTACCCTGTGCCTCTCACCTTGGTTTATGAGATATCCTTTCCTTTGCTTTTATGAGGATGCCAGTTCAATCTTTTTCCAGAAGTAGACCATTAAGCAGTCAATATCCGAAATGTACCCTAAATGCTTCCTCATATTTCCCTTTATCTGACTAATGGAATATGGAAAGCAATGTTTAACCAGGGAAAAAACATTTACTTCTACCTGGTAAAGCTTAAATTCCATTTAGTGCTCAGAACTTAAAGTAAAAAAAAAAAAAAAAAAGAAAAAAGAAAAAAAATTTCTATCACACCATAGTAAGTGAGCAAGAGGTAACTAGTAAGTATATGAAATTGAAGGAAAAATTGACTGAAAGTCAAAACATAGTCTAGGAAGGGAAACTCACTCCCAACGAACCATCATTGACAAACGCAGGTCAATTACTTCTTATTGAACTCTATGATACATAGTCATGATTTTCCATTTGTGCTCAAAACAGAAGCAACTTCAGCAAAAAATAGAATTGACAAGCATTGAAAGAGAACTGCAAATAGTTGAAGCAAGGGGAATGTTTTTCAAAACAAAAAAATGTTTTGTTTCCTCTTTCTACTTTTCTGTATTTTCTACAAGAGGACCTATTACTTTAAAAGTTTGTTTGTTTAGAAGAAATAAAGATAAGTCATGGGGGGATGAGGAAAGAGGAGATGTTGGTCAAAGCCAACAAAGTTTTGATCAGACAGGAGGAATAAGTTTTAGTGATCTATTGCCCACCATGGTGACGATAGTTAACAATGTGTTGTTTAATTCAAAATTGTTAGAACAGTGGATTTTAAATGTTCTCGCCAAAAAAAAAAGTATATGGGTAGTTAATATACAAATCAGCTTAATTTAATTATTCCACAAATGCATACACATCAAAACATTACATTGTACTCCATACATATAAAAAATTATTTGTCAATTAAAAAATAAGTGATTATAGATGACATGAGGCATGCATTACCCATCACAGTGGTAAAAATCCAGCTTCCCTGTGTCCTGACCTCTTATTCTGTTGAGCAAGCATATCACATTTAATCATGACAATTGCATTACAGATATTAGCGATATATAAAAATGTAAATAGGCTAAATGTAACTAACTTTGCTCTTACCACAACAGTGTTTTATCTATGTAGCAAAGCTTCCATGTCAACTTGTCAAGGCGCGTCACCTTTGGACAGTATACACAGACAAGATATTAAAAATAATGGAAAATTTATCACAATCACCATGCCCTCGGGTGATTTTTCCCTCAGAATGAGAAATGATGCATTTTTACAGTGTTAGAGATAAATACAGAATCATCATCACTATTTTAGGAAAGAAACAATACTCAGAATTGAATGTCATATTCTCAAGGAATCCACAAGTCATGTTTCCTTAGGGCATAGAACCATTAAGATGAATATAAAAGAATATCACTTGCTCCACTGATTTACATTCTTGCTTTAGTTACAGGATTTAAGAAATTATTCCGTACAACTTTTAATACTGCGTCTGAGGAAAAACAGAGGGAAACTAGACACTACGAGAGCCAATACATTTGCAGTCACAGAGTTCAATTACGTTTTTTTAAAATTAACTTATTCAATCCTCACAATAATTTTCCGAGTTACATATGTAGCATAATCCTCATGTTACAGTTGATCAGATAATTTCAGGCTATGGTAGAGCTTATTATATTGTGAGATTCCTCACCTCATGATTGGAGCTCATTGAGAGTAAGGACATTCTATACTAAACCTAAGTTGTCTAACTTCTGGGACATGGCTGATGCACTATAAATTTTATGGATCTAAGTGAATAAAATTTTAAAAAAAAAAACCTGAGTTCTTGGAGGGCTATGCACACAGAAGGAATAGATGAAAGAATTAAGATGCGAACCCAAGAATGTCTTTCCATTTTACCAAGCCATACTGGTAAAATGTTTATTTATATAATGGTACAAAACAAGCATTTGAGAAAAGCAAAGAAAAATGATTATCTTCCTCCAGTGATAGGTGGGAATCCTTCACATTTGTTCCTTTAACTGACTTCTCTCATAGGGAAAGTGGAAGAGCTAAAATTTAGATGCAGGTATTCTGGCCCCTGTGTTTCTCTAAAACCTCATAACCTACTATTGGCTAATCAAGTGTGTGTTGATCATTGCAGATTTTTATTTTTCAGAAACTCTAAAATTGTTTTTTAGAGTACTGCTACCAGGTTAGAGGTCAACTATCACTATTAAGTGATACAATACAACATTTTGAAAATTAATTACAGATCCTGGAGACTAAGAAGATCCATGTTATGTAGTTTAAAATGAGGTAAATGTATATTTCTATGAGCAATTTATAAATGGCTATTGTAAGTAATTTGAATGGTCATGGAAAATAAACTAGCTGAACTACATGCTATTCCTATACAGCTTTGGAACATTATGTAAATGAAAGCGATCTACTCATGGAATCCGAAAAACAAAGCTCTTGCACTATGTTTACTAATTAGAGGTTCATACACCTGAAAAGCTTGAAATTGTCACATTCACTTTAGTTTTCTCATCTGTAAAATAAACAACTTACTTTTCATGCTTTACATAATTGTTGTAAAAATGGATGATACATTATGTGAGAAAGATGTTGTAAACTTTAAAGTGTAATGCATATGACGGAGCTTATTACCTAACATCTTTCTACTTAAGCTGTGGTCACAGCGCAATGGCATCAACATTCCTAGGAAGTGAACTGATCCAAAGAATCTCAGACCCCATTCCACACTTACTGAATCAGAATATACATTTTACCCATATTGCCAATAGACTTATTCACATGTAAGTTGGATGGAAAGCAGTAATTTCACTACTTTCAAGATCCACTTTTATCATTCAATATTAAAAATGTTTTGATATCCCAATTATGTGATGTGAAACTTCAGCAAATCCATGGGCACTTATTTAGACAGATACATATATGGTGTTACTGTTTCATATTCTAATTAAGCATTCCTCTACATAACTGTTTTGGCATACACATATACTCTTGATGTATTTGTTTTTTGCATCACTGAAGCAAATTTTAGACTGCACATTTCTGGACGGCAAGGATTGCCTTCAAATACTTAGTTCAGTGCCTGATAAATATGTAAACTGCCTTGAGAAACAGTGATGACAGTATCATAATCTGACAATAATTAGAGAAAAAATGCTTTGGATGCACAACTAAGAGTAGGAAATTCTCAGAAACATTAATTCCAACTCACCTGGAAATAACAATTCACAGAATAGAAAAAAACCAAAAGGTTGCTAATATTCTTGAGCACCCACACTTCATTTTGATGAAATCTAATGTCAGACTAACCTAGAGTTTCAGGTGGAAGTAATCATTCTTTTTTTTAATCTCTTTATTTTTTACTGTCATAGGGTAACAGTCTCCATGTATAATTTTAATAGGATTAGAGGACACCTTGAAATGTAAGGAATGATCAATCAAATTCATATAGTGCATCAGCAATTGTGATCTCCCAGGTTGTGGAAATCAAGTTGAAAAATATAGATGGTAGACATAGTCCTGGAATTTTCAAAACAAGAAATGAAAGCTTTAATAAAATTAAACACTTTAAGCTAATGATGACCTACTTAAGAAAATCATTTACCTTTCTAATTTTTAAGCACTTGAATTAGTTTAGATTTATAGTCTCTAGACATTGCTAAATTTGATTAAATGTGAAAAACTTAAAGTTCACCTGTAAAAATGTCCTTGATTAATTTTATCTGTTAAGGGAAAACCTATACCATCCTCTCTGGCCTTGGAAATATCTCTGACAGAGTTCCGAATTCTTCTCTGTATTTTAAATATTGTTGATATATTATTGATGCAGGTTTCAGTCATGCTGAACAAACCTTAAAATGCATGGAAAATCTGAAAATGCCTATTTAGATAGGTCACAGGCCCCCCTTTTTTTTTACTAAGCTAAAATTTAAAAATCAGGAATCACAGAACATCAACAACGAGAAAAGAGGTTGAATTAGAGGTGCTCTGTAGAACTCCAAATAAACACTTTACATTTGTATTTTCATGCATTTAAATTAGGGCTGTTAAAATAAGAGCAGGTGGATATAAAACTATTAGGTTGGTGCAAAAGTAATTGCAGTTTTTGGCCAGGTGCAGTGGCTCATGCCTGTAATCCCAGCACTGTGGGAGGCAGAGGCAGGTGGACTGCTTGAGGTTAGGAGTTCAAGACCAGCCTGGACAACATGGTGAAACCCCATCTCTACTAAAAATACAAAAATTAGCCAGGGGTGTTGGTGGGTGCCTGTAATCCCAGCTACTTAGGAGGCTGAGGCAGGAGAATCGCTTGAACCCAGGAAGCAGAGGTTGCAGTGAGCCGTGAAGGTGCCACTGCACTCCAGCCTGAGCAACACAGCAAGACTCTGTCTCCAAAAAAAAAAGTAATTGCAGTTTTAGTTACTACGTTCAATAGGAAAAAAAAACAATACTTTTGCACCAACCTAATAGAAAACCATCGACTAGATTAATCAGCTCATACCATGTGAATTACTGACCAGTAGGAAACAGAGATCAAAGTCAGTGCTGCCTGCTACTTAGGAGATGCAAAGGTAATTCCTCTGATGGACTTCTACGTTCATTTCATTGCTCAACGACGTAGAGATAATTAATTCTTAACGAATATTCATTTGAAATAAATTCTGACAAGTGCTCCATAATCCTTCCAGAATTCAGTAATAAATCAAATACACCTTTTTTTTTCTTGTAACTTCCCATTGACAATGTCATATCATTAAAACCCAGGCTATATGTGGTAGCTCTTTCCCACTACAGTGAAAGACATTTCAATGGGAAATGAGCTTGTCTATTAAAAATATCTTCATTGTTGTTTTCTACCAATCTGTATCAACAGGTCATTTTCTTTCCTTTCTTTTTAAAATAGTAAATAAAGAAGGAATGATTATGATACTTCTTGCTCTCTAGGAGCCACGTCATAAATGCTTAATTAGGTATGCCAAAGTTATTTTTTCTAATAGAGTACAGAAAACTCTTAATAAAAGATCAGATTCATTGATGTATATGCACAATATCAGGAAAGAGTTCTCATAATTTGTATAATTCCATAGTCAACCCTAGCAAGTGAAGATTAATCAATGGTGGGCTCCCATGCACGTGTATTTATTTATTTATTTATTTATTTATTTATTTTTCTTTTCCACTTTCTTTTAGGTCCAGGGGGTACATGTGCAGTTTTGTTACTTTAGTACATTGCACATCACTGGGGTTTGGTGTACACATGATTTTGTTACCCAGATAGTGGCATAGTACTTGATAGGTAGTTTTTTTGACTCTCGCCCTCCTCCTACCCTCCACCTTCAAATAGGTCCCAGTGCCTACTGTTCCATTCTTTGTATCCATATGTACTCAATGTTTAGCTCTCACTGATAAATGAGAACGTGTGATATTTGGTTTTCTGTTCCTCTATTAACCTGCTTAGGATAATGGCCTGCAGCTTCATCCATGTTGCTGCAAAGGACATGATTTTGTTATTTTTTTATGGCTGCATAGTATTCCACGACGTACATGTGCCATGTTTTCTTTATCCGGTCCACTGTTGATGGGCATCTAGGTTGATTCCATGTCTTTGCTATTGTGAATAATGCTACAGTGAACATATTACTATGTGTATCTTTTTGGTAGGATAATTTATATTCCTTTGGGTGTACATTCACTAAAGGGATTGCTGGGTTCAATGATAGCTCTGGTTTAAGTTCTTTGAGAAATCTCTGGGCTGCTTCCCACAATGGGTGAACTACTTTACATTTCCACCAGGAGTGTATAAGCATTCCCTTTTTTCCACAACCCCACCAGCATCTGTTATTTTTTGACTTTTTGATAATAGTAATTCTGACTGGTGTGAAATGGTATCTCATTGTGGTTTTTATTTACATTTCTCTAATGTTAGTGATGTTGAACATTTTTCATATGCTTGTTGGCCATGTGAATGTCTTCTTTGGAAACGTGTCCATTTGTGTCCTTTGCCTATTTTTTAATGGGGTTGTTTGGTTTTTCTTGTTGATTTGTTTAAGTTTCTTACAGATTCTGGACATTAGACCTTTGTTGGATGCATAGTTTGCAATTTTCTCCCATTCTGTAGGTTGTGTTTATGCTGTTGATGGCTTCTTTTGCTATGCAGAAGATCTTTAGTTTAATTAGGTCTCGCTTAATCCATTTTTGTTTTTGTTGCAATTACTTTTGCAGACTTTGTGATGAAACCTTTGCCAAGGTCATGTCCAGAGTGGTATTTCCTAGATTTTTTTTCTAGGATATTTATAATTTGAGGTCTTAAATTTAAGTCTTTAATTTTGAGTTGATTTTTGTATATGGTAGAAGGAAGTGGCCCAGTTTCAGTCTTCGGCATATGGCTAGCGAGTGATCCCAGCACCATTTACTGAATAGGGAGTCCTTTTCCCATTGATTGTTAATGGGCAGCTTTGTCAAAGATCACATGGTTGTAGGTGTATGGCTTTATTTCCGGGTTATCTAATATTGGTCTATGTGTCTATTTTTGTACCACTACCATGCTGTATTTTACTGTAGCCTACTACTGTATCTATTACTGTCACCCTGTAATATAGTTTGAAGTTTGATAGTGTGATGCCTCTGGCTGTGTTCATCTTGTTTAGGATTGCTTTGGCTATTCCAGCTCTTTTTTAGGTTCATATGAATTTTAGAATTTTTTTTCTAATGCTGTGAAAAATGACATTGATTGATAAGAATGGTATTGAATCTGTAAATTACTTTGGGAAGTATGATCATTTTAGCAGTATTGATTCTTCCTGTCCATGGGCATTGAATGTTTTTCTTTTTGTTTGTGTCATCTCTGATTTCTTTCAGCAGTTTCTGCAATTCTCATAGAGTACTTTCCCCTCCCTGGTTAGCTGTCTTCCTAGGTACTTGATTCCTTTTGTGGCTATTGTGAATGGGATCAAATTCTTGATTTGGCTGCCAGCTATTGTTGAGCTACTAATTGTTGTACATTTATTTTGCATCCTGAAACTTTACTGAAGTTGTTTGTCAGTTCTATGAGCTTTTGGATGGAGACTATGAGGTTTTCTAGGTATAGAATCATATCATCTGCAAAGGGAGATAATTTGACTCCCTCTCTTCCTATTTGGATACCTTTTATTTATTTCTCATGCCTGATTGTTCTGGGTAGGAATTCCAGTACAATGTTGAATAGGAGTGGTGAGAGTGGGCATCTTTGTCTTCTTCCAGTTGTCAGGCGGAATGCTTCCAGCTTTTGTCCCTCCAGTATGATGCTGGCCATGGGTTTGTCAAGATGATTCTTATTATTTTGAGGTATGGTCTTTCAATGGTTAGTTTGTTGAGAGTTTTTAAAACAAAGGGATGTGATGTTGAATTTTATTAGAAGCCTTTTCTGTGTCTATTGAGATGATCATGTAATTTTTGCCTTTAGCTCTGTTTATGTGATGAATCGCATTTATTGATATTCATATGATGAGCCAATCTTACATCCCAGGACTAAAGCCTGCTTTATTGTGGTGGATTAGCTGTTTCATGTGCTGCTGGATTTGGTTTGCTGATATTTTGTTGAAGATTTTTATATCTATGTTCATCAAGGATATTAGCCTGAAGTTTTCTTTTTCCCTCGTGTCTCTGCCAGGTTTTGGTATCAGAATGATGCTGGCCTCATAGAATGAGTTAGGCAGGAGTCCCTCCTCCTTTATTTTATGGTATAATGTCAGTAAAATTGGTACCAGATCTTCTTTATACATCTGGTAAAATTTGGCTGTGAGTCCATCTGGTTCAGGGTATTTTTTAGTTTGTATGTTGTTTATTACTGATTCAATTTCAGAACTCGTTATTGGCCTGTTCAGGATTTCAATTTATTCCTGATTCAATCTTCGGAGGTTGTATGTTTTCAGGAATTTATCAATTTCTTCTAGATTTCTGGTTGTTTTTTTGAGACGGAGTCTCCCTGGGTCGCCAGGCTACAATGCAGTGGCGCAATCTTGGCTCACTGCAACCTCCACCTCCCAGGTTCAAATGATTCTCCTGCCTTAGCCTCCTGAGTAGCTCTTTCCATTTCTTTCAGGAATGACAGGTGCATGCCACCACACCCAGCTAATTTTTGTGTTTTTAGCAGAGATGGGGTTTCACCATGTTGGCCAGGATGGTCTCGATCTCTTGACCTTGTGATCTGCTTGCCTCAGCCTCCCAAAGTGCTGGGATTACAGGCGTGAGCCACTGCACTTGGCCTCTTCTAGGTGTTTTAGTTGGTGTGCAGAGAGGTGTTCATAATAGTCTCCGGGGAATTTTTGTACCTCTGTGGGGTCAGTAGTAATGTCACCTTTGTCATTTCTGATTGTGTTTATTTGGATATTCTTTCATTTTTATTAATCTACCAAGTGGTCTATCAATCTTACTTATCCATTCAAAGAACCAGCTTTTGGGCTTGTTCATCTTTTATATGAATTTTCATGTCTTAATTTCATTCAGTTCATCTCTGATTTTGGATATTTCTTTTCTTCTGCTAGCTTTGGGGTTGGGTTACTCTTGTGTTTCTAACTCCTCTAGTTGTAATGTTAGGTTGTTAATTTCAGATCTTTCTAACTGCTTGATGTAGGCATTTCATGCTATAAACTTTCCTCTTAGCACTTCTTTAGCTATGTCCCAGAGATTCTGTTTGTTGTATCTCTATTTTCATCAGTTTCAAAGAAATTTTTGATGTCTGCCTTAATTGCATTCTTCACACAAAAGTCATTCAGGGGCAGGTTGTTTAATTTCCATGTAATTGTATGGTTTTGAGAGATTTTCTTGGTATTGATTTCTATTCTTATTTTGCTGTGTTCTGAGAGTGTAGCTTGTATGATGTCATTTTTTTTTGAATTTATAGAGAATTGCTATATGGCCAAGCATGTGGCCAGTCTAAGTGTAAGCGCCATGTGCTGATGAGAATAATGTACATTCTGTTGTT
The DNA here is from genome assembly GCF_000001405.40 of Homo sapiens. Taxonomy (NCBI): domain Eukaryota; kingdom Metazoa; phylum Chordata; class Mammalia; order Primates; family Hominidae; genus Homo; species Homo sapiens. The sequence continues at coordinate 192,236,340 of NC_000003.12, forward strand.
GTTAGATACAGTATTCTCTAGATGTCTCCGAATTCCATTTGATAAGTGTGGAGTTTACATTTGATATATCTTTGTTAGCTTTCTGCCTTCATGATCTGTCTAATACTGTCACTCGGGTGTTGAAGTCTGCCACTATTATTGTTTGATTATCTAAGTCTCTTTATAGGTCTGCAGGAACTTTTATGAATCTTAGTGTTCCAGTGTTGGGTGCATACATATTTAGTATAGTTTTCATGTTGAATTGAACCCTTTATCATTATGAAATTCCCTTATTTGTCCCTTTTGATCACTGTTGGCTTAAAGTCTGTTTTATCTGAAATAATAATAGCCACACCTGCTCTTTCTTGCTCTCCCTTTGCTTGATCTTTCTCCATCCCTTTACTTTGAGCATATGGATGTCATTGCATGTGAGATGGATCTACAGTTGGGTCTTGCTTTTTTATACAACATGACACTCTGTGTCTTTTAAGTAGGGGCATTTAGTACCTTTACATTCAAGGCTAATATTGATATGTGAGGATTTGATCCTGTCCTCATGTTGTTAGCTGGTTATTATGTAGACTTAATTGTATAGTTACTTTATAGTGTCAGTGGGCTATGTACATATGTGTGTTTTTGTGGTGGCAGGTAATCATCTCCTGTGTTTATATTTAGCACTCTTTTAAGAATCTCTTATAAGGCAAGTCTGGTGGTAACAAATTCCCTTAGTGTTTGCTTGTCTGAAAAAGATTTTATTTCTCCTCCATTTAAGAAGTTTGGTTTGTCTGAATATGAAATTATTGGCTGAAATTTCTTTTCTTTAAAGATGCTGAATATAGGACCCTGATCTCTTCTGGCTCATAAGGGTTCTGCTGAAAAGTGCACTATAGCCTGGCGGAGTTCCCTTTGTACATAACCTGCCCCTTATTTCTAGCTGTCTTTAAGATTTTTTTCTTCCACATTGGTTTCGAAGAATCTGATGACTACGTGTCTTGGGGATGGTCATCTTGTATAGTATTTTGCAGGGGTTCTCTGAATTTCCTGAATTTGCATGTTGATCACTCCAGCAAGGTTGGGGAAATTTTCATGACCAATATTCTCAAATATGTTTTCCAAGTTGCTTGTTCTCTTTCCATCTCTTTCAGGAATGACAACGAGTTACAGGTTTGGTCTCCTTACATAATCTCATATTTCTCAGAGCTTTTGTTCATTTTTCAAATTCTTTTTTATTTTTGTCTGCCTGCATTGATTCCAAAAAACAGTCTTCGAGTTCTGAGACTTTTTTCCCTCAGTTTGATCTATTCAGTTATTAATGCCTCCAATTGCATTATAAAATTTCTGGAGTCAATTTTTCATCTCCAGACATTCAGTTTGTTTCTTTCTTAAAATGGATGTGTACTCTTTCAACTCTTGGACTGTTTCACCGTGTTCTTGGGATTGGGTTTCAACCTTCTCCTGTAACTATATGTGGTTCCTTGTCATTCAGCTCCTGAATTCTGTATCTGTAATTTCAGCAATTTCATTCTGGTTAAGAACCATTGCTGGGGAGCAAGTTGTAGTCATTTAGACTCAAGAAGACACTCTGGCTTTAAGAATCATTAGAGTTCTTGCACTAGTTCTTATCTGTGTGGACTGATGCTCCTTTGGTATTTGAAGCTGCTGTCTTTTGGATGGGGCTTTTTGCTTTTCTATTATTTGATGCTCTTGAGGTTTTGACTATGGTATAAATTGGGTTTCATGGATTGGTTTCAATTCTGAATGCTTTTCTGGAGCCAAAGCTCACCTCAGCACTCTTGGGCTGCATGCTGTAATCCTGGGGGATGGGGGATTAGTCCTGTGGCTTTGCTCTCTGGCCCCTTGAGATTAAGCACCTGCTGTGCTGGAGGTGCTGAGGTGTTCCCAGTTCACTTGCAACAACACTCTGGCAGGGGCTGCTGGCAAAATTGCTCCAGTGGGGCAGTGGGAGTCTCCACACACATGTGCACCAATGGAGGAGGCTGCAGGCGAGTACGCATCAGTAGGGGGAGGCTGAGGGTGGGTGTGCACTGGCAGGGAAAGACTATGGGCAGGTATGCACTGACAGGGGGAGGATGCAAGCAGGTACGTGCTGGCAGGGGAGGTCATGGTTGGAGTGTGCCAGCAGGGGGAGACAATGGGTGGATGCATAATGGTAGGGGTCCACCAGGTCGTTTTCTTACTCCAAGTTTCAGTTTTGTTAACCTGTACTATAAAATGACTGAACTGTAATTTTTAAAGTTTTCTTAAGCAGAAAGACTTCAATTATTTTATTTGATGTGCCACTGGACAGACTTGTAAATGGAAGCTCAAGGAATTCAGTGAGTTGTCTCTGGAAAAGAGCAGAGCAGGTAATCCCAGGCTTTTGTGTTACATGTATATTGCTCTTTCCATCATCTTATGGCTGCTTCAAAGGTTCCTCACAGGTCCAAAGTTTACTCTAACTCAGTGAATTCCTTTGGTCATTCCACATGTAATCCTCCTGGAGCACATTATCAATGGCAATCTTTGGACAGTGCTAGGCCTATCAATGGTGAACCTGGGATGGCTGAAGCTCATGCTGAGTCAAGTCTATACTAATCTAATTCTCCCAAATGTGATGGGAAGTGCATTTTCCACAAACAGTACTCATCTTGGAAAGTAGACCAGCATCCTAATAAAAGCAGAGATTTTAGTGTAATACAGGTTAACATTCCAATCCCACAGAATGGGCTTGCTTAGTGTATAACTTTTCCTAGTCTTCATACTTACGAAAAGACATGAGGTCTATGTGTAACATGTAGAAGTGTACATGGCCCAAAATATAAATTGAGCCCAAAAAATATCTGCAGGATACATAAAAAGCTAGCTCTTTTCTATTCTCTATTTGGTTTGCATACAAATGGTAGCATCCATGCACTTTAATGTTATTCAAAATGAACAATAGAAAAATCCATGGAAACTTGTCCATTTTGTTTGCATTGATGTTTCCAGAACTACTGATTTTGATAGATTTGTTTTTCCATTAAAGAAGTAGGAACAAATCCCTGATCTCTTACACTGAATTGTGGTGAACAGAGTAAGATGGGAAATTGCTCTTTTAATACCAAATTGGGACAAAGCCGTTAATTATGTGAAGCTTATTCTAACAATAGCTCTTCAAGTGTGTGATGGACCAGGGGCCCCCAACTCCTGGGCCACAGACTGGTACTGGTCTGTGGCCTGTTAGGAACTGGTCACACAGCAAGAGGTGAGCAGCGGGTGAGTGAGCACTACTGCCTGAGCTCTGCCTCTTCCTGTCAGATCAGCAGTGGCATTAGATTCTCATAGGAGCATGAACCCTATTGTGAACTGTGCATATGAGGGATCTAGGCTGAGCGCTGTTGGTGAGAATCTAACCAATGCCTGTAAATCTGAGATGAAACAGTTTCATCTGGAAACCATCTCCAACCCCCAACTAGTCTGTGGAAAAATTGCGTTCCAAGAAACTGGTTTCTGGTGCCAAGAAGGTTGGGGACTGTTGTGATAGACTACTAATCCTGCTAATGGGGTAACCCAAGTCACAACTAAGTTTAAGGTTGGAAAGCCCCAGTAAATATCTGAGGTCTTAGTGAAACAGGGTAAGATGAAAGGTGAGAAAAAGTTGTATTAGACACTATGGGTGCAGGGGGGAAGATCCCAGAAATAATAGTCTTTGAATGAAAGTCCAAGATATGACCTTCTTGGTAGAGAAAAACTCAACCAGGAAAGTTGTCTTATACATTTTTCATAGATGTTGTGCATGTTGAATCCCCACCCTTATGGTAATCCATTAGTATGCTGAAGGCTCAGAGGAAATAGTACAAAACAGATGCATTCATGCTTCATTTTTCCATATGTTTGTTATTCAACACCACACGATGACTGATAGATCCCATATCTAATTACCATATACTGGAGAGCTTTCTGGATTTTTCCAGCCCAGCAGTGACAATAATTGCCATTCAAGAAAAGATAAATCAATGTTATAATAATAATACAATGACTTATCTGATTTCCCCTGTTATTTTTTTTGGAATATCAACTTTTCACTGAATTTAAGATGATTTTCTGATAAAATTATTATTTTTTTGCTCTGAAAACCAATATAAATATGTTTATCTGCTACAATAAGAATGATAACATGCAACAATAAATGTAAACTTAGCTGTTATATGCAAAAGATTTTGCTAGTTGCAAGAAATAAAAAGACATCAGAAGTAGTTGTTGACTTCAAACTGCTCAGAATCTGGTAAAATAGATGACCTAGTGCACAGTGATTATCTCACCCAATGTCCCATTATCACCCAGCTGTATTCTGTTCCTTTTCCAGTCCTCATGCTCTAATTATTTAAGACTCAGCTTAAATCCTATAAATATCTTGGTCTGATATTTTGTCAGAAGACATATCTCCCCCCAATTTCTCAGAGGTCTTTATCTCTACTTTGTATGTTATTTGTAATTTTTTATTTTATGATACTATCATGCTTTTCACCATAACAAAGCAAAGCCTCTATTTTTTCTTAAGTTGTATCTTATTAAAGCAACTAACCTAAAGGGTAAGGAAAGGACTTCTTTGAGCTTTCAGGAAATAAGAACAAGCCAATTACGAGGAGGGAAAAAATAAAGCTGACCTTAGATATCTACACAGCAACATTTAATTCTAGAATACAGTGAATCAATGCCCACAAAATATTCAAGGAAAGAAAAATATAATCCAAGTCTTTAATATCTAGCCACAGTGTTCAAGTACAAATACAAACAAAACCCAATTTTTAACATGTAAGAATTCAGGGAATACTATTCCCATGAGTTCTTGCTGAAGAAGAATTTCACTGAACAGAAAGATATTTTTGGAAAGACTATATAAAAAGATTAGTACTGAAATTTGAATCTATACATTTGTTGAACAATGATTTAAACATATGCAAGGATTAAGGTGACAGAAGAGAATGTAAATGTTAAATGACTGGGTGGGAGAGTGATAAGTATGGTAATTTTCTCACTTATAATACCAGGAGTTAAAGGATATTTTCAATACTTCAAAATAAGTAATGTGAATATAAATGTATTTAATATCTCAAAGGAAAACACTACAAAGATTATGTAATTAACCGAAATCAAGGGGATAAGAGGAAAAAGCAGTATAAAGAAAAACAAACATACTAATTCCATCACTGATTATAGTGGAGAATCAAAAACAGTTTGAAGAAACAGGGGATTTAGGGTATAAAAATTATATTAGATCAAGAATACCAACTTTCTAATGAGCAGAAGCAGCACTCTCTCTCTCTCCAAAGTAGGTAAAAAGGAAATACAAAAAGCTTTAAAGATGGGAAAGGATAACATGAAATTCTATGCTAGAATTAAAATTAAATACATCTCCCCTATTGATAGTTCCATGAGGGAAAGGATGTCTGCTTGTTCTGTCCATTGCTGTGTCCCGAGCACCTGGAACATTGCCTGGCTCATGACTGCAGGCAAAAATTTCTTTAAGGAATGAAATTCATACGGCTAAATTCACATAATAAAGAAAAAGGCTTTCAAGTTACTTCAAATAACAAAACCAACTGTTCTTGAGTATATCTTCAATCAAAAAAGAGATCAAGACCAAAATTACAAGACTTTTAGAGACAAATAATAAAAATACGTTGCATCAGTATTTATGGGGTACAGCTGAGGCAGTGTTCAGAAAAACAAATCACTGCATTAAATATTTATGTAAGGGAACAAGTAAAAAGAAAAACACATTAAGCATTCATATTCAGAAATTAGTTAAAAATCATGAAACCTAAGGAAAGTAGAAGGAAGAATATTGCAATGATTAAAATAAATTGATGAATTAGAAACAAAAGAGTAGGACTAGTAAATAAATACAAAAGTAGGTTCTTTGAAAAAATATAATAATATAAATAAGTTTTAGCTGCCAGGATATTTCCACTTCGGTACTTAAGGAAGATAATTTTTGTTGTGGGAGCTGTCCTGTTCATTATGGGATGAGCAGCATCCCTAGCCAGATGCCAGTAGCCCTCCCCTTCCTAGTTCTAGCAACCAAAAGTGTTTATGAACATTGCCAATTTTCCCCTTGGGGGTATCAAAATTGTTCCAATTGAGAACCAAATTGTTCCAGTTGAGAACCACTGAAGTAGCCCAGTCAAAAAGGAAAGGAAGAAGCACAAACACCCAATATAAGAAATAATAAGCAAGTAATGATCAGTCAGGGAAAATTTTAAAAATCAAAGGCTATTTTAATAAACTCTACAAATTAATATGAAACCTGAATATAAAGCATAATATTATATTAAAGTAAAATTAACAAAAATAGAAAATGTAATATATGAATTACCAAAGGAGGAAACTTGCCAAAATCCAATCATCTCAAAAAAAAGTTAAAACCAGTCCTTACTACAATGCTATTTGACCCTTCCAGATACACTTGGCCATATAATTTAGTAAAAGAAAATAACCTTAGAAAAAGATTAAGAAGACAAAAATTAGTATTATTGTTTACAGGTGCAATTTAATTTTGCTGATATTATTGTTTACCTGGAAAGAAAAGTATATTTTACTGAGCAACTATGAAAAATAGTAAGAAAATTTAGTCAGTTAGCTCAGTATAAAATTAAAAGACAGAAATCATTTTCCTTTATGTATACAAATAACCTCTATTATATAGAAGATCATGGTGGAAAAACACATAATATTCAGGAATAATACTGATAGTTAATTTTCAGGATCTATATTTAGAGACTATCAAAATACTTCTGAGGTAATCAAAACAATACCAGGTACTTAAACAGGCAGATTCAACTTCATAAAGATGTTAACCTTAAATATATCTATAAATAAAATACCAAAAGAAAATCTGAGAGAACTGAAAAACCTAATGCTAACATTAATATAGAAAACAAAATCAGAAAGAATAACTAGGATGATCATGAAAACGAAGAGCAATTTGGTGTGGGATGTGGAGATTAAAAGAAGAGGTAGACTTGCTGTTATTAAAAAATAAAGTAAAGCTACAATAATTAAATCAGTGTGTTATTGGCACATGAATAAACAGTCATAAAATTGGAACAGCCTGGGTAGTACAGAAGTCCAAATAAGTAAAGCATATATGTATATTCAAGGTAGCATTTAACACTAAGGGGAAAAAGATAGTTTATTTAAAATATTGTGGTAAAACATTAGGGCAGCTTTATGGAAAAAAAAAAAAAACTCAAGTAAATTCCCTTTACAGTATATCCAACTTAAGCATAAAATTTTAAACAATAAATTTACTTCAGGCATTTTAATGACTTTAAATGACAACGGAATAGGAAGGTATTCCTCAGTAGGAGATTTTAAAATCTCAGAAACTATAAAAAAAAGATTAATAAAATGTTAACATCATTATGTTGTTGAGTCTGTCAAACACACGGTACTTATGAAAATGCAAAAATTTTTGTATTACTTAAAATGCCATAAACCAATCAAAAGGTAAAAAGTGGGAAGCATTTGCAAGGGCTAACTTTCCGAATATAAAAGGGTTCCTTCAGAAAGATAAGTGAAAGACCAAGATCCAAATAAGAACAAAAGCAAGGATAGGTGACAAGTAAAACAAAATTAAAATAAAATCAGCTATTGGCTATTCTCCTACAATATGCTAAAACCACATATCATAAATAAAGTAAAAATTAAAACTATGATGAATAGAATTTTTTATCCATCATATTTTTTAAAATTACATAACTCACTGTGCTAGTGAAAGTGCAGAAAAATTGGCACTGTCGTGTCATATATTTCTTTATTGAGTGTAAATACTATATCTAGGGAGATCGATTTGGCATTATCTAGCAAACTTACAAATATTCTGCTTTCTGCTCTACTTTTAGAAATTTACTCTGCAGATATACTATAAAATGTGCAGAATACTGATGTATAACTATATTATTTATAATAGCAAAATATTGAGGCAAACTTTCAGAAATATGGGACTGATGAAATCACGTATGTCACAGTCTATGGTATAATACCACATAGCTTTTAAAAAATACAGAAACTCCCTGTGTACTGATTCGGAATAATCTCCAAGAAATATTAAGTGGAAAGAGCAAAATGGAGTGATAGTGTGGACAGTGGCTATCTTTTCTAACAAAGAGAGGTAAATAGACATATCTACTTATATGGGTATAAGCAAAAAGTAATAATAATAATAACTCCAGCTGACAAATAAGAAAATTGTAATATTGATAGCCTATAGAAAAGTGGCTATAGATAGGCAGAATGAGATTGTTCAATTTATCTTGTATCTTATGGTTGTGAGTTAAGTGAATGTATTATCTGTTCAAAGGGAAATAAATTGTTTCAAAATAGTTGACAAAAGATTATTATGATAAACCTGAAAGAAGATATGCACAGTATGATCAACAAATGCTGATTTTGAAATCCAGAATACTATCCCACATGAGTCATATTTTGTTAATTTAAAATTCATGTTGACAGATGAACACAACAGATGAAGCTATTAATGCAGCTTTACCTTACTGACCCAGAGCCCTTCGAGTCTGAGTTTCCTCTGGACCAAGTGGTTATCTTCTCTATACAGACTGGGGATTCTATCTCCCAAGCATGCAATTAACTGCCCCTTTTGAATATTCTATTCCAAGACTCATTGCAACTATGATACTCTTTTCTTTTAAGTGTGAGCCTCAGAAACAATTAAGCAAGAAATAATCGTGCATTTGCATAAGCCCAACTTACTGTGTTTTTTTGTTAGTTTGTTTGCTTGGGACTTTCTCTGAGAAGCAGGAACTCGTTTTGTCATCCAGGCTGGAGTGCAGTGGCATGATCAAATCTCACTGCAGCCTTGAACTCCTGGGCTCAAGCAATCCTCTCATCTCAGCCTCCCAGGTAGCTAAGACCATGAGCACATGACACCATGCCCGGCAATTTTATTTTGTTTTATTTATTTATTTATTTATTTTTCAGAAAAATGGGGTCTCGCTATTTTACCCAGGCTGGTCTCAAACTCCTGGCCTCAAGTTATCCTCCTGCCTTGGCCTCCCAAAATGCTGGGATTACAGGTGTGAGCCCCCATGCCCGGCCAAGGACTTACTGTTTACTCAGCAAACATTTATTGGGCATCAATTAGCTATTGGCATAATCATAACACTTCCTCCTACATGTGAGCATCAGAAATATTTAATCAGGAAGTAATTATGCATTTGCATAAGCACAATTTACTCTTTAGTCAATGAATATTTAATGGCCATCAATTACATGCCAGGTAGCATGGAAGGTACTGGAAACAGAGAAAGACATGTTCCTTGCCCTTAAATAATTTGCATGGTAATCATTATTCAGGGAGACAAGAATATAATAGAATTTAATACAATTTGGTCCATGTTAGAATAGTAGCCACAAATCATAAGAATGGCAAGAGGCTAGGAGAAGGAGGCAGTAACAATGCCTGGGGAGACTCAGAGAGGGCTTTACAAAACAGAGGAAGTTTTACTTCTACTAGACTGTCTAGAATTATAAGTGACAGACAACAGAGTCCTTGCTTTTTCGGACCCTAATGCTAAAAGACTGAATAAATGTAATAGTAAAAAAGTGATTAGTAGGACAATTAAGTTTTAAGTTCACATTAAACTTTAAAAAACACTTAAAAACTTAAAAAACATTAAAATTAAAATGGAATTCCTAGTTCGTTGATATCTCATCACATTACAAAATTCTGTTTTTAATAACATCAGAACATAAACATAACTTCAAAACATTTACCGGAAATAATAGCTTTAGTTTTAAAATGCTTCCTCCAAAAGCATGTTCCAATTCAAGGCAAGGCTCATAAACTAAATGAATTTTAAAATTTATATTTTAGAATTATAATTACATACTTGATTACATATTTAGTATGAGTTTATAAAAAAAGAAAGCAAAAGGATCACTGTGACAACAGGTGACATCAAGAACCACTTGGAACAATAAAAGGGAAAGAAATTAATCTTTAACATAAGTGGAGTAAATATAAATGGGCCAAACATTATACTGAATTTAGTGGTGCTGCCCATGGAATTCTGGAAGTCTTAAGATGTTGTAGATAGATATACACTTTCCTTGACTCAAGATAGCATAAGTACTTATTTTTTCAGATAGTATGCAGGCTTTTCCAGGTAGGACCTGGTTCTAATTGACATAAATATAAAAGTGATAAGAAAGCCTAAAGCTGCCGGGTGTGGTGGCTCACTCCTGTAATCCCAGAACTTTGGGAGACCGAGGTGGGTGGATCACCTGAGGTCAGGAGTTCTAGACCAGCCTGGACAACATGGCGAAACCCCATCTCTACTGAAAACACAAAAAATTAGCCAGGTGCAGTGGTGGACGCCTGTAATCCCAGCTACTCAGAAGGCTGAGGCAGGAGAATCGCTTGAACCCGGGAAGCAGAGATTGCAGTGAGCCAAGATTGTGCCACTGTACTCCAGCCTGGGTGACAAGAGTGAAACTCCGTCAAAAAAAAAAAAAAAGGAGAGAGAGAGAGGAAAGAGAGAGAGAGAGAAAGAAAGAGAGAGAAAGAGAGAGGAAGAAAGAAGAAAGAAAGAGAAAAAGAAAGAAAGAAAGAAGGAAAGAAAGAAAAAGAAAAGGAAAGAGAGGGAGGGAGAAAAGGCAGGGAAGGAAGGGAGAGAAAGAAAGAAAGAAGGAAGGGAGGGAGGGAAGGAAAGAAGGAAGGAAGGAAGGAAGGAAGGAAGGAAGGAAGGAAGGAAGGAAGGAAGGAAGGAAGGAAGGAAGGAATATCCTAAAGCAACTCTCAGGAAACAAAACAGAATGTTGAGGAAAGGAGACTGGTGATGTGCAATGGTGCTAAGACTTGCTGATGGGAAACATTTGTGTAGCACAAACCCAAATCTGTAGGCATGCTTGCAGCCTAATCCCAAATAGTCAACAAGCAGATGCACTCATCTGCCATCCCCAGAGACTTCAGCACTGAAGAGTTGTTTCGTCACTGTAGAGTATCAAATTGGTGAGTAATTTTGCCCTTCTACCTGGCTAAAAAAACATTCATTCAGTTTCTACTAGCTTAAAGGTCACTGTATTTTGCAGTCACCCATGCATGCAATCAGATATGGCTCAATGGACTCTGCTCACCTCACAATCATGAATACAATATGATTTAAAGGTCAGCCAACTTGCATTCTGTCAAAAGAGCATAAGGAGAGAATTTCAGCTATGTGGGTCTATATGATGGCACATATTTTGCTGACAGTTTTCTGAATCCACACCTAGCGATCACTGGCAGGAGATGACAGTTCAAGGTCAATAATTTAATAAATCATTTCATTATATAGTTATTGATTCTACCACTTTTAATAAGGAATGTATGCAAAATTGAAGACGTTAAGTCTGGGAAAGATTTATAGAAAAAACAGTCAACAGCTTCTGTGTGGCTTCCAGGAGAGATGAAGGCCAAAAGAGTGAGGTAGAATTTTGCTCTAAATAAGACTTTACCAATAATAAGGGATATTGAAAATGAAAAGTATTTAGCTTCTGAAAGTAGTGTTCCTGACATATGGTTAAGCCAGATGGTGGATTAACACATATTGTAATGTCTAAAAAATTAGGACTTTTTAAATTGGGGCCCACATACTGCTTAAGAAATTGAGCTATCTGACCCTTCAAGACTTTCTTATTTTATTCTCTATGATCAGCCATGAGAGTTCTAAAGGGGGAATAAATGGTTCAGCAAATTTTATCTTGTTCCAATATACTATCTAGAATCAACGGAACCAAACTATGAACATCTACTTCCTCTAGGACAAATTTCATCAAACCATTAGTTATAATACACATGTTCAAAGGAGCTGAGATAAAAATTACAAATGGCAAATTAATAAAACAGCCATTAAGGAACTTGGACATAGTTAAAGTGTACATTGAACTGAAACATGACCATGGAGAACAACCTTGACAATATGTTATTTGAAGCTATTTTCAGATGTATAGATGTGGCCCAATATGGCACTTTTCATATTCTCCATGCAGCTGCTTTCACCTATCCTGACATCTTCAAGTTATCTGAATTTAAGAAGTATCACTATTCATGTTGCACAATTACTAACACTGAATATACTTATCACATTCTCTGGCATGTGGCTTTAAGCTATCCTGGGTATTCAGACAGTTAAGATTCTTGGATGATCCCAAAGTTTCCCTTTAATTATTTGTAGCAGTCTTCTGGACTAATAATACTTATAAAACCTTGGGAATAGCCTATGCAACATAGTGAGACCCCGTCTCTACAAAAAATAAAAACAAAAAATTAGCCAGGTGTGATGGTACACGCCTGTGGTCCCAGCTACTCATGAGACTGAGGCGGGAGGATGACTTCTGCCCCGGGGGGATCCAGGCAGCAGTGAGCGGTGATTACACTACTGCATTCCAGCCTGGGCAACAGAGAGAGACCCTGTCTCAAAATAAATACACAAATATATAAAATCCTAAGAGTTAATTCTTTAGAAAGCATTTTATTTTAGCTTAACACAATTAATTTGATCTATCAGAAAACCCTACCTGCTTGATGAGCCATATTTACTATCATCACTCTCTGTCTACCATTACAATCAGTGATTATTGATTGGGTTAGTGAAGAGTTTTGAATAGTTTTAACAACTGTTTTGGCGCTCAAATTGAGACTTGATTAACAAATGCAAAACTAGTCAACCATGACTAAAATGAAACTGCTTCAATAATTACATAATGAAGATGGTAGCGAGTTTTTATTATAAGGGCTATGTAAATGCAGCCCACTGTACTATTATAATATTAATCACAAGTTTTTTGAGGAAAGGTATGTGATATAACTCCCATCCAAGGTCCCTAGCAGAATGTCTTTCACAAAGCAGATGTTCATTAAATGACAGCTGAATAATAAAACACTATTATAGAGAACTCAAGTATGAATCTAGTATTTCATTTTAAAAACTTGTCTGATTATACTTACATATACAATACTGCATGCAGCAGCTACTCGATAAACGTGTGTAAAAGATTAAGTTTGGTCAAACAATTGCTCTGAATCAAATTTGTGATATAATTCCTGACTCAGCCCCCACAGAATATTTAAAATATAGTAATACAGTAAAATAATTTTTCCACCACTTCATGAACAGTCAGTAGGGTCTTGAATGCTACCTTTCAATATGCAATATGGTGGCCTTAGGAAGAGAGGAGTTTTTTTTTTCTCAACACGTAGAATCAGGGTCTTAAGAATGACTTTGTGAAAACTCCAGCTTTCGTTGCTAGGGAACATTGATTGTTTTCCATGGTGCTTGTAAAGGCATTATTTGCCCTGATTCTTTTGATGAGTTGAGACTGTTCACATAGTAACTTCAGAATGGAAAGAACAAACCCCTCTCTTCCTCTGGTGGCACTTTGCCTACTGTCAGACTACAAAAGGGAGAGGCATGTGAGGTGACCCTCTCAATGTTGTCTGAACAATGAGGCAATCATTACAACTCACATTCTATCAGTTTTTATGTGACACTGACCAAAGGCAATTTGGGGCTCCTTTCAAGCAGTTTGCATCAAAAAAACGTTGAATGGCATTGTCACCAGGACTACACTACAACAAAAAGCAACGATTGAGAAAGGCTGGTGTCTAACTAGAAGACAAGAGTGCTTTAGATATGGAAGCCATTGCTCTGATATTTTAAAATACATTTTTAAAACAACCTTATTATCGATTCATTTATACAGTCAACTCCATTCTGCTTAGTACTCGAAGTGTGCACTCATGTGGATAATCTAAAACATTGAGAATTCAAATAACATTTATATTAAATCTGACATAATAACCTAACGTTTTAGGGTATGCCTAAATTTGCCTTTCTATTTCTGTTTATTCTGGTAACTTTTGAATTTGGTTCTCTGGCCCTGGAAATGCCACATTTAGCCAAAGAAAAACAGTTTTGATTAGGGGATAGCATTAATCATTAGCTAGTTAAGTGTACACTAAGGAAAAATTAGAGTCATTATTTTGATGAGTTGTGCATAAGTTATGGTCAGCACAAGAAAACAGGGCACCTGTTCATATTTGGTCACCAAAGAATGTTCTACATTTAATTAACCACTTAATATTTACACCTTGAGAAAAAATTATGCCACAATACAAGCATAAGTGTTTTTGATAAATATTCAAATATTAGAAAAATATATTAAGATTTAAATATTTCAAGTTTGTTTCAGCCATAAAATTCTGATCATACTCTCCCTATCTACCTAATTGCTGCTAACAATAATTCAAATGCCAATAATGATATATTTAGATAATTGATTTTAAAGAATTTATCAAACAAAAAATAGAGGATACCTATAGGTATCTTCTTTTTCTGGAGAATCAAAACATAGTATAAAATGGAAGCTTTCTTTGTGCTGTAAAGAATTCAATACATTATGGGGCAAATAAATCTATTTTGAAGGTTTTTTTTTAATTTCTGGTAGACTAGAAAGGAAGGATCCAACTCGGATGTTCATTTATTTAAAATCAAACATAGAAGATTAAATTCATACAAGCCAAAGAACATCTGGCCCTTCCAGAAAGAGAATAGAGTTCTAAATGCTGAAATCAGGTGAAGCATACTTAATTACTGGTATCCAGAAAGAGCAAAAGTGAGACATCCTATTATATTTATTCTAGGACAAAATATACCATTGCCTATGATTGTGGGTTTTGGATAAGAAAAACTTACAGTCTTAAGCTGATCGTGAGTCAATAATGGAGCTACTGGGACACAAATCTGTACCCTTTGTCACTCTATGGAAACTCTTCTGTCTCACCACAACTCACTTTTGTCTGTTGATCAAATATTTCAGGGCCTTCAAACTCATATAACATGTTTCTCCTAGAAAGAGCTGCTTATCTTTTCCTAACTAAGAGCAGGGAGTGCGCCATGAAAATGTTGTCATTGATGAGAACCCACTTTGATTCTGATAGAGAGTAAGTTGTGCTCTTTTGCTTTAGTCATGCTGTGTATTGTCTATAACTCTATTGTACTATTACATTCCTAAATTTGGCTATAACAGGTGTATCAGTTGATTCACCAACTTTCAAGAAATGTTTGACACTATCTACTAAAGCTAAACATAGGTAGCCTATGACTGTGCAATTCTATTCTTATACAAAGTCCCAAGACAAATGACTGTACATGTCCACCAAAAGAAAATGACTAGAATATGTTTAGAAACTTTATTCATAATAGCTCCAAACTGAAAATAACCCAAATGTCTATCATCAGGAGAATGGGTAAAGAAATTGTATTATATACAATACAAAGGAATACTACATTGCAATAATAATGAATGAACGAAGATGTACAAAACAGCATGAAAAAGATTAGATATTTTTAGTTGCATGAGAAAAAAAAGCCAGATACAAATGGCCCATATAGTATGATCCTATTTATATAAAGTTCAAAAACAGAAAAAAAAATAGGTGTAGAAAACAAAATGGTAGTTAATTCTTGATGGAGAGCTTTGTCTGTGAAGGGGCATTAGGAATACTTCGGGGAGTGGTAGAAGGGTTCCAAATATCTGGATAGTGGTTACACAGGAGCTTTACACATTAGATTTGAGCACTTTGTCCATAAATCATTCCTCACAAGAAACACGTATCGTTATTTAGGATTTAGTCTATGCTAGGTATTTATATAAGAACACCAACAAACAAGATGACAGGTAATTGCATGCTTAATTTTTTTTTGTGTGTAAGTCTTTTTAATATAGATTGAGAGTAACGTGAAGTCAGAGACCTGTCTGACTAAATTTTGTATTCTCTAGGATGCGAAATATTCAGGCTCTTAAGAAAGAATATAAGCCGGGCATGGTGGCTCACGCCTGTAATCACAGCACTTTGGGAGGCCAAGATGGGCAGATCACTTGAGCTCAGGAGTTCCAGACCAGTTTGGCCAACTTGGCAAAACCCTGTCTCTACTAAAAAATACAAAAATTAGCCAGGAGTGGTGGTAGCGTGCCTGGAATCCCAGCTACTGGGGAGGTTGAGGCTGGAGGATCCCTTGAACCCAGGAAGTGGAGGTTGCAGTGAGCCCAGATCATGCCCCTGCACTCCAGCCTGGGTAATGGAGTGAGAATCTGTCTCAAAAAAAAAAAAAAAAAAAAAAAAAAAAAAAGAAAAGAGAAGAGAAGACAAGAGAAGACAAGAAAAGACAAGAAAAGAAAAGTCTTCTCCAACTCTACAGTGACCGAGGAAATAAAAATGTATGTACCTATGTTGGTTGCTTCTAACTAGAATCAATGTCTCTGTCAAAGTACTTTCTGCCGCCAACTCTTTGACAAATAATCACTTGTCTTCAAGTAACACAAGGATCACCTTAATTTTGATTAATGTCAGCTATGGTAGAAAAGAAAAAAACTTACTGGATAGTCAGGAAAAATACTCTGAAAAATAGTACTTAATTCACATAAGATATATATCTCAGTAAAATTAAAATAAAGAGCCCCTAAAAAGATTAATTATAATAAAAAGCATTATATCAAGTGTGCTTTTCACATTATTGCCTTTTGAAACATTGCTCTCATTATACCCTGGGGGAACTGATTTGGTCTTAATGCCAAGGAAAGAAACAATAAGAAACTAAATCACATCAGTTGTTGAATAAAACTGTTGAAATGCATATCCTTGAAAATGGATTTATGAATTGATCAATGGATCCAGAGGTTATTTCTGACCAATGGCATATAAAATGTATCAAAAATCGTTGGATCTCTCTACTTTTCACTGAAGGAAAAATATGTTCTGACTCTGGATGAGGAGATATGGTTTGATTTTGCAGGCTCCTAGGATCTGAACTCACCCTCTCAATTGCATACTTTACAAAAGTGCTCAGTCACCTCCTTTCAATCTCCAGAAGATAATATTTCTTAGAGCAGAGAGACCATTTTATTGATGTTGGATTTTTGCTCCTAGACATGGAACTAATCCTATTAAAGAAAAGGGAAAGGGAAGGAGGAAATAAGATGACATTGAGAAATCATGACTCCTGGCAAGAGTAACGCATATTACATAAGTACTTAATAAAAAATATGGCAACAAGGAGAGAGGGAGGAAGGGAAAAGGGAAGAACAAAAGTAAGAAAGAATGAAAAAAATGGAAAGAGAAAAGAAATTAATTTAGCTTTAGTTAACAGTAAGAAATGAAGATTGAATAAAAATTAGGATGTTCTCTTGCTTTTCTGTTAAATGTGTCCAGAATTACAGAATTATTTTAAAAAATTGAAAAAAGAAAAGGCTGGATGTGGCTAAAGTTTGTGGTTTGGAAGGGGAAATGGTGTTATTCAAATTATGTTTGGAGTCTTGCCCTCTCATATCAATCCAGAGAAAGTCGGATGTTTTCCTGAGACTCTCGGCATAAAAAGATGCAGGAAATTTTCCCCACAGAATGATTTAGGCTATGAAAATTATTCACTTTAGAAAAGAAATGAATCATGTATTATTGTTAACATAAGATTTGTCATTCATTTATAACTGGTTTAAAACAGCTATTTGTAAAACCACCACAGTATTTTAAAAATTAATTAACTTTAACTTGACGAATAAAAAATGTATATATTTATCATGTACAAGATGATGTTTTGAAATATATATACATTGTTGAATGGCTAAATGGAGCTAATTAACATATGTATCTCACATACTTATTTTTTTGAGATGAGAACACTTAAATCCACTCTCTCAGTGATTTTCAAGAATACATTGTTATTAGCTATAGTCACCACCTTGTACCATAGTTCTCTTGAACTTATTCCTCCTATCAAACTGAAATTTTGTATCCTTTGACCAATATCTCCCCAACCCCTCCTCTCCCCAAGACCCAGGTAACTACCATTCTACTCTCTGCGTCTATGAATTCAAATATTTAGACTCCGCATATAGATGAGATCATGTGGTATTTGTCTTTCTGTGCCTGGCTTATTTCATTTAACATAATGTCCTCTAGGTTCATTTATGGTGTCAAAAATGACAGGATTTCCCACTTTATTAAGGCTGAAGTGTATTTCATTGTGCATATATACTACATTTTCTGTTTCTATTCATGTTGATAGCCATCTTAATATTGTGATGCATTATAAATAAAATATGTATTCAATTTCCTATTATGTTACAGCCATTCTCTGCAATATTGACACACAACATAGGATATTTGATAAATTTATCATTGAAGATAAATTCAGAGGCTATGTAGGAAAATGTACAAAGGATAACTGCATTGAATGTGATACTGGACTACTAATAATCTGTAATTTACCTTTAAACTAAAAATATTTGATTCTACAACTAGGCAAAAGCCAAGATTCTCAGGCTAATGTATAAACATTAAAAGATCCAATGGGAAGACATTAAGTGCTTACATAACAATGATGAGTTAAAATTCTCTGTCACTTTGCACTATAAAAAGTTTAACAATTCAATCAAAAGAAGTTATAACAAGTTAAAAGTGTGTTTATATAACAAATAGATCCTTCCTTAATATTTATTTTATAATGAACACATATAAAACTCCTTCAAATTATTTGGAACATTAGGTAACATTATATAATTTTTGCTAAGTTTCAAAATGTTCACTCTGCAAATGCATATCATGCCATAGGTCTAGAGAGATGAGAGGTATGGATGTGAACTAGTAGGAAGAGTATTAACTTAGGAGGCACACTGATCAGGGTATGAATTGTGATTCCCCTGTTTACCAGCTGTGAGATCTTGAGAAAAATACTTTAATTGCTGATGCCTCAGTTTCCTTATCTGTAAAATGTGAATTAACAGCACAGCTCTCTCATAAAAGGCTACAGGAAGGATTAATAGAAATACTGCTCACAGCATTGTATCAAATAGCTGAGCACATTATAAAACCTCAATAAAAGGTAATTTATTATTAATGTTAGAGAAAAGTTTAAATTATTAATATTATAAACATTGTCAACTTTTCCCATTACAATCGTTCTAACAAAAGCCAATGAATAGGGCTGGGGGAGAGGTATACTAATTAAAATTACAATCTAACTGGGGAGAGAAAACATTTCAGAGTTTTACTTATTAAGTGCATCCTGAGTAAGCTGAGTTGGGGAAGAAAGTGTTATGGTACCTAGAAAGTTTAAATTATCAATGCACAGTAGGGATCATGTTAAAATGCATATCATAGCATAAAGTTTTCCAATCTATTCCAATTCACGTTTGGTATAATAAAATAATTAGATATCTGTTTTACATATCACATGTAAGCACAACCTAATCCTCTACTATTATTTCTTTATTATTTGCAATCTCTGATTAGTCATCAATGTAAACCTAACTTTATTAAAACAATATTTAAAATGGTATTTGCCAAAGCTTAAACATAGTTTCTCATGTCGGACCCCCAAGCAGTTTTTAACATGAAAGAAATATGTTACATTTACTAAACGTAGCCATGCACATACATTTTCCTAGAGATGTGCCTATTATTAAGTCTATGGAACATCTCCAGTAGCCATTAATGTCTTTCCCGAAGTTATATGGCATTTCATGAATGTACCCACCTGGCAGGCCTCTGGTTGGCATTCCACAACAAAGAGTTAAAACATCCCATTAATGAAATTTATAGTGCTTTTTGACATCATTTCTGGTGGGGAGGGAAACTGCAAGTCACTTCTGTTATGGTTTAACTTGTTATGCTATTCCAGAAGATGAATTCATTGTCATAAATATTCAGCTTCACGCCAAAGAAGAGTGAACCCAGCTGGTTGGTCCTTGTCCTGTCCTCATCTTCTGTCATAATTCTTACAACTAGCTACAATGAGGCAGAGTCTTACTTCCCATGCAAATTAGTCATTTACTTTGATTTCCAGCTTCTGACTTATAAATATGCATAATTTTATAATTGTTAAATAATAGAAACTTTCAATAATCTGACCAAGTATACATTGTTCCTTTTAATCTTTTGATACTTTTGCAATAATTCATTGTCTTATTGATTTGTACCCTCTATGCAAATCTACTTCCCCATTACTCATACCGCACACACACACACACACGTAAACCTATAAGCAACATACTTGTTACTGTATAGATATTTACATATTTTATGTTTACTTATAAATATAAATTGTACATATTTTATATATTTATATATTTTAAGTAAAATATGCGGGTTTACTTTCTTTAGAAATGATGTGCTCTATACTAATTTGCATGTTATTTGGTATGGCATATGCCATATATTTAAAGCATTTAATGGCAAAAAAACTTTTTAACATCAAGTTTCTCTTGCTCCCTTAAAAATGCTCTTTGAGCCATTTTAATTAGACTGAAATGAAATAGATTCCTTAGGCAACAGCATAAAAATAGTAAAGTAGGTTTTAAAAGTCTTATTGGAGAATAATTTCAAGTATGGTTTTATTTGATGTAATTATTTATGGATTAAACACACAGATAGCAGAATAGATGAATAATGAGCATTCCCTCAACTCAGGCAATTTAAACTGAATTTTCTTGAGCTTTTGGACTTTCCTTTAATTAGCTTGGATCTGGTTAGTGACTATATGGAAATTAATATTTGTTTTCACCATCGCTAGTTTCCAAGTCTGGATTTCAAGAATTGTGCTCCTCAGAAAACCTCACCCTTCAGTAACTTTTTCCCATAAGCTCATAAATTGTAATTATGCTCTCACAGACTAAATGTAAGATCCTACTAGTGTTTGGTTTTTGTAAAACTGTAAGAGCAATCTGTGCAAATAATATAACGTGACTTGGTTATTCTTCAAAATATTAAACCAGTACCATTATTGCTACATGCCTTTTCTAATTTTCCCACATTTTATCAGATTAAATAAGTACCTTCCCATATCTTTTGGGGGTAATTTTATCAGTATCAAAAGCCCTGTCAGAGTCTCAGCATTAGCATTTAGCTATAGAACCAGAATTTTGAATTTATGTCCTAGTTTTGCCACCGTGTTATTTAGACCCAATTTCCTATTCAATAACAATCAAAATATAGCCTGTCCATCACCCAGATGATCTCTATATCAACATCAGAGAGTGGCAGATGAAGCTCTAATCCCTATATCAGTTGCACACATATTGCTTGTAATCGTGCACATCCCTGACTTTTGAGTAATTTCTCGGAAACCCTTACCCATCATTATCTTGGGATTTTGACTTCTTAAAGAATAGATTTCTCCATATCTTCTCTTCAGAGCCATTTTAACTTCCACTTATGGTGCAGTGGTGGCTAAGTGTAGTTCATCTATTTCATGAAAAATATTTTGGTGCTGATTTTGCTGATTGGTTGAGTTAACCAAATGTTCTAGTTATTTGACTAGGGAGGGTTTTTTGTTTGTGTTTTTACTCTTAAGCATAAACATACTACTTTGCCAGAAGTCTCCCTTTGAAGAGTCTTTCCATGGTCACAGGAAAATTGGCTTTCTCCTGATTTCATAACAAGGAATACAAATTTACACTTTATACAAGATTAGGGTGAGCAAATTCTAAACGATATTATTCTATTTTTGAACTTCGGCTTGACTTCTGAGAGGGCTTGACTTCTGAGAGGGCTTGACATGCAGCAAATGTTTGAGAATCAAACTCTTAAATTCCAATCCTTACGGTACCCTGTGTGATTCAGAACCAGTGAAGCTTGCATATTGGTAAGGTAGTGGTAAAATTTAAAAAAAAAAAAAAAAGCAAAACGAACAGAAATGTTACAAAGTAAAGGTTGTTTTTGTTTGTTTGTTTGTTTGTTTGCAGGGGAGAGAGGAACCAGGAAAATTTTGCATGAGGAAAAATATAAGACACGACAATAAATATAATTTAAAAGATAGGGCTGGGTGCAATGACTCATGCCTGTAATCCCAGCAATTTGGGAGGCCAAGGTGGATGGATCACTTCAGGCCAGAAGTTTCAGACCAGCATGGCCAATATGGCAAAACCCCATCTCTACTAGAAATACAAACATTAGCCAGGCGTGGTAGTGCACGTGTGTAGTCCCAGCTACTAAGGAGGCTGAGGCAGGGGAATCACTTGAACCCGCGAGGCAGAGGTTGCAGTGAGCTGAAATCACACTACTGCATTCCAGCTGGGTGACAGAGTGAGACCCTTTCTCAAAAAATAAATAAATACATAAATAAAATAAACAATAGCAGTTAAAAACAGTATAGTTTGTTTATAATAAAAACGTATTTAAAGCATAAGCAGTATGTAGTTGATTCATTTTCTTTAAAATTGGAGAAGGTTAATATTGGATACCTTAATCTTTTGCTCTGTTGTAATCCATATGAAGATTTAAAGGTTTTTGAAGCATTTTATTTTTATACTATTAAAGAAAGTATAAAAACTTTTGGGTGACTCAAAAGCAGATTAACACAAATGGGCAGATTGATGACTAGAAGTTCCTCAAGTAATGATATATGAAAGAAATTCATGTTCCACATAAAGAGAAAGAAAGCAGTGAACGACTTGTGAAAATCGTGTTTCTATAAATCTTTGAATATGATATGCTGTCATCAATGCTTAGCAACTGCAGAAATATGCGTCACTAACGAATCAGATTTTATTAAATGTATGTGTGATGTGTGTGTTTGCATTTGCACGTATATTTATCCCCCTTATCTGCACAGCATCACTATTACTTACGTAACTGCAGTTACTCAGTTAAACACATCCTAATAGAGAATATAAAATCATTCTCTTGAGAATCTAAGCAAATTGCTTGGTTGCATTTAAGATCCATCATGAGTAGCTTTTCCTGTGTCAATTCATTATACCCAAGGGCAATTCCTCTATTTCATCCTTTTTCAAGGTCATGGGTTGAGCTTGATTAATATGACTGGAAAACAGAATCATAAGTGGAAAATATCGGTCTGGTATCAGAAAAGGTTTTGCTAAGAAACTGAATAAGGGAAAGCTTCATAATGAAAATACTGCATCATAAGATAAGAGTTGTATTGGAATTTTAAAAATTATTTTGGGGGTGATGAATAAGAACCATAACAATAGATGTTAAGGCTATGGTTCAATGGCTGTAAAACAACTTTCTATACGTAAAAATGTAGCTGACAATATATCCATAAAATAGAACAAAAAATGAATTGAGCTGAGCACAATTATGTTATTTAAAAACTCCAGAAGCATTAGATTGGAACAAGGAAAGTCTAAGTGTATGGGCAAAACGCACTAAGTCTCTGACATGCCATGTATAAATATTCATGGCAATAATTTTCCCATGAGAGGAAAAAAATGTTTTAGGAAATGTTTGTAAGTAGAAATAGGGTGGTTTTATACTTTCTTCACTAAAGAAATCTGTAGATTGAGGGGAGTTTAAAAATATTTCCTCAAAGAAGAAACAATCAGAAATTCCCTCTTTTTTTATAAGATACAAAAAGACAATAAATATGTTCTTACCACAAAATAGTGGAAATAGTTTAACTTTAGGTAATGGTTGAAGGAAAAGTTTGCTGAAGCATAGGATGTAGCAATGAAAATAAACGAGGTGTGAGGTTTCACGACCAATGATTCACACCTAGGATTAATGCCAGAATTCTTAATAGCTGATCTCGTAGGTGGGATTATATGTGGCATTCTCATATATGTCTCTAATGGTTGAATGTCTTCACTGTGGATGCTTTTGCTGACAGAAATTACTCAGTAAAATCTGTGGGCTTAGCCTAAGTTTATAATTTGCTGTTACATATTTTTTCTTCCCCAACCGGATCTTCTGTCACTTGAAGCATCTCTACGATAATATCAATAACCTCACCAATCTCCAAACCAAAATCATCATGCCAAAATGTTCCTATGCCTAGCAAACTAGTTTTCCCTTTGCCAAGTACAAAACCTTCTGACTTGACAAACTACAAGATACCATACCAGGGTAGTTTAGGCAAGTGTATATCACAGCCGTATTCATCTATATTTAGCTATTTACAGTGTATCTGGCTTTCCCAATTAGGTTGTTTGCCAATGAAGACAAATGTTATATTTTATACATCTTTGATCTCCCACCAAATTTTTACTGTGCCAACTAATAGTGTTTATTCAGTGGCTAAGAAATCACACTAAATTGGATTCTGTTCATCCCCAACTTGTTAAAATATGTAACAAATCCTTGGACTGGGATTCTTCCTGCCTCAGATTTCACTGTAGAATCAACCCAGCGGATACCATAATACAACCCGCGTATTACACAAATCTCCATATGCAGAATTTACACATGTGATGTGGGAGAACATATTCCATTACTCTTGGACCTCTCAGTTAGCATAAGGTATAAATAGAGGTCCAAGGGTCAGAAATAGAATTTTGGAGAAAGCCTGTTATCAGATTTCTCCAGAGAAAGTTATTGCTGTGTTGTAAGTCCCCTTTCCTGCTTCTATGGAGGGAGGGCTGAGAGGTGTTATCTCTCTGCAATGGAAAGACACAGAGGACAGGGGCCTGACTCATTTCTTAAAAAGTTAAACTTTACTAGGCTCTAACCCATGCCAGAGAAATATATACAGAGACTGAAAGCCTGACCAGCTGCTTTGATAGCAGAAACAGATAGGAGAGTACCGCTGTATTGAGATAGGGCACAACCCCCAGAAGTTGTGAGAACCAAGGATGTATAGGGTTTTATCTGGATCAGATGTAGGCCAAGACAGATGGGGGTAGGGAGTCACTTCGGATAAGCTAAACTGGGGTACAGGGGTAAAGGAACCTCACCACAAAGAGACCGGCCACACACCACAGGGTACGCAGGGGCTGAGGAAGGAGCCACAAAGGAATTATCTGCAATAGAAATATCAGCTAAGGGAACTGCAGGTGAGAGAATCCAGCAAGGAATCTTTAAAGATTCCATGAAAACACTCATGAAAGGAAAAAAAGATGGCTTTTATATTGGCCTGGTCTACCTGAAAACCTCAACTTCAAACGTTGGCCATGGCCGAGGGTTTATGAAGCCACCCAGATAAACAAGAACTGTACTATTTTTACACCTCCTCTGCTCTACACATCACTTTGGTCCTGGTAGAGCTAACACAGCATCTAGGTAGTAAGAGACTCTAAGAGGAGCTAATGCTATACTTCCGTTTCCAACCACAGGCTTCTGCACTAAAGCAAACCTCACCTGGGAGAGGATTTAACTGTTGATTACACAAGCTTTTAAGTTTGGATTAACACCTTGGACTCCATTCTAATTACTGAATTGGCACTATGTTTGTGATCTAAAGTGTCTGTAGAGCTGTGGAGATGTCATGGCTCCGCCAGAGGTTATGTCCAGGAACACATGAAGATATGCCACACTGTAACAAAGTGTAAGGAGGACAGAGAGAGAGAAAAGGAAATCTTTTTTGCTTACATCATGAGCTTACATCGAACACAGTGGTTACAAATAGATGAGTTTTTTAGTTAGTAAAATGAATTCTCCCTACCTAAAGTAATTTTATGTAGAGTCAGACGAGGAAAACTCAATACGTGTTATCTCCAGCAGCCTGTGGCACAATCTGAATTGTTCGTGCTTTATGGGGAAAGAAGTGTGTGAAGAAAAAAATAGTAGTAGTAGCCCATGAAAATTCTCTCTTATGGGTTGTTTTCCTGAGAATGTGTCCAGCTGATTTTATTAAGGAGGGGGACTGACTGTCAAAGACAACAGAGGTGCCCCCTTAGTACTCGAAGAATTAGAAAATGTGTTCAGATAATAGCTTGAACCCCTAGGTGTGCCAAGAGAAAGGGAGACAGCAGGCTCTTAAACAGTGTTGTTAAAATTCACATTTATTTAAAACACAGCAATTAGCTAACAAACCTTGGTGACAGACTGCTATGAATTTTGTGCTGACTCCGTACACATAAATTAAACCATTCCAAGTTCCCCACGTGCAGCTTTTGACATTTGTTTCGTACAAGTATGCTGGCCGTGGGGAGGCATAAACTTTGCTTTTAATTCCTTTGGCAACAGCTGTGGATCATTTTGTTAAATTTCTTGTAAGAGATTCAAAAACACTTTTCTGAAGACAAAAAATGTTGTCTCCATTGCATGTTAAGCTCTAAAATGTATTCTATATGAGTAGTTTTCAAAATGGTTTTTAGATCTGACTGCAGACAGTTAAATATTATGGAATTATGGTATATATAGTTGTGTGCCACATAACGATGTTTTGGTCAACAATGTACTACATATAAGAAGATGGCCCCATAAGATTAGAATACTATATTTTTACCGTACCTTTCTAGGTTTAGATACACAAATATCACTACGTTACAACTGCCTACAGTATTCAGTACCACACCATATGGGTTTGTAGCATAGGAACCAGAGTCTATACCATTCAGCCCAGGTGTGTAGTAGGCTCTCACATCTAGGTTTACCTACGTATACTCCATGATGTTTGTTCAGTGACAAAATTGCCTGAGGATGCATTTCTCACATGTATCCCAATCATTAAGTGACACGTGACTGTAATTTTTTTTTTCCAATCAAGTGCTCCTCTAGTTGCTTTGGATAAACCCATCAAAAAAGTAGATAAAAACCCCTAAGAACTACTCCCCCATACACACACACACACGCATCCTGCAGAAAGGGAGAGAGAAAGAAAAGATGTCAGATTTCAATAATTTCTAAAACGTAAGAAATCTCTCTAACAAAAAGGCATAATACCTCAAAATTAAGTATAAAATCAAAAATTTTACTTACAAGCCTTTTCCTTTTAATTATGGTCATTAGCATAAACACTCTGATTCTCTGAGCTATTTAAGCATAGGATTTCTATTTTTCTACTCTGTACATTCCCTGCAAGACTAGCAAAATAGTAAGTATATAGTAGGTGGTCAGAAAATATAGGATTGAATCAAGCAATATGGCAGTAAAAATGGTCCATTGTAAAATGTTGAGTATGACATCATTTCGAGTAATCAAGTAAACATTAATTATTTCATAAACAATTATTTAGTATCAAGGCATTGATTGATAAAATGTTTTCTAACTACATTGGGCCTTAGCTTAGACCTTTCTTACTGAAAATATGGTCTTTGACTCAGCAGCATTAATCCCATCAATGTCCCATCCCAGAACTACAGAAGAATCAGAATCTATATTTTAACAAAATTCCCAGGTGGTTTATACATGCATTACAATTTGAGAAGTGCTAATTTATACCACTGGTTTTCAATCAAAACTACTCGTTAAAATCATCTGGTGTTGTTTTAAAAAAATAAAAAAAAAGAGGGAAAAAAAAAAAACTATTCCTGAGCCACACTCCAAACCAATTAAATACGCATATGAGTCCAGGGATGAAGTTTCTTTTTTAATGCTCCATGAAGTTCTCAGGTGCAGCCAAGTTGAGAAACATTGATTTAAACAAAACAATGAAATATCATGCTGGCTATGCTGGAATTTTCTGAAATAAATGAAATTGAGTTTTGAAATTAAATCAGAGGAAATAAACTTCTAATACCATATATGAAAACTCCAGTAAGACATTACTTAATACCCTACAGATTTTAGGATCAAATGGAAAGACACATTAGTCTAAATATGCCCTCTAAGGCTCATAAATGCAGTCCAACAAAATATCTTATTCTTATTCTTCTTTGACTCAAAATCATCTTAAACAGTTAATATCAGTATGCAGAATAAAACTGAACTTTAAAGTTCTGCAAAATTAAAGCAAACTTTCCTTACTGAGCCTAAAGAGGATCTAATGTGTCATATTTCATCTTTAAAGCCTGAAACACTGTTTTCCCCTAGGAAAAATCAAATGAATCAATCCTCCCATCAAGTAAACTAATATCTCATTATGACTTAGATTCTTGTTAAAAATTTGGCAGAGTATTCCGATTTGTTTTCATATATCACCATAACTATATAGCACATCCAGAAATCTCCAGAATGAATAAATATTCTCCAAGCACACGATAACTAAATTGACCTAACATTTTGTGTTAATTCACACCATCAATAAAATGACTTTCAAAAAGGAAGACTTTTCCTAAAAGCTAAATAATACAATTGCCTGGGTATATCATATTTTTTTGACGATATTGATGAACAAAAATAAGAGATGATTTTTTTTCACATTTAATGTGGAATCCAAAAGCGTCTAAGCAAAAAAAGCTTGCATTCATAACAGATAAATCAGGAATGTAGAAAATATGAATTCTATTTTTAATTCTGGAGAAAAGGGTAAACAAAAATTCAAAGAGCGTAATTAAAATAATTTAAATGATTTATTTTCTTATTTAGTCCTCTATTCAACCTAAGGAAGTAGCTATTATTACCCCCACTTTCCAGAAGAGGAAACTGATGTACAGAGAGGATAGAAACGTTGCCAAGGTCATACTTTATACTTTATTGAGTAGAATCTTATGATGATTTGACTCTTAGAGTCTTTGCAGTCAGACAGACCTCCATGAAAATCTCTAATATACTCCTGGTTATCAAGACTCTACTTCTCAACCAACAAGAGTGGAATTCCAGAAGTCTAGCCCTAGAAACTTACAGCAAATGTCTAGTGAACCTTAAAACGTCTCTGGGATCCACCGTCTGATGCCAAGTGCTTTGCCTCTGTCTCTCTAAATGTTCTGGTCTACATCAAGGCCATTCAGGTGTGTTAGAATTCACTAGGTATATTGAAGTATACAGGATATCATCAATGCTTTCTAAGGACATAATCAGGCTTGCATCATTTTCACTTTATAAGTAAGTCAAACTTCAGGGACTTTTTCATATTTTTTAATCAAAAAGGGAACCATTGAAGATAAAGGAGAAAACATAAAAAGCCCTTGCTGTGTAAAGATTGACAAACAAGGTAACTTAAGTATGACATAACTTTGCTCACTTTAAGAGTTGGCCTGGAAACATTTCTTTGTTCAATAATAGAGTCAAGTCTTATCTCAGATGATTTTTTTAACCTATTATTTTTCAGCAGATGCATCTGTGTAAGAGGTAGTAACATCCGATGTTATATTCCTCCGTGTTGGGAGTTCACTGGTCACTCAAACTGCAGAGACCACAATTGCAGGCAGTGCTATTCAGATGGACTAAAAATCAAATGAAGACCCAGGAGTTGTGTGATGCGATGGCCTCATATAAAGGGTAGGTGGCTCTTTCTCCCTTAATTATTTCTCATGATAAGTATTGATAAAGCTTCAAGGGTCAGCAAAGTATGTCCTACAGGACAAATCCAGCCCACCTCCTGATTCTGTAGAGCCATGAGCAAAGAACAGTTTTAACATTTTTAGATAGTTCAGAAATTAAAAAGAAGAATATTTGATGAAACCTGAAAACTGTGTAAAATTTAACTTTCAATATCTATAAATGAGTTTTTTTTTTAACACAGCCATGCTCATTCATTTACTTATGGTATATGGCTGCTTTTAAGCTATACACCAGAGAGTCTGGTGTATACCATGGCAGAGGTGAGTAATTGTGACAGAGATTGTGCAGTGTAAAAAGCCTACAATATTTACTATCTGGCTCTTTAAGCAAAGGTTTGCCAACCTCTCTCTGACACAATAATGAAAAAAAGAAATGTCTTTCAGCTTAGCAAATATGGCAGTGACTCTGTTACTTGCTCTTTCTTTTGGCCAGAAAATAAACTGAATCTCTGCAAGCTTCCGTTTCCTTCTATGCATTGTGGGGATAAAGAACTGGCTCATAGGAAAGAATTCATTTAGCAGACTGTTTTGCACATAAAAAGCACTTAATAAATTAATGTTTCCCTTAAGTTGGAAGCACTTAGCACCTTTTCTCCTCCTCTATCTGCTAAAATCGTACTGGTCCTTCGAAGGCAAAACAAAATACTGTATTTTCATACAATCTTCTCTGACTGCTCAGGTTAAATTAGTTGCTCCCTCTATGTTTCCACAGCATTCTGTTTACCAGTCTGTCATATTATGATCCTCAATCTACCTTGTACTTTGGTTATGTCTAAGACCCTTCTTAAATGCAGATATTATTTCTTATGAATTTCATGACTTGCATAATGTTAAGCACAGATAGGGCCTTATACACAGGGGACATTCAATGTTTGCTGAACAAATGAAAAGCTGAATGAAGATGAAAATGAACAACCAACTGGGGGTATTTAAGTAGGTTTACTGCCCTCCCAAATAATAGGCAACATGTTATCTAGGAGGTTCAGTCAAAGGAATGTCAGGGAAAGGCTTTCTCCAACCAGTATCAAATATTAGACTGTCTAATTTATATCTTGCTATATTTTACCTATGAAGATATATATTCCACTTGGCTTTAGGGTATAAATTAAAATATGTCATAGCAATAGCAACTGCCAGAGTCAAAAGAGGCATTTAGTGAGAAAATGGTAGCTCATAAAATGAATATGTTAATTAGGAACTTTTAATACTTTCCATTTTTTTCTGCTGCTCAATCAGTCTTACTCCATCCTGTATTACTAACCCGAA
Organism: Homo sapiens; assembly: GCF_000001405.40. Taxonomy (NCBI): domain Eukaryota; kingdom Metazoa; phylum Chordata; class Mammalia; order Primates; family Hominidae; genus Homo; species Homo sapiens. Next base: position 192,266,745 of record NC_000003.12, read on the forward strand.
TGGCTTTATTAACCACGTTCTTTTCAAAAGTCAATTTGCTCTATCTTTAAACACCACACACACACACACACACACACACATACACTACCTCACACATGAACAAATACACTTTTAAAAAGCTAACAAAAGGAAAAGAAACTCAGGGAAAAAATCTATGAAGTGACTTATATCTCAAAAAGCTCTTATTAAAGTAAAAGCAATAAAAACCTGAATTATAGGAGAGAAATAAATCTCTTCTCATTGGTTATCTGCTTCAAGGAACTGATGCCTTGAGGAATCAGATGTTTCATGCTAATTTAAATTTTTGGCACCTTCGATTACATGAAATCTAAAAGATTGCTTTCTAAATAATGACAACAGATTTCCTGACAATGCGAACAACAGATGTCACCAAGGTAAGCAATGGAGGTTTAATTGAGTCTTAGTCCTTGGAAAGGTGATTTCGTCTGAGAGGAAATCACAGGTTACATAGTTGATTAATGCAACTTAGATAACTATGCTTGATTGGCTGGCAGCACAGCATCTCCAGGAAGAACCCCAGTCTATCATCTCAATGCTCTGATTCATCTTTATGCCAAAATACAATGTGCAAGGTATAGCTGCAGCCCCCGTCTAAAATTCCCATGCATTACGCTTTTCAATGGCCACAGATTAAAGGTATTTAAATACATGTTAGTTATTTCCATTTCCAATGAGAGTTTAATAAAAGACTATATCTTCTCTTTTTAATGAGAATATTAACAACATTAGTAGGGGCCAAGAAGATTCTCCAAGTCTATGCAAGAGATTATATTTATATATCTGTTTTTATATCTATCATCAATCTATCTGTCATCTATCTACCTAAATTACCATTCAGTCCTCTCTTTTCCCGTAACATATCAGTGGAGATGTTATAGTAGTAAATGTGGCATTGTGGACATTTATAAACATTTGATTAAAACCATGGATTTCCCTTCCTGAAAATATTCATATGCACATACATCAATTTGCTGTATAATTTCCCTAAACTTATTCATGGACTCCCAATGTTAAAAATTTTATAGGACATTTTAAATTATAAAATATGATTTCTGTGCTATTCAAAATCATAAAAACCCACTATAGATAATTTTGCATCAAAAATCACAAATTTCTAACAACGCACCTTTAATAAGTTTAACACAAATCATAGTTCTCCTTCCACATCACATATTCTCTATTCTATAAGTTGCTTGACCTCCCACTTTGTAAGAATCCTTTCTGTTTCTATTTGAGTATTCTTGTTCTCCCAAGGGATGGATATCTCAGATTTAAAGATAAAGCTTTTATTTTAAAACATGAATACACAACCCAGCACAGTACTATGAAATCTCAGAAGTTCTTCCTAATGTTTAACGTAAATATTTCCTATGCCAGATGTAGCTATTTTCCTTGTCACTTTTGCATCATAGGCTAGAGGATTACAAACTGATTACCCAGACTGCACTTCTCTGCCCTACATACTAGCAAATTCTGCTGCTTCCAATTTTCCACGAAGAGCTCATCCTTCAAGCATCTACTCCATCTGGGGAGCTGTGGTGGCCTTTATCTAAAACTAGATTTAACACCAGAACTCTAGATGTGGGTTTTCAAATGGAATAAGAGGTCATGTGGGATAGAGAGCTCTTTTCTTTCATACTATGTGATGGATGATATCGTTTGGATATCTGTCCCTGCCCAAATCTCATTTTGAAATGTAATCTCCAATGTTGGAGGTGGGGCCTGGTGGGAGATGTTTGAATCATGGGAGCAGATGCCTCATGAATGGCTTGGGTCATCCCCTTGATGATAAGTGAACTCTCTCTCTGAGTTTGCATGAGATCTGGCTGTGTAAAAGTGTGTGGCTTCTCCCCTGCATTGCTCCTGATTTTGCCATGTGACATACCTGCTCCTCCTTTGCCTTGTCATGATTGTAAGCTTCCTGAGGCTTCCCTAGAAACCAAGGAGATGCCAGCACCATGCTTCCTGTAAAACCTGCAGAACTGTGAGCCGATCAAAACTATTGTCTTCATAAATTACCCAGTCTCAAGTATTTCTTTATAGCAATGCAAGAATAATCTAATACAATAGCCTACTTTAATAAAGTTTGAACTTTGTATGCAAATGTTACACATTACTAAAACATTTTTATTTTTATTTATTTATTTTTTGTTTTTTATTTTTTTGAGATGGAGTCTCTCACTCTGTCACCCAGGCTGGAGTGCAGCAGCATGAACCTGGCTCACAGCAGCCTCCGCCTCCTGGGTTCAAGTGATTCTCCTGCCTCAGCCTCCCTAGTAGCTGGGATTACAGGCGTGTGCCACCACGCCTGGCTAATTTTTGTATTTTTAGTAGAGAAAGTGTTTCACCATGTTGGCCAGGCTGGTCTCAAATTCCTGACCTCAAGTGATCCACCAGCCTTGTCCTGTCCTCTCAAAGTGCTGAGATTACAGGCATGAGCTAACATACTTGGCCCTACTAAGACATTTTTAAATAGTGAAAGCCACCCACTAGAACATAAAAGAAAATTTAAAAAAATGCCTCTCTTCCAAATTTCAGCAGTCTTAACTAATTTTATTTCTCTATATTCTCCTAGCTTTTTAACCTGCACTCAGTGTTACCAGATGTAATCAATGTAGATACAGCCATTTGTTGATCGTATACACAGTACTGGTTAAATGTGAACTCTGCAGACAGACTCTCTACATTTGAATCCCAAACCCAGGGGTTATCAGCCCTGCAATCTTGCTCAGTTCCTTCATGTGTAAATTAGGGACCATAATAGTACTACCTAATAATATTACTGTTAGGCTTAATAAATGTAAAGTCCTTCAAAAGTGTTTGGCACATTAAAAGGACCTAATAAATGCTATATTTATTATGACTAGTTATTTAGTTCCTCTATATAACACTAGGTTGGAGCCAATTTTCTGCAGTTGCAGAGTCTACCCAATAACTCTTAATGGCCACACAATATTTCTTTACCTCTTGGCATGTAAACTCATTTAATAATTTCTATACCATTGGGTATTTAAATTGTTTCCATCTTTTACTATTATAGCTAATACTACAAAGAATATCTTCAGACATACAGCTCTTTTTTTTCTCCTTTGAAGTGATTTTATTAAGACAAATTTCTGAGTTTAATAAATGGCTGAAAAGCTGAACATTGTTAGTGAGCCCTGTGTTATAAAGAGAAACAAAACTGACATCCATTCAGGTTAGTGGCAAGGTGTTTCATTAAAGAACATGGAATATTTGTAATACTGTAGTATTACTGAAAAAGAGTAACTTTCATGGGCCACAATTTCAATTTTGTGTTCCACATCCTCCTGCATTCTGAGGTCAATGGAGTCAGGACCTAGCGGTTTTTCAGTAGAAATCTTTCACATATAAAATTCAAGGCCTTTTTGCTCTGATGACCATAGAGCTATTTTTCACAGAAATAAAGCTTTTCCTGATGGTCTTGAAACAACTTCCCACAGCTCAATGAAAAGCAAAAGCATTTTTCTTTTCTCCAAGGAGCCTCAGGCTACATGTAATACAGCACTTAATTTCCTGCACCTTAGTTGGTAACTGTTAAATCAATTCATGAGCAAAGAACTGAACTTTCTTGAAATTCTCCACTCATGCTATTCCACTATATCAACATTTCATAAAACCCCTCATTTCTCCCCTACTATTACTGGGCAAAGTGAACTAAGAAGAGAAAAAGAAAAGAAAAATAATTCAATCTAAGTTACTATGAACCACAGCAGATCTCATGAAGGGTACTGGGGAGAAATAAGATGTTAAGTACATTGCAGGAGCTGACAAACTAATTCTGGATGAGCCAAGTCACAAAAAATTAAGAGAATTATTGTATCTTATACGTTATGTATCCTTCACTATTTCAGCAAAGGTAAACTAAAATGACAAATATGTTTCCACACTTACATAACCCATATATTCCTCCAGATTGTAGAAGAAAAATGCTATGCTGAAATTTTTAAAAAGAAGGAAAAAAGGTAAGACAGATGAATGGATGGAGGGAAGAAAAGTGGGAAGGAAGGAAGGAAGGAAGGAAGGAAGGAAAGAAGGAAGGAAGGAAGGAAGATAAAAGAATCCACTAATTCAATGGGAAGAAAATAGGGAGATATAATGGGTGTTGGTGGATGTTAGAATTCCACCAAAAACACCTCAAATTCCATTTAAATTGATTTGATATGTAGGTTTTTCTTGCCCTTCTGAGTTTCTCAGATAGTATATTGGCAGGCAGCCTCATTCCCTGCAGTAAGGATGGTTCTTAAAAAACTGGACCAAAATCAATCAATTAGACATTGCCAAAGATTTCTCTCCAAGTGTCATCTAAAAATCATTAACTGTGGCATGAAATATCATGGACATTGTATAAGACATCCATGCATCATTTTTGGTTACCAAGGAAGAATAAGCCTCATGTTTGAAACTACAGAGCCTCCTTCATGTCATGTATTTAGTAACATCCAGTACATCTGCTGGCTTTGTATGAATTCAGAGGTTCAAGCACTCTTCAAATTCTTTTCTCCTGTATTCTGTGTTATTCGCCCATTAAACTTTTTCTGAGTCGACATAAGTATCTGCATTGTTGAATGCTGTACTGTCAACCAGAACTATTGTGAATCTGATTCTCAGCCCATTTGCTGGAAGTTACAGTAGCAAGGCTGAAACATTACAATAGCAAGGCAAAGTCTGATTTGGCTCAGAATTCCTGATTTAAACTCCCATCAGCGTATCCCACCCATCTTTGAAATCCAACCTACAAAGCCTAACTTACCATTTCCCACCTACCTGCCTATCTCTAGCTTTCCCTATCACCTCTGCCTTCCTTCTTTCTACTAATGGTATCTTCCAACCTTTACTTAATTTACTCCTAATTTTTCCTTTAGATATCAATTCAAATATTTCTGTTTGGGGGGAAGTCTTTCCCAACCCTCATCCCCAGATTAGATCAGTCCACTCTCATGTATCACATCTGAATGTTTTATAAACAAACACAAAGGCAACTTAATGCAGGAGTCTGAAAGACATACAATATGTCCCAAGGAAGAGGTAGAGAAGCTGAGGACACTAGTTTTGCAGCACTGTAAAAAGAAGTATCCCAAAGGATTCAGAATTTCCCAGGCTACAGACTGACTCCTTGGTTTACTGAGACGTCTTAAAACGGCTCTTCAAAGCTGATCTCCTAATTGTGATTCTTGCCTAGAATCTGATCTGGTCCTACTCATTTCTCTTATCCAGTTCTAGGGTTTTCTGGGAAGACAGGAGAGGGAAAAATATTGACTTTCCTCCAAGTGATATTAGGAATGACTAATAAAAATAATGGTGAGTCCTGGAAAATTCAGAGAGCTGCATTAAAAAATTAATGGCCCGAGTTCCTTGGAGTCATCTGAAAATTAAACAATCACCCAGAGACAAATCCAAATTTTTTTAAAAAAGCATTTCATAAAGACACAGTTTATTCTAGGAATTTTCAGTAACTGTTATTGCTTTTTTGTGGTAGCTATGCTTCAAGTAAGGCTCATTTCGTTTCAAGCCTAACTTAGTTCCATTGCAGACAAGGAAAGGGGACGGGGAGGTTATATTTTCATATTATCTGATTTTGTGAAATTGCTATGTAAAAATGTAATCCATTTCATGAAGATAAAAAACTACTTTAAAACATTTTTAAATAAAATAAAACGTAACCAGTGAAATATGGCTGCATGATTACGGGGCACAGTTGAACCTAATTACCAGCAAATTACAAACCACTCCACTAAATGAATATAAATCCTCAACAATGGAGAAGGGGGCTCTATGACTATATGATATGCTTGGTACTCTTTTAAATGATACTTCCCTATTTGAGTAAAACAAAGAAGAAACTGCAAAGGGATGAGGCAGGATAACTGCGGCTCATTTGTCACAAGGCTCCAACTTGCTTGATTTTTCCCTGTGTGTCAGAGAATGTGCACATTGAAAGAGAGGGAGCTCTCCATCACCAAGAGAGCCCAAAAATAGCCCAACTGATCATAGCCATTGTAAAAATATTCATGGATGTAAGGAAAGATCCTTTCCCAGTCTGATGCTCCTTGACTTGTGATTTGCTAAATTTGAGAAGCCATCACTTACACAACCTGTTTTATAGACAAATCCTTCCAGTTTCAGAAGAAAAAATGTCATCTATCTCAACCTCCATCTCTTTTTCAAACTTCGATAGATGAGAAGAAAATGGTGAATAAATTTTTAGAATCAGTTTTGCAAGATTGGTTTCAAGGAAGGAAGAGAACAGGTGAAGTGGATAGAGCCACACTTCCCACATAACTAAGGGCAAGTTAGTTTTATCACTTTTGGGTAAAGTGTTCCCTATGAGGGGATTTACTCCTTTCATAAGAAAATCAATCTCTTCTTCCAACAAAAGCTACTGAACCACTTATGCTGTTACATAAATGTGTTAATGGGGAAATCCATTCAAACATCTGCACTAAGCACTCTGTATTTATACATATGAATGAGATTGAGAGACACTGCCATTCCTACTGTTTTAGCTTCCACTATAGTGGAAAAGGGAAAATATATACAATATACTCTGATCCAAGGAGAAAGAAGAAAACTTCACAAAATACAAACTTGTTAAAAAATAAAGACAAAAAGACCAAGTTTCCCTGGGGCTGAAGCTGGGTTATGGGCACAGACAAACATAGGGCCTCTAAGAGAGTCCTGCATGCTAGGCAATATTTAGAGTTCTTCCTCACCAGTAGCTCAGGATGCATTCAGATGTAAGCTCGAGGAGTCACGCAGCATCTCTTGGCATTATTGGTTGTTTGCACATCCATGTCTGTAGCTGGACTGCAAACCATTCTCAAGGTGGTAAATATTCTTCCCTGGGGCTTTGTGCATGGTACACCCTCAGTAAATATTAAATGAATGGATGTATATCTGACACTGGGCGTGTCAAGGCTTCGGAAAATTTACTTCCACTCCCATAAAACTTCTTCTTTAAAAAATGCTTGCAAAAATAATAGATAGGAGGATTCAATTTGTGTTTGCAACCTTGAGACAGCAAGCTGAGGAACTGGTTTGTCTGCTTGCTGCCCGTGTCCTTCCTGCTCAGTGGACTGATTCAAGGATTTGAGTCTTCAGGATGTTAAGTGAGTGAATTAAAAAAAAAAAAAAGTAGAACTGAAAACAGTGAAAAATGCCTGTCATCAGCATCGTAATGACTGATCACCATCAGCCAGATAATTATACAGGCTGAAGATGATTTTTACAAACATAAAACCTAAAATAGATGCCTCAAGGTTAACACATCCTAATTATCTTTTGTATAAACATCGTATAAACACTCTATACTCTATTTTTAAAGGTACTGCTAAAGAAAAAATAAAAAGAAATAGAGTTAATAAAGATTATTTGCTATATCCAGAGATATACTGAAATTCCAGAATAAATCTTCCTATTACATTATTACCTATCAAGGTAGAGCAGAGTAAAAATTCCACCAATACAAGCATCTTTGTAAAATAACATATTTAATATGCACACTTACCAAAATATTACAGTGAGAAAATCAGTGACAAGTATTTATGTATATAAAATGTGTAGAGTAAGCCATACCAAAAATAAATAACAGAGAAAGTACTTCAAAAATTCCATATTTGCCTACTGTTTATATACCTCACAAGAACTATACCTATTAACACACTTGAGAGAAGATACATAGTAATAAAAATAGGAACGTGGTCACACTGATGGCTAATCAGAAAAACTATTTGGTGTAAACCAGGGTCGTCAGAGTTTAAGAATTTGGCAAGAAAGAGAGGAAGAGAGAGGAGAGAGAAGAGGGGAAAGAGAGAGAGATAGAATATAGAAGAAATGGTTTCTACTTACAGCTACTATCTAATCCCCTGGCTTTTCTGAAGTTGAAGCCAATAATATGTGAATACTTTAAGGATACGTAAGCATTTGTCCAAATTAGCATGACTGATGTTCAGATAAGGACATAACAAGGACACAGTGTGGCACTAAAGAAACAAAGTTGCTAATAACATACAGCTTTTGCAAGTAAACTGGTTTCCTTCATATCAATCACTGTGGAAGGCTTCACATTTTCTTTATCCAACGATGCCATCAGTACAAAGTCCATGGTTTAGGTGTTTCTTTAAATTATGCTTTAAGAACCTAGGACAGGTCCTTCAACTGTTTTCAAAGGGAAAAAAAATACATCCTAACAAAGTGAAAACAGATCTTTCAAATAATATAGATAATGAAGCTGCATATTAATGTTTTAGATTAAAGATGATTAGTATCTATTATTTCTTTTGTTCAGTACCTGGCATGAGAGCTATCTATAAGTAATCAGACTTTATTTATAGATAAATAAAATTTATAGGAAGCCATTCGTTTAGACTGAGCTCCTGCACCAAGCCCAACAGACCAAACCAAGATGGAGTCACTCATGCTGAAATTCCTCATCACCAAGCCAAAACTAAGTTGTTTATTTGACCTTTTAAGCAATCAGGAGAGACTCACATCCCCAAACAGTCCAGTTTTAGGTACTACGATAAGGAAGTTCCTCCTGCATTAACCTTTGCAAGTAAAGTAACTTTGAAAAGACCAATTTGCTTTTTGTTTTCTATATATGTTTTCCTCTACCCTTTTCTGTTTGTAAAACCAAACTCTGTTCAGCTCATTGAAATATTCATTCTATTTTATAGAATGCAAAATTGCTTGACTCTAGAATGGTAAATAAAAAACAATTAGGATCTTCAAACTAAAATCTGTTGTAATTTTGTCTTTAGAATTATATCTACCTGTTGGGACTAGAAAAGGTTTTGTGAAGGTGGTGTTTTCTAAGTGGGAACTAAAAAGATTGGTAGAAACAATACAGGAAAACACAATAGAAAAATAATGAAGAGAGTTTGCCCAAGGAATGGTAAGATATCCTTTTTAGTTAAGTAAAGTATAAGTAAGATAAACAACTAGAAATGTACTTTGGGGACAAAATGTGAAGAAATATGAATGTCAAGCCACGGAATTTGGACTTTACTCATTGTTCTCCAGGAAATTATGAAAGATTATAAATTACGAGATTGGCTTGACCACATTGTTCAGATAACTCCACATTCCAACCTCCCAGCTAAGGATATTGCCTCACTGTCACCTCACTGAGATGGATTGGAACCCCTTTCCCTGTAATCTGAAACTAACATAAATTATATTACCAACAGCATCTTGTATGTATCACAACACTCCATATAAAACCAACACCTACTGATAAGGGATGGAATAACGTTACTTACTTTTCTAGATTATCAATGTTAACAGTCAGCGATTCATTAAGAATCATCAAACCTTGGAGTTAAAGAGGCTCATATATGCAGTGTTCAAAAAGCAAACGTGGAAACAAATGCTCACTGGCAGGAGAGCTGATTCACCAGTCGTACAGTCACTGCAGAAAATATAGTCCACGTGTTTAAGCACTAAAGTTTCTTTTCCCTCACAAGAGCACAACTTCAAGAGGAAATGCATGGGTAAAATGGATAAATCCCAGGCCTACACAACAACCTAGATGAAGTCTAGAAATTTAGTGCTGAGTAAAATGGACAAGTTTGTTCAAGTCATCATCCAGCGCAAATCACAATGTTCTGAATGTGTTCTGACAAGGTTTTAGAGTGTAGATTCACTACTTTTTTGGTTACAGCTTATTTTAAAATTTATGATTTCTTATAAACTCACAGATAACCAAGGTGCCTTATGAGAAAATGATTCTCATTTTAATGTTGTTGTTGCAAGTTAGAAAACAATACCCCCAACTGAAGGCCTCAGAATCCAATCTTTTTCTGTCCTTTTCCTGTCCTCCTGCCTCTCAGTTCCAATTTTTCCTGAGGTTAGCCATAGAAACTAGACCCCTTCTTTCCCAAGGTGGGTGATAGAAACCAGAACCCCATTTCCCTGAAGCCAGCCAAAAACCTTAACATATTACTCTAACTTGCCCCCTCTACCTTTCTGTACAAAAATTGGCTATGAAAAAATTATCTGACCTACCTTGTTTAACTGTAGGTAATAAGATTCCCTTTCCAGAGAGGGTCCTCACCACACTCAGAAGAAAGGAATACGTACTCAGAAAGGCCAAGAAAAATCTAGACAGACAGGTCTTACTGAGTTTCCCTACTCAGTCTATTAGCATTAAATCATATTCGTTTTGTCCAATCATATTTCTACAGGATACTGTCCATACTTTGTTAAACCTAAGAATAAAAAGGGACAAATTATTCCCCTGCTTCTTTGGGCCTTCATTCTGAAAGGCTTCATGTCATGTAAAACTGTGATCAAACAAATTTATATGCCTTTTTCCTCTCAATCTGCCTCTTGTCAATAATTTTCAGTGAACCTTAAGGCAGCAGAGGAAAATTTTTCTCTTAGCCCGTATACTCTCCATTCATTGATAAAATGATTCACTGCTGTCCCTATCAAAGAATAGATTGTTTCTAAGTGAAGATATTATCTCAAGTTTATTCAGATTTTAGAGATATGCCTAGGCCAGAAGAGAGAAGCCAGAAGTTGGTAAGAGGAGCCAAATTTGAGGAGCAGTCATAAAACACTTATTACTTTTATTGGGCTGAATGAGAAAGCATTCTGTAAAGATTTCTGTCCATATGCATAACTGCTGTGATTGCAAAACCAAGAGACACAGTAAAGACGGTTTTCAAGGGAAACCAAAGAATGATGCTTGGTCTGCAGTGGGGGCAGCTGTTTGATCAATCTCTATAGGGTATTCACATGAAGTTTTTGGTCCACAAGAGGCAAATCTCTTACTATTTTTAACTGGGTAACTATGAGTATTGCTTGCAGAACCTACAACTGTGTTGCAGTGCTCACTACTGCTTGCATGGGTCTTTACAGTGAACATTCTTTCCTCCTTGCGTGTATTCAGAGCACGGAAGTCCACCGCCCAGCATCTGTATGAGGATCTGGCTGTCACAGTCCCTGCAGCTCCTATCCCGTACACATACATTTCCCTGTTTTCTTTTTTTGAGACAGAGTCTCGCTCTGTCGCCCTGGCTGGAGTGCAGTGGTGCGATCTCAGCCCACTGCAACCTTCACCTCCCGGGTTCAAGCGATTCTTCTGCCTCAGCCTCCCAAGTAGCTGGGAATACAGGCGCCTGCCACCATGCCCAGCTAATTTTTGTATTTTTAGTAGAGACGGGGTTTCGCCATGTTGGCCAGGCTAGTCCTGAACTCCTGACCTCGTGATCCACCTGCCTCAGCCTCCCAAAGTGCTGGGATTACAGGTGTGAGACACCGCGCCCAGCCACATTTCTCCTTTAAAGGTTTTACGCTGTTACCAATCAGTCAGCTTACCTACGTTAAAGACTGAAAATCATCACTATGTTAACATATATTGATGAATAGACATTATGTATGTAACAGGATTTTTTTAAATGACAAACTTTGACTAAGGCATCAGGGAATAGATATGAACTCTAAAATTTTATTCCAGAAAATATAGAAATCTGAAAATAGGTAACACAGAAATTGATTACACTGCTCTAAATTCTACAAGGAAGACATAGAAAGTTTAAGAGTAGGGCTTGGTAATTTCTTCATCTAAAACCTAGAGAAAGGGCTTCAATAGGGCCATGGAGAGTTTTTGATCTTCTTCCCATTGTACTGAGAAGCACAGTACACCAACGTCAAAATATAGTCCCACCTAGGAACGTAGAAAGCAAGGGCAAGGAGCTCATCCTATATTTTGACTGAACGGCATTCCCAAAGCTGGTCAAGACAGAGGAGAATGAGTGTATAATACTTCTAGAATAGATGTGGGCCACATGGCAAAAAAGAACCAGCCTAGAGTCTTTTAAAACTCCAATGCAAGAGAACAGGGTAAGAGGAAACGAGGCTTTAATAGGAAAAGCCTACATATGGTAGAAAGTGGAAAACCAAGAGCTGATGGAAAAGTGGTTTGAAGGTGAGAAGTCATCACTGACCGGACAGAGTTTCAGTTGGAGAGCCCACAAAGGGAAGTCTCTAAAAAACCCTTAACTACAGTAGGTAAGCGCTACCCCCAGATTCTTACTGAAGTACCAATCAAGTAACAATTCTCTGGTTCCCTTCCTGCTCCTCCCTCTCCATAGTCTAACTAGTCCTGAAGATATCAGTCATGGTGGTTGGTTTGGGCAGTGGGGGTGACTAAAATTTTTGGTGGCCTTCCTGCAAGAATGTCACAGTTAGGGCCTGATTGTGGATGAGAGTGTGGAATGAATAACCTTTGAATAACGAAGGAAGTGTTTATATTATATTGAGCTGGGAAATTTACTTATTAAGTGAATAAGTGTTTTACAACTTGAAGAAAAATGATGAGTTTCATCCATGGACATGGGAAAATTTTTCTTATGCATAAATTTTTAAAGGACAGTTAAAGAAAATGATCAGTTTGTATACTGATTTTACCTTATAAGTCATGCTTGGTTAATGTATGAGTATATATATATATATATATATATAAAATGTACATTCCCATAGAGAACTTTATTTAACCTAGACAGCCACTCTGTGAGATAAATATGTCTCTCATTTCATAGGTAAAGAAAATGACTCTAAGAGAGAGCATTTAAGACAATCAATAGCTTGCTTGAATTGAATGAACTGCCAGACATTTTTCTAAGCATTTCACATATTTATTTCATTTAATTCTAATAACAACCCTATGAAGTAGTCACTATTATATTCCCCATTTTATAGATGAAGAAACAGAGGCATAGAGATACTAAAGTTCACAGCCAGCAAGTGATATGGTCAGCAATTACACCTGTCAGTTGAGCTTCAGAGCCTACAGTCCTATCCAGGAGGCACATGATATAGTGAGTGAGCAGCAAAGCCAGCGTCTACACCAGAAATCCTGAATGAGATTTCCCCTAGATCAATTTGTGAGGACTCAGCTGTATCATAAACAATAAAACAAAAGTTAAAAAGGAAGGAGGGCAGCACAACAGGTCTGTCACTATCTTGCTGTGTGGCATGGGGTAAATAACTTACATTTTCTGGGCTTGAGTTTCCATGTCGATTAAATTAAGGAAATGGACTAGAGAGTCTCCAGGGTCCCTTCCAGATTTGAATTTGATTTCCAGCTCTAAAAGAATATGTGTGTGGTGGGTAGCTAATGCATATTAAATTATGCAAACAATTTAGCCTTGCATTTGACTGCAGGGCTGATGAAATATTTTTAAAATTTACATTTACATAAGAGATAGTTTTGAAAAAATGCTATCTGAACATAACATGCAATCAAAAATATGTTTTATAACATGTCAACTGGATGAAAATAAAAGACAGTTTCAAAGATCAAAGAAGCCTAAATGTGTTTTTTTAAAGAGAGTGTGATGGGGTTATACATAGATTCATTATTATTATTTTTAGAACTGCACAGCTGTTTTGGCAGCTTGTTTTGTAAATCCTACTTTGCAAATGTAATGAGGTTTTTTTCCAAACAAATGTTAGTTAATGGAGCAGATAACACATTTATTTCCTTGTCATAGCTTAGCATTAAATAAGAAATGTAACAAGAATTCAGAGTTTAAAATATGAAACATGGTATTTGGTCTCTTTACTTACTAGTTACAAAATTAGAAAATAACTCAATATTTTACTTTCTCTCCATATATATTATAATTATCTGTAATTATAAAATATTTTTCATAACTTCATTTCTTGTCACATAAGTCTTTTGCTACTGTAAAATCAATAGTTGTATTACTAGTGCCTCTTCAAAGCAAATCTCAAGTCGCTGAGCAGAAATTTTTATAGTATCTGACATGATTTAGGCACTTCTTATGTGCAAAATACTGCTCTGAATGCTTTACATTTATGATATTATTTTTTTCTCACAACGAACCCATATCTAGGAACTATCATCCTCATTTGACAAATGAGGAAACTGAGGCAGAAAGAGTAACTTGCCAAAGTTAATCAGTTAGTTGAAGAGCTAGGATGTGACAACAGACCGTTGAGAGGTGCAGAATAAAACCAGAAACAACAGGATAAATAGCAATAATATAAGCTAAAATATTGTAATTTTTAGTTCAAATGTTTGAGGCTTTGATGTGATATCTTAGATATATTTCCACAGAAGGTCTGTCTTAAAAATGTAAAATTTAGGCCTTTTTTGAAGCCTTATTTATTCTTGAAAATTCTGTTTCATTACAAAAAGGATTTGACAAGAGAAATGCTGTTCTCCACTTACTCACTACACTGAATGATGGGGCCTCAGAAATTTGTGGTGCAGTTTTCCTTACACTTTCTGCAGTCTCTCACATTCAGTGTGTGGGGTATATTAGTTTCCTGGGGCTGCCACTACAATCACCACAAACTGGGTGGCTTAGACAACAAAAACTTATTATCTCACAGTTCTGAAGGCCAGAATTCTAAAACCAAAACGTCAGCAAGGCCATCTTCCCTCTGAATCCTCTAGGGAAGAATCCTAGTTTGCCTTTTCCTAGCTTTGGGGGGTTAATGAAAATCTTTGGTGTTTTTGGTTTGTAGCCACATCACTTCACCCTCTGCCTCTGTCTTCACACGGCCTTCTACCTGTGTATCTCTGCATCTCTCCTTCTTTTATAAGGACACTAGTCATTGGATGGAGGGCCCACTCTGAATCAAGTATGACATCATCTCAAGGTCCTTAATTAATTATATATGTAGAAAGCCTATTTCCAAATAAGGTCACATTCTGAGATTCGAAGTACACATGAATTTGGAGGACACTATTCATGTGTGGAGATACTGTGGCCTGGCATTAAGTTGACATTGACATACACCTCTGAGAGACCCTATATTAAACACATAATCTCTGTAATGACTTCACAGATGTCTCCATGCTGCCGAAGGTCGCACTGTGACCTCAGCTTGGGCACTTAGCAACACATGGGCAAACAGTTTTCAGCGATCTCAAAGGACTGAGGTGAAAGGATTAGGGGTAATCCTCTGAGTACAGTGCATCCAGGGCTTACCTAAAACATAACAAATATGTGCCTCAGCCCTCCCAAAGCTGTTCCCTATAGCCCTTATGCAATCCTAGAGTGCAAAGGCTTCAGTGTTTCAAATCCTCATACTTCCTGTAATCGTTTCCTGATTATACTGCAGATGCTAGTATGAAAATGTCTACTTGGAGATTTCCTGCAAAACTGTTTCCATAAATCTCCAATAACAGTGTAAATTAGAAACGAGAATTAACCTACACTCATCTGACTGCCATGACATACAGAGAACACACTACTCATTCATTTGCTGTAGGTAGTCACTTCATCCACTTGAAGAACATTCGTAAGTGATAGGTGGTGTTTTTAATCATAAGTTAGTAAAATGTGTATTTTATTGGTAGGTTATATTTTCAATCTTCTAAATATTTCTGAACAATTGTCTGATTAATTCCTTAGAATGCAAGCTCCATTTGTTCTCAGATTTCTTGCCAATATCTAGGTGAACATCTGGTACATAGTAGGTACTCAACACAACACATATTTTTTGAGTAAATGAATGAATGAGTGAATGAACTTGGCTGAATGAATGAATGAAACTGGATGACAAAGAAGAGAATGCAAAATTACTAGATTCTTAAATACACAACATGCCCCCTTATTACTCTAGTCAAAAAATAATTTATGCTAAAAGAGCTATTTTGTTTTGGATTCTCTTCCACTGTGTGCCGTCCCTCCATACTCCCACTATGAGATGTTTGAAAATTTTCTTTAAGGAGTGGCTAAGTGTACTATGTACCAAAATCAAAAAGTAAGTATGTAAATGACTATATCTTTGTTTTCACTGTGGCTTCCAAGGAGTTCTAGGTCAATTAATTGGGTCAAATATAAAAGCTCCATAGGCCTTTATGCCTACAGATTCTGTATATCTAATATTTATCTGATATATGTATATTAGATATATATATGTATATATTAGAGAGACAGAGAGAGCTGTAACACATATAACAATATGACCTCGAATTAATATTTTACTCTTGTTTCCCACATTAAGAAGTTCATTCTTTTGAATAGTTTCAGGTCTACAGAAATTGCACAGAGAGTGCAGAGAGTATATACTATAAATAAGGCACCAGATGTGATTACTCAGGAAGAGCGAAGAGACATGTAGAGCTTAATTTCTGCCCATGAGGTAAGTGGACGTGAGAGATATACACATAAACAGATAAAATGGATGCCTTGTACTGTTGAAAAAGGGATGACCATGTTTTGCAGGCAGTATTACAGTGTTTCCTAGAATCAAGAAATGCTGTATGTGAGGGAAAACCGGGAGGGACTTCCCAGATGAAGTGGCTCTTGGACTGGCCTTTGAAAAATAATGTAAAGGTACAACAGGTATGAGAAAAATTTTCGTGACATGAATGGCATAACACATATTTTTGAATGTTATCTAAAATATTAGATGAATGTAACCACCATAGTCTGGGGCTAGAACATATGGAACCACAGTCTAGAAGAACTATTACTATTTATGTTATTTATAATAGTAATAACAGTATGAAAAGTTCTTTGTCAGTTGTGATTCACTCTGGGTAGGACATTGTGATTCACCTTGTTTTCTTTCCAAACAAAAACATTATTATCTTTAATAATTTTTTGACATCAGAGAGGCAACTAAACTCTTCGTTAAAGGATAAGGTTGAGCACAGGCATTTATTTGATCATTTATATTCAGCTCTATTCATAAAAGGATTGAAAATAATTTCCACACACATATAATTAAATAGCTATAGGATTTCAGTTTTTAGGAGATTTTAGTTAGAATAGTTATTTGTGTACACATGTTATCACTCCTGGTTGGGAGAGAATATCATTTTACCTTAGAAGGGTAAATTGTCACCCCTTTATTTGCCACAACAGAGAAGCCGATTTTCAGTCACTCCTCCTACATCTTTATTCCATATGAGATGTAGGTAATCTCATTAGTCAAAACTTGATGCACTGGGCCATGTAAAAAATGAATAGGGCTATTTAGGTTTAAAAGGTGGTGGGAGAGTGGTCAGTCGGGGAAGCACTATTTTATATCACTGCCTGAATAGTGACAAAGAATTCCTCTCCTATTTCCACGTGGTCAGCACTTCTAAAACAGAGCCCAGGTTCTCTCAATCTCAGTGCACACATAAAAGCCTGAAATTCTCCTTCTTTCCTGCTCTACCAGAGAAATTCCACAAAGCTGAATGCATAAGAACATTTGGGATCACTTACAGACACAGCTTTCTCCACAGGTAGGCTCTGAGGTCTAATTCAGATACTCAGAAATAATCCCACACTCTGTCTTAGAGCAACACTGAATTCTGCATTGCAGCTTTTCCAGCTACTAGACACTTGCCACTAATAATAAAACTGTACTTTGCTCCCCATTTGCACTCTTGTCCCTATTTTCTACTAGTTAGAACCTAGAAAATCATTACTCCAAACCTCAACGTTCTTTCTACACTGGAAAGTTCTTGATGAGGAGGATCATGGAATATTCGCATTTTACCTTTGGTGACATGCTGATGATCACAGGGCACCCTGCCCATTGTGGATGTTCAATTAATATTCTTAAATGTAAATCTGGTTAATATAATTCTTTGAGATATCTGCTAAAATATGCCCCAATTGCTGCTATATTCTACTCTGTCCTTCAAATAATCTTTACACCAGAAGTTTCCAACACAAATGTAAAAAACATAGTATTACCTTTGCAATTTGGCTTCCCAATGATATGAGACTCTAGCTAAATGCAGGATATGGGGACAGAAGGGAGAGGAGATTTTCAAAAAAATAGGAAGAACAAAATGTATTGATCTATTTGATTTTTGAGAAGCAGGTCACACTGCAGAACAGCCTTTTATCTAGCATTCCACAGGGAGAGAGTAATGTTTGTCATGATTCTCAAGGCAAATCAATAGAGCTAGAGAATAAAAAGAACAAAACTCCAAATCTCAAGTTCCCAATTAACTCAGAAAGCAATGAAATCTAGACAAGCTCTAATGTAATGCACTGGCTTTCATAAAGTCATAGAATCAACAGGCTGGAAGTGTTGAAATAAGTTCCTGGAGTCACCTAGAAAACTACTGGGGAAGCTGGATTTTAACTCATTGGCCCTGGTGTTATGCAGCAAGCACTAGGCTCTTATCAGATTGCTGGTGACTCTGAAGTTATGAATGTTACTGGGATTTACAACAAGCTGATTGGACTGCCCAGGAGCTACTTTAGTTAGGTTCCACCAAGGTACAAGTACAGACATAGCCTTTATTCGGATACACATTACAGAGACGTATAACAAGCTATTGTAGTATACTAAGTACTATTTGGGATTTACCATGACCTGACAAATGCAGTGTTCAAGTCTTGAGTATACTGCTGCCCTATGAAATGAAATGTAATATAAATCATGTTCTGCCAGTTTAATCCCCATGACCCTTAGTAGTTGATAAGCAATACCTGTGACAGTGGAATTATTATCTCCATTTTACAGATGAGCTATATAAGCCTCAAAGAAATAAAGTAACTTGGCCATAACCACATTATTTCTAATTGGCCAAGCCAGTACTAAAATTCAAGCCTCCTGAGTCTAAACCTTATGCTCTTTTCACTACAATCTCAAGCAAATATCTTCACATCAAGAACTGATTTTCTAGATCAATGACTTATGAAGAATATCAGCTTATTACAGGGAATGCAACATGAGTAAATTAAATATCATTCATATAGTTTGCTCCTGTATTTTTTTTTCAAAAATGGCCTATGTAAATAAGCATTTTTCTAAGAATCTCTCATGTGAGTGTAGTTCAGTTACTGTCATTTTCTTATTATAACTTGAAATTCTTTTAAATTCTGAAGCTCTCGTTTCACTTTCTACCCTCTGTAATAAAACTGAAATGTCCAAAAAACTAATTATACTTTCATTTTTGGTGTTTATGCTGTGAACCACCTTTTAGGTCAAACTAAAATTATTTTCATGGCTGCCTTTAGTAATTAAAACTTCTTGCATGAAGTAAAAGAAATAACATCCTATTGTGAGAGTATTCTAGACTATTTCAAGGTTATCTTGTTTTTGGTGGAAATAACCAAAGATAATTGAGTGAACGAATAGTGTGCTCCTTAACTATGACAGCAAATGTTTGCATATTTACAATGTGCTGGAGATACAAAAATTAGCACAACCTGGTGCCTGTCCCTGACGAGACTGCAGTTTAGGAGAGATGGATACACAATCAATTAAACAAAAATTTATCAAACTTAGTCATATAAGCAAAGAATGGCAGGCTTAGAGAAGGCCAGTCATTCATTCATGTGATGCAAGTGAAAATTCCAATAAGGAGGTGATAACTGAACCTTGAAGTAACAGACATACTTTTGCTACAATATGAACTTTAAAAAGCTAAGGAGTAAAAGGATCAATCCTAGAGCTCTGAATTGTATATCATCGGATTTCTGGTTAAGTTTTCCATTACATGTGCTGTTGGCGCCCATCAGAGAGAGGTTAATTTTCTGATGGAGCTATGAAGCCTCCCAAAGGTCCTTACCAAATCAGAAAACCCTCCAACTCAAATATGCATCCATGGTAGACTCTGTTTGGAAGCGTTCCCACTCACTGTTTGCATTCACTGTTACTAGTGCTGAGTACTGTGGTGTTACTGAGTTATGGAGAATTTAAAGCAGCCAGAAATCTGTACCCTCTTTTTCAGTTGCTTAGAATGATCTGCAATCTGACTGAATTGATTGATTTCTGGGATCATGACCAGTTTTGGTTGTTTCACATATGCTTACAAATGGTAGATACAGAGGTTTTCAACAAGGAAATGTTAAATCGTCTCCCAAAAAGGCACAAAAGAGAGAATGGAATGAACTGATTCTTAATGAAGAAATAACTGAATGAAAAAGAAATCCTTTTATCTATTGTGTTAATTAATATTCACAAAACTTTTAAGACAATGGTTTATTGTTGTTCTGAGTATACTCTTGAGATTGATTTTTGTTTAATTATCTTCATTTTTATCAACAAGTGATCAAATAACACAACAGTTCCATGATAGCAGAGGGTTTTGACCACTTATGGGAAACTTTAAGACACTATATATCTGCTGCTAAGCCATGGCATGCACACTTACAATGTACAGAAGTGTTGCTGTAAAATATGTCAGCCTTTCAAAATGTTTTCTTCAGGGTTTACATCCTATGCAATTCTAAGATAATAAGGCAATTTACAAACTTATAAAAAAGCCAAAATAGAAAATTAATGATCAAACATAAATGGAATTGTCTGAATGACTCAGAATAAATTAAAGACTACCAGGCCTAAAATAAGAAAAATATAGCATTTGACTATACTAACCTTTTTTCTCCAAATAAATTTTGTCAATCTCCCTGTTTCTTTTTGATTAACGTTCAATGTTTAGATCTAATCACATCGACTACCATAATAATTTATGAACCATCCTTTATTTACTAATTCCCTTAGTGTTACTTCCTTAACCCTCATCTGCACTTAACAATTCACTGCTGGATATATTATCTCATTCTCCAGTTGTATTCCCTTTTTGCCTATTGTCTCTCCAAGTAAATCAGGGAGGAACCGTGTCTTGTACTTTCTTTGTATCTTAATGATACTTAACACAACTCTATGCATATACCTTTATTCAGCAGTTGTTCAGAGGTTAACAGTCCGTGAAATTTAGCTTATTGTTTTAATGTGTTTAGCTATCTGGTCTGTTGCATCAAAGCAGACTAGAAGCAGCAACCATGAGAAAAGCTCCGAAAGCTAGCACAGATGAGAAGAGATTACATTTAAAAAGCCAGCCAAAATAGTAAAACCACTAACCCCAAAGTAGACTGGGGTCCTTCAGTGGAGGGGCAAATGATTGCAAAACCTTCAGTGACTCTGAGAATGTAAATGAAAAGGGTATTCATCTAGATTCCAAGTTCAACAACTATTTATTTAATACTTATTGTGTGCCAAGAACTATGCCAGAATTTGAGTTTACAAAGGTTGACACGGCATCTGGATCATTTGCTTTTGAGATGCTCACTGTCTACTGGTGGAAAGGGATACATTATCTTATTTTCAAAAAAAAGAAAAAGTGGCAAATGCGATGACAAACACAAACACATTAGAGCAGAAGCGCAGACAAAAGATACTTCTTTAACCCAGCCTAAGCCAAAAAGGGCTTCCTGGTGTAGTAACTTCCCTTGATAAACTCAGTTGCCAAGAAAATGTAGTTATTGTCTGTTATTGTTTAATAAGGCACTAATCACTAATCACTCCTAGAAATAAGTTGAAGGAAAGGCTTTAGAATAAAAAAAATCTTCCAAAAGTGCTTCAGGATTTGGGGTGTTCACTATAGGCATAACTTTGGGTAGAAGTGACAAGTTTTCAAGCGATGTGTGGGCAGGGAAAAACTTAGTTTGTGAATTGCAATGCTACTCTGTGTGACAAAGATGCGTCATTCACAAAATACAAACAATTACCTAACAGAAAAATAAATTCACAGCAGGAACAAGAGTGATTTATAGCAATTAATGCAGAATACACTTAACACAGACATCAAGAAATACTATCAAAGCTGAAGCACAATTACATAAACCATCTAGGTATCGTTTAAGAGAAAGACAAAACATAGTATCTATTCTCCCGAAGGATTCATGAATCTTCCTTCAAAATTAGATTTATACCTGTGATTAATTTTTTTAATTTTTACTAAATTATGGTATGCTCTTTTGTTATAGCTGATATCCAGATGAAATTTATATTTAAAATACAAATGATACTTGTATCTTAATTGATGATTCCACGTTTCCACTTAACAGCCTGAAAGTTCATCCATGGCCATCCTATTTTCTTGAATCATCAACTATAAAGTGTTCATAATTAGGATTTTGGCAATGATAAATGTACTTAAGCAATGGAGCTCAAACTAATTCTTATTTAATGGCTTTTCAGTATCAAAGTAGACAAAATTTTAGTCTATCCCAAAACTAGTTTGTGCTGGTTACCAAGGAACATGGGACCTGGTTATAAATCCATTTTTCTATTTGAAATGACACTTTAAAGATTGGCTGCAAACTGTGCACTCAAGATATAAACACTATATTTCCATTTTAAATGTCTTCAACATTACCTAAGCTCTCATGTGCACCATGCCTTTTATGCTTAACTTTTATCACAGAACTACCATTCATGATACCAAAAAAGGCCTCATGTCCGAGTGCCCTTGACATCCTGCTACAAGAGGAAACCACTCACTGATACTCAAGTCTATTATCACCAAGAAATCTTTCCAGGAAATTAGATGACATTCAAGGAAAACACTGATAATCATGCAGGAACCTGAAGGTTATATTTTAAATGATTTGATCAGCCTCTGACGATAGGAAATAGATTTGGGGAAATAGCTGAGCATCTTTCATTCATTTATTCAACAGTTATTGATTATGTATTCACAATGCCAGGCTCCATTCTAAGTGCTGGGATGCAGGACCCAACAAGGTAGACAAGGTCCCTGGTCTCATGGAACTTACATTCCTTTGAATGAGTCCATCAGTGCCTAGCTAAATACATCAATAATTTCAGACAGTGGCAAGTGCTGTAATGACAACAAAATAGGTAACGTGACTGGTGATTTGGAGCAACAGGATAGCGTCTCAGCTTTTGTGCCAAAAGGAAGGTAAGAATAAAACGAGAAGGAACACTCACTGGAAGATATGAAGAAAAAAATAAGTAGAGGATTCAAATGCGAAAATACAATGACCATTCTAAGTCGATATGTGTGAGGAAGAGACTGGAATCTTGCTGGGTACTGCACAGACCTGGCTCCAGCCTACAGAAGAGAAGAGCAAACAATCCAGAGTGGGATTATCGACTGCATCTCTTATTTTCATTATGTGGGAGAGTTAACCACTTTTAACTTTTGTTTATTCACTACAAAATTAGAGGAACAACATCAAATTTCTAAGTTTGTAGTTAATATTAATTAGTGTAAATAAAGCACTTGGTACATATTAGATGTCCAATAAATGCCAGTTCTCTCTTTATCAGGGGAATAAGTAGAATTTACAAAATAGGGATTACAAGGAGATATGAAACCCAGTTATAATAATTTATTTTATAACACAGCTGACAGTGCCTCATTCAACCTTCCAGTAACCCTTCAGAAAAGGTTTTATCATCTTTCTCTTATGGATGAGAAAACTGAAGCTCAAAGAGATCAAGTGACATTTGCAAGATGATTGCTTTGCATGGGAGCTTGGAGTTAGACCCAACTAATATCTCCTCTTGGCTGGGGATGGAAAGACAAAGTTGTTGGTCAAAGGGTACAAAGTTTTAGTTAGATGAGAATAAGTTTTGAGATCAATTGCACAGCAGGGTGATTATAATCAATAATAATATATTGTGTAATGCAAAATTACTACGATAGTAAACTTCCAATTTCTTACCACAGAAAATTATGTGAGATGATAAATATGTTAATTAGTTTGACTTATTCCACTTTGTACATATATATCAAAACATCAGTCTGTACCTCATAAGTGTGTGCAATTATGATTTCTCAATTAAAAATAACAATTTTTAAAAAGATTTGGCTGCACTACACTGCCTACTGATCGTATCCCTATGATAAAGTAATACATAAGTCACAGCTTCAGATAAAGGCGTAGGAGCTTTTCATAAAGTAGTGAAAGAAGGGGAAGTTGTAGGAGTTACAATCTGTCTATAGAGTACAATTCCAAGTTACAATGGTTAAGGGCAAGCCTACTGAAGACAGCTAAGCCCAGCCCTGTGGTGTGCCATTTATTAGTCATACATGCGAAACACCTAGCATGCTACCTGACACTAACAGAGTATTCATTT
The DNA here is from genome assembly GCF_000001405.40 of Homo sapiens. Lineage (NCBI taxonomy): Eukaryota > Metazoa > Chordata > Mammalia > Primates > Hominidae > Homo > Homo sapiens. The sequence goes on from NC_000003.12 coordinate 192,290,619, forward strand.
GCCCAAGTTGTGCTGCTCGTGAGTAGCAGGGATGGGACTTGACCTCTCAAGTTTCCAACACATCATGATACTTATTTCTTCATGTAACTAGCTGGGAAATTCACTTGCTACACAGAAAAGACAGGTTCTTAAATTATATTGTATTAAAGTGACTCTTTGTTAAAACACAAAAATATCCCAATAGTTACATGCAGGTTGTATCCTTGTTAATAACAATATAGGAATCTTAGAATCAATTCTGGTCTGGTAAGCTATAAAGTTATTTACTTCAAAAAAAAGGACACATACAAAAAATATGTATATAACATACATGTATATACACACATACATCGAAAAACATCTATACATACAAGTGTGTATTTTTCACCTCTATGCATATATGTGTGTGTATTTATCTATCTATCTACATATACAATGTCACTATCCCTTGTTTATTAAATAACATTAAATTACCATGTCTCCAGTTCATGGACTGTACATGTATTTGTGCATAAATAAATTGCTTTTCTTATTATCTTCTGGTGATTTACTACTATTGAGTAGGAGAGCTTCTTGTATACGAAGAACATCTGATATATGTGTATATATTTTTATAAAACACTTTTCATTTATTAATTATTCTATGGACATAACAGTTTGAGAATCTTATGGATGTTACTTTTTAAAAAATTATCACTACAGGCCAGGCATGGTGGCTTATACCTGTAATCCCAGCACTTTGGGAGGGCAAGGGAGAAGGATCACTTGAAACCAGGAGTTTAAGACCAACCTGGGCAACACAGTGAGATCTCATCTCCATAAAAAAATAAACAAAATTAGCTGGGTGTGGTGGCACACACCTGTGGTTCTAGCTACTCAGGAAGCTGAGGTGGAAGAATTGCTTGGGCCTGGGAGGTCGAGGTTGCAGTGAGCCAAGGTTGCACCAATGCATTCCTGCCAGGGCAAAAGAACAAAACCCTGTCTTAAAAAAAAGAAAAAAAAAAATTACCATGGCCAGAGGTTTGTTCCAGAATATCACCCAAAAATATTCCTCAAATGAATACTCTGGGAAGTACTGGCTTACTAATACAGAGCAAAAGGTATATATTAATAGAATAAATGTGAGAAACCTATGGAAATAAGTAGGGGAAATAAATATATGGAAACAAATGAGTCATAGAAATACATTCTTTCTATGTTTTAAGGGAAATACTAAAGTTATGTAACCTTTGACACAACTTGTGGAGCAAAAGATTGTGAATCTTAACTAAAAGGAAAAAAGAACTATTTTCCCAAAGTCCTCATAAAAGCAAAGTGTGCTATATTCAACAATACGTGTATCAAATTGGCATTGGGATCATGCAGCTAACCCAATTTGAAATGCCATTTAAGTAGAAATAGGAAGGCAAATCATAATAATTCCACAATCAAAGCTCAAAACATGTGTTGACACTCAACCAAAATATGAAAATGGCTAACATTCACACCAAATTTTGATTACACTCATAGTAAATTTAAAACTACTCACTAATATTGCTCAGAATCAGAAGTTTGTTCAGCGTGTTATAAGCGACTTTCTAAGGGCAAGTTACTTTGTTCACATATGGACCAAGTAGCTATTGACAAATCACGTGGTTTCTTTTCAAATGCTTTGTGTTTGTGGCATTTTATTGGTCATTGTGTCAGGAATACCAAACAATTTTTTTTTTTTTAGTGTTTGCAGAATATTATACAGTACAAACATAAAATAATATGTTGCAATGAGTCAGCATCCTTTTCTAAGTTTTATAAAGAGAATTCGTGATAATTTACTTTAGGACAGTGACCTTGATTGCTTTAAAATGCCTTTAATCAGTGCTAATTTCTCATCTTAAAGGAAAATGGAAACATCTGAGTCAATTCTATTTCTACATTGTCTTACTTATAAAATAATAAAATAATGAGAGGATATTAAAGGAAAAATCATTCATTTATTCAAATATGCATACAATTGCTTTAAGTCTAAGATATTGAAATAAACATGGCACCGTTAAAAATATTTTAACGGTCTATACAATTTTCTGGCTTGTAAAGTCAGTCTCTCTCTCTGACTGGCTCACTTTCTATCTAAAACATACCTATCTGAAACAACAAACAACACACTTCAATACAAACATACCAGTTGAACAAGGGACTTCTTATTTATTTTCAATTTTTTGAGACAAAGTCTCGCTTGGTCACCCAGGCTGAAGTGCAGTGGTATGATCATGGCTCACTACAGCCTCGACCTCCTGAGCTCAAACGATCCTCCCACTTCAGCCTCCTGAGTAGCTACAGGACTACAGGCATGTACCACTATGTCCAGCTAGGCTTTTTTTATTTTTTTAAGATGGGGGTCATGCTAAGTTGCTCAGGCTGATCTCGAACTCCTGGCCTCAAGCAGTCCTCCCACTTCATCCTACCAACGTGCTGGGATTATAGGCATAAGCCAACAACTGACTTCTTGAGAGGTAATTTTGATCATATGATCTCTCAGAATTTCATTTAAATTTCTTTCATAGACATCTGAGAAAGAGATATTAAAGAAGGAAAGAGAGAGATTTCATTTAATTCAATCAAAGTTTTCTCTGGTTAATCTAATTCTGTGCCTTAGTGATGTTTACTGAAAAAAAAATGGTGGAATTTAGAGGAAGAAAAACACTTTCTCTTGGGAAATAAAAGAAAATCATATGAAAATTTACCTGTTACAATTCGTTAACAGAAGAGAAAATGAAGTGTATGTATCTGGAGATTTCCAATCATCTTTCCAGTGCTAAATTTGAACCTCATTCTCAAGGGTTTTCTAAAATAAAACTTAACATACCTTTCCATCGTCACATCCTCATGTCCTCAAGGCTAATTTGATTTAGGGATTATTCTAGTGTTTCGATTTGCTATCAGTTTGAGAGCCTTTGTATCAAAAAGAAGTGCCAAATTTTGTGAGGTTCTTAAGAGAATAATGCAGGTGAATAAAGCCTCAGTATACTGGGCTTCTCAGGAATGTAGCACTGACTGCCATTTATAATTAATTAAAGATTTAGAGATTCTGTACCTTTCAAACGTTCCTTCTTTTTGTGTGGAACATTTTCTAATATATATTCAACATTTGCCTGCCTTTTCTTTTGATTCAGGGTTGTTTCTCCTAGTTCTTGCTTATCTTCATCTGTTTGGGTAGTTGTAGCCAATGGCTTATAAACAATATAACTTTATTTCTTACAGTTCCAGAGGATGGGAAGTCCAATATCCAGGTGATGGCAGATTTAGTGTCTGGTAAGTGCTTGCTCTTCTGGTCGATAGATGAGGCTGTCTGTCTGTGTCCCTACCCAAATCTCATCTTGAATTGTACTCCCATTATTCACTCAAGTTGTGGGAGGCACCTGGTGGGAGATAATTGAATCATGGGGGTGGTTTCCCCCATACTGTTCTCATGGTAGTGAATAAATCTCATGAGATCTGATGGTTTTATAAGGGGTTTCCGCTTTCACTTTTCTCTCATTCTCTCTTTGCCTGCTGCCATCCCTGTAAGATGGGACTTGTTCCTCCTTGCCTTCCACCATGATCATGAGGCCTCCCCAGCCATGTGGAACTGTGAGTTCATTAAACCTTTTTTCTTCCCAGACTCGGGTATGTCTTTATCAGCAGTGTGAAACAGACTAATTCTCAGAGTCCTTACTTGGAGGAAGGGGCTAACTAGATCTCCAGGGTCTCTTTTATAAGGACATTTATGACATTTTTGAGAGCCCTTATGACTTAATCTCCCAAAGGCCCCATTTCCTAAAACTACCACCTTAGGAGTTAGGATTTCAACATATGAATGTAGGGGGGCACAAACATTCAGTCATAGCACTGTTCCCTGTCATCGCTGTCACTCTTTTCTTTTTCTCCTTTTTAAGTGTAGCTTCCTGTCTCCTTAGGCAAAGAAACAAAACAACCTAGGTTGGAAGAAGCACAGATATCAGATCATATAAAAGCAGAATAATTTCTACTCTTACAAATAAAGTGCATGAGATTGTATAGAAAGGCATCACAATTTGTCTTTTTAATGTTTAACATGCTTTTTTGCTTTCTTCCTGATCTTCCAACATATTTTGGCTTATAGGGAAAAGTTTTGCAACTATAACATAAAATAAAAGATAAGCAACAGCAATCTTCTAAATTGATAGGGGTAAATAAACTTTAATTAGATTAGGTAACTACTTTTAGAAAAATATAATATCTCTCTATAAAGACATATTGTTTAACACTAAGAGGGCTCCCTTGAGTATATAAAACTAAGAAGTCATCAAGAGGTTTGGTTTCTTGAAACACAAACTCTCAGAATTTTGCCCATAAGACCCTAACTTAAAATAATACCAGTGGACTCTAGCAGGTTAATTATCCTACCAATCAAAGACAGTTCTATGCAGATGTAAACATATTGTTTCTAGTGACAAAAAATGATGAGGCTTTAAGACTCAGAGTGATGGAGAAGAAACGGTATGAATCTTGCCTCATTCTCTTGCTAGCATTCAGTCACCTCCCCACCTCCTACTCTCTCTGGCTTACAAAAGCCGACCTATCTAAGAGAACTGCCTAGAGCCTTCTGGCAATACATTGTACTTTTTGGTGTGGGTCAGTGGCAGGATTGGAACTAGTAATTGGATTTCCGCACTCCCAGTTCACTTATCTATCCACTACAAAACAGCATGTTAATTTTGGAAATATTTATACCACTAGGTCATCATGACCTTTGAATATAACCACTGGCACCAATTATATACCAGGAATCTCCTTATGCCTCACCTAACTAGAGTCATTGCCCATGGCAGTATGGACTTCAGATGCCTTCTCTCCTGGATAACTGTTCGACATATATAAAACCTCAAAATAATGTGTTATATTTAAGAAGAATTCGAAGACAGAATATCCAAGTGTGGATATATCAAATTAATGTCTACATTTCTCTCTTAATTTTCTATCCAAGGAATAAGAGCTAAATATAATCACAGCAGGAATCCTAATGAAATGTTTCAACAGGAAGCAATATTAAAGTATATCAACCTAGAGTGATTGTTTTGATAGACTGTCTTAAAGGTAAATCTAGATTTTCTCTTTAAAGAATACTGAATCTCAAATAAAATCAAATCTCTTCCCTGAAATATCTGTCAAAATCAAATTGGTATAGACTATTTTTATCACAAACACTCCCATTTTTCATAGCTATTCCAATACAACTCTGATTTAAAAACTGCAATAGAAATATTTAATTTAATTAATTTATTTTTAAATTTTATTTTATTTTTTTTGAGACAAGGTCTTGCTCTGTTGCCCAGGCTGAGTGCAGTAGCACTATCACAGCTCACTGCAACCTCCATCTACCAGGCTCAAGCGATCCTCCCACCTCAGCCTCCCAAGTAGCTGGAACCACAGGCACACACCACCATGCTGACTAACTTTGTTTTTCTTTCTTTTTTTTTTTTTTTTTTTTTTTTGTGGAGACAGGGTTTCACCATGTTGCCCAGGCTGGTCTTAAATTCCTGACCTCAACCAATCTACCTGACTCGGCCTCCCAAAGTGCTGGGATTACAGGCGTAAGCCACCATGCCTGGCCTACAATGTTTTCATTTTATTTTATTTTTTTTTTTTTGAGACAGGGTCTCACTCTGTCACCCAGGCTGGAGTGCAGTGGCACAATCATGGCTCACTGCAGCCTTGACCTCCCAGGCTCAAGTGGTCCCCCCACCTCAGCCTTCCCAGTAGCTGGGACCACAGGTGCACACCATCATGCCCAGCTTATTTCCATATTTTTTGTAGAGTCAAGGTTTTGCCATGTTACCCAGGCTGGTCTCAAACTCCTGAGCTCAAGTGATAGCCCCGCCTTGGCCTCTAAAAGGGGTGGGATTACATGTGTGAGACACTGTGCCCAGCCTCATTTTATTTTTAAACAAAATCTTCAAAAATTGTCCTGATTTAATAAGAAAATACAACATCCTAAAACATGATATTAATATTTACCATCTTTAGTTGTACAGATTCTTTATTTCTTTGTAAAGAACATTATTAGGTCTTCATAAGAAATGAAATATTGCTCTTTATGAGTTTAATGCACATAAGTAATCTATAATTCTGTATGAAACTTTTACAATCCCTTAAGAAATGTCCTGCAAATTTGATAATATCAAATTTAAAAATAAAATACTTTTAAGGTCCAAACTTTAGATTTCAGAAAAAAACATGTGGAGTACTTAGTTTATACAGCCTAACTCTGTTCTATCATTTGCACTGATAACATTATTCCTGAACACATTTTAGCCCAAACCCAGGGAAGATAGGCTTACATGCAAGTTTACAAAAGGAATAAAATCCAGGTAGTCAGCAAAGTGCCCACAAATGAGAACCGAAATTCTTCTAAATTGCTTTGTTCAAGTTTCATTATCTAGACTTGTTTTTGGCACAACATGGTTATTGCTCACCCTTTACTATCCCTTCTACCAGCACATGTTGTGAAGAACAATAAAAGTACTAGGGTCAATATATAGGTATGTCTGCTCAAAAAAATAATAATAAGAGAAAAACCTATTTGGTTAGAATTTCCCACGATTTGCGTCATAGCCCACAAACAAGACCGATTCATTCACTTTTCTGGAAATATGCTATGAAGCAAAAATTTTAAAAATTAAAAACGTCTTCTGGATTGCTAGACTGGTTCAGTCGCAATACTTTGTTTGAAAAGGGAAGAGAAAAGTATACTGTTTGGTAATTGGAACTCAAAGACCACATCCTGTGTTGTTAAATGCAGATTTCTTGATTGGCATGACAGAGTATGCAATATAATTATTTTTAATTGCCAATTCACATATCTAAAGAAAAGAATATATAAGACTCCCAGAGGCACTGTTCTATAGCAGGAGTTTAATACGTCAATGCAGGCTTTAGCAAATAAGGGCTTTTGTCAATATTTCCCTGGCACATCACCCACAACATAACAATACCACTTAGAATTTATATAGGCCCTTCATTTGCAAAGTGCTTTAAAATAATTAATCCCCAGAATACTCATTTGTCAGGGGAATGAGCAATTGATTATAAAACTGAGGATTTCAAGCAAGAAATGGTTTGGATAAGTTCAAAAAGGAATCTCATTTTGAAATAGAATCTCTATTTGAAATAGAATCTCTAACATCCCCAAAGTTAGCAGTGCTGTTTTGATATGGTTAACATCTTTAATATTTTTAGGCACTGATAAGTTGAACCCATAGGTTTCTTTATGCTCTCTATATTTCTCGAAAGCTCACTTCTGTACTCCAACGTGTGTGCAGTTTTTAAGAGCCACAGGTTTTTCCATACATTCTCAAAAATGGTAGAATGTCTATATTTCTGAATATAACACTGAGAAGGCATTTGTAACCGCTATTACAATATTAGACCATTAGCGCTGTGGTGGCAAGCACAAGTTCACTATTGTATACCCGAGACTGAACACAGTGCATGGCACACAGCAATCACTAGTCATCCCAACATAAAAAGCTAATGTTCTCTCAGCTTCATTAACTCATATCTTTATTTGTTCATTCATTTAACCAGTCAATCAATCATCATTTGTTGAGCTCTGCTATCTGCAAATCACTGAATGATTTAGCAAGAAGATGAGAAAAATGTTATCTGTCCCTTGATCTCATAGAGTTTACAATTAACTAGAGATATATAGGTAAGTGAAAAATGAAGATGATTAAAGACAACAATAGAAGAACAGGAAGGTCGGAGAACAAAAGAAGAAAGAAATATTTCTATTTGGTGAGTGTCTTAGTCCATTTTGTGTTGCTATAAAGGAAAATCTGGGGCTGGGTAATTTATTTTAAAAATAGGTTTATTTTGGCCAGTCACAGTGGCACATGCCTGTAATATCCCAGCATTTCGGGAGGCCGAGGTAGACAGATCACTTGAGGTCAGGAGTTCAAGACCAGCCGGGCCAAAATGGTGAAACTCCATCTCTACTAAAAATACAAAAATTAGCCAGGTGTGGTGCATGTCTGTAATCCCAGTTACTCAGGAGGCTGAGGCAGAATCACTTGAACCCAGGAGGTGGAGGTTGCAGTGAGCTATCGTGCCACTGCACTCCAGCCTGGGTGACAAGCAAGTCTCTGTCTCAAAGAAAAAAAAAAGAGGTTTATTTTACTGATGGTTCTACAGACTTTACAAGAAGCATGGCACCAGCCTCTGCTTCTGGTGAGGACTCAGGAAACTTCTGGTCATGGTGGAAGGAGATGTGGGAGGTGGAGTCTGCATATCACATGGTGAGAGAGGGAGCAAGAGAACAAACAGAACATGTCAGGTTCTTTTTAACACACAGATCTCATTGGAACTAAGAGTGAGAACTCATTCAATTCCTCAAGAATGGCACCAGGCAATTCATAAAGGATGTGCTTCCACGACCTGAACACCTCCCACCAGGCCCCGCCTCCAACAGTGCAGATCAAATTTCAACACCTGATTTGAAGGGGACAAATATCCAATCAATATCAGTGAGGATTCAAAACAATGCTTCACAAAAGATGTAGTTTTACTTGGGTTTTGCATGATTTTGATAGGCAGAAGAAATTGGAGAAGATTGTTGCAGACTGAGGGAAGGCCAAGAAGTAGAAATAGCTTTCCTGCCACCACCAATTTGGAGAAATTTGTAGCTGAAATTATATCACTTTTGACTACACTCTGTAAATTCAAATTTGATTTGTGTTGCTGAGAAATTCTGGATGAGATTGGCCTGTGATTACCATACAAATTGGTTGTATGTAAATATGTGCTTCTATAGTGTTTGAGGACATGACTTATTCTTTCATATATCTGAAATATTCCTCAGATTGTTTCCTCTCCTAATGTATATTGTATTTAAAAAATGAGAAAATGTAAGTCTCTTTTGAATAAAAGGCTGAAAGACTTCTATGGCATACTACACCATAATTACTTATATGCAAACATACAATAAGTCTACAGAAACTCCTCAAATACACATTTAACTTTGTTCTAGGCATTATGGAGGATATAGTGTTGTTCCCAAAAGAATGTCTTAACAGTGCTGATACATTAAAAATGTTCTATAAATTCTTGTTAATTAAATATTACCTGATGAGTTTACAATTTGAAGGGAGGACGAGTGACTCCAGACTATGAGGAGAACGACTGGAATGCCACATGAAGTCGTAGACAGTGCTCTCTGTGCAATGAGTAAGGCACAAAACACTGAGCCAGTCATTGAACTCAAGTCTTCCCGATCCCAGTCTAAGATAGTCTTTCCACAGATACATTGATTCTATTAGATATTTCCTCATTAGAAGGACTTCATTTCAGTACTGAAATTACAAAGCTGCCTCAGGTATTTATGCATTTTATTTTTCTTCCCCTGTGCTCATGTGATGCTCCACCTGTCCCACTGGGGCCTATTTTCTCTATGGATTGTGTTCATCTCCCACAAAAGCCAATAGAAACTCTGGCAAAACATAGGGGAGCACAGGCAATCCCTTCTGCCACCCCTAGGGCATGCTCAGGAAGACACTGGTATCGCTGCTAATAGCACCTACCAGGTGTCCTGGGTTGGAAAATCTTACCTACTCTGTCACATGGCAGCCCTCCTCCCAGAGCTAGCCACCAGTGGTACTTACTAAATTATAATGATCTACTTTAAATATCAGTAAATGATGGTGCAACTGACTTTAAAACCAATTTGGATATTTGCTGGACATATCTGTCATTGAGGCCGATTATGAAAGGTTATATAAAACTTAACAATGGGGCTGTCCAGATGGGACCTAATAGTTTACCTTAATTTTTAGCTTAAACAGAGACAGCCCAATATTACAATCCTGGACTACCAATCTATTACCTTCCAAATGCCTGGGGCCAGGTCCTGGGGGAAGCATGGTAGGTGCCAATTTTGGTCAAGTCAGGTCTTTCTTGGGGGCGGTCATGAGAAGTAAGAGTGAAGAGTTGTAGATAATTATATTTCATAATAATTCATTTTCTTTATAATGTTATGTATTTTTTTATATATAAATTAAAAAGTATTATTCTAAAAAGGGAATCCCTAGACTTCACAAGACTGCCAAGTTGATCCATGGCACAAAACGGTTAAGAATCCCTGAAGGCTCACCTGGCGCAGTGGCTCACATCTGTAATCCCAGCACTTGGGAGGCCAAGGGGGGCTGAGCACTTGCAACTAGGAGTTTGAGACCACCCTGGACAACATGGTGAAACCCCATCTCTCCTAAGAAATACAAAAATTAGTTGGGTGTGGTGGCACATACCTGTTACCCCAGCTACTTGGGAGGCTGAGGCATGAGAATTGCTTGAATCCGGGAGTCGAGATCACCCCACTGCACTCCAGCCTGGAGGACAGAGTAAGATTCTGCCTCAAAGGAAAAGAAAATTCCCGAAAGATTGTCCAGAAATCAGTTAATGTGCAAGCATAGCAAATGCATGGGACAAAGAAGAGTAGAGAGGTCACTTTCCATAAGGAAAACACAATGAGGTATTGAAAGTCCAAAGAAACATGGACTTAAAATATTACTGTGAAAAAAAAAGGGCAATAGAAAGGAGTTTGCAATATCTGGAAGGGGATGGGTTAAGACTAGGTGAAGATAAACGAATCACCGGGCATGGAGAAATCATTCCAAGACAAGCATCAGGGAGAAAACCGAATACTCTCTTTATCTTGCAAGTAGTGTCTTAAAGAAACAGGGTCCCACTAAATAGTCACTTGGGAGAAATAGCCAAGAGCTACTAATTATTGTTTAGTTACTCAATTCATCCAGTAAGTAAAAATGTATTGAACACTTATTATGTGTCAGGTACCACATGCTAGGTGATAGATATCCAATGGTATAGAAACACCACAAATGGTCTTTGACCTTGTGAAGCTTACAGTTGACTTGGAGAGACAGGCATTAGTTAAGTGAGTAAGAACCCAAAAAATTATGATAAGCTCTACGGAGGAAAAGAGTACTGTGGCAACAAAGGCATGCATAGTCTCGTGGTCAGTGGAATTGAAGTTTTGACCTGTAAGATGAGCACAAATTGGCCAGGCAGAGTGGAGGGAGGGTGTTCCAGATGAAGGGAGGAGCATGTAGAAAAAGAGGGTACTGCTGCTTAGTATTTTGAATTATGACACTCTTCAACACACTGCAGAAATTGGGTAGATTCTCCACCTTGAGAAGAAGAAAAGAGAGTATGGGAGTAGAAGTCAGGTAAGGAAGGGAGCAGGGAAAGAAACAAGGAGGAGGAGGCAAACTTTCGCCATCTAATCCTTTGACTGGAGCCCGAGCAACCACCTCTTCTTTTATTTACTCTCCAAATCAGAGCCATCTTTTCTCTCTTACACCTTTTGCCATGAAAAGAATATGATGAAGAGAATAAGAGAAACCCTATTTCATTTTAATATTTACCAAGAATCCAAAATGTACAACTGAGACGGTGTTATGGAGAATATAAAAGTGAGCACAACACTTGCTTTGCAGAACAATCAAGTGACAGGGAGAAAAAAATCTAACAGAACGCCTGCTAGGTGTTGAAGTAGAGCCACCAGCCCTCTGGGTGGCCTTAGGCAGGTCATGTCTCCTCTGGGAGCCTTCCTTTCACATCTGTCATAGAGCTTGTAGGCAACTGACTTTGTGAAGTTCCTGCCAGGTTAAACAGACTCTGCTCCATTTTTCAGACTGTTATTAGAAAATGCTCAAATACATCTGAGTTTGTGTAGGATTGGAGGCAGTTAATATATTTAAGGAGTCAGACATATAATTAAGATTTTGTTGTTGGGGTGGGATTTCTCCCCCTTTTAAGTCTCACTTTTGAGAAACTGGAACCTGAATTGAGCTGTTCAGAGATGAAGACTAATATATCATAATGTGCACTTACTAATTCACTAAATGTCTAGATGTTGATGTTGGGGATTTAAGGAGGGGTGTTTACTAAGACCAGGCACGGGACTAGGTCCCAGGAATTCCAAATTGCATAAAATGTGGTCCTTGCATATTAGTCATTCAACGGGCTCAGAATGGAAATGGCCATGCAGAAAACAGTGAGCATAAAGAGTTTACTGCTGTATCAACCTGGACATACAAAGGAAGAACTCTGAGACCACTAAGAAGGAAGTAAGTGTTAATGGGAGAGGTACATGTGGAAAGTTTTGTCACAAGTCTTGCATTGGTGCCTGATCTTAAGGAGTGAACAGGAGTTAGCTAAACAAGGTGAAGAACATTCCAGGCAGACAGACTATGATAAGTAAAGGCAAGAAGGGAAAGAATGAACATAATGCTTTTCCTTCCCCAGCATCTATTTCAGTCACATTGCAGATAAACAGGATTTTAAACATGGGAAGTCATCCAAATCAGACAATTCTCATTCTTTTATCAAAATCCTAAAGGGAACATTTTTAAATCTCTTTTGTAATTGCTAGGAAAATGATGTGTGCCCAGAGTCCTTATTTAGAAAAAACAGTCCTTATTTTTTAAATCAAACAATATATCAATTTTCCAATAGAGCTGGAACCAAATTCTGCATTTCATATGTTAATTGCAATGTACTTTTTCTTTTGTAAGGTGCATGAATATGGTCTGTCAGCCATTACACAAATTTAAGTATGGAAAAAAAATGGGCTTCACAAAAAGCAATGAAATGCATCAACATCAGAGATTTTGTCACGTTAGTAGACAAAAACATCGACTTGAAGGATGTCCTTGCCAGGTTAGGATACGTCCCTTTTCTAGCTAATGTCAACCTAGACTCAGCTCCAGTCAGAAATGCCTGCTTGGTTGGCAGCTGCTGAGAGATAGCAACTCCTCCTAGCAACAGATGGAGCCAATCAAAAGCCAGCAGCAGTGATCCTTGCTGTTAAGTGCAATGACATCTCATTTATCTGGCAACTCCAGTGAAGACTGTATAGTGCACAAGATAATTACTAAGAGACTGAAATTTACATTCCCATGCACCAGGGACTATTAGAATTTCAACAGCATGATTGGAATTTTGCCTAAAATTAGATGTCTGTGTGTTTAAATTATGAACAGGTATCAGAGTGTGGTGGATTACGCTTAGGTTTTAAAGACACCTAAAGGTGACTGTTAGTTTTATCACTTACTGCCCATGTGTTCTGAGGCATGATAGTTTCCCTGAGTTTTAATTTTTCCATCTCTTAAAATAAGATACATACATTGCCTGGCCTAACATATCTCACAGCAGTGTTGTGCTAATCACAAAATATAGCAGATCTCAAAGCCCTTTGAAACTGTCAAGCTTCATGTAAATAAATACTAACTGACATTTTCCTACTATTAGAGAAACAGCATTTAATATAGCTAATAGCTTCAGCTCCCATCTGGGTAATCTCCAGTAAGCCATTTCATCTTTATTTCCTCACCTGCCCAAGGAAGATAATGCTAGGACGTGATTCAGGGACTGGCTGTGAAGACTGTAGTAAGCACTCAAAAATGTTAACTAACAATTATTATCATTCCATCATTTAATGCTGCGAGAACTTGAGGTGTTGCTAAATTGGAGACAGTTTTTATTCCTACTAAATGACCCCCAAAGCAATATTCTATAGAACCCAAAAACACATGTATCCAAGGGATCTTGCACAAAACTCTCTTAACCCTCCACAGCTTTTTAACACATTCATGCATGCTAGAGATTATTTCCAAGACATCTACTTCCCCTGTTGGGCACCGAGCGCTTTACTTTTGCTGTCTCCTCCTGATGACCTCTCCATTCCATGAAATTACTATTCTCCTGCTCTACATATAACTAAAAACTTGGGATAGTCCATGGTTTATTTGATTAAGCAAGTGCTACCAAGCTTATAGTTCCTCACAGGTCTGTCTAAACAGAGTATCTACTTTTTATCTTATTATCAAAATTCTCTCCTGCATAGAAAGGAAAGACCAGGAAATTTTTTTAAAGGACCTACAGTAGTCAGTTTCTCAATTCTCACTCAACTCCACTTGCTTGCGGTAATATTTAATATTAAAAAGGTATAATATAATTATCGCATATACCATACTTTACATGTTATAACACGTGAATCTGTTATACAGTTAAGAACAGGTCACAATGGCCAGTATTCTGCTGGACCCAAATCAGTAAGACTTACTGACAAGAACTACAGTTTTAAGCTACAATTTTAAAATATCCTCTCTGCTTCATAATGCTTATTCCATACTCAGAACTTTAGTAGATCCCACTTTGAATGTCTTAATTTTTGTACTGTTTAGCTTTCTTGCTGTATAAGCTCCTTTGAGAGCAGAATTTTTGTTTCATTGTTTGTAGCACACACACCCAAAGCATCTAGCTCACTTTGTACACAGTAGTACATGCTTAACAAATAGCTATTAAAGAAATACTCATAAAAACAAAAAAGAAAGGGATGGAGAAAGAGGAGGAGGATTGGAGGAATGGAGCAGAAACAAGAGAGATTAACAGAGAAGGGAGAGGAAGGAGGGAAATAAGGAGAAAGGAAAGATGGAAACAGAAGAAAGAAAACTAAATTGTTATAAATGCATGAGGAGAGATATCAAAGATGTTTGACTACTTTAAATACAACTCTTAGACCATTTTTCAGATACAGTATAACACTGTTTCTCATTGCCACTCTTGTATGTCACCTCTTAGTCCTTAGGATGACTGATGCTACTACAGGGTGTCAAAAAAATGGAATTTTAACAGGCTTCATTTTCATACAAACTCAAAAAGCTAAATGTAAAAAAAAACAAATTTTTAAACAGAGATATAATACCTTTGTTTGTGTTTTACTTTTCTTCCCAGAAATACACGTCGAGCTGCCCTTTCTCTATATACCTCCCACTCCTTCTCTGCCTCCCAGCCAGATTCTACACGTCAGTTTGCTCGAGTCCCCAGCTCTCACGTCCTCAAACCATCGCCGTCTCTCTTCCAGACACACACCTCAGCCAATATTCTGGCTTCCAGTGAAACACAAATGAAGAAATAAAAGTCTTAAATAGAAATTCTAAACTCCTGCACATGATAGAACATTTACTTTTCTAATAAGGGAGAGAAAGGTGGCTTAGGAAAAAAAAAAAAAATATATATATATATATAAATATATATAAATCCTATGAAAAACTGTGTGAAAAGATCTAGAGTTAAGAGTCTTAGTTTTTGTGTCGGACACTGATATTAGTGACCCCTATTTCCTTTGAGAAACTTTCTATTTTTCTAAGATAGCAATAATGACACTGCTCAATCCATCTCTCTGGTTTTTTTTTTTTTTTTTTTTTTTTGAGATGGAGTCTCACTCTGTCGCCCAGGCTGGAGTGCAGTGGCATGATCTCAGCTCACTGCAAGCTCCACCTCCCAGGTTCACGCCATTCTCCTGCCTCAGCCTCCCAAGTAGCTGGGACTACAGGCGCCTGCCAACACACCCGGCTAATTTTTTGTATTTTCAATAGAGACGGGGTTTCACTGTGTTAGCCAGGATGGCCTCGATCTCCTGACCTCGTGATCCACCTGTCTCTAAGGTTTTTATGTGGATCCAGTGTCATTACAAATATGAAAATTTTAAATTTTAAAAATGTACACAAAAACACACAGTTGGATTACCTTTTCTGAATGCACATTTTTGTTTATATGATTTCAATTATATGTTAGGGGACACAACAAGTTGGAAATTCTTACACAAATCCATCCATTATGGACGCTCTAAGCCACTAATTCCCACTACTGCAACCAGGTATACATAAAAACGTGCCTTAACCCCCAGTTCAGGTGAGTTGCAGGTTATGATTCTCCAATGATGGAATACTCTGAGAAGGCAAAAAGGGGCATCATTTTTCTGGGTGGCATCATAATCACTACCAAAAAATTGGTCAAAGAAGCGGGGCATGGTGGCTCACACTTGTAATCCCAGAGTTTTGGGAGGCTGAGGCAGGAGGATTGCTTGAGTCCAGGAGTTCAAAATCAGCCTGGACAACCTAAAGAGAGTTTCTTGACATATATTTCTAAGGGGCAAATGAATGAATTCTAGTTCTCAACCCTGTATTGCTGATTGATATATGTTGACCATGAATGGTTTTCTGGTGGCCCCAGAGAGTCGACAATGGTTTGTCATCAAGGGCTTATCCAGGGCAGAAGCTAATAAAATATCACTTGCACAGATTAAATAACACCACATTTCAGGAGAGGCAGTATAAATAAGAGGGACCTCTGGATAATGAATGGATTTAAAAGGTCCAGCCTGTCCAAATCAATTTTCTAATCTCATAAAATGGGGTTGAACCCAATAATTTATGTTTCCTTCCACTTCCAAAATTTAATAATATTATTTACTTGTTCCTTTATTTATTTAAAAATATTTATTTACTTAAAATGAGAAAAGTACCTGTGAAAGAATTAGATTTGTTTAATATTCTCATGGACACTATGATCACACATCATGTAGTATTTAAATGTGATCAACAAATAGTTGAAAATGTGTTATGTGAAAAATAATAATTTTCGCAAACACTTTTACAGCACTTACCATATCTTAGGCATCATTTCATGTGATGGAAGACAAATATATAGATAGACATGGATATGGATAATGATTGAGGTAAGAAATACAATGGAGACAGAGACAGAAAAATTCTTTTAATCATTACAACAACCAACAGCTTTAGAACATTAACCATGTGTTAAGTAATTAACATGTTATCTATGATGCCAGATAAAAAAGGCACAATAAATAGAAAATGTTCCTTATCGTCACCTCCAGGGTACGCTTTAGGTAATGAAGTTCTAATATCAGAGATAGCAGCAACGACAGGATGCTAATTGTGGTGAATATTAGAAAAGAAGCCACTGATGTAGTCTAGCCGACCTCTATGATCACTTTTATCAACTGAAAGTTAAAAAATAAATAAATAAAGCTAGAGTGGGCACAATGCTAGATAGCAGAGACAGAACTGGCATATTTGGAAGATCTCTCAATTCTACAGGCAGAATTTTTTTAAAACAAACCAAACAACAATAATAACAGTTTACTGTTAGGGGAAGCACTGAGGTTGGGCTTTAAGAGTTTGCTGAGAAGCTGATTTGCAAAGATAGGCAAGCTTGGACCCCAGTGAAGTGGTCAAATAAATAACAGTGCTCAAAGAGTTATATTTACTGCCACGCAAGATGAATCATGCCTCTTTGGGGAATGCTTTTTCTGAAATTTCATTTCCCATTTTGGACTACTGGATCAGTCTCTCAGAAGAGTTTGGAATGTGGCCAATTACTTCCCTCTGCATTTTTCATCTGAGACTTAGGCTGTACAACTCCATTTTACATTTTCACACCATACATCTTAGATAGTAGGGACTTCATTTTGTGAAGAATAAGACACCAAAAATATAGTCTGTTTGTAAATATAGATTTGAGAATAAAGACCAAGAAACGCACGTTAGAAATCTTAAGAAATGAATTTTTACTATAATTATCTACAGCTCTATGCTCCATACTTATATTTTAAATTATAATACTAATGAAAAAAATCACTGTTGAGATGATAAATTAGCAGACCATTAAAAGCTTTTAAGAATGAAAACCACTCTCCAACGATATTCACGTGAAAAACCAGACAGTAAAAGAACAAACAAGTAAATGTGGAAATAACCAGAACCCAATATGCAACTGTCTCAATCACATTTAACCTCAGTATTACTAGAGCACTCAAAAGTAATAGGTTGTTAAACCGTTTGGAGGGCAAATGACATTGGCAGATCTAATGGCAAAACAAACAAAATATCAAATATATTTAAAATTTAAAATATCAAAGAGGCCAGGCACAGTGGCTCACGCCTGTAATCCCAGCATTTTGGGAGGCCGAGGCGGGCAGATCACTTGAGGTTGGGAATTTGAGACCAGCCTGACCAACATGGAGAAACCCCATCTCTACTAAAAATACAAAAAAATTAGCCGGGCATGGTGGCGTGTGCCTCTAATCGCAGCTACTCAGGAGGCTGAGGCAGGAGAATCGCTTGAACCTGGGAGGCAGAGGTTGCAGTGAGCCGAGATTGCACCATTGCACTCCAGCCTGGCCAACAAGAACGAAACTCCATCTCAAAAAAAAAAAAGAAATTAATAAACAAATAAATTTAAAAAAATAAAAGTCCAAACCAAATAAGGTCCTTTAAACCACTGACCTACAGCAATCCATTTTACTTGACGGAGCATTGGGTAGGGGAAAGATTACAGATAAGTTATTTTAAGGAATTAAATTAGGTGAATGTTAAATATTCTAGAATTATATAAAAGAAATTGTCTTAGAGTAGGCATTGAAAAATTAGTTCAAGGTCTGTACCCACTTACTTTTCCTATGAGACAATAAGTACAAACATGTTTTGTAAATATACAATGTAAAATATAAAATACAATGTAAATATTGTATTTCATCTACAGAAATATTACTTGCTTTTTGTAAATTAAAGAATCACCCTCAATGTATCATGCAGGAGCAACTCCATTTCTGGGTATCACATAATTTTAAAGCAAAGATGTAACCATAAACATGCTAAATTGACTATAAAAAATAACATGCAGAGTGCAAAGGAAGAGAATAAAATGAAGAGCACAACACAGCCATTAGTGGAAAGAAAGACTGCTGCTATGATTTAGACCATTCAGGGAAAACCAAAGCAGAAACCATAGCTTGTGTCAGTCTCATTAAGATTAAATTCACAAATATCCCATCTGCTATGGTTTCCTAAGTGGCTACAGTGAGGACACAAAGCTTTTCCACACATTTGAAGAAACTGTGGCAACAAAAAACTCCATCATCTCTGTGGAGGTACTGTTGGGTGGGTGATGGGGGTGAGAGAGTTTGCAGGAAACTGGAAGATGGGAACTGGAAGATAAGTCGGACACAGCCTTTGCCTTCAAGATGCTGATAATTCATTTCTGGAGACAAAAGTACAAACTCAACCTAAGGTGGGAGAGAGGTACAAGCAGAAAGCTATGGAAGAATAAAGAAAGGCAGACTACTTCTTCAGTTTCAACAGGAAACACAGTGAGGATTTCATGGTGGAGGTATACTGGGTCTTAAAGAAGAAACAGGACATTGATAAATAACGATGACAGAGAGACATGAGCACTGACTGAGTGCATGGAAAGTTGAGATATATGAAATGACTGAAAAGGAAAGGAAAACATGTCATAAAAGTAAATGAAAATGGAGATGAAGCCAGAGAATTATGCTGGCTTCTAGAGGGAACCCATCAGAAAATGTTATTCTAGGCTAAACTATGTTGAAAATCTTTCATCCTTCTTAAAACTCTGTACTTCTCAGTATTTATTTTAGAGTACTTCTTCTTTTACTCTTTTTTCTTCTTTTTAAGAGATGGGCTGAATTAAACTACACAAGGTGAAGTAGATATAGAATATTTAAAATGGTAAATTATCGAGCATGAAATCTCATCTGATTCAATGAGTGAAAGTAATATTGATTAACCCAGCCACTGACCTTGAGTAACAGACATAAGAATACTGTAATAAACACAAAAAAGTGCTGGTAAAGTATTTGTCGCAATGCCAAGAGCTACAACCTGGATTAACAGTCACACTTCACAAAATAGACTTCTATGACTTTAGATGTGCTTATTATGTCTAACGATGAAGAAGGTGAAACAAACTAAACTGAGAGTGGAAGACACATGTTGCCCCTCAACTGTGTGCTATTTTGATATCGTAGAGATGATCATTAAGTGATTTATCATAAAATGTATGAACTAAAGATAAATATTTAATTATAGAAAGTATGTCTTCATGTGTCTTTCTATAAAGATTTCTATGGGCTTCAAACTTCAGTTAGAGCCCTTTTAAAATATTTATACTTAAAACTGCACCATAAATTGCAATTTGCAAATACTTATGAGGAAGTAATATTCTCTCTGATGCAAGGCACCAAAAATGTACATTGCAGAATTGATACATACATTTCTATATCTGGTTTTCATTAAATAGCTCAAAGGTGTCATTTTAAGGTACAAAATATTATAAAATATCTCACAATACATGTTTAAATTGATCTAAGGACAGAAAGTAAAAATCTGTTTTGCAATTTAATACCTACTCAAATGTACCACCTCATTAAGAGATATGTATAATTTTTTTAAGTGCTGACAATAATCATTTGGAAGCCCAAGCTCAGTAAGTACAGTTAAATACCAGTCCTAGGAAAACTCTTAATCAGGAAAACTCTTCTTGCATAGTAGTCTTCTGTGGTCAAAATCATTGTGTTTACAGTTGTAAGACACAGCTTCACAACGAAAACATGGATTCCACTCTGTTTCCACTACTTCTTCCACTTTTTTGGTCCATCACCAGAGTGTTAAAATGTTGTCTCACCTCTCCAATCGTGAAGAAATTCACACCTCTGTATTACTTTAAAAAATGTAATTCAATTAATGTGTATTGAATACATAAAGAACAATGATTTTATTTCCTGTTTAATCTCAATTAAATAATGATTAAATTGACATTTTAGCTTTTGTTTGGACAAATTATCTTTCTAAATAACAGAACTATTAAGACATAATTCCCATACAATACAGTTCACTCATTCAAAGTGTACAACTAAATGGTATTTAATATATTCACAGAGTTGTAAAACCATCACCCCAATTAATTTTAGAATATTTTTCTTCACCTCACAAAGCAACCCCACACCCTTTAGCTGTGAACCCCTTCCATTCCTCCCATCCCCATTCAGTGCTATACAACTGCTTTATGTCTCAATAGAGTTGCTTTTTCTGGATATTTTACATAAATGAAATGATAAAGTATATCTTTTGTGACTAGCTTCTTCCATATCACATAATATTTTCATGGTTCAATCTTATCGTAGCATGCATCAGTACTTTACTGCTTTTTGTTGCCAAATAATATTCCATTGTATGAATATACCAAACTTTATTTATCCATTCATCAGTTGATGGACATTTGAATTGTTTCTACTTTTAGGCTGTTATGAATAATGCTACTATGGGTATGCATATACAAGAGTCTTTGTGTAGACATATATTGCAAATTTTCTTGGGTACACATCTAGCCGTGGAACTGTTGGGTCATATAATAACTCTGTGTTTAATCTTTTGAGAAACTGCCAGACTGTCTTACAAAATGCCTGCACCATTTTACATTCTCACTAGCAGTGTATAAGAGTTCCCATTTCTCACCTACGTGTGTTATTATCAGTCTTTTTTAATATAGCCTTTGCAGCGGGTGGGAGGTGGTATCTTCTTGTGATTTTAATTTGCATTTCCTTGATGGCTAATGGTGTTGAGTACATTTCACATTGCTATTGACTGTCTGTCTATCTATCTATCTATCTATCTATCTATCTATCTATCTATCTATCTATCTGTTTTCAGATCATTTGCACCCTTTCAATTAGGTTATATGTCTTTTTATTACTGAGTTATAAGAGTTCTTTATATATTCTAGATACAAATTTCTTATCAGATATGTGGTTTTCAAAATTTTCTCCCATTCTGTGGATTGATTTTTCACTTGATTGTGTCCTTTGAAGCACAAAAGTTTTTAATTATGATGAAATTCAACATATCGATTCTTCTTTTGTTGGTTGTGCTTTAGATGTTATATCCATGAAACCACTGCTTAATCCAAGGTCATAAAAGTTTACTCCTATGCTTTCTTCCATGAGTTTTATGGTCTTAGCTCTAAAAGCCATAGGTTTTAGGGCTCTAATCCATTTTGGGTTACTTTTTCATTTAGGTCTGTGATCCATTTTGGGTTACTTTTTCATATGTCATGTGAAAACTTAGCCTTTAATTTTTTTTTTTTTTCTGCTACCATTCAGATTTCTTAAGGTCTTCAGACAATGGCAACAAGATCTTTTCATTGAAATAACTAAGAAAGTTTGTGGAAAACCCATAAGCATATAAATAAAAAAGAAAGCATTTCAATAAGTAGTACATAAATTTTTAGAAATTAAACATCTTATTCTTGGATTATATGTACAATTAGTCAAAACGCAAAGATAATACAAATACAAAACAAGGAAATTCATGAGAGCTAATGAAAACTTAAAATGTTATGCCGTGGAGCTTGCCGTGAGCCGAGATCGCACAACTGCACTCCAGCCTGGGCAACAGAGTGAGACTCGGTCTCAAAAAAAAAAAAAAATTATGCCAAGACACAAAATATTTAATGTTTCTATAACCCTGCTTCTCTCTCTTATGGCACCTAACAATTTAAATATTTTATTATAGTATTAACGTATAGTGTTTGCCTTTGTCTTCTACCATGATTAAAGCATCTATAATATAACTTGGTACATGATAAGTAAAAATATTCAAAATTGAATAGGTGAACAAATTAAAATGAATGAATTCTAGAATTGGCACTTTTTCCCTGTTTTGATGCATAATTTTCTCTCCTTTTCATCCTTTATGTTTTAGCTTAAGTATTACATCCTTAAAGAAATTTCCAGAGAAATTCTGTCGAAATTAGTTTCCTCTATTATTCTCTATTACAGAAATACATTTCATTCTTTCATAGCACTAATCCTAAACAGTAAATGTTTACATTTATTTTTTTTACATGTTATTGTGTTCTCCCAATATGGGAGATGGAAGGTTTTTCATTTTACTTCCAATGCCTAAGACAATGTGTGACACATTAATAATTTTAAATAAATAGGTGGTAAATGATAGTGTAAATGGGATCATAGACAACCTGCTGATCCCTGGATTTTCAGGAATAGCTATATTGAAACCACAGGCACAATGTCATTGCTATGTCCTTTTTCATGGTAGAGCTTTCAGTTCCCACACAACCTTTCACACTTCCCTGAAGAGAAAACCTTTTCCCATCTATTGAAATCGAAGAATAAAGGTTGAAGTAGTAATGCTTATTCATCCTTGCCCTTGCTACAGAAATTTTAGAGGTAATATCTAGCAATCTGCAATGAACACTCATCAAGCAATAAGCTTCTGTTTCCAAATCCCAGATGAGTTCTAATTTATTTAGACCTGAATAAAATTAGAGGTAATCTCTCTTCCTTGTAGTCTCTACAGTTCAATATTTGGCTTCCCAGTAGAGGTTCATAAACCTGTCAACTAATAGTTATGGTGATTAGAAAGATAATATGCAATCTAATGAAGAGACTATGTATGCATATCTATGCTTCAGTCTACTCCCTTTTTCTCTCTCTCTTTCTTGCCCTAAAGTCTTATATTATGCACAGTTAAGTTTTTGGTCTAGAGAGGTGTGGCTGCTGCCAGGTGCTATGGACTGTAAGTCTCTATTACCCTCAGATTCATATATTGAAGCCTAATGCTCAATGTGATGCAATCTGGAGGTGGAGACTTAGAGAAGTAATCAGGTCATAAGAGTAAAGTCCTCATAAATAGGATCAGTGTCCTTGTAAGAAGAGACAGGGAAGAGCATGCCTCCTCTTTCTCTGCCCACCACCACGTGAGTGCACAGCAAGAAGATGGCCAAGTGCAAACAGGAAGAGGGCCCTTACAAGAAACTTGGCCATGCTGCCCCCCTAATCTTGGGCTCACCAGCCTCCAGAACTGTGAGAAATGAATGTCCATTATTTAAGCCAACCAGTCTGTGATAATTTGTCAAAGCAGCCCAAACTAAGGCAACTCTGGTTTGATACACATGGTAAAGTATATTGCTTAAAATTAAAAATTAAAATTAAAAAAAAAACAAAATAAAAGCTAAAAGAGGCATTACCCTGTTTTTGTTTCTGTTTTTAACTTAAGGTTCACCACGTGATGTAGTTTTATCCAAGGATTCATAAGTAAAATCTACTGGAACTTCTGGGAAGATGTTAGCTTTCCTGATAAAGGCACCATCTCTTCCTCTGTGCCTCTTTCTACTGCCTAGAAAGCTCCCATGTTATCTGGGGATTTAAGAGCCATCCATGCCAGGAAGAGAAGTCCAAGCAAATGTAAAGAGGCCTTGGACATAATGGGCCCGTTGAGTCAATCAATGAACCAATACCGATAAATGTCTATCTTTAGACTTCTGGGTGTATGAGGAAATCCAAACCTCTGATCCCTTTAAACCATTGTTATGGGCATCACTTTCCTCACAGCTAGACTCAATTCCTCATTGATACAGGAAAGTAAACATAAGAAATTTGTTATTAATAATTGGTCTTAGGAAATAAAATCAGAAGAGGAAACTTTCTTCTTAGTGAGGTTTTGTGCACATATTGACACCTCAAATTACCCACTGAGTTACATGTAGAATTATGTGGAAGGCATGTGTAAGGTGACTGCATAATTATTGCCAAAATCTGAATCCAGGATTCTTTAGAAGGTTAAATAGGTGCCACCAATAATTATACTAAGATACTAGGCATAAACTAGAACTCTTCTGGATGAACCAGGACATAGAGTTACCCCATGGGAGAATGATGTTCACAGTGGCCTCAAAATAAAGTTCTTTCATTTCAGTTGTAGCTGGCTGAAAGGTATGTCACTTAAATTCTATATATTCCCCTAACATAACTACTAGGTTTTTTGTTTGGTGCAGAAATAACCAGTAGGTATACCATAAATACAGCAGACTGTGGGCTTGTGGAGCATGCTGCACTCCGTGATCTATCTCTGTCTATCATTGTTCTTATTTGACCCCATCACAGGTGTTTAAAATTTGTTTCGTCGTTGTTGTTGTTGTTGTTTTATGTCTTTTTTCTCAGTGCTATATGTTCAAAGAGCCAACTTCTCTACAGACTTGTTCATAAGAATGACTTGTTTCTGCTTCTCTGCTTTGCCAGATCTCTATTCCTTTCAAATTTCTACTGAAAAATCCACTGATTTCCCCTTTGCATTTAGGACACATAAATTCTTTCTCTTTTCCTCTCCCTGAAGGTTATGAAAGTCCTGGACTGTAGCTTTATTTTATGTTGTATACTTCCCTCCAAGTGAGTTATATAAGGAGATAGTTCCGAGAAGGAAAATGCCCAGAAGTTGAAAAACCAGGTCATCCTAGGGGGAAAAAATAAGTAGCCAATACTTTTTTAGGATTTTCTTGTTAAAAACCCAATAAACATTCAAATATGAAAACTACTAATGTTTTTACATTTTGCAGACTGGGGTATAGAACAGCAAGAGAAAGCAGAACTAATAAAGACAGGAGATCTTTTGGAAATCAGGGTGAACTGATTTCCTACAGCAAGGCCATAAGCTACAGCAAGGCCATAACTCTTCAGAAGGCCATTGTGTGATGCTTTGGCAGGAACAACAAGGAGGACATGGACTAAATGGAGCTTCAGCTTTTTCAGAACATGTTACTACTCTCAAAAATTGGTTCACTGCTTTATCAGTTTAGCAGTTCATAAAAATGTAACCCAAACCGATTTATGTAAAAAGGGCAATTATTGGCTCAGGTAACTGAGAGTTTTGGAGGTAGGGCTGGCTTTAAGGATAAGAATGAGAACTTGTTGCTCCCCATGTTTTGAACCAGACCTCCTGTCCTCTGAATGTTGGAATCATTAGCAGAAGGGATCTCCCTCTGTGGTATTAAGATGGTTAGAGTCCCTTTATCTTTTCTGCTCCAAATCCAGTTTAAAAAATAATAATAGATCATTGAGGTGGAGCAAGATGGCAAATAGATAACACTCCAGCAGCTGTCCTCCCTCTGCTAAAACGCAAGAATGAATAACTACCTACACAAAAAAAAATCCTTCATAATAACCAAACATCAGATGAATTATCACAGTATCTAGTTTTAACTTCATATCACTGAAAGAGGCACTGAAGAGGGTAGGAAAGACAGTTATGAATCACCTATATCACCACTTTCCCATCCCCCATTAGTGGCTGCATGGCATGGAGACAGAACCTGTGTGTTTGGGGTAAGGAGAGTACAGTGGTTGTGGGGCTCTGCATTAGGACTCAGTGCTTCCCTGTTACAGTGGAAAACAGCAAAGTGAAGAACTTGCCGGTGCCCAGATAGGGGGCACCTAGACCAGCCCTAGCCAGAGGTGAATTGTCTGTCCTAGTGGTCAGAACTTGAGTTCTGCCAAGCCTTGCCACTGAGGTCCTAAATGAACTTGAAAGGCAGCCTAGACAACAAAGCCTGCAATTCCTGGACAAGTCCTGCTGCTGGGCTGGGCTCTGAGTGGACTTGTGGTGCATGTGACCTAGTGAGACACCAGCCCAGGTGGCTAAGGGGATGCTTGCATCACCCCTCCCCCAACCCCAGGCAGTGCAGCTAGCAGCTACGGGAGAGACATCTTCCTTCTGCTTAAGGAAAGAACAGGGGAGAGTAAAGAAAACTTTCCCTTACAATTGGGATACCAGCTCAACCACTATAGAATAGAGCACCAGTCATGAGGCCTGCATTCCAGGCCCTAGCTCCCAGATGAAATTTTTAGACACACCCTGGGCCAGAAAGGAACCCAATGCCTTGAAGGGAAGGACCCAGTTCTGGCAGGATCCATCACCAGCTAACTAAAGAGCCCTTGGATTGTGAATAATTAGCAGTGGAGGCCACAGGCCTTGGGTGAGACTTAAAGCTGTGCTGGCTTCAAGGGTGTCCCAGCATATTCCCACATGTAGTGGCTATAGGAAGAGACTCCTTCTGCTTGAGAAAAGGAGAGGAAAGAGTAAGGGGGGCTTCTCTTGCAGCTTAGGCACCACCTTGACCACAGTGGAGTACAGCATCAAGCAGGTTCCCAGGGTAGCCAGCTCCAGGCCTTGGCTCCTGGATGGTATTTCTGGACCAGTCCTGGGGCAGAAGTGAGCCCACTGTCCTAAAGAGCGAGACCCAGCCCTGGCAACGTTCACCACAAGCTGACTGAGGAGCCCTTGGACATTGAATGAACATTGGCAGTAGCCAGGCAATGTGTGCTGTGGGCCAGGGATGGTAGTGGCCACAGGAAGAGACTCTCCTGCTTAAGGAAAGGGAAAAAGGAAGAGTAGGAAAGACTTGTTTTGCAGCTTGGGTGCTAGCTCAACCACAGTAGAATAGAACACCAGCAAGATTCATAAGGTTCTCAACTCCAGGCCCTGGCTCCCAGATGGTATATCTGAACCTACATGGGGGAAAAGGGAACTCGCTGCCTTGAAGGGAGCAAGCCTGGCTGGTTTCACCACCTGCTGATTACAGAGCCCTTGGGCCTTGAGTGAACATAGGTAGTAACCAGACAGTGCTCACCACAGACCATAAAGGAGACACAGTGCTGTGCTGGCTTTAGGTATGACCTAGTGCAGTCCCAGTGGTGGTGGCCACAGGGGTGCTTGTGTCATCTACCTCCAGCTCCAGGCAGCTTAGCACAGAGAGAGAGAGAGAGACTGCATTTGCTTGGGGAAAAGTAAGAGAAAGGAACAAGGGTGTCTGCGTGGTGATCCACAAAATTCTCCCAATCTTACCCAAAACACCAAGATGGTACCTCTTGTGAGTCTACAAGACCCACAACATTACTAGGCTTGGGGTGCCCCCTAATGCAGGTATGGCTGCAATAGCCAAAAACTTAGATCACAACACCCAAGTCCTTTTGAATGCTTGCAAAGTCCTCCGAAGGAGGACAGGTAAAACAAGCTCAGACTGCAAAGACTACAAGAAATACTTAACTTCAATGCCCAGACACTGATGAACAGCCGCAAGCATCAAGACCATCCAGGAAAACATGGCCTCAACAAATGAACTAAATAAGACCCCAGGGACCAATCCCAGAGAGATAGACAGAATTCAAAATAATTGTTTTGAGGAAGGTCAACAAAATTCAAGATAACACAGAGAAATAATTGAGAATCCTATCAGATAAATGAAGAGACTGAAATAATTTAGAAGAATCAAGGATAAGTTCTAGAGTTGGAAAACGCAACTGACATAGTGAAGAATGCATTAACATCTCTTAACAGCAGAATTAATCAAGCAGAATAAAGACTTGGTGAACTTGAAGACAGCCTATTTGAAAATTCACGATCAGAGAAGACAATAGAAAAAAGAATTTTAAAAAATGAAGCATGCCTACAAGATCTAGAAAATAACATCAAAAGTACAAATCTAAGAGTTGTTGGCCTTAAGGAGGAAGTAGAGAGAGAGATCAGAGTAGAAAGTTTATTCAAAAGAATAATAACAGAGAACTTCACAAACCTAGAGAAAGATGTCAATATTCAAGCATAAGAAGGTTATAAACATCAAGCAGATTTAACCCCAAAAAAGATTATATGAAGACATTTAATAATTAAAATTTTAAAGGTCAAGCTAAAGAAAGGATCGTAAAAGCAGGAAGAGGAAAAAAGAAATACAAAAAACATACAATGGAGCTCCCACACATCTGGCAGCAGACTTCTCAGTGGAAACTTTACAGGCCAAGAGGAGTGAATGGCATGACATATTTAAAGTCCTGAAGGGGGAAAAACAAAACAAAACAAAACAAAACAAAACTTGTATCCTAGAATAGAATTATCCAGGGAAAATTTCCTACATAAAGGAAGGAAAAATGAAGACCTTCTCAGATAAACAAAAGCTGAGGGATTATATCAACACCAGAACTCTCCTCCAAAAATGCTAAAGGGAGTTCTTCAATCTGAAAGAAAATAATGTGAATGAGCAATAAGAAACCATCTGAGGGCAAAAAATTCACTGGTAATAGTAAACACACAGAAAACACAGAATATTATAATACTGTAATTGTGGTGTATAAACTATTCATATCCTGAAAAGGAAGACTAAAACATGAACCTATCAAAAATAATAACTACTGGGCTGGGCGCAGTGGCTCACGTCTGTAATCCCAGCACTTTGGGAGGCCAAGGCAGGAGGATCACTTGAGGTCAGGAGTTCAAGACCATCCTGGCCAACATGGTGAAACTTCGCCTCTACTAAAAATACAAAAATTAGGCGGGTGTGGTGGTGCATGCCTGTAATCCCAGCTACTCAGGAGACTGAGGCACGAGAAGAACTTGAACCTGGGAGGCGGAGGTTGCAGTGAGCTGAGATCGCACCACTGCACTCTAGCCTGGGTGACAGAGTAAGACTGTCTCAAATAAATAAATAAATAAATAAATAAAATAACTACAAAAACCTTTCAAGACATGGATAGTATAATAAGATATTAATAGAAACAGAAAAAGTTTAAAGGCAAGGGGATGAATCTAACATGTAGAGTTTTTATTAGTTGTCTCTTTGCTTCTTTGTTAGTTTGTTTATGCAGCCTGTGTTGTCATCAGTTTAAAATGGTGGGTTATATTATTTGCAAGTCTCACGGTAACCTCAAGACAAAAATCATACAACAGATACACACAAAAAAATAGCAAGAAATTAAAATATGCTAGCAGAGAAAATCACCTCCACTAAAAGAAAGATAAGAAAGAAGGAAAAAAGGAAGAGAAGACTACAAAACAACCATTAAACAAATAACAAAGTGGCCAGAACAAAATTCCTTCTTTATCAATAATAACACAGAATGTAAATGAAATAACTATCCAATCAAAAGACGTAGAGTGCCTGCATAGATTTCAAAACTAGAGCCAATAATGTCTTGCCTATAAGAAATACACTTTACCTAGAAAGACACACATAGACAGATACAAAGATGGAAAAAGATATTCCATGCAAATGGAAACCAGAAAAGAGGAGTAGCTCTACATAGATCAGACAAAATAGATTTCAAGACAAAAACCATAAAGAGACAAAAAAATCATATAATGATAAAGGAGTCAATTCAGCAAGAGGATATAAAAATTGTAAATATAAATGCACCCAACACTGAGCAAATATTATCAGAGCTACAGAGAGAGACCCCAATAAAATAATAACCGGAGACTTCAATGCCCCACTTTCTGCATTGGACAGATCATCCAGACAGAAAATCAACAAAGAAATAAACTTAATCTGCACTATAGATCAAATAGGCTTAATAAATACAGAGCATTCCATTAAATGGCTGCAGAATATACATTCTTCTCAGCACATGGATTATTCTCAAGGATAGACCATATGCTAGGTCACAAAACAAGTCTTGGAAAATTCAAAAAAACTGAGATAGTATCAAGTATCTTCTCTGACCACAGTGGAATAAAAACTAGGAATCAATAAAAAGGGGAATTTTGAAAACTCTACAAACATATGAAAACTAATTAAATAATATGCTCCTGAATATTTCTTACTCAATAAAGAAATTAAGAAATAAATGTAAAAATTTCTTGAAACAAAAGAAAATGAAAGCACAATATACCCAAATCTATAGGATACAGTGAAAGCAATATTAAGAGGAAAGCTGATAGGTATAAGTGCCTACATAAAAAAGTAAAACATTTCTAATAAACCTAACGATGCATTGTAAAGAACTAAAAAAACAAGAGCAAATCAAACCCAAAATTAGGAGAAGAAAATAAATAATAAAGACCAGAGCAGTAGTAAAGGAATTTGAAATTTAAAAAAATACAGAAATCAATGAAATAAAATGTTGGTTTTTTGAAAAGATAAACAAAATCAACACACTTTTAAGCCAGACCAATGAACAACAAAAGAGAGAAGACCCACATAAGTAAAATCAGAGACAAAAAAAGGAGACATTACAACTGCTACCACAGAAATTCAAAGGATCACCAGTGGCTACTATAAGCAACTACACACCAATACAATACCTGGAAGACAAAGATAACTTCTCAGACACATACAGCATACCATGATTGAACCCTGAAAGAGTCCAAAACCCGAACAGACCAGTAACAAGTAATGAGATTGAAGCTGTAACAAAAAGTCTCCCAAAAAAGAAACTTAGTTCCAGGACTTAGTGGATTCACTGCTGAATAATTTTATTAAACATTTAATGAAGAACTAATACCTACTGTAACAATTTCAAAAAATAGAAGAGGAGGGAATAATACTCACTCTGTGAGGCCAGTACTACCCCTGATACCAAAACCTGATAAAGACATTCAAAAAAAAAAAAAAAACCACACAAAAAAACTATAGGCTAGTGTCTCTGTTGAATACTGATGCAAAAACACACAACAAAATACAGCAAACCAAATTCCACAACACATTAAAAAAACCATTCATCATAAGCAAGAGGGATTTATCCCAGGTATGCAAGAATGGTTCAACATTCATAAATCAACCAATGTGATATGTCATATCAGCAGAATGAAGAACAGAAATCATATAATCTTTGTAATTGATGCTGAAAAATCTCTTGATAAAATTCAACATCCTTTCATGATCAAAACCCTAAAAATGATGGGTATAGAAGGATCATATCTTGACAAAATAAAAGCCATACATCGCAGACCCACAGCTGGTATCATACTGAACAAGGAAAAGCAGAAAGTCTTTCTCTAAGATTAGGGAACAAGACAAGGATGCCCACTTTTCACTGCTGTTATTCAACATAATCCTGGAAGTCCTAGCTAGAACAATCAGACAAGAGAAAGAAATAAAAAGCATCCAAATTGGAATGGAAGAAGTAAAATTATCTTTGTTTGCAGATGATATGATAGTATATTTGAAAAACCTAAGGACAAAAAAAAACACACAACTCTTCGAGCTGATAAACAAATTCAGTTAAGTTTCAGGGTACAAAATCAACATACAAAAATCGGTGGCATTCTATATGCCAACAGTGAACAATCAGAAAAAGAAATTTAAAAAAATCAATTTACAATAGCAACAAATGAAATGTAATACCTAGGAATTACCTTAACCAAAGAAGTGAAAGAACTCTACAATAAAAACTATAAAATATTGATTCAATAAATTGAAGGGGGCACAAAAAAATGGGAAATATTCCATGTTCATGGATTGGAAGAATCAATATTGTTAAAATGTCCATACTACCCAAAGCAATCTACAGATTCAATGCAATCTTTATCATAATACTAACAACATTCTTTACAGAAATAGAAAAAAATAATCCTAAAATTTATAATTTATATTAAACCACACGCAGACACACACACACACACACACCCCAGAATGGCCAAAGCTATCCTGGGCAAAAAAATTAAAAACTGAGAGAATCGCATTACCTGACTTCAAATTATACTGTAGAGATATAGTAACCAAAACAACATGGTAGTGGCATAAAAACAGACATGCAGACCAATGTATGAACAGAATAGAGAACCCAGAAATAAATTCGTACCTCTACAGAGAACTCATTTTCGACAAAGTTTCCAAGAACATACATTGGGGAAAGGAGTCTCTTTGATAAATGGTGCTTGGAAAACTGGATATCCACATGCAGAAAAATGAAACTAGACCTCTATCTCTTGTCATGGACAAAAATCAAATCAAAATAGATTAAAGACTTAAATCTAAGACCTCAAAGTATGAAACTACTGAAATCTGGCAAAAGATCTGAGTAGGCATTTCTCAGAAGAAGACTTACAAATGGCAGACAGGTATATAAAAAGGTGCTCATCATCATTGATCATCAGAGAAATGCAAATCAAAGCTATGATGGGATATCATGTCACTCTAGTTAAAATGGCTGTTATCCAAAAGACAGGCAACTTCAAAGCCTGGCAAAGATGTGAAGAAAGGGAAAACTTCAACACTGTTGATAGGAGTGTGAATTAGTACACCTATGGAAAACAGTATGGAGGTTCCTCAAGAAACTAAAAATAGAATGACCATATGATCCAGCAATCCCACTGCTAGGTATATCCAAAAGAAAGGAAATAGGTATATCAAAGAGATATTTGCACTCCTATGTTTACCACATCACTATTCACAATACCAGGATTTGGAAACAACCTATCCATCAACCGATGAATAGATAAAGAAGATATGGTATATATGCCCAATGGAATATTATCCAGCCACAGAAAAGAATGAGATCCTGTCATCTGCAACAACATTGATAGAACTGGAAGATGTTACGTTAAGTGAAATAAAACAGGCACAGAAAGACAAGCATCATATGTTCTTATTTGCAGGAGTTAAAAATTAAAGCAATTGCACACATGGAGTTAGAGAGTAGAATGATGCTTACCAGAGGCCAGGAAAGGGGGACATGGGGAGTAGGGTTGGTTGATGGGTACAAACATATAGTTAGATAGAATGTTTCAGATCAAACGTTTGATAGCCCAACACAGTGAACAATAAGCTAATGTACATTTTAAATTACCTAAAAGAGTATAATTGAATTGTTTGTAACACAAAGAAAGGGTAAGTGTTTGAGGTAATGGATACTTCATTTACTCTGATGTGATTATTTATCATTATATGCCTGTACTAAAATATCTCATGTGGCAGGGCATGGTGGCTCATGCCCGTAATCTTAGCGCTTTGGGAGGCTGAGGCAGGCAGATCGCCTGAGCTCAGGAGATTGAGACCAGCCTGCGCAACACAGTGAAATACCATCTCTACTAAAATACAAAAAAATTGGCTGGGTGTGGTGGTGTGCACCTGTAGTCCCTGCTACTTGGGAGGCTGAGGCTGCAGAATTGCCTGAACCCAGGAGGCAGAGGTTGCAGTGAGCCGAGATCAAGCCACCGCATGCCAGCCTGGGCGACAGAGCGAGACTGTCTCAAAAAAATTAATTAATTAATTAATTAAATAAAATATCATATGTACCCCATAAATATATATGCCTACCACGTGCCCACAAAACTTAAAATTAAAAAATAATAATAATAAAATGCAACTCTCTTTCAACAGATAAAGTCTTGAGCCTGAAGCTAATTTGCCCTAATTAGATGAGAAATACTCTTCAAGCAATCCCCCAAGACCAGAGTGACTAAAGATATTTGATTAGGCAAAGCAGGAACCAGCACTAAAACTAGCAGTGAGATTAATCCTACAGAAACTTTATGGATTGATGCTCAGGAGCTGTTTGAGGGTACACCAAGCATCTTTTTAAAATATATCTACTGCTGCTACTGTTACTGCTTATGGCTAACACTGAGTGTTGAGTACATAATATACACTGCCCTAGGGCTTTACGTGCATCTTTCCATTTAATCCTTACACAATTCTATACAGCTCCATATCCTCATTATTACCCCTGTTTTACACATAAGAAAACAATCTAGAAAGTTAAAAAACTTTCCAATTTTTTCACAAAGGAAGTAAGTTACAGGGCTATGATTCAAACACAGTTTTATTTCTAAAGCTTACATTTTAAATTACTACTTAATATTCCCTGATTCACTGATGACTAAAGAAATACAATCTAGAAACTTTGGAAATATGACTACTTGTTGGCCTAATGTGGCTAATGACAAGATGGAAAAGAAAAATATAAAATCTGGCATCATATTCAAATAATTTAACCAAAGGTCCTCATTAGTGCTGCTCTCAAAAGCTGAGCCTTGCTTTTATTTTCTAATGAAAAATGTTTCTAGAAACATATATGCTAATTTTCCAATTAAGGTTAGCCCTGGAGCTAAAGTATTAACATTTTCCATAAGTTATAAACTCTTAGAAAAAAAACCAACACTATTTACTATGAATACATTGTAAGTTAAAAATGGATGCTTACTGTTAATCCTTACTGAAAGTATAACTAATAATCTGTTGTTTCTGAAAAAAGACAACCTAATCCCAACAAAAAATAACCCATGTCACATGTTTGCAAGCGATAATTGCCAGGTTCTTGGGTTGACAGAATTCCATATTTTCTTTCTTTTTTTAACTGAAAAAATTTCCAGTTCATTTAATAAATATATATGGGGTGAAAAAAGAAATAGGCAAAATAGATAATCCTTTTCCAAGTGCTATACCCCCCAATTTTTTTAAAGGAATGTGACAAAGGTCAAGGAAATCACGAGCATATGAGAAGAAAAAATTATGTAAATGATCTAAACTGAATATTTAACAATCTACCTGTTGAACAAGCCCCTAAGATTTGGCCTTTGACTTTTCTCTATTTAGGCATCATTAAGTTCAAATTCTATGATTCATTTGACATTAATAGTTAAGGTTCTTGTTTCTCTCTCTCTCTCGTCTTTCACTTTTCTGAGACGTCACTCACTTGCTGTCCCAAGAAAGAGTTGTGAATATGCCTCAGATTTCAGAACTTTCCATGAGAAAGTACGTTGATAAGGAAACTCAAATTCCAGAGTGGGCAACTGCTTTGTACCTCTACTCCAGATATGCTTGTTTTATAAAGCCTGCGTATCTTTTTAGGATGGAACAGAATTCTTTCACTGAGAGATTAACTGTAAAAACCAGGTGGCTTCCCAGGAAGATATCATGGCTAATCTTTACCTCTCCCTTACCTTTTATAAACAGTATTTAGTACAGAAAGAAAAACATGGCAATATCAGCTCTTAAAACTACAGCACCATATCAGCCTCAATAGGGAAGCATGAACACTAAGATTCCTCGAGTAAACTTTACATGCTTCAGTAGAATAGAAACAGACTACTCAAAAGTGAACTAGTCACTGAACTGGAAAGTGTGTAGGGTCATACTCAGGAAAATTATTATAAAGCCCATTGAGTCCAGACAGCCAGTGAATTATTGCCAAAATTAAACTGTATGATGCCTCTATCAACCGATTCAACTAGACTTCAGCAGATGTCTGAACATTGGAATTACAGTTTTCAGTGCCATGAGAGATATTAATCTATATTAGATATGATCCCTAACCTCAAGGAATTTGCATCTGATAAGATATAAAAAGCATTAAGAACAAATTCTAACAAAAGAAAGGAAATACAGAGATAAATGTCCCATCAAAGTATAAAATGTGGAAGTTATTTGGGGCTGCAGAAATTGGGAAAATGTTTACTGGGTCCTAAATGATGGGAGAAATTTGGATATCTATGATAGTGAGGAAGTAAAAGAAATTAGAGGAGGGAATAACAACCACTTTCTCCCATCATCTACCTTGTGGACATAAAATAGTCCTCTCCTTATAGTTACCAATAGCGGCCCTTTCATTTTTCTTCCTTAGAGATCACCACCCCCAACTCATGTTTCTCAATAACTCCTGACACAGCTTTTCAATATAAAATCAGTATCGTCATCTCACAATCTTAACATTGTCTGCTTGCACCAAGGCAATACTTTAAGGGAGAAATTCCCAATGGTGCAGAGGACATGCATCAATCAAGCAGTCTCTCTTTCATTTTTGTTGTTGGTGTTATCACTGTAATAAAGCCATCACAAACAAGGTGATAGGCTGCCCCGGTTTTCAAAGAATTATGCTTTTTATATTATGTTGGAACACTGTAGTATGGCACATCCTTAATTGCAACAGCAAATAGGAGAAGCAATATTGATTAAAGAAATGAATATTGAACTAGAAGTTGCTTTTTCTTAACCTGCCTCACAATGCTGAGTGACCTCATTTTAGTCACATGACTTCTCTGTTTCCCAGGCATACTTTTGTCACTCAGCAATAATAGAGTTATTGCAAGGCTCAAATGTGACAGTTTATGTGAAAGCACATGGGAAAATATGAGAAGCATTCCAATGGAAAGGTTTTATTGCACATAAGGCCAAGAGCAGTATGGTATTATGAAAAGCTCATGGTTGTGGACGTGAAGACCTAGATTTCAACTCTAGTTCTATTAGTCACCAGAGTGGGCTTATTTAAGTCAAGCACCTCACTAAGCCTCAGCTCTTCATCAATATCTACTGGTTCATTTCCATCCCTCCTCACAGAGTTGCGGTGAAATTAAATACAAATCTAAAAGTCCTTCAGAAACAACAAAAACTAAAAGTACACTGTATTATTTGCACTAGCACAGCCATTAATATTGTTACCATGATTCTCATGGTTACAGCTACTCTGATAAGAACTTATAATATTACTTATTTATTAGAATATAGACTGACTAAAATAAGCGTCTTTATCACTATTTCAGCTTCAAATATAATTGGTACAGGTTAAGGCCCTGTTTAAACAAAAAACTGTGTTCGCACAATTTGACTTTAGTTTATCCTTTAGTTAAAAAAAATTCTCATTTAGTTCATAAACTACCTAATTCAGATTTGGACAATAAATAGTCTAAGTTTATAAAAAGTAAACAAATCATCGCTATAGTTTGAAAAAAATAAACCTTTTAAAAACATTATAACCAATATTAACCACTAAAATGCCAGCGATAAGTGTGCTAAGCACATCAAACTATTCATTAAAAAAGGTCCAATGTTTGCCTAGTTATGCGTTCTAGACATGTTTCAAATTATACAAATTGCTTTTTTTGAGGAAGGGTTTTGCTCTATTGCCCAGGCTGGAGTTCAGTGGCACAAACGTGGCTTACTGCAGCCTCGATGTCCTAAGCTGAAGCAATCCTCTCACCTCAGCCTCCTATGTAGCTGGGAACAGAGGTGCATGCTACCATCCCCAGCTAATTTTTAAATTTTTTGTAGAGACAGATTCTCACCTCTTGTCCAGGTTCAAACTGCATTATTTTTAAGTGCTATTCTCCTAGATGCGAATGTCAAGGCTCCTAAGTTATACAAAGCAGTAAGTTATATTTTTATTTCCCAAGTGCTGATATGCCAGATATTACACCCATAAATTTCTTTTCTTTCATTATTTTCTTCTTCTGAGCTGGGGTAAGAAAATAGACGGTAGTCAGATGAGTGAGGGCGTGGGACTGGAAGCAGAGTCACAGGTACGTATTTATGGACTATGGCATTCACTTCACTTGGACATTGGACACATAAAGAACTTGTCCAAAAAGAGGTGCAGCCATTGCCCTTGGTTTCTGGAAGGTAATTTGTGTTTTCCTGAGAGCCTTCGGCTAAATAGAGAATAACACTATGATTTAGGGTAGGGGCTTTGGGTCACACAATATCTGTGGAGTCAGAGGCTGGGATCAAGCACATGCGCAATGAATGAATCCTGCCTACGTAACAGACGCCAATGACATCTCTTGACATAGAGGCTCAGGTGAGCTTCCTGCTTGGCGACACTTCATGTGTATTATCACATGTTGGTACCTGAAGAGTAACATGTCCTGACTCAACAGGAAGACGACAATAGAAGCTCAGTATTTGGTACTTCTACTGAATCCTGCTTTAGGTATTTCTTCCCATGGCAGATTTTAATCTGTCCCTCTCTCAAAGATAAACTGTAACCGTGAGTATAACCATGGTTTTCAGTGAGGTCTGTGAGTCCTTCTGGAAAGTTATCAATCTAAAGATGATTCTGTGAGGCCATAAACTTGCAGTTGGTGCCAGAAGTGAGGGTGGTCTTGAGGACTATGCCCTCTAACTTAGTAGTTGGCCTAAACTCCTTATGACAGCTAACTAATTATGATTATAAGAGCAAACTATAACAAGATAAGAATTGTATCTATTTCATTCATCTTTATATGCTCAGTATGCAGTCTGGTGCCTGAGATGTGGTAGACTTTCAATCAGTATGTATTGAACAAATTTTAGGTTTACTGAGATTGCTTTGAGGACAAACCAGCATTTGTGCAGTGGTTTGTAAGACTACCAATTAAACTTTGATCAATGTAATCATAGTTAATTGTGCAACAATTGTATGAAATTTGTTCCGTCTATACTTGAAATAGGCAATTCTTCAAAATTCAACAAGTCTTTACTGAGAATCTTCCTTTACCAGGGAATGTGTTTAATGCTGTGGTTGGGCCAAATATGTGGCCCAGATGGCCCAGATAGCAAAGATGAATACGATGTAATTCCTGCCCACCAGCAAAATAAAAGTCAAGTGCTCAGATATTACAGCAGAAGTAGCATCTAATTCTCATAGAGGATGGACAATGGAGACAGGTGACATATCAGGTAAGATTTGAGCTGAGCTTTAAGG
This sequence comes from Homo sapiens, assembly GCF_000001405.40. Lineage (NCBI taxonomy): Eukaryota > Metazoa > Chordata > Mammalia > Primates > Hominidae > Homo > Homo sapiens. The sequence continues at coordinate 192,329,296 of NC_000003.12, forward strand.
AAAATTATGAATTACATAGGTACAGAAGAGAAAAAGGCAAATATAACAGTATCAGTGATAGCACTTTAGTAAGTCTTATTTTTACTCTTTACATATTTTATCACATGTATCATTCTATCAAGTTACCTAAAATATTATATCACTAGTGTTCTAACCACAATTTGAAAATCTAGCTTTATAATATCATACCAAATGATGTTTATCTACATTTGCTTTATTTATACAAGGTTCAGTTCAAACAACTCAAATATAAAAAGATGTGAGTCAATTTACAGAGGATGGTCGAGGGCTTACTTGGGTTTTGTCTTTCCTGTATAAAATGAAAATATACCTCTCCTTCACCACTCCCAACCGAAATGCCTTTAAGCACTGTGATCATTTGAGAAAATTTAGGTGGTCTTACAAGTTTTGTCAAAAACTTTTAAAACTCAAAAAGAATAAAACATTAAAGGATATTACATTTTAAATCAAAACTGGTTAAACAGCAAAATTTTTAAAAGGCACTGTCTATGTATAAGGTAAAATTTGTAGAAAAATCTGTTTCAACAGATTGTAACACAGAATGGTATTTCCTGAACTATCGAAAAAGGTGTTTCAGAAACATAAGTTTCCAACATGCTTAACCTTCTTTTGTTTGAGAAAGAGATGCATTAAGAACTTTTTATTTACTCTATTTTTTAAATGTTATTTAATACCATTAAAATTATTTTGGTCTTCCTTTCTAAAAGGCACTGTGAGATTAAATTTAATCAAGGAGTTGAAAAACTTGTATACTGAAAACTACTAAACATTGTCAAAAGAAATCCCATGTTTATGAATCAGAAAACCTAATATTCTTCAAATGTCCATACTACCGGAGACAATCTACATATTCAATACAATTCCTATCAAAATCTCAATGTCGTTTTTTGCACTAATAGAAAACTCCATTCCAAAATTTATATAAAATCTCAAGGAACCTCAAATAGCCAAAACCATCTTAAGAAAAAATAAATAAATAAAGCTGTAGGTCGCACACCTTCTGACTTCAAAATGTAGTGGAAAACTATGGTAATCGAACAGTATGGTACTGGCACAAAGAGACACAAACACCAATGGAACACAATAGAGAGGCCCAGAAATAAACCCTTTAATATGTGGTCAAATCATCTTCAACAAGATTACACAATGGAGAAAGGTTAGCCTCTCAACAAGTGGTGTTGGAAAAACTGTATATCCACATGCAAAAGAATGAAACTGGACCCTTACCTTACACCACATGTAACATTAATTCAAAATGGATTACAAATCTCTGCATAAGAGGAGGCTGAGGCAGGAGAATCGCTTGAACCCAGGAGGTGGAGATTGCAGTGAGCTGAGATCACACCACTGCACTCCAGCCTGGCAACAAAGCAAGACTCCATCTCAAGAAACAAAAAACAAAACAACAACAAACAAACAAACAAACAAAAAACCTCCTAGAATAAACATAGGAAAAAACCTTCATGACACTGGATTTGGCAACTATATCTTGGATATGACACCAAAACAATAAGCAGCAAAAGCAAAAATAGACAAATAGGACTACATGCAACTTTAAAAATTCTATGTATCAACAGAAACAACTAACAGAGTGAGAAGGTAGCCTACAGAATGGGAGAAAATATTTGCAAATCATATATCTGATAAGGGCTTTAATAGCCAGAATCTATAAAGAACTCCTACAACTCAGTAACAACAACAACACAAAACAACTCAATTAAAAAGTAGGCAAAGGAATTGAATAGACATGTCACCAAAGAAGATTTACAAATGACTAGCAGGTATGTTAAAAGATGCCCATTACTACTAGTTATTAGAGAAATGCAAATCAAAACAAAATGGGTTATCATCTCACACCTGTTAGGATGGCCACTATCAAAAGAAACAAAAAGTATCAAGTGTTAGCAAGGATGTGAAGAAATTGGAACTTTCGTGCACTGTTGGTGGGAAGGTAAAATGATGCTGCTGATAGGGAAAACAGTATGGAGTTTTCTCAAAAAAAAAAAAAAAAAAAAACAAAAACAAAAACAGAATTACCATATAATCCAACAAGATCTTGACATTTGTACGCTCATGTTCATTGCAGCAGTAATCTCATATCCAAGAGGCCAAAGTAACCTAAATGTCCATCAGTAGATGAATAGATAAACAGAATGCAGAATGCGTATAACATACAATGGAATATTTTTAAACATTAAAAAGAAGGAAATCCTGTCATATTCTACAACACAGATGAATGTTGAGAACATTACGCTAAGTGAAATAAGCCAGTTACAAAATGCACAAATACTGCATTTTCCCGCCTATATGAGATATCTAAAGTAGTCAACCTCTTTGTAACTATAAGTAAAAAATAGTGGTTGCTAGGGGCTGGGGGAGGAGAGGAAAGAGAGCTATTGTTCAATGGGTATACAGAATTTTAGTTTTCCAGGATGGAATAAAGGGTCTGTAGAGATTACCTACAAGGGAAAGAATATTAAACTGATGAGAAACTTCTCATAATTAACAACAGATACCAGAAACCAATGTAATATTATTTTCCAAATGCTGAGAAAAATATTGGTCTACTCAGAATTGTATAACTACCTTAACTGCAATTCAAGAATGAAAGTGAAAGGAAGACATTTTCATGGAAACCAAAAGCAAGTTCACCATCCGCACACCTTCACACACAAAACAATTAAAGGTTTAGTTTAGAAGAAAAGTGAAATCAGAGACCAAATTTGATATACACACACAAACAAAAGTTCTATGCATAAAATTATTCAAAACATTCATTAATTTAACGATTAGCTATAACATAACTAATTGTGCATATGATTTTATTTTAAAGTGCAACTAATCAAACTGGCAGCAAGAAAGGTTGTGATATTTACTAGCAAGAAAACACTGTAACCTCCATAAGCTGTTGGAAAGGAAGACAGAAACACTAAAAAATATTTAGCAAAGTATGTCGTGATTTATGTATGATTAAAAAAAATAAGACTAACCACTACAGGAATAAAAATACAGCCTGAGGTTACAAACTTGCAGAAGAATTTAATAAAATAAAAAAATGTGAATAAAGCAACAGAATTTTTTAAAAAAGAAAAGAGAAACAAAAGGAAATTTAAAAAAATACAAACTATTATGGTAAAAACATATCCAGATACATCAATAATCTCATCAAATATATATATGGATTAAACTCATCTATTAAAACACAAAATTTCAGAACAACTCTTAAAACTATAGCTCTGTGCTACCTAACACTCACTCCGTCTTTGACACTCTCTCCTCCTGCTTCCTGGTGAAGAAATAGAAATCAAAAGTAACAAGGGAATTACTTCCTATTAATTCCTAGCTTAAAAATAAATAGAAGCCAGGTAAATGACACTAGATAAATGATACTGCTTGTGAATCTTTTGGGTTCTAAATTAGCTTATGTAGGTCCTCTTAGTTTGCTTCAGCACTCTCCTCTCTCTCCATAAACTGCAGTTATGACCCTTATTGGTTGCCCAACTACAGTGTTGCCTACGACATAGAAAATTGCTTTTCAAAGAAATTCTAGCCTTAATGCATACCAGAAACACCTCAGGAAAGTCAAAGTTAACAGATGACTTTTAACTCACGAGGCGAAAGCATTGTGATTCTAGATGTGAGGCAAGTTTGACTTAAGTCGAGAGAAGAACTGAAAATACAGATACCCCAATAGGTTTACAAAGGTAAACTCCATTACAAAAGAAACTCCCTCTTTTGGCTCAAGATTCCCACCCCCTCGTAACCTCAGAACTAAGCAAGAAGGACAGAAGGAATGCATCTCTGAAAAGCTTCAGAGGATGAAACCACAACCCAGCAATCCCTCCAAACTCCCTCCTTCCCTTATACAATTGTCTCCTGCTTACAATACTGTTGTCAAACTTTCTGTGTTTTTCTTCTTCATGGACCTTTGGGGATCAATTCTAGTCTAATAAACTGAACTCTATAGCTTCTGTGGAATTATAACCTGAATTATGACTTTTTAAATATACATAATATAGTCTACATTTAGCTGCTTATTTAATGACTGATTAAATCTTTAAAGTAAGACTAACTAGAAATATTCAAAATAACATCCTCTTGCCTTTTTTAATTTTAATTCTTACATTTAAAATAGACTCACAATAACTGGACATTAAGAATTGTTAGAGCTGTGACACACTAAGAGAGCCCATTATTTTGACTGAAAATGTATTTAATTGTTATTTTAAGCAGAAACTTTGAAAAAAGGTATATGTACACATATAGCATATTTATAGTGTAAATACAAAATATAGTGTATATTTTGATCTGAATATTTTCAGGAGTAAAAAAAATAATTGTAATACAAATGACAGATGTATTACTAATAAGCAAGTATGATGTACCTGTTGGAGCTAAAGGAAAATTTTCCCTTCACTCTCTGTAGCTTAAGTGAAAATCGATGGACAAAAGGCTGATTAAGAGGAGAAAAGAAATACAAATTTATTAATGTGCACTGGGGAGAATTACAGGGTGATTACCCCACCATGCGAAATGTGGTACACATGGTTATATACCCTTCTTTTTAGAGGAAAGGGAGATGGGGATGTGTGGATGATTTTACAGCGACAGCAAATGATTTTGGGGGGGAGTTCAATGAACTTAAAGAACATACAATGAGCTGGGACAAAGTCTTTTGGGTCTGCAGAGTAAACCATGGTTTGTGACAAAATGCTGTCTAGGTGTATTGATGGACTTCTGTCTTTCTTCCTGTGATACGAGTTCAGTTAATGAAAACTCAGGGAAGAGACCAAAGGTAATTGTTTTCTTCTTTGGCAGGTCCGAGCTTAGGCAGATAAGGGAACTCCAGAGAACAACTTCATCCTGTGCTTTGGGAGAGACAGGATTAAGACACAGGAGGCAGACGGAGTTCAGAGGAGACTTGAGGCTGCTTCTTCTGTGCAGCATGTAAAAACACCATATTTGAGAGTATCAATTTCTGAGCTCCAAGGTACCAGAGTTTTGTTTAATTGAACATTGGAAGAGCCTAATGAAAATTAGTCAATAACTAATTTAGAATCCAGCAGACATATGGAAACTTCCAAAATAACCTTGTGCTATTTACTGAGATCATAAAAAGTAAGGGTGGAAATCTGTAATCATGATTTTCAAGGAATTTTTTTCATGAACTACAAATAGCCAACTCTCTTACAAGAAAGCGGAAATACACACATATACACACACACCCCATTCAGTGCAGCCACATTCTCTCAACGCATAAATTATTATCCTGAGAGTGAGACAAGCATCATAATTGTGTTTGCTACTTTAAAATATGTCAGTGCTGATAATGTAGCCACTGATGGCTACCTAATTTTGCCAGTTTGGGATTTGAAAGACATGATACAACATTGTGTCCAACATGCTCATTTGAAAAGTCCAAAATTAAGCCAATGAAGGTAGATAATTTGCCCAAAGGGATATCAAGATAGTAAATGAAATGCAAATAAAACTCAAATATCCTTGCTCGTAATCCAGAGCTCATTCCATAAATTCATATTGCCTTTAAATTAAAGTTATTCTGAGAATCTGACATATTAGATAAAACATAGACCTACTAAATACAAACAAAGCCACAATCTTTCACAAATTATGAACGTTTTTTTCTCCATGGTAGGACAGAGACTATTTCCAGACAAATTGAAGAATTTTCCTCCCTGAGCCATCCTCCATGCTTAAAGGAGAGATAACAAGAGAAAAGAAAAATGTCTTGCTCTTTGAATTAAACAGAAAGGTAAAATTCCAAAAGGAGAGTATCCTGCAGAAATGGAAGCTAGACACAAAGAATTTATATCGCATGGAGAGTAACTGCAATATACTCATTCAACAAGACATGGTCCTTAACACTCTAAATTACAAAACCTCAAAATAATCCCGAAAAACAGGATCACAAAATATAAAATGACTTCAACTTCCAATTTTCTTGCCTAACATGATGGTTACTCCATTACCTCTCAGTGGTAGTTCACACACATACACACAAATACACACTACAATGTACTTACTGAACTGTAGAGATAGCCTTCACCATTCATGGCCACATAGAGGCTAGCCTTCACTCCTTGGATGGCCACTACACGCAGGCCCACGGGAATTAGATTGAAGAGAGCTGGGGGGAGAAAAAGAAGGGCGGAAAGGATCAGTGACCTTTTGAATAAATAATCCTTCTTATAATCATTCTTTTGAGAATTAAAACCTATTAATTGAACTTGGTAGAAAAATGGAGAGAGAAATAAAGAGAGGTCTAAAAACGAGAGAAATTGACTTCTTGACCCTGCACCAGCATTAATTACCTATGTAACTTCAGGTAAATTACATAAACTCTGTACTAAAGGGGTTGGATTAGAAGGTCTCTAAAGGCCCAGCTGGATCTGAGATTTCAGGATCCCTGATCCTTAAAATGATCCTCAAACAGTGTAATATAAGATAATTTTTTCTAACAAACAAATAATATGGACCGAAAAATTCTCAACAGGAGAAAACCTATCTGTAGTCACAAGAAATAACAAAATACTATCTTTAAAACAGGCCAAAGCTTCTTGTTTTTAGTATTTTCCTTGTTGTTCCAAACATTATATTGAACACAGAAGAAGAATGCAAAAATTACTGACTTATTGGTGATAACATTCAGACAAAACTTTTTTCTTGATATCTCAATTTTTTACATGTAAATAAACAGAGATAAACAGATGGACAGATGATTGATAGATAGCTTAAGCTGTAATGGATATATTTTATATCCAGGTGGGAAATACACACACACACACACACACACACACACATATACACACATATATACATACTATATATATACAAATATATATACACATATATATATGCACACACACACACATATACTCAAAACCATTAAGAATTAATTTGACAAAAGTAATTCAACATCCTAAGATGAAATGGAAACATGCTTGCAGTCTTTACATATTCGAGTTGCTCATCACTCAAAATACTCAATAGTCTATATGTCCACTTAGAGAAGGAATTCGTAGATCAGAAAAAAAGATACCTAAGAGAACCTTCTATTTTTCTTCCAACAATATTTTTCTGTCCTTGGGATTATTTCAGTTACTTTTGAGATCACGAAATGAGCATAAACAGAAAACACTGCCCCCACCCTGAAACAATTCACATTGCATATGGAAGAAAAGCAATCATATAGTTAGGCTCTATAGATGGCAACATGGAGATGAATTAAGTATCTCACGGCTGTATGCATAAGAGAATATCTCTGCAGTTCATTTCAGTATCCTGGCTTAATTAGAAGTTCTTATCCACTTTTTCTGTTGATAAAATTCCTATCAGTTCTCGTCTTCTTAGTTTTTAATACAAGATACACATAAATTAACCCAAGGGCTACCATTATTTAGGGATGCCTCTATTTTTCTCGGCTTCTCTCAACCTACAATAGTAAGCTAAACACACACACATGCAGACACACACACTCACAGTATTTGGCTTTCAGTCAAATGTTCAATTGACAGTTGTAGAGGATCAAGTCTTAGACCACAAGTTTAGTAGAACAGGATTCCATTCTTAGCTGTCGACATCGGATCAGTCCTTTTGCCTCTTTGAATCCATTTCCACATTTTTTACGAAAACTGAGACTAGATAAGAAACTGTAAGTAGTTTCTTATAGATTAATTGTTGGCTCAATTTAGATTTGAACTGGTTTTATTTCTTGCTATATTCTTACCAGTGTCCTTGTGTTACTGAAACAACTTAAGAAATACAAGAACTAGACAAAGTCTAGTTGGGGAGAAAAAGCTAAGACATATGGAATAATATGATACAGTGTATAATTTACTTCTATAATTAAATGTAATATATGCATTCTATATATATATTCCCTATGTTACAGAAGTTCAGGAAAATGGAAGCTCTGTGTGGCCTGAAGTATTCATGGAATGCCTTACACAGAAAATGGAACCTGAGTTGACACCTAAAGAAGCGGAAGTTGAGAAAGCCAAGAACAGAAAACATTTTAGTGAGGTGGAAGTTAGGTGGTTTTGCAGAGTAATGTGTGTATGCAGAAAGGGACTGGCAGATTGGTGGATTTGATTTATATTGGGGGGAAATGAGAAAGAACAGCATGTAAATAAAATAAGGATAAATAACCGAGTCTGTCACTCTAATCTTAGATATCTGGACTTTACCAAATAGGCAACAAGACGTGTGACATATGAAAACTAGAGCAACAACACAGATTATGAGATTTGCAGACACATAGTTTCTAAACCCTCCACTCAGTCACTTGGCTTTGAGCTATTCATTTAACTTCTCTGCCTTAGTTTTCCTATCTGTAAAATGGACATGATAATGCTTATTGCACAGAGTTGATAGAACCAAATGCATTGTCATGTTTCTGAAAGTGATTCACAGAGATGTATCCTCTCTAAGAGCTATTTGTCATGAATACCTAATTCTTCTGTTTGTCAGATAAAGTTACCATAAGACTATTGTAAAAACTGACATATTACCTCAGTAATATTTTTTAGTTTATATTCAGCAGATTGCTTTAAAGCTTTAAAATCTAATACCTTATATTTGTGCAAGATTAATTTTCAAAGTGCTGATACATTCATTAATTGTATTTGATCCTCAACCATAAATGCTATGAAGAATTTAGGACAGAATGATTACCTTAATTTATAGAAGTACAAAAAGATTTAGAGTTAACCCAGGGGAAAATGCATCTAAACAAAGGCTTTCAGGCTCCCTAATGTGGTTACCTGTTCAAAACATCATATTTCATCTTTTTGTTCTTTATTTTTCTTTTTTGACAGAGTCTAGCTCTGTCATCCAGCTGGAGTGCAAGCAATTCTCCTGCCTCAGCCTCCAGAGTAGCTGCTATTATAGGCGCCTGCCACCACAACCCAGCTAATTTTTGTATTTTTAGTAGAGACGGGGTTTCACTGTGTTGGCCAGGCTGGTCTCGAACTCCTGACCTTGTGATCCACCTGTCTCGGCCTCCCCTTTTTGTTCTTTTAATTTCCTCTAATATCCATTTTTGCCTTCTTGCAAATAAATAGATTATTCAGCTACACCTTCTAACATATCCTGCAACCAGATGTAGGTCCTATGGACCCACTACTGGCCAATGAGATGTAAGTCATCACATCATTATAAGCTTGAGGAATCCTTCCTTAAAGACAGCATAAAGGTGTCCTTTGTGCCCCTTCTCAACCTTTGCCTATTGCTGTTTGAATGGGGATATGGTAGCTGGATCATCTCAAACCAAAAAAACAAGGACTACTCCCCAGCGGGTGTTGGCAGGTGAGCTGGAAGGAGCTGGGTCCCTGAGAGCTTTGTGGAGCAGTGGCACAAGTCCAACATTCAATTACCCAGGTCTGGCTTTTACGTGAGAAAATAAGTCCTTGTTCTCTTAGTCTGTGCGATGCAGAGCCAACTCTAATCCTAACTGATAGAGATGCTAATGAAAGCAGAATTAATATGCAAGATATGAACTAGATGCAAGGTACTTCATTTTAAATAAAAGCAGATACTGGAAAACGATTAAGTTCACTGATAATTACTGTGAGAAGGAGAAAAGACTTCCCAGGATAAATGCTAAGAACACTGGTTTATGTAGCTGACCATAGAAGGAAAAGCAACTATAAAGTTTTTCCTACATGGAATGAGAGAAAACTGATAATGCTAGGCAGGGACAAAAACAAGAAACCTGTTTGAAAGTTTTATATGAACCACAACATGATAATGGCCTTTAGCTGGTTTGCTTTGTGAGACTTACTAAGCCCATTTTTAAAAATCAGTAAACGATTTGAAACGAGACTTTATTGGTAAAAGCTAAACATAGTTTCTCTGGAAAGGTCCTCATCTGCCTCCTAAAAGTCCCAAAAGGTGGCAAATGACTTACTGTTATCTATTAATTATCTTCAGAGTAGCATACTGTGGCTCCAGCTCACAGGAGCCCTTTGCTACTCCTTTCACTACTCCTCAAAGCCACTGTCCTAACTCATAGTAACTGGGCTGCTTGACTCCACCCACTCTTTAAGTCCCTTGCATCCTCTTAAGCCATTTTCCTGCTTACAACCTGCAGTGATTCCTCCCTGTCTCCAATGTCCTTTACAACCTGGCTCCAACCCACATTTCCAGCTTATCACCTGTCACCCTTTCCATCTGCTGTAACCGGCTTCACAGAGCTTTTTGCCATTTCCTAAGTTCCCCCTCGATCTTTAACTAGGCTGGAGTTTGTCCTCTTTTGTCCTCTATCTCTTTTTGGAAAGCTTATCTTCCCACTTCTAAATTTGGCCAACTCTTTTCATCATTTAAGGCCTACCTTGTTGAACTCCCCCATGAATCTTGCCCAAAACCCTTCAGAAATAATACTTCCCTTTTCCAGATGGCTTATTTCTTGTGTATATTTCGGTAATGATATTTAGAACATGGTTTTAGAGTTCTTTGTTTATATCTCTGTCTCCATCCCTACAATGCAAGACTCTTGAGGGTAGTTGCTGTAATGTCTAGCCCAGGTACATGTACACAGCTTTATTAAATAAATGTTATTATATGGGTTATGACAAAAACACGTTATTTCCAGGAATGTAGGTTTTCTTGTTAGAATGAAAGTTCTTTTTAAGATAAAAATGAAATTAGAAACTTAAAGCATCTCAGCCTGATACTCAAAGTTAATCTACAACATACATTTGTGCTACATGGCACTTTCACTCCAATACTGAGTGCTTCTAGTAATTTGATCTTCCTCCTCCTACCTTCTAAACTCCATCTTTTTGCTAACTTAGCTCCCTCTGCTTGGAATGTCACTCTCCCTACATCTTCACACTGAAATCCCTGACATGCGTGAAATGACACACCAAATGCCAAGTGCTTTCTTTCACTTCTTAGCTGCCCTATTCCTGGATCCAGACTATATTTATCACAATTTATAGTTTTATTCTTCTAAAAAATCTGTTTCCTCTGCCAACCACAACCAGATTGTAAGCTCTCCAAAACAAAACTCACATCAAAACTACACTTGTATAATACAAGGAAGGGAGGAGACAGATAGAGACAGAGAAAACAAGAGGGAGAATATGCAGGGTAGTATATATTCTGTGTATATTAGCAATCCCAGTAAACATTTGCAGACTAAATAATACTACAATTATATGCCAAATAGAGTCCAAGTATTTAATCTGACATTCAAAGATCTTCTTAAACTTGTCCTTTCCAAAAGGAGTATCTTGTTCTACATCTTTTTGTAAAGTTGACTCTTGTATTTTGAAAAATGAAATAATGGAGCTGGTACTCTTGGCTTCCATAAACCAAGCTCATTCATAAAACTTCACAGAAAAAAGGTAATGGAAAAGGTAATGAAGAGAAAGTATAGTCTCTTCAACAAATGATGCTGAAAAAACTGGGTATTCACACATGAAAGAATGAAATTGGGCCCTTATGTTATACCATACATAAAATTCATTCAAAATGGATTAAATAATTAAATGTGAGACCTAAAACTGTAAAACCCATAGGAAAAAAACATAGGGGAAAAAGTCAACATTGGCCTTAGCAATGATTTATTTCTTGGATAACGAAAAGCACAGGCAAATGAAAGCAAAAACTAGACAAGTGGGATTACATTAAACTAAAAAGCTTCTGCAGAGCAAAGGAAACAATCAACAGAATGAAAAGGCAACTTATGGAATGGGAGAAAATATTTGCAAATTGTATATCTGGTGGGGGTTCAATATCCAGAATACATAAGAAACTCCTATGACTCAAAAGGAAAAACAAAACAAATAAGCCAATTAAAAAATGGACACAGGGCTTGAACAGACATTTCTCAAGAACAACAAACAAATGGCCAACAGGTATATGAAAATATACTCAACATCACTAATCATCAGATAATTATGAGCTGTTAACCTAAAATAAACACTTCCAAGTTATAAAATATTAAAGGATCACTTTGATTAATCATGCTACAGGAAAGACTGAATTATATTTCTCTCTACAAGAAATGTATAATAAAATTGTTGTCATATGGAAAGACATTCAAAAATTATATATCCATAATAATGGGAAGGAAATTTATAGACTTGCTGCTATCAGGCAATTAATTAAAATGTTGTATTATTTTCCTGAGTTGTATCATCTTTGATAGTTCTCAGCTTTTCAAAATTTAAACTGTTGTGGTATATTTTCTCAGTCTAAATACTCAATTTTGCATCTAATTTTCATTTCATTATATTTATTTTTTCGAGGGAGAACCCCACATAAGATAAGCTTTAGGACCTACAAAACCTAAATCATTCTCATATTGAAATTTAAGTGGAAGGAGAAGATGAGAGAAAGTAACAAATGAGAAAAGAAAAACTAAATAGATAATATTCATTGACTGTCTATTTTTTCAGGCATCCTGCTAGGTAGGCATTTTGATATGCGAAATGTCATTTTATTATAAACTCAGTATTTGACTACTTAAAATAGCTTCATTGAACAGTATATAAAAGTCCTAACTTCTTTGAGGGGTACAAAGTGAAAAAAATTGAGAAAATGTAAAGCACCATCCTAACATTTGGAGTTAACATACAGCACTTGTAAAAACCTGACTTAGAAGTCATTTATTCTTACCATAAATATTTGTTAGGACTTACTGTATGCCAAATACCATGCCTAGGCTAAAAAAAGAGTGACGAACATAACAGTTGTGGTCTCTAGTGAAAAGACTTTTATCTGTGAATCTTTCCGAGGTTTCCACTACTTTAAGGGCAAGTTGAAGGTACCAGAAACTTTTATTATGATCCCCAATGCCTAGCATGATATCTTGGTTTTAGAAGCTGTTATTCAATATCTGCTGAATAAATAAATGAATTAGGAGTAGTTTCTCCTTACACATGTTTATTCATAACTTTTCTCAGTCATATTTTTATAATTAAGCATGTAAGAAAAAAATGGAAGATAATATGTATTACACATAGACTAAAGGAAAGCCAAAAAACCTACATGGTACAAAGTCTGAAATGGCAGAATCATGGGATGCATAGGCCTGGTAAGGGTAGGAGTATGTGTGTGTGTAGAGTGATGCAAGGTTGGAGGGAATTAAGAGGAAGGAAAGAGTTTGGGGAATCTGTTACAATTGAGATATTAAACATCTTGTCAGCAAGGCGTGGTGGCTCATGCCTGTAATCTCAGCACTTTGGGAGGCTAAGGCAGGAGAATCACTTGAGCCCAGGAGTTTGCGACTAGCCTGGGAAACACAGGGAGACTCCATCTCTGTAAAAATAAAAACAAAAATAATTTAGTCAGGTATGTGTGTGTGCCTGTGGTCCCAGCTACTTGGGAGGCTGAGGTCGGAGGATAGCCTGCACCCAGGAATTCAAGGCTGCAGTTAAGCCATGATTGCACCACTCCACTCCTGCCTGGGTAACGGGGCAGGGCATGCCTCTGTCTCAACAAAATAAAATAAAAAATAAACATCCTGTCCAATGATACTGCACCAAAAAATGTACTTTCTAAAAGTGCTATGTTTTACTCAGCTTAATTTCTACCTGTACACACCATATTATTCCAGTAAGAAAAAGGTAACAGTCAATCCAAAACACATAGGAAAACAATGTGACAACCAAGAAAGTTTCAAAGAAAGAGAAGAAGAGGAAGAGAGGGAGAGAGGGAGAGAGGGAGGAAGAAGGGAGGGAAGGAAGGAGAAAAAAAAGCTCATTACAAATTGTCTTTGGAACATGTAAATCCAGTATCTTTCCAAGTAACTTCTAAGGACAGACTCATTGCTTGTAACGAAGAAAGGTATAAAAGAGTACAGTTGTATTTAGAAATTCTAGATCTATTTTGTCAAATGGCCAATAAAAAAGATTCATCCTGTGACCCATTAAAAACCCATGTGGAACATACTGAGAGAGAATGGAGATATTTGGGTTTATAATCTGTGCATTTTCAATGTTAGATTTCCTTGAAAATTCAATATCATTTCCCACATCTCAAAATGTTCTCAATCAAGATATTTTATTAGAGTGTGAATAAGATCATATCCTACAAAATCTTAAATAAAAAGTTAAGTTAGTACCAGGTTATTTTCTCCTACAATAAATCCTATAGTCTCTCACAATAATATCTATAATTATAATATTCATAATATTTGCAGGCCACTCAATTGGTTTTTCCTCAGTTATGAAATTAATATTTACTTCTGTTATTTATAATTTACTTAAGTCAATTATTCACCCTCCCCATTCTCAACAGGAAAATGCTATTATTGAATATACAGCAAAGGAGTGAGCTCTTAAATCTTCCAATACAAAAGTGGTTATATAAATTATGGTACAATGGAATGTTCACCCAGGCAAATTAATTATTCATTCCCTTACCCTAATTCCACAGCATTCCATACATAGCACTTATCACAGTGCTTATTAATATTTATATGTTTGTCTGAGTTTCCCTGAAAACTAGGGATTCATAGAATATAACATGTTTTTGTTGTTGTTTTGCATCCAGATTGCATTTCAAAATAAAGCCTAAACAATTGTTGTTACTGAATTTAACCCTCTAAAACAGCATTTCTTACAGACATTAAAGGAAAGATGTAACTTGCCGTATTCTTTTAGCTTTTAAGTCAAGGAAATAAGTGGTCTTGGTGACTCCAAGTAATTTAATGAGGTTGCAATTTTTTGAATTTCTGCAATCAGACCTTGGCGATGACTTTGAGCAGTAGGATATAAATAACTCCCACATGCGTAGTGTTCCAATAATGGAACACTAGGCATAAATGAGTTAACCACTTTGAGTATTTCTTGGCTCTGAATGCTTCACTGGATTGTTATGAAGATCAATGAGATAATAAAAACAAGCCACTTTTTAAACCATAAAGGATACAAAGCATCACTATCAGTGTTGTCAGTGTTTTTGTTCTCATTGTTGTTTTCATATCTCCACATCTGGAGTTTTCATAGTAGGAGGAACATGGCTGGGTGGTCATTATTCCATAGTTCAACTTAAATTTTTTAAAATGTTATGGGAGAAAAAAAAAAGCATGTATTCCATCTTCTATTATTGAAGTTCCCATAAGCAAAACAACTATGTGGTTAAAATAAAACACTGTTAAGAATGTAAACATCAACATACTTTAAGTTATATTGGTTCACTGCTTTAAGTATGATGTCCTATTTTATAAGCAATTGGCCAAATAGTCCAACTGACTGATTTATTTTCTCACTGAATTTATCGACTTACAGAGCTGACTAGTGGTTTGGGACTTCAGAGACTAAAATTTTTCTTCTAAGCATTGGCTGACAGCATACACTGTGGGTTTTCAGCATAACAAAAATGAGCAGCATTGTGATCTCTTTATTTGATAAGGTAGTAGAAATATTTGCCTTAGCTCTGGTAAAAGTCCTGTCATTGACTTTTAATCCTGATAATATCATATAACCTTTCCTATGATAGTTCAAAAATGTTCAAAAATTTGCATAATTAACAAGTCAATTAAACGTGATTATTTTTTCATTAAGATGAAAAATGAGGCATATCACTATTGATAATGAAAGCAAATGCCTGTCATTACTCATTCTCTGGAGCCATTTGTCTTACACAGACTTGTCTTGGAGCCCGTCTGGTCTGAAGAATTCAGTGAACAGCACAGGTGACGGTCCATAAGATCAATGGGCAGAAACATCTTCCAAGAAATCTTTGCATGTTTTGAAGCTTTTAGATTTGCATCCTCTATAAACCTTTCATCAAAAACTATGTTGCCAAAATCAATACTATGGCCTACTAGGTTTATTCATTAATTCATCACATATATTCCAGACATTGTGCCAGGCACTTGCAATACAGTGGTAGAAAGGACAGAGATGGTACCTGCCATCATAGTAGTTAAAGTCTAAAATAGATAAAAGTAACCACATGTGTAATATGTATCCATCTTTACAGACCAGGAAACTGATACTCAAAGATACTGTTTTCCCAAGGTTATAAAGTCAGCTAGTGAAAAAGCTAAGCTGTGAACCTAGATTCTGGTGGCTACAAAGCTGTAAAATATTGTTGCTCTTAAGATATAACATAGGCCGGGCGCGGTGGCTCACGCCTGTAATCCCAGCACTTTGGGAGGCCGAGGCGGGCGGATCACGAGGTCAGGAGATCGAGACCATCCTGGCTAACACGGTGAAACCCCGTCTCTACTAAAAATACAAAAAATTAGCCGGGCGTGGTAGCGGGCGCCTGTAGTCCCAGCTACTCGGGAGGCTGAGGCAGGGGAATGGCGTGAACCCGGGAGGCGGAGCTTGCAGTGAGCCGAGATCGCGCCACTGCACTCCAGCCTGGGCGACAGAGCGAGACTCCGTCTCAAAAAAAAAAAAAAAAAAGATATAACATAAAATTCTAATGATAACAATTCAAGTAGTTGTGAAGAAAGTAGGAAAAACAGACTATAATAAGAAAATGTGAAAACCTTACAAGGAATGTTTTAGCCAAGTAGAACCATCCTGCTCAAAAGGTAAAAAATCTTTAGTTTTTCTTAGATAAAATTACACACAGGCAACACAAGCACACTTATTTGAGTTGATTTAGATATGCTCAAAGCTTTGCACGTTGTTATCATTAATACCTAAATAAGAAAATATGACTGCCTAATTCCAAAAATATTAAGTGGATCTATAGAAATAAACATAATGTGGAAAGATTTTTTTTTTTTAGAAATTAGGGATAAAAAAGGACTTGAAAAATAAAATGATTATTTTGTCCTTACTATTCTCTACTTCAAAATCTCTCATTCAATCCATGTCTACTATAAACTCCAGTTAGAAAATTTTTCTAAAGTATTGCATTTTACTCATTGCTCAATAACTTTCATTGGTTCCCCATTTCCTACAACATAAAGCTTACACTCCCTTAAGTGTCAGTTAAGACACTCTAAAATATGGCCCCATGATACTTCCAAATAATCTCTTTGCTTCATGCAAGCTAGTGGGTTAATTTTTCCCTTACATGGTGGGAGCTTTCTCCACTTCCTGATTTTGTGCCTCCTTACCTGAAATACAACTGTCCTAATCTTAATTTATTTATTTTGTTCCCATTCTTCAAGAATTGGGTTAAAACCAAACTTGTTGATCACTATGGCTTTTGAGGATCTGTTAGATCTCTGAAATCTGGTGATTCTTCTAATCACTTGGTAGTACCAGTGACACCTTTTGTTTTACATTAAAATGTAAAACCTTTTATGCTCTGGGAAAAGCTAGAAGGCAGGAATTGTATCAGATTCATTTTTGTAATCCAGTAACTAGAACGCAGTTGGCCTTCAATATGTTGGTATTAATGAAAATAAAGCATGCATATGGCAGGCATATGTGAAAACTCAATCATTTTGTGGTAGCTGCCTGAAACAATGTCTTAAGGAGACATTTGAAGCCAGGCAACAATGAATGTTGTGAGAATTTAGTGATGTCTGCAGTGAACACAGGAAGGGGTACTTCAGCCATTGATTTGTCATTTCCCACTTGAGGGCCTCCTTTTATAATAAAATAGCATGAAACATTCCATAAAAACAGCGATGATTTGCACCGTACTTTAAAATCAATATCTTATTGTATAACTTTGACTCAAAGTTATAATAATACAAATTTGGAATGCAAACTTTAAAAATTGAAGAAAAAAACCAACTCTCCAGAGGTAATTTAGCTTAATGGTTCACAGACTTTGCTGCATATTAAAACCTTCTGAAAAGTTTGAAAATTCTGATGTCCAGACTACACTCATAATAATTAAATAAAATTGCCTGGAATTGAAGACAAGTACTTTTTAACTCCCCAGATTATTCCAGTATGCTTCATTGTTGAAAACAATTTAATATTCAATAGTCTGGGATAGTTCTAGCAAGCTCACATGCGATACTGATTCTTCCCAAATCTTACCAGTCAATGAACCAAACCTTGCTGCTCAAAGTGTGAACAGCATCACCATCATCTGGAGCTTGTTGGAAAGGCAGAATCTCAGGCTGTATCCAAGAATTATTGAATCAAAATTTGCATTTTAACACAATTACAATGCAGTTAAAGTTTTGAGAAGTGCTGTGTGCTTGGTTCTCAAAGTGTGGTCCTCCTGCAGACTTCCTGATTCAAAAACAAAGATTTTGGAGCCATTGTTGAGAACCTGGATCTATGAGGAGCGGCTGCTGTCTTCCTTTACGTCTCAGTAGGGCTTTTCTGCCCAGATCATCAGTGTCAAAGACTGGGAAGAGACCATATGTAACTGTATATTCCAACCCCTTCAGAGGGAAACTCCAAGTGCACTAGATGTTAATCTTATCTAAATTAGACTTCGATCAATTCTTCCAAAGAAAAGAAGGTTGGTCTAAGGCCTAAAAGAGTGCTGAAACTACAGATGTGGTTCAAAAATGGCTTCTTACCCAATTTGTCAAAGCTCTGCTCAAGTCCTTCATTTTTTCTGAAATGGCTCTTGATCACTCTTCAGTCAGCATTGATTTCCCCTGTTGAGACTTTCCAAGGCACTTCCTTCCATAAGAGTACATTTTGATATTATTAACTTAAATCTCCTACATATTATTCCCATTTTGCGGATGAGGAACTCTGGTTTCAAAGTGTTAAACTAATTGCCCAAGTTTATCCAGCTGGCAAGTGGAGATACTCATATTAATATCCATGATTGTCTGTCCCTAAAATCAAATGGACTATTTATAACACTATCCTGCTTCCTCAAGTATGGGAAATGATCCCTGGTATATACTATAGAAACAATAAAAGTGATGTTTTCTGCTCGTACCTAAGTAGGAAGGAGCAAGGAGTTCTCTTTAGGATATTTGTAAAAATTCAACTGTAATACTGTGGAGTGGGCTTAATAATGCTGTGCATACATAGTCTCACATAGGTATGTGTTCCAGATTCGGTCTCAATGTCAAGGGAAGCAGATGTACTAAGTGCAACCTCGCTAGATCTTGGCTGGATGCCTGTTCAGTACCACTCTATCTAGGCTGCTGAATAATACATGAAAATATATATCCACATAAAGACACACACATCCTACACACCTCAAACTTCTCAAATCAGATATATGAAATAGGCAACCAGGTTATTTAAAATCTTTAAAATTATTGTATAATGGTTTATTATCTCTAAAAAATGTTTTAATATATATTTTAAATACGTCAAACACATTGAAGAAAAATCCTTGCAAGTTCACTGTTTAGCCTGTCTAAAGTAAACCTCCATAATATTTTAGAACTAAACCACGTTGCCTTCTTAATGCCTTTTGAAAGTGTTGTCAGAAGAATGCAGAGGTATGATTTAAGAGATTGTTTATTATACACTGGGAAATATTAACCAGGAAAGATAAATTCGAGATACAGTGTAAACTGGGTGAAGGTATTAACATTGGAACTAAACTTGCTGAATTCAAATCCTGGGTCTATTATTTAATATCTTTAAGGCCATGGACTAATTATTTAACCTTCCTGTGCCTCAATTTACTCATCTTCAAAATAGAAATGATTACAGTACCTTTTATAGGGTTATCACAAGACTTAACTGAGTACAATTTTGAAAATTTTCATAGCTGTACTGAACATTTAGAAGGTGTTCAGTAAACAGTTACTATTATCTGATATGTCCCCAAGTCATAGATTAAGAAATAATGCTTGACACGTAGGTGACCATTTTATTTTCCAAATCCTTCATTCCAAATATGTAGTTCTTCTTTATGCTTCATGGTAGTATGCCCTAGAAAATGCTAATCCATATGAGTATACATTTATAATTTATACCTTATTTAGCTGGTGGCTAAAAACAGTGCTTAATCAAACCAGAGACATATAAGAAACTACACTGCAATTCATTAAGAATATGGACAAATCTATACAACCTTGCAATCAGTAACTTATGTTGAAGACGGAGCACAGGATATGGATATAGTAGAAATGAATTCTACTTACTGTACTTAGAGCAAATCAACTCTCACTTCAGAGCCTCAAAGTAAGGTAATGAATTTCAGGAATTTTAAAGTGATCTCTAATTCTCACTCATCAAAATTTTAATACCCTTTTCCACTACTTCAAGAAACCCTCTCTTTTTAGTTTCTTATTCTTAAAACACCTGAGTGTGTATTTTCTTTTTCCTGCAACATATGTTTAAATTTATACTGCTGCCCTTAGATGAATAATAAAAGCAATGACTCTCTCTCTTATGGGCAAATATACCATTTGCTTATTTTAAGAAAATGATGTCTCTATAATTGTCAACATGAATATATATATTCATGTAACACTTTGAGAATATATGTAACACTGCGAAAGTGTCTTCTTTTACTATTATTGCTATAGAATTCACTTTTCCAGACTAAGCATACTCAATTTTCTTCCTATTTTCAAAATGGAAATAATTTCCTTACTCATCCCTTGAATTCTCTTAAATCATCTGTCATTCTCAAGACAAAATGCAAGCATGGTCCCATTAGCATTAATTTTTCAAGCTGGGCATTGTCACGCAAAGTCATATTCATTTTTGATGGGGTTGTTCTGTGAATTCACTTTCATTCATTTATTCAACAAATACTGAATACCTAATATGTGCCAGGTATTCTTTTAGGTGCTGGAGACATAGCAGTACAAAATGCAGATAAAGCTCATTGCCCCCATGAAGCTTATATTCTAATTAAATCTTTTGGTTTCAATGGTATAATGATTATACTATTGCTACTATCAATGAACTTATCCATATCCATTATCAAGGCGTTACTCATTATTAAGAATTTATTACAGGCCAACACAGAGATAAAGCAGGTATTGTCAATGCCCTTAAGTAGTTCATAACCAAAAAGAAGTCAGCCAGTCATATACACAATAAATACATACAGATGAAACAGCATAAAATCATAAGAGATGTACAGTTTGTTCAGAGAAAAAGTAGAATGTACAGTTAAATCAGAAACAGGCTTCAAAGACAAAAGGCTTTTAGAGGATGGCATAATTAGTGAAAGAAATAACATAAGCAAGTATAGGATAGAATAAAAAAAGTATGGTATATATAAGTAATATTTTAGTAGTAAGAAGACATAATAAAACAAGTAGGTATATTAGATAGTGGTAAGGGTTCTAAAGATGAAAACAAAATTCAAGTAGGCAAAGGAGACTGAAATATTGAGGATAGGGACTGAGATGTATATAGATTAACTAGAAAAGATCTTTTTGAGAAAAGGCTTCCCTTTTGAGTGGAGTATGAAGATTATGAGGGATTGAGCTATTTAGATATTTGGAAGGACATTCCAGAAAGAGGGGGATAGCTGGTCCCAATGCCTTCAGGCAAGAACATGGTTGGTGTGTTTGAGGAACAGCAAGATGGCCAGTGGAAAGAAAGAGGAGAGATAATATGTGAGGAGGGATGAAGGAGACAACGGGTGAGATTATATAAAACGTTATTGGTCATAGGAAAAAGGTCATTGGCTTTTACCCCGAATGATATGTGATGAAAGGGATTGAGCAAAGAAGTGAGTTTATTTCGTTTTATCTTTTAACTGGGTCACTCTGGCTGCTGTGTGGAAAATAGGCTGATGCGGGGAAGCTTTAAGTAAAGAGACCAGTTAGAGAGTTATTGCAAGAGTCCATACAAAGAGGATAGTAGCTTGGACTAGGGAGTGGCAATAGGGGTATTGAGAATTGCTGGAAATCTGTATATGTATACACTGAAAGTAGCAGTGAATTCACTACTGTGTTCCAATTCAATGCAAAAGCTATTGTACTATTTGCTCTTACAATTTTGCCTTCTTTTGTAATGTGTTTAAAATAAAAAGTTTCCCATTTTTCAAAGGTGAAAACAAAAATCATTGTCATCTTGTAGGCTTGCAAAATTTCAGATCTATCAGAGATACTGGATATTATCTTTTCTAAACGCTTCATTTTACAGAGTAGAAAACAAAGGATTCATTCCTCAGAGGAGAAATGAGGGGTGGGGGAAGTAAACCAAGGAACAGAAAGTTTGTGGGACTTAAATAAGTTCACTCAGCTATTTAGAGAAAGAACCTGGACTGGAAACCAGGCTGTCTGACTCACAGCCCAAGCTACTTTGTCTTACAATCGGTGATATTTAAGGGGTTTGTACTGTTCGTTTAAAGTTCTGTTCTGTTATTTTGATTTAACAAACATTGAGTGAAAGCCACAGGTATCTCAAACTGAAAAGTCTTCAGGCCCTAGGCAGGTAGGAAGAAAATGTGGGGAAAAAAGTAGATGCATCTGTTGCTTACATACAATCATTCCCCCTTCCCAAGCATGCCAGCTAAATGAAACACATTTGTAGCTCTTTGGATTTTGGAAAATCTCCATTGCTTGGCTAAGCAGAAGGGCAAATAAGGAAGTCATACTCTAATAGGGAAAACACAAAAGCAGATAAGGAATTGCAGTATATAATGTGACTTGCGCAGCTGTAAACAAATGCATAACCCTCAAATACAGCAGAGTGAAGTGAGTGAGCGTGGGGTTCTGTATGGGGGTGACAGTTGAGACAAGATGGCTAAAGAAGACCTCACATGGACAAAAGAAACAAGAGTTGAGGAGGGTTTT
Source organism: Homo sapiens (assembly GCF_000001405.40). Classification (NCBI taxonomy): domain Eukaryota; kingdom Metazoa; phylum Chordata; class Mammalia; order Primates; family Hominidae; genus Homo; species Homo sapiens. The sequence goes on from NC_000003.12 coordinate 192,351,902, forward strand.
GAAGGGTGAGAGTGGCTTGCCTCCTGGATAAGATTGGCAAAGACATCGCAAGCAAAATAAATTTGCATATGTAAAAGCTCCAAGACATACAAATCTGTGATACAGGCTTACCTATATCACTACATATTTTTCATATTTTTTTCTTTTTTTTTTGTAATCCTCCAAACTTATATTTGATCATATATCTGTCCAGAATTGAGCCTTGACTCTCTTCAAGTAATTAATCAAAATGTAACAGATTTCACACATTGTTTAAGATGATAGAAAGTTTGAATTTCAGTGTCTACAGACCTCTGCTTTCCCTATTATATTAGGAGTCAGATCCCCATAGAAATAGGCTTCACAGTCCCAGAACAGAGATTGCTTTCATTAGCAAATGTGAGCACTTCAAATCCTGGGGGCAGAGGAAAGATGCCAGTTGTACTTGCTGCAGTGCATCAGAATAATCTGGATGGCTTGTCAAAACACAGATTGCTGGGCCCCAGCCTCACAGTCTCTGATTCAGCATGTCTGAAGTGATGCTGGAAAATGTGTATTTCTAACAAGTTCTCAGATACATAGATGCTGCTGGTCTAGGGACTAGACATTTTATGAATCACTGACTTATTCTTCAATACCCACCAGTGTAAACACCTTCAAATTCTTCCATATAATAATAGCTGCCACTGCTAAGAATTCTATTTCTGTTAAAATGGTCACTGTGTATGAGCTCCTTGAAAACAAGGGGTCTCTCATCCCTGTTGATGAAAATAATGACAGCAGATGACATTTATTAAGAATTACTGTGTTCTAGGTACTTTTAAGGAATCAAACCATTTAAACTACACAACAGCCCTATGATCTAAATATTATTATTATTGTCATTTAACAAATGAGGAAATTTAACAGAGAGGGGTTAAATAACTAATTCAAGGGCAAAGAATCTCAAGTCAGATTACTTGGACCCAAATTCTGGTTTTAGCATTTATGTATTTAACTCTCTAGATCTTTAAACACACTTTGAGACTATCACACAGGGATTTGCAAACTGATGATTTCCTGCCTGCTGGTAACATATCTTTCAGAACAAAGGGTATTTAGGGAAATGGAGGCTGTCAATCAGTTTTTCTGAGCATACCTTTACTTCTATATCAGAAGTAAATAAAAGACTATCAAAATCTTAGTGATTCTTGGCTCCTCTAATGTTGTACTATCTGAATTTGTATAAATCAGAGAATGTTTATGTGACTTGCCCACGGCCAAAGCACTAGTCATCACACAGAGCCAAAAACAGATCAAAGACAACCTCAGTCCTCAGCTCTTTCTAGGAATACACTTGGTTAAGGAGCTCCAATAAGATTTTTAAATACTATGTATTCTGCCTAGAAATATGCCCATAAAAAGTCACAGAGTAAATAAGAAAGAATATCATTTCAAATGACTCGTTTTGCTTTACTGACCAGAAAGATACATGGGAGCAGAAGTCTTTTTTTTTTTTTTTTTTTTTGAGATGGAGTCTCGCTCTGTCACCCAGGCTGGAGTGCAGTGGCACGATCCCAGCTCACTGCAACCTCTGCCTCCTGGATTCAAGCCATTCTCCTGCCTCAGCCTCCCGAGTAGCCAGGACTACAGGCGCCCGCCACCACACCCGCCTAATTTTTTATATTTTTAGTAGAGACGGGGTTTCACTGTGTTAGCCAGGATGGTCTCGATCACCTGACCTTGTGATCCGCCAGCCTCGGCCTCCCAGAGTGCTGGGATTACAGGCATGAGCCACTGTGCCCGGCTGGGAGCAGAAGTCTTATGATCAAAAATATATATAAGATCAAGAAGAAAGTGAGGAGCCAAGGCTGAAGAATCTGGAGGAGTTATCCCCTTATGATTTTATGTAAGGGGGTAAGCCATTCAAGAAAATAACTAGTGTTTGCTAAAATTTTCCACAAATATTATTTGGAGGCACTATCTTTAAAATTAAAACACAGTCAATGAAAACAAATTTCTAACAAATTTAGAACATCTGTTTAATTTTTTGTAGTACCTGCATGCCCTTGTGATAAGAAATAGATTTCCTTCATAATTTTCCTCAGCTAACCATTTGGATCATACTTCTGTTCATAGTTTAGCAATAAAAGCTTCTGCTGACTTTGGCTGTGTCTATATACTTGTGACTGGTGGTATCAAAACATCATATGTTTGGTATTGTATAGAAAACATAACGAGTGACTAAACTTTTACATTTCCAATTGGTTTTCTGAAAATCAGACACAGAACATTTTGAAATGTTTGTTGTTGCTAAACTCACAGTGAATTTAGTACGTTCATAAAATCTAATGAAAGTGTATTTGTATTCATAACTGATAAGAACATAAAGTATTAGAAGTCTAGACTGAGAGAATCTTAAGAAATAAATTCCAGATTAACTAAATATCAAATATAAGAAAAGAAAGAATACGTTACAAAAAACAAAACATAGGAGACTTTTTAAATAATTTTGGATAAATAAAGGCTTTTTAAATTGGAAAGAAAAGCTGACGGCAGAAAAGCACATTTAAAATAAACAAAAAAGAATAAAGCATGGCAAAAAAAAATATCGGAGGCAACAGAATTAGAAAAAAAAGGTAAATCACAACAAAGAACTGATTTTTTAAATACAGATTTCCTAAAAATAAGAAAAGACATTTCATAGAATCAGATATAGACAGACAGTTCATAGAAAAGGAAGTAAAGATCACCCTTAAACAAGTGTTCAACCTAACTCATAATTTAAAAAAAATTAAAATTTACATTTTAAGGTAACAAAGAACCAAGTTTTTTGTTTGCTTGTTTGTTTGTTTTTAGTTTTCGAGACAGAGTCTCGCTGTGTCACCCAGGCTGGAATACAGTGGCACAATCTCTGCTCACTGCAACCTCCACCTCCCTGGTTCAAGCAATTCACGTGCCTCAGGCTTCCGAGTAGCTGGAATTACAGGCATGCACCACCGTGCCTGGCTAATTTTTCTTGTATTTTTAGTAGAGACGGGTTTTCACCATGCTGGCCATAGCTGGTCTAGAGCTCCCAGTGTCAGGTGATCCACCCACCTCTGCCTCCCAAAGTGCTGGGATTACAGGCGTCAGCCACTGCAACCAACTAAAACCAAAAGTTTGATAACACATTTTGTTGACTAGATGATAAGGAAACACAATTTTAGAGTAAATTTGCATAATGGAGAGCAATTAGGTGACATCTTTCAGAATGAAGAAAGCACATACCCTTGACCCAGCAATTCTACTTCTAGGTAACTATCCTATAAATACATTTGCATATATGAAAAATGACTTATATAGGAGGATATTCTTTATAGGATTGTTTGTATTAGCAAAATACCTAATAGGAAATTAAGTATTTAAATTATCCATTTAAATATGTATTATATGAAAAAATCTTGCAGATATACATTTTAAGTTAAAAGAAGGTGCTGATAGATCAATATAGTAGATAGATAAAGACAGATGGATGGATGGATAGATATTGTACATGTTGATAAGTGCATAGACTATATCAGGAAAATATCAAGAATGTGCCCAGGTGGCAATGGAGGGTGTGAATGAAAATTGCTTTTGACTGTGTCAATGACTTCCAATGAATATCATAAACACACCCAAGGTTGAACAAAGTTTGTTTTAATAACACTCGGCAAGGAGGAAAAATACACACCAGAGCAGAACTGGGGTTTCTTGGTAAGAGGATGTAAGAAAAGATTTACAGGATTTGGGTGTGTGTCAAGTGGTTTTAAGGAGGGCTCAAAGATATGTGAATCTGCCCCAGATTGGATGCTCTAAGGATGTGGGTGTAATTCTATGGCTACTATCTTAGTAATTCTTTTCTAGAAGGCAAGAAGAACAGAGCAAGGTTAAAGCTGTGTTTGGTAAAGAAGCAGCAGCCACCCACATAATCTAGGACAGAGACATATTTGTTCATTTTGTAATTTAGGAAACATTTTTGTTTTCGTCGTGTTCAGACATGATTACAGGGTCTTGCTTTTATCTTGACCCATCATGTCTCAGTGGCTTTGTCTAATTGCAAATGTGAAATTGTCTATATTCAACAGAAGGAGACCAAGTCTTCTTGGGAGTGTCAAGCCACCTGCTGGCTGTCAGGGACTGTTTTGCTATTTCTCAACTATACGCCCTTTTGTGCCTTTATAATTTGGTGCCACATACTTATCTTACCTATTCAAAATAATTTTTAAAAGAATATCAGGACTAAATGAGACCTTAAAAGTCACTGAGTTCTGAAACCATGCCCCTCCCACCACCACTCTGCTTCCTCCTCCCACACCAAGGGGGTTTTCTTGTAAACCTCTCCCTTTGCCTCAAGTGCCAGGACAGCATCTGCTTCAGTATCTCCAGTCTTTCCACCGTACTAACTTGTCAGGCAGCCCATTCCATATCAAATGCTCTTAATATTTTATTGTTCAGAGGTAAAGAGAACAATACCTTTGGTTATAATATCTTTGTTGTTTTCTCCCTAGCGTTTTTGACCTCTTCAAATGTATCTTGTCCTATGGTAACTCAGGAAACAAAATAATTAGCTTTTTAATTTTATGTAAAATATTCCTATTAATACCCTCCAAACTGCCATTGTCTTTTTTGTTCCAGTGTTCCAACACAGTTTTGTGCTTTTTATCATTACATTTGCAGAGATTCTTATCTGTTCCTGCCGACAAATCCATTTGTGTTTTGTACTCAATTACATATAATTAGTCTTTTCTTCATGAACAAAAGAACAGGTGTCTTTATCAATTCTGTGAAATATACCATGGTAAGGTTGGTTAGACCTAATGATGTCTAGTGAACCAAACAACACATTTCTGACAGATGCTCATAGTAACAAGATTCTTTTTTCAAACAATCAACTGCTTCTACTCCTACACACACAAAGTAGAGAAAGAAAAGACATTTTAACAACTTAGAGGTTTATAATTTTTCTATGAAACAAATGAGTAGAATTTAAATCCTTCTTCGATATTTTGACTTCTAATCCCCACTCTGACAAAGTATATGTAAAATTATTTGTTTTTATTTGATATTCTTCATTAAAATATGTGGGGAAAGTGTCAGAAGAAAGCACATTAGTTGAAAAACTGGTAACATTTTAATAAAAGCTATAGCACTCTGTAAATAATATTCACTAGTGTCAATTTTCTGATGTTGATCAGTATGTTGTTACGTAACATGGTACCATTAGTAGAAGCTGGGTAAAAAGTATAAAGGAATTCACTTTTATTACTTTGTAATTTTTCTGAAGTCTTAAATGATTTTTTAAGTTAAAAAATATGTGGGGCCAGGCACGGTGACTCACGCCTGTAATCCCAGCACTTTGGGAGGCCGAGGCGGGTGGATCACCAGGTCAGGAGATCGAGACCATCCTGGCCAACATGGTGAAACCCCATCTCTACTAAAAATACAAAAATTAGCTGGGTGTGGTGGCATGTGCCTGTAACCCCAGCAACTTGGGAGGCTGAGGCAGGAGAATCACTTGAACCAGGGAGTCAGAGTTTGTACTGAGCCGAGATCACACCACTATACTCCAGCCTAGTGACAGAGTGAGACTCCATCTCAAAAAGAAAAAAAAAAATGTGGGTAACAGTATTTTAGCCAATGACCTACAGCCACTGAACTCCAGCCTGGGCAACAGAGCGAGATTCCGTCTCAAAAAAAAAAACAAACAACTTTTCTACATATTGACGGAGACGTTCATGCACCTAGTCATTCATCATTCACTTTGTATTGAGTGCTTACTATGTATTACAGACCATTCATTCTAGGTTCTAATGATGCATGAGGCATCAATCAAAATCTTTTCACTCATGGAACATACATTCTTCTGGGAAAGAAGATCAAAAATAAATAAACAGCAACAATACATATTTCAGAAAGTGGGATATGAAAATAGAGTTCCAAGGTGAGAAGTGTAATTTTTAAAGGACTGTTAAGGAAGGCATCTTCAACACCTATAAGACAGATCTTAGCAGCACTATTTGTAATGGCCTTAACATAGAAACAATGATTATACACAAAAAGGAAAATGAATAAATATGTTTGTATACATTCATACAGTGGGATATTTTACAAAAATGAAAGAAATAAAGCAAATAAATATATTACCATATACAAACCTCACAACCATAATATTGGGGATTAAAGTACATAAAATATATTTATGATAATGTTCTAACTTATAAAATATTTTAAAATATGCAAAACAATATTATGAATTAAAATTTTTTCTTAAATTAGATATATATGAGACATACAAAATTCCAGGGAGTTATTATATCTGGTAATGATGAAAAGTAAGATTCCATGAGGGAAAACACAACAAGAAGGTTAAACTATATTGATATTTTTAATTAATTTTAAAGCTAGTGGTAGGTATCCAGATAAACTTGTATTAATCTATATATTTTGTACACCTAAATGATTTTAAACACAATTTATTAAATTTATCTTAATAAAATATTAAGATAGTTTATCTTAATAAAATATTAGTTTAAATTTGGGAGTTCAGAGAATTTTTAAAAGTACTTATTTGACACAATGTGTGCCCTATGGTGTGTGTGTGTGTGTATGTGGGTTTGTGTGTGGTATGCAGAATGACATTATGCTAAGATATATATATGCATGGAGGAAGGTACAAATGTACACGTGGGTGTAGATTTACACTAGCAGTTCACCCAGCGTCAGCAGAGCAAGCGTTGTCAATTATTTTCCTAGAAAGAGTGAAGGAAGGATTTGTCCTAGCTTGACCCCACACTTGCACTTCTACCCTTCTGTCTCTGCCCCATGATAAATGTCATGCATTTGCAAGATAGTTGGCTGGGTAAAGGTAGCATTTTGTAGATTGAATATGGCTAATCGTCTTACTTGGGGATTGATTCTATCTTCATCAATTTATAATTTTTCAATTTTTTTTAAAGTTAGATGGACGATGCTGACAGGGATGTTGATATATCATCACCATCTCCAGCCATTAGATTTTATAGAAATTAAACCTGAGAACTAGTAATATCTTGGAGTTAGTGCAGATAAGTGACACAAATAAGTGGTTCCCTGGTTCTTGCATCTATATTTGTAGCCTCACTAAATCGACATTCAGTTACAGACGCAATAAATGAAAGTACATGGAGAGAAAAGTATCCTGATTCTTCTACACTGAGTTGAAAGCTTTAATCATTTAAAGAATGCTTTCACAAAAACACAAGCCAACAATGCAAACCAAAATCAGCCAATCAACAACTTAGCAAAAAATCTGAGAGCAAGAAAACTGAAATGAAATTCTTTATAATAAGATCTTTTATTTATTGTAAATTATATTTTAAATGTGTAATATTAACTGAACAAAGAATAACTTAGAAAGGGTGGACAAGGGCATTTTCATTCATTAGGGATTTTAAATTTTTCCTCAAATAGTTCTTAATAATTTAAAAGACGTTTCACTACAAAATATCTAGCTTCCTAAATTACTTTATGCAGTTTGGTAGATTATCAGCCTGATCACAAAATTACATCCATCAGAATCACAACTTGTTGGGACAGATATCAGTGAGCATTTATTGTGTGCTCAACACTAAAGATCTAGCAGTGAAGACAGACAAACATTAGGAAACAATATGGCACCATACATAATTTTAGAATGACATGAATTTGCCCTCAGGTATCTGTATATGATTATGCAGAATTTGAAAGATATGACAGCTATCAATCTTGCCTCTGGAGCTTGTATTTGACATTTTTCTAGACTGCAAATTCATTTTGTCATACCGTGATGATTGCATTTAATTTTTTAACTTGTCAACTCTAAAGTTAGAGCACTTAAAAACTATATCCAGAGAAATTATTATTAATCTTTGAATGCCCAGCATTTTTATTTCCCCCCCCAAAATTTTTAAATTCCATTTCAGGTCTATCAGTCTTCATTATCTTCTTACTATTATATATATTTATTATATGTACCATATGTAATTATAATATTTAAATATATTTTCCTTTTAAAATCAGCAATTTTGCCTTTAACATAAAATAACATATATATATATATACATACACATATATGCATGTACTCAGTGTTTACCTTAAGAGGTAATTTTTGTCTGTCAGAAATTGTGTTCTAAGAAATATAGAACTTGTTCATTATTGAACTATAACTTGTTCATCACTTGGTTCCGGGATTTAAATACCATCTTGTGTTGGAAGATGTGCTTGTATTGTTCCTAGGAGTGTGTATCATCATGCTGCCTAAAAACACTGTGATGGGAGTATATTCTTGCCCATTGACCAAATGGACAAGCCTCTTACCTTCTCTTAAGTGCATAACCTCTCTCCTATACTGTCTTTGCTGTAGGAAATCATAGCAAGAAGGATAAAGGAAAAGACACTAGCTTACTAATAGTTAAATAGTTTGAAAGGCATAGTTTGGTAAGGCAGCTTAGCAATGCTTTAAGTATAAGATACACTGGGCCCTACATTTGATTTGTAATCAGATTGTAAGAAGCTAATGTTTCTTACTGTAGTCGCTGTTTTCGTCCTTGGTCCCATCAATGGTACCATCTGGGTGCATCTGCAGGAAGTATCCCTGCTGGCTGAATAACCTTGTCACAATCCCTTTGAGCTGGGGTTCTGCAAAACAAAATAATTATTCAAATTTTTATTTGGCTTACACAAATGCACACTTACAGATTGTTAAAAACATCCTGTAAGTAAATACGTAAATGCCAATAGCTTAAATATTGAATTATGTATTTGGGAGTTGGGTGTTTCAGTAACATATCTATGCTTTTTTTTTTCCATTTAGAGGTAGAGCTTTAACACTTTTAGCAGTAAACTAAATGCAAATAAATAAAAGCTAATTATGATTGGGAAAATACAGAGACATGCTAAAAAGTGAGTTATTTTCCTCCTTTGTGCATCTGGTGTCTGACTGCAAGATTTCACCAACTTTATAGTCCCATTCCAGAATTATTGTTTAGGCCAAAATGCCTCTGTAATTTCTAAGTTTCTAGTAGCCATAACCAGGTCCATAAGACTTCTATCTCTGCAGGATGTCAGCTCTCCATCAGAAGTTCCTGGGTTTTGAATTTGTGATCAAGTTCAGCCAGAAAGAATAGTTTGGAGAAGAACCACAGGCAACAGCAAAAACTTCCACGGCCATGAGATGTCACTGGCAAATATGTGGAAACGCAAATTTCACCTTCACTAAATACTTCATCAGAGAGGAGCCTCAGTGTTCCAAAGTTCATTTCTCCAGTACAAAAAAAAAAAAAAAAAAAAAAATCAAGTCATACATATTTATCTAAGTATTTCAAACCAGAATTGCTCAACTTTTAAAAACCCTCTAAACACAAATACTTTCAAACTAACCTTTGTATAACACATTTGAATTTTTGTGCATCAGCTAATATAAATATTTAAAGCTTTCTCATCGCAGTGCTGGCTGCCAGCAACAATCTAGTTTCCACCGCATCACCATTTTTGTCTCTATTGTTGAGCAAAAATGAAGTATTCTAGTGCCCTTATAGCTCTAATTATTTCATTAAAATGAGGAGAAAAAGAAAAATGCTGCTTCTGGTGATAAAAATGGAGGCAAAGATGGAAATCATATGATTGCTGAAGTAACAACATGGTATCCTCAGAAGGACAATCGCTGAATTTAAGCTAGTCAACTTCATCCTTCATCCATTTATTCAACTAATGTTTACCAAGAATGTCTTTTTTCTGCCAAGCAATATGGCAGGCACTGTGTGTTACACTGAATGCATTATTGATATTTAGGTCTAAAAGAATTCTAGTTAAGCATTTAATGTGATTAATTCTTTGAGAATTGGCCTACACCCTATAACAAGTGTCTGCAGTTGGGACTTTTGCACATGTGACTTGATCACATTCACATTATTTGGGAATATGGGGCAATGCCTCTATCAACACATCTTTTTCAAAGCAGTCCTACAAAGCAAAAGAGATGTCAAGAAAATTGGGAATGAGGAAGCAGACTAATGAGCAAAGAACTGAACTGGAAATTAGGTATTCTAATTAATAGATATGTATTATCTTTATGAGTTAAATAAATTCCGTTTTTTAAATTTGTGAACCTCAATGTCCTCATCAATAAAAATCTGGAAGTTAAGCTGAATGGTTGTTTGTTCCTTCATATGAGTCTCTATTCACTTTGAGCACATTAGAATCCTCTGCCTTGAATGGTGTCAGAAATAGAAGAATGGATTTGTCTTCAATGCATTTCCTCCATAGGCTCATCTAATCCCACAACTATGGACAAGTCAGGGACACACTTGGCTAGCTAACGTCACTGCAAACAACTCTCTCTTTTTTTTAAAATTATACTTTTAGTTCTAGGGTACATGAGCACAACGTGCAAGTTTGTTACATATGTATACATGTGCCATGCTGGTTGGCTGCACCCATTAACTCGTCATTTACATTAGGTATTTCTCCTAATGCTATCCCTCCCCCACCCCTCCACCCCACGACAGTCCCAGGTGTGTGATGTTCTCCGCCCTGTGTCCAAATGTTCTCATTGTTCAATTCCCACCTATGAGTGAGAACACGCAGTGTTTGGTTTTCTGTCCTTGCTGTAAACAACTCTCTGTGTGCCTCTGCCTTTGGCTACCTGGCTGACAGGCAGCTTCTGATGTGGTAGACTCACCTATAGATTTGAACCTCAAATGCTGTGTGGCCCCGATCAACTCATCTAACATCTGAGTTTCAAGTTTTTGTATCTATATAGTAAGATTTTTAAAAAGTCCTACTCTATAATCCTTGCAAATTTCAAATGAATAGTGACAGAGTACAAACTAGAAAACCCATAAAATATACATCCTAATTAAAGTCTAATGTTTCAACTATGAAAATCAAGGACACGGTATAAGGGAGGTAAAAGAAGCATTCTGAGAAAAGAGTATGTCTCCAGCTTCTGCTTTAGTAAATATTAACTGAGCTTGTAAAGCCACTAAAGTAAACAGTGGGCTAAAAGTACAGGATATAAAACAATAGAGGGGAGGAAGAGGGCAACTGTCTTACAATTCACACTGTATTTCTAATAAGCTTGATAAAGTCACTTTAAGAAGTCACCACATGTTCTCACTCATAAGTGGGAATTGAACAATGAGAACACTTGGACACAGGAAGGCGAACATCACACACCGGGGCCTGTTGTGGGGTAGGGGGAGGGGGGAGGGATAGCATTAGGAGATATATCTAATGTAAATGACGAGTTAATGGGTGCAGCACACCAACATGGCACATGTATACATATGTAACAAACCTGCAAGTTGTGCACATGTACCCTAAAACTTAAAGTATAATTAAAAAAAAAAAAAGAAGTCATGTTTTTATTGGTAATGAGATGCATGCCAGTTTAGTCGTTAAAGCCTGTGAATGATTGTTTGTTTTCTTTGTGCTCCTCTTTCTGTACCTGTAATTAAACACTTCTTTTGCCCTGGTGGAGCCATCCCCTGTTGGAGCCCTGGGAATTCGGGTTGGTAACTCCTGCTCAGGATAATGAGCATCAGACTCTGAGCACCCATCTCTGAGAGCAGTGCCAGAACAGGCCCAGAGTCTGCGTTTTAATCATGTTGTGATATGTGAAAATGAACATCCTGCATTACAGAAGTTTCAAAGGAGACTTGATCATCTATTGAAAAAAATACCCTGAACATATATAATATAGATGGGGCACAGAAAGCTGTGTAGCCTGAGTGGCATCTTGTATGTCTATTACCATCGATCAAGTCCTACCAACCTTTCCAGGTTCAGCTCAACATCACCTTCTCCATGAAGACTCAGCTATCGTAAGTGAGAATCTCCTTTACGATGAGGAAAACCAGAACATGTTTTGCTCTATTTTAAAGAAAGGAGGTATAAAATGAGACCACTTTTCAGCATATCCAGCATCCTGGGTACATTCAACTAACACACGTTTATTTATCAGACTATGCTTGGGGACCCAAGATATGAAGAAAACGAAAACCTTTGCTGTCCTCAGGGAGCACCCAGTCTAATGCATGAAACATATTTGTGTATAATACCAGTGTGGGAGAGCTGATAAATAAGGAAGTGAATCACAGTGATGTGATGTCACCAAGGAGCAAGGGACCAGTTCTGCCTGAAGGTTGGGATAAGGCACTTCATCTGTCACTTAAAGAATGAGTAGGATTGCCATAGGCAAGGAAACCAGAGAAAGGGCATTCCACACAAAACATCACAACTCTGGGAATGATGCAGCCTGGTATAGACAGAATAGAGAAAAGGGTTCTCAAATGCAGACATACAAGTAAGTACCTGTTCTCAACAAATGTTCTAGCACAACAGTGACACTAAGACAAATAGGGTCAATGGAATAGGTTTTCTATGAAGCTAATATTTTCCAGTTTATATGACTCCTTGATTTTAAAATTATGCTCTTCCATTACTGTTTTTCTTTTTCTTAATGAAATGATGACTATATTATTAGATGGTAGGGGAGGAAGGGTTGGTTTGCTCCCTTTTGTGCTCTAAAGTGGTGTGGCAAATACTGCAAGCATTTCACTGAAATCCATTTCCTCTTTTTTCTGGGCACCCAGCTAGACCATATGTCCTAGCCTCCCTTGCAGTTAGGTTTGGCAGATGAATGAGTGTCATATGGAATGTAAGTGGAAGTGATGTGTGCCATTTTCAGGCCAAGGTTTTTAAAAGCAAACATTCTCCTCCACACTCTCTTTTCCTTAACACCGGCCAGATTAAGATAACATAGCCCTAGGGGCTATAGAAACAACAGAATGGAAGAATGTTGGGTCCCTGAATAACAGGTAAAGGAAAGATGACTGCCATTGAAATACCTACCTTGGACCGTGAACTGAATAAGAAATAAACTTCCATTGGCTGTGCATAATGGGCTTTGGACTTCCTTCCAAAACATACAGTATGCAAAGGGAAGGAGAGAGTAATATTATGGTGGAGAAACCTAACAAACAAAGCACTACCTCAGTCAGGCAATCAAGGCTAATATCATCAATTATAAAACATGCTGATAGTATGTTCTCTTGAGATTATGTGATGAGAATAGCACTTTACCTCTGTGATCTTCCTCCAAAAAACCCACAACCCCAGTCTATTCATGAGAAAAAAAAATTAGACAAATGCCCGTTAAATAATGTTCTACAAAATACTTGACCAGTACTCCTCAAAATGGATTGTTCATCACACAAAGAAGGGATAAATGCTTGAGGTGAGAGATAACCTATTTGCCTTGATGTGATTACTATGCATCATAGGCCCGTTTCGAAATATCACTTGTACCCTACAAATATATACACCCACCATGTACCCATACAAGTTAAAAGTAAAAAATTAAAAAAAAAAAAAACTATCAATGTCATTGAAGAAAACGAATGTCTAGGAAAAAGTCATAGATAAAAGGAGTCTAAAAAGACATAACAACTAAATGTAATGGGGTATTCTGAATGAGATCCTAGAGCTGAAAAAGAACATTATGTAAAAATGAAGGAAATCTGAATAAAGTATGGATTTTAGTTAAACATACTGTAATGATATAGATTCTTCATTGTGACAAATATTGTACATTAATGTAAGCTGTTACTATGGGAAATTGGATATAGGGTATATGAGAACTCTGTACTATCTTCACATCTCTATAAATTAAAAAAAATTCTAAGATAATAATTATATTAAAAATACTAAGTACAGCTAAAAAAGCAAGTAATAAATGTTTTCCTCAAAGAGGCTGAGTGACAAGGAAGGTAAAGGATGGGACCTCGGGTTCAATACTGCTTCCCATCAGGATGACATGGCAATTTCAGCAGAACGTTTGAATTCAGAGCCACTCAGAAAAGCTGACACATGCTGGAGCTATCTAGACGTTCCTGCCGGCTTGACAGTCCATCTAGTGCTATGAAGTATTTCCTAGGTACACGATGGAAACCCAGAACAGAGACAGAGCCAAGGGGTCCTGGTCAGAAATCTCAGGATGAATATTCAATTACAGGAAATAGGATGAATTTTAGACGTGGAAAGGATCGACACTTTACTTCATTAGCTTCAAAGGTAAAAAAAAAAAAAAAAAAACAACAACAAAAAACAAAACTCTGGCTCGGAGAGACAGTGTCTTATCCAAGGTCACACAGCTAACACACTGATGAGTTCAGACAAGAACTCAGCTCCTATATACTGAATGGACATCATCCTTTCCTTTCCAAAGAGCAAAATCCTTACCTTACCAAAACTGAGGGTTGGGGAGCAAGAAGGGAGAAGAGAGGAGAGAATAAGGAGGGGAGAGTATCTAGCTGTGAATCAGTTATTAAAGTACGTGTTGATAGAAAAGCAGTTACAGAAAATTGTGCAAGAAATATGTATCTATATAACCTTTGATACTAAAATCTTCTAGGGCCAGCGTATTCACATATACCCAAACTTTAGAGAAAGGTTCTGCATATAAACTCCAATCTAAAATGAAAACTATTATAACAATAATGAAAATTATGTAATGGGGGCCATATCTAGAGAATTAATAGTACTTTTGATAACAATGGCTGTATATTGAACCCATCTCCTTCGTGGCAGGCACACTTCTGATACTTTTACTGTTGTTTTATTTATTATGCATAACAACTAACTGTATGAGGTACTCTTTTCTCATTTTTCATTTTTTGTTGAGATTCAAGGAAGCTGCACCACTTTGACCCAAAGTCACAGCCACTCCCTAGTACTGTTCAGTCACTTTAAAAGAGTACTGGCAAAACAGGAACCTGTCCAGAGGAAAGGAGCCAAATAAAGAGGGTATAAATGACTGTCATATGAAGAATGGCTGAATTAACAGTGGCCGTGCAGCCTAGAAAAGGAAGCATTTGGAGGGATGTGAGAGCCTAGAAGAGGGAGGATTTGGAGAGCTGTCTCCACGTTCTTGAAAATCCAAAGAAATAAGAAGCAGCCAATTTGTTCTGAGTGGCTCCACAGAGATAGACCTAGGGCCAATGGGTGAAAGTTACAGGAATATGCAGATTAAAAAGAACTTTCTGTTTATTGTATTCAAAGACAGAACAGGTCGCCTAAGGAAAGAGTGAGTTTTCTATCACTGGACATAACCAGAAAGAAGCAGAAAAACTACAGGTCAGAGCAGCTGTGAAGGACGTGGACGTCTCCAAAGGCGGAGACACTCTGAGTGAGAATGAAAGGTCTTTTCTAACCCTGATGTCCTGGAAAGCTTTGAGATAAGCCAGATGGTCCACTAAATACAATTTCACTTTTCTGTTTCCTTAGTCGGTGCTTAAGACAGGGAATTAAAAAGACTGTTTACCAGGCATCCAGAAAATGCAACCTTCTTTATAAATGTTAAACATAGATTGTGGAGTAGTTTGACGGGTTCTTTTAATCAGCCTCTTTGGGTTTACAAATGTGCCTTCTGTATTAACATTTAATGTTGTCCACTTAAGGGAAATGAGATTGAAGAAGCTGTTAAATGTGATTCTTGTCAAGGGCTTCGGGGGCATTACATTGATGCAGACTTCAAAATTAGACTATTAGGGTTAGAAAATGTTCATAAGCAAATACATTTCTGACCAATCATAACTAAAGGGTATAGACTAGGGCATATTTACATACCATAAACCAAAGTCCCAGGCAAATCAGAAATGAGCTACAGTAAGCATTTGAAAAGGGACAGAACTTACCTGGACTTTTGAACACACTGAAAAATTGCAACTCTACTGATCTATGGGGATTCAGTAAAAATATATGCTATTTAGTAAAGGAGAAGCAGGCCTGAGGCCCCTCATTCACTCAACAGACTGCAGTGAACAGACCTGGAGGAACACCTTCCAGAACTGAAAGGATAAGGCTGAAGACGTGTCACTCTAGCCTGGCAGAATCTGCTCTGTGGAGTAAAGTGAGTCATGTCCTGTCCCTCATCTTCGATCTCCCCATTGGTCAAATGAAGACGAGAGACACCATCAGCAGCTACCTTGCTGAGGGCCGTGAATCAACCCCAAAAGTGCTGATATTCCAAGAGGATTCTGTAACTAAGTGCATTCTATTTCAGTTATCAATAGATACTAATGGCACGTTTTATTTTTTAAAAATGAATATTTATTGAGCAACAGCCTTTGTGACAGTTATTCTTCTGGGCAAAAGGGATAATCGGTGCATGCTAGTAAATCAACTCTCCCCCACCTCCCTCCCCTTCCAAAAAAAAACAGAGCAGAAAAGAAAATCCAAAACCAGACTTTCATGGGATGATTTCCACAGTGCAACTACTTCAACTATGACTGCTTTAAAACTACTACTTGACATCACTGAACATAGATGTGAAGCTGGAAAGAGGTGAGCACCATCAGCTCCAGCTCACCAATGAATATAACTGAGGATAAAACATAAAGCGTGCATTCTAGTAGGAAGATGGAAAATAAACATGTAAACAATAAAGTATATAATAAAATGTTAGTATAAGTGCTATGATAAAAATTAAAGCAATATAAAAGGATAGAGCATGCAAGGGATGGATGTGCTATTGTGGACAGAACGAATAGAAGATAACATCACAGAAGCCTAAAGAAAGAGAGGAAGGAAACCATTAAGGATATCTAACAGAAATACATTCCAGGAGCAGGGAGCAGCAAGTATAAAGCAATCCTAATAATGGTAAAGATTAATAACCAACAGATTAGAGGCTCTCTGAAGATCCTTCCTCTATGCCAAGAGTCCACAAACTATAGCCCTGTGGCTGCCAATTTTGTTAATAAAGTTTTTTTTTTCATTTTCTTGCTCATTTAATCTGAACAGTATTAGAGCATGACCATGCCCATTCACTCATGCATTGCCTCTGCTTTCATGCTACAACAACAAAGGTAAGTAGTTGCAACAGATACCCTATATCCTGCAAAGACTGAAATCTTTACTAACAGACCCTTTAATGAGAAAGTCTGCCAGCCCTTTCTCTACTTGCTTTCTCTTGCTTCTGTAGACACCTCTGCCTGAAAAGCACAACCCCTGCCTTCCTCCTCTGCCCAGGGGTCCTCCAGAGCCTTCTAAGCACAGCTTTCTTCCACAGGGTCTTCCCTGACACCCTGAGGCAAAATTAATCACTTCCTCTTCAAAGCTCCATTGTGCATAGGTTAGGAGAGCTGTGCACTATTTTAGAGGTGCTTGTTTACACCCCTGTCTCTGCTGCTGAACTATGAACCTCTCAGGGCAGAGACCTTATTCATCAACTCTATCCCAGCACCTAACACAGTGCCAGGCACAAGGTAGATGAGGAGTGTTTGTATGCTGAAGGAATGAAAGTAATAAGATATACCTGGCATTTTCCTTTGTCACCTGTGACTTTCAAAGGAGCTTCTCATTTGTACAAAGAGCTGCTTATAGCCTTTGAATATAATGCCTCTGGCCTCTAATGCGTTTCTTCCAATTTTGTCCTGCACACTGAACACAGTCTGACAAGCACAGCAGCCTCCTCCATAAACTGCACAGTCTCCAAAGCCCTGAGTTGCCTCACATTTCAACAGGAATCGAATGACCTTGAGACAGGCAATCCTCAATCTTCATATTGTCTCAAAGCTACATGGAAAGAAAATAACCTTCATTTTTGGAGTTTCCTCTTCACCAAAGCAGTCTGAGCTGTAGAAGACATGAGACGGAGGGCAGGAAAACTGAGCTAAGATGTGAAATGCCAATAGGGACAAGGTTTTTGTACTGAGCCAGTTTTATTCCTCATAGCATTAGCCCCCTTCCTCCTAGATTCTTCTTTGTAATATGCTCATGAAAATTTAAAATAGTTCCAGCACCATTTATTGACTTCCAACATGCACTAGGTGCTGGGTACAAAGATGAGTAAGATGCAATTCCTGCCTTGAAGGCACCCACGGCCTGATCAAGGAGACACATACACAACTAATCATTATTTCCGTGAACATTTAAAGTGCTGTCATAAATGAACAAATAAAATGCCACGGAATCACAGAATGGGGATGCTAATTTTACCTGGGATGGCAGGTTCTGGGACAAGAAACAGTTGAAAAAAGCTTTAAAGATGAAGTACCACTTTATAGTTAGCCTAGAATAGGCAGGAGGATTTTGCTTTGAGCAGCACCAGCAGGAGCAAGGGCACAGACAGATGCATGTGCTTAGCATGTGCAGGGACCAGGTATGTAGCTGGGTGTGGTCAGGGTGAAGGAAATATGGGGGTGCATGCAGGGGCTGGAGGCGACAGCAGAAAAGAAGCAGGGTCCAGGACACTTGAGGATCTTTAAGCAAAGCTAATAACAAGTTTTACTTTATTCTTTAAGTCAATGATGTCCAAACTTTTCTAATTATACATCTCTATCAGTAAAATATTTTAAATCTACAGCCTTCATATATGTACATGTATAATTTATGCCACGTGTATGTGCCACTCTGTAAATTTTGTGTATAATATAACACAAAATAGGAATTTTAAAATGAGATCAATGAAAAACACAAACAAAAGTTGTAATTGCCAGGCATGGTGGTGCACACCCGCAGTCCTAGCTGCTGGGGAGGCTGAGGTGGGAGGATTGCTTGATCCCAGAAGTTCAAGGCTGCAGTGAGCTATGATTGCATCACTATACTCCAGCCTGGGAGACAGAGTGAGAACCTGTATCTAAAAAAAAGTTGTAATAGTTTTTTTTCATAGCCAATGGCTGTCATGCCCCACATGCTTCAGAGGCCAATGCATTAAGCAATGGGAAAATTTGGAAGGATTTTAAGTCTGGGGCTAAAATTATGAGGGTAGTATTTTACAAAGTCAAAGGATACTGTGGTTATGGGAGCCAGTTAGGGAGCTATTCCATATAAGAAGGACCTTAGATAGGCAGTGGCAATGGGGATGGAAAAAGCTGTCAGCCAGAGGACTGACTGTGCTTGGTGTGCTAACGTTTCAGCCACCTTAAGAATGAAAGTCTCATTTCAGTTGTAAATCCAAATCCCAAATCCGAATCCGAATCAATCGTCATCTTCCTAAGGGAGCACTATTTAAATGTAGAATATTAATGAAAGTGTGGGTGAAGAAAGCTTAACGCAGGCATTCCCATGAAGCCAAATACCTTCTTGCCTTTTAAGAATCTCTGTTCATGGAGGGGAGTTTGACACTGGTCAACCTCACTGGGTTACAACTCCCTGGTCTTTCTCAAATGATCACCCAGAGAAGTAGACCTGGAATGAACATGGCTTTCCAGGCAGCTCAAAAATGATTGCTGGAGAATGCCGACCACAAGACACTTCAAACATGAAGATAATCCTAAAATCTTAAGATTTCAGAGCCAGACAAGCCATTCAGGATAATCTAATTCAAAGCTCATGTTACATATGAAGAAACAAAACACCAGGGAGAGGGGAAAGTCGCGTGGCAGCACATCTTCCAATCCCTGGAGTCAGAGCTCTTTAATATACCAGGATCTTCCAGTTCTGTGCCTCCCAGAGGTTTCCTGATCTTATCCCAAACGAGCTGCATGGTATCCAGAAAGCCATTTCATTTCTTCATGCATAGCCATACTTTGCTTCTTGTGAAATTGTTTAGATAACTAAGACCCACTGAACTAAAGCTTGTTCTAAGAAATTAGGAAGACACATTATAGTGTGCTCTATGACTAGGAAGCCACGCTTATATGGTAGATTTAACTTTCAGACAGAATTAATGTAGATAGGAAAATCCACGGTTAGTTAAACAGTAGCAATGGGCAAATTCTCCTGAGGTTCATTCACAGAAAGGAAATGCCAAGCAGTTAACAAATGCCAGGCACTTTATGTGGATTATCTCTGAATTTTCACTGAAATAATTTAAGGCAGGTACTATCATTGGGCTTTTTTTTTTACATCTATATTAGGGAACTGAGGCTTACAGAGGTGAAATCACTAGTGCTAAATTACAGAGTTAATCCATGCCAGAGCCAGGGTGGAAGGTTTTTGCTTTACACCTCATTGTTAATCATCAGTTGTCTTTTGAAGAACTCTAACATGCTAATACATCTCTCTACTTCTTTAACTGTGATCAGCCCACAAACCCTGTGGAAATCTATAAAGCCAGGGGCCAGGAATAAAAAGCAAACACTAAACTGGAGTTGCAGACATAGCTTTTGGCCTCCTGTCACAAAAAAAAGTGGCGGGGCTGTAGACACTTCTATGCACACAGAAAGTGTTCTGTAATAAAAGCATCCTCATTTGGCATAGAAAAATCTTCTCAGTGAGTCTCTTTTCTCACAGACACATCTTTTGGCACCAGAAATAAATGAACAGGACACATTATTTGGGCGAGCACAGGCATGACAGTTCCCTGACATCAGGGGAGCTGCACAAATGTTGGACTTGTCCTGAAACTGCCTTGGATATCAGAGATCTGTTTATCCAGGTTGGCAAGCCTGAGGAATTCCCTCATGCAGCCCAAATGTAAATTACCTTCAGGTATATTATTATGGTTGTTAAATGTGACTTTTGTCTATCATCTTTTCATACCATCACACACACACACACACACACACACACACAATGCTTTGCCTTTGCAGAGTCAACCAGAGTGAGTTCTAGTGGTGTAATAATACTTTCGGCAAAAGAGCAGTTGAGAGCTCCAAGAACACATCCATCAGCCTTGATCCTGGTAAATTCAGGCACCGTGGTGCAGGGGCATATGCAGGGCAGTGGGATCCGGACATTTGGGGTCTAATTCCAATTGTTTGCTTCTCTCCATCCGCACTGCCTCCACCTTTGTTCAGGCCATCGAGTGCTCTGGGCTAGATTCCACTAACAGCCTCCTCACTAACACTCTTTCTCTTCCAAACCACACTACAGTCAAGGTAATATTTTACAATATAAATTGGATCATGTCACTCTTCTGCTTAAACTCTTTAACAGCTTCCCATTTCATTTACAAGAAAACGTCAGACCCTTAGCATGGCCGGGAGAGCTTTGCACCATCTGGCTCCTGCCCACAGTTTCATCATCATCTTAATTGACTCTCTCCCTGGCTCACTAAGCTCTAGGCACATGTGCCCTCTTTCTATTCAGACCTAGGGATTTTTGTACCTGCATTTCCCTCTGCCTGGATTGATTTTCTTCCTGAAATAAATTCAAGTCACTGCATAAATACAATTTCATAGAGGTCTTGTCTAGGCCTCCAACCTAAATCTGCCGCCACGTTTGTACAGATATTATCTGGCAGCACACTGTTTTTTTTTTCACCTCCCTTCATTGCACGTAGTCGAATTTGTAACTAGATAGCTATTTCTCTTTGTTGTTTATTATCTATTTCCCACTCTAGACTGTAGCATCCCTGAGGGTGAGGCCATGTAACTTTTATTTATTACAGAATATCTAGTTCTTAGCATAGTGCCCATTAACATACAGGAAGCAAACATTTTTTTTTTTTTTCAGTGACCTAGTTTCTTCTCTCTGGGCTTCAGGTTTCATCTATAAAACGACTGTATTGGAAGAGTTCCGTGGCTCCAAGTCTAGGTCCCAGAAACCTGAGGGACTCTCAGGTCAAGATAGATACTTACAAGCTATTTTTAATAAGTTAGAATTAAAAATGGAGAAAACATTTTTAATAGATATATCTTTTACCACTGTAAATCAATGAAGATTATTAAAATTTCAGTTAAATTATAATCTAGACAAACTATATTAATACAATTAATTTATTACTTGATATTACATCACACAAAAGAGCACTGAAAATATTTATCAAATGTGGATAACACATACACTGTAAATATGTAAACATGGGTTGGGTGCTATAACTTAGATTCATTTTGGGAGGCTCTTAGGGACAAGTGAAACACAGATACAGGGAACTGCCACTGTGACTGATAATGATGGACTGTGACATAGAGGCTAAGATCTCATGAATAAAGAAATGAACCAGTGTTTTCAGACAAAGTGCCAGGACAATACTTTCAAGGGTGGCTGATCTGACTGTAGACATGATCAAAAGCCTACTTCTCTCATGGCCGACTCCAAGAAGCATATTTCAGGATTCAATACAGCAAGGATTGATCTACCCCTAGCTAAGGAATCTCTCAAACTTATGGAGACGGTCAGCTTGACTTTAACACCTATAACCTATTTTAAAAATTGAAAACAGTTTCCCATTTACATGTGACACATTGTATTAAGAAAAGGCATGATTTGTCAACAAATAATTTTTAAAGGGCACACGTTTGGGAGAACAATTAACATTAAAATGTATGTTGCATTTTGTTTAGGTGTTACAGAATCAAAAATACAAAAACATTGGGTTTTTTATCTGATGCTTCAAAATCTTGCACTTTGTTTTATAAAAACTGGTTTAATTTTAGAATCTCTGTGTTTTCTTTCTAGTGACCACATAAGATGAAAAAATTGAAACTCTTCCCAAGTATGTATCCACACATAATCCATTCTTTCCATGGATCACCTGTGTAGTCATAAATGGGAAAACAAATTAGATACAATGGTCATAAGATTTTCTTCTTTAACTCTGATATTGAGGCTCTGAAAACATCTATATGTACCACGTAGGAATTTTTATTCGTAATTTTAATTTGCTTTGATGAAGATTATCTTGATTATGATTTGAAGATTTATTATAGTTTTACCTATCCATTAACAGTTTTATTAATTTGAATTATCTTTTTAGCATGAAATATTTCAAACATGCAGAAAACAGAAAACTAATAATAACCTTTTTAACAGTGCTTACCATGAGCCAGGGACTCAAATGATTTCTATGTCTAGTACTTACTCATTCCATCTTTGCATTAGCTCTATGAAGTTAGTATTTTTTTTCTCATTTTATAGATGTTAATACTAAGGTGCAAGTGAAGTGACTGCCCAATGGCTCACCCAAATTTCATAAGCAGAAGGGCTGTAAAGATTTGAGCGCAGGCAGCCTGGCTCCAGAACCCATAGAACAGATTATCATTCTCACTGCCTCTCAACCAGGTACTCATCACCCATATTTAACAAATACTAGCATTTTCCATAATTGCTTCAAATCGTTTTATAGAATCAAACCATTACAGTCATCTCTTTAATTCCATTCCATTACTTTGCTAACGAGATGCAGACATATTTCTGAATTTGGGAGGTAGCCTTCCTATTCATATTTTTGTGCCTGTACTCCCTCTGTAAATATCCACAAAAAGTACCTACTGCCCTTTGTGTGTTGTGCATTTTAACATAAAAATATGCCATGTATATTATCAAGCAATTTGATTATCTCATTCAACATTGTATTAACACCAAATATTTGGATTTTGAATCTTCATCTGATTTGAAATTCCCATAATAGATGGCTATAATCATTTTGCTTTAACTTTAATTTTCTGATTTAGCTGTTTTTATTTCTATCATCTTCGTTTGTGGTTTTTATTTATTATGCATTTCTTTGCTTCATTATTTTATCCTTATGTTCCTTCAATTAGATTGATTTAGTCTCCCTTATACTCTCTCCAATTTTTCCCTTTATCTTGAATTGGAAATTACAGTTCTGTCTCTATTATTTTAGTAGTAATCCTTACATATCTAACATAAAGGTGTAGTTTAACAAAATCCAAGTCTAACTGTTAATTACTAAGCTTTTATCAAATAATGCAAACGGCTAAAAACTCAAATCCACATATTCCTATTACTGGCTAGTATTTTAGTTCTGGTTTCTTTTTAAACCCAAGAAATGCTCGTCATAAGATTTTTTTCGTTTATTATGATAGATTTACAAACATGTTTACCATCTTTTTTGCTCATCATTATAACCCCTCTTTCCCCCCAGACTCAACCCCCTCTTTGTGAACCAATAAGGAACCAATCTATTAAAGTGTAAAAATGTCTCAGTGTTTGGCATTACATTTGTTTATTTATTTCTCTCTCTTTCTTATTGTAATTAACTGGACACATAACATCAAAAAGATGCTTACTTTCCCTCAGCATTCTGGAAAAAAATTTCATCATCTTCTAGCAACTATTATTGCTGACAGGTCTGCAATCTATCTTTCATTTGTAGTTAATCTGTCTTTTCTCTCTGACTTCTTTTAAAATATTGTATCTTCATCATAATGTGATTTTATAACATTACTATAATATTCCCAGGTGTGGATTGTTTTAAGAATCCACATGATGGGAAAAGCCCATATGAATTTTGGGGTTCTGCAAATTCTCTATCTTAATCTCTTTGATTATAGATGATCTGACATTGTATCTTTTCTTCTTTCCCAGGACTCCATTGAAATGCATGTTGGAGCTTCTTTATATATATTTCCTATCTCTTAAAATCTCACTCAATGTTTTCCATCTATTAATCTCTCAGAAGAATTGATTTGTCTGCTTTCATCTCCAATTTAATCATTTTCTCTTCTATTATTTAGAGCTTATTTTTGAACACACACATAAACTTTCTTTCTTACTATTGTCATTGCTATATAATTATTAATTTAATTTTATTTATTTATTTATTTATTTTTATTTTTATTTTTTTGAGACTGAGTTTCACTCTTGTTGCCCAGGCTAGAGTGCAATGGCGTGATCTTGGCTGACCGCAACCTCTGCCTCCCAGGTTCAAACAATTCTCCTGCCTCAGCCTCCCGAGTAGCTGGGATTACAGGCATGTGTCACCACGCCCGGCTAATTTTGTATTTTTAGTAGAGACGGGGTTGCTCCATGTTGGTCAGGCTGGTCTCAAACTCCCGGCCTCAGGTGATCTGCCTGCCTTGGCCTCCCAAAGTGCTGGGATTACAGGCGTGAGCCACCGCGCCTGACCGCTATATAATCATTTTCTTCAAAATTCACCTTTTTTCCTATACTGCCCTTTTCCTGTCTTGTGATTTCTGCTTCATTTAATTAATAAACTTTTAAAACATTATTTTTAAAATTTATTTTAGATTCATCTTAATATCTACAACTTGGGGGTATGAATTATTCAACTTGTTGAGCTTTACTCTTCTTTTTGATGGTTTATATCCTTGTATGGTTTCAATTATCAGACTGAGATTTTCCTCAGAGAAAGTTGTTTTGTGTTTCCCTGGACTGTGAAACACATGGAAAGCTTTTGTATTGGCCTCTTGTAGTATTTCACGGATTTCCCCAGCTAGAGAGAAGTTCTTACGTTAACTTCTCAGACTGGAATTCCAACTTAACAAGGAGAGTTTGATATTGAACCTCACCCAGGAAGTGGTCCCCGTTTGGGTTTCTAATTCCTCATAGACAACACTTTCCACCCATTGCCCTAGGTGGACACATCAAGTTCCTTTTAGTTTTCCTTGGCAGATAGAAAATTTTTCTAGATCACCATCTCTCAGAAGGAGCACTGTCTCTGTACAGGCCCCTGCCTGCCTCACACGGGTCTGACACCCAGTCTCCTGTGCCCACATAAAGGTTAAGCCTGATGCTCACCTGTTGATGCCTATGCCATTCTAGTAATCGCCACCTGAAGTACAGAAACTCAGTTCCTGCTCATCTCGATAAATATAAATTCCCTCTTCTTTTCTGGCACATAGAGATTTCCCCTTTTTGGTTTTGAGCGCAACTATGCATTTTAATTTTTGTTGTTATATTTTCTCCAGCAGATTCACCTATTTTAAGTGGGAGGCAGAGTCATTTCGTAACAGCTCAGATTACAATAGTCAAAGTCTTATTTTAGCGTCAATGTTTATTATGCCTCTAACAAGTAGAACATTATGGGGGTAACATTAAAACTATAATATTCAAAATTATCATTGTGGTTAGAACTGTGCAATTAGGACATAAAAACACTCTGAATGACTGAGTCACGAACACATCTGCCTGATCCCTTCCAAGTGTCAGGTATTTAGTAGGTGAGAGTCTCCCAGGGCCAGACACTATGCAAGGAGCTTGGGATACAATAGGCAGCTTATTAGTTTATGTTCCCAAATTTTAAATCTTAAAGGAAAAATAATTTTTAAATAGTTCATTCTATTGCTTTAAGGAGAATAATATATCTGAACAGATGTTTTCCCTAGAGAATTGAAAACCACCAGTGAGGAAAGCTGTTCTTATTACCACTCCTTACAAGAGAAAAATAGAACCCTAGTGCAGGAAAAAATGTCTTTTCTGGTATTACGCATTGATCAAAATTAGACGAGATCCCTTTCTTCTGACTCTTTCTTTTCTTTCTTTCTTTCTTTCTTTCTTTCTTTCTTTCTTTCTTTCTTTCTTTCTTTCTTTCTTTCTTTCTTCTTTCTTTCCTTCTTTCTCTCTTTGTTTTTTTTTCTCAGTGTCTCACTCTGTCGGCCAGGCTGGAGTGTAGTGGTGAGATCACAGCTCACTGCAGCTTCGAACTCCTGAGCTCAGGAGATTCTCCCGCCTTAGCCTCCTGAGTAGCTGGGACTACAGGCGTGTGCTATCATGCCTAGCTAATTTTTGTATTTTTGTAGAGACAGGGTTTTTGCCATGTTGCCCAGGCTGGTCTTGAACTCCTGGGCTCATGCCATCCACCCACCTCAGCCTCCCAAAGTGCTGGGATTACAGGTGTGAGCCACTGTGCCTGGTCTCCTCTAACTATTAAAATAGCTTTCCCAAAAATGCAAAGATATAGACACAACTACTTTTGTAACTGGAAATTTAAATAGGTAAACCTTAGATTATTCATAAACATAATTTTAGTAAACTTAAATTTAAGATTTCCAAAAGTAACGGAACAGGGATTCATTTTCGTCATTTTAGCAAACAGCTCTTCAAGAATATTCTTTGGTATAAGTTTACATTCTGATTTAAGAAAATCACATTTATTTGTTGTTTCTTGTTCCATTTTAATCCTTTTTCTCCAAACTCCAAGAATCAAAAGCACTTTTTTTTAGGGTCCGGGGGTGCAGGTGTGGGGTTGTGGGCTATATCTATATTTTAACTTTTATTTTAGGTTCAGGGATACATATGCAGGTTTTTTATACAGGTAAACTCATGGATTGGGGGGCTGTTGTACAGATTATTTCGTCACCCAGGTACTAAGCCTAGTACCCAATAGTTATTTTTTCTGCTCCTCTCCCTCCTCCGAACCTCCACCCTCAAGAAGGCCCTAGCATCTGTTGTTCCTTTCTTTGTGTCCATGATTTCTCATCATTTAGCTCTCACTTATAAGTGAGAACATGTGGTATTTGGTTTTCTGTTCCTGCATTAGTCTAAGGATAATGGCTTCCAGCTCTATCAATGTTCCTGCTAAAGACACGATTTAAATTTTTTCTGGCTGCATAGTATTCCATGGTGTATATGTACCACATTTTCTTTATCCAATCCACCATCGATGGGTATTTAGGTCGATTGTATGACTTTGCTATTGTGAATTGCAAAAGCAGTTATTCAGCTTCCATAATTCATACCTACATTTCCCAAATGACTGTGTGATAAATACATGTGTATATGACTATTTAATAAAAACATTAATAAATACAAATAAAATCATGTATTCTGGAGATAACCTAACAAATTGTCACTGTGTATAGGGCAAGGGATACATAAGAAATCCCTACACCTTCCACTCAATTTTGCGTGAACCTGAAACTGCTCTAAAAAAAAAAAAAAAAAAAAGCCTATCTTTTTTAAATGTCCTTTTGTACTCTGTTATCTTCAACAATAAAAGGAAAAAAATATATAAAGACATGAGGGACACTAAAAGAGCTCTCAATCCTTTGGGGAATCTTTAACAAAGCAATAATATTTACAAAGTGGCTATTTCCCAGAATGACATCGAAATTTCACATATACGCGTGCACACACGCAATGCATTCGCACACAAATAGATAATTGTGGATTTTTATTAAGTTTAACATACCTAAAGATGCTGCCTTATTTACTCAATTTAACAATAATAAGTCACCACACTTTGGAAGCAATATACTCTCAGGAGAAGTCCACAGAAAGAACACTGCTCCAGGATTCAGGAGACTTAAGTCCCAGTCCCAGCTTTGCCATTCACTCCATTACTCAGCTTTCTAAAGGAGTTGGATCATCAAGATCTTTTTTACCTCTTTTGTTCTATGGCTTTAAAACAATAATGGTGGTAGTGATAAGACATTGACTTACGATTTTATTATGTTTTAGTTATTGGATACCATAAAGTACCCAGATTTGAACACATTCAAACACCACAGCGTTACATAACACACTTTTTATAGCTCACTGCTTGGGGAAATAAATAACAGGAAATTAATAACAATATTTAAATTAAAGGCTATGCCAGAAATCTCTAAGAACACTAAATCAGATCCAACTTTAGGCAGTAATAATTAATATCCACTAATAATTAAATAGATGATGTCTAGTTTCAGTTCCAGGTGTCCAAGTTTCCCTTCCTTGTCTCATTAAGAATTACAATTTACTGCACTGCAGATAAACCTTTAGGCAAAGCATATTTCATCTGTTTGCTTAATGGACTGGTGTCTTCTTAAAATTCAGAGTTCTAGACTTAATATTGGTTGTGAGATAATTTATGGTTGATTTCAACATTTTCTATCTCATTGGAAAAATTTCCAGGCTTATTTCAAAGCTTGAAACCTTACCAACTTTCATTTGCCTGAATGAAAACATAACAAACCACATTCTAGAATCTAGCAAAGAAAGTATAGATGGTGGCTAATAGAGTATAAGTTCATGAGAGAGAAAAAATAATCTAACTATAAATAAATGCTCTACACCATAAAACACTATCAAATGGTAACAATTATGTTATTTCAGAAATAGTGTTTATGTACAGAAATTCTAATTTCTGATAGCAAGATAGTAAGGCAAAATCAGAAAAACCTGCCCCTGATTGTCCAATAAAAAGTAGAGTACAACTTGTTAGATTTCATAGCACATTGTTGACAATAGTCACCTCATTTCACCAGAATGGCTTTCTCTCCCTTGGATCTAATAGCAAGGGAAAGAATGCTGAGTTTCATGCCTAGGCCAGTACTATCCAACAGTAATATAATGCAAACCCCACGTAAGTATTTTAAAACATTTCTAGTACTCATTTTTAAACAAGCACAATATACAGGTGAAAGTGTATATTCTATTTATATAGAGTATATATTTATATACAGTATTCTATTTATATATAGTATATATTTAATGACTTGTTCTATTTAACATAATGTATCCCAAATTAGTAGTGAATATAGAAATTATTGCAATATCATACATTCATTTTCTTCATGCTAAGTCTTCAAAACACACTGTGTATTTTGCAATCACAGTATATCTCAGTTCAACTAGCCACTTTCAAGTGCTCAAAAGCCACATGTTGCTAGTGGCTACCATATTATACAGCACAGACCTAGGTGGTTGGACATCTTGACAGACACATTTCTCCAAACAGCACCCGACCATCTATTATACAAAGCAACAATGATCTTGAAGACTTTGTTAATACTGATAACAACAAGGTACAGGTAATCAAAGACCACGTACATTCTGAAAAATACGCACCAAATAAGGTGCAAGCAAAAATTATATCCTAAACCTACTGCCTGCCTGCCTTCATTCCTTCCATCCTAACCTTGATCTTTCCTTCCACCAATACCCTGGTCTTGATACCACGCCAAGGAACACAACTATGAACAAGGCGGTATGGCTAGTGTCCTCGTGAAATTGACCCTCTTGTCAGAAAGAAACTAAATAAATAATGCCACAATCAGTTATTATAATTACAAATATGAGAAGTGTTCTGAAGGAGTCCTGGCTGCTATGGAGGATAAACCTCACCAAACCCTAGGGCGTCAAAAATGGCTCCCTCAGGATAGAACATTGAAGATGAGTGTAAAGAAAAAGAAGGAATTAGCTAGAGGAAGTGAGTACGTGTCAGAAAAAATGAGGAGTAAAAAATAATAACACTCCACACAAGGACAGAAGTAAAAGAAAAGGTTCAAAGTCAGAAACGACTTTTTGGTGAATTTTTTTGGTGAATTTAAACAACTGAAAGTGTGGAGTTCAGAGACCAAGAGTCTGGACAGTGGCCCAAAGAGGAGTTCAGATCATTCAGAATGTTACAGAGCAAGGCGGAAGAAGCAGTGTGAAAGCAAGGGTCATTTGGGAAATTCTGAATGGAAAAAGTCAGACACATAGGACATATAGGGAGTGTTATGTAGACTAGCATAACACTTTTTTTTTTTTTCTTTTTTGAGATGGAGTCTCGCTCTGTCACCCAAGCTGGAGTGCAGTGCTGCGATCTCAGCCCACTGCAACCTCCACCTTCCGGGTTCAAGCCATTCTCCTGCCTCAGCCTCCTGAGTAGCTGGGACTACAGGCATGTGCCAACACGCCCAGCTAATTTTTTGTATTTTTCGTAGAGAAGTGGTTTCCCCGTGTTAGCCAGGATGGTCTCGATCTCGACCACGTGATCCACTCACCTCAGACTCTCAAAGTACTGGGATTACAGGTGTGAGCCACCGCGCCCGGCCTAGCATAACACTTTTTATTGAGCTTGTACATCAATCAAATGCTATGCTATAGTCCATCTACACTCAGGCTGATCACCCTGTACCCATTTTGCCAATGGTGTAGAACTTCAAATATATAGCCATAAAACCTAAACACCATTGCACAAATGTAGCCTTTGATTTTATCTACCTTTGTCCTAGAATAATGGCCTTTCTTCGCTTACCAATTCTTAGTGTGGTCTTCTCTATTACCTATAGCAATAAAAAAAAAATACGTTGGTATAAAAAACAAAGTCAGTCACACAAAACAGCTGGTTTACCCAAGCAATAACATGTTTTTTCCTTCCTTTGCTATAATATAGAGCAAGTAATCAAACAAAAGAGATTGGTTCTAAATAAATTAAAATTGTGTGACAGTCATAATTCATAATTATATAAGGTATATTCATCATTTCCCTTTAATAAGTTGTATTACCCCAAAATATATAATTATTAAATTTGAATGTAAATTACCCTGTAAAATGAATGCCTATATTTAAAACTTTTCACTTTTATGAGGAGTAATGGCAAGTCATTGAAAAGTTTTAAGCATAAGAATGATATCTAATCTGTATTTTAAAAGCTCAGTAGAGACTGATAACGAGAGAACAGATAGGAGGATGAGCAGGGAGACAAGTGAGAAAGTAACAACACGGCCAGTCAAGAGATGCCAGTGACTAGTTTGTGAAGATGTAAAATTGTCTTGACTTAGTTATTAATTGCATGTGGGCAGAAAGGGAAATGTGTGGGAGCACAGTAAAAATAGAAAGTGGAAGTATGTAATCATGGCACAGACAGAATTTCCTTAGAAGACAGCAAAGTAGATCCTTCACTGATCTATTTCCCCCAAACTAACATATACACCCCAGCATGGCATGGAAGACAAAACCCAGAGTTTATACTTTTCTGAGCTAATGAACATACTTCTCTCCTTGTGAGCTTTATTGACTACTGAGCTCAGCATGCCTCTGTGAGATATTATGGAGCCAATGGGGAGGCTGCACATGCTATAATAAAGTCCATTGTATCCTTGCTGTTGTGTGTACCCTTTATAATATTCATGTGCTGGTGTGACAGTAAATCAGAGGGGGAAAAGGCAGTCAAGGTGGTCTTAAATAAAACAAGTTATTCTCATAAGTCTTTGAACCCAGATAAACCTTTGAGGTCAGAACTCCCTTAAAATGACATGGTTCCAAGGATTCTGATTTAAAAAAAAAAAAATCTGATTAAAAAAAAAAAACCTATTGCTATAAGTAATAGAGAAGACCACACTAATAATTGGAAAAGAAAGAAAGGACATTATTCTTGGACAAAGGTAGATGAAATCAAAGGCTAAATTTGTGCAAAGGTGTTTAGGTTTTATGGCTATATATTTGAGGTTCTACACCATTGGCAAAGTGGGTACATGCTTGTTTAAACATGATAACCACATTATTTGAGGAGGGAAATATTAGAAGAGGAACAGATTTAGAAAGAAACCTACAAATTAGGTTTAGGATATTTTCAGTTGGAGGCACCAAGTGGAAGTCGGATTTACAGGTTTAGAACTCAGGAGAGAGGTCTTGCCTGAAGATATAAATGTGGCAGTGTTGATGTTTTGATAAATAAAGCCATGAAAGTACAATGTGAGTGTTTAAGATCCAGGACTCAGCCTTGGATCTCTAAAGATGGAACAGAAGAGTATAAACTGCTTAAAGAGACTAAGGAGAAACCAGAAAAATGGGAGTAAAGACTGTTTCAAAAACAGGAATTAACCAGCAATGTTGAGTGCTATCAAGAAGTCACATAAATGAGGGCTGAAAAGTATCCATTAGATTTGGTAAATTAGACATCATTAGTAATGGTGGCAAGAACAGGATTGTTAGTGTTAGTGTTGAGTGTAAATGCCAGATTAGAAAAAGATGAGGTAGAAGTGAGAGGTAAAGAAAAGCCAACAGTGAATATACAGAATTTGTTAAAAGGTTAAAAATCAAAAAGAAGAAATGTAGGCACTCTTTCAGTCCTGAAAAAGGATTGGGGACTATTGATATTTTATAAAGACTTAAGCATATTAAATTGAAAACAGCAAGAAGCTAGAGAAGAGGGGATGAAAGGTGATGTATCTTCCCTACGAAGGTGAGAGAGGATGAGATTTAGAACACAGGAGATTGGTCTTAGCTGGAAGAAATAACATCTTCATTCTAACAGAAGGAAAGAAGGATAGAACAGATGTTAATTTGCTTATTCAGATGCAAAAGTGTTGAGGAGCTCCCAAATGTGATGACTTCTCTTTATAACAGGTAATTCTCACTCAAGATTTTTAATACATATATGAAAATTCTTAAAGAGAAAAAAATACTTATACACATACACACGCACATATACAATCTCTCTAAGACTACACTGAATATCTGCTGAGGATGACTTTTTTCCTGAGCCACCACAGGTTTCCCACTTTCAGGCTCCGGGGGTGACATTCACTGATGTTTGCATGAGTGACACATCCCAAGAATTGTACAGGCACCATCTGCACAGATACACTGGATGGTCAGTTACCTCTGTATTCCTTAGGTAGAGAGAGGGTGAAAAGTGACTGTTATGAGGGTCAGGAGAACTTGCCTCAATTCTTAACTCTGTCACTCTCATTTGGGTGACATCTGTTTCTACAAAGTCCTCATGTATATACAGTAGCAACAGATAGGTAAATAAGTAGATATACAGATATATAGATAGATTTGAGGGAAAAGGGAGATGACCTGGCTTTTCAGGAAGCAGGTACATAGACTCGGTTATGAAATTGCTTGTCATATTTGAATGAATTTCAGTGTGTCTGTGGCAGTGCCTACCATGTCCTGAGCACTTTGTGCTGAGGCTCTACGTGAAGTACCAAGTATCTCTTAATGTGGAGTTCTGTTAGTATTTATTTATATATAAAAATAATAATATGTTACAACATATCCTAAATTTATGTAGATTTTTTCTAATTTAAATGAAATTTTAACATATATATGTTGTTTGTTCCACAGCACACACTTTTAAGGTAGGTAGTATTCAAACTCAGCCCTAATATTTGTAGGGCTTAAAGCAAGAGAACAAATGGAGACTCCCATATCATATGTTTAATATTTAAATTTATAAATCAAGGTAACTGTCAAATATTGGATATTTAGTTCTGCTACTTGAAAATTATGTTTTCCTAATTCAAACAGATCTCCTGGGCTCCTCAGATCTGATCTTTCACAAAACAAAGCAGGACTGAGAGAATTCACCCCCCCCAGCTCATAGTTCAGACCTCTTCTCTTCCCACTCTGGGCTCCAGCCAACTGACACTGCCAGGGACCCATAGGGATTCACATATAAACCATAGTTTATATGTCCAAGCAACATCCACCTCCGTCTAACAGCCTTGGTGAACCTTCAGGCCAGGGGCGAATACTCTCTGCCATGCAATTTGCCCTTGGAAGTACAGCCAAGGAAGACGAGCACACAGCTCCTGGAAGCAACCTCAGTAATGTCTGGGTAGGAACTTCTGGGATGCCAGAGTGTGGTACAGAATAGGGAAGCCCAGGCTCCAGGTAAACATGCCCCCTTATTCCCGTGGACTCCTTGCCACCACAGACGTGGACATGCCTGGAGGAAGGCCTGAGTAGAGTCCAGGACAAAGGCCCCTACCTAAGAATTAAAGCAATCATTAGTATTCTCATTAAACTATTTTAACATGAAGGTAACTGGGGCTCAGAAAGGTTAAGCAACTGTTACTTAGCCCAATTGCTAGAATATGGTAAGTTTTCAATATGGGGTGAATAAACGAGGAATAAATGACACACATCTAATTAGTGACATTGTCTCCAACATGAACACAGTCTTCTCTTTCTCTCTCCAGAGCTAATTCCACAGTTCCACGCTGACTTCAATACATACTGCTATGCTAGTTTTTCATGGTCTTGAACTCTCTTCTTGATAGCTCATTCACTCATACATTTATATCTATGTTGGTGTGTAATTATACATGTGTATGCACACATACACACACTGTATGCTAGCTGCAGCTTATCTTGGGAACAAATCTTAAATATGGCTTGCAGAAATTATTAAGTCTCATTTCATTATTTGATTTCCCCTACACAAATTTCATCTGTCATAAGTTCTGGCTGATTTATGACTCAGGAATGCAATACTTATAAACCTCACCATCCAAAACAGCATTCAAATTCCATCAAAAATTACTTTTCTCACTTTAAAAAAAAGTATTATAATTTAAAGTTCTGTCTCCCAGCTGGAATCCAGAAGAATAAATATGAGTATGAAAGTTAAAGGAAGGCTCTGATAAAATAATTAGAGTAATTTATATAATATTTATTTTTCTATTTTTCCTTCTACATACAAGGCAATGCATGAATAGAAACAGAGACGTGTCTGAAGAACACAAATTGAAAATGATGAATTGAGTAGGTGAAGAAATCAAACTATTTCTGACCTACCTAATAAAAAGGCAATTGGGAGAGGTAACCTCTGGTAATATAAAGAACACTGGAATTAGAGTCAAAAGCTGGGGAGGCAAAAAAGAAACTAAAATTCATTGAACACTTACAATGTTTCAGGTACAGGGCTAGTGCCTTTATATACTTTATTGTTAAAAGTGTCAAACCTTCGATAAGGTTGACATTCACCTGTCTGTTGCTTCCTTACCTAGAATATGAATATCTCTATACATTGTACAATATAAATAACAGTAATATGAACAAAAAAAGGGGCAATTGCTAGCATGGCTGTGCACTGTATTTGAGAAAGAATATAGAGAAATAACCATGGTATTCCTGTCTCACTGCACTGCAAATCCTGGGATCGTAATCAGATCCCGTTACTATCAGTGAATCACAATGTTCCCTGGCATGCCTGCATCTGGGAACACCCTACTGAGGAGCTGGTTAATATTCTATTATATCTCACAGGAAGAATTCAAATGACACCTCCTTGTTGGCCCTTTTATGATTTCACAGAATAGATGTGACAAGGGGCTATTCGGAAGCTCAAAATTTTAAGGTTTAGATAAACCAAAAGTATATCTAGCCATCTAGTTATAGAATAGACATCCAAACCTGTCTTCTATTTTTTAAGTTGGGAGAAAGAAAATAGCGTATTAATAAAATAACTCAAAAAGCCAGGTATGCTTCAATAATTTTTAGTAAATGTCTAAAAATGATTTCTTTTTATTACTAATTTCATTCTTTCAATAAAGTAGTATAGTTATTTTCAGTAAAACAATAACAAAACAGTTTGGATGCGGTGGCTAAGGCCTGTAATCCCAGCACTTTAGGAGGCTGAGGCCAGAAGATGCTTGAGCCCAGGAGTTGAAGATCAGCCTGGGCAATATGGCAAAACCCCATCTCTACAAAAAAAATACAAAAAAAAAATACACACACACACAATATATATATATATATAAATTATCTGGTTGTGGTGGTGTGTGCCTGTGGTCCCAGCTACTCAGAAGACTGATGTGGGAGCATCACCTGAGCCAAGGAGGTTGACGCTGCGGTGAGGTGTGATCATGCCACTGCACTCCAGCCTGGGTGACACAGTGAGACACTGTCTCCAAAAAATAAAAAGTAACAAGATAGAAATGTCATGACTTTGAAGTTTGATTATAGCCACTCTTAGTTATTTTATATAATTGAACATACATAAGGCCGGAGGGGTGTCTCACACCTGAATCCCAACACTCTGGGAGGTCAAGGTAGGAGGATTGCTAGAGACCAAGAGTTCAAGACCAGTATAGGCAACATAAAGACACCCCCATCTGTACAGAAAATTAAACCAAATAGCCAGGCATGGTGGCATGTGCCTGTAGTCCCAGATACTTGGGAGGTTGAGGCAGGAGGATCACTTGAGCCCTGGAGGTCAAGGCTGAAGTGAGCTGCGATCGGACTGTTGTTGCACACCAGCCTGGGCAACAAAGCAAGACCCTATCTAAAAAAATAACAATAATACATAAAACATAAGTGTCTATAAAAATAAGCAAAGACAAAGACAATCCAAATCGTTATAATACAATGTAATATCAGCTACAGTAAATGAGTCATTATATTGAAGGTATCATAATTTATATTGCATTTTATTTAAAATTTCTGAAGTTATAGAGGTTGACATATGTTAGGTGCTTTTTATTTATTTTTTGTCTACAGAAATATAATTATTTGCTAGATATTTTCTCAGATGTTGTAGAGATCACAATTAGAAATCATATATGTATCATGCCCTAAAAGAATTCAGACTATTAAGAAAGATATATAACTTATAATCACATAAATTCAATACAGTAATACATGGAATAAAAGTTGAAGATAGAATATAGAAGGTAAAATTAAAATTTAAAAATTAATGTCATTTTCTTAAAATTAAAGTCATCATAAATTATATTTTAAAAACATTTCACATTTTTGAAAGCAACTTGCTATATGATGCCAGACTGTGGAATTCTATAAATAAGTATTCAAGTTTGAAAAATATATTTTAAAACATATTCAATTTTAAAAAAAAATGAAACATATGGAAAAGAAGAATAACAAAATAAGCAAAAACTTTCACTATGTCTTATGAAATATAAAGTGGTGCCAAAATTTTGTCACTTATTTCCTGATACTGATGCCTGTGATACCAAATTACTGAAAAAAAGAAGCCAAAAAATAAAAAGGAAACTAAGGTAACCAAGAAAAAATAAAAGGATACTCTTACAACGAAACATAATTAATGGCTAACCAATGTGAAAAGACTTAAATTAATACATGGCCGGGCGCGGTGGCTCACGCCTGTAATCCCAGCACTTTGGGAGGCCGAGGCAGGCGGATCACCAGATGTCAGGAGTTCCAGACCAGCCTGGGCAACATGGCGAAACCCCATCTCTACTAAAAATACAAAAATTAGCCAGGCATGGTGGCACATGCCTATAGTCCCAGCTACTCAGGAGTCTGAGGCAGGAGAATCACACGAACCTAGGAGTTGGAGGTTGCAGTGAGCAGAGAAGATGGCACCACCACACTCCAGCCTGGCTACAGAGTGAGACTCCATCTCAAACAACGACAATACATATTCCGCAATCTTCCCCTGAGGTCTGGGACAATCTAGATCAAACACTTCCTCAAGGGGAAAGTTGGGAACAGCATACGTGCATTTTAACGCTATCCTTTCAGCATGAGCATTTCCATTTGTCTATTCCAGATTTTAAAACAGAAACTAAACATTCCTAATCTTTAATGTTTGATCTAGCAAAATAAAAAGAAGCAAAAAGCAAACAAAAATTTAGATCAACTCAACTTTATTTTGATTCTACTTAAAATTATTTTAAAATCTTTATTTGATACAAAACGCTAATAAAAAGGCATTCTCTTATGAGTTATTAAGTATTAGACCCACTTTTCAAAATGTATAATTTCTACAAGAGTTGATTAATCAGAAGTGTCCAATATAAACTACAGTTAGACTAGATGATGGCACAAAAAGTCAATTCGAGGAACAAATGGTGAAATAAATATTATATGTCTGACTAAGACCATCATCCATAATATCTGGACAACAAAAAGAACTTCCTTTACTTAACTATCATGCTCTAAGTTTCTCTTTTCAATTTTAAAATGTTTAATCTAAACCAAGAATGGCACTATGGTAACCCAGGTATATAAAGAAAAAGCTGTCCTGTAGGCTGACTCATAGTCGCTGACTTAGTTCACTTAGTTTATGAAAAACATTCAAATGTCCATGGGTTTTCCTTCCTTAGAACATACAAAATGGCTGCTTAGATTCTAGCACACTATGTGAAAAATATCAAAATGGAGGGATGTGGGAAAGCCCTTTTGTGTCATATATTTCTGAGTTTCAGTAACTGCTGAGACATGCAGCCATACAGTTTCCCATCTCTATTCATTTATTTGTTGATGTGTTTACCGCCTACACTTACTGCCTATTGAAATTCTTCTCATCTTCTCCGGCCTGGCTCAAATGCCATACTCAGAGTGTGGGGGCTGTGGATACAGCTAAGAGAGAGGATGGAGAGATTGAAAGAGATAAGATCTCACCAAAGTACAGTCATTTTAAAGCCATTTAAAGGTGCTCTTGTAAGGAACTGGGAACCTTTGCAAAGGTTTCTATAGGAAAGTAATGTGACATTAAATATGTTTTGAAAAATTATGTGTGAAGAATAATCAGGGATTCAAGAAAAGGGAGGTTGAAACACCAGGTAGGAGATTCTACAACATTTCAGGTTGGAACAACAAGCCCCTTAATTATGGCAGAAGGGATGAAGAAAAGGTTATATGAAACAGAAGCTGATAGCTATGTGATGACCATGACCATGCTAATTCATCTTACTGTCCCTTATAGTTCCCAGAAAGTCCTCAGTTAGTACCTGATGAATAAACAATAGAGTAAAACGTTACAGAGATACAGTCAACGAGGCGTGTGACTGATATGAAGAGATGAGTCAAAGATAAGTGGGGTCCCCAACGTGGCAAACAAGATGGTCAGTATCAGAAAACTACCAATATTTGCTAAGTGTCTACTAGGTATCATTAGTAGTGCTGTTGACTAAAGGGGAAACTCAAGACACAAAGCAGATTGGGTTCTGGAGGAAGATAATACATTCAAATTAAGGCAAATTGCATTTGCGTTCCCAGTGGAACAACTACCAGGAGGTATCTAGCACGTAGTTGAAAATTTGGATGAGGAGCTCAGATGTTAATCTGTGGCTCAAAAATATAGAGGAGACAAGTGAAGTCAATAAAAATGAGTTTATCCAAGGAGAAACCATAGCCGAGCAAAGAGAAAAGCATGAGCCGAAGGAGGACAAAAAGATGCACCGCTTGGGGATTAGCAAAATGTATATCTCTTCATTATGATAGTTTTCAGACTGTAACAGTGAAATTGTGGACAACAATATGCTCAGAACTCTTAAAATTAAACACAGGAATGCCTTTGAGCATATAGTTTACATGCTGTGAAATCTACCTGCAAAAGTGCCTGAATCAGTTCAGATGACGTCTAGACCAACTGGTGATTTAATTTAGAATGCAAGCAAAAATCTCTTATGAAAATCCTAAGAGTTTGGTTAACGTTAAAAAATAATAAAATCCCTACTGTGAAATTATGAAGTTCTTTTCTCAAAGCACATTATAAACAGCAGTTGCAAGGATTATTAACCAAATATTACTGTGCAGAGGGATAAAGTGATCTCGTAAAGGCCTCACAGAAATTCTAATCTGGACTGAAGGTATTTTACTCTGGGTTTATCAGACCAAATCTGGATTATTATATTTGATTCCAAGCAACACCCTCTACAATGATATTGATAAACTGGAGGTGAACAAATCTCCTATATGAAATACAGTTTCATAATAGGTGCTGTAAA
Organism: Homo sapiens; assembly: GCF_000001405.40. Classification (NCBI taxonomy): domain Eukaryota; kingdom Metazoa; phylum Chordata; class Mammalia; order Primates; family Hominidae; genus Homo; species Homo sapiens. Next base: position 192,391,691 of record NC_000003.12, read on the forward strand.
TCCTTCATCTCAAATAAATTCTTTCCATATTTAGGATAGGTAAGTTTGGTGTCCTGATTTTCAGATAAGAAAAGTGAGGATTAGAAAAATTCAATACCTGACCATGTTTCTCTGACATGTCAGTTTTTCAATATTACTTCTATAGATGAGCTTAAAGCCACCTTGTATCAGGAAGAACTAAGAAACTAAGTGAGACTTAGATTGGAGACGGTAAGACACAGATTGAGGAGTGGGAGAGAGGCTGTATTGCATAAGCAAAGATTTATGTTTACTAAAGCCTTGCTACTCAATGTGTGGTCACCAGGCCAGCAGCAATGGTATCACCTGGGAGAGAATTCCAAAGCCACTCCCGACTTGCTGAATCAGAATCTGCATTTCACAAGTTTGAGAAGTGCTGATCTGAGGAACTATTATAGAGAGAAGGGATTACAGATTTTTTCCTATGTTTCTATTTTTGTTTCTCAGAAGACTTGAATTAAGAAGCTTCCAAAAGACAGACTTTGAATTAATATTGGGGAAACATCATTTTATAATCAGAGTTGACAACATATGTCATCCACTGAAGATCATAAGATTCAAGTAGAAAGCTGAACTAAGGCTGTGAGCAGTGGCTCACGCCTGTAATCCCAGCACTTTGGGAGGCCAAGGTGGGCTGATCCCTGAGGTCGGGAGTTCGAGACCAGCCTGACCAACATGGAGAAACCCCGTCTCTACTAAAAATAAAAAATAAATAAATAAATAAATAAATAAATAAATAAAGCTGGGCATGGTGGCGCATGCCTGTAATCCCAGCTACTGGGGAGGCTGAGGCAGGAGAATCGTTTGAACTCAGGAGGTGGAGGTTGCAGTGAACCAAGATTGCGCCATTGCACTCCAGCCTGGGCAACAAAAGTGAAACTCCGAGAGAGAGAGAGAGAGAGAGAGAGAGAGAGAGAGAGAGAGAGGAAGGGAGGGAGGGAGGGAGGGAAGAAAGGAAGAAAGGAAGATGAACTACACATGTAATTTTTGGTGTTCTGTATCTCCTCTAACCCACGACCTTTTTAAGATAAAGGCCTTTGTTTTTTTCTCTATTGACCCATACTTCAGTTCTAGACAGATTATAAGTAGACAATGGATGTCTGTCAAATAATTGAAGATGTAAATGAATGTACAGTGGTGTTGGAGTCAGTGGGTTCAAATATGAAGGTAAATGACCTTTAAAGTTTTCTACAATATGAAGACTCTGTGATTACAATGTTAATGGGGTATAGGTTTGCTTTTTAATTCTACCTATATGCAGGATAGAGCAGAATCAAAAACTTTCACCCAACAAACTCAAATTTCCCGAAGGTTCATAGTGTATGTGAAGATGGCTCTATTTATGAGTATTCATAGAACATTGCTGAGGTCTTTCACTCTCCCTCTCCACCAGGAGTAATAATTTGCATTCACCTTGTTTTGTTAGGCCTATGTCATTGGTAAGGTGACTCATCCAACAAATATATTTTATGTGACATCTACGTGTCAAGCAATATGCTAGGCTTTGTTCTTTACCGTGTTCTACGTAAGGGACTAACCTCAAGAAATGACTTTATTAGCACCCTGTTCTAATCAAACAGTAAACTAGCCAGTGATTCAGTAGAATCCTACATTGACTCTCAACTCACTTGTAAATAGGGAGAAATAATCCTATAGGAGCCCTCCAAATTGTTTTTGTAAAAGTTTCCTCATGTTTGACACACACCATGAGGTGGCCTCTAACTGACTGTTATGACATTTTCCTCAAAAAGAAAAAGCCCTTCTCATGGTTAAAACTGATTTTGTATTATACTTCAAATTCAGGGAGTAGGCCAAGCTTATTTTTGGTGAAGTAACATGACCAATGGCACAAAAGATAAAACTGAATTTTCCTGTGTATACTGTAATCATACTGCACAGATAAAGAAAATGGGAAAAAAAAGAAAAAGGTCAAATACCAATCACACCTATGGAAATAGATAATGTGGATAATATACATGAATAAAATTCACAGAAACTCTTAAGATATCATTTTAGGATATATTTTAATCATATCCTTCCTTACCAAGTCTTCTACTATTATCACTAATGAGCATAAATTAATTTCACAAACTGTCCATAATATTAAACGTGATGATTCTAAGAGAATGTCAAGGCTGATATTTAGTAAACATTGTTTTAAAAAAAAATTTCATAATTGATGAAGTCCTGGTGGAAAACATATCTAAAAGGTATATCCCAAGTCTGGGAAATCTAAAAACTTGATAATTAAGGCATGACTTGCCTCTCCACATCCATTCCAATCAGTTCCTATGGCATCCTATACTTTACTACATTTCTATTGCTTAAAACTGTCCTGCAGTATGACATTACACATTAACCTACCCAGAAATAAGTCTCCAGCTTTCACTCAAAATCATGTGGTTCCTTTCCTGTCTGTTTTTTAAAAATTGTTTTATTATCTTCGAGACTACACTAGTAAATAAACGTATTTTCTATTAAAACAAATACTAGTTCCACTATATTATTAAGTTCTTCCGGGGCTGAGGTCCAAACTTATGTAATGGTCTACCTTGAAGGCCTGTCAAAATGCTAGAAACAAGGAAAATTTAGAAATACAGTCAATTTGTGTCCAGTTGAATGAATCTAAGAACAAATAAAGAATATACAACAGAGAAGCTAATAAAAATATATTTGTTAAATTTGTGATATTCCATTTAATATACATGTCAAACCTTCTAGAACTTCATATCAAACATATCATTAAGCCATTTTCTTATATCTGACATACAGATATCTTGGAATACATACACCTGTCCTCCATGAGTATTAGCACCATAAATATACATCAAGAATAATAAAGCTGAAAGGAATTTCGGAAATCATTGATAGTAACCCTTTCATGCTGAAAATAAGGAAACTAAGCTGAAGAGAAGAAAAATGACTTCCCCAAGGTCACCAGGACTCTGACTCCTAGTCCAGTATTTTTTCTATCACATCATTTTACCTTAGACTGAATCAAAAACCTCTTTTATTTATATCTTCCTTTTAAAAAGGTTGGGTTTCAAACCAAGCAAAAGAATAAATACAGAGAACTGTAGCATACACAGAAGACTTATTTAATGCTGCTATCAATAACTTTAAAAGTAAGAGAAAAGAAGAAAAACAAATGAGGTAATCAAGAGTTGACAGAAAGAACCTTTTCCATTAAACCCAATCGATACTGTATTTCCCCATCACTTAGCGCTTCACCAGAGAAAGTGAACCCAGAGTGAATATGTTCCCTCAAGGGTATTTAACACTAAGATGACTTGTTGGTCTCAGCTGTAAATATAAGGACCAGACATGACTAAATCTGAAATCAATGGCAAAGGTTATTCCTCATTAACCTAACGTTAAGAAACCTAAACCAGTCAAAATAGAAATGGGCCCTTTTCCATATTGGCTGCACCACCCACTCCCTCTAGGTTTCTGGGGCAAAGACATAAATGAATATAAAGATGCTCCTTCTTTCAGCATTCCCATAGAAACTGCCCCCTGCATCAGTGGGTGCTCTGATAAGAAAGAGGTAAAGTTTGAAGGTGTTAGGCAAAGTAAATACTAAGTATAAGAAGGGATGGCCATTAGGAGTTGGGTTGGGGAATAAGTAAAGACATGAAGTTCTAAGTATTTATCAAACAACTACATATCAAATTAAACTGGAGTAACAATATTTTTGGAATTTAATATCAAATGAAGAGATATTTGTATTAGCCAAAAATACTGATTTATTTTCTTTCCCAACATTTTCATATATATGCAGAAATTCCCTCAGAGCCTGACTATACTGATGCCATAAGCACATTAGTCACCAATGGAATTAATTTCGTTTTGATGAATTATTTCTGATCACCTAGTATGTAGAAAGCATTGAAATGACAGGGCGCTTGCCCTCCAGGAACTCACTCTCCAGCGGCAGAGACAAACAGGTACTTATAGAGTAATTATAAGACAAGACAGACTAACCGCAGACAACAGTGCAGGGTATAAAGCCTGGGGCAGGCAGTGATTCATTCTACCTGGAAGGATCTGAGAAGATCTGGCAGAAGAGATGGGAGTTGAGCTGGGCTTTGAATAATGGGCAGGACTGCAGCAGAGTGGATAAATGAAGGGTTGTCTCTGGGTAAGTGAAGGATAGGTGTGGAGGTTAATGGCATCCCTCGTGGAGAAATAAAAACATCTATAAACTAAAAGAACTGAAATGGATAGATGCAGTAAATGTTCTATGAATGTCAAGAAGGTTTGGGTCGGCTAGAGTAGTATGTGGGGAAGGGTGGAGAAAGAACCTTGATTGTGGAGCCTATTCATATTGATGATACAATAATAAACTGTCTGCTCTTAACCACGTATTGAGCCCACACGTGTATTTTTAAAAGACAGATTGTGGCTAAGTTTTTTAAATTAAGAAATTACTGTTTTTCTTGAAATATAGACATTAAAGGAGAAACAGTCCAAAATAATACAGCAAAACTATAACTTGGAACACAGTAACACAAATCCAGCAAGAGTTAATAAATCTTAATTATATACTGCCTTACACAAAAGAAGGCAAGGATTTTCTCAGTATTTCTATATTCCATTCCCAAGCACATGATATACAAATACTCAATGGGTGTCTAGCAATATAACTTGACTGTAGATATTTAAACGCATCTACCCAACATTTATATTGCTCCAGACACAGAACAGGCAGATAGCTCTTGCTACCAGCATTGGGCAATGGGCCCTAAAAGGAGGCAGCTGTGGTGTAGCAGTAAGGCATAGGCTTATCGCAAATTTCAGTCCTTGCTCTGCCTTTCATAGTTGTATGACCTAACACCCACTATGAGTCTTATTTCTTTCTTCCATGAGGTGGGCAGGTGTATTGTAATGAGCTCTGTTTTCCAATTCAAACCCACCAACACTTTTCATATATACCTTACCAGGTGGACATCTCAAGGCTAATGTCACAGTTAGTCAACCCCAAGTGCAAGATATATAATGGCCTGGGACGAAAGTCTTAATCAAGGTGCCAGTTCAACCAGACTTTGAATTCAAATAATGAACCCAGCTGCATAAAGCTTGCTGCTCTTCAGCCCTAACAGGTGTCTGCATAATCACAAAGAAAACCAGCTTCAGACTGAATGTAATTGCTGAGCATGAAAAAGACAACAGGCAGGCCAGCAGTTTCAGTGAAAATAACAAGAGTCAGGACCAAGGAACCTCCATCTTCACCAGATCAAAACTTACCCTGAAGGGGCAGGCTCCCAACCAAGATGGTAGTTCCATTAGCAAAATTATAATGAATGGAACTCTAAATCATAAAGCCATGTGGTAACCCAGAAAATGCACTCGGGAACATTTCAAAGAAGGGAGTTTTGTGGCAATACCAGGAAAAGCATAATTTCAAAGCAAGTTTCCTTCTTGGTCCTGCTTTTCTCATGACCTGTAGGTGGAGAGGGAGGAGTAGATAGAATGCCTGGGAAACCAGAGCTGCAGAATGTGGAGGCGGCCTGGCCACAATGCTGCCAACTCCTTTCCTGAGCAAAGCTGCAGAGGATAATGGCCCAGGGATTGTCAGGGAAAGACAGGTGAGGCAAGGAGGCAATGAGGAATCCTCTCTACTTTCCCGAAAAGAAAATAGATCTCCAGTTTCTCAGAGAAATATCCTATAAGAAGACTACAGAGGATGTCTGGGTTTCTATCATTGTGACTTCCTTTCCTAGAATTCTGAGCTTCTGAACTATCACCTCATATGCCATCTCTTCTTCTCCTAGCTAGAGTCGAGTTGCAAAAACCCACTGCAATATCCTTTGAAGCAACAAAGCATGACAGCAACACATACATGACTCGCTCCTCAGTGAGAAACTTGGGTTTCCATAGAATTTGAGATCCTCTATATGTTCCATCATTTTCTATTAATTACTCAGATATGAATGAACCTTTTCTGTTGCGGCCTCTGTGGGTGACTCTGGGTGACTTTCCTTTCTCAAATGTAATATTGTATGTAGAAGGTATATTGTGTAGACAGCTAGAGCTATTTGGCTGAAAACAGAACCTGACACCTATTCTAACCAGAAAATTTGAATATAGATCCCTACTTTGGGCACTTATTTAAATTCTGCCCCTGTTTCTTAATGATTTTTAATGCATTATCTGATTCTAGGACACTGTGAAGGTGATCTGGGTCATCTTTTGAGTTCCCAAATTAATATACAACATTTAAATCACCAGTGCAATTTAAAAAAAAACTCTTTATGAACTTTTTAGTCTATTTTATCTTTATAATAACTTATACAACTTATCCGGGTTTATAGTTCTTCTTTCATGAATTTCACTCTTCCCTTCAAACCCCCTTTAAAAAAAAATCTAAAACACTGCACACAGCACACTGATTTAATTTCTAATCCTTGAAGAGACAAAATAAGCCTAAATTGGTGTCAAGAGAAAGACTGACATTTTAGACAGATTTCTTTATTAGTGCCTTGCAAGTAATTAAACCATGGGATGCAGTTAGGAACATCCAAAACAGCACACTAAGAAAATAGTTTTGTCCTTCAAGTAAGAAGCAGGGAAAAGATCTGTGTTTCATGTTCCCAGTCACAAATGTTTTTCCTGGGGTGAGGGGAGCTACAGTTAATAGCTTTTCAGGCTAAAGAGGCCCTTATATTTTCTTTTTTCTTTTTTTTTTTTTTTCTGAGACAGAGTCTTGCTTTGTCACCCAGACTGGAGTGCAGTGGTGTGATCTTGGCACACTGCAACCTACACCTCCCAGGTAGGTGATTTTCCTGCCCCAGCCTCCCAAGTAGCTGGGATTACAGGCATGCACCACCACGCCCGACTAATTTTGTATTTTAGTAAAGACAGGGTTTCACCATGTTGACCAGACTGGTCTCGAACTCCTAACCTCAAGTGATCTGCCCGCCTCAGCTTCCCAAAGTGCTGGAATTACAGGTGTGAGCCAGCTCTTATATATTCTTATATATAGCTCCCTTGTTTTTCAAAGACAGAAACTGAGGTCCATTTCCAGGACTGGCAGAGTAGAAAGAAAAGTAGATTAGGAAAAACAAACCTGAGTCTAAATCCAGAATCTAACCAGTCCTGTGAAACTGAGAAGCCCCAGGCTTTGCAGGACCTCAGCATCCTTAGGTGGGAAGGAGAGATGCTACCTTCAGAATCCTTCTTCCTCTGAGGCTTGCTCAGTGAGTCAGGATGTCATTTCCTCATTGATTTAACAGCAACTGAAGAACTGCAGTGACACAGGCAGTATACTAAGTTCTGAGAAATCTAGTGCTGACCAGGTCCTGTGCTTAGGAACTGAAGTTTTCATCAAGAAGACGAGGCATGCAAGCATTCCATATGATGATGCAGCTCAGTTTTGGGATATCATTAAACACAGGAAAGATTCAAATATAAGCAAAAAAAAAAAAAGTGGTGCCTTGGACAGAACGTTTATGTGTCCCTCCCCCTGCCCAATGTTGAAATCCTAACCTCCAAGATGATGTTAGGAAGTGGAAGACTTTGAGAAGTGATTAGGTCATGAAGCCTCTCTCCTCATGAATGGGATTAGTGGTCTTACAAAAGAGACCCCAGGGAGCTCCCTTGCCCCTTCTGCCATTTGAAAAAGCAGCAAAGACTGCCATCTATGACTTAGGAAGCAGGCCCTCACAGACACCGAATCTTCCGGCACCTTGATCTTGGGAATGCCAGCCTCTCGAACTGTGAAAAATACATTTCTGTTGTTTAAGCCACCTGTGCATGGTATTTTATCATAACAACCAGAATGGGCTGAGACAGAAGAGATCATCATTATAAATTATATTAGTGTATAAAATTTCTAGGCATAATGGATGTGTTCCTAAAGACATTAACAAAATCATTAATTTTGTTTAAGGGCCACAATTTATGAAATAAAGGAATTGGAACAGGTTGGGGACTCTCAATATATGATGCATATTAGCATAGACTTTCTAGGTGTTTGGCATTAGTACGTTTAAAAACTCTCAGGTGATTTCATTTTGCAGCTAGGGCTGAGAACCAGTGGCTTATATAAGCTCTAAGTGCTAACATTTTGTGATTCAGCATACAGATCCTATTTGACCCATGTCATTCTTTACTTCTAGGGAACCAAGTTTGGTCTTAGGCCTTAGGGCCCTCTCTACTGACTCCTGAAAAGTAACGAAGAAAAGACTCTATAGAGTACAGTCATCCCTCCCTATGTTCAGGGTGAGGAGTGGTGGTTACAAGACCGCCACCCTCAGGATACCCAACCGGAGGATCCTCAAGTCCTTTACATAAAATGGCATAGTATTTGCATAGCATGGTTGTACTATGGTTTTCTTCTTGAATATTTCCATCCATGGTTGGTGAATCTTCAAATGCAAAACCATCAGTCCAAGTTTCAATTATGAGGCATTAACATAAGTGTGGTTACAAGCATGGAGTCTGGGAGGCCTATAAATACTACAAACGAATCAAATAACTAACAATAGGCAGAAAAATAGAACTTTATAAAATTTGTGTTTGTAAAATCACTTGACGATTCGAAGGCCAATGAGTGTTTCTTGAGAGTTCAAGAATAAAGTAAACAGCCTTATATATATGGGTATTGTAAAACCATTAAACAATAAATAAAACCCAATCTTCCACCTTCACATTCTTTTCTTTTTTTTTTTTTTTTTGAGACTGAGTCTCGCCATGTGGCCCGGGCTGGAGTGCAATGACACGACCTTGGCTCATTGCAACTTCCGCCTCCCGGGTTCAAATGATTCTCCTGCCTCAGCCTCCTAAGTAGCTGGGATTACAGGCACCCACCACCACACTGAGCTAATTTTTGTATTTTTAATAGAGATGGGGTTTCACCATGTTGGCCAGGCTGGTCTCGAACTCCTGACGTTGTGATCCACCTGCCTCAGCCTTCCAAAATGCTGGGATTATGGGTGTGAACCACCGCACCCCGTCCCCACCTTCACATTCTATAGTGTTTTGTAGTTGGGTAATTACATTATTTGACCTCTATCAACCCTGCTCCTTCACCAGCATTCCTCCATCTCCACAAACATGCAATTCACTATGGAATAGTTCAGCCAGGGATTATCCAGGCACCTTCGACTCTCCACTCATAGTCTACCTCTTATGAAGTTCTGCTCATTCTACCTTTACCCACTCTTTTTATATCCATGGCCATCAACTTCATTTCAACATCATCTATAGCCTAGACCAGTGGTTCTCAAACTTTTTGTTTTCAGGATCCTTTACACTCCTAGAAAGTATTGAGTACCCCGAAGAGCTTTGTGCTTATGTAGTTTATATCTCTCAATATTTACTGTATTTAGAAGTTACAATGAAATTTTTCAAATAATTATTTGTTTATTAAAACAATAATAAGCCCCACTGTGTTAACATAAATAGCATGATTTAATAAAACTTATCTTTATTTTCCAAAACAAACAAAAAGGAATTAATGAAAAGACTGGTTTGTAAATCTTTTTAATGTCTAGCTTAATAGAAGTCAGCTTGTTCTCAAGTCTGCTTCTGCATTCAATCTCTTTTGATATCTTATTGTGGATGAAGTACATGAGGATAACCTGGCCTCACAAAGAAACGTGGTTGAAAAGGGAGGAAATTTTTAGTACCTTTTACAGATGATTGTGGATATATCACACAGTCTCTGGAAAATTCCACTGGACACTTGTGACAGAATGAGTGAAAATGGCAAATAACTAGTGGTATTAGGAAATATTTTTTATGAAAATCGTTTTGACCTTCTGGATCCACTAAAAGATTTTCAGGAAGCTTCTAGGGCCTCTGTACTGTATGGTACTTTGAGAACTGCTGGTCCAGACTGATGCCCTAGCCTCCTTACTGTTCCCTTGCTTCTACTCTGCTTCCATTGCTATCCATTCTCTTCTCCAAAGGCAAAGTGCCCAATTAAAAATACAAGTCGCATGATATCACCCCATACTGCTGATCTTTCTTTGGACCCTAGATTAAAATACAAAATTCATCTTAGGCTTCTCAAGGCCCTGCGGTTCTTGCCAAACTTTCCAACATCATCTGTACCCCTCTCCCCTTGTTCTTATTGCTTCAGCTATACTTCAATTTCTTCAGAAGCACCGAGCTCCCTCTCACATCAATCTTCATGCAAGTTGTTCTCTTCTGCCTTGAAGGTTCTTCCATTCCTGTCTGCCTGTTTCATCTTTTGGAGCTCAGCTTAAATGATTTTTCCTCAAAGAAGCATTTCTTGACCAAAAGCTAGAGGTAATATCTTCATTTTACAAATCAGCAAACTGAGGTGCAAAGATATTAAGAAACTTGCCTAATGTTCTTACAAATAATAAGACCATAATTTGAATTCACATCCCACTCCGAAGTCCAGGTACTTAATCATTCTGCTATGCTATCACTTAAGTTAAACAAACAAACAAAAAGATTAAATCTTACAGAGCTCTCTTTAACTTGGTGTTAACCTCTTTACTATCCAAAACATCTGAAGCAATCATTTATGTTTATGGTTAAGAGAGTCTGGCCCTCTGGGCCCAAGTCTCCCAGTGGGTCCTTAGGTATCCCATGTGGCACCCCTTCATATCATCAAGGCTCCCGGCATTCAGGCAGGAACATCCGAGCCAGGAGCCTAAGCCCAGCACATAACAACATAGCCATGGGACTGCTTCTTCAGTCCTGCCCTGAAGATCTCCATCAGCTTTCCACTTCTCTCCTCCACTCTGGGGACTCTAGACCACACACACAGCAAAACAAACCATGTAATCACGTTCCACATTTCTTGAACTTTTCATCAGATTCCCTCCAACAATAGTTTCCCAGCTTCCTAACCCTCAGTGTGGTGGGAGATAAAAGCAGATTATCTGCAGTGTGGAACTGGGAGCCATGTGACACTTACTCATCTTCTGATTCCATGAATCTGAACAAGTCTCATTGCCACTTGAGGCTTAGTTTTCTTTTTTCTAAGATGGGGCTATCTCAGCAGACTGCTATAAAAAGTAAAAGAAGCAAAAATTATAAAGAAATTCTATAAATCCTGAAGTCAAGTTATTATTATTAAAATTTATTATTATAGATGATTAATTTATAGGCATTTTGCATCTAAGCCTTCTCCCACTCACAGATGCTTAGGAGGTAGTCTTGGAATCACAGCCCTTTAGATGTGGTGCACCTTTCTTTAGAAAATAGGAAAAGTTCTGTAATTCCATGAGTAAGCCAGAAGATAAAATTGAAAATATAGCATATCAAGCGTGTCCTCTATGTCTAACAAGGCTGTTTTGTGGAATCATCATACAATCTATAATAATTCTATACATCAAAAGCAAATATACATGATGATCATGCATTCAAAGAAGAGACAAGAAAAAATTGATCACTATTAACATATTTCCAAAGCAAATCTACAAAATTTCCAGAGCAAATTTATTCTCTCACCAAGAATAAAAGCAATGAGTTTCCATATGAGTAAGCCCAGGACTTTTTAAAATACAATTTTATGAGACAAAGCTTACATTTCTAAAGATCTTCCAAAATATTCCTATTGCTTCCTCAAATGCAGAGACTGCCTCACTTCCTATAAATTGTTTTTCTACTTCTGTTCAAGAAAAACAAATTCATTAAAACTTTAAAGACTTAATCTCGAGTTACGTCTTGATGAGATCTCTGTGGGATGAAAGAAATCAAGAGATCACAATAACTGCTATTTTAAAATGTTCCTACAATGGAAACATAATTTGTTGTTGAGAATGCACTGCTGTAGAGAGAACCGAATTTTAAAAACATGTTCAAAATATCAGTTTAAACCCTAAGGTGGGTTTCTGAAAAGTTAGGGGTCTTACTGTTTTTTTTTTTTTAACAAAAATCAAGCCAAATATCATTTAATTAGGCTGACTTTGTAGTTCAGATATGAGTCATACTTTCAAAAGAGAAAATGTAATCAAAGTACTTCCTATAAATGTAAAATATCACCTGTCATATAAATCTATTCTTGACCCATATATTGGCCAAAACTATTTCAATTTATAAAAATCTAACTCATATTCCATAAATCACATGATTAAACATTATTTCACCTTTACTGTCAACTTTCTTCTTGAAGTTTCTATTTCCTACGATATTTTCTTCCTCTATGCAAAAGGATACGTTTTATAATAAAAATGTTGAATGAGTATACTGTTAAACACTGTGCATCTACCGAAACAATGTAAAAGAATACTGAAATATTTTGAATAACCATAATTTTTATAACAGCAGAAACAGGGACTCAGAAAGATAAGGTAAATGAAAATCAACAAAATCGGGTAAATTACAATTACTACTTTGATTTATTTTACCATGTAGTGTAATTCTACTCCATTACTTTTTAAAGGGATCGGCGTATGAAATCAAATCTTTAAATTGTAAAAAAATTCTGAAGATCTTTAGGTTTTAAGATAGATTTTTCCTGATTGATTATTCTTTTCATGTTCTGGTTTGAGGTAAGAAACTAAGTTATATAGAAATATAATAAAAACACCCACATCACTTAAAATACCTAGATTTAGGCTTAATCAATTGCTTTGCTCTTTCCAGAGAGGGTCTCATTTGAAAAATGAAAGAGTAATATTGATGACCTCCAAGGTTCGTGGCCACTCAGACATTCAGAGATTCTACAAACACCTTTCCCTCCTTGATTATGAGTGTTACCCTTTGTCTGTAATAACTTCCGAGTCAAAACATACATCATTTTGTAGTCAATCATTTGTACTATTGTTTCTACTCAAAATAAAGCTAAAGGTTGGACATGAATAAGCGTGTAATTCATACGGATGTACTAATAGTCTAGATACAACAAATTAAGTGGCATCAACATTTAGGCAAATATTCTAGTGTGCCTGACTAATACAGCCTTTTCACACATAAATAATGACTCAAATAATGACTATAAGTACACTCTTTTCTCATTAGAAAGTGCACAAACAGAAATGTTCTAAAGGCTTTTTCATGGTTCAATGACCTCATCCAACTTTCCAGTTCAGGGTCTCCAATATTTCATTTTCAAAGATCTACAGTCCACACAGTGTCTAAGGGGCCCATTAACCCTAGCTGCCTATAGGTCTTCAATAATGCTATACGGTGGTCATTGCTGAAGTCCAATGGCCTCCTTAGCCTATGCCTTCTTCTACAAGTTACCTCTTCTACTCTACCCTATCTCTGTTCTAATTATAAAATAACGATCACAATGATAATAATAATACCAATGGTTAAAACTTTGACAGAAGACATCCAGTTATTTACACTAGTTGATGTTACTTTCTGCTGTGTTGCAAGGAAGGTAGGAAAAAAAGTCAACTGAATCTAGTTCTAGTCTCAATTTTGACAAAACCTAGTTGTGTAACCTTAGATAAATTACAAACTTGCAATGGCTCCAGGATTTCTCATCTACAAAGACAGAGATTTTGCTGCACAAAAAGGATCCAATGTGCACCCTGGCCCTGAAACTGTGTGATGTGAGGCCATACCTAGTCATTTCCCATGTTTTCATTCTGTGTTACTGTCATTTTAAATCTGAGCCCTTTGCCATGATAATTTCAGGATCCCCACTGTATTTATACAGCTTCAATACTACACATATCAGAACTTGGTTAGCTAAGAAAAAAGAGAAGGAGAGATACTCAATGTGTCAGCCCTGAAATCAGAAATACAACCGTGGCCTTTCCCATCAAACACTTGCCTTAGATTCACTTCCTAAGCCTCACTCCCCTAGAAAGTCTGGTCAATGGAACATGTGTCTCAGTGACAGAAATTCAGAGTGGAAATTCTTTATCAGGACAAATTATTCCACTTCACCACTTTACCATTTGTGAGTTACTTTGTTAGTTCACAATGATATGGCTTAGGAAGGCTAGTGGTTTCAAGAATCAGTCAAATATTAAGTGAATACAACATCAAAGTGATTATAAAACAGATTCGAATAGTTTTTCTTTTTGGTGTTTAGCAACTTCCTCCCAATCCAACTAAAGATTCTTCTCTGGAACTGATATGTGGAAGGTGCTATCTCTCTATAAATAGACTTATTCCATGCTATGTGAATCATGGCTGCTGACAGCAAATCAACAGATTAATTATTTGGCTTTGTTAGTGAAGATAATAGCACACTATCATCTTCCCAAAATGTTTTTACACACACCACATGCCCATTCTTCTAAGCTAAGCTTCAGAACAAACTGAAATGGTATACAAATACACGCAGGTTGCCCTTGCACTGGGAATGTCTTAATAGGTCCTGCCATCTCTCTGCCAGATTGTTATTTTGACACTTTAGCTAAAGGAAGTCACCAGTCAGGATCCTCTCTGATAAGATGAACACTGTGTAGAACAAAAAGGGAGGCAAATTAAACGAACACTGAAGAAAACAATAAACTCAGAAACTGCCTCAAATCTCTGTTTTCTAATGAGATGCTAAGGAAGAGCCCACAGGAAGCAGCAAATACAGTCCTTCCTTCCCATGCAAAATGAAGCCATGCAAAAGTAACCCATTGATCATCTCCAAGTCAACTCCAGAGATCAGGATCAGTTTATGTTACCCGTTCACATATATCCACCTATCATTCTTATTATCTTGTTTTTTAGAAGAGGCTGACTAGGATCAACTCAAAAACGTCATATAATTTTCCCAACTAGAGTGCAAGCACGTACTTCAGAGATTGAGATATAAAAGTCACATTGAGTTCAGAACCTTGAAGTCCTCTGTAGACCACATAAGCCCTAAGAAAAGAAGGCCTCCAAATTATCCCTCCACAACAGAACAGGTTATTTTATTTTCCACTAGGTGAGTTACTTTGTAGAGGTAATTCAAACTATTGCATAAATCTTCACTTTATAAAATGAACATGCTATACTAATTGGACATAAAATAATAGAGACTAATAGCTCCTGTCTTGGGATCATAATTATTTTTGTATACTCCTGAAATTTACCACTTTATCATCATCACAAAATAAGAAAATGAGCCTAGTATGGAGTGGACAATGTCATGAAAACCCAACGGAAAATGAAACAGGGTCGCTTCTTCACAAGGCTTAACCCCAAATTTCTGAGCTAATTCTGAGCCCGACTTGTCCAGACTTCCCAAGTGTCGCCCTTCATCCAATGGACCCAACCATGTACTTCATTGCTGGAAACCAACAGCACGCCACAGTCAGAGTTGCAAAGAGACAAACTAGCCAACAGATTACAGGGCAGGCTCCCTTTCCAGACAGTATTTCCTTCCAGTTGTCCACAATAGGGGTAGAGTATCTGCAGAATGCAAATGGCTCTGCAGCCACAACCCAGAAAACCAACAGTCTGATGGAAGCACAGATCTCTCCGCAATTCTGCTTCCATTCTCTCAAGCTGGGTACACTGGCCTGGCTTGACCTGGAAATCATCATGTCAAAACTTTGGGTATCCAATTTCCCTTTGCAAGTAGAGACACATCCAAAAGCAATCATCTGCGGTCGGGGCTGCAGAAGAGAATTAGCTTCAGAAAGCCCACGCCATGAAAATCTCTGATCAAGCTGAAGTTTTCTTTACACTCCTTGAGGCCAAACTGTGTATACTGTCTTGTTCCCTCAATGTCTCAAAAGTGTGAGTGTGCTAAGTATGGTAATAGGACAGAAACGTTAATGAGCAGAGTCCTTGGAAACAATGAGAGGGGTTGGAAGAAAATAATAGGAAAATGAAGACTGTGTAAAGGAAGTGAAAGAGCATGAGGGAAAAATGAAGAGGTGAGAAATTGACAAGGGCGTCTGAAAGATGCAATGCCAAGTGTTGCTGGAGGAAGAGTTGGAAAAATAATAAATTTAAGTTCATCTGGTGTCTACTAGGTGTCTATCATGGATTATGAGGGATAAGGGAAGGGCTGTATTAATCTTTAGGTCCTCAGTGGGCAGCGTAAGTACTGTACTCTACAGACGGATGGATGCATGGACGGATAGATGCATGGATGGATGGATGGGAGAGCGGGAGAGAGAGAGAAGAGATGAATGAATGAATTAATGAATGAAGTGGTCACTCCCCTCAAGGACTCTACAGGCTCTTTTGGAATAAGTGCATCTATACATGTAATTCTTCTCCTGGTCAAACCCCGGACTGATCAAAGTAGAGTGTTTTTGCTGAATATGGGGCAAGAAGCTATTAACTGACAGAGTGGTTGAAAGAAGTCTGGAAATGAGAGAAGAGGGGTCAGAATGTAAAAGAGGAATCCTGGTTCCCTTCCACGGGGGTCCCGAGGTGCTTTGAGGAGGGAGAAAGAGGGCGTCCCCTCTGGGGAGCCCACTCTCCGGGCTTCTACTGACCTGGTCTCCGCCTCACCGGCCTCTTGCGGCCGCTGCAGAAGCGCACTTTGCTGAACACCCCGAGGACGTGCCTCTCGCACAGGGAGCGCCCGTCTTTGCTGGGGCTGGAGCGGCGCTTGGAGGCCGACACTCGGTCGCTGTTGGACTCCCTCGCCTGCCGCTTCTGCCGGATCAAGGAGCTGGCTATCGCCGCAGCCATAGCTGCTCAGCGAGGGCCTCAGGCCCCAGCCTCTACTGCGCCCTCCGGCTTGCGCTCCGCCGGGGCGAGGGCAGGACCTGGGCGGCCAGGGAAAGGGCAGTCGCGGGGAGGCAGTGCTAAAATTTGAGGAGGCTGCAGTATCGAAAACCCGGCGCTCACAAGGTTAGTCAAAGTCTGGGCAGTGGCGACAAAATGTGTGAAAATCCAGATGTAAACTTCCCCAACCTCTGGCGGCCGGGGGGCGGGGCGGGGCGGTCCCAGGCCCTCTTGCGAAGTAGACGTTTGCACCCCAAACTTGCACCCCAAGGCGATCGGCGTCCAAGGGGCAGTGGGGAGTTTAGTCACACTGCGTTCGGGGTACCAAGTGGAAGGGGAAGAACGATGCCCAAAATAACAAGACGTGCCTCTGTTGGAGAGGCGCAAGCGTTGTAAGGTGTCCAAAGTATACCTACACATACATACATAGAAAACCCGTTTACAAAGCAGAGTCTGGACCCAGGCGGGTAGCGCGCCCCCGGTAGAAAATACTAAAAAGTGAATAAAACGTTCCTTTAGAAAACAAGCCACCAACCGCACGAGAGAAGGAGAGGAAGGCAGCAATTTAACTCCCTGCGGCCCGCGGTTCTGAAGATTAGGAGGTCCGTCCCAGCAGGGTGAGGTCTACAGAATGCATCGCGCCGGCTGCGGCTTTCCAGGGGCCGGCCACCCGAGTTCTGGAATTCCGAGAGGCGCGAAGTGGGAGCGGTTACCCGGAGTCTGGGTAGGGGCGCGGGGCGGGGGCAGCTGTTTCCAGCTGCGGTGAGAGCAACTCCCGGCCAGCAGCACTGCAAAGAGAGCGGGAGGCGAGGGAGGGGGGAGGGCGCGAGGGAGGGAGGGAGATCCTCGAGGGCCAAGCACCCCTCGGGGAGAAACCAGCGAGAGGCGATCTGCGGGGTCCCAAGAGTGGGCGCTCTTTCTCTTTCCGCTTGCTTTCCGGCACGAGACGGGCACAGTTGGTGATTATTTAGGGAATCCTAAATCTGGAATGACTCAGTAGTTTAAATAAGCCCCCTCAAAAGGCAGCGATGCCGAAGGTGTCCTCTCCAGCTCGGCGCCCACACGCCTTTAACTGGAGCTCCCCGCCATGGTCCACCCGGGGCCGCCGCACCGAGCTGGTCTCCGCACAGGCTCAGAGGGAGCGAGGGAAGGGAGGGAAGGAAGGGGCGCCCTGGCGGGCTCGGGATCAGGTCATCGCCGCGCTGCTGCCCGTGCCCCCTAGGCTCGCGCGCCCCGGCAGTCAGCAGCTCACAGGCAGCAGATCAGATGGGGATTACCCGCCGGACGCAAGGCCGATCACTCAGTCCCGCGCCGCCCATCCCGGCCGAGGAAGGAAGTGACCCGCGCGCTGCGAATACCCGCGCGTCCGCTCGGGTGGGGCGGGGGCTGGCTGCAGGCGATGTTGGCTCGCGGCGGCTGAGGCTCCTGGCCGGAGCTGCCCACCATGGTCTGGCGCCAGGGGCGCAGGCGGGGCCCCTAGGCCTCCTGGGGCTACCTCGCGAGGCAGCCGAGGGCGCAACCCGGGCGCTTGGGGCCGGAGGCGGAATCAGGGGCCGGGGCCAGGAGGCAGGTGCAGGCGGCTGCCAACTCGCCCAACTTGCTGCGCGGGTGGCCGCTCAGAGCCGCGGGCTTGCGGGGCGCCCCCCGCCGCCGCGCCGCCGCCTCCCCAGGCCCGGGAGGGGGCGCTCAGGGTGGAGTCCCATTCATGGGCTGAGGCTCTGGGCGCGCGGAGCCGCCGCCGCCCCTCCGGCTGGCTCAGCTGGAGTGCTAGCTCCGCAGGAAACTCGGGGCCCGGGCGAGAGCCACCGAGATGGCAGGTGGGACGCAGAGCCCGCGGCAGCCAGAGTTCCTCCCGCACGGCCCGCCGACCCACGGAAGAGCGAAAGAGCGCCCAGGTGGGGCCGAGCTGGGGGCCGGGCCCCTGGAGCGCTGGGAAGCACAGCGCGCTCTAGTCAGGTTCCCTTTCCTGGAGCCCTCCGCTTCCAGACTCCCTTCTTTCCTCCCTCCCTCCCGCCACCCCTCTCCCTCCTCTCTGTGTCTTCTGTCTCTCCCCTTTTCTCCTCTCTACGCAATCCTACGTGATTGAGGTTTGGATGAGAAATTCTCAGAGGCAGAGCGAGGGAACTGCAGCTTGGGTCTGCTCCGTCCGGTCCCTCCCACAAGAGAAACACAACCACAGTGGGAGTTAAAGGACCCTAGGTGCGCAAAGAAGAGGTGGGATGGGGGAGCTGAGAAAATGCAGTCCACACTCTCTCCAATAAGCTTGAGCACGTAGAATTCTCTGTTTAGTTAGGAAGAAAGTGAACACTGGAGAAAGTAAAAATGACCTCTTGGACCTTATCGTGGGCCCCACCTATGGCTCATTTTGGAACAGGAAAAAGTGTTTCCCTTCTTCTTGGAACCCAGATTTCTTGGTTCTGTCTGGAAAGCTGCAAAGCAGGCTCAGTCCCTAAAAAGAGAGCCCAAATAAGCAGCCTGCACAGAGGATGACTCCAGGTGCGGCGAGGGAGTGATGTGGACAAGGACAGTCAACAACAAGCTGTGGAATGCAATCAGGTCTCCAGACGTGAATGTGACGACATCTGATGTTGGAGACACTGGGCAGAGGAGTTCTCCAAGTTAAAATGCAGCATGAAGCATTAATCACCCTCCATTTATGCTAAAGTCTGGGAGCGGCTATTGGTTTCTACTTACAATTTCTCTTCATATATCCCTAATCTCTCTCCTTCAGACACTTCACGAAGCATCTAGGATAGTGCGAAAGGATTAAATGTATGATTTCCAAGCACAGACAGGTGTATGTTGGCAACATCCTAATAGAAGGCAAGGAAAATGCAGGCCCTGAAGCTACTGAAAATGGATGTGGGACCCAGAGGGAACCCAGGAGCTTTCTAGATATGAGCACAAACCTATGGGCCTAGCCAAGATTCACTTGGGCAATAAGAAGGATTGAGATCTGTGACGTTGTTCAGATCAAGCAGGAGTCTAACACCCTACCATGCCCGGGGGCCTGGACCTTCCAGGCTGCCAGCTGGGCAAAGCAGAGGCTGGCAGATAGAGGCTCATGGGACAAACAGCTGGGAGGAGGATTAAATAGGCAAGACATCCTGAGGAAAGGGAGAATCCCAGCTGTCATTTGGGAAGCACACATCCCCTGCAGCAGTTCAATGTGGCTGAATGAAGACAGTGGATATATCCTTGGAATTCTAGCAATACAGAACAAGACACGTGAAAAAGACACACGCACACACACACCTCAGGTCCAAAAGCAAGGCTGAATGCATTTCCATATGTGCATCTGGATGGGGTGAGGGGCATTACTTAACATCAACTGGTAATTCTATCAATTAGGAAAATATTCACATTCCACAGATAAAATTATTTTCCTTCCTTGGCTACTAGAAGACTTGTCTCATTCTTGAGCAAGGCAGACACAGATAGTACAGTGGGCTTTGGGGGCTCCCTGTCCTTGCTATTAAACACCCACACAGACAAAGGTCAGCTAAGGGGAGTAGCCAGAGAAATAGGCAAGAGGGGGTGTATAATGAGGACTTGAGGAAATTATTGCTAAATTTGGAGTCTCTTTTATATTCTCAAAATGGGGATAATCATTCTCATCTACCTCGCAGAAGTGAATATGCATGTGTAAGCATTCTGAAAACTGGAAAATGCCAAATGAATGAATAAAATATGGCCGGTTTTTTTTTTCCAAAGAAAATGCATGAGATTCACCTGAAATGCTTGTTAACATGCTGATTCCTGATGGTCTCTCAAAACACGAAGTGGAAGTCTGTATGGGTAGAGCCTGGGAATCTGAATTCTTCACAATTTCTCCAGG
This sequence comes from Homo sapiens, assembly GCF_000001405.40. Lineage (NCBI taxonomy): Eukaryota > Metazoa > Chordata > Mammalia > Primates > Hominidae > Homo > Homo sapiens. The sequence continues at coordinate 192,412,098 of NC_000003.12, forward strand.
TGTCAAAGTGTCAGAGTTTAATGTATGTTTGCAACATAAATAATACTAGAAGACAAAAGTAAAATATAGTACATTTCTCCAGAACTGCAGTCCTGTGCACCGCCACCCTGCGCCCCCTATAAAAGGCCTGGAAAGAGGATGTGTATTCTTTAGTCTTTGTGTTGCTGATTTTTTTCTGTAGGTTTATGAGATATGAGGGTGTGCTGGTGCAGAAGGTAACGAATACAGAGGCACAGGAGAGAAGGAAGTTATGAGGAAAGATGAAAAGGCAGGTAGCTGTTGCTGTTTGAAGTTCTCCTCTCTGTCTTAACCTGACAACATCAAGTTAGGCATTTAAAGAACAGAACAAAAACAATGTCAGCTTTCTGGGAGCAACATTCTTTCTGTGTTTAGATCTCTATTAAAAGAATGTAGTGTTTTGGATTCAATCGGACAACAAAGACTACTTTTTCCCTCGCACTCCTGCAGCTATTGTCAGAGAGCTTTTTGGCTTTTTAAGTCATCATCAGCATAATTTACTCCATTTCCCCAGTGAGAAGAGGTGAGTATAAAGAAATTTAAGAAGTTAGCTAAGACCTAAATATATGGATATTGAGCTCAGAAGCAATGCTTAAATCAATTTATTTTATATATAGAAATTCGTAGGTTTCCTACCTGGGCCACTAAATCTCATAAGTCTTTCTCCACAGTTACTCGTACATTTCCAATATCTTTGCATTTTGGGATCAGGAATGAAATTAAGCCAACCTACTGATGATTTAGGTTAAACTAACAACCAGGTATTTAAAGGGTTATGTCCCAGGGATACCAATACTTTGATTTTTATGCTTTCTTTGAACAACTTAAGAATTTCTTATTCCTATTCTGAAGACATTATGAGTGGAAGAAGTTTTAATTACTTTGAAGAAAATTGTCAAATGCACATCAAAATGATAATTATGTAGTTATATTTAGTTATATATATATAGTCTATGTTTTTGGGCTCTAGTCAAACAAATAAAAACATGGGCAGTCTTAATTATCTCCACATTTTAAAAGGAAAAACAGAGGCTTTTTGGTCTTTTGCTTATTCATAGGCCAAGTCTTTCAACTTCCAAATCTACTATTAGGGCTAGTTTACACATTCATTTTAAACATTGCATTGTCCACAGATTACATCCAGGGCTCTGTCAGTTACCGTGAAATTCCAGACACTTCCACATTCTCTCTGCCCTCAACAAGCTTCCAGTTCATGACATTATGAACTTTCTTGGCTCTTGTTTTAATCGCCCACTAGCTGTATGCTGTTGGACACGTTATTCAACCTCTCTAAACTACATCTGCAAAATAGATACATAATAATACTAGCAGTACCTAACTAGGCTCTTGAAAGACTCAAAGAAGATGTGATAATAACGTAAAGTATGAGAATGACCATGCTGTTATTAAAATCTCCATTTAAATTAAGTCCCTGCCATAAAATACAGATTTCCTAAAACAGGAAAACACACCTTATGATTCATACACATCATCATTCACTCTTGGAATGTATTTAACAAAGGCTGAAAATTTACTTGAAATGAATGATTAACCTTGACATTGTCATGGCAAACAGAATTTCATTAGTGGAATATTGTCAGTGTCCTTGTCTTGAGAACACAAAGAAGTCTAGCTCTGCTCATACATCATCTTGCTCTGAGATCAGGCCCCTGACTCAAAGTCGGGTGAATATGAGCTCACTGGGCTCTGCCACAGCAAATGGAAGAAGACCTTTTCTCCATGAATTTTATTATATAAAGTAGCTGTATTTCCACTTGCTTTTTTCTGACATATTGTCAGTTACAGTAGGCTGACAAAAGCAATATAAAGAACTACTTTCTAATAATTTGTAAATTCCTTTATATAGCAAATTTATTCATGGTGCTTTATTCAACAATTCGACAACTGAATTACTACATGTTATATGTCCATCTGGTTTTGATCATCTTCCAAAACAGAAAAGAGAACAGATTTAATTCCTCTTTATGACATAGATGAAGGGTGGTATCATTGCCCAAAAAGGGAAATTTTCAATGTTCTGGAGAATAGGTATTTTGATAAGAAACATAGATGTAATTAATGTGAGCCAATGAGAAGTGCCCTACACACTTATAAGTGCATTACAATTATTGACACATTGAATCCTTACAACAACTCTATGAGGTAAGTTCTGTCATATCGCCATTTTATAAATGAAGAAACCAGGACAGAGAGGTTAAGTTGTTTAACCAAGGTCACCCAGCTAAGAATTGCCAGAGTTCAGATTCACACCCATATAATTTATTTCCAGAGTTTCCCTTTTACCTCTGTGCTATACGCATGTCAACAAAAACAAAACACCATGAATAATTACAATCATGTAATAAAGTCAATAAAATAAGAATGTGCAGATCACATACATTTATGTAACTCTTTACTAATTACAAATCATCTTCTCATGTATTATCTCACTGAGACTCTTCAACAATCTTATGATGGAAGCTAAAGGGAAAATAATAATTCAGTTTCACAAGCTGAGACTCCAATAAGTAATGTGATCGCCCAAGGTCATACAATCAATGAGTGAAGATCTATGAGTTTAATCCAGGCCTTTTAACCTCAATGTGACTACTGCCCTAACTAAAGTAACCTGGAGGGGAAAAATGAGAATGCCAAATGTACTTCCATTCACTAGCTTCTAACATGGTTTCACATCTTGTGAATGACCTTGAAGAGATCATTTTGTGTTGGAAGGGAGAGGAAACAAGTATCCCCAATTCTCTCCCCGTGAAGCTCTTTCCTTTTTCTAGATGAGGAAGCTACTCCTGGTTTTACTATTGTTGGCCAAGATAGGGTACTATGTTTTCTTTGGTTCTAGGAGGGTGGTCTTGAAACACTCTCCTTCTTAGTTTAGTAATTCAAGTCGAGCTCAATAAGAAAATCAAAGGGAAACTAAGTTAAAACAGAAAGTAAAGAAGCTTATAAGGGGAAAAATATAAATTTCCTCCATTTTCATTCCTTAAAAATGTACATTGGTTTGGCTTATACCACCTAGGAGATGGTTGATACTTGGTTATTTTCCTTCATAGCTGGGTTAAGGATGCTGAAAGACCTGTCACAACAGACCGCCCATCATTTTAGCCCTACTCTAAGTCCCACTGTCACTAACCCAGTGGCACCTTTTCCTTTTCAAAGAGAAACTCGGCTAGAAGATCCCTATTTGAATGTAATACCCATAAGGACAGGGCCATTGTCTATTTTGTTTACTTTCTTATCTCTAGTGCTTAAAATAATCTTTGCACATAGCCAGATACTCAAAAAATACTCAAATAAATGAATTAATTCATCAATCCATCCACCCAGATTTTTGAGCCAAATAGATGCATGGGTCATCCCAAAGTGAAGAATGGGGTATCAACTCTTTGTATCAGGAAATAAGCTCAGGTAACTCAAGGGTAGCCTCCACATTTCCAAAGTTGATTGTTTTGTTTTATCAACACTCCCTAAAATTCTCTGCCTAAATATTAAATCTGATATCCTCAGAGGGTACATGGTACCTAGGTTTCTGCTCTGATCACCCCCATCCCCATATCTAGGCCTATATTTTCAGTTCTGATACTTCTCTTCTCTCTCTCTCTCACACACACACACACACACACACACACACACACACACACACACACTCATGTTCACAGAAGAAAAGGAATATAATAAGGCAAACAGAGAGCCACAGACATCAGGTAAAATGAGTAGGCAACTTTAAAATCTCAGAATATGACTAAAATGACCTTAAAATGGTTTAATAATCTTCACATTCATACTGTCACCCATGTTCACTGAGATTCTTTCTCCATGGGCCATTCCTAGTTGCTCTCATTTCTAAATTTAGATTCCAAATTTTCAGGGAATGGATCTTGTTGAAATAGCAGTCTCTTACAGCACCCAGCACATGACTGACACTCAAAATATACTATTAAAACCACAATAAATTCATATTTTTGTCCTCTGCATGCACACAGCACCAGACACTGTGAAAGTAAGAGACAATTAATGAGAGATCTCACTGATCCTGCATTCACAGGTATCTGATGTTGAGTAAGATTTTACTGGAGATAACTGAAATATACTAACTGATTAGAAAAAATCTGTCAGAGGATCAAATGGAAGTTTGGACAAGGTGACCAATAGGACATTTCTTGTCCTAATTTTGTAGAATTCTCTAAGAGTAAAATGTTAAGTACAAAGAGTATGCAATTTAGAGTAGATAAGTTGTCCTTACATAAAGCTACTTCGTCTGCCTGAGTTGAAGTTTATTTGCCTGTGAAACAACTACATTATAGGACCTAAATTGGTGAAAATAATAGGTTGAAATTATGGCACTGATTTGTGAAATGAGAAAAAGTGTGAATGAATAAATGAATGAACAGATCAGCAGATGAGTGGACAGATGTTTGTATGGAGGAAATACAGCATATTTCATTTAAATATCCCTAAATTAGCATTGTTAGGCTAAGCGAAATTGCTCCCAATAAAAATTTAACAAGATGTGGAGAGCTTGTTAGCAGATTAAAAACATTGAAGAATTCTAGGATAGTACATGAAAGCATGTAATAAAAATCCGTCACTCACTTAAAAGTAATTTTTACATAAAACAATATTCCCCTGTGCCTAGTATTAGCCACTAATCCAACCTGCAACATGACATCAAGGAGGCATTGATGTAGATGTCTGTGTGTCTGCGAAGTCTACAGCCAAAACAGACAGACAGATAGATATAGATAGGTATGCATTTTGGTGCTCAGCTATCCAGAAAAGCAGGTATAAGATAATGTATAAGAATATTTCTTTAAACAGTATTTGCAGCAGGAAGAAACAATATTTTTCCAATGTTTTGGACAGGATAATCATATTTAAACTTGCAGTGTTAACTGCAAGGGATCTCATGAGGTCATCAGCCTACTCTAGGTAATGTATACACATTGTAGTAAGCTAGCAACAGTTTAAGAGAGGAGATTTATTTAAAAGTAGGCTGGAAATTGTCTCCTGGTTGGTTGAGTATGCTAATGGCATGGCAATGGAAAAACAGCATGATCCTCATTGCATTTTGACAGTTCTTTCTCTCATTTCTTTAAAAGGCCATGACCAGGAAATAGCCGTAACTGGCCTTTAAAAGATAAGTAACCAAAAGCGTTTATTATTTTGTAAGGACAAAAGGCAGGGAAAGAATGTTGACTTCATGCCAAGAGAAGTAGAATTCATTACCAAAAAAAAAAAAAAATGCTAAAAATGATCTGTGTATAAGAGTAGACACAGAATTTAAGGGTAAGAATCTGACTTAGAATTTTTGTTCCTCCTGTAAGAACGTAGTATAGTGTTTGGAATATAAGATAGACACTGTAAGCATGTGTTGATTTTTAACTTTGACTTAAAAATAATAAATGTTCAGGATGAATAAGAATAATCTCAATGTCACCTTAAGCAAAACCCTAGGCATGCTTTTATTAATAGTGGAATCACCTTTGATCTCTGATAGCATCAGTTAAGTAGTGGCTATTAAAACAAGAAATAAATGTTTGATAAATATGGTAAAAAACAAATGGTTTTAATCTAGGAGAGTTTCCCTTATCTCCTTTGTACATCTAGCAGATACTGAACCCTTGATAAAACCCTGCTGCAACCCTGATAAAACCCTAAGGTAAACCCACACCACTCTAGGGAAGGGAAAGGTTATGCCCTAAGTGAGGGAAACATCATAGTTTCAGGCAACAGCTAAGAGATCTGAGCCTTGGAAGGTGCATTTAAACTCAAAAAAGAGGATGTGCCTTGTTCTTTTGTGCCTGGATTTTGAATAATTTGCCCATGTTTATGGTTGTGCTGACAGACAAAGGAAGAAATCCTCTACCAAGCAGAATTAAGCCAGGAACTGCACAGGAAAACAATCTCATAGGGATTATTTTAAGATATTAGTCTGGAGTTGTGGACTCCAAAGAGTGAACTATATCAAGTTATGTAGATGTTAGATGCAAATTACTCTCCACATTGTAATTTTCTTTGTTACACACTGGCTTTCAATAAAGTCTTATGTTAATGTTCCTATTCAGTCTCTCTTTTGCTGCCGGTAATTAATAAAAAAGTTAATATGTCAATGCTTAGGCCAGGAGCTACATACTACGCAGCACCATAGAAATAACAAACATAATTAATTAGAGTCTCCAAGCTGTATCTCTGGGGTGAGTTAGTCCTCACTACAAGACACTCGTTCAACACAGACTATGGAGAATTAACAGTATGATGTCAGTCAAGAAGTTGTTGGGTTTTCCTTACCAAGTCCTTATATAATTTCAGGCAAATCCTTTGAACCACAGAAAAATATCAAAAAACTCTGCGTTCCAATTATAGGTTAAAAGTGTTTGAGGGACACGAAGGATAGGGTAGGGAATAGAAGGGACATTGATCTGGTTTGAATCTGTGTCCGTGCCCAAATCTCATGTTGAATTGTAATCCCAGTGTTTGAGGAGGCGCCAGGTTGGAGGTGATTGGATCATGGGGGCAGACTTCCCTCTTGCTGTTCTTGTGACAGTGAGTTCTCATGAGATCTGACTGTTTAAAAGTATATGGCACATCCCCCCTCACTCTCTTGCTCTTGCTCCAGCCATGTAAGATGTGACTCCTTCCTCTTTGCCTTACACCATGATCTTAAGTTTCCAGAGGTCTCCCAAGCTACGCTTCCTGTACAGTCTGCAGAACCGTGAGCCAATTAAACCTCTTTTCTCTACAAATTATCCAGTCTCAGGCAGTTCTTTATAGCAAGGCAAGAACAGACTAATATGGACATTAAGATTTATTAGACACCTTCTACATACCATGCACAGTCCTGGGCCCTACACAGGTTATTTTACCTAATCCTCACAATAACCCTGGCAAGGCCAACACTGTTATTCACATGTTACAGTGGGAAAGCTAAAAGTCATAGAAAGTTGATTAATTGTCTGAAATATGGGGTCAGGTCCAGAATTCAAATCTAGTTTAGCTCACTCCAAATCCAAAGCTCTCTTCATGACTTTTTTTAGGATGATGAATCCACAAAATGAACTTATGAGGACAATTCATATTCTTGAAGTGTTAAAAACAGGTAAGATAACATCATTTAGGGCCACCCACAGTCTAAGTCAGGGGCATCCCTGCTGTTTGTTCCTTGTTGATCATGACCCCATTTGAAATACTAGTTAACAAATAGAGCTGGGGAAAGAGAAACTGAGGAAAGTGAGGCCTATGTTCAAGTGTTTGAAGAACTTGAGTATTGTGTGTGTGCAAGAGATTCACACTAAGAACAAGATATCCTGTGTGTGTAGAGGCAAACTTGGATGCCTCTCTTCCACCCATGGAATAGATTACATCGCAAAATGAGGAAGTGGTTTTCCCACCATCAGAGACTTTCCACTCAAGATCAGGAGCAATACCATGGGAAGTGGGTTTCAAGAAATCAGACAGGTATTCTATAAAATGATTAAGGTCAGCATTGCTGGGGGTGGAGAGTGAATCAAAATCATTATAGGCTGCATCCAAGGCAATACTTGGGAAAACTTTTGTTCATTTTAAAGGACATAAAAAAGGGAAAATAAGGAATCATGAATCAACAATGAAACTGATTGCTGGGGATGTGGGAGAAATGACAGAAGGATGGAAGATTCAAGGAGATAGTCACGGAAAGCACATCTTTACTAACCCGGAAAGAAAGCACAGAGCTAAACACTTCTATATGGCATCAAATGTGTATTGTAAAGGCTGGCATAATTGATTAAATAAGTAGATTTTTAACACATGGTTGAAAACCTAAATGATAATGTTCCTCTGAGTTGTGGTATTTGAGAATAAGAAAAAGAAAACATATTAACCTATTAAGTTGTATGTGAGGAAAGCTCCCCTGGAAAGGCCAGGGTAAAAAGCTACTAGGTTGTTCGTCAAAACTACAGTGGATTCTATGGAAGATGGTCATTGACTCTTTTGGATTCTTGTGTAGGAAAGATCCCAGTTTGGGGTAAGGCACCTCAAAATAACCAAAAGCCGATGAGCTTAAAGGTGAGCACAGAACCAAAGGAAAATGGTCGGGGGTGGAAATCGTGCTATTAGGAGCTCTGCTATGGTTCCCTCACATCAGGCCTTCTGCAGGTTAAGTGTTAGGCTCATATTAGAGAGTGTGAAAAGGAAATACTTACTTTAAGTTGCAGTCATGGTTATTTCCCACGAGATCTACCAATTCCACTAAAAGTAATCACAGAGAAATCTGGAGACTCAATGATGTAGTTCAGATGTTAATCCCCTCCAACTCTTATGTTGAAATATGATCACCAATGTTGGAGGTGGGACCTGGTGGGAGGTGTTTGGGTCATGGGAGCAGATTCCTCATAAATGGCTTGGTGCCCTCTCCACGGTAATGAGTGAGTTCTCACTCTGTTAGTTCATGTGAGAGTTAATTGTTAAAAACAGTCTGGGGTGTACCCCCTCTCTCTCTTGCTCCCTCTCTAGCCATGTGGCACTAGCTGTTCCCCCTTCGCCTTCTGCTGTGAGTGAAAGCTTCTTGAAGCTCTCACCAGAGACAGATGCTGGTGCCATGCTTCTTATACAATCTACAGAATCACAAGCCAAATAAACCTCTTTTCTTTATAAATGCCCAACCTCAGGTATTTGTTTTTAGCAACATCAAATGGGCTGCTACACTTAATTATTGGCAAAAAGAAAGAAATACGTAAATCTCAGTACACACTCACAGCTCATCATATAGTATCTTTGATTTCATTTGTCAGGAAGAAAAACAAGAATCACAATTTGGAAAAACTCAAAACCAATTGGAGAAAACTGACTACAAATTGGAAAAAAAAAGTCTTACAAAATGTTTTATCAATAAAATGCTACAAAACACAATGAAGGGGGTGGAGAGATATTCGACGAGAATCGACAGTGGCCACTACATGCATGAAGTTAGGAGCTTTAAAAGGCAACCATCCCATTTCCTGCTTGACAATGTTTAACTGACTCCATGCACAGTATTATCTTTAAAATTAGAAAGTAAGCATGTGTTCCACCAGTAGGTGAGAAAGTTGTGTGACCATAGAAAGGTCACTTAACCTCTGTACATCAATTTACTCATCCATAAAATGAGAAATTGTTAAAAGAATAACTGATGATCTTTATGATTTAAGTCCTTTAATGAAGATTACTTTTGGAAGGGTTCTGGAACCATGTGTGACACTCAGTTTTAGAGAGTCTAAACAATAAGAAAAAAAAGTATATAGTCTAGAGTACCCAAATATTTTCAATGTGACTGCTTACTTGAAAAAAAAAAAATGGCTTTAGTAGCTGTAGCAAAGATTGTCAGCATGGAACACTATGCAGCCATAAAAAAGGATGAGTTCATGTCCTTTGGAGGGACATGGATGAAGCTGGAAAGCATCATTCTCAGCAAACTATCACAAGAACAGAAAACCAAACACCACATGTTCTCACTTATGAGTGGGAGTTGAACAATAAGAAAACATGGACATAGAGAGGGGAACATCACACATCAGGACCTGTCAGGGGATGGAGGGCCAGGGGAAGGATAGCATCAGGAGAAATACCTAATGTAGGTGACGGGTTGATGGGTGCAGCAAACCACCATGGCATGTGTATACCTATGTAACAAACCTGCACATTCTGCACATGTACCCCAGAACTTAAAGTATAATAAAAAAAAAAAGAGTAAATGACTCATCTCAACGAAACTCTCTTGAAGCTGCTAAGTTCTCCCAATTTTAGTTCAAACTGAATTCCTCTATCTCTGAATAAGTGGTGGTGGTGGTGAAGGAAAGAAATATGAAGATGTCTATTAACTGGGGAGATGGCCCAAAACAACATAAAGCTGTCCCTGTCATAGTTGGACTTCAAAGGTTTTTGCTTTAGTTTATTTTTTTTTGGCTTTTGGTATTTTTTTTTCCTGTGTACAATTTCTATATAGATAAGAAATCTTAGATAACTGTTGGTGAACAGTTTTGTAATAATTTGGATAAAAGACAGAGATAATTCTATAGTGAGGAGAGTCAACAGAGGAAATACATTCTAATGGATTTGTTTCTAGCCTGAGCTGAATTTTTATTCTGATGTTACTTACTCAGTACGGAACTTTGAACAAATTATTCCTCTTTTTTGGTCTCTATTTCCTTATTCTTAAAATGAGATTAACCAGATGATTGCTAAGGTCTCTTTCTACTCTAAAATTCTATGACTCTAAATATAGTGCTCACCGACATCATATTACTTAAACAAAACAAAGTAGGAAGCATTTTCTGTCATCTTCCAAAGTAACTTCAGAGTAGTTAACTAAAGTGAAAAGAGCATTGGTTATCCTTCTTTCCCCAGGCCATTGGCTAGATTCCCTCAGTCCCCAGAAGAACTAAACCTGACTCATTAATCTTGTGCCACAAAGCCCTTCTCTATAACTCTGGATAAAGGCAATATTATTTAAAGCTAACATTTTTCAAGTGCTTATCATTTACCAGGAACTGGTCTAAGCACTTTATATGTATCAACTTATTATCACAACCACCCTATTAAATGGGTATTATTGTCAACACGTAAACAGAGGAACAAAAAAAAGTAACTTGGCTAAGGTTATACAGCTGTCAAAGGGAATGACCATGATTTGAACTCAGCAAGTTTGGGTTCAGCCTCTTAGTAATTGATGAATCACATTTCAGTTATGTGGTCCCAGTGTAGTAGGAGAGGAAGGGTGCTAGTTCTGGTGCTAGTGATGGCTATGATAGCTCTTCTTTTTTGTTCTATATGCAAAGAAAACATGTGGCTGGGCAGGGTGGGAAAACCTGATGTGAAGAATGCTCTCAGCTATAAGAGTTGGGAGCAAGCCCATGCTTTCCCCTTCCAAATACCGGAAAATCTTCTAAGTAAGCCTTGATATGACAGCTCCGTGAGTTTATAATCCTAACTGAGCCCTGTAATAGCATAGCATCTCACTTCTACTTCCTTGAAAATTGTGGGTAAGACTTAATCCTGCTTCTGAAGCAGAATCAGGCCTAAATGTGTGGCTCACTAATTTTCTTTTTTGTTAGAGAGCCCCCTGTTGCATAATTTGTGTAATTAAAGTATGTATAGCTTTGCTAAGCAATTCTCCTAGAGCCACTAAAATGTGTGAGTGTTTTAGAAATTATATTGGCATAAAATACCAACCTCTGATTTTCTTTTTGGAGTGTTCCATCTTAGGGAGCCATTTTATAAGTATGTATCTAGAAGAGCGACTTAACACAGCATTAAGTCGCTAAATTCTCGGGTTTTTCATTCTAATGTATAACTGCTGTTAGCTTATTGAGAGAGCCTGGGCAAACAGCTTAAACTTTTTGTTTCTTAAGATCATTTCCAAAATGAATACAACAGACTCTCATGACAAAGATTTACGTGCAAAGATTTAGATATGGAATCACCACATACAATACTTGGAATGGAAAGAACTTTAAGAATTATTCAGGCTTATGCCCTCATTTTAAAGATTATGAAATTGAAGACCAAGAAAGGTGCAACATGCTTTAGGTCACACAGTTCTTGGTAGCTTAAGCAGAAACACAGCCTAGGCCTCCTGATTCTACGATCAGTGGTTTCTCTGGTATAAGGTTTAATTTTTCTATTAAAGACTATATTTTAGGCTTTTTAAAAAAGTTCTAACAAAAGCTAGTAGGTACAAAATGACACAGTTTATAGAAGCTTCCCATTCAAGCCTCACAACCACTCAGTAAGACAGTTACTAGTTATTATCAACACTCACTATATGCCTAATTTATAGATGCATAAAGAGAAGCTCAGGCTGCTGAGGAAGTGGTCCAAGGTCACACTAGCATTCTAGCTCTGATCTCCGAAATTTGAAATTTATTTTCTTCTTCGGACCTTTTCTTCACCCCGCCCTCTTTAAATTTGTTTCACGTCAGATCAAATGAATTATAAAGTCTTCAAAAAAAAAAAGACTATTAATGCTTTCCCCAAAACGTCCCCAGTTAGCATATAAGCTAAGCATTTCTTCACTGGCCACTTCCCCAGATCCTGTTCATCTGACATCTATTTTCAAATAAAACAGGATTCCTTAGAACAGTAGGAATTTCTCACACTGGTTTATTGCATAGGAAAAGAGAGTCATAATTCTTTTTGTAACCATAGAAGTATCATCAAAATACAGAATTATTTGTAATGCTAATGAGAATTTTCTTCACCAGGTAGTGCTGTTTGCAAAACATCTGGTGCACCATGCCAAAAATACATAGGAGCTGAAAGGCAGGATGCAAACTTTGCCTCAGGATCTTCTCCACCAGGTAATTTCAAGACAGGCATTGCCTTTAATATATGTGTTAGATGTTGCAGCATCTGATAGTCACATAACTAATTTCTTTAATTAGTTCACCCCTTGTGCATCTTGGCTTCAAGGATTCAATTAAACACAAAACTTGCAACTCAGTGCTAGAGTATTCATTAACCTGCAAGTTATCTTTTAAAACAACTATAGTCTAGGGAAAATTTCATGAAGATATGAATTTGCCCTTGTCCTGAATATATATAATTTGAATCACATGCCACAGGAGGAGAGTCTATAAACAACGTTTATTCTTAGCAATGATTCACCGTACACACAGAGAGACACACACACAAACACACACACGTATCTTTACATCTTACCAATTTCTTTGTTTACCTATAATAAAACTTTGCAATAGGCCATGTTTTTTATCCCTTCACCAGTCTTCTTGCCTCAGCATTTTATAATTTTATGCATATACAATATACATATGTTTATAAAATATGATACATCCTACATACAAGATGCATACAAGGTGAGTTGTCATGCATACACATATTTGTTGTTTTATATGTATACTGCATATATGTGTGTATAAAATTTTAAAATGCTAAGGTAAGAACTGGTGAAGGAGAGGAAGAAAAGCGGTCTCCTGCCAACTTTTTCTACCAAAGCATTTATGTGCTTTTCCTTTTACATCCATCCCTCAGTCATTGGGCACTTACCACATGCCAAACTGCTTATCACATGGGAGACATAAAGAAATAAAACATAATTTCTCTCCTTAGAACGTACTGTCTAGTGGATGGACCTGATATTTTATGTAATAGCAGAATGAAGCAAACACAAATGAAAGGTGGGCTCTGTGCTGGGATGTTCAGGAGAGAAGGACACTCTTCTCAATTACAAGGGTCCTTACAAGGTTTCACCATGGAGTGACATGAGAACTGCCCACTTAAGGAAAAGTGGGATGCAGTCTCCCAGGAATAAGTCTGAGAAAGGCCTTCTAAACAGACAGGAAAGGAAAAGCACAAAGGTGTCAAACATCAAGGTTATGTCAGGCTGTGGAAGTCCTCCAGGGCAGCGATCCTATGTGTCTACTATCATTTCTCATATGTCAAACTCATGATTAATAAAATTAAATCAATCAAACAAAACAATAAATGAATGAACAGTGTTTGGAGAGTGTTACCAGCTTATTGGGTCAAGAAAATAAGATATATGGAGATATATGATAGAAATCATAATAAATCACTAGCGAATAGAATGCATTGCTGTGGAATTTGTGCCTCATCCTAAAGGCAACAGAGAGCTATTGAAAGTTTTTTAAGAGAACTGTGATAGAATTTAATCTATAAAGTCATGTACTATTGTAGCTTTTAATGAAAATAATTGGTTTAAATGTGGTACAACAGAGTAGTAATCAGATTCATTCATTACATTAAAATTAAATAGTATTAAACTAAATTTCAATACATTAAAATTACATGGGGATGGAACTGTCTTACTACAACTTTCTTAAATGGATATAAATAGCACTTGAGACAAAGCTCCAAGAGATCAAGTTCATAGGTGTTACACTTACTCTCACCAAGTTTATAGCTCTTTACAAATGTTATTGAAAAGTTATCTGTTTTCATAAGTAGAAAAACACATATAAATATCCACAAACTCTCCCACGGCTATACATAACACACAGCATGGACTAGTAGTGTAAGACCTGGATTTGGTGTTGTTATTACCATTAACTTGGTCTAAGATCCTGGGCTTTTCCTCCCCTTGCTAGGCTCCAGTTCCCTAATCTATAAAAGGAGGGGGGAAATGGTGCCCTCCATGGTCTGCTTTAGCTCTGATAGTCTGTGATTCCAATGTGGTCTCTGGAATGGCCTCTGTTAGTTTCCACACTTAGCACAGCAGAGGGCTAGGGAGTGATGAGCCTCATAGTATTGTCAGAGGGAAAAATATCACATCCTTTTCTTTACTCACCTAAAATTGAACAAATACAGGTATAAAGTGAAAAATGAGGCAGGAAGCTACAAGGGAACATTGCATTATGTTTAATGCTACTTTTGAAAATATATTAGGCTTCAAATTTGGAAATCTGTGTAGCTCTTCAAACAGATGTTATATTTTACCCCAGAGATGACCCCATTTTAGATGATGGCAATCCAGTATGTATAATAATATTCTTCATCAACTTCCTAAATTACTTGAGAGTTGTAGGAGATAAAAAGTGTAATACAAAAGAAAGATGGTGACATCCCAGTAACTATATTAAGAGCTAGAGAGACTGTGAGCACATTTACTTTTATCCTTAGCTATGTTTGAAAGAGAGACACTTACATAAGTAGTATCAGGATTTAAAAGAACCAAATGTCTCAAGAGTAGAAGAGTATTTGACTTGTAACCAAAATCTTGATTTTAAATTTTAATTATTTAAGTAAATAACGGTAGAAACGTAGGTTAATTACTAATTTACTGTCTCTTAGTTTGGTAGTCATCTTTGAAACGGAAATAAAAATACTTACTGATACGATTATTTTGAGGTATACAAAAATACATTATAGTAATTACTTGGCATGGTTTATGGCACGCAGTATGTGCTGAATAAATGCTAGCTTTTTTTCCTGGGACTTTTCAATAACGTTTGTAGAGCACTATAAGAGTAGAAGAGTGTAGGCTGGGCATGGTGGCTCACACCTGTAATCCCAGCACTTTGGGAGGCAGAGGCGGGTAGATCACGAGGTCAGGAGTTCGAGACCAGCCTGACCAACATGGTGAAACCCCGTCTCTACTAAAAATACAAAAATTAGCCGGATGTGGTGGCAAGCGCCCATAATCCCAGCTACTCAGGAGGCTGAGGCAAGAGAATCGCTTGAACCCAGGAGGCAGAGGTTGCAGTGAGCTGAGACTGCCATTGCACTTCAGCCTGGGCGACAGAGCAGGACTCCGTCTCTGAAAAAAAAAAAAAAAGAGTAGAAGTAGAAGAGTGTAAGTTGTTTAACACTTTCTCATGATGTACGTAGTAGTGCCAAACATACTCTAGGTTCTCAATGAACATAAAACACAGATGAATTTTTAAATTAGCATGAACACTTTGACATGTGATTTGCATTATCTGGATAGGACAATCTGACGTTAATTCTAATCAATATGGTAGGCATTTATTTCATTTAGTAAATAAATACAAATAGCAGTAGAGTGGTTCTCACATCATTTCATTTAGTGCCCAGTAGTATGTGTTTCTGGAAAGATGTGTAAAGAGACAATTTTTTCAAGAGCAGATACTGAGAGGCTCTTGAAGTGCATTCCCTGGTACCATTCTGAGAGAGCATCAATGTCACTAAGACTTGGCAGCAGGGAGCAGCACTCATCTGTGTGACTTCCAAGAAACACAGAGACAGCCACTTACTGCAGCCACCAGCAGAGAAGTAGGTATGGGGGACACAGCCTCTTCTCATGCCTGCTGGCATCTGAAACAATATCCCTCTTGATTTTGTGTTTGCTTAGATCAGAGTGCAGACTCAAGGCACTCACATAACCTGCCACTGAGAATGTCTTAGAACTTCAACTGTGCTTTGCCAACCAAAGCCAAAGGATGTTAATATTGTGTAGCAAGTTGGGTCAGGTAGAAAATGCTTTTCTTATTCAAGCCCTTCAAGATCTTTCTCAATTGCAACTTTCTTGTGGTCTCCTAACAGGATCCCCCTCCGCCACCCAAGTCTGAATGTCAAAAGCACTTTCTGGTTTTGCCAAAGGAAAGGCAGCTTCCTACCTTGCATTACATTGATTTGTGTCTCAATTGTGTCTATCTCCTCTACTCGACCATGATTTCCTAGAAGGCAGGGAGTCTAAATTCCTCCTTTTAGAAACAGTCAGTTTAATTAAAGGTGTGTTAGAGGGAAGAATCAGGAGAGGAAGAAGGGAAGGGGGAAACAGTTCACATGTATGAAAATAAGGGAAATAAATTACTATGTCTGAAAGCAGCCACTCTAATAATGATGTTGATTTTTATACTCCTGACTTGTCAAACAGATAATTATGAGAAGGTTCCATCTGAAAAATAAATTAGAGTATCTGGGTCTTAAAAAAGAAAAAAGAAAAAACACTGCTTGGAATGTTATTAATATATAAATGATCTAAAACTTGACAGTGACTCTTCTCTTGGGTTCTCATAATTGGGCAATGCTTCGGAAGATGGTAGAAGGAAGTCCAAATCTGGGCATAATCCCGTACTTCCCCAGACTGGGGACAATGTCAGACTTTGAAACAGTAAAATATGAGAGAAAAAAAACCTGTATATTTTACAAACTAACAGAAAGAAGGAGGGATTTTATGAATCAATTATTCCAGCACCTTAGCTTTAGATGAAGGATATGAGGTTGTTCCTTTAAGTATTTCATAGGCTTTGAAAGCTCTGTGAGTCTGCATATGGCAATCCTTCTGTCTGGAATTACTTCTGCTGTGTTTGACCCACCTCCATTGCCGTCTTTTCCTTGAAACCTTCTCTCATTCCTCCAGTCAGTTTATTCATCCTTCTTAAAGACCCATGGATCACTTTTAAATACTTTTATTTATACACTGATATATGTTGGCTTTCTCAATTAGATCATGAATTTATTTTGGGCAAAAACTATGTTTACCCTACTCACCCCAAACACCTAGCACAATGCCTGAAAAAAAGAGTACTTCACAAATTAATATTGAGTTGAAATATTTAAGTTCACTGGAAGAGATGAGGGAAGAGGACAGCATCAACTTACCTCTTCACGAAGCTTAAGACATCTGACTCTTGTTTATAACAGCCCTCGCAGATTAATAATTTTAAACTGTAAAGCACACTGGCACCACTTAAAGACTGGCTTGTGAAGGATCACTCAAAGAACAGGCCATATTTTGATGGAATGGAAGGAGGAGCTTGTCCTCTATACTGCAGTATTTTGGAAAAAGAAGTGGACTGAGAAAAATGCAGTCCTTTCTTTCTTTTCCTAACTTCCCCCTCCAACATTTTTCTCTTATTTCTCCTTGTCTTCCTTTATGTGCTCCTCCTCTTTCTCCTTTGCATAAAGTATTGATAGTCATATCCTTAAAATACTACAAAATCTCTCTGCTTTCTACATGCATTACTCCTTCTCTAGAACTATGTGCCTACACTTTACCCAAAAGGCCAAGTGTACTTCGTGATGGCTGCCATGAAAAATAAGAAAAAAGAAAGCTGGTTAGATATTAATGCACTTGTGTTTAAACCACAATGTATGTTACTTTTTGTGGGGGTTGTACTATACATTGGTGCTTGTTTATCTTGGCAAATGAGGTAAGGTAGGTAACAATATTTATAGATTTGAGAAGATATCTCTTAACGCCATTCTGGAAAAAAAATGCAGCTGGTGTATTTTGCTAGAAAATACTCTCAAGGAAAAACAATAAGGTAAAAGGCCCTTAAGATATTTTTTTGCAACAAACAAATACACTTCTGTATAGATATACCAGATGCTTTCTTCAAAGCCACACAGAGTAGATTTTCAATGGTAATAAAATGCTTGTCTCTGTTGCCACTATTCTATTTTAGTTAAATAGCATTAGCAATTTTAAGATAATCTCATTTTGGAAGTATTATAATTACCTTAAGAATTTGGCCTTCTCTTTGCTTGCATATGTTCATAGCAGCATATTCACAATAGCTAAAAAGTGGAAGCAACTCAATGTCCATTGATGGAAAAATCAATAAACCAAATGTGGTATGTACCAACAATGGAATATTATTCAGCCTTAAAAAAAAAAGGGAATTCTGTCACTATGGATGAACTTGAGGGCATTATGCCACATGAAATCAACCAGCCACAAAAAGGCAAACACTGTATTATTCTTCTTGTATGAGGTATTTAAAGTATCATATCCACAGAAGAATAAAGTAGGGTGGTGGTTTCCAGGAGCTGGATAAGGGGAAAATGGGGAATAGCTGTTCGGTGGGTATAGTTTCGGTTCTGCAAGATGAAAAAGTTTTGGAGATCCATTGCACAGCGGTGTACTTAATATTACTAAACTGTACACTTAAAAATAGTAAAGATGGTAAAGTTTATCTGTTTTATCTCAATGAAAAATAAAGAACTGGATCTTCTTTGAAACAAAATGCCTGCAATTATTTCAACCTCACCCCTGCCATTTAGGTTTTGATTACCACTCTCTAAATAGTTACCACACAATGTACAAATATTTCTCAAAGTAATAATCAAGTTGGCTAGAAGACATTCAATTCATTTATTGGGGTCCTATTATGCCTGAAGTAATGAGTTTGGCCCTAGGGTGAAAGGGGGAATGAGGGAAGGCATTTCGCCACCATGAAGAGGGTAGTCTTGGGTGGGTCTTAGTGACCACAGGTAAGGAAAGACATGACTCCTGTTGATACGGAATACAACAACCTGCTTCTGTACTATAACCAGTGTATTGGGAGCATAATTGTTATTGGAATTTCTCAACCTTTGAGTTTTTCAAACAATTGGGTCTATGCTCAATATCAACAGTTTTTAAATTCCACTGAACACTTCTCTATTTCAAGAGATACCTGAGGTTTTCATGTTAACCTCAAGTCACAATGGAGTCCACCCACTTTCTCCAAGCACCAGATATTATTTTGAAGATATCCTGTAAGCCAAAGGAATGAAGGAACAGATGATATGAGTTATCTTGAGAACTCCAACATAAATGAGATCTGAATGGAGAAATTACTTGGATCACTCTAACAAAGGCAAAAACGGCCTTTACCACCCACAATGAATCCCAGAGATAAGCTCGCCCTACTTACACAGGAGCTGGGTTCTGAAAAGAGAAACTTCAGCGGTACCTGTAAGCAGTTGTAGGTGAAACCTTTCCATTTAAAGTTTGTATCAGGTTGATTTTCTTGGAAATCAAAATAGAAAGGAGCTGATTAGATCTTAGCTAAAGGGGAGAAACAAAATAGCTGGAGTCCCTGATGGTAAAGCTGTATTAAAAAGAAAACGTGTGAAGGAGAATTTAAAAAGCATATAGCACTTTATTCTTGTATTTCTATTGCCAATGTGACTAGAAAACTAAAGAAAACCAAGAGACTCTTTTTATACTGTTATTCTACTTCCTGTAATGAAAAATGACAGGGAGAAGTGGAAAATCAGTTCAAAATACAAAACCTGCTCAACAGAAAACAATTCTGATAGAATCACAGAATCCTAGGGTTGGAAGGTCAAGTTGCCCAACTCAAGTACCAAGCGTTTCTCCAATGATGACTTGTATTATCATAAAGTGTATAATAGACTTGTATCTAGACTTAGACTTATGTAAGCTTTCTATTATCTAGAAATGTTGTTGAAATACTAAACTCAACATGTCAAATCAGCCTAACTTGTCCCATTGCTTATCAGATAACAGCTGGGATAACAGCATTAACCTTCACCAGGTCATTTAATAGGAAGCACAGGGCATCCTCTCTGACTACAGCCTCTCCTTCATGTACCCCAAGCACAGCACACACATATCAATACACATGTACACTATGCTGTTTCCACAATGTCTCTTTGTTGTCTTTTTTCTGTTCCCACTGGCAGCCCTTTATCCAGGCATTCCATCACCGTTCACCTCGGCAGCACCACATAGATCAGGTCTGCTTACCTGTGGCATCTCCCTCTTAATTCCCATTCTTCAAGGGACTTATTTCAACCACCATCTTTCAATGTTTACTGACACCAGTTATGTCCCAGGAGCTGTCCTAAGTACTAACAAAGATGCAAAAATGAATGATGACTTTTGCCTTTAAGTAGCTGAGAGTCTAATGGAGGTAACACAACCTAATAAATAAGTGTACTACAGGTCAGAATAAACCAAATACAATCTTGTTCAAAGTGTTGTGGGAGTATTGATTCATATGATGGAAGGAATGACGGTAAGGCCAGACCTTAAAGAATAAGAGACATTCCAAAAACACAACAAGATTCTCGTCCCCTAAAATGCATACCCTATATAATCCACTCCCCTTCGACATAAGTAGGAGACCATGAATATGATGAGATATCACTCTCTGGATTGTGTTGTGTAAGACCCCTCCTTAGCAGATCAGAGAGAGAGTCCTAATGGCCTTAAAGGAGAAATTGTCATGTTGTGAACCGCCTGTGGGAAGGGCCATGGGGCAAGGTCCTGTAGGAACTGAGAGAGCATTGCTGACATCTGGCAAAAAAAAAAAAAAAAAAAAAAGAAAGAAAGAAAGAAAGAAAAGAAAAGAAAGGATGTCAGTCTTGCAAACACAAGGAATTGAATTCTGCCAGCAGCCCGAAAGAACTTGCAAGAGGATCTGAGCTCCATGTGAGAACCAACAGCACGGCAAACACTTGGCAGTTTTGTGAGAACCTGAGTAGAGGACCCAGTGAAGCTGTGTCCGGTTTACTGACCCACCGAAACTGAGATATGAGCATGTGTTGTTTTGAGTAATAATTTGTTATGCAGCATGAGAGAACTATTACACCTTCCCTAAATGAAGTGAGTCGGGGTGGTCTGTAGCATTGGTGAACTCCCTGAGGGTACCATATCATCTGATTTCCCACACAATTTCTAGGGAATGGTACCCTTCAGATCGTCAAACGTGAGAATCCAGCTGTCATCAATCTCCTCCCACCCCCTCGCTCCAACGCACACATATGTTCTATCCAGGGAATTCCTAGAAAGGGCATTGATTCATCATTTTTAGATTCATTGTCTTTGAGGGCACCCCCAGGGACCCTGGCACCCCAGTCATTGTGCTGAGAAAACAGAATCACAGTACTTTAGATATAGAATGATCCTTAAAGATATTTGGGAGTAATCTTCTCCTGATCCTCATTTTAGATGAAAACAGGCCCAAAGTGTCTTCTTTCACCTCCTACAAATAGTCAACTGCAGAAGGACAAACAAGTTTTGTGTGGCCTGAAGCTTATATAACTTGGGAAACTCTCCTTAAAGAAAATAATACAAATTTACAAATATCAAATTACTTACCAAGCAAATATTTACTAAATATAAGAAAAAGAATTTAGACCAAATTGCGCATTTGAAAAATTAACATCACAAAATTCAGACACAGCTTTAATACCTTTTCTTTATAATTTTTGTCTGTAAATGTTTTCATCCTGTAACATAAATGTTAACAATATTTTCTGTAAAACAGATGATCAGTCTCACCTCCAATGTGACTAACTTATTTTTAATTGTGAAAGTTAAGAATTGTTAAATTCAGCTTTACCACTCATTATTGCTAACGTCATGTAAATATTTAGACTAGTATCAAATTTGATTTTAAAACAAACTCAGTTTCCTTGATTTCTCAAATATTTCACATATGAGCTAAGAAACGTGGGAGAATTTCCCACGATTAATTCCTGTACACTTCACCTCCCCATGGGGTATGTTCACAACACAATTCAATCTCTTGCCATGCACTTTTGTGCCATGCCCCACACTGAGTCAGCACAGTGGGCAGTTTCAGTATTTCTGGCCATTTCGACATCAGGAGGGCTGGCAATGATTTACTAGTAAGTGACTGTAAACATAAATGATAATCCTACCAAAACCAAGCTAAATGTATCCCCAGTTCAACTTCTCCTTAGCCAGAGCCAAAACTGGCAATGACGAATCCACCACCCTTAAACAGAGAAAAACTGATAAAGCAAATGGCCGAGTGGAAAAAGATAGCAACCTTAACCAATTGTGGAAAAAAAATTCTCACTTTTGCAAATAAAAAAACCCAGAAAACAAAACACATGTGAACACCCTCCGGGAGCCCCTCCCAGAACTTGGAAGGGGCTGTGCAAGTGAGGAAAGTGAGGAACTGATGAAGCTGTGGTTTGATTAGCCTCTGTTCAGCGGAAGTGAAGGACATCAGCTTTTCCTTGAAAAACTGAGACAGATCAAGCTCTTTGTGGAATAAGAAAAA
Organism: Homo sapiens; assembly: GCF_000001405.40. Taxonomy (NCBI): domain Eukaryota; kingdom Metazoa; phylum Chordata; class Mammalia; order Primates; family Hominidae; genus Homo; species Homo sapiens. The sequence goes on from NC_000003.12 coordinate 192,434,354, forward strand.
CAAGGCATGGAAAGGTTACATAACTTCCCAGTCTCATAGCCAGTAAAGTGTACAGGTAAAGTTGAACTCAGGAAGCCTGAATGCTGCCTTCACACTTTTTACCAGTGTGCTACACAGACTGCCATAGGAGTAAGCTTGAGATTGTGCATGTGTGTGTGCAGGCATATGTGTACATGTGCAGGTATACATGTATGTGTGTGTGTGCATGTGTATGTACCTGGCAGAGAGGAAAGGAAAGAAGTGTTCTGTGATCAATCTTCATATGGAGTTGACTTTTTTGAGTTCTTGTTTGTTCTCCTTGATTACAGTTAGAGTCTTTAGGAATAAAATTGGGTCATAGAGTTGATTTTAAAGTACCATAAGGAGCAGTTGTGCTACTCGAAATACAGTTTGACTCTGTCGTGGTTGCAAAGCCAATCTCAAAGCATTTCCCCCAGAATGCTGTTTATTAGTTTAAAACCCCTATGATCAGGATATTAAAAAAAAAACAAGAAAGATAATCTAACTCATGATGGCTTCTCTATCCATTTAATTGCGGTTAGCAGTACATTTATCCAACCGCTTTTCAGGTCTATGCGCATGTTTCTCAGTGGTGCTGTCTTAGCCATTGAAGGGTTTAAAGAGCACTGAAGAAAAAGTCAGGAGAACTGGCCTTAGGTCCCATTTTCACAATTATTCCATCTTTGACACTTTGGACAACTCCAGCTCCTATCCCCGTCTTGGTCTCATTTTCCTCAACAGGGTAAGTGATTTTACAGCTGTTCCAATGTTCTATGATCTATAAAGCATAAAGTCTCTATTTTCTACTTTAAACCACAAATCAGAAAGCTTTAGAAGAACATTCCAGGCTGTGAAGTTGGGGGAATATTCTGGGTTTATCTCAGATCTTTTTCATTTAGTGCAACACTAGTTTTTTTTAAAAAAACTTCATTTCTTTGACTGCTAAATGAAGAATGAATTTGTAATTACTGCTAAAGGAAATACAGTGAAAATTTTAATTCTGAAATTGAAAACTACTTAAAAGAGACAGGAGAGCTTAGCAAAAGCCTCTAAAAGAGCCTGGCCATCTGGCTTCTTACTCCCAGGACTGCTCACTGTGATAATCCCCAGGCTTGGTGATGTCCTGAACTTGCAAGTTTCGGGAAGTTGGCGATCCATTTTGACCATGTGGTATCACAGATAATGTACTGGAAACCCAATTTCTGGTCCCAGAACAGCATTGTTCGGCCAGCAGGCTATACATGAGCCTCCTGGGCCTTACTTTTCTCCTCTGTACCTAGTAACTTCCTTAGGTCTTTCTCTCTCAGAAATTCTGTTTTCTAAAAGGCAAGTTACTCTGAAGGATGAAACAGCTTTGCTTTTCTGATAAAGTATATCAAGCCTAAATCAAAATAAGCATTTCTTCTCCTGTTCTTCTGTTTGGGCTCTGAGGATACAATCTGCTTCTGTCGTTTTCCCAGTGCAGAGTAATTTTCAATGTGTTACCATGCTAAGCCTTGTTATCACATTTTCAGAAGCATAAATGATAAATAACATTTGCTTAACCAGCTTTTACAATTCCCTGGCATTTTTAAAAAGAATATTTATTTTGAAGAATATTTTTTGAAACAACACAATTTGAGGAAACCAACACACCACAGCGAATACGTCTACTTCTCTCAGTTAGCCCAAGCAATTCTCAAAGTTTTCTCCTCGTCTTTATTGAACACTCACTTCACGCCAGGCCTCGTGCTAGGGGTTGGAGCTCTGAAGGAAACAGAAGAACGTGACCTCAGGACAATACTGTCATAGTCCATGTCTACAAGAAGCTCACTCCCATTGTAGATGGTGATCCCACTTAAATTAATAAAGATGAGAAGCCTCCTGGGCCAAAAATTAGATACTTTGTTGTAGAGCAGTACCATACCAGAGAGGAACATTCACCTTCCTTTGCGCCTAGCTTTGCCTCTGGGATACAGTGGTACTGAGAATCAGAGCTTACTGCTGTAAATTAGGGGTTCTCAAATAGTCATACACAGCAGAATCAAGTGGAGGGCTTAGTAAAACACGGATCGCTGGGCCTTACTTCCAGATTTCCAATTCAAAAGGAGTCAAGAGATTTTAGTACTAGTGAGCTCCTGGGTGCTGCCGATGCTGCTGATGTGGGGCCCACAATTGGAAAACCTCCGTTGTAAACGAGCAATCATGAATAAGCTAATTTGTCTGGAGCAAGGCTTTGACTTCGGTAGTTTTACAAAGCTCTCCAGGTGTTTCTAAGGTGTATCCAGGCTGGACAGCCACTGGGTTAGATTGCACAATGTCAGTTTCCCAAAATAACTGCATGTTCAAGATACTTTTAAGATTATACATGTTTCTGAGTAGCCTGTCTGATCAACAATTTCTTGCCCTGTAGATTGAAATTCTAGGTGAAGTTATGCTTAAGGTGGCATTCCCAGAAAAAACTAGAACGCATCCCCCTTTTTTGGGTAGCTGACTATACGCAAACTGCTGTCTCCCAACACAGACTGTGTTCCAGTGCTGGAGAACACAAAGGTGGGAAGATATGAAAGGACACAAAGATTAATGTATGAAATTATCTACGTAAAAAATTTCTTGAGTGCTCACTCTATGCTGTGCCAAGAAACTCAGGCTTTTCTTTCTAAAAATTAGAGGCTATGGAGGTGTTTAAGGACGAGAGTGATATAGTCTGAATTGCATCTTATGAATGAATAGTGTATAATTCCTTAAAAGGTCTTGCAGCAAGAGAAGCCGGGTAGAAGGGGCATAGTTAAGTAAGCACAGGGGAGCAGGGAGAACTCTGGGAAAATGGAGGAAATAAAAGGCTAGCGACTAGAGGAAGTGCCTGTGATAGGATTGCAGACTACAAAAAAATACTAACAATACCACTCTCAAAATCATTAGGAAAATAGAAATACTATCATCTTTGTTAAAGAAGTTCATCAAATACAAGGAGCTAACAAAAAATGCTATTTGTGTAGAGAACTAGTTGAGAGGTAGCATCGCCTTTTAGCCAGAAGGTTTAAGGAAGTCAGTGGAATGTGTAAGAGTGAGCAAACTGGCCAGGCGCCGTGGCTCACGCCTGTAATCCCAGCACTTTGGGAGGTCAAGGTGGGTGGATCACAAGGTCAGGAGTTCAAAACCAGCCTGACCAAGATGGTGAAACCCCATCTCTACTAAAAATACAAACCATTAGCCGGGTGTGGTGGTGGGTGCCTGTAATCCCACCTACTCAGGAAGCTGAGGCAGAGAACTGCTTGAACCCAGGAGGCGGAGGTTGCAGTGAGCCAAGATCACACCACTGCACTCCAGCCTGGGCGACAAAGCAAGACTCCATCTCAAAAAACAACAACAACAAAACAAACAAACAAAAAAAAAAACAGTGAGCAAATTACTTGCTAGTAACCCCCAGTTCCAAATCTATTCCTTCAGTCTCTTTGTAATCTGGAAGCTTTATTGGAGAATCCCTCTCACTTAAAGTCTCCAGCTTCCTTGGGCATCAGGGCCTGCCTCCTACTCTTTGCCCACTCCCTTGTATAGCTTCATTTCCTGCCTCTCCTTCCTTCTTTTGTCCCTGAATAAACGTGTTCTCTGAATTCTGTTCTTCTTTGGCAGTCATATCCCCTCAACTGACTAAAAAAGTCCTTTCTATAGTGATGAATCCAACTTTTTTCCTCGAACATCTGCAAATATACTGAGCTTGAGTCTCTCATTTTCAATTGCCTTTTGTACATATTTTACAAGTTACCAACCACATAGACACCTGAAACTGAAGGATATGATTTTACTCATTTTCACCCGTTGATGAGATCCTATTGTCCTTTAAAAAATCTCACATGTGCTATAAAAGCATCTCTGATTCTAACTGAGTATTATTCCCACCTTTGGTTCTTCTTCCTTCCTCTAACTTTACAACGATAGCTCATGACCCTCTACTCTTACCTCTCATCCAGATGTTAAAATCATTAAGAACAAAGAGTATGCAGTGTTTGCATGTGTGAGACTTAAGGCTTGCACTTATCATCTTTTAAATTAATTGGAGAAGGTATAAATGGATACAAAAGTCTGATGTTAAGCCTTCTGGAAACTTATAGCCAATCTAGAAGAAGCCATCTTCAGGGATGCAGGAAAATAGATTTGGCTCCTCTTATCCAGTCCAGAGGCAGAACTAAGGATTCCTGCTCTTCGTATTTCCTGGTGCCAGTGCAGTGAAATCACTAATTAATAAGCCTCTTTCTGCTTCAGCCTCTGAAGGGTAAAAGCCAGGGAAGGGTACCCAGACAGGAGACCAGGTTTGCTGCTGTAATCAGGCAGACTCCACTAAGGAAGGAAACATTCATGTCAAAGATTGATGATTTGTGAGTATTCCAATAACAACGTTTGTGCTTGACCAGTAGGAGTGGAGTCTTTTGGTGTGACCAAGAAAGTCAGTTTGCATGCGCTTCAACATGTCAAAGCCTCTTAGTCTCTCAGGCTCTCTGGCTTTACAAAGCCCCCCGGTTTCAAAAGAACTGAAACAGAACAGGTTGGCTTGAGAGAAGCACCTCTACAGGGCTGAATGTAAAACAAGAGTTTCTATGTGGGAGTCATGAAGTGTGGGTAAGCCCCCACCTTGTCCTGAACTGCAACGCTAACTCTATGGACCTAGTTGCATATACTGGTTTGCAGTTTGCAGCGGGTCTCTGAAAATTACCCAAGACATTGTATCACCAACATGAGATCGACTGCCTTTTTCACATTCTTATGGAATATTACAAAAGGCAATCAGATTCAGATTTAAGTCAAAGACTCAAGCAGGAATTTAAAATTGCCTAAAGCTTTTATTAAAATAGTAACTTTGTTTACTACAATGGCCCCTTCAGAAATTCACTGACCTAGCCTTTATTCTCTCCTGTCAACCTACATTCTGACACTATCAGTATTCTTTATATAGATTTTAGAGCATCTACTGGTAATTCATCCCAATATTTCTTTATGTCCAACACAATGCAGAGCTCTTTTACCCATCCTCAGGGGAGCTGAAAAGAACATCAAACTTTTCTCCATGTAATGCAACTCCTATAAAGGTCCTTTTAAAGCCACACCTTAATCTTCCCTTCCTAGAATCAGAATCGTCCCATTTTTCTTGGATCAATCATTCAACAAATACTTAGCAGTTTCCTTCTATGTGCTGAGCATTTCACTGGCTTGGGGATACAATGGTGAGCAAAAGCAGACCTGGTTCTTGCCTCAACTGAGCTTACAATCTAGTGGTGGGAGAGACAGGTGGGAATAAATCATGTAAGTTAAATGGGAAATTGCATCTGTGAGCCAGAGAGGTACATGTTGTATAAAAGCATAACATGGCCAGGCGTGGTGGCTCACGCCTGTAATCCCAGCACTTTGGGAGGCCAAGGTGGGTGAATCACAAGGTCAGGAGTTCAAGACCAGCCTGGCAAAGATGGTGAAACCCCGTCTCTACTAAAAATACAAAAAATTTAGCCGGGTGTGGTGGTGGGCGCCTGTAATCCCAGCTACTTGGGAGGCTGAGGCAGAGAACTGCTTGAACCCGGGAGGCAGAGGCTGCAGTGAGCTGAGATCGCGCCACTGCATTCCAGCCTAGGTGACAGAGCAAGACTCCATATGGAAAAAAAAAAAAAAAAGCATAATATAAGGAGAGGAAAGTCAGGGGAGCTTTATGGAAGAAGTAAATGTTGAATTGAGGTCCAGGGGCTGAGTGGAGGTACCCAGGTGAATACTTTTTCAGGTATTGGGAACAGCATGTAGGAAGACTGCCATGTGAAAGAGTGTAAAGGATAAGAGGAAGTTATTTTTCAAAGACTGGAAAAAAATGGTCTTTGTAGACCATTAAAAACAATTTTTATTTGTTATAAGAGCAACAGGAAATCTATTGAATGGTTTTGCAGAATTAGTGAGATAAATGAAAAACACTGCATTTTGAAAACGTCACTCTGACTGTGGTCTGGGAAATTTTCAAGCAAAGGGAGCATTTAGCACAGAAGGGTGGACGGGAGTATTTTCCAGCAGCTCAGGTGAAAGACACAAGACAACAGCGGTGGCAGTGGGGCAATCAGTGATTAGTCAGATGGGATTTGGGGGAGAGCAACAATGTGTCAACGTTTCTGGAATAAATGTATAGTGTGATACCATCCACGGAATGTAGCGATACTGCCAACAGACACACTGTGAGCAATAAAATCATACATTTGAATTTTGATGTGTTGAGCTTCACGATTTTCCTTCACTAACCCTCCGCTTTTTCCTAGCTACAAGGATATCAGGCGACATCTCTTAAAATCTTGTTTTGCAGATGGTAAGAGGTTTTCACACATCTGCCACATTTGAAAACCTAACTCTCTTTACTCTTCTAAGACATATTAATCACTCAACAAATTGAAAGTAAAACAATTGATGCCCTATGTGTCAGCCACACAATCTAACTCTTCAGTCCCTGTAAGCATCCCATGAGGCTGGTAACTTTTCTCTGTCCCATCATATATACCAATCTGGTGATGACACTTAACTTGCAGTTTTACTTACATTTTAAAGGATATAGAATTTCTCTCCAAGTTGAGTGCAAGCTCAATGACAGCAGGAACCCCATCTTACATTGTAGAAAATGCTCTAGGATAAAGGACTTCAATCTGATAAATTAAATACTGTTCATTTCCCAATCCCTAACACTGTTTTGGGCACCGGCAATGGTTTATGGCATAATAAAAAGAGACTTATTTTGTGGAGTTGAGTCCTAATGCCAGTATTGCCACTTAACTAGCTACGTAAAACTGGGCAAATTATTTCACTTTCTTGGGCTTCAACTGCCTCCATTATAAATATTGAAGATTCAGTGAAATGAGATAGTATACTTTAAAGCAACAGCATTCATCACAGAAATTAGGACAGCTTTCCTTATCTTTTTCTGAGTAAATGTTGGATAAATAAAGGCATGAGCAAATGAATCTTTGACTGGGGGAATCTGAGGGAGGATTTAGCCAGTAGAAAAAGTATTAGTTAGGTAGTCATGAAACCAGGGTTCTAGCCCCAGTTCAGCCACTGACTCTCTGATCTGGGGTCAGCCTCTTCTCCTTCTGTGCCTCAGTTTCCTTCCCTGTAACGCCTCTCCCAGTGATGTTGCACGTTTTTTTCTGACATCCTATTGTCACAGCCTAGACCCAGGGAGCCACAGAAAGAACCTCTTTACTCAATTATTTGAGGATGAAGAAAGAAGCAATAAACTGAAAGCACTGTTCATTTCCAGTATGAAAAGACTCCTTCAAATGAGAAACGTCAGCACTTAGTTTCACCCCTAAGATTGTCTGGATTATTTTCTTCTTGTCCAAGAGATAGCAAGAGAAATTCCACTTTAGGAAACACAATTGTTTAACAAGTGAGTCCTTAGCAATTCTAAGGCCAGAATCTTGTGAGCAGATACGGAAAGGTACCAATTACCTCTCAAAGACTGGCCTGGTTTCCCAGTGAACAATTTCATCCATTACAGAATTTTCCTGTTTGTAATCCCAAGGTCCATACTTGTACCAGAATTTTACTCTCTAGGTTAGATGAACTCATTATAGCTTAAGTTTCCCTTAGAACGACAATAATAAAACTGCTATTGCTGCTGACTCACTTTAATGCCAACAATTGTACATACATTTTAGAAGCCTAATTTTGATTTACAGTAACTATATAGATCAAAATTAGAGCATTGTTGAGTGAGACTTTCTTTTGCCCACAGGACGACCAACTAGAGACAGAGGACAGAGGACCTGTAGTGCAAAATAAACTGCCAGAGGTGAATGATTCAAAGAAGTCTGTGACATGACCCTTGTATTCAAGCTCAGTGGGCAGGGAACACATGTCTCTTGTTCACCTCTGTATGTCTGTGCATTCATTGGGCTGATATATATCCAGTGTTTACTACACTGCATTGCGCACTGACTATATAGTGAAAAACAATGGTTTGTGGATGAAAGCTGCTTCCAGTATAGCACTGGGCTTGGCACAGTATGGACATCTACTGATTATTAATTGAATAAATGCATGAGACAATTAAGTGAAATCAGCAATATTATAAAAGAAAAGATAATAGACTCAAGACAGACTAAGATGTTGGTGAGTCTAGTTGGATTCTATAAGTTTTAGGTGCCAGAGGGAAAAGAATCTGAAGATGCCCAAACAAGTTACAGATGTACTGTCTATCTGGGACAGAGAAAAGAAGTCAAGATTACACACATGTTTTTCTTTGGAGAGAAGATGATAAAGAAATGTGAATATCATCACACTGGTGTATGTAATCAATTCTGAATTAACCTTCAGTAAACCCAAAATCTCAGTATTTACATGAATTCTTTTATTCAGATGGTACCAAAATAATGCTGCCTGGTAACTGAGATGAGCCCTAGCTAAAGAACCTGTTATTGTTTTCAGATAGAGAAATGGGAGCCACATGTATTCTATCTTTTTTTTTTTTTTTTTGAGACAGAGTCTCATTCTGTCACCCAGGATGGAGTGCAGTGGCGCAGTCTCGGCTCACTGCAACCTCCGCCCTCCGAGTTCAAGCGATTCTCCTGCCTCAGCCTCCCTAGTAGCTGGGATTACAGGTGCCTGCCACCATGCCCGGCTAATTTTTTGTATTTTTAGTAGAGACGGGGTTTCACCATCTTGGCCAGGCTGGTCTTGAACTCCTGACCTCATGATCCACTTTGCCTCAACCTCCTAAAGTGCTGAGATTACAGGCGTGAGTCACCGTGCCCGGCCGTGTCTTCCATCTTTATTAACAAGATCTTTGATTAAGCTGAAAGAAGGAGTTTTATTTGGGAAGACTGGATTTCAGTTGATACAACACAGAGAAATTCAGACATTTTCAAGCATATCCATCCTCTTTGGAAAATACGTAAACATCATAGTATTCAGAGATAACCTTAAGTGAGGTTTTCACTGCTTTGTACAATTGTGTCACTGTAGCTCCTATATCCACAACTGAGTTGTGATAGAATGGAATATTCTTTTCTGCTCTTACATACAGATTTTAAATGTGGATAATAATATAGAAGATAGATATTTTATAAAAATATAAATAACTTAAGTATTGCAGGACAGTAGTAATAAGTAGGGCTGGAAAGGTTGTTGGAGAGCTTTGAATACCTAGGTTAGTATTTAACTGTATCTTTCAGGCCATTGAAGATTTTGAAAAGCAGTTGCAACATAATCAGCATTCTGCTTCAAAACTTACAGCTAATAATTTTGTTTTGGCTCAATATTTAAAATAACATTTCGGTTAAGACCTGAGTTCAAAATGTCTCTCAATATACCTTATAAGTTATGAAAACAAGCAAAAAAATTTAAAGATGATTTCCAGCTCAGCAAAATCTGCATTTTCATTTGGACTTTGCTTTACCCTTTTCACAATTATTTATTTGCTTCACACAAAATAAGCCAGGATGGAAATTCCCCATCATGGTCAAGTTCTGCTCCATGATGCACACACAAGGTTCTGTAGCTTATGGGAACCAGGAGAATAGCAGGTGGGGCAGGTAGCAACAAGAGAGCTCAAACAGAGTGGCTGAGAAGCACTGGCGCTGCAAGGTGCAATGCTGGCCCAATGTCAGGCACTGGGCTTATCCAGGACTTACAGACCTCCTCTCAACTCAGGACCATGGATTCTCAGAGTTCCGGAAGTCCCTATAGTGCCATAATAAAGTAATAATTCTTCACCAAACCACAGACATTTGCATGGACTTTAACGAGTTGATTGTGAGGAAGAAATAGGAAAATGACCATCAGTCTGGCCGCCTTGAGTTCCGTAGCCAAGCCCTAAAACCAACGCCCAGCCTGCCACAGTGTGTGACATCACCCATATCCCCTCCAGTTCTCTCCGGTCTGACCTTGACAGCTGACCTTGAAAAAAGGAGAAGAAAGATTTGAGCTCACTTTTTTTCAAACCTGAATTCATCATCCGCCACAATTTCCTTCTCTCTTCACACCTTCCAACATTTCCCATTCAGTAGGTTTATTAGAAGGATTCCATGCTTTTGACTCAGCCCTCTTTGTTTGTTCCTTTTGTCTTTTTTTTTATCTTGCCTTTCTGTGAAACTGTCTTTGTTTCTTCTAGTTAGCCAATTGATCCTAACATTGCTTCTGGAACAAGATAATGTGACCTTCAGCATTAGACAAGACTGGAACCAGTGGGGAAAAAAGCAGAGTATATTGTCATTCTATGTTCTAAGAATAATTCAAACAAGCCTATGCCATAATGCTGACAGGATCTCCCCAGATTCTCTCAGCTTCTAGACACCATCACAGCCCTGCTTGCTACGCACAGGAGGCCAGGAGTGGTGGGCGAGCGCCACCTCGTGGACATGAGGGAAATTGCTTCCCTCTGCGAATTAGACTGTGTTTCGGCTTAGCTCTCAAAACACGTTTAAGAGAATTGTATTTTTAAATGGCTTGAACACCTTCCAGTCAGTGAAGCGAAGCCTGAATTCATGAATTCTCTATCTTAGGGATTCTCTGAGTAGCAGGAGAAATATCTGTACGGTGAATCCGTCCTCAGGTAAAATTTAAGGTGAAGGACAACAGTAGCTTCGCTTCTTTAAATAAAAGATTTGTAACAGAAATTTAAAGAAAGAAAAAAGAGCACTAATTATGCAGATTGCATTCAAGTTAAAATTTACATAGTATCTGGGCAGTAAATTCCACCATGCTTTAAAGCAGAGCACTAATTACTACTCTTCCATTAAATCTTTCCTGAAGAATCTCTTCTATCTTTGAAACTACCATCCATTTTGCAAAAACAAGTTACCTTTTCATATTTAACACCAGCAATTCACAGAGGAGTGTGATTTATAGACATTTGCATTGAAATAACCTATACTTTTTTGTTGTAAGTGCAGCTTCTTAGGCCCTACCCAACATCAACTGAATTAGAATTTCTGGGGCTGAATCCCAGGAAGGGGCATTTGAGGTTAGCATCTAGTTGATTCTCTTGCACACTGTGCGCTCCAGTTAGAGACCCCACTGCTTTCTTCATTGAATCCAGGAATTAAGCAATTTAGGAATAGAATTGCCATTGTTCTTGCAAATTACACTATTACTAGTTTTTTATAGCCCAGCTTCCTAGAGCATCTCATCTAGAAAGCTTTCCCAATTTATTCTAGAAAATTCAAACAGATGCCTTTTCCTGAGTCCTTCACCCCAAGAACATCCTTATCCAGGGGTCGTTTTACTCCACCTTCCTATTTTAGCTCATCAGAGATCCATATCTTCACCTAGAAATTCTGAAAGGTGGGGGTCTCTCACGCTTCTCTTTCCATGGGCTTTCAGAATACATGCAGCAGCGTTTTGCACGTGGCAAGGTTTAAAGAGTTCATCCCAAACTCTTATGAGTTTGCTCTTGGAATCCTATGGATTCAAATAATTAGCCAAGCAAAAAGATTGGCAGCACGGCCACCAGAAAACAAACCTCCCACCTTCCCTAAAGTGGCAGAACAGCTGCCACCAGTAGAACAGAGTTGTTCCTCTCCTCTGCCACTCAGGCACCGTGACTGCAGAGTTATCCAGACACACCAATCATTTTGCAACTGCTTGGCTCTCTGCAGTGCCCCAGGAATTCTAAGCAACAAAGGAGACAGTCATCTGTTCCACAGCCTAGCAATTGTGTCATTAAACAAATTGCTCCATAACGTCAAAAGAGGCATTCTTTGTGACAGCCAAGTGATATAATTTGTCTTGATTCCAGACATGGGAGACATCTGTCTCGAATTCATGCCTGTCATTTGAAGTTGCAAGTTTATCTACAGAAAAGTGAGACTATACCCAGACACTGAACAGAAATATAAACATTAAGTGACTACTTAAAAAGCTATAGTTTTACCCTTTTAGCACAAATACAGGGAAATTCTTTCTAAACTATATGGCTGTATACCAAGTGAAAAACATAGATTGGTATTCTCTCAACAAAACTGCTTTCAGAATCGGCAATTCAGTTTGCCTGAACTGTTGGAACATAACAATAGATGCAGGTTAAACACACAGTTCATTTAGCTCAACACATCCGTTTCTAACAGTGATGTATCACGGAAGCATTAAATTAAGCAAATGCTCGTTGAGCACCAAGTTATGCAATGAACCATTAGATGCTATGGAATTAAAAGAATGACAACATGTATCAAATTGGGCAATTCACAGATGGCCTCGTAGAAGTTCTGCTTCCCGTGGGTCTTTAAAGATGCATAGTCTGACAGTAGTCAGCAAACAGAGATGGTCTTTCCTTTCTACTCCTCTCCATTGTCTTTCCAGTGAGGTCAGCATCTACATGTGTAACGCATCCAGCACCAGCCGTCAGACCACCGGCATCCTCACCTTGAATAATATTTTCCTCCATCCTGCCTCACAACTCGCATCCAAGGCAAACATGGACATACACCACCTCTGAAATCTTCATCTGAAACATCCAACTCTGACTCACCTCCCTCCTGTCCTACAGTATTTTCTTCCACCACTTCCCAACAATTCCTCAGTCTTCCTGAGATCCCTAATCCTTCGTTCTCACTCCCGTCCACCATCACGTGTCCTGTCCTTTTACATTTGGCAGATTTCTATTCATCTTTTTAGTCTTTGCTTAAACAAAACTTTAGCAGCAATAATACTGCACCTTTAGATTGGATGTGATCTCCCTTGTAGATAAACTTTCCTAATACTCTTAATTTTTTCCCATCTTCAACCTAATCAGTCTTTAAGACAATCGCTTATTTATTGTCTTCCCCAGTAGAGGAAATAGTAATCAAGGGAAAGGAAATCACAGCCACTCATTTGTTGCTGTGTTCCTAGAGTGCTTGGCTGATAACCGATGCTTGAAAACTGTTTAATGAATTAACAACAACAAAAGAGAAAACCCAATTTGCTCAAGGCACAGGGAATATTTGTAGAAGGAGGGAGAATCCAGGATACAGACTCAGATTGGTGCCATTTTCTAGAGTACTTGAGCATTAGGTAATGGGAAACATTGGGGTCTTTAAAGATGAAGACGCTCTCCAAATACTCATTTTTTTTCAATAATTAGTACAGCTGATTATTAAAAGTGTTTATACGTTTATTGCAGGAAATCTGAAAAAACTTAGTGAAGTAAAAAGAAAAATCACCCATTTCTGTAGTACTGCTAACATTTGATGCATTTTTTTCTACAAATTTTCTAGACATTTGGTTTACATAGTGGCAATAATACAGTGCATTCAGACTTGGACTCTAATCTGTTTCCTCTCAACGCTGTAACCTAAGCACTCTTTTCTCATCACGTAAAATTTTTTAGTAAACTTACGTAATGACTACTTAACATTAAATCATTTTACCATTACACAGTATACTTATCATTTTCCCATTTTTAAAAACTTAAGTTTTACCCATAAATGTTTTATTGAAAATATTACATAGATCAAGCACACAAATCTTTTCTCTATGAAACTGACAAATGTCTACTCTTACATAGCTACCACGCAGATCAAGTATTTGACACAGCAGCATCCCAAAGTCTCCTATATGTCCCTTCTCAGGCAATACCCCCAAAGGTAATTATCATTCTGACTTTTAGCACCATAAATTCGTTTCGCCAGTTTCTGAACTTCACAGCCCTTTTTGCCTGACTTCTTTCGCCCAATGTTATGTCTTTGAAATTCATCCAAGCTTTTGTATAAGTAGTTTATTCATTTTCATTTCTTCAAAGTATTTTCATATATATATGTGTGTATACACATACACATATAAGCACACATTTATATGTACTACACTCCATCCAAGCCACGGAAGGACACTTGGGTTATTTCTACCTTGCAGCTATTAAATTCAGTTCCTGTTATTAGCCATGCTTCAGTCTAGTCATACTGTTAGCATAAAACACCTCTTAATGAAATGAGCTGCAGAAATCTACCAAGGATGTGGAAAACTGTTTTCTTTTGAACATGCCTTAGTTGTTCTGCACTCTGCAAAAAATTCATTTTCTGATGTTAGAGCTAGACAACCAACTCTAAATCAATTTCTGCTTATCTATTATTTACTCCTAGTGTCAAATGTGTGAGTTATTGAAAAGCAACTAAATATAAAAGAAAAACATCCCCCTGAAAATTGGGAGGGAGGGGTAACAATATACCAGAACTGTAAGCAGGACAGAGACATGAAAGGTCCAAAGCAAATATGCATTTTGCCCAAGTGACGGCACTTTGACAGTATACTAGGCTTGAGTGATACTATGCTTCAATTCTAAGTTAGAGGCACAGGTTGTAGAATCTGAAAAACCTGGAACTGATTCCTGGATTATTTCCTTCTGTATGGTCTTAGAAAACTACTTTACCTCAGCTCCTCATTTTAAAAACAGGGCCAGTAATATAAATATCAGCATGAGTAAATGTATTCTGGCATATCATTAGATTTCAATAAATATTATTTTTTATACTGATGAATGGCCACCAATATGCCATACAGTTTAGCTTAGAAGACCCAAATAAGTTTAAATTCAGGTGCAATATTTCCCAAATATAATCTTAAAATAAATTCCCTAAAAACAAGAACAGCAGACTTGCTGCAGCAGAATCAGTCTGATCCAACTCTGGCACTGTACATTTATGTCAGTATCATGTTTAATTACAGTGAATCATAACTATAGCAACAGTATATTTTTGTATTCTGTTTTAGTGTACACAAAGGCTTTTAAAATCAAATCTCATTCAGTCCTTCCGATACCTGCGGGGATCTGTCCCTTCCTCTATGCAAGTTATCAATTTATTGTGTCTCAGTTCAAATCCATCCTTCATTACCTACTTGGCAACAATGGCCTTGAACCCTTTAAGTCTCTGTTCTTTGCAGCAAACACAATATTAAGCTTTGTCACTAGAGGGTGCTGGAGGAAGTGGTTTCTCTCCCTGCTTCCAGTTTACTTCTATATTGATTTTCTTGTTATTTGTTTTGGATGGCCGTCAGCAGCTAATTTGTGAGGGGAATACTCACAAATTGTGGTGCTCACAGACCCAGAATGTGAAGCCCCTTGGTAAGCTTGCGTCCCCAGTTTCAGCTCAGTGATCATCTTGCCATGGATCTCCCAATGTGGACACCATGCATCCCAGGTTCCACAGCACCCTGCTGTCGGGTAAGCTCCTGTGCACCTGCCAGGGCTCACTTCCTGCAGGGCTTATGCATTCTTAAGCATTGGACCCCTCTAGAATGCAGTTTCTCCAACGCCCCATTCCTACAGACGAAGGCTTCTCTATCCCTTGGTTCTTGTAGCATCTGGTGACCAACAGTGCCCAGCAGAAAACGGTTGCACCCAGCACTGACTCTGGCAACTCTGCAGCAAGGCTTGAGGGCAACACCTCCCTATGGATTGCTTTTCTGTACCCCAGAAGGCAGGTTTCCAGCAAGTCTCAGAAGTGAGGCACTTTGATGACTTTTCAATAATTCATAATCAGCCATGGGCATGCCCTCTCCAAGGGAGTCTGGATCTCAGCCTGAGGTGGGGTTAGAGGGCTCCTCCTTGACACTGTATCTCAGCCTTATGACAGCAGCTGATATTTATATATACTATTGCTGCATCCTATAGAATTCTTTGTACTTCTTACTAGCCAATTTTCTGTTACTTCAATCCACATTACAATGAATAATTCTTATATTAAACTCTCACTTTTCAAATTACTGTGAGGTTTCTGTCTCCTGAGTTGACCACAATTGATACACCATCTTTCAAGATGATGAAATCCAAGAGTAGCAGAGACAAAGCCAAGACCAAAACCAAGACCTTCTAAATCTAAAAATCCCATTTTTCCCACTGCACCAAGATACCCTTTCCAGGAATAAAAACTACTGGAGAAGAAGGGAAGAAACACCTAATATAATAAAATAACCTCAGTGTCATTTTATAGCAATCTCCTTCCAACTCATTTTCTTAGAGACTCAAAGACAAAAGCATCATATCATACTATGTACCAAACCAGGACTACCCATTACACAGAAATAGGTCTGCAGATCCTTTTAAGGAGCAAAAAGTGGAGACTGACAATATATCCAATTTTAATCATGTAGCAAATTTGGGAAGCCACCAGTAATACTAAACATAGATAGAACCGAACATAGGATACCAAATAAAACTCAACACAGGATACTGAGTAGATTAACATCCTAACTTTTGATGAAATAAACTATACAATTACAATGACCACAGTGTTATCAGGCATTCATGTTATGATTCATCCAAATAAACAAAACTGAACAAAAAGATGCTTTACTCTTTATAATCATCAAGAGTCATTCACTTAGTATAGAAAGAGAAGTTGGCACCTAATATTAGAATCTGAATAAAAATGTAACAGTTTCATGGATTAAGAATCCACAGTACCAATCTGGCCACCATCTTTGATCAATTTCTGATAGTGAAGAGATCATTTAGCCTCCGTATCTAATTGTCAAATTTAAAATAGAGTGGAAAATACCAAACTATGTGTCAATCCTATACTTATTTCAGTTGCCAGAACCCTTTTCCAAAGCATTTCCATTGGTTACAGCTTCCTGTATATGTTCAACACACCTCAGCACCTTTGTGTGACACTCATTTCCAATATCACCTCAGTCATGAAGCTTTGGCTAGTCTCCACTAACAAAATGAAAAGTGATTTCTCCAACACTGGAAGCCTCATAGAATGATCTGTGCTTCTCTTATCATGATCTGTGCTCTACTTTGTATGGTGACTACATATGTATCTTCCTTGGTCTCTTGGAGCTGTAAGTTACTCTGGGACAAGAATTACTTTATTGATATGATTTTTACCCAAAGTGTAAACACAATGGTTTCTGCATTGACAGTGCCCAATGATAGATATTTATCACTTCATAACAATTTCTCAGGTTAACTCAGTAGGTATAAAGAATGATCAGGAGTAGAATCCAAGTCTCCTGACTTTCCAACACTCTCTTTGTTCTATGCCATTGTAAGTATCAAGAGACAAGATTTAAAGACAGCTGAAAGAATGGGAGAACTGTGAGAATTACCAGTCTGACAGCATAAAATACATTGTTCTTGACAACAGGAAAATTGTAAAAGGCTTGCTATGGCCAAACCATGAGAACTGAAACCAGCCTACTGTACCAGGAACTTATTTGATGTCATTATGACTATTGAGCAGGAGGTTGCCATATTAAAAGATAAGTTTGTGATGATTAGTAGACCCTTAGGTATTTAATGGACTAAAGATAAGTCATGTTGAGGGTTTAGGAGATCACTAAAGTTAAAAAACTACTAAAAGTCCCAGACACAATGAATATGTCAAGACCTGGTAAATATCACATATATTTAGGATTTTGCACTTAACAGTTTTCTTCTTAACAATTTGTTTCTAAGATTCACCTATGTAGTAATGCATAGCTGTAGTTAATTTATTTCATGGCTGTATAATAGCCCATTGTGTGAATTTGCTAAAATTTATTTATGCATTCCGCTACTGACGGAACCTGGGTAAAGACTGGTGCTAGGCTAAACATTGCTGCTATAAACATTCTTACATGTGTCTCCTGGTGATGCGTAAAGAGTTTTAGCTAGAATGTTTGCCTTAAAGTAGAATAGATAATTATGGAGTATTCACATTTTCAGCATTAATAGATTTTTTTTTCTTTTCCTTGCCTGTTTGCTTTGGTAAGGATCGCCAGTGCAATATTGAATAGAAGTAATGAAAATGGATATCTTTGCCGTATTCCCAATTATAGCAGAAAAGCATCGATATTTAACCATTCACTTTGAGGTAAGCTATAGGTTTTTTTGGTACATATTTTCTATCAAATTGAGAAAGATCCTTATATTTCTCAGTTGCTAGGAGATTTTTTTGTGAATGGGTGTTTAATTTTGTTAAATGTTTTTATTCTGTATTTGTTGAGTTGACCATGTGAATTTTAACCTTTATTCTGTTAATATGCTGAATTGCATAGATTGGTGAGTTTTTAATGATAAACCAAACTTCTTTTCTAAGGACAAACTCCACTTAGCCATAATTTATTCTCCTTTTGATACATTAATGGATTTGATTTGTCAGTGTTTTATTATGGATTTTTTGTGGCTCTGTGTTACGTGCTATAGTCTCTACTAATTTTCTTAAGTATTTTTGTCAAGTTTTAGTAACAGGGTTCTATTGGTCTCATGATATGAGGCTGAAATTGCTTCCTCTTCTACTTCCTGAAAAATTACAGGTCATATTTGAAAGATAATTTTGTTGAGTTCAAAATTCTATTTTATGCTGCATTGGCCAACTCCAGGGAACACTACACAAACTAAATCCTATGTGAATCACACCCCTCTGGAGTTGTTCAGTGCACAGCCTATGTGGCTCCACTCAGCATCCTTGTCCGTGATTGTGTCAAAATGTGGACAGTATTGCTCCGGTCTTTCAGCTTCCATTTTTTAGAAGTCTTCTCTTTACCTAATTATTGTTCCCTTGCAGATGATCAGTCTTTTCTCTCTAGCTGCTCCTAAGATCTCTTTTTCTTTGGTGTTCTAAAACTTCACTATACTTTCTTTGACATTCAAATATTTTATTGTATATACATGCATATTTTTTATTAACCTACCTAATGTGCCTGTTTCTTTGTGTATCTATGATGCGTATCTTTCCATAATTCCAGACAATTTTCAGTTACTTGTTTTCTCAACTGCCTTTGTCCTTTCGTTCTGGGACTCCAGTTGGATCTAGCTTAGATATTTATTGTGTCCTCCATATCAGTTAACTTTTCTTTCATATTTTCTACCTTCCTTCTCTGCATTATTATGACCTGGGTAATCACTTCATATATGTCTCCCTTTTCATTTATTCTTTCTTTTAGCTGTGTCTGATATACTTCCAAACCATCTATTGGGTTTTTAATTTCAATTATATCTTTCACTTTTAAAAGTTGTATTTGATTCTTTTGGGAAACTAATTTGATCACATTTGAAAATCTTTTGTTCCTTCTATATCTAAACTTATAAATTTTACTTTTAAAATATTTTATACATAGCTCTGTATTATTCTGAAACTGACCATTCTAATATATGAAGTTCTTGGTTCTTGAAGGGTCATTAAGAATGCCCCCCCCTTTTTAAAAAAAAAATTTGGAGAGTTTGGTCACATTTAACTTCAAGGTCATATCTGATTCTATCTAATATCTTTACATTCTGAGGATCTATTTGTCTCCTAGGGAACTGAATTCCAAAATGGAAGTAAAAACACTTTAATTCTTTAAGGTATTATTAGAAAATGATTAACTATGTTTGCTTTCCTTCAGAGAATATTTGCATTTTTTTTGTCAGGATTTAGTACTGATCTGTGATCACTTTTGCTTGTTTTATTGGGGGATGAGGGGATGTCTCTTGCTTGGCTTGGGCTCAGCTCTCCTAGCATGAAGACCCATGGGATTAGTCTCCCAATTTCACGCTCATATTGATCTTTGCCTTGATCAGTTAGTTAGCAAAATCCATTTGTTTAAATCAAATTTAACTAATCTGGGTTTAAACTTTATTTCTCTATAAACTTGAAGTATTTTTAATAAGTATAATATCTATGTAAATAATACATATTTAGGACCAAAGATATTTCTTTCTCTCCATGCAATACTTTTGGTCTATTATTTCCTTTCTAATCAAAATTTGGCAAAAAGTTAAAGATGTATATCTACATTTCTCTCCTTTTTTTTTTGTTTTGTTTTTTGAGATGGAGTCTAGCTCTGTCGCCCAGGCTGCAGTGCAGTGACGCAATCTTGGCTCACTGCAGCCTCCACCTCCCAGGTTCAAGCGATTCTCCTGCCTCAGCCTCCTGAGTAGCTGGGACTATAGGTGCGTGCCACCATGCCTGGTTAATTTTTTTGTATTTTAGTAGAGATGGGGTCTCACCGTGTTAGCCAGAATGGTCTCAATCTCCTGACCTCGTGATCCACCCACCTCGGCCTCCCAAAGTGCTGGGATTTCAGGCATGAGCCACTGCGCCAGCCTACATCTCTCTTAACAAGAAAGGCCTGCATGTTCTATTTCCACAGTCCTTATCAAAAACACAAAGATTTTCCTGTTTCGTCAGCAGAATAAAATGAACATGGGGAGTGTCTGGTACAAATACAGTCTAGAAATGTTATGCACTCAAAAAGAGAGATACTTCTAAAATAAGGAAAAATAATTGAAAAGTACAAGGAGAAAAAAAAATTCAGGAATAAAAGGCTTACTTCATAAACCTAAAAAGGGCTTAAACCTTGTAGTCTGATAAACATGGTGCAAGGAGAGAAACACAGCAAGGTGTCAAAGGCATACTTCTCAGACTACATAGTTCCAGCCCTTTTCACACGGCAAAGAAAGTTTTAGAAAATGACAAAGGACACAAAACCATTAGCGATAATTTCACCAAAAATTTAAAATGATACTGATTGTTAATTACTACAGATCTGAGGAGAAAAAGGTGTCACACTAGAGAACAGGCCAGGTGACACATTCAGAAGATGTCTGGTACATAACCAGACAATCAATTGTGAGCTCAACAATAAGACGGACATTACAAGGCTCAACATCTATTCTGGATGTCTGTGGGCTTGGACATCTCAGTTTTTACAATATTTCCACTTTCTCTAATAATTATTTTAATTATTAATTTCAAATGGGGAGAATACTTTTTTAAAAAACTCCCCCAATTCTCAATGTATTTTCTCTTACTGGTGAGAAATTTACTTTTACTGAACTTCTAACATCAAAGCTAAGCCATAAGACTTATTGCTTGGAAAAGAGTGGGCAATTACTTCCTAAAATTAAAAGCCTATAGAGTTGGAAAGAAGAATAATATGATGTACAGAAAGTTTCCACCACATAAAATGCAGACATAGAAACTCTTTGGAGGAGAAATACTGTTTCGGAGAGGGGACAAGAAGAGGATCAAAAGCTCTCTGAGCCTCTTAGGTTTCTGATGACTCTGTCACTCTAGTTCTCAACTCAGATGGGGTGATGACAAGAAGATTGAAACTCTTGATCAGGAAGAAACTGAGAGTACAGAAGCCTTTGGACCCAAATCTTATGTGGAATTCTGGGAAGAGAAATAGTTGCAAGGAAACTCTGCATCAACATGGTGTACCTACAGCAGAATAGAAATGATAACATCATATATTTAGACAGAGAGATGGTCAGGGCTGGCCCCTTCTGCACACAGGATCTCTTTAATCTCTACACAGTTTATTGTGTTTATGGGATTAGA